>NC_000023.11:27137488-28387488 GCF_000001405.40 Homo sapiens
TACTAATCCTTTGTCGCTTTTATGTGTTGCAGAAAGAGCACGCTCCCGTTATTTGGTTTCTGTGATGTGAAAGTTAATTCCCACATATCTGGAATTGTTCTCAGTTGTTTTACTAAAATAAGAACAGTACTTGCACAGTACTGATCATTGCCAAGGCACAAACTATACTGACTACTAGTAATGCTTTGTAACTATGGGTCTAAGGAGTTCTAGGGGTGATTTGCATGTCAACATTATTTATTGATAAATTGAAGTTGATGATTTGCACCTGATCTTCATGAATGAATTGGAGGGCTCTGTCATTGGGGCTGGTTATGTCGCAGAAATATGTCTACATGAAAATCAGAATATAAGAAATCCTGACTGAGACTCCATTTTGGGCTCTCTGGTTCTGTGATTTTATGTGCACACATAGGTGGTTACTGATATGAGAAAAAAGTGTGCTCCTGGTCTGAGAATAAAGGTGCATCTTGGTGTGGTCTTTGCAAAAAGACAGTAGGAGCTTATGCCTGGCTTCTCTGAACCCTTACTGTGAAAGTGCCTTTGGCTGTGAACATATAATGCTGTTGCCTTATTATAGTCCTTTAATGCAGTGAACTGTAGATTTCACTTGTCATAGTTGGTCCTGTGAACCTTCTTTAACAACTGAACCCTGTTTCATGCCATCCTTACTGCAGTTTGTCATTTAATCCTATTCACAGTGAAATTATTGATTTTTGTAACAAAATAAGGCAATGTTTATTACTGAAAAACATTGTATTATAGATCATTGGGATTGTATTCATACTATTAATATACCTATTTGCTATTTATGATTAATGTTTCTTTGGAAATAATGAACTTCTCAGGATCTCCATAGAGAGTTCACAAAATACTAAATAGAGTATCAGATTTTAAAAATTATTTTCATGATACAGAGCCTCACTCTGTCATCCAGGCTGAAGTGCAGTGGCACAATCATAGCTCAGTGCAGCCTCGAACTCCTAGGCTCAAGCAATCTTCCCACTTAGGCCTCCCAAAGTGCTTGGATTACAGGCATGAGCCAATACAACTGGCCAAGATTTTAAATTCATTAGTAACTGCCATAATCCAATAGTTCCAAGGAATAGGACGTTTGCTGTTCAAGTTTCCTTAATAGTAATGAGCAGTTTGCATGGACTGTATACAGATGGCAAACAAATGCACACGGTGGAGAAAAATCTTTTCAATTTAACAAAATATTCTGGTTTAAAATAAATATTTTCATACAAAATTTTATTTTGTAGTATATAATTATAAGATTACTTTGCATGGGGGAAGTAAAAAGGCAGAGTCAATTATCTAGAAAAATCAAAAATATAATTTATATACTTTTTACAGGAAATAAAAGACAACAATGTATATGTGTTGTATATGCATATAAAAATGTCAACCATTTGTGTGAAATATGCAAACAATTAAGCTATAACTTAAGAGATTACATGCCTATTTGAAAGTATGTGTATAACATGTCTCCATATATAGGATGTACCTATGTCTAAATTCATATTTATCTAATGGCTTAATTACCTTCACTTGGATTGTTCTGATAATGATGATAAAAAAAGTTTCAAATTCAAGTGTCCACCTTCACTCAGTTATTATTTAATCCATTCATTTGATAACCAGTTATTTTGGAAGTTCTATGTGCCAGACAGTGGACCAAAGGCTAAAGATTATGGCATAAATCAGATATGGAACATGACCTCAAAGAGCTTATAAAATTATATAATGATAAATATATGTCAAGAGGAAATAAAGATAGATAACTAGAATGATTCAGTGCAAGGAGAGCTTGCTTAAGCAGAAGAAATTGGAAAGGCTTTGGGAAATAAGTGGCAACTTAAACTGAAACTTAACAGCTAAGATGCTTTGAAAATGCAGTTTGGGCAAAGTATTTCTAGATGAGTGAAATTATCAGAGCAGAGAAAGCATAAGCTATGGACTCATAACAAAAATAATTTAATTTGGGTGGATTAGAGTACACGAGAATTACATTAATAAAAACTTGACTGAAAATGTGTGATTGAACCAGATCAAAGTGGACCTTACATGTGAACCTATGGAATATGGACTAAGTAGCAGCATAAGAATAGGCATTGATAGTCTCTAAGCAGTGAGATAAAGTCTACAGTTTCTTGAGACTTTTAAAGAAAGATTGGAAGGTCTTTATCCTGGAACATCTGAGATCAATTCAAACTACACAAAATATTCTAAGGCTATGCTGTCCAATACAGTAGCTAGTAGCCATATGTGTTTATTCAAATTTAAATTAAAGTTAATTAAAATTAAATAAGCTAAAGGTAAATTTGTCAATTGCACTAATCACATTACAAGTGTTCAATAACTCCCCTAATGGCTACTGTATTGGACAAAAGAGATATAGAATATTTCTATCACTGCAGAAAGTCTTTTGGCTATTGTTGTCTAGAACAATAGATCTGACCGTTTTTGTTTTGTTTTGTTTTGAGACGGAGTCTTGCACTGTCACCTGGGCTGGTGTGCAATGGTGTGATCTCGGCTCACTGCAACCTCTGTCTCCCAGGTTCACGCGATTCTCCTGCCTCAGCCTCCGGAGTAGCTGGGATTACAGGTGCACACCACCACACCTGGCTAATTTTTTGTATTTTCAGTAGAGGTGGGGGTTTTACTATGGTGGCCAGACTGGTCTCAAACTCCCAACCTAGTGATCCACTGATCCACCCGCCCTGGCCTCCCAAAGTGCTGGTATTACAGGCGTGAGCCACAGCACCTGGCCTTTTTTTTTTTTTTTTAATAGAGAGACAGGGTCTTGCTCTGACACCCAGGCTGGAGTGCAGTGGCGTGAACCACAGCTCACTGTAACCTCAAACTCCTGGACTAAAGTAATCCTCTTGCCTCAGCCTCCTGAGTAGTTGGGACTACAGGCATCTTCCACCATGCCCTGCTAATTTTTAAATATTTTTATTTATGATTTTGTTGTTGTAGAGACAGGGTCTTGTTATGTTGCCTAGGCTGATCTCAAACTCCTGGCTTCAAGTAATCTTCCTACCTTGGCCTTCCAAAAGGACTGAGATTACAGCTATGAGCCCCAGTGCCTGGCCCATGTCTTCTTTATTTTACTTATGGTTACAGCAGTAGATATTGGAGAAGACAGAGGAGATTTATGAGATACCTTAGAAGGATTTTTGAAACTTAGTAGTGTACTAACTGGGCAGGGATAAAATGAGTTGGGAATTAGAAATAGGCCATTGGAATGAGTCTAGGATAAGAGACTAACATTAAGTTATTATCTGCATTTACTTGGAAAACAAAATAAGGATATTCCATACCAATATTCAAGTGAGAGGCTTAAGGAATACAAAGAGAAGATTGTTTTTTAAAAACCACCAATAATATGTTAGGAAAGTGAGAGGAGTCCAAAAATGAGATGTGGAAAGAAGCACTAAACAAATAAATGGAGAAATACGAGAAAAACTCAGTAAATGAGAGAATTTAAGGAAGAAAATTATTTTAAGGACAGAATGATAACTGTGTTCAACATCAAAATTCAATTTGATAAATACTAGAGTATTCCTGGCATAACATTAAAATGGCTGAGGGCAACATTATTTAAAACATGGCATTATTTAAAATATACTTAATAGCTTTTTAAAATCTCCTTTAGTTTAATAAGATAAATTCTTCTGAAATTTAATGTTACATTCGTAAGTTAGTTAATGAATGGTTTGCCTTTTATAACATGATTTAATAATACTGATGTGTGCATAAAATTGTTAACAAATTAATGACAGTCAAGTTCTTCCAGCCATTCTATCTTGTTTTCCTCACTGTCCATTTGAATGTTTTTGTACATACTTTTAAGCCTACTGATGTAATTACTGAAAGAATAAAATTTATACTTAAAATTAATCTATACTTTGTCTCACTGGAGAAAAGTCAGTAAAATTATTTTTTCCATCTTTCTTCAGGAGAAATGACCAAAGAGAGTATTTAGCATTTAGAAGGTGCCTCTTCATTTCCAAAGCTCTCTGAAATTACATAATATGTATTCTAAATGTGCTAGTCATCAAATTGTTTAGTCTACTGTATAATAGCATGAACTTGCCTAAAAATTCCATTAAGAAATATCTCTAGAGTGCATTTGACCTTGGCACATTAGATTGAAAATATGCTAACAGGCTTGAATGGCCTAGGAATAAGCACTTTAAAACAATGAATAGGATTATAATTATTGTTGGTTAGTGCACTGCCACTGCTTATATGCTTAGCATTTTAAAATGTTTTAGAAGAAAATGTAATGAATTAAAATGTTCATTATGTAATGGTTCCTGTTTATTTCAGTAAAAAAGCACATTTAATTAAACTTTGTCTTGAATTTTTTTCAGTCTGGTGATACAAGAGCAATTTTTGAAGAATTGATCATGTTATAATATATGATTCATCTCTCTAATTTTATTGAATATTTAAACTTAAGTACATTTTATTTAGTATGTTTTAAAATTTAAACCTAAGTACATTTTATTTAGTATGCTTAAAATTTAAACCTAAATACATTTTATTTAGTATGTTTTAAAATCCTCTTTAACATAAACAAAATATTCATATTGTTATTTAAGTTATGAAAAACTAAAGGTCAAAAGTGTTATTTTGTATTAATCAAATCATGCATACATATATAAACATTTTTCAGATTTTCAAGACATAATGTAAAACATTGGAAGAAAACATACAGATTGTAGCGGTTATCTGATTATCACTGGCTTTATCTTTTCTCATATAACATACCTGATCCAAATTGTTTATAACAGCTATGTAGAACTTTTAAAATGAGAAATGATGCATTTATTGAAACTACAATAAACCTCTTCTCTTATTTATACTCTTAGTACCCAGAATGAGAATCTTGCTTGAACTGCTAATGAAGCAGTGACTGCGAACGGAATTCTAAGTAGAAATCCTCTGAAATATGACTGTTTTAAAGTTCACAGAGGAGAGGTTATCATTTAACATATATATATATATATATGTTGATGGGTTTTACTCTTTCTGTGCCTTAAAGATGTGTTTTAACTCTTTCTGTGCCTTAAAAAATTAACTGATTACAAAAGCTATACTGTTGATTAATAATGACTAGTTACCATTTATTGAGGATTTATGACAGATCAGATACTACACTAACACGTTTATCAACATTACCACATTTAATAATCTAAAACAACCCTATAAGATCATTTTTCTTGGCCGGGAGCAGTGGGTCACGCCTGGAATCCCAGCACTTTGGGAGGCCGAGGCAGGCGGATCACGAGGACAAGAGATCGAGACCATCCTGGCGAACACGGTGAAACCCCGTCTCTACTAAAAAATACAAAACATTAGCCGGGCGTGGTGGCGGGCGCCTGTAGTCTCAGCTACTCAGGAGGCTGAGGGAGGAGAATGGTGTGAACCCGGGAGGCGGAGCTTGCAATGAGCCGAGATGGCGCCGCTGCACTCTGGCCTGGGCAACAGAGCAAGACTCCGACTCAAAAAAAAAAAAAATCATCATTCTTATCCCTATTTCACATATTTGGACACTGCTAAGGTCACTTGTCCAACATAACACCATTGGTAAGTAAATAGATCCAGCACTTCAACTGAGGTTTGTCTGATATAAATTCTTAGCTCTTAATTGCTATTTTTTAGGATACAGCTCCTTTAGAGAATACAAAACAAAGCAAAACTAAGAAAATAAAGTGTATACAATACAGAAAAGAATAAGGAGGGAAAAAATGTATTTCTCAAATACTACAACTCAGAAAAATCTTTTGGGGAATTTCCCTCCTGGTTTATGTCATTTGAAAACGATATATAATTTTATAGATTTGGGGTCATATAATATATAGAGTTGTATATTCAGGTCATTTTGTGAGTATTCCCCCCATATCATTAGAAATTTCCTTGCTGCTTTCTAGTAATTATGGAAAACTCATTTGTTTTATTTTAACTCACTGCATGATGAAAAAAGTATAAGCTGTTTTTAATTCTCCTAGTGCTAACTTTAAGCTTTGCTAACACTTTTTTTAAATCTACTATATATTTCTCAATTATTTTTCCATCACTTATTAGTCTTCTCTGTTCCTCAAACATACCTGGCATGGTTCCTCCCCCAGACATGAACACTTCCTGTTTTCTCTGTCTTGATTGTTCTGACCCCAGACACTTGCAGAGTTCACCCCCTTACCTCCCTCAGGTCTTCAATCAAATGTCACCTCAGTGTGGACTTACCTAGTCAGTCTACTTAGAATTGCTATCATGTAGCCCCCAACTTGTCACTTCCATCACCTCTGTCCCCCTTGTGTGCTTTGTTTTTATTTGTATTATTGCCCTCTAACATACAATATATTTTACCTATTTATCTTGGCTGCATAAGAGAGCAAATATATTTTTCCTGATTTTGTCACTGCTGTATCTCCAGTATCTAGAACAGTGATGTGTAGTAAATGTTCAATAAATATTTGTTGAATGAATACATGAATAGTCAACAATAAGATGATCAGTGTTTTTCTGTGTTCCTCCTCCTTCCCAGTGAAATAACTGAGTTGAGCAATGAAAGTAAGTAATGCATGTTCTCATGCAACTGAAGTTTCTATTGATTAGTGGACTCACAAAGAAAGAACAACCTCAGGTTGCCAAATAAAGATAAAACATTGCTGCAGCCTAAATTTTGGTGGACTCATGAAGTGGTGTATTTGATACAATGACAGAGGCAAGAGGCAGAGAAATTCCAGGCAGATAAGCGCGGGTCCCCGACAAAGCCCCACCCTCAAGCCTGAAATCACGGCCCAAAGTGAGAACTTACATCCTTGTTTATTGCCTTTTCCAAAACCACCCATGGCCTGCCCTGTCCCCCATCCTGTGCTTATAAAAACCCCAGTACTTAGCTGACAGAGAGGAGAAGCAGCTGGACGTTGGAGACTACGGTTGGACACTGGAGAGAAGTGGCTTGATTTCAGATGGACAGCTTGACAGCGTAACTTTGGAGAAGAATCTGGCCAGAGACGGCCAGACTTTGGGGGAAGATTACCTTCCTGCCCCATCCCCTTTGCAGCTCCCTTTCCCATTGAGAGCCACCTCCATTGGCAATACAATCCCCCGCATTTACCATCCTTCAATTCGTTCATGTGACCTCATTTCTCCTGGACACCAGACAGGAGCTCAGGTGCCACAAGTGCAGATGCAAAAGGCTGTCACACTGACCCTTTGCTCTCACTGGCAGAAGGCAGCCACCTCACATGAAAAGGAAGAAGGTCCACTGAGCTGTTAACACTTAAGCCATCTGCAGACAGCAGAACCAAAAGAGCACCGTGACACTCCTTCTGGGGCTTCAGGGGTCATGGGCACGTCCCCCCGAGACGCTGCCAGGAGGACGGCATGAAATTGGCTTCTGCTGGCGCTCAAAAGCAGTTGTCCCTGCTCCTGCACCCATTCACCTGCGCACCCACTCCCACGAGGAGTGGAACACAATGGGTTCGAGTGAGTGGATTTTGCTTCTGCTGGCACCGGAGTAGCCAGCTGACTCCAGCACTCACTCATGTACACCAGTTCCTGCCTCATTCACCCACATGCTCCCTCTCATGAGGAGGTGAGAGCTGTGGGCTGAGTAAATGGGGCACCCCCTTCACAAGTCCCACGAAGGAGTCAGGGAAATATCCTCCATGTTGTTTTAGACTAACCCTCTGGTAATATTTCAAATTCTTTACATAGTGAGAAGAAGCTTGACTCAAGTCAGTTTAGAGACCCCGAGTGCCCTGACTGATGGGGAGGCTAAGTCACATTCAAAGATGTCCCTAGAATGCAGCCAGAAATGATTATAGTGACACCTCTGAACCTTATCCTAGAGGGAATGACAGCCATTTAATAGCATGTATGGGTCCTATCAAAAAGAAAATACCTTAAACTTTTGGGGATCACTAGATACTAGCTATGAATTGTCTTTAATACCAAGGATTTGGACTCCTACTTTGATCTACTAGTCAAGTGGCAGCTTAGGGAATTCAGATAGAGAATGAGGCCTGGACTAACTCCTTCAATAGTGGGTTCACAGAGACCACAGACTTATCCTGTGGTTATTTCCTTAGTTACTGAGTTCATATTGGCAAAAGATTTATGAAGCAACTAGCAGAAGCCCCACATTGGTTCCCGAATCCATGGGGTGAGAGTAATTAAGGAAAGAAGGAGCTGGACAGGGTGGCTCATGCCTATAATACTAGCACTTTAAGAGGCCAAGGTGAGAGGATTGCTTGAAGCCAAGAGTTCAAGACTAGCCTGGGTAACAAAGGGAAACCTAGTCTCTACAAAAAATTTAAAAAGTTATTTGGGTGTGGTGGCATGCACCCATAGCCCTATACTTGGGGGGCTGAGGCAGTAGGATCACTTGAGCCCAGGTGTTTCAGGCTGCAGTAAGCTATAATGGCACCACTGCACTATATCCTGGATGACAAAGCAAGACCTTGTCTCAAAACTGTGAGGGGGCAATTTGAAGAATGGGAATGTGCTCTTCCAAAATAGTAAGCCAAAACACTACCATACCACTAGAGGATTTCAGAAATTAGTACTACCTTAAAAATCTTCAAAGGTACAGTGCCAGGGCTTTTCATTTCACTCACATATTGTGCAGTGCAGAAGACACATGAGTCTCAAGGAACGACTGTAAATCATTATAAATTTAATCATAGGGTGATGCCAGCTGTTGCTCCAATTAAGGTATTTTTACTAGAACATATTGACATTGATACTGGCAACTGGTACAGAGTTACTAATCTAGCAAACACTTCCTTTTCAGTGCAAATTAGTAAATAAAATCCAAAGTTGTTTGCTTTTTTTGGGGCAAGAGAAGCAGTACACATTCTGTCTTCTATAAGGATCATATAAACCCTTATGCACTTGCTTGAAATATAATGCACAGGGACTGTAATTTTATTCATGTCCCACAAACCATCACTCTGGTTATTACACTGATTAAGCTAATTGAACCTGGGTGGCCAGGAAGTAGCCAGAGCCCTGGATGCCAAAATATGAACATATAATCCTTGGAAAGTTCATGGGTCACACCACTAAATTTACTAGATTTCCAGTCATCTAGGGCACATTGAAATATCACATCTAAAGTAAGAAATATCCCTGATCAACATCGATGCAAAAATCCTCAATAAAATACTGGCAAACCAAATCCGGCAGCACATCAAAAAGCTTATCCAGCATGATCAAGTGGGCTTCATCCCCGGGATGCAAGGCTGGTTCAACACACACAAATCAATAAATGTAATCCATCATATAAAGAGAACCAAATACAAAAACCACATGATTATCTCAATAGATGCAGAAAAGGCCTTGGACAAAATTCAACAACACTTCATGCTAAAAACTCTCAATAAATTAGGTATTGATGGGATGTATCTCAAAATAATAAGAGCTATTTATGACAGACCCATAGCCAATATCATACTGAATGGACAAAAACTGGAAGCATTCCCTTTGAAAACGGGCACAAGACAGGGATGCCCTCTCTCACCACTCCTATTCAACATAGTGTTGGAAGTTCTGAACAGGGCAATCAGGCAGAAGAAAGAAATAAAGGGTATTCAATTAGGAAAAGAGGAAGTCAAATTGTCCCTGCTTGCAGATGACATGATTGTATATTTAGAAAACCCCATTGTCTCAGCCCAAAATCTCCTTAAGCTGATAAGCAACTTCAGCAAAGTCTCAGGATACAAAATCAATGCACAAAAATCACAAGCATTCCTATACACTAATAACAGACAAACAGAGAGAGCCAAATCATGAGTGAACTCCCATTCACAATTGCTTCAAAGAGAATAAAATACCTAGGAATCCAACTTAAAAGGGATGTGAAGGACCTCTTCAAGGAGAACTACAAACCACTGCTCAATGAAATAAAAGAGGACACAAACAAATGGAAGAACATTCCATGCTCATGGATAGGAAGAATCAATATCATGAAAATGGCCGTACTGCCCAAGGTAATTTATAGATTCAATGCCATCCCCATCAAGCTACCAATGACTTTCTTCACAGAATTGGAAAAAACTACTTTAAAGTTCATATGGAACCAAAAAAGAGCCCGCATTGCCAAGACAAACCTAAGCCAAAAGAACAAAGCTGGAGGCATCATGCTACCTGACTTCAAACTATACTACAAGGCTACAGTAACCAAAACAGCATGGTACCGGTACCAAAACAGAGATATAGATCAATGGAACAAAACAGAGCCCTCAGAAATAACGCCACATATCTACAACTATCCGATCTTTGACAAACCTGAGAAAAACAAGCAATGGGGAAAGGATTCCCTATTTAATAAATGGTGTTGGGAAAACTGGCTAGCCATATGTAGAAAGCTGAAACTGGGTCCCTTCCTTACACCTTATACAAAAATTAATTCAAGATGGAATAAAGAATTAAACGTTAGACCTAAAACCATAAGAACCCTAGAAGAAAGTAATTTTATTTTGAAAAAGAGTAAAGGGGATTAGCATATAGTGGTTACTGTTTCCAAGTATATACAATTAATTTATGGATAAGAACGGTAATGGCTGACATAAAAAATAATGAAATCATGTCTTTTGTAATAACAGGAATGGAACTGGAGGACATTATTTTAAGTGAAATAACTCAGAAGCAGAAAGTCAAATACTGCATGTTTTCACTTACAAGCGGGAATGAAACAATGTGTACACATGAACGTAGAATGTGGAATAATAGAAATTGGAGACTCAAAAAGTGGGAGGGTGGGAGGTAGATGAAGGATTAGAAATTACTTAATGGGTGGTACAATGTACACTGTTCAGGCGATAGTTACACTAGAATTTCAGACTTCATTATTATACAATATATCCATGTAACAAAATGGATATGTTGTATATGTGCACTTGTACCTCTGAAATCCATACAAATTTTTTAAAAATTGACTTTTTTTTTTTGATACCGAGTTTCACTCTTGTTGCCCAGGCTGGAGTGCAATGGCGCAATCTTGGCTCACCGCAACCTCTGCCTCCCTAGTTCAAGCGATTCTCCTGCCTCAGCCTCCAGAGTAGCTGGGATTACAGGCATGCACCACCACGCCCAGTTAATTTTGTATTTTTATTAGAGACAGGGTTTCTCCATGTTGGTCAGGCTGGTCTTGAACTCCCGACCTCAGGTGATCCGCCCGCCTCGGCCTCCCAAAGTGCTGGAATTACAGGCGTGAGCCACGGCATCTGGTCAAAAATTTAACTTTTTAAAAAAGAATGATAAAGTATACAAGTAGAGAGGGTTCTTAGTACCCACCATCACCCTTATGCCCAGCAAGGGAATTTTTTTAGTCCATTTCTTTCCATAAGTGTACCTGAGAGAGTGGTACATGAGTGTGGACTTGGAATAGGAAAATCACTATCATAGTTACATAATTACAGACTCCAGCTTGCCAGACATCAGCTTTCTCTGGCAAAAAACAACCCCTGAAAAATAAAATCAGATTTTCTTTTATTTAGTTAACTTTAGGTGCTCTCTTAGGTGGTAATAACTGAAAGAAATTTAATAGAACATGTCACTTGAATCTGAACAAATATTTGATTTCTTTTCTCAGAATCTTCACAGTAAGCCTGGAGGAGCATCCCATTTTCCTTGGTCTTTGTTACAGAGCAGGGGTAAACTCATGCTTTGATCAATACTAACTCAGGACTTGATAAAACTGCACACTATAACCTGAAAAAGGTGTCACATCTGTATTTGAATTCTTCTTTAAGATTCTTAGTACTGAGTTCATTAATTTGTTCACCAATAAATTATTAAGCACCTATCATGCGTCAGGCATTCCTTTCATCACTGGGGGTCCAGCAACAACAAATGGTGATTAAATTGTAAGAAAGCTATCCAGAAAATAAAACAAATAAGTCATATTCCATATGTTGATAAGTACGTGGAGTAAAATGAGGCAAAGGAGATTAGTAGGGAGTTTTGAGGGGTGAGATAAGGATTTCATTATTAATAAGTTAAAGAAGGTCTTACTGGGAAGATCTTATTTGAATTAAAACCTGAAAGAGGAGAGGGAGGGAACCATTTGAATATCTTTAGAAGAGCATTCCAGGGAAATATTATACAAAGGAGGTGAAGGTTGCCATTCAGGGCTGTGAGAGTGCTCAGGACACATTTGATTTACTTAAACTTTTAGCTCAGGGTAGGGTTTCTCAACTTTCTCACTATTGACATATTAGGCTAGATAATTCTTTGTTGTGGGGGGCTGTCCTGTGTGTTGTAGGATGTTAACAGCATCCTGGACTCTACCAGCTAGAAGCCAGTAGCACCCTCACAGCTAGTTGAGGCAACTAAAAATGTCTTCAGATATTGCTAAATGTCTCTTGAGGAGAAAAATTGTCCTGGTTGAGAATCACTGAATTTGAGTCAACATAAGTAACAATGACCAAATATATTTTTTTCTACTGTACGTCCATCATTTGCATGGCCTATAAAGAATAAATTCTTTGATTCTATTCTTTTGTCTCGCTACATATCAGTTCGGACTTGAGTCTAGTGGGAAGAACTTCATGACAGATGGTTTCACTGGTCCCAAGATGATATTTTTGTAGTCACTCTGTCTGTGCTCTCTGGTAGATGTTTTCTCTAGCTGTGACCACGATTCAGAGTTCAGCAGTGGCCATTAGAGTGCATTAGGCTAGACTTGTTAAATGCATATTTATTCAGGAGTAAGTGTTTTTGTAGGTCATGGAAGCTGTGACAGAAAATGTTCTGAGCAGAGCCAGAACTCTTCTCTCCACAAAGCAATGTAGTCACCCCCTAATACCTTGGAAAGCTCAGAGGCAAAATCTGGACCAACAAACTGAATACTTAAAGCAGCAGTACCTTTCACAAAGATGATTTTTAAAACTCTAAGAGATAGACCTCTAGAAGCTAACAGATATGTTGGTTTTTATAGATAACACAGAAAATTGTCCCCTGACTAACAATAATCACAATGAAAATACAAGATATACATGCCTGCACATACAAATGTTTATGGTTTCTATTAAAATTCTGATTCATTTTGTATACATATAGACAAAATAATACAGAATTTTGGTATTCTTATGTGAAACCCATCCATTTGAAAGTCATATTTGGTACATTGAAAAAAACATTCCCAGGTCACATTTAATTTGGTCATGTAGTATATTATTGCTCTCCAGAATTGGTTGTATCACCAAAACATGATACCTCCGCTTTCTCCCCCAACTGCCAAATCTGGCATTATCCAGCTTTCCAAATGTTGCCAATCTAATATTATTACAAGGGACTATTAATTTGTTGTTGTTTTAATTAACATTTTTGTGATTAGCTGTAATTTTGAGCAGTTTTATAAATGCTATATTCACTTTCTAAATTTCCTGTTCTGTAAATTGCTCATGTATCTATTAGAGATTATGTGTTTTTCTTGTTGATTTGTAGCAGTTTCTTATATAATTTAAATACTAATTACTCGTCTATTTTAGACATTACAAATATCATCTGTTCAATCATTCCTCAAAAACTGTGTCCATGGTTACTGTCACTGAACAGAAATCTTTACCTGTGATGTAATAAACATTACTGGAAATTTTACTTTCTTTGCATCTTGTTCTATAAACATGCAATAATCACCTAAGTGCTGAATTCTGGAGAAGAGGTTCTCAGATAACTTAGTCCCACTCACCTAGGGGTCACTAGTTTAGGAGAAAGAAGCATAATTGTAAATAAAGGAAAATTAAATTTAAGAAATGTCAAAACACTGAAATGAGAACATAGGAATTTGAAAAACATGTATTAATGAGGACTAGCTTTGCTGAAATCATGAGTTTAGGAAGAAAAAAAAAGTTTCTCCCATTTCTTATGAGAAAAGGAGTCAGTCTTTTCACCCTTCTCTTGGCTATGCCCTGGAATTTTCTAGGTGTTTTCCTAGTGGAAATGTCAACTCCTTAATGTTTATTAATAAGTGCATTTATTGAGACAGACTTCGTTTTAGAAGCCAGTGATGTGGATATGACTAAGAATCATATCCTGCCTTAAGAAGGCTACAGAATAAAAACAAAAATCTAGATACCCTTCATTCACATCAGCATATGGGCATCCTGAACCATCTTGTATTCAAACAATTTAACTCTGAAATTAAGTAGTTCTGCTTTCCGGATTGCATTCTGCATATTTTAGCATCACCACTTATGACAATTGTTCATTTAAGTTCTATTTACTATGCTTGTTTCATTTAATGTAGCTGAGTCCCATAGGTAGATGGTGCAAATATATTTAGGGAGTTGAGAAAAGGCAGATAATAAGCTGGATGAGTCGATAAAGACTTTGAAGCAGAGTATTAATGCAATCAGATTTTCATTTTAAAGTGATTATTGAAACTACAGTGTGAGGAATGTATTGGGCTTATTTGGTTGTTGGGGTAGTAGATAAGATCAATGTAGGACAGCAGACATGAATGTGTGTTAGAAATGCAAATGAAAGGCAAAGGTGGCCTTTACTGTGGAAACATTAGCATGATGGAGCAAAGTTCATAAAGAGACTATTGATTAGAAGGAAGAGTTCACATAAATTTTAAAGATCCATTAATAATTTGTCTAGTGTTGGGGTGGGCTATCATTGATGACTTTCCATTTCTGGCTTAGTCAGCTATATCAAGTATTGTCCCATGTATTAGTCTGCTCAGGCTGCCATAACAAAATACCACAGACTGAGTGGTTTAAACAACAGAAATATATTTTTTCACAGTTCTGGAGGCTGGAAATCCAAAATCAAGGTGCTGGCAGGGTTGGTTCCTGGTGAAGCCTCTGGTCCTGGTTTGTAGAAGGCCACCTCCTGTGTCCTCACTTAGCCTTTCTTTTGTGCACACATGGAGAGAAAGAGAAATCCCTGGTGTCTCTTCTTATATGGCTACCAGTCCTGTAGGTTTAGGGGCCCCACCATTATGACCTCATTTAACCTTATTGACCCCCTTAAAGGTCTTATCTCCAAATACAGTCACACTGAGGATTAAGGTTTCAATATATGAATTTTGTGGGGAGACACAAGCTAGTCTATGACTTCCTGGGTTCAGCAGACTTCTGTGACTAAATAAAATGAAAGTTCAAAAGTGTGGGATATTGTAAACATTTTATTTCAGCTTGTGAGATGTCTTTTTATTTTCTTGATGGTGTCATTGAAACAAATAGTTTTAATTTTATTAAGTCCAATTTATCCATTTTATTTAATCACTTGTGCATTTGGTTTCACAAAAAAAGAAAATTTACTAATGTAAATACAATTATGTATTGCTTAATGATGGGGACACGTTCTGGGAAATGCACCATTAGGTGGTTTCATCCTTATGTTTGCATCGTAGAGTGTACACAAACTTACACAAACATAGATGGTATATATATATATATATATATATATTTATATTTATATATATTTTTTCATAAGGAAAGCCAAATGCCCCAGAACCATTACTGAATGTCAATCATTTCCCCTACTTGATTTGACCTGTCAATATCAAGTGTCATATATTAGGTTTTTATATACATTTCATTGTAATCTTCTGGGACCACCTTTGTACATGTGGTTTATCATTGGCTGAAACACCATTTTTCTGTGTATGATTACAGTAGGTTATGATTGATATAAAGTCAGAAAACCACCTGGGTAATTCAAGTAAGTGTTACTTATATTAAGGATCCTAAGCTGAGATTATGCTGAGCTATATAAAGTAGAAAACTTCAATAACAGTGGATTAAAATTTTTTTTTTTTCAGGAATCTGATGGGTTTAGAAGATTTCCAAAACTGCCAAAAGCACTCTTTAACCAACTCAGATAATGGATT
The DNA here is from genome assembly GCF_000001405.40 of Homo sapiens. Taxonomy (NCBI): domain Eukaryota; kingdom Metazoa; phylum Chordata; class Mammalia; order Primates; family Hominidae; genus Homo; species Homo sapiens. The sequence goes on from NC_000023.11 coordinate 27,153,360, forward strand.
TGCTGACTGGTTGTGAGAAGAGCCCTTGGCCGCATTTTCCAGATAGTCATCTAGAACCCAAAACAAAGACCTGTTTAGTTACCAAGCCCATGACACCAGAAAGTTTTGGCCCCTTATTTCACATTTCTAAAAGCTTCAACATAGCATTCAGAAGAATAATATCAGAAGTACCACTAATCAGGACAGTAATAAGGGAACAACCTGCTAGAATAATGCAAGGCAGGAGACTTAGGAAATATTTCAACTATGTTTATAGAAAAAAGGGTCCTAATATATAAAAATAGGTTATTTATCAACAGAACCAATAACAATAAATCCACCAGGCATGTTTTTGATCAGCTTTCTTTATGCAGCTAAAGCAGAATTGGTGATGGGATTATCTTCACTTGAAAACAAGCATGTGTTTTCATACATCCCTGCTGGGAAAATTAGGCAGTATCCATGTGACTCCAAAGGAAATATTGGAATTTCCTCAAATCCAAGGAGCACCAAGGAACTGAAATGCTGAAAGAAAGCAAGGTAGCAGATTTAGAAGAGATATTTCTACTATGTTGATAGAGTTGCCATTCAAAATATTTTTTTAAAATAGAGATTAACATATCAATGAAGCCAACATCAATCCATCAGGTATCTGAATATGGCACTCTTGTACAGCCACAGTGGAGCTAGCGATGAAATTATCTTCACATAAACCTCATCAATTGAGGCTGCAGGAAGGGCAATTCCCCCCAAAAAAGTGCAATGCAAATTAACAAAACAATGCCAGTGACTCTGAGCAGTTAAAAGTAATGAAGTCCGCTAGAGTCCATCTTTAGCACAACTTCCTAAAAACCAGTGCTGAAACTGAATTTTCAAAACAAGTAATTAACTGAAAGACCAATTTACAAAAGCTTACTTTGCCAAATTATCAAGTTCTATAAAACCAATGACCAAATATAAAGGCATAACAAAATGGCTATGAGAACAAGGTTCATGTCCGATATTAGTATCTGAAAATGAAAAACATTTTCTGAGTATTAAATATACTTAAAAGAAATATTTTTCCATGACAAAAAAATATAGGATATATATGTATGTATTTGCTTGTTTTCTTCTCAAATTGTATTTCTGGTATATCTTCTTTTTGAAATATTTTAGATTTCAAATATAATATAATTTTAACCTATCTTTTTAAAACATTTTGTAAGTTTGCATATGCATTATTAATATATATTGACTTTCAGAAACTAAGCATATGATTCAGACTTATTTTTAACAGATTAATTTATCTTCTGCAAAATTTTGAATCTTTCTGAAAATTGCTGCCAAACTATGTATTTCCATGATTTTTTTCTAAACAATCAAAATTTTAGCATTTCCTAATGACTGAAGAGTTAAAACAAATTATAGAGTTTTTGTATGATTTTGGTTGTATGATCAACTTATTAATTTAATGGTAATTCTAATTTCATATAAGAATACATGCACTTTAACTATTTTTCATTTAAAATTCTGCTTCCCTTTCAATGTTTTCACTTTGAATTGAATTACTTAAATTTTAAATTATGTAAAATAACTGAATTTCAACTGAAAGTATCCAAAGGAAGGCAGAATTTAATTAAACTTAATTTAAATATAAAATAAAATATACATGGTGAGTTTCCTGCTGTTCTTTCTTTCCTGACTCCAGAAACTCAAAGCATGTCATCAAGAATCTCTATTTCTGCATGTTTTTAAAGAATCTCTAGGTACCCAATTTAAATGTGTTGGTTTCTACCCAAAATAAAATAAATTATTATATCAAAAAGATACCTGCACTCATTATGTTTACTACAGCACTATTCACCATAGCAAAGATATGGTCTCACCTAAGTGTCCATCAAGGGATGACGGTATAAAGAAAATGTAGTATATATGCACAATAGAATAGTATTCAGCCATAAAAAATGAAATCACATGTTTTGCAGCAACATGAATGAACTGCAGGGCATTATCTTAAGTGAAATAACTCAGAAACAGAAAGCCAAACACTGCATGTTGTCACTTACAAGTGAGAGCTAAATAATGTGTACACATTTACACAGAGTGTGGAATAATAGACACTGGAGCCTTGGAAGGGTGGGAAGGTGGGACGTATGTGAAGGTTGAGAAATTATTTAATGGGTACACTGTACACTATTCAGTGATGGTTACACTAAAAGCCCAGACTTCACTACTGTGCAATATATCCATGTATCAAAACTGTACTTGTACCCCCTAAATTTACACAAATAAAAATAAATAAGGAAATTTGTTTAATTCTCAGATAATCTGCCTTTAAATGAGAGCCCTAGATGCTCACTCAGTGGTTTTCAAAGTGTGTTCCCCAAACTAGCAGCATCAACATCACCTATGCACGAGTTAGAAATGCAAATTCCCAGGCCTTAGCCCAGAGATATTGAATTAATAAATCTGGGGGTAGAGGAGGGTTCCAACGACCTCTATTTAAACTAGTTTTGAAGGTGATTATGATGCATACTAACATTTGAAAACCACCAAAATTGTATGTAAGACAGCACTTACGGAGCATTTTTGATATAAGAAAATCCTCTCTTCACCAATGAAGTTTCTGAAACTCCAAAGCAGTGACTTACTCCCATCATTTTATGAGCATTGAGTGTGCATGCAGAAACTCCCACACGCAAGACTTCCTTCAGCTCTCTCTAGGTTTGTGACCTCCTTGTTCTCAGAGAATACTATTACAGTGGAAATCTCTGGTAAGGTATTGGACCCAACACTTAAGCAGGTATCTTTGGACAAGTGGATAATCTTCTCAGGAGCCTCGGTTATTTTAGAGGCTCAAGGTCTACTCACTGTATATGCCATGAATTTACTGCCATGCTAATTTTGATGGGGGAAATCATTCTAAGCCTCCTTGCATTTAGTTTGAGTCAAGGATAACACAACCTTCTTCTTTTCTCATGAGATTGGAGAAAATGGCGGCGACAATAACAATTTCAAATTGTCTTCCCTCCTTTAACCACCTCAAATATTTTAATTCATTCAGACGAGCCTTGGACCAACAACTGCGGAACAAATTTGAGTCCAGTGCCTCTGCAAGATCATCCAGCACCTCACTTTAAAATATGTGTGTTGTTGGGGTGGGGGCAATTCTTGGCATCTGTAGTTTTGGCTTTTGGAATGCTCACATCAGAGAAAACATTGCTTCCAACATCCAGTTCAATGCTGGTTTTCAGGGATATGTCTGACCCATAGCACCCTCACTCACAACACAACACCTTTAGTTATAGGCATAATAGTTGCATGTTACAGCCTCCCAGAGAGGTGAGGAGACAGGCCTGAAGCAACCACAAAGCAGTAGTGGCTGCATACTGCTGTGGGGTCACAATCACCCTCAATGAGAGGTTTATCTGCCCTGAAGGATATGGAGCTGACACTTGCATCTTGCTTGAAACCTCCAACTCATCCTTCTAAAGAGTAGAAGTGAGAGGTGACAGCGTGCTGGCAGTCCTCACAGACCTCACTCACTCTTGGCGCCTCCTCTGCCTGGGCTCCCACTTTGGCGGCACTTGAGGAGCCCTTCAGCCCACCGCTACACTGTGGGAGCCCCTTTCTGGGCTGGCCAAGGCCAGAGCCGGCTCCCTCAGCTTACAGGGAGGTGTGGAGGGAGAGGCGCGAGCGGGAACCGGGGCTGCGTGCAGGGCTTGCGGGCCAGCTGGAGTTCCGGGTGGGCATGGGCTTGGCGGGCCTGCACTCGGAGCAGCCAGCCGGCCCTGCCGGCCCCAGGCAGTGAGGGACTTGGCACCCGGGCCAGCGGCTGCAGAGGGTGTACTGGGTCCCCCAGCAGTGCCAGCCCACCGGTGCTGCGCTTGATTTCTCGCCAAGCCTTAGCTGCCTTCCCATGGGGCAGGCCTCCGGACTGCAGCCTGCCATGCCTGAGCCTTCCCCCGCCTCCATGGGTTCCTGTGCAGCCCGAGCCTCCCCGACGAATGCCGCCCCCTGCTCCACGGTGCCCAGTCCCATCGACCGCCCAAGCGCTGAGGAGTACGAGTGCACGGCGTGGGACTGGCAGGCAGCTCCACCTGCAGCCCCAGTGCGGGATCCACTGGGTGAAGCCAGCTGGGCTCCTGAGTCTGGTGGGGACATGGAGAGTCTTTACATCTAGCTCAGGGATTGTAAACACACCAATCAGCACCCTGTGTCTAGCTCAGGGTTTGTGAGTGCACCAATCAACACTCTGTATCTAGCTGCTCTGGTGGGGCCTTGGAGAACCTTTATGTCTAGCTCAGGGATTGTAAATACACCAATCGACACTCTGTATCTAGCTCAAGGTTTGTAAACACACCAATCAGCACCCTGTGTTTAGCTCAAGGTTTGTGAGTGCACCAATCGACACTCTGTATCTAGCTGCTCTGGTGGGGCCTTGGAGAACCTTTATGTCTAGCTCAGGGATTGTAAATACACCAATCAGCACTCTGTATCTAGCTCAAGGTTTGTAAACACACCAATCAGCACCCTGTGTTTAGCTCAAGGTTTGCGAGTGCACCAATCGACACTCTGTATCTAGCTGCTCTGGTGGGGCCTTGGAGAACCTTTATGTCTAGCTCAGGGATTGTAAATACACCAATCGGCACTCTGTATCTAGCTCAAGGTTTGTAAACACACCAATCAGCACCCTGTGTTTAGTTCAAGGTTTGCGAGTGCACCAATCAACACTCTGTATCTAGCTGCTCTGGTGGGGCCTTGGAGAACCTTTATGTCTAGCTCAAGGATTGTAAATACACCAATCGGCACTCTGTGTCTAGCTTAGGGTTTGTGAGTGCACCAATCGACACTCTGTGACTAGCTGCTCTGGTGGGGCCTTGGAGAACCTTTATGTCTAGCTCAGGGATTGTAAATACACCAATCGACACTCTGTATCCAGCTCAAGGTTTGTAAACACACCAATCAGCACCCTGTGTTTAGCTCAAGGTTTGCGAATGCACCAATCGACACTCTGTATCTAGCTGCTCTGGTGGGGCCTTGGAGAACCTTTGTGTCCATACTCTGTATCTAACTAATCTGATGGGGACGTGGAGAACCTTTATATCTAGCTCAGGGATTGTAAACCCACCAATCAGCACCCTGTCAAAACAGACCACTTGGCTTTACCAATCAGTGGGATGTGGGTGGGGCTAGATAAGAGAATAAAAGCAGGCTGCCCGAGCCAGTAGTGGCAACCCACTCGGGTCCCCTTCCACACTGTGGAAGCTTTGTTCTTTCGCTCTTTGCAATAAATCTTGCTGCTGCCCACTCTTTGGGTCCACACTGCTTTTATGAGCTGTAACACTCACCACGAAAGTCTGCAGCTTCACTCCTGAAGCCAGCGAGACCACAAGCCCACCGGGAAGAATGAACAACTCCAGACGCGCCGCCTTAAGAGCTGTAACACTCACTGCGAAGATCTGCAGCTTCACTCCTGAGCCAGCGAGACCACGAACCCACCAGAAGGAAGAAATTCCGAACACATCCGAACATCAGAAAGAACAAACTCCAGACGCGCCACCTTAAGAGCTGTAACACTCACCGCGAGGGTCTGCCGCTTCATTCTTGAAGTCAGTGAGACCAAGAACCCACCAATTCCGGACACAGAAGTTTGGAGTTCAGCTCTTCTTGGTTACAATCTGAGTTCTGTCTCTTACTGACTCTGAGACCTCTGAAAAGTCACTTATTCTGAATGTCACAAGGCACATTTCAATAACTTTCTCATGCAGTAAAGCTGAAATGAGATGACAAATATAAAGCTTTAGTACAACTCCTGCTACTTGACAAGGTCAGCTCTCAGTGTTAGCTACAGTAAGCAAAGGTCAGACTCAGTCTAAAGTGTTCACAAAACAGAAGGTGGGGCTAGAGCAGTGGTTCACAAAATGTCATCCCCAAGCAGCAGCAGTACTACAGCCTAGGATCTGCATAGAAATGCAACTTCCCAGATGCCCACCCAGAGCCACCTTTAGGATCTCAACTTTTAAGATCTGAGAACTCTATCCTCAAGAAAGACAAAAAGAAAAAAAAACCTAAAACTTTTTATGGTTCTCACTCAGCAGAGCAGCCTCCGCACTGGCATACTCAGGTCTGTCCTGAACTTAGGGCTGTTGTTCCCTGAGGATGGCCCCTGATCAGCATCACCTGTGCACTTGGTAGCTTTGCAAATTATCAGCCGCACCTATCCAAATCTACATAATCTGAACTTTAAGGTTGGAGGCCTAGCAGTGTGGATTTAAGAATTGCTCCAGGAATCCCAATGTTTCCAAAGGGTGAGGATGATAATCTTTGAACCAATGGTTTTCCATATTTCCTTGAAAATAGAATCCTCACCAGATAATTTTAAAACTTCAGAAACAAGGTTTTATTATAAGAGATTCTAAATAATTTGAGATGAGGTGACAACTAAACAACACGTGTTTTCAAGCCCCTTTAGGGGGTCCAATGTGCAATAATTTTGAGAAACACTGCTTTAGGTTCATCTTGCCCAACATTACCAAACGCAGTGGAAAAGTTTTTGCCTTCTAAGAAATCCCAAGAAAATACCTTCCATTGCCCTAACATGGATTATATGTCACCCCAACTTGACACACTTTCCCCAGGAGAGTAGAAAATTCACTGATGACGCCCAGGCACTCTCACCCTTGGCATATGAGGAGTGGATAGCTGCAATTAAAATACTTGGAATGAAACTGGGGGTGGAAGGTGGTGTGAGAGTTTCCTGAAAGGGGAATAGAAATTTCAAAGTTGGACAGTGTGAAGAGCAAACAACAGTTACATTAGATTACTTAATACTTTGGGAAGAATTTTTACAGTATGTTTTTTGTTAGTATTTTCTAGTTTGACAGTTTTTTAAGCATATTTTTTTCAGGAATTATTAAAGGTTGTATTGGCCTTTTCTTTAATTCATGCAGTAAATACTAATTTTTTTTTTTTTGAGACAGAGTCTCGCTGTCTCCCAGGCTGGAGTGCAGTGGCACAATCTCAGCTCACTGCAAGCTCCACCCTCCGGGTTCACGCCATTCTCCTGCCTCAGCCTCCCGAGTAGCTGGGACTACAGGTGCCCACCACCACGCCCAGCTAATTTCTTTTTTGTATTTTTAGTAGAGATGGGGTTTCACTGTGTTCGCCAGGATGGTCTCGATCTCCTGACCTCGTGATCCGCCCGCCTCAGCCTCTCAAAGTGCTGGGATTACAGGCGTGAGCCACTGCACCCAGCCAATCCTAAATTGTTTTCTAGGAAAATTTCCTTTTTGTTTTTCTGAATTATCAATATAGAGTTACATTAGTAATTCTCACAATGGTCAACTACTTAAATATGCTGGTAACATTTTAATATAAACACATGTTTATTTTGGTTAATCTAAAATTTGTAATATTTGATGTATATGCAGAAGGTTTGACTCTTTTCTCACTTAAGCAATGAAAAAATCATCATCCCACAAATTTAAAAGATTACTCAGAAATTCCCAAAATCATTTAAGTAGACAAACTAAGAACTAATGCATGGTTCTATTAGAAAGTAATCAAAATTAAATATTCTAATAGTTATCCCTTTATAAACTGTGCTGTAAAGGTTGTAATGCAACAGGTCAGAGTTGGTGAAAGACTGTATCATTCAAAAGTTGAAGACTGGCCCTTCACTGGCTCCTAAAAGGAAGGCCCTGAGCCTTTGAAATTTGTCTGATTAGAAAGTTTTCATCCATCTGAGGCTTTGGATACACCAGATGGTTCATACTAACAATGAGAATTATGGTGCATGTCTATTTTTATATGAATGAAGCAGTGGCCAAGTTATGTCAGTTAGACATCAAGATGGTCAAAAGCTAAAGATAATTATGTGGACATTCCATGCTTACATGACCAGTGCTCGGGAGTGCTTATCTAGTTGGCAACACTTGGCACAGGTGGTCACACACCTGGCTGGGAGAAATAAGCACAATGCATGTGACTCCACTGGAAGAGGATGGCTGGAAACTTGACCCTAAAGTTTCTTGGACTCAGCCCTGTGCTCTGTTTCCACTGGCTAATTTTCATCTCTGTTCTTGTACTGCAATATACTGTAAGCACCAGTAGAATGGCCTTTTTGAGTTATGTCGAGGCCCTCTAACGAACCATGGAACCTGAGGCTGGCCTTAAAGTACACCAGCAGGCCCACTGATAAATGGTATGCCCTCCTTTAGCTAACTCCAATAACAAGGGGATTACTGAGTGTGTGTGGAGGAGTTCTCACTTAAAACCCAGAAAGTCACCTTCCATCCTGAAATAAATCTGCTGTGATATTCCTGAGCTCATATTCCTTCTACAACCTGCCATCGGAGAACAAAATTTTGTTTCCACACAGCAGGGCAGCAGCAAGGAATTTACCTTGGGCAACAAAGCAAAGCAGCAGGGTTAGAAAGGATATTTCAACTATATTAAGAGAGTGTGGATTCACTACTTCAGAAAGATAGAGTTTTATATCTCAAATAAGCCAATATCAATTGGTATCAATAGAGCTGGACTTCATAGGAGCACTTTCACCTGGCTGGAAGAAAGCAGACAGCTATCTCCCTCTTGCCTGAGTTTAGAGAAAATATGGAACATGCGGACACTTTCTCAAAATAGTCTTTTCTCCTTTTACCACCTCAGCTTGTTTGCATCACTCATTTGAGTGATGCACCAATGCTTGCAGAACCAATTTGTGTCTAGGGTCTCTGTAAGATCATCGAACACCTCACCTTAGAATATAGGGGTTCTTGGCATTTATGGAGTTGGCCTTTTCAGTCTCTAACTGAACTCTCACGTGAGAGAAAATGTTGCTTTCAACATCCAGCTCAGTGCAGGTTTTGAAGGGAATGTCTGACCCACAGCACCCTCACTCACAACACTATAATTGAAAGCACTACGGGTGCATGGTACATCTCCCTGAGAGGTGAGGAGACAGGCCTGGAATGACTAGAAAGCAGTAGTGGTTGCATTCTGCTCAGGGCTCCAATTTACCCTCAAAAAGAGGTTCAACTGCCCAGAAGGACATGAGGCTGGCTCTTCCATCTAGCTTGAAACCTCCAATTGATCCTACCTCAGAGTACAGGTTTTGGAGTCCAACTTTTCTCAGTTGCAGTCTGAGCTCTGTCTCCAGTTAGCCCTGAGGCCTCTGGAAAGTGATTTTATTTTTTTCATCATTTCCTTGTTTTAGTTGGATAGGACATATTCAATAACTTCCCTTGAAGTGCAGCTGAAATGAGGTGAAAAATATAAAGCATTAGTACAAATCCTGTTACTCAACCTATTTACCTCACATTGTTAGCTATTGTAAGCAAAGGTCATACTCAGTCTAAAGTATCCAAAGGAAATACAGTGGGCTAGAACAATGGTTCAGAAAATGTCATCCCTAAGCAGCAGCAGAGATGTAGCCTGGGATCTCGGTAGAAATGCAATGCTTCTGGTGCCCACTCACTGAAAGGAACTTTTAAGGTCACAGTTACATGAAAAGCTATCCCTTAAAAAAAATAAAAAATAAATCTTTCATGATTCTCACTTGTTAAAATCAGAGCAGGCTCTCACTGGCATATTCAGAACTTTCCTCACAGTAGAGCTGTTTTTTCCCTAAAGGTAGCCCCTGAACAGCATCGCCTGTGCAATTGTTAGAGATGCAAATTCTCATCCCCTCCTTTGGAGACCTACATAACCCTAAACTGGAGGATGGAGTGGTACCAACGAATTTGGATTTAACAAGCCCTTTCCAGGGATCCCAATGTCTGCCAAAGTGTGAGAATAGTTATCCTTGAACCAAAGGTTTTCCATATTTGCTTAAAAATGGAACCCCCAAGCGATTCATTAAAAACAACTGCAACAAACTTTTACTGTTAGAAGTTCTAAATAATATGAGGTGAGGTGCCACCAGGAAAACAGGTCTTTTCAAGCTCCCTAACGATTCTAAGGTATAGTAAGTTTGAGAAACACTGCTCTAAGCCCAGCTTGCACAACTTTTCCAAACTCACTGGAAAACAATCTTCTCTCCCCAGAAATCTCAGGAAAAGACCTCCTGCTGACCTCACATGGATAATATGTCACTCCAACTCCAAAAACTTTCCCCACGAGGCTAGAGGAGTGATTGATGGAGCCCAGGTGTTCTCATTCCTGGCATATGAAGAGTGGTCAGCTCCAATTCAAATACTTGGAATAAAATTGGGGTGAGAATTTCCTAAAAGAGCAACTTGAAATTTGGGAACTGGACGGTGTTCAGGGCAACCGATACCCATATAATAAATTAACTGAGAAGAATATTATTGCCATGTTTTTGTTAGTATTATCCACTTTGACAGTTTTGCTTGTACTTTCAGGGATTATTATGGTTGCATTCATCTTTATTCTTATTTGTGAAAAAAATCATCGATTTTTTTAGGAAATTCCCTTTTATTTTTTTCTGAATTATAAATAAACAGCTGTATTATAATTGCCACATTTTTCAACTTCTTATCTATTCTGGCTTCAATATCTGCTTAATCATTAAAAATGCTTATTCTGTAGACTCTCATGTAAATTTCTTGTATATGCAAGATATACTTAAGATTGAAAACACAAAATGATCATACCAAATATTTAAGTTTTCCCAGATTCAAGACAATTTAAATAAAGATATAATGCCTGACAATATTAAAAAATAATGAAAGATACCTATTTTTGAGATGTAAATAATAATGAATACATGTATTTGAAAGCAATGCCAGGCAACTGGAACTTATTTAAATAAATGCAAATGTTTATGAAATAACCAAGTTAAAATACAAATATTTATAATACCTATGTTTTCATAACATTTCATAAAATATGTAGAATAAAAGATCATAGGCATAAAAGTAAAAATTTAAAAACTGTGTTTAAAAAGTCCTAATTCAGCAGACAAACATTGTTCAAATCTTGTACCCTTCCAAGGATGAAGGCTGCCCCTAAGCCCACCACTGGCAGGTAACCTTTAAGCCCATAGAATACTGTGTCTGATCAGAAAGTCATTGGGTACCTGAGGCTCTCTAATCACACCAGATGGTTCATGCTGACAATGAGAATTATGGTGAATGCTTGTTTTTGTACGACTGGAGTTGTATTCTGGCTATGTCAGTTTGACTTCTAAATGAACTAGAGAGTCAGAACTTAAAGACCATCATGTGGAAGTTCCATGCTTATATGACCAGGGCTTGAGAGAACTTACCTGGTTGGGAACACTTGGCACAGGTGGCCGCACACCTGGCTGGGAGAATTAAGTGCAGTGCACTTGACTCCACTGGAAGAGGGTGGCTGGAAGCTTGAGCCTGGTTTCTCCTGGATTCCTCCCTATGCTCCTTTTTTACTTGGTGATTTTTCATCTGTGTTCTTAAACTGTAATGTACTGTAAGCATCAGTACAAAGGCCTTTCCAAGTTGTGTTGACATCCTCTAAAATAATAATCAAACCTGTGGTAGCATTGAGGTACCCATGAATAAATGGTGTGCCATGTGGACACAGTTCTTTCCCTAACTCTAATAACATGGGAATTACTAAGTGTGTGGAACAATGCTCATGTTAACTCCCAGAGAGTCACCTTCCATCCTGAAATAAATCTGCTGTGATATCCTTGATCCCATGCTCCTTGTACAACCTGTCATCCTAGTCTCAGGGAACAAAATTTTTGTTTCTACACAGCAGGGCAGTAACAAGGAATCCACCTTCAGGAAAAATAAAAGGCAGCAGGTTTAGAAGAGATATTTCAACTATATTAAGAGTGTATAGATTCCCAATTATAAGAAGACAAAATTTTATTTATCAATGAAGCAAAGATAAATGACTATCAATAGATTTGGACTTCATGAGGGCCCCTTCTAAGCTCCTTTCACCTGAATGGAGGGAAGGAGACAGATCTCTCTCTCTCTCTCTCTCTCTCTCTCTCTCTCTCTCATGTTTACAGAAAAAGCCTGCCATGATAGCAACTCTTTTAAAAAAGTCTTACCTCCTTTCGCCACCTCAACTCTTTTATTTCACTCGGTTGAGTGATGCCTGCAGTTGAGTCAATGCCTGCAGAATCAATTTGGGTCTTGTGCCTCTGCAAGATTATCCAGTACCTCACTTTAGAATATGGGGGCTCTTGGCATTTAGGGTTTGGCCTTTGGTTCAGTCTGTGGCTAAAATCTCATGTGAAAGAACATGTTGCCTTCAACATACAGTTCAGTACAGGTTTTCAGAGGTGTATCTGACCCATTTCCCCTTCATTCTCTACACCTTAAATTATAGGCACTGTGGGTGCATAGAACACTCTTCCTGTGCAGTAAGGAGACAGGCCTGAAAGAACCACAAAGCAGTAGTGGCTGCATGCTGCTGTGGGCTCTGATTCACCCTCAAGGAGAGGTTCACCTGCCCAGTAGGACATGGCGCTGGCACCTCCATCTGGCTTGAAACTTCCAACTCATCCATTTTAAGAACACAGGGTTTGGGTCCAGCTCTTCTGTGTTCCAATATGAGCTCATTCTCCTATTGGCTCTGAGGCCTGTGAAAAGTCATCTTATTCTGATTATCATTCTATTTTTCAGTAGAAGAGAAATATTTGAATTACAGCAGTGAAACTGAAAAAAGAGATGGCAAATAAAAAGATGTAATACAACTCTTGCTACTCAACCTATCTATCTGTCATTGTTAGCTATTGTAAGCAAAGGCCAGACTCAGTCTAAAGTGCTCAATGGAAAGAAGGTGGTCTAGAAAAATGATTCACAATATGACATCCCCAAACAGCAGCAGGGATATTGCCTGGGATCTTGGTAGAAATGCAACTTCTTTGGTACCCACTAACCCAGAGGAACTTTTATGGTCTCTGTTATTTGGAAAGCTACTCCAAAAACAAACAAACAAACAAACAAAAAACCTAAATTAAAAAAAAAAAACCTAAATCAAACTAAAACCTTTCACGGTTCTCACTTATCATAATTGGAGCAGGCTATCAGCCCCTCCTTTGGAGACCTACACAATCCAAAACTGGAAGGTGGAGTAGGACCTACCAATCTGGATTTAACAAATCCTGAATGGATTCCAACTCAGCAGTGTAAGGATGATAATCCTTGAACAAATGTTTTTTCATACTTTCCCAATCATGGAATGGCAGATGATTCATTAAAAATAACTAAAACAAGGTTTTACATTCACATTCTGATAATTTGAGGCGACCTATCAAACTCTGGATAACAAGTGTTTTCAAGGTCCCTTAGCCAATCTAATGTGCAGTGTTTGAGAAACGTTGCTCTGGATCCAGCTTGTCCAAATTTACAAAGCCTACTGGAAAGTGACCTTCTCTTCCCACAAATCTCAGGAAAAGACCTTCTGCTCACCTAAAATGGGTAATATGCCATTCCTCAAGAGGAGAGGGCTAACTGATGTAACCCAGGCATTCTCATCCCTGGCATGACAGGATGCTCAATTCCAATTTAAATACTTGGAATGAAACTTGGGGCAAGAGATTCCTAAAAGGGGAATACAAAATTTGGGAATTAGACAGTGCTCAAGGCAAACAACAGCTATTCAATTAATTAACTGTTTAGGAAGAATTTTGATTGTCATATTTCTGTTCGTATTATCTAATTTGACACTTTTCTATTTGTATATTCAGGAATTATTGTGGTTGCATACATCTTTCCTCCAATTTGTGAAGTAAAATCGGAAGTTAATTTTGTAGGAAATTCTATTTAACTTTTTTCGAATTATGCTTAAAGAGTTGCCCTAGACTTGTCACATTTTATCATTTCTTAATAGTCTGGTTTCAATAACTAATCAATACAAATCCTCATTCTATATGCGCTCATGTAAAGGTCTTACATGCACAGAAGAATTGACTCTTTTTTTCATTTAAGTTTCCAATAAAAAATTTATCACACAGGAAGGGGAACATCACATTCTGGGGACTGTTGTGGGGTGGGGGGAGGGGGGAGGGATAGCTTTAGGAGATATACCTAATGCTAAATGACGAGTTAATGGGTGCAGCACACCAGCATGGCACATGTATACATATGTAACTAACCTGCACATTGTGCACATGTACCCTAAAACTTAAAGTATAATAATAACAAAATAAAATAAACCAAAAATTTATCCCATAAAATACTTACAGGATTTCCCTGTTATTCAAGTCAATTTAAGTACACAAGTTAAGAAATAATGCATGGAAATATTAGAAAATATTCAAAGATAACTATTTTGTATATGCAATTAATTCTGAATATATGTGTTTAAAAGCAAAGCCAGGCAACTGGAACTTTTAAAAATAAACACAAATAGCTGAAAAAGTGGCCAAACTAGAAAATATATATTGAAAATATATTTTTATTTATAACAAAAACATTTAAGGAAATATAAAGAATAAATGAGGATACACATAAAAATAAGAATTTATGAACTGTTTTTTAAATACTTCCAATTATAAGGCCAGGGATGCTGAAAAGCTGCACCCTCCCAGGTTTGGAGAATGGCCCTTGATCTGCTCCTGGCAGGCAACCTCTGAACCCTTTGATATTCTGTCTGATCAGGATGTCTTTGTAAACCTGAGAATATGGTCACACCAAATGATCCAGGCTGACCATATGATTTATGGTGAATGTCAGTTTTGAATGGCGCTGTGTCCAGGCAATGTCAGTTTGACTTCTACATGGCCTGGAGAGTCAGGAGTTATAGCCACTCATGCAAACATTCCATGATTACATGACCAGGGATTGGGCAAGCTTACCTAGTTGGCAACACTTGGCACATGTAGTCACACAACTAGCTGGGAGAATTAAGCACGGCACATGTGAGTCCACAGAAAGAGAATGGCTGGAAGCTTGAGCCTGGTTTCTCTGGGATTCCTCCCTATGCTCCTTTTCCACTGGATAATTTTCACCTGTGTTCTTGTACTATAATACCCTATAACTATCAATAGAAAGGTCTTTTCAAGTCCAGTTGAAACCTTCTAAGAAATCATCCAGCCTGAAGCTGGCCTTGAAGTACTCCAACAAGCCTGTGAATAAAGGTGTGCTATGTAGACATGCTACTCTACCTAACTCTAATAATATGGGAATTCTGAGTGTGTGTGAAGGAGTCTCACTGCAGCTCCAACAGAGTCCCTTTCCATTCTGAAAAAAATCTGTTGTGATATCCTTAAGGGCATGCTCCTTCTACAACCTGTCATCCTAGTCTCAGGGAACAAACTTTTTGTTTCCACACAGCAAGGCAGTAGCAAGGAATCCACCTTCAAGAACAAAGCAAGGCAGCAGGTTTAGAAGAGGTATTTCAACTACAGTAAGACTGTGTAGATTCCTAATTTTAGAAAGATAGAGCTTTATACATCAAGAAATCCAATATCAATCAATATCAATAGAGCTGGACTTCATGAAAGCAGTTTCTAAGCCACTTTCACTTGGCCTGAAGCAAAAAAAGGCATCTTTCTACCTCTCCTCTGAGTTTAAAGAATGCCTGCCACGATGGCAACTCTCTCAAGAGTCCTTTCCTCCTTTTACCACCTAATTATTTTATGTGGCTCACTTGAGTGATACGCCAATTATTGCAGAACCAATTTGGCTGCAGTGCCTTTGCAAGATCATCCAGCACCTCATTTTAGAATATGGGGGTTCTTGGCATTTATGGATTTGGCCTTTGCAGTCACTGGCCAAACTCTGTGAGAGAACATGCTGCTTTTAACATTTACCTCTATGCAGGTTTTCAGGGACATGTCTGACCGAAGCATCCTCAGTCACAACACCATAACTGAAGGCACTGCATGGTATATCTCCCTGAGAGGTGAGGAGAAGGCCTGAAACAACCAGAAAGAAGTAGTGGCTGCATACTGCTGTAGGCTCCAATTCATCCTCCAAAAGAAGTCTCCCTGCCCAGAAGGACACAGGGCTGGTACTTCCATCTGGCTTGAAACCTGCAACCTATCTTGCTTAATAGTAGAAGTTTGAAGTCCAGATCTTCCAGGTTCCAATATGAGCTATCTCTCCTATTGGCCCTGAAGCCTCCAGAATGTTATTCTGCTCACCTTTTCCCTTTTTTCGTATATAAGGCATATTTCAATAACTTTCCTGGAAGTGAAGCTGAAGTGAGATAAAAATATACAGCCTTAGTATAAATCCTGGAACTCGACATAGCTAGTTCTCTTTGATGGTTATATTTGTGAAAAGTGAGACATAGTCTAAAGTATTCAAGGGTCAGACTCAGTCCAGGGAGTGAGCTACATCAGTATTTCTCAAAATGCCATCCCCAAGCAGTAACAGTGCATTATCAAGAAATGTAACTTACTACGTCCCCACATACCCATAGTAACCTGTAAGGTCTCAGTTGCCTTAGAAATGTATCCTTAGAAAAACAAAACTTAACTAATACTTTTCATGGGTCTCTCTTTTTACACTGATAGCAGCCTCCTCACTGGCATATTCAGATCTTTCCTCAGAGTACAGCCCCAGTACCCTGAAGGTGATCCCCGACAAGCATCACCTGTATATACTTGTTAAGGATGTAAAATCTCAGCTCAACTTACCTGGACGCACCTCGTCAGCAACTCTGCGGATGGAGTAGGACCAATCTATTTGGATTTAACAAGCCTTCCACGGATCCCAATGCCTGCTAAAGTGTCAGAATATTCATACTTTAAACATTGGTTTCCAATACATCCCCCAAAATGGAATCCTCAGTAGATGGTTTAAAAACAATTGAAATAAAATTCTACTGTCAGAGATACAGATTTTTTTTGAGAGAGAGAGAGAGAGAGAGTCTTGCTCTGTTGCCCAGGCTGGAGTGCAGTGGCATGACAGGTCTCATCGCAGCCTCGACCTCCCACCTCAGGCTCTTGAGTAGCTGGGACTACAGGTGCATGCCACCTGGCTTTTCTTCTTTTCTTTTTTTTTCTTTTTTAGCAGAGACGGGGTCTCACTATGTTGCCCAGGCTGGTCTTAAACTCCTGAGCTCAGATGTTCTTCCTGCCTTGGCCTGTCAAAGTGCTGACATTACAGGTGTGAACCACAGTGCCTGTCTGACTCAAAATAATTTGACTTGAGGTATCACCTAGACAAAAGGCATTTTCAACCTCCTTTATGAATTATATAATATGCAATATATTTGAGAAATGCTGATCTAGGCTCATTTTATCCAAGGTTATCAAATTCAGTAGGAAAAGGCCCATAATTTAATGGAAATCTCAGGAAAACACCTCCCACTGACTCAGCAAAGGTTATATGTCACCTGACCTTCAAACATATTCCCCAGAAGGAGAGAATTGACGGGCAGAGTCCAGGCATTCTCAAACCCAGCATGTGAAGGCTGGTCAGCTCCAATAAGTACACCTGGAATAAAATTTGGAGTGAGAATGTCCTAAAAGTGAAAAAAAGAAATTTGGAAATCGGACAGTGTGAGGAGTATCAAAATACATTCAGTTGGTTAAATATTTGGGAAGAATTACTATTGCTATGACTTTTGTTAGTATTTTCTCTTTTGTCTGTTTTTTGGTAGTTTATATTACACTTTCAGAAAATATCAAGATTGTATTCATCATTTCTGAGAAAAATCTTAAATTTATTTTTGGGGACAAGTACCTTTTTTCCGAATCAAAGGTTTACATTAGGACTCATCACAGTTTTTAATTTTTTATGTATGCCTCTTTCAATATTTTTTAATTCATATGAATTCTTATAGTGTTTACTCTCATGTACAATTTTTTGTACATGCAGAGAACTTAATTTCTCCCTTAACTTATGAATGATAAAATTATCATCCCCGCCCCCAGTTTAAAAGTTTTCTCTGAAGTTCTATTCAATATAAGAAGACAAATTAAGAATTAATGCAAGGCTATATTAGAAAGCAATCAAAGGTAATTATTTTAATACTTTTCTATTTTTAAGCTGTGCTATAAAAACTTCTAACACAAGAGGTTAGGGTTGCTAACAGCCTGCACCTTTCAAAGTTTGAGAACTTGCCCTAGACCAGCTCCTACTGGGTAACCTGTGAGGTCTGATATTTCTGTCTGATAAGAACGCTTTGTGTACCTGTGGATTTGGTCTCACTAGATGATTCATGGTAACAATGAGATTTACGGTAAAAATGCATTTTTGTATGACTGGGGCTGTGTCCAGGCTATGTCAGTTTCACTTTTTAGATAGATTAGAGAGTCAGAAGCTAATATCAGGAATGTGAAAGCTCCATCCCTATATCAGCAAGGCTTGGAAGAGCTTACCTGGTTGGCAACACTTTGCTAATGTGGACACACACCTGGCTGAGAGAATTAAGTGCAGTGCATATGACTCTACCAGAAGAGGATGATGGAGAGCTTGAGCCTGTTTCCTCCTGGACTCCTCTCTATGCTCCTTTTACCCTGGCTGATTTTCATCTATGTTCTTGTACTGTAATGTACTGTAAGGATCAGTACAAAGGCCTCTGTGGGGTCTACTGAGATCTTATAAGGGATTATGGAACCTGAAGCTGGCTTTGAAGTACCTCAACAGGCTCATGAATAAATGATGCCCAATGTGAACATGCTTTTTAAGTAACTATAATAATATGGGAACTATTAAATGAGTGTGGAGGAGTTCTCACTTCAACTGCCAGACTGTTGCATTGTATCCTGAAAAAATTGGCTGTGGTATCCTTGAGGTCATACTGTTTGTACAACATGCCATTTAATTCTCAGAGAGCAAAATTTTTGTTTCCAAAGAGTGAATACATAGCAAAGAGTCTACCTTTGGGACTTTGGGAATGAAGCAAGACAACAGGTTTACAAAAGATATTTCAGTTATACTAAGAAAGTATGGATTCCCAATTTTAGAAAGATAGACTTTTTCTATATCAAGGAAGGCATATCAGTATGTATCACTGGAGCTGGCCCTGAGTTGTATTAGGCCATTCTTGCATTGCTATAAAGAAATACCTGAGACTGAGTAATTTATAAAGAAAAGAGGTTTGATTGTCTCGTGGTTCTGCAGGTTTTACAGGAAGCATGATGCTGGCATCTGCTTGGCTTCTGGGGAGGCCTCGGGAACTTAAAATCATGACAGAAGGAGAAGTGGGAGCAGGCATGTCACATACCAAGAGCAGGAGGAAGTGAGAGAGTAGGGGGAGAGCTGCCACACATTTTTAAATGACCAGATCTTGGGAGAACTCACCATCATGAAAACAGCACTGAGCCATGAGGGATCCGCCCCCATGATCCAAACCTCTCACCAGGCCCCACCTCCAGCATCAGGGATTACATTTCAACATGAGATTTGGGCAGGGACAAATATACAAACTATATCAGAGTGGAGCAAAAGTTCCATGCCCCTTTCATTTGACTAGAGACATAGGGACAGCCATTTTCTACATCTCCCATGAGTTTGGAGAAAATATATGCCAGGATGGCAACTGTCTCAAAAGAGTCTTTCCTCCTTTTACCACCTCAGCTCTTTTATATCACTCACTTAAACAATGTGCCGATGCCTGCAGAACCAATTTGGGTCCAATCCCTCTCCAGATCATCCAGCACCTGAATTTAGAATATGGGGTTTTGGCATTTGTTGTTTAGGCCTTTGGAGTCTGTGGCCAAACTCCATTTGACAGAAAATGTTACTTGCAACATCCAGTCCAGCCCATGTTTTCAAGGATAGGTCTAACCCACAGAATGCTCACTGAAAAACTTCTAATTATAGACATTATGGGTACAGGTCACATCCATCTCAACAGGTGAGGAAATAGGTCTGGAACAACTGCAAAGCAGTGGTGGCTGCATACTGCTGTGTGATCTGATTCACATTCCAGAAAATGTTCACTTGCGAGAAGAACACGTGGCTGGCACCTCCACCTGGCCTGAAATCTCCAATTCATCCTGCTGAAGAGTAGAAGCTTGGAATCTGCCTCTTTTGGGTTCTAATACTGAGCTCTGTTTCCTATTGGTCTTGATGCCTCTGGAAAGTTATTCTATTCTGAGTATTTTCTTTTATGGTAGATGATACATATTTTAATAACTTATGCAATGAAGCTGAAAAGAGTTGAAAAATATAACGAGTTAGTAAAACTATCTATTTAGTTCTCACTGTTAGTTACAGTAAGCAAAGATCACCTTTAGTTGAAAGTGTTCAAAGGACAGAGGGCAGGCTAGAGCAGTGGTTCACAAAATGTTATCCTTATCCAGCATCAGTGATACAGCCTGGGATCTGCACAGAAATGAAACTTCCCAGGTGGCCAGTCACCCATGGGACCTACAAAGGCTCTACTACCTGAGAATTCCATCCTTAAAAAGGGAACAAAAACCAAATTAAGTCTTTTCATGATTCTCACTAGTCACAGCAGAGCAGACTTCTAGCCAGCATACTCATACCTTTCCTCACAGTGGAGCACTGGTTCCCTGAGGGCGGTCCTTGAGCAGCACCACCTGTGCACTTGTTAGAGACGCAGTTTCTCAACACAACCTATCCTCACCAACACAATAGCAAACTGAATTTGAGGTAGGGACACCAATCTAAATTTATTGAGTCTTCCATGGAACCCACACTCTGTCAAAATGTGAAAATGGTAATGAACCACTGCTACTCATTACATCCTTTAAAATGACTTCTCCATCAGATAATTGAAAAACAATTGAGGTCAGCACAGTGGCTTACGCCTGTAATCCCAGCACTTTGGGTGGTGGAGGCGGTCGGATCATCTGAGGTCGGGAGTTTGAGACCAGCCTGGCCAACATGGTGAAACCCCATCTTTACTAAAAATACAAAATTAGCCAGGCATGGTAGTGGGCACCTATAGTCCCAACTACTCAGGAGGCTGAGGCAGGAGAATGGCTTGAGCCCAGGGGGCGGAGGCTGCAGTGAGCCAAGATCGCACCATTGCACTCCAGCCTGGGCGACAGAGCAAGACTCTGTCTCAAAACAAACAAACAAAAAAACAATTGAAACAAAGTTTTTCTTTCTCTTCTTTCCTTTTTTTTTTTTTTGAGATGGAGTTTTGCTCTTGTTGCCCAGGTTGGAATGCAATGGCACGATCTCGGCTCACTACAACCTCTGCCTCCCAGGTTCTCCTGCCTCAGCCTCCCAAGTAGCTGGGATTACAGGCATGCACCAACACGCCCAGCTAATTTTATATTTCTAGTAGAGATGGGGTTTCTCCATATTGGTCAGGCTGGTCTCAAACTCCCGACCTCAGGTGATCCGCCTGCCTTGGCCTCCCAAAGTTCTGGGATTGCAGGCATGAGCCACCGCACCCAGCCAAAACAAAGTTTTTCAGTCATGGATTATGGATAAATTGAGGTGAGGTGATATCAGGACAATAGCTGTTTTCAAGCTCCCTAGCAAATCTAGTTTGCATTACATTTGAGAAATATTGCCCTAGACCCAGCTTGCCCAACTATACTAAATGCAGTGGGAAAGGTCCTTGTCTTTCCAGAAATCTCAAGAAAAGACCTCCCACAGATATAACACGGGTAATATGTCACTCCAAGTACAAGTACTTTCCCAAAAAGGAGAGGACCTATTTATGCAAGTCAGACATTTTATCCATGGCATGGAAATAATTGTCAATTGCAAGTAAAATAATTTTAATAAAATTTGGGATGAGACTTTTTTTTTTTTTGAGATGGAGTCTCGCTCTTGTCGCCCAGGCTGGAGTGCAGTGGCACAATCTCAGCTCACTGCAACCTCCACCTCCTGGGTTCAAGCGATTCTCCTGCTTCAACTTCCCGAGTAGCTGGGATTACAGGTGCGCGCCACCACACCTGGCTAATTTTTTGTATTTTTAGTAGAAACTATCTGGGGCACACCAGATAGTTTATGCTAAATATGTGCTTCATGCTAAATATCTGCTTTTGTATGCTTGGCACTTTAGGACATGTTGTATCATTTTGACCTCTGTGGGGGCTGGAACTGAGTAGCAAAGGTCAATGATCCAGACCCTCCATGGCTCTATGACCAAGGCTGGTAACACTTTGCATGTACTGTGTCACACATCACGTGCTGGAAGAATTAAACACTGTTCATATAACTCCGCAGGGAGAGGATAGCTGGAAGCTTCAGTCTGGTTTCTTTTGGACTCTCTCCCTATGTGCCTTTTCCCTTTGCTGATTTTAATGTATACCCTTTTGCTGTAAAAAACTGTAATTATGAGTATAATAGCTTTTGTTTATTCTTTGTTATTTATTTTTATTTTTGCACATGGGGTCTTGCTCTGTCACTCAGGCTGGAGTGCAGTGGCCTGATCATAGTTCACTGCAGCCTCAAACTCCTTGGCTCCAGGAATCCTCTCATCTCAGCTTCCCAAGTAGCTAGGCCTATAGGTGCAAGCCATCATGTCCAACTTATAATAGCTTTTCTGGGTTCTGTGAATTCTTCTAACAAATCATCTATCCTGAGAGTGGTCTTGGGGATCCCTGGTACACCAAAGAATAAATGCTGTCCAAATGTGAACACGCTTTACCTAATTCAAATAACACGAGAGTTACTTAAAATTTCCAGACCGTTGCCTGAAATCCAGAACAACATCTGCAGAGGTATCCTTGACCCCATGTTCTTGGCTTAAATATGCCATAATAGTCCAGAAAAATAACATTGCAATTTCCACAGATTAGGGCCGTAGCAAAGAATCAGCCTTTTGGAGTAAAGCAAGGCATTAGATTTAGAAGATATTTTTGACTAATGGAGTTTTATATATCAAGGAAGCCAATATCGACCAATTCATTGAGTAATGAACATAGCACTCTTTTTGATCTGCTTGGTTTATGCAGGCCAAGTGTAACTGGGGATGGATTATCTTCACTTAAGCCTCCTAAATTGAGGTCTCAGAAAGTGTAATTCCCCAAGGGAAAAATGGAATGCAAATACTCAACACAATGTTGTAACCAACCAAAATCCCAGGAGGGATAATACTTACTTTGCTGTCTTGTTACTCAAGGATCCTTACCTGACTACTCAAGTTTGGAGGCTCCGGGGAAGTCAGTATCTCTTTATTCTATCATTCAATGGAAACTTGTTTGTGCAGAAAAAAAGCACACCTTTGACAGCTTCAGTCCTTTCTGCATTGAGAAATTCCTGTTTGTTTTTCATGCTTAGGGAAAAAATCAAGGAATATTTTTCAGACCATTTTAATGGAATATAGCATATAGGCTAAGAGTATAGTCTCTGGACCCATATTGTCTGCATTCCAAACCTACATGCACTAATTACTACTTGCGTTAATTTGGGTATATTTCTTACCTTTTCTAAGCCTTATTTTCTTCATCTGTAAAATGAAGATCATAGTATTCACCCTTATGGTGTTTTTGAGTACTATTGAATCAATCCAGGTAAAACACTTAGTACCCAGAAAATAATAATCACTCAATAAATGTTAAATATCATTGTCATTATCATTCGTCAATCTTCCTAATCTCAGTAGCACTTTTAAAGATTTTGATCCTGTAACTGCTATGACACACCTTCTAAATGTCATTATATTTTTTAGCTGCCCTTTCCTGGTCTCATTTTCACAATCAATCTCCTTTACTGGGGCACTAAATGATAAAATACACCATGCCTCAATCCCAGGACACCAATTTCTTCTTGTGTTCTTCACAGTTTTCTTGAGAAGTCTGGTTTATTTCCATGCTTCAATTGGCAATTTATATACTGGTAACTCCCAAAATATATCTCCCTGTCACAGACCTCTATTCTGAACTCCACATCTCAGTATCCAATGGGATTCTTGCCATCTCCACCCAGTTGAATAAAAGGTATTCCAAAATCATATGAATAATATGTAAATGCAAAATTGATATTTTTATCTCTCAGCTCTGTTTTTCTCATACTCACTGCTATTTCCGTGATTGGCGGTCACCAAGCCATTTTGTTATGCAAGCCAAAATCTAGGGGTCAAGATTAATACACTCTCTCATCTATTGTATTCAATCCATTACAAGGTCCTATATAATTCTCATATATTTCCATATGTTAGCATCTCAACTGTGAAGACACCAATAGTCAAGTATATATTCTACAAGCTTGCACCTACAACATTGATAAACATTAAACGCTGAAAATCTCCTGATATTCTAAGAATTACTAAGCCTGATTGCTGTCAGTTTCCCAAATTACTATGCTATAGGCATTCATATGGCAGTTAACGTTAGTTTCTAAACAAAATTGATAATTGTGCTGTTATAGACATTTGGTTTTTAATAAAAATTATACATGAGCTATAAAAACATAACAAGATTACATGTCACTAAGAACTGATTTGGTTTCCAGTAATGAACCATAAGCAGTTACAACTAGATTTTGCGACTTCTTTAGTCACTTCTTTTAATGCATGAGCACCCCAGTTAATTATTGAGTTGACTTCATTTACATTTTCAGTGTCTGTCAAAATGAATATCAACCGTGTGTCTCAATAATTCAATAAATAAAGCACATGACAAAGTTGAGTTTAGATTTTAAGTACAGATTTTTTAAAAAAATTAAATAAAACTAATAATTTCATGTGAAACATCAAATCAGCTAAACATTAAATTAAATTCCTTAATCTGGGGATATCTTGAAGGCACATTGACTTGTAGCTATACTGAGGAAAAAAATGTAATATATGAAGCAAATTTAACTCAAATTTCTGTTCAAATGACATGATATTTTAGGATTATTGTAATGCTATAGAAAACTTTTTAATATCTCATATCACATTTGTTATTCTAATAGTTTACAAGACCAGGATTATATAGTTCAGTTAACTCCTTTAAAGGATATTAACATCTTTCATTAAACAAAGGAAGGATAAGGAAAAACATGAATTTGACATCGAACATTATAGCACAAAGGTAGAAATGGCTTAGTGGATGAACTTTTCTGATCATTGGTTAAATTAACATTATCTAGACTGTTCTGAATCTGGTGATTTCAGATTTTAGAATCCTAGAATCTCAATAGAACTACAAGTATCCAGCCTAACTGCTTAACTAGTGAAATAATGTTTGTAACCTTTCTAAAGCATGGTACCACTCCTACCAATGCCTTTAAAAACAATACTTTATGGGTCCCAAATCAACAACAACAACAAAAAATCTATATTCTGCCATCTGGTTTCCAATTGTCTTTCCAAAATTATTTCCTACTGTTTTTTTTCTCACACACTCTATGTTCCAGACAACAAATTACCAAGTATTCTCTGAACATATACAGAGTCTTCACACCTCAATAACTTTGTCTCAACCCTTCAGTAATGCCCTCTCATCAACCGCAAATCTAAGTCATCTGTCAAGGTGTAGTTCAGATATCACGTCAAACATGAAGTCACACCAGACTGCTACATATGACAGTAATTTCTCCCTCTTCTAATGTTCCATCATACCCAGTGACTCACTTAGGTACTCACAACACTTTAATATGCATTAAAATTATTTATGCAGAATTATTACAATTTAAAGTATTCTTTAAGCAGAACCCTCTTTTGATTTATCATTTTTTCCCTTTTAACACTGTTTCACTCACTGAGTGTTAATTGAGTGATAATTGTCTCACTGACAGAGAAAAGGGCAACATTTAAGTGAACTTCAAAGGGAACTGTCACTCACTGATTTCATTTTATTTTTATTTTATTTATTTATTTATTTAATTTTGAGACAGAGTCTCTCTCTGTCACCCAGGCTGGAGTGCAGTGGCACAATCTCGGCTCACTGCAACCTCCACCTCCTGTGTTCAAGTAATTCTACTGCCTCAGCCTCCTGAGTAGCTAGGACTACAGGTGTGCGCCATCATGCCCGGTTAATTTTTGTATTTTTAGTAGAGATGAGATTTCACCATGTTGGCCAGGCTGGTCTCGAACTCCTGACCTCAAGTGATCTTCCCACTTTGGTGTCCCAAAGTGCTGGGATTACAGGCGTGAGCCACCATGCCCAGCCACTGATTTCATTTTAATAAATGTAAGTGTTTCTTTGCTGAATATAAAGTGTAACTCTTATATTATATTTAGATTACATTTAGAAATCGTCATGCATCAGATTCAGAATGGTGAAACAGTTAGGAGCCACAATGTAATTGCCAAAACAATAACATAGTTTAATTCTTTATCCTTATTCTTAAAAGACCATTGAAAGAGATACAATCATAATGACCTAAGTAATGGAGTAATGTATTTAGATTTGTATCTGATCTTGGCAAGTGCAATATTTCATTCATTAATGTATTTAGGAAAAAAACCTATATTGTTAAAGTTGTATATTATTTTCCTATGGAAGAAGGCCTAGCACAAAAATGAGGAACAGAATATTTTTCCAAAAAGTGGTGTTTCCCTGCCCTTTCCTACCCCTGCTGACCAATTTGCTCCACAAATATCTATTTTGAAATGTGTGCAGTTTGGTCCTAATAAGATTACCTTCTCATTAACCAAAATGACTCCAAAAGGCATGGGGCGGAATAAAGAACAATGCAATCATAATAGAATTTTGGAAATTAAGATTTCTAGCAATCTTGGCCAACAAATGCTAAATTTATTATCTAATACAAACAGAAGTATGGCAATGGTACATAAATAGAATAATAAAATGGAAGAGTTAGCCCAGAAATAAACCCTAGTATACATACAATTTTACAATCTATGTAAAACCCTCAGTTCAGTAGGCAGATATATTATTTATTAAATAATACTAGAATAAATAGTTGACTATAGGAAACAATACTATTTACTTTTAAGATACCAACATACATATTTTGTTTTAAAGAGATAAATAGTTAAAAAACCATAAATATGACTGTCATATTGTAAATATTTGAGCAACAGATTGGAAGAGAAAACTATAAAAGTCTAAATACATTAAAATAAATTTGGTTTCTTAAAAATTTTAAGTTCACTTTGAATCTTAGAGAATGTCACTGTGCAAATTACAAAGATAAAGACAAATAGAGTGACTTGGTCTGTGATGCAAAGAAAGCATGATAATAAAACCTACAGAAGGATAACCTTTTAAAATATATACTTAAGGTTAAAATGCCCTTCTACCTAATAATATTTTTAAAAAACCAAATAAACTCTAAGGAAATGTGAGAGATTTTTCTTATAACTGCTATAGCCAAGACTCAGACTTGGGAATGGCATAGAAAGAATATTGTTAGAACAATTAAAATAGGGGGAAAGGCAAAAAGATGTTTCTCTGTTCTAGGAAGAGGACCTTGATCATAGTACGCTGGCTGGTGATTTTGACATTTTCTCAGGATTATGAGACAGGATAATTATCTTCATTTTGCCAGTACAGTTAGTTGAGGCTTGCAGAAATTTAATTACTTGCTCAAAAACTCTTTAAACCTCAATCCTAGGTTTGGACCCTTTTACTGCGATTGCAGGTGCTGGGCCTCAGAAAACAATACCCCAAAAGGAAAGCTTCAGAAGCAGCCTGAGAAACAAAAGCTTTCCTATGACCTTGTCCTGTCCTCCTGTGTCTCAGTCCCTTTCTCCCCCAGGGCTAGCCATAGAAACTAGAATCCTTCTTCCTCAAGGCAGGTCATAGAAACCAGAACCCCTTTTCCCCAAAGCTAGTCATAAAATCTAAAAATATGACTCTTTAATTTCCCTCTGCCTTTCTGTGTAAAAACTGGCTATAAATAAATTATCTGACCCATTTTTTTTTACTGTAGGTCAAAAGACCTACATTCCAGAAAAGGGTCTGCCCCTTATCCAGAAAGAAAAAATGCATGCTCAGAGAGGCCAAGAAGAATCTAGACAGTCCTTGTTGGATTTTCCCACTAGCCTATTGGCATTAGATCATCTTTTTTGTCCAATCATATTTCAACACAGCTGTCTATACTTTGTTGAGCCTAAGCATAAAAATGAATAATTTCCTCTGTATCTTTGAGTCTTCATTCTGAAGGCTCCCGTGCATACATGTTAAGTACATTTGTATTTTTTCTCCAATTAATCTGCCTTTTGCAATTTGATTTTTCAGTGAACCTTCAGAGAGCCAAGCCTTTGGCCCCTACACAGGTAAATATTATTTCCAGTACACCAACAACTCTGCATGGCTTAAGTAATCCATAGAAAAATAAACTATAGCAAGTTTATAAAATAGAAAATAAACTACAAATATGATTACAAAATGCTATACCAGTATTCATAATTGGTATTTTGGTGCATTCAAAACTAGAAAAGATCCAGTTCCCAGCAGGCATCTCTTCCAGGAAAATGAGCTGAATCAAATCAGATGAACCATTTGTCTTAGTGGTGATAAGGCCTACTTTTTTTTAAATCTAATTCAGTGTGTGTGTGTGTGTGTGTGTGTGTGTGTGTGCGCATGCGAGCACGTGGGTGTGTTTGTTTCCATACTGAAAATGTGATTACAAATTGAACAAATTCCATAAAAGTCAATGGCCCAACAAATTTCATTTTCTCTCTTTAAAGACTGTATTACACAGAAAATTACATTAAATCCTACATAAGATAAGCATACTTAATAAATTTTTTAAATGAAAAGCAATATTTTGGCAGAGTCATGCAAGAAATTCTATGTAGCAAATTGTAAAATGAGAAGATACAAGCTTATGTTCATTGCTTAGCAACAATCTAAGATGAATGCCCAGGAAATAATTGCTAACTATTAGAGGCAGGTAAAATTTAGAGGGGATAAAATATATCCTTGTTGAAACCTGTGAAGAAAATAATGCTTTGTTGCTGAGCTTAGGTCACTTTTGGACAGTGTAGAGGGCCCTATCTTTATTTCATAATCTGTTCCTTCTTCAAGCCCTGATTATTTCAACTGATGTTAACGAAATCAAAACATTTCACCTTGTGGGAGCCATACGTTCTTGGCCCCCTAAAGGTTTGCTAAAAATCACTGACATGAGGTAGATTGATTAATAGGAGAAAAGGCACACACATTTAACCTGTATACACAGGAGCCTTCAGAATGATGAACCAATGTCCCAAAGAGTTACAGAAACTTATATACCATCCTGAGGCCACAGTAAAGAATGGAGACTCAGAGCATGGCCAGAAACAGGTAAATCAGATTTAAAGGCAAGACAGGTTAAGAGAAAGAGAAAGAAAGAAGCTTGGCTAGCAAAGGTGGCCTTGTTATGTAGATGAAGCTTCCCTCAGAGATAATACATGGTACATGTTTCTTTTCAGATCTTTTAAAGGTGTCTGACTCTAAGGGAGGCAGAGCAAGATGGGCAAATAGAATCCTCCAATGGAATCACCAAATTGAATGCTATCCACACAAAAAAACACTTTCATAAGAACCAAAAATCAGATTAGGTACCGGCTCAGCTGCAATAGGGTAGAATACCAGAAGTGCTTGTGGGATTCCCAATTCCAGACCTTGGCTCCTGGATGGCATTTCTGGACCTTTTCAAGGCCTGTGAGAAGCCCCTGCTACCCTGAAGGGAGAGTCCCAAGCCTGGGAGCACTCACCGCAAGCTGAGTGAAGAACCCTTGGACCTTGAGTAAACGGTTGTAGTCAAGCAGTACTCACCATGGGATGGGGATGGTGGTAGCCCTGGGGAGAGACTCCTCTGCTTGAGGAAATGGGAGGCAAAAACGGGAAGGAATTTGTCTTGCAGCCTGAGTGCCAGCTCAGCCACAGTAGAATAGAGCACCAGGTAGATACCTAGGGTTACCAACTCCAGGACCTGGCTCCTGGGTGACATCTCTGGACCTGCCTAGGTCCAGGGTGAACTAGCTGCCCTGAGGGGAAGTACACAAGCATGGTTGGATTCTCCAGTTGCTGATTGTAGAGCCCTTGGGCCTTGAGTGAACATAAATGGTAGCCAGGCAGTGGTGACTGTGGGCCTTGGGTGAGACCCAGTGCTGTGCTGGCTTTTAGTATGAACCAATGCAGTCCCAGTGGTGGTGGCCACAGGGGTGATCGTGTTACCCCTTCCACAGTTCCAGCCAGCTCAGCACAGAGAGAGACTCTGTTTGTTTGGGAGAAAGTAAGGGAAGAAAACAAGAGTGTTTGTCTGCTAATCCAGGGAATTTTCCTGGATCTTAATCAAGAATACCAAAGCAATGCCTCTATAAGATTGCAAGAGCCACAGTATTACTGTGTTTGGGGTGCTCACTAATGCAGATACTGCTTCAGTGACCAAAGACTTAGGTCACAAAAACGTCCCTTTGAATATCTGGAAAGCTTTCCCAAAAATACAAAGAATACAAAGATACCCAATTCTTCAATGCTCAGACACTAAAGAACATCCACAAGCCTCAAGACTATCCAGGAAAGCATGTCCTTGCCAAATGAACTAAATAAAGCACCAGTGACCAAGCCCAGAGAGACACAGATATGTGACCTTTCACAAGAACAACTGAAAATATCTGTTTTGAGGAAGCTCAACGAAATGAAACATAACATAGAGAAGGAATTCAGAATTATATCAGATAAATTTAACAAAAAGATTGAAATATAAAAAGAATGAAGCAGAATTCTTTGAGAAATGCAATTGACATACTGAAGATTGCATCAGTGTCTCTTAACAGCAGAATTGATTAAGCAGAAGGAAGAATTAGTGAGCTTAAAGACAGGCTATTTGAAACGACAGTCAGAGGAGACAAAAGAATAAAGAAGAATAAAGCATGCCTACAAGATCTAGAAAACAGCCTAAAAAGGGAAACTCTAAGAGGTATTGGCCTTAAAGAGATGGTAAAGAGAGAGATGGCGGTACAAAGTTTATTCCAAGGGATAATAACAAAGAACTTCCCAAACCTAGAGAAAGATATCAATATCCAAGTATAAGAAGGTTATAGAACACTAAGTAGATTTAACCCAAAGAAGACTACCGCAAGGCATTTAATAAACATTTAATTAAACACAATAAAAAGTCCAGAAATATGGCCAATGAATTTTGGACATGCGTGCCAAGCTAATCTAAGGGAATAAAGAAGAGTTGTTTTAAAAAGCACTGTAACAATTGAATAACCAAATGGAAAAATGTACCTGGACACCAATCTTACACTACACAAATTTATTCAAAATGGATCTTAGGCTTCAATATAAAAGCAAAATGTATAAAACTTACAGGATAAAATATTTCAGTCCTTGCTGTAGGGAAAGATTTCTTAGAATACAAAAAGAAAAGATAAATTGTATTTTATCAAATATAAAAAAGAACTTTTACCAAAATTCAAGAAATGAAAGACAAGTCATAAACCTAGAGAAAATACTAACAATACATTTACCTGAACAAAGAGCTTGTATCTAGAATACATAAAGAATAATTCCACTTGATACTAAAATGACAACTAAAATACTGGACAATTTTCATGGTTAAATATTTCAGTAAAAGATATTCAATAAGCTCATGAATAAGTTCCCAACATTTTTACTCCTCAGAAAGATACAAATAAAATCCACAATTCAGATACCAATTCACGCCTTGTATAATGTCTGCAATTAAAAAGTGTCACAAAACCAAAAGCTGGCACGGATGTGAAGCAACTGGTACTTCATACACTGATATTAGGGCTGAAAAATGGTACAGGACTTTGAAAAACATTTTGGCAGTTTCTTAATAAGTTAAACACACACCGCCATATGATCCAGACCTTCTACTTCTAGCCCTTCTATTTACTCCAGAGAAATGAAAGCTTATGTTCATACAAAGACATCTAAAAAATATGTTCATGGCCACTTTAATTACAACACTAAAAATGTGGAAAGAACCAAAATGTCCATCATTTGGTAAATGAGTAAACAATATGTGGTATAACTATAACTATACAATAGAATTCGGATTCACCGATGAAAAGGAACTGATTTTCTCATACACACAAAAGCATGTACAGACTTCAAATACATTTTTCCAAGTGAAGGAAGCAAACTGGACTACATATTGTATATATCCATTTACATGAAATTGCCATATATAAATTACCATTTAAACTTTTATGTCTATAGTACTAAAGAAAGATCATAAATATTTCAAAACAACCTTTAGTAATATGCCATCATGTCTCTATTTCTTTGACTTTTATTAATTACGAATATGGCATGTGCTCTGTGTAAAACTTCCAAAACAAGCAAATATTTCTTTGCAAAATAACCATAATTAGCCATCAAATGTGTATATTACCAAATGCAAACATATACATATATTTACATAAATAACATTTATAAATCTAGGCACATATTTGGAAGTTGATAATTTTCCCTTTTTATTGATAATGTAACTTGAAGATGCTTTTCAGAAACATAAATAAATTTACCTGAAAGATTATAAAAGTTGTACAGTAGTCACAATATGGACGCGCTATAATTTATCTCACAACTGCTTTGTCTTTTATGCATTGATACTTTTTTGCATGTATTTAAGTTAGTTGTGTCAAATACAGTCCTAGAAGTAGAATTAACATGCAAAAGGCATGCAAATTTTAAAACTTTGCTGGATCATCAAATTTATTTCCAGAAAGAGAGTAATATTTTAAACTCCTTTCATACTCTGATACTAGGGTAAAAATATAAAATTTATCTTAATCATATTTAATACACTTATCATTCTTTTATACTTTTTGTATCTATCTTTGATGCTTTTTACTAATATCATTTGTTAACTTGGCTATGAATTCATTATTTGAAATAGCAAAATTGTTACATGTTAAGCATACATATATGTATATTTTGTTTTTACTCTCATTTATGTACTATAAGTTATTTCTGTATTGATTCAGATTTGAACTGTCTTATATAAAGTATATAAAATACTTTGCCAAAGCTGAATGTTATTAAATATTACATAATTATTGTAGATATAAGTTTTTTGCCATAGTTAATACAAATGGCACTTCATTTTCTTTATGGAAGATTTTGGGTGCTCTTATATAATTTCTCATCCAGGTCAACATTACCATCATCACCATTTATAAGAAAAAAAGGTTAATATTTTGATATTTTGTTCAGAACTATGCTTATATTTTTAAATTTTTTATATAATTTGTTCAAATCTGTATTATAATAAGAAAGAAACCTGGATTTCTTTGGCTTCTGTTACTTTTATGCTAGCTTTTCCTCTGCTTAATTTTGTTTTTACTGTCAGTGAAATTATTTTATTTATATGAATTAATTAGTTTATATAAATAATTTTAATTAAAAATAGCTATAAAATTTTGAAATACTTTAGCATGCTACGTATTTGACATATACATGAAATATGAAGAATATTAATGAAGTGAACAAATGTCTATCTACCAATATTGCGAGAGAAATAAGGACATATTACCAACAGGTGAACAATGACTTAAATGATGACAAACCTTTTGTTATAAACCAGGTGGCATTCGGTGGAAAGATGTCCTTGTCCTCGTGGACTTTGAGAAGTACCTTCTCAATAGCATCCATGGAGATCTACCACCAGAGAAAATGGAGCTGAATCTTTACAAAGAGAAAAGAAAACAAATTGTCAACACAGGGTTCTATATGAACAAGACCATTCTTTGAAACTGAGAATAAGACATATGCACATAAACAGACCTGAGGCAATTCGTCTCTGAACAACCTGTAATTTACTTGCTCCCAGAAGCTCTACAGGCTGCAGGAAATGACACGTGAAAAACCAAACTTTGAAAATGCATGAAGGGTAAGATGCGCCCTCTGCTGGTGACAAGAGGTAATGACAGTAGGTCGTAATTTCGGCCTAGAAATTTATGTAGCATCACAACTGTTTTATTGAATTGGTTACAAGAGAGTCACTAAGATTGGCTCAGAATCCTGGGATGGGCCATCAACCCCATCTTCTGAAGGAGAGGTTGTCAAAGAATGTGTAGAAATGTTTTTAATTAGCCTCAGATAAAAATCCAATAGAAGAACTTAAATTGAATAAAAAATTTCAATAAACATAAAAGTGGTGATAAAAGAGGAAACAAATTAAAAGAGAAAAACATAAAATGAAGGGAAAGATAGTCAACTTAAAAAAACTATTAATAATGACTTTAAATTGTATAAGGCCTAAACACCCCAATTAAAATTTAGTAGAGATTTTCAGATAAGAAAAAAAAGCAAGTTCCAATTGTAGACTCTTAATATGAAAGACAACTTACATTTAAAACCTAATTAGGTTGAAAATAATAGTATGGGAAAAGACAGCAAACAAAAGTAAGCATTAAAAAACTATGTAAGGCCAGGTGCAGTGGCTCACGCCTGTAATCCCAGCACTTTGAGAGGCCGAGGCGACGGATCACAAGGTCAGGAGATCGAGACCATCCTGGCTAACACGGTGAAACCCTGTCTCTACTTAAAAAATACAAAAAACTAGCTGGGCGTGGTGGCGGGTGCCTGTAGTCCCAGCTACTCGGGAGGCTGAGGCAGGAGAATGGCGTGAACCCAGGAGGCGGAGCTTGCAGTGAGCCAAGATCGCACCACTGCACTGCACTCCAGCCTGGGTGACAGAGCGAGACTCCACCTAAAAAAAAAAAAAAAGCTATGTAAACCCAAAATAAAATTCGATGGCCTCCTGCAACAATCTAAGTGGACTATCTCCTCTGCCAGGGCACTCTAAATTTAACCTGAAAGACTGGTTCAGGCCATGACTGGAAGGAGGTGTCAGACATACCTCATTATGCCCCCCTCCCTTGTGGAATTCAGGAAAAGCTGGCTAGCATTTAAGCTCAACACAGAACTTAAGTCTGATAAGAAACATTTACAATCTATTCTCTCTGAAGCCTGCTGCTTTCAGGCTTCATGTGCATGATAAAACCTTGGTCTCCATAACCCCTTATCATAACCCAGACGTTCCTTTCTACTGATAACTCTTTCAACTAATTGCCAATCAGAAAATTTTAAAATCTGCTTATAACCTGGAACTCCCCACCATGATCCTGCCCTGGATCCCTCCAGTTGTCCTATCTTTCTGGGCTGAAGCAATGTATTTCTTAAATGTATTTGATTGATGTCTTATGTCTCCTGAAAAATTATAAAACCAAGCTGTGCCCGGACCACCTTGGGCACATATTTTCGAGGTCCCCTGAGGGCTGTGTCATAGGCCATGGTCACTCACATTTGGCTCAAAATAAATATCTTCAAATATTTTACAGTTTGACTCTTTTCATCAACAGCTGGAATGGGTACACTAATGTTAGAAAAAAAGTAGCCTTTAAGAAAAAGAGTAATAACTAGAGATAATAAGGGGTATTTCATTATTAAAGGATCCATTTAACATGAATACCAATAAACCTGAATATTTCAGTACCTGATGAAAGAACTTCAAAGTACATCAAAATGAAACCTGGTGGGTATTTCTTTTTTTTTTTTTTTTGTAATTTGTGGCTCTCTGCTGAATTCTTAACCTTGCCTTTTATTTTCTTTCTGTCTTCCTCTGTCTCTCCGTCTCCCTCTTCCTGCTTTTTAAGTTCTACTCAGGGAAGAAGTGGTCTGATTGACCTAGTCTGTCTTGACCAGAAGAACATCTCCAATGTACAAATGATCACATATTGCAGGGCTTAGTACATCACTGACAACTTCAATTGAGATTGTGATTTGTTAGATATAATTTTCTTGAAATCCTTGATACTTTCATTAAGGCCTACTATATGATTTTGTTTCATTAGTATGTGCTAATGTAGGAATATGTATTTAGGTTGGTGCAAAAGTAATTCTGGTTTTTGCCATTACTTTTAATGGCAAAAATATACACCTTATTTACTTCACTGTTTTCCCACTACACGGTACATCTGTAATGAATCTTTAGCATATGGCCCATACCTGACACAAGTGTACTAAAGAAACATTTATTAAATCAATTAAATGATAAAATTAATTGAAAGAATTTAAGGAAATTATGACAAAAAGATCCACTGCCAGTGAGTATCATGGTATCATGTACCTAAATACAAATTGATCTTAATTTTGTATTAATTGGCTTCAAGGATAAAAAGCTACAAACTAAAGCATATTTCAGAGAAAAAAAATAGGGTTTGTAAAGATATCTGCTTCCAGTAATGGGAGAATAATCTGTTTCAACAACCATCCTCCTGGGAAAATCTAGATAAACAAAAACAAAAAAAATCAAGGACATCTGTTTGAAGACAGAAATCCAAGGATGCAAAGATTTGAAGGGACAAGATGTCAGAAGAGTCACTCACCTGGTGAGAAAAAAATGTAATATTGCTTTTCCCTTCAAGCTTTTTGCTGATTCAAAAGAGGTGACTGAGAACATACAGGGCTAAGCAGAAACCTGTAGCTGAGGAGCTAAGCAGTTGAGCAGGACTTCAGTAGTCTCACTCACCCCAGGGAACAATATACGGATTCAGGGCCTTCCAAGGCCCTGGAAAATGCCCCAAGGGTTCATTTGGCATCCCTGAGGGTTTATGGCCTAAGGGTCCATATGAATCAGAAATAAAAAAAAACTCCTCACAAAACTTAAAGCCCAGCTTCAAAAGGTCGCAATCCCTGATTGCTATGAGATGAACTACCCTCATCTTAACTATCTCTCATTAGCAAAAACAAATGCTCCCTGGACGAAGATAAAATCACCTAGTGAAGATAAAATCACCTAGGATTTCCAATTACCTCTATACTATTTCATACAGAAAATCAAGCATACAATCAAAACTAACTGTGCATGCAAAATATTAAAAATGCATGATTCAAAAACATTTTTGGGGTAATAAAATTTCTAGCTGACTTCTAGTTTAACTCCACTCTTGTCATAGAACATGCTGTGTATTAGTATTTGACCATTACCAAATCCTGATTAATAATCAATTTTTATGATTTTAATGTAATACTTTTAATGTAATACTTTTAATGTAATACTTTTAATGTAATACTTGAGGAGAATATGTTCTCTGCAGTTGTTGGGTCTGTTCTTTTCTTTATGTCAATTATGACAATATTGTTTAAATATTCTGCTTTCTTAATATTTTATTCCTTGTTTGTTCTATTAATTTCAGAGATAGGTAAGTTAAATTACCTGAATCTCCTTTTCATCCTGACCATTTCCTGCTTTTTTTGCTAAAAAAAAAGTTATTACATAAACAAAAGGTTAAGATGTTTATATTATTTTCCTCTTGGATTCAGCCTATTATTATGTTGGAATAAACCTTTTTTTTTTCTTCTAGAAGCAATTCATCCGCTAAACCCACTTTGTCTAAGAACAATCAC
This sequence comes from Homo sapiens, assembly GCF_000001405.40. Lineage (NCBI taxonomy): Eukaryota > Metazoa > Chordata > Mammalia > Primates > Hominidae > Homo > Homo sapiens. The sequence continues at coordinate 27,190,384 of NC_000023.11, forward strand.
ATCAACATTTTCGGTTAATTGTTCCATTGTATTTTTTCCCATTCTTTTCTATAAGTTATGCAGTTTACATTTGAAATTATATAGATACCAACAATCATTAATGTTTAAAATGGAGTATCCAAACTGTTTAATCCCTGATATATGTGTATTTGAATCTTCTATATTATTTACAAGATATACTGAGTAGAAACCACCAAAAAAAACATTAACACAATAAAAAGACACTGTATTCCTCTAGGGGAAAAAAAAGACAGGATTATAGCATTAAACTTGAAAACGTGGGCATAATCTTAAGAAAAGTTAGAAAAAAACCCTTAAATTTGGGGAATCATTCAAAGAACCATTAGACAAGTGTGTTAGTCAAAAATTGTATCACATTTTAATAGCAGTTTGGATTTACTATATATTCATATAATTATTTACAAGCTCCGTGATTTAGATTTCTTTTTAAGGCAGAAGTTATTTTAATTCCAGTGAAATAAATATTTAAAATTGTTTTTGCAGTTACAGATAGATAAGAGGATAATACTAAAATCAGTTTCCACTACAGAAATCATCTGCAAAATGACAAATTTTAATGTGGGTTGCCTAATGTTGTATGCTCACCTTATTGCAGACATTTCTACTGGACCATGATATCTCTCTTGATGCACGTTAACTTATTTCATTTAAGAACTGTTCAATGTCAGCAGATCATTATTTGAACCACAATCATGAGATATCCAAGCTCACTCTTCAGGAGACTCTAGTAGGATTATCTTTACTAAGGCTTCTTTATTTTACAGCAATTCTGGAGAGTCCATTCACTTGTAATGTTGTAACTTTATTAACATTTTTAATATAATAAATTTAGCTATTTAAGAGTTATTAATTCCAGGGAGATGATGCTACATTTTGTTCTCATAGGGGCAATAATACATACATTTTAATTAAAAGTTAATTTCTAATTAAATACGGAGTTATTGATGTCAATAAAAATACTGACGTATCAATAGACTTGGCTGCTCCCAAATAGCAAGATTTTCAGATTTTTTTTTTTTGAGACGGAGTCTCGCTCTGTCACCCAGGCTGGAGTGCAGCGGCACGATCTCAGCTCACTGCAAGCTCTGCCTCCTGGGTTCACGCCATTCTCCTGCCTCAGCCTCCCGAGTGGCTGGGAATACAGGCGCCCGCCACCATGCCAGGCTAATGTTTTGTATTTTTAGTAGAGACAGGGTTTCACCGTGTTAGCCAGGATGGTTGCGATCTCCTGACCTCGTGATCCGCCCGTCTCGGTCTGCCAAAGTGCCGGGATTACAGGCGTAAGCCACCGAGCACGGCCCAGATTTTTTTTTAATTCAAAGGATGACCAAGTATCAACTAATTTGTTTCAACCAGAGGCTTCAAATAATAGTATTACTGAATATTTTCAGAACAACCAAGCTATTTATCAACATTATAAACACAACATAATTTCTATTATTTTAAAATTATTAAGCATATGGAATGCATATAAGTGGACATTTTCATGTGAGGCTTGTGGGATTATATTTTATATTTCAACTATAAGTACCTTTTAGGTGTGAGGACATACGGAACGATCAAACAATATGACAGCTTTAAAAACGAGTTCAAAATGACTTGTCTGAGTGCCATATTCAAAGCTTTTCAGTACAAATAAGACAATAAAAATAAAATAATTAAAAAGCTAAGGTATATATGTATATATACATATATATTTTAAGTTACTGAAAAAGGTTCAAGAGTCCAATGCTAAATATGAATTATGTGTTACCATTTCAAATCAGGTGCTTAAAGTTCTGCTGGTCTTATCTGTGCCATCAATGATCTACCTATTGTTCTTATTGTACTTATTGTAGTGGACTGGATTTGGCTCACAGGGATTTGGCTCACAGGGCCATAGTTTGCTGACCCTGGCTTGGACCAGTTAGAATAGGGTTTCTCAATCTTCACACTATTGTTATTGGGGGTCTGTTGATTCATTGCCATTGTGTTGCTCTATTCATTTTAGGATGTTGAACAACATTCCTGACCTTTGCCCACTAGATCGCAGTAGAACTCCCCCACTGTAGAAATGTCTCCAGACATTGTCAAACATCCCCTGGGGTACAAAATCACCCTAGGTTGAGAACCATTGCTCTGCCAGTCCCCTGTCCAGAGAGAACAGACTTATTCTGTTTTTTCTTTTTTCTGTTGTTTTATTTATTTTGTGCACCTGTTAGCACGTCTTGGTTGAGAACTTTTCCTGCACTCAGATTGGGATATACAGAAGGTGAAAACAATGCCCAGGGAACTCAATTCTGTGTCTTTCCTTGAATCCAAGTCCTCAAATGTGTCTGCTTTCTTTTGTCTACTTTTCATTTAGTCTTCTGCTGTTTGTTTCATTTGTCTCATCCAGGTTTTAGTTGTAATAACTGAGGAGAACTAGGGTGAAATGTGCTTACTTTATCTTAGTCTCCTAGATAAGTATTTGTAAAATACGATTTCTGTCTGAGGACGTGCAGTGTCCTGGTTAAGAGTGTACCGGCACGGTGGCTCATGCCTGTAATCCCAGCACTTTGGGAGGCTGAGGCGGGCAGATCACGAGGTTAGGAGTTTAAGACCAGCCTGACCCAACATGGTGAAACCCCGTCTCTACTAAAAATACAAAAATTAGCCGGGCATGGTGGCACATGCCTGTAATCCCAGCTTCTCGTGAGGCTGAGGCAGGAGAATCGCTTGAACCCAGGAGGTGGAGGTTGCAGTGAGCCAAGATCGCGCCACTGCCTTCCAGCCTGGGTGACAGCAAGAGACTCTAACCCAAAAAATAAAAATAAATATAAAAAAGAGTGTACTTTCAGGAGCCAAGTATCATGAATTATGAATTTAACTCCTGGCTCTACTATTCAAAGGATGTAAGACCCTGGGAAGGATATATAGCCTCCTGCTACTCAGTGTTTTCAGATGTAAATTTATAGCGGCATTAATACACAACTCATAGTTGAATATAATAGAATCCTCATGTAACTCATAAGGGCTAAATGAATTACTGTACATAAATAACATTGACCAGTTTTTGTTACATAGTAAACACTATGCATCAGATATCATTAGTATCGTTTTTATTATAATTATCTGGAAAACCATGGACAAGTGACTTTAACATGCCAATGATTATTAACACTCCAGATCCCTACACCCTTCTTAAAGTGAAAGTGAGAATCATCAAAAAGGAAAGCTTCAGTGGAGTTTTCAAAACTGGAAAAGATGCACTTCATTTTGAATAAACTTTATGTAAGATTTTAAAGGGCTGGAAAAGTGGGACATTTGATATCTTAAGGTATTTCGAATCACAAAGAATTTAAATGCCTGGGCTAAAAGGATCCCATTACAGTGTTTTTCTTTAAAGAAATTCTCTCCACCCATCCCCACCCCCACACCCTGGGACAGTAAGTGAGAGAGGACTAGTGTTTCATTAAGGCTGTACCTACTCTCACTCTCTCTAGAACAACATTCGCTTGCTGTGCAAGAGTATACATTAATCTCTGTTTGTGGAAGGACTTTCACCCCCTGTCAACCTAGAGTGGAGAAGTTCTTTCCATCTTTCAAAATGCATCATCAGTCACCTGAGGTTCTAAAGCTAAATACTTGAACAAAGAAGCGTGCACTCACACAATTCCCACAGCAGAAGAGAGAAAACAAAGGAAGCATTGAACGTAAAACATAGCATAAAATAAGATGAAAGAACTAAGACCAAATATTTATATATCAATAAATCGAAATGGGATAAGTTCACATATTAGAAATAAAAGGCTGAGCAAATAACACCGGCAAATAAATATTGTATCTAATAGGTGTATCTAAAATGATTTAAAAGTATGAATTGAGTTGTCCCATGACATTAATCCTAGGCAATGTAGAATTGTTAAACAAGAAAAAGAGGGGTATATTATAGTGATATTGATTACCATCTACATTGATAATGAAACTTTGTAATTAATACTTAGGCTCTGAATAATAAAATGTCAAAAATAAGCTGAAATAAGCATAAGGGTGAAGGTATTTTTTAAAATATATACTGATTTTCTATTTTGGGGGAGGGCTAAATACCCAGTAGTGGGATTTCTGGATCTTACAGTAACTCTATTTTTAGTTTTGTGAGAAATCTCCACCCTGTTTTCCATAGTAGCTATACTAATTTGCATTCCTACCAGCAGGTGTATGAGTTCCCTTTTCTTTGCATCCTGGCCAACATCTGTTCCTACTAATAGCCATTCTAACTGGGGTAAGAAGATATCTCATTGTGGTTTTGACTTCCATTTCCCTGATAATTAGTGATGTTGAGCATTTTTTCCATATACCTGTTGGCCATTTGTATGTCTTCTTTTGAGAAATGTCTATACATGTCCTTTGCCCACTTTTTAATAGGATTATGTTTTTTTTTTTTAATCTGTTGAGTTGTTCGAGTTCTTTGCATATTTGGGATGCTAGTTCCTTGTCCTATGAATAGTTTGCGAATATTTTCTCCCATTCTGTAGGTTGTGTCATTACTCTGTTGTTTTCTTTTCTGCGCAGATGCTTTTTATTTAATGTGGTCCCATTTGTCTGTTTTTGGTTTTGATGCCTATGCTTTTGAAGTCTTAGCCAAAAAATATTTGTCTAGGCCACTGTTCTAAAGTGTTCCCCCTATGTTTTCTTCTAGTAGTTTTATAGTTTCAGATCTTAAACTTAAGGTAGCACTATTCACAATAGCAAAGATATGAAATCAATCTAAGTGTCCATCAATAGACAAATGGATAAATAAAATGTGGTAAATATACACGACGGAATACTATTTGGCCATAGAAAAGAATACAATCACGTTTTTTGCAGCAACATGAATGGGACTTTAGGTTATTGTGTTAAGTGAAATAAGCCAGGCACAGAAAGAAAAATATCACATATTCTCACTCATATGTGGAAATTAAGAAAGTTGCTATCATGGAGGTAGAAAGGAGAATAATAGATATGAGAGGCTGGGAAGGGTGTGTGGGTAGGGGAATAAAGAGAGGTTGGTTAATGGGTACAAACATAAGGTCAGATAGAGGGGACATTTCTAATGTTCGATAGCAGAGTAGAGTGGCTATAGTTAACAACAGTGTATCATATATTTTGAAATAGCTACAAGAGAAGGCTTGAGATGGTTCTAACACATAGAAATGGTAAGTACTCAAGGTGATGAATGCCCTAAATGCCATGACTTGATCATTACACATTCTATGTATGTAACAAAATATCACGTGTACCCCCAAAACATGTACAAATATTATGTATCCATACAAATTTAACACATAATAAAACAAATCTTGTACCTAAAATCCCCCAAAAACCCCGAAGAATAAAATTAAGTGTAACAAGAATGAGAAACAGAGTTTAACCCACCATGAACAGCTAATGAATAATTCACATAATATTTTAGAGTAGTTAATCACATAATTTATCTGAAAAATGTGTTAATAATTTGCCGAGGATAATGGCTTCCACCAGGTGATGGGTTGATAGGTGCAACAAAGCATCATGGTACATATTTGCCTATGTAACAAATCTGCATATCCTGCACATGTACCCTAGAACTTAATAGAAAAAAAGTATTAATAAGATTGGTATTGTCTTATTTTGAATCCCCCAGAAGCAGGACCTAGGACAAGAATTCCATTGAAATCTGTTTATGAGAGAAGAAAAGGAACACAACATAGGGCATGGAAATTACATAGGAAGGGAAAACATTCAATAAATTGTACATAACTAAGCTACCTACCACAAGTTAATCATATGGAAAAATTCTGAGAAATGGTGTAAAGTGTGACCAAATTTTTCCACCCAAGGTGGGAGAGAGTTGGGGTATTTATATACTGTATCCCAGCAGTCACTGGTTGGGAGTTTCTGGGTATTTGTTAATTCACTGGAACTTCTGGCCTGATGCATGGCAACAGAAAAGCCTTGTAAGATTTCAGAAAGAATTTTGTGGCAGAGAGACACAGACATTGGTAGTTCAAAGTTTAAAGAGGCACACTGAAAACTGTCGGGTCTGAGGAATATGAGTAGGGCACTACTGGCATCTGCTATGCCATATACTATTGTATATGAACTGATGAAAATTTTAAGTGGCAATAAGGCAACTACTAAAATTAAGCATATGTAGACCACAAAGAAAATCATAGTAAATGTCAGCATGTAAAAAATAAAAAGCCATATTTTCTGACTACAATGGTGTAATGTTTAAAATTAAGGTGGACAGAAAATCAAAAATTATCTCAAAATATGTTTTAATAATAAGAAGAGATTCCTGGGCAAGATGGCCAAATAGGAACAGCTCCGGTCTGCAGCTCCCAGCGAGACCGGCACAGAAGGTGGGTAATTTCTGCATTTCCAACTGAGGTACCCGATTTATCTCATTGGGACTGGTTAGACAGTGGGTGCAGCCCATGGAGGATGAGCAGAAGCAGGGTGGGGCGTCGCCTCACCTGGGAAGTGCAAGGGGTCAGGGAACTCCCTCCCCTAGCCAAGGGAAGCCATGAGGGACTGTGCTGTGAGGGATGGTGCTATGTGGTCCAGACATTATGCTTTGCCCATGGTCTTCGCAACCCACAGACCAGGAGATTCCCTCTGGTGTCTACACCACAAGGGGCCTGGGTTTCAAGCACAAAACTGGGTGGCTGTTTGGGCAGACACCAAGCTAGCTGCAGGAGTTTTCTTTCATACCCCACTGGCGCCTGGAATGCCAGCAAGACAGAACCGTTCACTTCCCTGGAAAGAAGGCTGAAGCCAGGGAGCCAAGTGGTCTTGCTCAGCGGATCCCACCCCCAAGGACCCCAGCAAGCTAAGATCCACTGGCTTGAAATTCCTGCTGCCAGCACAGCAGTCTGAAGTCAACCTGGGATGCTCTAGCTTGGTGGGGAGAGGGGCATCTGCCATTACTGAGGCTTGAGTAGGTGGTTTTCCCTTCACACTGTAAACAAACCCGGAGGCAGTTAGGACTGGGTGGAGCCCATCTCAGCTTGGCAGAGCCACTGTAGCCAGACTGCCTCTCTAGATTCCTTCTCTCTGGGCAGGGCATCTCTGAAAGAAAGGCAGCAGCCCCAGTCAGGGGCTTATAGATAAAACTCCCATCTCCCTGGGACAGAGCACCTGGGGGAAGGGACAGCTGTGGGCGCAGCTTCAGCAGACTTAAACATTCCTGCCTGCCGGCTCTGAAGAGAGCCGCAGCTCTCCCAGCACAGCACTTGAGCTCTGGTAAAGGACAGACTGCCTCCTCAAGTGGATCTGTGACCCCCCGAGCCTCCTGACTAGGAGACACCTCCCAGCAGGGGTCGACAGACATCTCATACAGGAGAGTTCCAGCTGGCATCTGGTGGGTGCCCCTCTGGGATGAAGCTTCCAGAGGAGAGAACAGGCAGCAATCTTTGCTGTTCTGCAGCCTCCGCTGGTGATACCCAGGCAAACAGGGTCTGCAGTGGACCCCCAGCAAACTCCAGCAGACCTGCAAAAGAGGGGTCTGACTGTTAGAAGGAAAACTAACAAACAGAAAGCAATAGCATCTACATCAACACAAAAGATGACCAAGCAAAAACTCCATCCGAAGGTCACCAACAGCAAAGACCAAAGGTAGATAAATCCACGAAGATGAGGAAAAACCAGCGCAAAAAGGCTGAAAATGCCAAAAACCAGAATGCCTCTTCTCCAAAGGATTACAACTCCTTGCCAGCAAGGGAACAAAACTGGAGGGAGAATGAGTTTGACGAATTGACAGAAGTAGGCTTCAGAAGGTGGGTAATAACAAACTTCTCCGAGCTAAAGGAGCCAGAAAAAAACAAACAACCCCATCAAAAAGTGGGCAAAGGATATGAACAGACACTTCTCAAAAGAAGACATTTATGGGGCCAACAAACATATGAAAAAAAGCTCATCATCACTGGTCATTAGAGAAATGCAAATCAAAACCACAATGAGATACCATCTCATGCCAGTTAGAATGGCGATCATTAAAAAGTCAGGAAACAACAGATGCTGGAGAGGATGTGGAGAAATAGGAACACTTTTACACTGTTGGTGAGAGTGTAAATTAGTTCAATCATTGTGGAAGACAGTGTGGCGATTCCTCAAGCATCTAGAACCAGAAATACCATTTGACCCAGCAATCCCATTACTGGGTATATACCCAAAAGATTATAAATCATTCTACTATAAAGACACATGCACACGGTTTACTGCAGCACTATTCACAATAGCAAAAACTTGGAACCAACCCAAATGTCCATCGATGATAGACTGGATAAAGAAAATGTGGCACATATACACCATGGAATACTATGCAGCCATAAAAAAGAATGAGTTCATGTCCTTTGCAGGGACATGGATGAAGCTGGAAACCATCATTCTCAGCAAACTAACACAGGAAGAGAAAACCAAACACCGCACATTCTCACTTGTAAGTGGGAGTTGAACAATGAGAATATATGGGCACAGTGAGGAGAACATCACACACTGGGGCCTGTTGGGGAGTGGGGGATAGGGCAGGGATAGCATTAGGAGAAATACCTAATGTAGATGATGGATTGATGGGTGCAGCAAACCACCATGGAACATGTATACCTATGTAACAAACCTGCACGTTCTGTACATGTATCCCAGAACTTAAAGTATAATAAATTAAAAAAAAAAAACCTTGCTAAAAAAAACAAGAAAAAGAAAACCTGTTCCAAAGTAGTACTGCTAACTTGGCTGTTCCTCAGGTGGGAGTGGAACTACAAAAAGCAGGAACATCTGTACAACGTAAAACTTTATGAATATCATAAATTATAAAATATGGAACACTTGGTAAATAAAACCTTATGTATTAATAATAATAATAACAGAACACTATTATATAACCTTTATATTGGAAAAGAAATAAAAATCAATACTGCAGAATATAGAGATAATTATGATTAAGGATATATATTTTTACAACGGATAATGCTGAAGTTATTCTCAGTGGAAAAAATCCATACTGTTCAACTCATAAAGACTTATGAGTTATTTCTAAATAAGAAATAATATTGTAAAAATTATTACATTTCAACATTAAATGTTTTAGAAAAGAAAAACAAAATATGGTCACGAAAATAACAAAGAAAAATTTTAAAGAATTAAATCAATAGCATTATTTAAAAATTCTAATACTTTGGGAGGTTGCAGTGGGAAGATTACTTGAGGGCAGGAGTTTCAGATCAGCCTGGGCAACATAGTGAGACCCCATCTCTACTAAAAGATAAAAAATAGCCATGCATGGCGTCGCAAGCCTGTAGTCCTAGCTACTCCAGAGGCTAAGGTGGGAGGAACCCTTGAGCTCTGGAGATCTAGGCTGTAGTGAGCTACGATTCTGTCACTGCACTCCAGCCTGGGAAACACAGCAAGACCTTATCTCTAAAAAATAAAGTAATAAAAAAATTCACACCTAGTTATTTTATACATTTTTTAAATATATAAATGATACTAGATTAATATATGAATAATGATAAAATACTATGCTACCAAAATTAGAAATGAGGAAGGGAAAAGTGATAGAATGGAAATTAAAAGACATCTATCAAAGTTCTTTAGAATAACTGTATAAAATTATTTGAAATTCAGGATTACATGTATTGTATTCTAAAAATAACATAAATTCCTGATATTAATCCCAGAAGAAATGGAAAATCTGAGCAAGGCAGTAATTGCACGTAAATTATTTTTAAAATATTAAGAAAATACCTCACTAAAAATTAAAAGGCCCAGATAGTTTCCTTGCAAGTGATTTCAAACCATGAAGTTAATTCCAACACAATGTAAAATTTTCTAAAGCAATAATTAAGGTGATACTTAAACATTATGATGTCAGAACAATACTGATAAGAAAAATTAAGCTAGTAAAATTTACTAATGTGAATACCTAGGTAAGAAATCAAGTATTAGAAAAGAGAAGACATAGATATTTTAAAGTAACTACATAACTTTAAGTTTGAGTCTCTGGCACCTGGGAAAATGCCTGCTACATTTTAGAAACACAATAAATACTTATAGTATGAGTAACTAGTGATAAGAATATAAGGATGATTCAAAATTAGCAACTTTAATAAAAATATATGCACATATGTAGTTTAAATACCTCAGGAGAAAAATTTATGATTACTGCTTTACATTAAAAACACACACAAAATAATATTCAATACTGATTTTAAAAAATAATTGTCTATATCTATACTGCAAACCAAGGAAAGCATTACCCTTAAAAAAAGCAGTAGAATAATTCCATAAAAATTTAGAAAAACTTTAGAGCCCGGATTAACAACACTATTATGTAAATGTGTTTTAAAAGTCTGAGCAATTTCAAATGTAAGAGTGGTGTGTGTGTGTGTACGTACAAGCGTGCACACACGCATGTGCATGTGTGTAAAACAGACAAGCTACCAAATAGTAATAATGTGCAAAGTTTATGATCAAGCAATTAAAAAAGATAAATACAAATGGCTAAAAATATAAAAGGGTGTTTAACGTCTAAATAAAGAAATGCAAATAACTTTTTTTCAATCAACAGATTGGTTAAAAAAAGTATAAAGATAAATAAAATTGATTTGGTAAAGATGTGAGAAAACAGCCCATTTAAAAACTACTAGTAAGTGCCTAAGTAAGTCAAACATTTCTGCAGGTCAGTGTTTCAATATCCAAGAAAATGTAAACTCCAGAGACTCTGACTCTTCAATTTTTTTGTAGGAAATTACTCCATAGCCCAATTTGAAAACTATGGAAAGAACTCTGTATAATGTTATTTAATTTTATATTGATTTAACAGCAAAAATCAACCCACATTTCCAACAGCTTGGAAATGATCAAAACCTTATGTCCATACATTTTATGGAAAATAATAATAAATTTAAAAAAAAGACTCAATGGGTTTCACATGCTGCTATGGAATGTTCTCCATTACAGGTCTATGCAGACAATGTTAATCACCACACCTTGGGTGAAAGAAGCTAAAGATACTTGCAGTGATGTGTGATCAAGAAGTTTGAAATTTTTAATTCATAATTTTATACGCTTTTATAATGTGCAGTAAAATACACTAAGTTTAAGCGTATGTGTGTGCATGTATCCACCCACATATGTATAATATTTGTCTTTAGAGACTGGAAAATAGATGACTACGGCAGATTATTAGAAAAATATTAACTGTGCATTCCTTTAACATTTTATATTACTTGGTATTAATAATGAAATAAAAATGGATCATTCCTACGACCTATCATTTATATGTAATCATGTTGCTACAACACAAGCTGTCTCAAATTATTCAAATCTAGAATATCACAATCAAATTTGCCTTGGTAACTTTTGGAAAGGGATGGTAACTGAGTTTGTGTTGTGATGATGAGAAGTGAGTTACCTATATTAGAAGAGCCACTTATTTTAAACTTGACAATATCAAGTTTTAGAGGTTGTTAAATGTCTACAGTAGGGTCTTCTAAATGAATATAGACAAATGGGTTTTCCAAATATTTTGGAAAAGTAGACAAATGTGGACTTACCATTTTTTTGAGATGGGGTCTTGCTATGTTGCCTGGGCTGGAATACAGCAGCTATTCATAGGCGCAATTATAGTGCACTACAGCCTCAAATTCTTGAGCTCAAGCCATCCTCTGCCTCAGCCTACCAAGGTGCTGGGACTATAGGCATAAGTCACTTCACTCAGTACAATTACCATTTTTAGCAAACCTGTTAGCCCACTGAAAAGTCTTACAGCTTTTTTGAAAGACTATCTAGATTCAATTGAAAAATAAAATTCTTCAGTGTTAAATATATATGAGCACCTGAAGTTGGTATATAAAGATGCAGGGATTTGATTGTTTATTTGCAAAAGTAACTTGGAGTAGGAAAGCTGTGGACATTACTGATGTTTCATATTTATTTTTCCATTCTTTATTCTTATTATTGCATTAGAAATCCAAATATTAGAAACAGCACACAATATAAATTTAAAAATCACAATACTGTTTATTTCACAAAATGTAATTCATTTCATTTATATTAATATCTACATTGTGGTCATGATCTGCCTTCAAAATATTGTTATATAGCTTTATCTAACTATAACTAAAAACAATAACTGGGAAATCTGTCCTCATACCCAAATACCCAAAATAGATATCAGTCACTCATAAATAAAGCTAGAAAGATAGTGAACTGAGTGAAATCTTAAATAGAAACTTAAAGCTACCTCCCAGTAGGTATGAAATATCAGTGATAGCTCTGACTACACCCTAGAAAATATCATTTGAAGTAAACAACAGACAAAAAAAAGTAAAACAAAACCAATATAATTGTAGCAAAAATGTATAGGACAGAAGGAAAAAATGCATTTCTAATATATTAGAAAAACAAAATACTAGTTGAATAATATTATGGTATTTTGTCGCTCACATGTATTTCTAGTCAGTAAATTTAAGAGGTTGATTTGAAGATGTTTCTGCTCTCTCATGTTCAGTGCAAATGGCCTTGTCTAGTTGAAATGATAAATGATACTGAGAAATCAGCATGCTATTTTGATGAGTCTTCTGATTAGAGAATAATTTTAGCTACAGATAAAACCATTTTATGATTTTGTCAATCTTTTCTGCTATCACTTGATTAAAATATTTTCAAGAACCTTAAAATATCAAAACTTTAGAAATTAACACTTTCTAGAACTGCAAAAAATATGTTCTAGATAAAAAGTATATTCTAGAGCTCCTCAAAATTATATTCTGTAACAAACATGGGTCCATATTCTTTAGTATTCACAAGGACGAAAAATAATATAAGTTAAGCATATTTTTCATTCAAATTTCTTGCTCAAATGAAGTCATCTGATGCACAACATGGCTTTTTGGAGCAACTGTACTACTAAAATTATATTTGTCCAGATGTACAAATGTTTAAAGTATTATAAGCATATAATGTTTACTCTTTGTGTCTATCAAAGTCAGAAAAAGAGTTCTAAAAACCAGGGCCATATTCTATCTTAAATTTTATAAAAACACAAATCAGATAAATGTTTTCAATGCATTTCAAACATTATGGTACACAGTGGCTTATTCCATGCCTGTTTATTAAACAAAGAATTGAATTACACTTATTTGCCAATTACATTTGTTACTCATTGGCCTTAATAATGCGAAATGAAAAATAGTAGAAGAATTTGCTGTGTTTGTAAGTAAATAAGACAAAATAGATAAATGAATTTCCTATTACTCTGTAACCAATACATGAATTACACAGCGAGGAACTTAAGAGGGATGTTGCTACAAATCTTTGTCCATTAACTGCATAATAAAATACCTGCAAAGAGAAGACATTTGTTGGATGAAGGAATGAATGAAACCTAAATCAGAAATCAGGAGAAAATGAAACTAAAGGAAAAATTCTGAGAAAACAAAATAGTACATTTAAGAAACGACATTTGTTTAACATGACTGTAGCAAATGATAATTTAATACCATGCAGAAGTTAATTAAGGAAAAAATAAAAAAGATCCATTAGATATGGCAATATGAGGGACACTGGTAAACTTAATGTCTGTGGGCCGGTGTTTTGCTTCATTTTGTTTGAAATAACTATAAACTCAGTTGCATTAAACCTATAGATCAATATGGGGAGAATTGACATCCTTACTGTGTATGGTCAATCTTTCAATCCATGAACATAATATGTCTCAACTTTTACCCAGATCTTCTTTTATTTCTTTTGTCAGGGTCTTGTAGTTTCCTACATGCAGATCTTGCATAAACTGTGTTCCTTATTCCTCATATATCCCTACTCCATCTGTAATGATATCTACTGTTTTATTCCTGATATTACTAAGTTTTGTCCACTCTATTTTATGGTTGTCAGTCTTGTTAGAGGTTTGTAAATTTGAATAATCTTTTCAGAAAACCAGTTATTGATTTCATTACTTTCCTCTTTTGTTTTGTGTTTTCAATTTAATTTATTTCTGCTCATATCTTTATTATCTCCTTTCTGATTACTTTGGATTCATTTTTTTCCTAGTTTCTTGGAGTGGGTGCTTGAATTGTTGACTTAAGACTCCCTTTTTTTGTAATGAAAGCATTTAGTAATATAAATTTCACTCTCAGCACTACTTTAGATATGTCCCACAAATGCTGATATCTTGCATTTTTCATTCAGTTTTATGTATTTTTTTTTTACTTCCCTCAAGATATCTTCTTTGACCTATGCAATATTGAGAAGTATGTTATTTAATTTCTAAGTGTTTGGAGAGTTTCCTGTTTTCTTTCTATTATTGACTTCTGGTTTGATTCCATTTTGATCAAAGAATATACTTTGTATGATTTCAAATCTGTTACATTTTTCAGGTTAGTTTTGTGGCCCAGAATATGGCCTGTTTTTGTATATGTTTCCTATGGAAATATGCATTCTGCTGTTGGCCGAAGTGTTCTAAAATGTCAATCATGCACTGTTGGTTAATGGCATTGTCCAATGAAATGGATATACCTGAACCACGCATTTCAGTAGGAGTCTTTGCAATGCATATTGGTTGAATTAAGAAGGTTTATATACCTTGCTTTGTTTTACAATGCAAATCTGATATATAGTTTATGACAGCAATGCAATTTACCATGATTGTTATATTCAGGCTCTTGTTTGAAATATGTAACATCAATATACACTTTATTTTGCTGCTTCCTTAGGATATCCCTTCTTCTGTATTTAATACAGCTATTGAGGAGATAAAATAAAAGGCAACAGTCAAGGCTGCATAGGTTAACAAATCATTTATTCATGAAGTTTTTCTACTAGTCCAGTGGGTATTGTCAGTGGACACTAGGAAAACCATAAGGGAATTCATGTTTTTCTGCATTTAGTGACTAGTCATATCCGTCTCAAAAATGTGTTCATCTTGGATTAATTTTGTTGGTAGTCAAGAATGGTGAATTTAGCATATCAAAATAAAATAAATTATAGGGAAGTTGCAGATAGTAATCAATATGCAGGAAAAATTAACTAAGCTAATATTAAATAAATGTGAGGATAAGAAATTTCGAGTGGAATGTAATAGATTTTTAGTGTCCCATACCTTCAGTGGGATGAAAAATATTTTAAACTTGACCATGATATATTTTTAGAAAAATATTTAACAAATGTATCATTTATAACTTAGATGATATAACTATAACTATACATATAACTCAGAAATATATTTTATAACTTTCTTTGGCTTCTGTAGTTCTCAACGCAGTCAGCAAAAACTGAAGGATTGAGGAACTGTATTTTATTGTAATGCTTTTTCTCACTTAAACATGAGCTTAATTATAAAGCTCCTCATGAAGTACTATAAAACACAATGAAGGTTTTATTTGGGCCAAGGTAAGCCTATAAACCAGATAAATCTGTAATAACTGTTTGTACATTAGTAGTACTGTTTATTAATATATGTGGTTGCAATCAGCTATCACTGAAGAAGCTTTATTGAAATACATTTGTAGTAATATAAAGAGTAGTACACAAGTCTTCTTAATCAATTATAGTTTATTTGGTCAATAA
The DNA here is from genome assembly GCF_000001405.40 of Homo sapiens. Classification (NCBI taxonomy): domain Eukaryota; kingdom Metazoa; phylum Chordata; class Mammalia; order Primates; family Hominidae; genus Homo; species Homo sapiens. The sequence continues at coordinate 27,205,957 of NC_000023.11, forward strand.
AGCACACTGGACCACAACACCACATTTCATTTTTCCCCTCAGGAAATCAATATCCACAATAGAAAATAAATGTCAAATTGAAGGCTTGAATTTTGTGCATGAGGTACATTGGGAATAAGTCTGGATTTGTGTTCAAGGCACCAGGGTTCTAGTCTAATTTAGCTGCCATTATTGACTTCAGAAAAGCAACACCTTCTTAAAGATATAGTTTCTCTTCCAAATTTAATTCATGGTCTTGTTACTGAAGTTTCATCGAATACACATTTCCAAGAGAGGACCGCAGGAGTTAAGCTTTTAGGAACAGGTGAACTATAATTATTGGCTGTAATCTTTCATAATACTAGATTCTGTCTACAAATTTGTGGGATTTTATTATTGTTGCTAACATCAACAGTAGAAATATGCATGAAAGAATGTTTAGAACATGCAAATCTTTAGTCCCTTGCTAGTGTTACAGGGCAATTTTGTGGGAACCTGGCCGGGCGCGGTGGCTCATGCCTCTCTAATCCCAGCACTTTGGAAGGCTGAGGCAGGTGGATCACTTGAGTTCAGCAGTTTGAAACCAGCCTGGCCAACAAGGCGAAATCCCATCTCTACTAAAAATACAAAAACAATTAGCCGGGTATGGTGGTACACGCCTCTAATCCCAGCTACTCAGGAGGCTGAGGCAGGAATCGCTTGAACTCCAGAGGTGGTGGCTGCAGTGAGCCAAGATCACACCACGGCACTCCAGCCTGGGAGACACAGGGAGACTCTGTCTCAAAAAAAAAAAAAAATTGTGAGAACCTAAAGCCAAATATATTTTCAAGAATATATTTTATAAATATGTATAAATATGGAATTAGGTATAAAAATAGGTCAGTATTTCTGCCCATGCACTCCCTCAGATTACCAATTTCCTTGTACATAACCATCTGTGGTATTACTATTTTAGACTTACCCTTCTTTATTACTTGAAATTCATGTGATAAAATTCTATTCAACTTTAATACATAAATCAAAAATCTAGCTTGATATTAAGACATTTGAGTGTCTGAAAGCTTTGCTAATCTTACTCCAAATAGCCAAACAAAAGTAGTGCCTGCAACCAAAAATAGGAAAAAAAAATTCTAAAACAGAAAGTATTTCATATGATCTCTTATAAAAACAGATATTATTGAGATAAAAATATGTTAACAGCTGTTCCGATATTAGGCATCCAAAGCAAATCTGCATAATTGAGAAAAATACTAACCAAGAATACTATTAAGCTTTTAAAATATCGGTATATGCTCCATCTTAAGAAAATAACTTCTTATAGGCCTGAATGATTGAAAAACAACTAAAGCCTATCAACTTATTTTGAGTGTCTTCAAACAGTGGGCATAGGTTTTTTTTTTTTCTGTTGATTATGTTCAAGGATGAGTCAACAAACAATAATTAAATCATGGATTGATTCTATGAGAATACGCTAAAGCTGAAAATGAAGAGAAAAAGTCTAGAAATGTCATAAATATATATGCATGAAAACGATAGCAGTATGTAAGAACAGTTCATCATTTCATAGACGTTGATATATACTTAAGTTGCCGTTGAAGTGAGGAAATCAAAAATTAGAAGTTATTCTTAGATTTCCAAGATTTCAGTAAATTGCATAACTAGGTATTCATATTAAGAAAGTTGATTGAAAATATTTCCAAAGGTCACCAGAAAACCAAACCAAAACAACAACACAAGAACTTGGAAAATGCAGTAAAAAAATACTGGCAGTTATTAATAAAATCACCTTGAGTCTCTGACAGACTTATATATCCAACCGTCATTTTGACATATCTACTTGGATGTTTAATCAACATCTCACACATAGCAGGACCCAAACTGAAATCCTGAAATCCCCTTCAAAAACGCTTCACTTATAGCCTCTGCCATCTCAGTAAACAGCAACTATAGCCTTCTGTTGCTCAGGCCAATATCCTTGGAGTCATCCTTGATGCCTCAATTTCCTTCACATACCTCATACCATCAGTCAAAAAATCCTTTTGGCTCTACATAGTGGATGCTGTGATATACCGCCTGGATCCCCCCTCAGGACTGAAGGGTTTATTTCCCTAGCTGCCACAAGTGGGGCTGATAGACAGCCTTAACCTATCAGCCCTCTTTAAGAATTGCCTGTTTATAAATCATGCTGCTATAAAGACACATGCACACGTATGTTTATTGCGGCACTATTCACAATAGCAAAGACTTGGAACCAACCCAAATGTCCAACAATGATAGACTGGATTAAGAAAATGTGGCACATATACACCATGGAATACTATGCAGCCATAAAAAATGATAAGTTCATGTCCTTTGTAGGGACATGGATGAAGCTGGAAACCATCATTCTCAGCAAACTATAGCAAGGACAAAAAACCAAACACCGCATGTTCTCACCCATAGGTGGGAATTGAACAATGAGAACACATGGACACAGGAAGGGGAACATCACACACCGGGGCCTGTTGTGGGGGGGGGGAGGGGGGAGGGATAGCATTTGGAGATACACCTAATGTTAAATGACGAGTTACTGGGTGCAGCACACCAACATGGCACATGTATACATATGTAACTAACCTGCACATTGTGCACATGTACCCTAAAACTTAAAGTATAATAAAAAAAAAAAGAATTGCCTGTTGAAGGAATTAGCTTGCTCAAAGTCACTCACATCAGTCAATACAGGGGTATGAAGGCCTACCTCCTTTGCCCCAACTCCAGACAACTCTGTAGAACCATCCTAGCTTCAGAGCTCCCTATTCAAATGTATGAAGCTTTCACTGACAATGCGTCAAAGGACGACCTCCCCTTCTGTCAAGCCTTGCTTCCTCCCCTTCCTTCTGACAGATGTTGGTGCCAAGGTAACTCCATAGGCACTTTCTACACACTACTTTTCATGTTATATTCTGATTCTTGTAGAACATCACCTTTGATAGTTGGGAACAGATGTGCTTAGAGAAAGCAGATACTAAGATAGTATGTTCAACTTGTCAGCTGGCAACAAGGATTCCATCACTAATGGTAGATAAGGCACACATATACCCTGGAGCAAGATAGGAGTGAAATATATACAACTCTTGCTGTGGAAAACTGAGGCAGTATTCTAATGAAAGGAACTGTACTAGTAGGTGTGATGATGTATCAGGCATTTGAGAAAAATGAGAGGAATAGTTACTATAATGACTGTAGAATTAGGTAGATTAGATATAATTGATAATTAGGGAAAAAGTTAAAAAGGGCTTATGGTGATTAATTGACAATTAAAAGCTAAGTGTGAAAACCAGGAAGCCTCCTAGGTAGCTTATAAAAAGTCTCTCTGATTCAGCTGGAGAGCACCCAGGCCCAGGAATTATTCCTAAAACTAGCAGAGCTCAAAGAAAGGCTAAACTCCCATAAAAGGGTAGACATGCAATGATAAGGTGACTGTATAAACAAAATGTGGCACATCCATACAATAAAATGCTGTTAGACAAAAAGGGTAAAGAGGTCGTGTTACAGGCTATACCATGGATAAACCTTGAAATTCTGATGCTAAGTGATAGAAGCCAGTCACAAAAGATTATATATTGTATTTTAAATTGACATGAACTTTTTTAGGGATACAAAGTATATCCATACACAAAGTATTAATAGATGAGCGCCTGCCTGGGGCTGGGTGTGGAAGTGTGGATAGACTACAAATGGGAACATGGAAACTTTTTGGTGTGATGGAAGTGGATTATGGAAAACTGTGTTGTGGTGATATATTCAGAACTGCATGGATTTACTAAAAGCCATGAAATTGAAAATTTACAATGGATGGCTTCAATGGTTTGCAAATTATGACTAAAATTGGAAAAAATTAAAAAGGCAAACTCAAAGAAAGAAAAGCAAGCAGTGTGTGTGTGTCAGAGAGAGAGAGAGAGAGAGAGAGAGAGCACTGTACTAAATTTTAATGCTGTATGTGAAATTTTCCCTGACCACTTTTGGCTGTATTAGTTGCCCTCCTCTTTGTTTCCTTTTTATTTATCCACTAAAAAATTTATGTACAACTATTAAATATCACTCTTATGCTAGTTATTTGAGATACAAGGAGAACAAAGATATCATTTGTGCTGTAAAGGCATTAATAGACTAGGGTGGGAGACATTCAAGAAAATCAGCAAGTATGAGGCAGTGTACATATGACTTTCTCTGATACTGTTATGCCCATGAGCTAAAGGAGACAATGAAAGGGCTTCAAAAATACCTACATCATACTAATTACCTGGTTGAATATTTATTAAACATATTCTATATTTCAGTCTATTGTTAATGACAGTAATATTGTTATTCTGTTCCTTTAGTGAGGCAGTGCACAGAATTATTTTACAAATAAAATTGTATTTTATTTTTCTTGAGAGCATTCTAGGCAGGAGAATGATTTGAGATACGGCATTAGATATCAGAAATAGTAAGCAAGCTCCATGTGCTAGGGAAGAGCTGTGAGAGATATATATATACACACACATGTATATGTCTTATATGTGTATATGTATATGTCATATATACATATACATATACACATATATGATATATACTATATATGTCATATATACATATACACATATATGATATATACTATATATGTCATATATACATATACACATATATGATATATACTATATATGTCATATATACATATACACATATATGATATATACTATATATGTCATATATACATATACACATATATGATATATACTATATATGTCATATATACATATACACATATATGATATATACTATATATGTCATATATACATATACACATATATGATATATACTATATATGTCATATATACATATACACATATATGATATATACTATATATGTCATATATACATATACACATATATGATATATACTATATATGTCATATATACATATACACATATATGATATATACTATATATGTCATATATACATATACACATATATGATATATACTATATATGTCATATATACATATACACATATATGATATATACTATATATGTCATATATACATATACACATATATGATATATACTATATATGTCATATATACATATACACATATATGATATATACTATATATGTCATATATACATATACACATATATGATATATACTATATATGTCATATATACATATACACATATATGATATATACTATATGTCATATATACATATACACATATATGATATATACTATATGTCATATATACATATACACATATATGATATATACTATATATGTCATATATACATATATGTGTACATATATACACATTATATACACATATATCTACATATGACATATATGAAATAACATGTATATATTTATACATCATGTGAACATATCCACAATACTGTAACACTTCATTTCATTTATTCTTGTTTCACAGTGCTAAGATTTCATCTTTCTGGAAGTCACTGTGAACCAGGAAATAAATAGTAAATGATCTAGAACATTCCAAATAATGCTACCACTTTAGTTCACTATTTCTGCCACTTATTTTCCACCAAAATCTTTAAAATAAAATCTTCTATGTTGAATATAAACATATCAAGCTGCTTGGTTAGTTTTCTTTTTGGTTGTTTTATTTTGATTTTCAGTGCCTAGTATATCAGAAACATTAAACCATAAGAAGGCTGTAAGTGAATAAACTGTTAGAGACTGGTACTATGACAGCAGGAGCAGTGACAGTGGACAATCTGGTAGAAAGAAAGGAGACTAAAGCATAAAAGGAGAGAAACTGTATTACAGTATAGGATAGAGATGAGTGACAATGACCAACATTTGTGTAGTGTTTTTATGATCTGGAGTTTTGCAAATTTATTGCTCCTTTCTTTTATCATTCCAAAACTCCTTTGAGGCATGCATCATTATCCTCATTTAACAATTGATGAGCTTCAGATTGTCAAATATTGCACAGCCAATAACAGAATCAGCAAGTCTAGGTCAAACTCTTTGATCAGTATTCTGACCAATTACCATACTGTCCATAATGATTACCCATAAATTGTTAATGAAAATTGAAAGTAGAGTCAATATTATATGTTTAAGGGGCATAAAATTCATACTCCATATTGATTTCTAAAACAATCTACACTAATTTGTACATAAACAGTTATATTTTAGACATCTAAACATTTCTCTCATATTGAATAGCTCTTCTGCCATTATTGATAGACAATGTGCCATTACTGAAATTTGAAGTATTTATTCATAATACCAAATTAAATCCATGATGCTTCCTTTTTGATGATTCACTATTTTTATGTGAACTCCAGCTTGAAAACAGACAATTGTAACACCTGCCCATTAACATTAACTGAAAAAAGGGATCTTATCATTTTAATTCAAAGATAGAAAAAGACATTTTCCTTTTCTTCTTCTTGTTATAACCTGAGAATAATATGTATCCCAAAAGCATATCATTTTCCCTTTCATGGAAACATCTTTATATACACCTTTCCCTTCATACATACAGCATTTTTAAAATAATGCTTCCTTTCAGTTGTAATTAGACCAGCAGACTTGCTTTTTGCACTCATATAGCGTTCTACAAGTTGAAATAGAATTAGTCTACTAGGGCATGCACTCACCAGGTTATGTCAGGCCTCTCCATTTTCTACTGTATTTGTGGTAGCTAGACTCTCAGATGGCCCCCAGTGATCCCCTTCTTTTGGTATTCATGCCCATATTGTAACAGGGTTGCATTGTGTGACTAATAGAATATAATAGAATTAATGATATGTCACTTTTGAGATTAGATTATAAAAGATCCTTATATTTGCTCTCCTGAATAATTTGCTATGGGGAAGCAGTTGCTTTGTTGTGAGGACACTCAGAGTAGCCTATGATGAGATCCATATGAAAAGAAACTGAAGTCAGCCAACCTCATGAAAGATCCTGAGCCAGAGCCCTACACTTGAGCCACTCTTTATTTTTTACCTATAGAAACTGTGAAATGACTAATACTATTGTTTAAAGTCACTAAGTTTTGGGGTAAATTGGTTATCCAGCAATAGATAATTAATACAATATTACATCTAGAATGTTTACCTGCACATATTTAAATGATTTTGAGAATGTAACTGTGTATTACTCAGGATAGTTAATATTACCTACCACAATACACAAATAGATCAAAGGTTTTTTCCTGTTCATGTCACAGTCAATTCCGATCCAGTGGTTCTTCCTGGTGACTTTCCCCTAAAGGTATATTGTAAATCTAGGCTTCTTGTTGGTAATAAACCCCTCTGCTAAAATTTATTCACTTTCAGCTATACATGAGGGACAGATAGCACGAAGAACAAACATCCATCCCTAAACTGTCTTGGACTATGAAAAAATATAGCGTTTCTCTCATATACTTATTTGTAAAAATTCAAGTACATGACCCTAGCCAAACTGCAACAAAAGCTAGTAAATGAAATCTTCTGTTTCCAGAAAGAAGAAATGATGTGTTTAACAGGTAGCCTTGTCTCTGCCACGTGACATTGGCTTTAGAGTCATAGTAGTGAAAGAGAGAAGCTAAATATGTTCAAAGAGAAACTCTGTACTATTAAGTACTCCTTGAATTTCTATTTTTTATGGCTTATTGACAGTCAGGATACTTTTATCACTTTGTTCCATTATTTAAAGAAATTGATTTCATATTGCTACTAACATGAAAGCAACTTTTCAATGTTTCTTCAGAAACGATAGCGAATGAACTCTGAAAACAAAAATATTGTAATGTACCGGTTATCTTTTACTGGATAATAAACAACTACAAAAACCTTGGCTATATATGATGGTAAGCAGTTATTGCTCGTGTGCTCAGCTGAAAGTTGGCTAAGCATTTCTGCCTAATTGACTGGGTTCACTTACATGTTCTGCAGTGAACTGACCATCAACTGATTTAGGTTGGTTTAGCTTGGGTGACTGGGATGACTTGACTCTGGCCAAATGTTTCCCATCCTCCAGTAGACTAGGTCAGAAATGTTTTCATGGTAATGACAGAGGCACAGGAGAGTACATAAGCTAAAGTGAAAGCTTATTTCAAGTCTCTGAATACATCACATATACTAGGATTCCGTTGGCCAAAGTAAGGTTAGAGGAGGGAGACTACAAAGGACATTGCAAAGTACGTGGATATAGGCAGTGGTAAAATTCAGAACATCAATGTAACCTACTATACACATGCATGCTCTGAAATATCAATTAATCAGTCATATTTCAACTTCAATAAAGGTAACCAGTCATTATCGATGCCTAAGAATAGCGCTTTTGGAATGGATACAATTTCTTCACATCCTCTTTTATATATAATAAAATTCAACATCTCAACTTGCCAAAATTGAAGATGAATATGCTGTTCTTTAGCTCTCAGTAGCAGTTCTTGTCCAAAAGGCCACACTGACATTGAATGTACCTTAATTATAAAACAAAAATTTCCTATAGATTTATGATTAAACAAAAATAACACTTAAAATATACATTGGGCTGGGAGTAGTGGCTTGCACCTGTAATCCCAGCACTTTGGTAGGCCGAGGCAAGAGGATCACATGAGCCCAGAAGTTCCAGGCTGCAGTGAGCTATCTTTGTGCCACTGCACTCCAGCCTGGGCAACAGAGCAAAAAAAAAAAAAGATATACACTGGCCAACAAGTTTTCAATAATATTAAAATTTTTTCCTCTTCATCTTTGGTTTTTATTCCTCAGAGGATTTTTTTTTTGAGACAAGGTCTGGCTCTGTCATTCATTCCAGTTGCCCAGGCTGGAATGCAGTGGTGTGATCATGGCTCATTGCAGCCTTGAGTTCCTGTGCTCAAGTGATCCTCCCACCTCAGCCTCCTGAGTTGCTGGGACTAAAGGCACGTGCCACCACACCTGGCTAATTTTTAAAATTTTTTTTTGTAGAGACAGGGTTTCACTATGTTGCTCAGGGTGGTGGTCTCAACTCTTGGACTCAAGTGATCCTCCTGCCTCAGCTTCCCAATGTGCAGGGATGACAGGCATGAGCCACCGCACTAGCATCTGAGGAAAATTTTTAAGGAAATCTGTCTGCCTGCCTTGGTGAAATAATCTTTGGCACTGAAGAGTATCCACAACATTCAATTATCTAAGACATCTTTAATTTAATTAATTTGAGTTACTTTTATTTAGCACATTATACCTGTCATTTTGCTAGGTGCTACTTTTTCAATGACTAACAAGAAAGACTTAGTTATTTACAAAGTTTATAATCTAATAGAAGATAAAAACAATAAATCAATAATTACCATATGATGCAATACACTGTAATTATATGCAGAAGTCTGTGGTGGTTAAGAAAACAAGAGAGCAACCTAAGCCAGGAAAGTTTTCAAGAAGAGGTTAAAAACTCAGATGGAATCTGAGCATGAGTAATTGACTCGTGGGAGGGACTTGTAGGAAGGATATTGGTTTCTTCTAAGCAGTAAATATTAAGTAAAGGAAGTCAGATTTATAAACACATTTAAAATGTACATTCAATAGTCTAGGTGATTTATTGAAAGCTGGGCATAAAGTGGAGAAAGCAGTTAAGCAAAGTATATAATTTTTATTATTGGGGCAACTGAACTTATTCAATACTAGAGAGAGATACAGTGTGAGGAGGAGTTCTGGTAGTAAAGATAACCTTATAATCTGGACAAAATCAGTTTAGGGCTCTGGTGGGACATTCAATGGGAAATATCTATAAGGCAGTTGGCTTCTTGTACTTGAAGATGAAGAGAAAGCCCTAGTCTGGAGGTAAACATTAATAAAATGTCACTTATATGTTAGCTGTATATCAGTTGGCTATTGAAGTTCTAAGAGTAGTGAAACTGCCCAGAGAGAGTGTGGTCTACCAAGCAAAAGAAAAAGCTTAGACCCGAAACTCAAAGAACTCCAATATTCAAGGTATGGACAACATAAAATCTATTCACAAGAAGAAAAACAGGAACTGCCAGAAATGTAAAAAGAAACAGGATAATATGTGATAAAAGCCAAAGAAGAGTTTTCAAAGGAAAAGGTTGTCAACATTTTTGAATGCATATGTTTTATCAAATAAAATAAGGTCCGAAAAAATCCACTAGCTTTATCAAGATGGCTGTCAATGTCCTTGTCAAGAGTGGTGACAGAAGTGTGAATGGAAACTAAAATGCAGTTAAATAAAATTAAATGAATATTTTGAAGCAGAGACTTGCAAATATATGTAATGTGTTCAAGAAAGAGATATGGAGAGTATCATGAGAACAAGGAACTTTATGAGAAACTTGAATGTTTTAAAACCCTACTGGTTTACAGAGGAAAAGGTTAAAAATCCAAATGGTAAACAAAGTAAGAGAGTGAGGTCTCAGAGAAATTAGAACAGATAGAAGTCACAGCATAGATGTAGAAATCAGCCATAGTAAATGGGATTACCAATTCTATTGCATCATTGGTGAAATTAGTAATTAGTAAAGCATCTCTGTGAGAAAAAAGGTGATTTTATGATCAACAAGGAAATCTAAAAGCATTCCACCAAGAGTTATGTACAAGGAAAAGGGTGCTCAAGGCCAGTACAATTAATTAATATTGCTTTGGTGGTAGTAGCCAAAGCAATCTGACAAAAGTAAAAAAAAGAAAAATTTTCCTATAGGACAGCAATTAATTTCTCAATACATATAAGGGAAGCTAGAAGAAAATGAAACAAAATGTCTGAGGCACAGTTATTTCAAACTATATTCAGCCAACCATCTATTAAGAATGAAAACAGTCATACTACTTTTCTCACATGCTGTCTTTTCCAGGAAACTGTATTAGCAAGATAAGCAAGAAAGAAATCAGTAAACAGAAAGTTCAGTACAGGATAATAATGGTAATAATAATCATTAAGTGGTGGAGATAGGAAATTATCTGATACATTTGCCTATATAGAAAATAATATTGAAAAACATTTTACAGAACTCTTGGCCTATTTAGGAAGGATTAGAAAAAGATAGTTTGAAAAGTAAGCAAATGAAAAAATAATATGATAATATGAGATGGCAGTGGCACAGGAGCCTGCTCTGAAAGGCCACGAAGATGGAAGACTGAAGCTTGGTTTTAATGGATGGTGCAGTGGAATAAAATAATGGATATTTTTAAAATAGTCTTCTCAGTTATTGTGTTCTGAGGGTTAATTCTAACAATTCTGGAATTTGCCTGAGATGTTTCACTGACGTATGAGATGTATCTGCATGGTACTGACTGCTGGTCAATGGTACTGGCTCCATGTTGGTGGTTTCCAATCCAAGTGACAAAGCATGGCCATTGAGGGCCTTGCAGAGGGGGACAATTGGAGCCTCCTCCAAACTTTGTAACCTCCTCCAAACTTTGTAACCTCTTGTTGTAAGTCAGCCTGTGGCTGTGACACGTATCCTGACTCTAAGACTTTTGACTTAATATATCCTTTCCCTAAAATAAACTGTAGATGGGCAAACCTTGTTATTTTGGGTCCTCTGAGTTTTCTTTAGAAATCTAAACTTGTTTGACTGCTACCATTAATTTAGTTATAGCAAAATATATAATTATATGTAATTATGTGCATGTTTATTTGAGAACTTCCTTAGGGTTTCATATATTTTTTTATCACCTTCAACTTTTCTGAAGTCCTGCTGCAATCCATTGTGCTTTCAAACATACGGTGCTAGCTTGGTGAGCCCAGTCTGTTTTTCCCTACAGATCCAGTTCATCTGAATCTACACTTGCTCTTGGAGGTCTTAGTAACAGGAGTATCCTTGCTTTTAGCTGGTTCGATTCTTCTAGGAGGCAGCTATAAAGTGTCCAGTGAATTTCTCTTTGCTCCCACCTCACACCCTGAAGTGTAGGTCTATAAAATCCTCATATATTAACCCAGCACTATCAAATAGGTGAAAACATACGGTTATTTTTTATATTCCTAGTGTGTGGATACTCAAGTTAGATGTTCCTTGTGTGCAGACTCGTATAGCACCATTTAGAGTGTGCACATCAGACAGCTTTTCTAATGATGGAATCTTAGAAAGCAGAGTCTATTGAATAAAGGACCCAATAAGATTAAATTTTATATATAGAAGTTCTTATTTTCAGCAGTTACTAGATTATTTTTTAATATGCAAGTATTTTATTTTGATTAGAACTATTTGAAAATTCTTATTTTAGAGAACAGCAAGACTGTTCACTATACAACTCATTCAATTTTTCAAAGGCGTCCACAGGTTTTATCAAATTCATATTATCCTGACAACTATATTTTGGAGTTACTCCAGGTATGCTAGTAGATTCATCATTAATCCACCTCACAATTGCTTTGGCTCATTCTAAAGTGTTGAAGTGAATAGCAGCACACTGTATCCTGCCTAAACAGTTGGGGAAAAGGTCTAGAGGCTGATGGTCTTCAGGTAGCTAAAGCCTTATATCAGGATTAGCCACTGGTAATGTCAGAGTCCAAGTATGTGTCCAATTTCATGGGTTAAAGACTTATAGAACCAAAGCAGCAAACTATTAGTGATTTCGGGAAGATAACAGTTATCAAAAATTGAATAGCCATTTGAAGATATTTTCTTGAGTTTCTTCACTTCACACTCACAGTGTGAAAGACAAAAACCACTGCCACACCTAGCAAAGCTGACTATCTCCTTACTATCTGCCAAAGAGCTTGTCCAAAGACAAAATTCCATGAGTCTCTTTTGCAAAGATCAATCATTGTTATTCCCATGATACAGAAGACACTTTCAGATTTATTCCTTTTTATGAACTTAAGGATTTTCTCTGTATGAATTTGTAGGTTGCGTGCTATCACTGACTCTAAAGGAGCGCCAAGTTGCGAAAATGGGAAAAAATTCTGTTCTACTGCCAAGCTATAGAAAAATGCTTCATAATGGCTCTTGGGCTATTTAATATATTCTTCTCTGATAATTTTGGTGTTGCCTAGAAATCCAATGAACTGTATATAAATACTGAATTTCTTCCGAGATTACTGATACACTGTTCAAAGTCTTGGAGAGGGGTCCTCAGGAAGGGGACCTTCATACCTGCTGCCAGGCCTCAAGACAGCCCATCCACCACCAGATTATTTTTGAAAAATCAAGATGTTTTCAGACATCCATTAGAGTTGCTTCAGGGCCTATACATATAAATTTGTTGAATCTTGGATAATGCATTTTCAGTACAAGCATTGACAACCAGTTGGCCTTTCAAAACTGCTTAGATATCAGAATGTTTTGTAACAGAACATTAACTTTTAGACATCAACTCCAATCTCTGGCTTGAAAAATGAAAATTTAATATTATAATGCACATTCATTTAGTGTTTCCCCAAGCTGGTGAGAATACACTACTTCAATTGTATTCTCAGTACATTAGAACTGGTAGGAGCTTTTGTTATGTCATAGCTTAGAAACTGATTGTTCCTGTTTGAAAAAAAATTAAAAAGCCTTGAAACCAATCTACCAACTACATGGAAAATCTCCTTATTATAATTGTCAATAAAAAACCCTGCTTGGGGTGAAATTTCAATTAGAGATTACAATAAAACAAAATCATCCAAAACTCATTAATATAGTGATGAAAAATGGATTGCAGATAGTTCCATTTTCACTACCAGCATATGATAAAAATGGATTTCAGAATTAATGAGCCTTTTGCAATGTTGCTTTATAATTTAAAAACTGTATATAATCTGTTGATTTTTTTTTCCTTTTTAAACATTTCTCTATGAAAAGCTAGGGAAATACTGAAATCAATGACCATATACAACTCTCACCTCAACCCCAAAATTAGTGACAATAATGAAAAATAGGGAATGAAATATCACTTACTGCTATAACAGGAAAAGGCTCCAATAACATGTCAGAAGCATGTACACCAAGTACAATACAATTTGGTCCTGGTTGAAAAAAGATATTGGGACCTGATTAAAAAAAAAAAACAAAAACAACTCTGTGTTGAGGAAACCTAGCAGCATTTTTCCTGAAGGACCCTGCTAAATGAATATCTTCTATATTGGAGGGACTGAGATTATTATGTAGGACTTCTTTACCAACCACACAAGTGAAAGCAGAATAGCAGATGAAAAACACAAGGTTGATTAGTACTAGTTTCTGAAGTCTAGAAGCAATGCTACAATGCACTTACAAACCAGACATAAATTTTCTTTGAAAAATACATGCCAACTAACAGAATGAGATTTTATTTCATATCCATGAGAATGGCTAAAATTAAAAGAATGACAAAACTGTATGTTGACAAAGTTGTGAGCAACCAGAACTCTCATACATTGTTGGCTGGAGTGTAAAATGGTATAACCATTTCAGAAAAAGTTCTGGCAGTTTCTTAATAAACTAACAATATATCTACCATGTGACAAAGCAATTCTCTCAAGTATTCGGCCAGGAAAAATGAAAACATATGTTTCCAGTAAGACCTTTAAATATCATTCACAAAAGTTATATTAATAATAGCCCAAATTGTATACAGTTCAGGGGTCAATCAATAGGAGAATGAACAAACTGTGGCATACTCAGTTAATAGAACACTATTCATCAGAAGAAAGGAACAAATTACTGATAAACTCAACAACCTGGATAGATTTCAAAATCATGCTGAGCAAAAGAGGCCTTATACAAAACAATATCTACTCTTTATTGCATTATATTCTATACTATGTTCACAAATGGAATAATATGTACTGCATTACTCTGCATACATGAAATTTTAGAACAAGTAAAAGTAATATGCAGAGAAAAATATTGGAATATTATTTGCCTCTGGAGTGGTAAGAACCAAGATTTTCTCAGAAAGGGGATAAGAGAACTTACAGGGGTGATATAATGTTTTATGTCTTGATAGATTGGGTTATATAGGTACATGCATTTGTCAAAACTCAGCAAATGTATATTTAAGATTAACACATTGCCTTATATGTAAATATTATATCAAAAGAGGAAACACAGTAAACAAATTTTACTATAGTTAATGATCTCCCTGCTGATGCATTTAGAGGGGACAGTACTAATGTCTGAAAATCCATTTGAAATGCATAAAAAATAAGATGGATTAATGGATGGATACATAAATGGCTAGATGGTCAAATGTGTTATAAAAACTACAGGAAAATGTTAATAATAGAATCCAAGTGTTGGGAATATGGAAATTCACTGTAAAATTCTTTAAACTTTATGTTTGAAATTTTTCACAATATATTTTTGAAAAAAAAAAACATAGATTCCTTTTAAAAAAAACTCCACAAAGTGAGATATTATGTTATTTTAATCTGACTTCTTACCAAAGCAGCCAGGCAACTAAACCGTTTTTTTTTTTCTTTCAACTTTTATTTTAGGATCAGGGGTACATGTGCAGGTTTGTTACATGGGTAAATTGCATGTTATTGGGTTTTGGTGTACAAATGATTTCATCACCCAGGTGGTAAGCATAGTATTTGATAGATAGTTTACCAACCCTCACCCTCCTCCCACTCTCCACCCTCAGTAGGCCCTGGTGCCTATTATTCCCCTCTTTGTGTCCATGTGTACTCAATATTTAGCTCCCACTTACAAATGAGAACATGTGGTATTTGGTTTTCTGTTCCTGCATTAATTTGCTTTGGATAATGGCCTCCACCTGCATCCATACTCTTGGCTGTACTCTTGCTGCTACAAAGGACATGATTTATTTCTTTTTCATGGCTCTATAGTATTCCATAGTGTGTATGTATCACATTTTCTTTATCCAGTCCACTGTTGATGGGCATATAAGTTGATTTCATGTCTTTGTTATTGTGAATACTGCTACGATGAACATATGAGTGTGTATGTCCTTTTGGTAGAATGATTAATACTCCTTTGAGTATATACCCAGTAAGGAGATTGCTGGGTTGAATGGTAATTCTGTTTTAAGTACTTTGAGAAATCATCAAACTCTTTTCTACAGTGACCCACCAGCAGTGTATTTAAACCAATTTGAAAGAAAGAGAAAAAGACTAAAAAGCACAAGACACTCTTTAACAAAACAGGTGTTTGTTTAACAGAGGACTAGTGTTGCAAGGTATCCAGAGAAAAAATACAAGTAGACAAGGACCCCAGTAGGAAGCTATAAGACAGCCAAATTTCTTCTCACTGACACTGAATAACTTAGTAGCTAAATATGGAAAGGAAATAAGCAGCTTCCAATCTCTGAGCTCAAATGTGAAGGATTTGATCTTAAATATGGTTTACATCACCTGAAAAAGGAGTCAAGTCAATGTCACCTTCATTTGTGTGGAATCCGGGCCCAGCTATGTCTGCTGAGAGCTGGACAAATGTTGGGATGGCCTGCCTGTGGAAAGGAGCTATCCACTCCAGGTCTCCTCTCTGTTGAGAGCTGGACACTTATTGGGACTAACTGTCTGTGGAAAGGAGCTACCCACTTTGGGTCTCCTGAGAGCTCTTCTGTCACTCAATGACGCTCCTCTCTGCCTTGCTCACCCTCCAGTTGTCCGTGTACCTCATTCTTCCTGGACATTGGACAAGAACTCGGAACGTGCGAAATGGCAGGACTGAAAGAGCTGTAACACAAACAGGGCTGAAACATGCCCCCTGCTCACCACGTTGCAAGTGACAAGAAGGAGAGAAGAGCTGCAGTCCCAGAGAAGGTGTCACAGCCCTTCAGAGAGCCTAGCCCCAGGGGCTCCCCAAGCCAGGGCTGTGACACCCTCTTTGGGACTCTGCGGTTCCTGGCAACTCCAAGCTTCCAGGTGCCACCACCTTCCCCTTGTCCAGATGCAGGTGCCCACAGTGGAAGCTGCTTGTGGTGCATCTGATCCAGCCTCAGGCTTCCACAGAACTGATGCCTTTGCCAGCGCCTGGAACGGTCCGCCCCGCCACAGCAGCCAGCATGCCTGGCTGTGTGCAGTGGTCGTACCCCATGCACACTTGCTCACACACCCCTTGCCACTCCATACCTGGCCCGCCCTTGGCAGATGTGGGTTCCAGGCTGGTAGCACAAGCCAACTGCAGCCTGCCAGGCTGAGTGGGTGGAATGAGCCCAGTGGGTCACAGTAAAACTCAGGCAAAGGCGCCACTGGCCACAGAGGCTTCCAGCTGGAAAAGCGACACCCTACAGATCCTGTGGCAAAAATATTTATGTTTAAACTCAGTACCATGAAAAATTAGAATAAATTATTTCTTTCAGACACAAAAGAGACATATACAGAAACAAATGTCTCTATATGTCCAAAGACAATGGCAATGAATTCCAAAAAGTAAACATGATTTAGACAAATCTTTGTGATCACAATGTAATTAATGACTCAACAAACATTCAAAAAAGAAATAAACCTAAGAAACAGGATCCTTAATGAATGAGTTAAAGAAAATGTCAGAACTTACATTGAAGAATATCTTAAAAATAGTAAGACTAAGAACACACAATTTAATCTCTAAGAGGATGTTTTTCTATACAAACAAGAAGGTTAAATCACTAAGCATTTCCAATACTAATAAAGAAACTACAAAACTACTTCATTTTAAAATATTAGTAAACAAAAAATATAAATATATCAAAGGAAAAGTATTCATACAGATTCAACAGATAAAAGTGGAATATCATGGCACGCGCCTGTAGTCCCAGCTACTCGGGAGGCTGGGGCAAGAGAATTGCTTGAACATGGCAGGTGGAAGTTGCAGTGAGCCGAGGTTGTGCCACTGCATTCCAGCCTGGGCGACAGAGCCAGACACCATCTCAAAAAAAAAAAAAAAAAAAAAAAAGGTGGAATATCTTCTTTTCAACATACAAAATAGCAGTATTGACAAATAATTCCAAATAAACATGCATCAGCTAACCAGCTAACCTAATCAAACTAACTTAATCAAAAGAAAAGAGTAAAACTAGGCTAAACTAAATCCTGCAATATGCCAGTGTGCTGGTAGGCCCAGGCTAGAGTTTTCCATCATCTGAAGCTTACTATTCTCTTTAATAACCTGTAAAAGATAACTAACGTAATTTGGAAGCAAGGGGAGGTTGGATATTAGTTGTTCTATGTATGATTTTTTAGGCATTGAAAACTAAATTTCCCCAAGGGTGTTTTATTTGCTTTCTGCATAAATTCTTTGTCAGAAAACATAGTTTTATTGTTCACCACCATGGTAAAGTTGTAGGGGATGGAGGTTATTACGAAAAAAGATCTCTCTCTGCCCTGTACTTCCCTCTCCTCCCCTACAATCTGTTCTTCTCTCCTTCCTTCTCTTGCCCTCTCCCTTATCCCTCTCCTAATCATTCCACTTTTCATTAAGCTATGGCTGATGCCTTGTCTCTTCTGGCAGGCAAAGAAAGGTGTCATCCTATGGACAGGAATAATTGCCTGTAATCATCAGGATGGCTTTGTAGGACCACTTTGTGCTCTGAGATGCAGAAAGGCCAGTAAAGAGAGGCATGATGTTGCCCACATTCAGTCTTGAATTAGCTTTTATGGGGAGGAAACAGTACCTTATAGTACGGATTTATTGGAATGGGGAAGGTACTAAACACAATACAGAGAAGATAAAACCACACTGCAAAGGGGACAATTTGAGATGACTATCTCTTTTTCCTGTGTATGATGGAGAAGGGGAACCATTTACTGGGTTTGGTATGGGAAGGACTAAAGCTAATTCTTTTTTTTTTTTGATAGGAATTGCTTTTTTATTTATTTATTCATTTATTTATTTATTTTTTATTATACTTTAAGTTTTAGGGTACATGTGCACATTGTGCAGGTTAGTTACATATGTATACATGTGCCATGCTGGTGCGCTGCACCCACTAACTTGTCATCTAGCATTAGGTATATCTCCCAGTGCTATCCCTCCCCCCTTCCCCCACCCCACAACAGTCCCCAGAGTGTGATATTCCCCTTCCTGTGTCCATGTGATCTCATTGTTCAATTCCCACCTATGAGTGAGAATATGCGGTGTTTGGTTTTTTGTTCTTGCGATAGTTTGCTGAGAATGATGATTTCCAATTTCATCCATGTCCCTATGAAGGACGTGAACTCATCATTTTTTATGGCTGCATAGTATTCCATGGTGTATATGTGCCACATTTTCTTAATCCAGTCTATCATTGTTGGACATTTGGCTTGGTTCCAAGTCTTTGCTATTGTGAATAGTGCCGCAATAAACATACGTGTGCATGTGTCTTTATAGCAGCATGATTTATAGTCCTTTGGGTATATACCCAGTAATGGGATGGCTGGGTCAAATGGTATTTCCAGTTCTAGATCCCTGAGGAATCACCACACTGACTTCCACAATGGTTGAACTAGTTCGCAGTCCCACCAACAGTGTAAAAGTGTTCCAATTTCTCCACATCCTCTCCAGCACCTGTTGTTTCCTGACTTTTCAATGATTGCCTATCTAACTGGTGTGAGATGGTATCTCATTGTGGTTTTGATTTGCATTTCTCTGATGGCCAGTGATGATGAGCATTTTTTCATGTGTTTTTTGGCTGCATAAATGTCTTCTTTTGAGAAGTGTCTGTTCATGTCCTTCGCCCACTTTTTGATAGGGTTGTTTTTTTCTTGTAAATTTGTTTGAGTTCATTGTAGATTCTGGATATTAGCCCTTTGTCAGATGAGTAGGTTGCGAAAATTTTCTCCCATTTTAGAAGAATCAAATAGACACAATAAAAAATGATAAAGGGGATATCACCACCAATCCCACAGAAATACAAACTACCATCAGAGAATACTACAAACACCTCTACGCAAATAAACTAGAAAATCTAGAAGAAATGGATAAATTCCTCGACACATACACTCTCCCAAGACTAAACCAGGAAGAAGTTGAATCTCTGAATACACCAATAACAAGATCTGAAATTGTGGCAATAATCAATAGCTTACTAACCAAAAAGAGTCCAGGATCAGATGGATTCACAGTCAAATTCTACCAGAGGTACAAGGAGGAACTGGTACCATTCCTTCTGAAACTATTCCAATCAATAGAAAAAGAGGGAATCCTCCCTAACTCATTTTATGAGGCCAGCATCATTCTGATACCAAAGCCAGGCAGAGACACAACAAAAAAAGAGAATTTTAGACCAATATCCTTGATGAACATTTATGCAAAAATCCTCAATAAAATACTGGCAAAACGAATCCAGCAGCACATCAAAAAGCTTATCCACCATGATCAAGTGGGCTTCATCCCTGGGATGAAAGGCTGGTTCAATATACGCAAATCAATAAATGTAATCCAGCATATAAACAGAGCCAAAGACAAAAACCACATGATTATCTCAATAGATGCAGAAAAAGCCTTTGACAAAATTCAACAACCCTTCATGCTAAAAACTCTCAATAAATTAGGTACTGATGGGACGTATTTCAAAATAATAAGAGCTATCTATGACAAACCCACAGCCAATATCATACTGAATGGGCCAAAATTGGAAGCATTCCCTTTGAAAACTGGCACAAGACAGGGATGCCCTCTCTCACCACTCCTATTCAACATAGTGTTGGAAGTTCTGGCCAGGGCAATCAAGCAGGAGAAGGAAATAAAGGGTATTCAATTAGGAAAAGAGGAAGTCAAATTGTCCCTGTTTGCAGACGACATGATTGTATATCTAGAAAACCCCACTGTCTCAGCCCAAAATCTCCTTAAGCTGATAAGCAACTTCAGCAAAGTCTCAGGATACAAAATCAATGTACAAAAATCACAAGCATTCTTATACACCAACAACAGACAAACAGAGAGCCAAATCATGAGTGAACTCCCATTCACAATTGCTTCAAAGAGAATAAAATACCTAGGAATCCAACTTACAAGGCATGTGAAGGACCTCTTCAAGGAGAACTACAAACCACTGCTCAAGGAAATAAAAGAGGATACAAACAAATGGAAGAACATTCCATGCTCATGGGTAGGAAGAATCAATATCGTGAAAATGGCCATACTGCCCAAGGTAATTTACAGATTCAATGCCATCCCCATCAAGCTACCAATGACTTTCTTCACAGAATTGGAAAAAACTACTTTAAATTTCATATGGAACCAAAAAAGAGCCCGCATGGCCAAGTCAATCCTAAGCCAAAAGAACAAAGCTGGAGGTATCACACTACCTGACTTCAAACTATACTACAAGGCTACAGTAACCAAAACAGCATGGTACTGGTACCAAAACAGAGATATAGATCAATGGAACAGAACAGAGCCCTCAGAAATAATGCCGCGTATCTACAACTATCTGATCTTTGACAAACCTGAGAAAAACAAGCAATGGGGAAATGATTCCCTATTTAATAAATGGTGCTGGGAAAACTGGCTAGCCATATGTAGAAAGCTGAAAGTGGATCCCTTCCTTACACCTTATACAAAAATCAATTCAAGATGGATTAAAGACTTAAATGTTAGACCTAAAACCATAAAAACCCTAGAAGAAAACCTAGGCATTACCATTCAGGACATAGGCCTGGGCAAGGACTTCATGTCTAAAACACCAAAAGCAATGGCAACAAAAGACAAAATTGACAAATGGGATCTAATTAAACTAAAGAGCTTCTGCACAGCAAAAGAAACTACCATTAAAGCTAATTCTTGAGATATGGATGGAAAATATAGAAAATCAGATGATGAAAAAATTACCACTAATTTTACCATCCTGGCAAGGTATTTAAGACTTGAAACATTTTTCTCTGTATATTTAATAATTGCTATCTGTGATCAATTGTGTATATGATTCTTATTTTTTATTAAAGTTATTTGTAAAAATATGAAAAATGTAGGAAATTATAGTAATGATGAAAAACCATCACCCCAAATCCCACCACCCAGATATTACTCATTATTTGTGTGCTTTACTATATTTATTATTAAGTATTTTTATAACAGTTTATATCATTCAGAATATATTGAAATTTTAAAAATAGTTAACTCAGGATATTCATAAATCCTACATTGAAGATTTTTTAATGGTAGGGACAACAATATAATGACTACAAAAATGGCTCAATTCATACAATATAATATTTAAAGTTAAAGAAAATCATTAAATTTTCCTAATAAAAGCAGGATTATTATAATTTTCTATTCAAGTATGCATCTGTGGATAGAGAGAAAACTCATTTTGGGTTGCAATTTCAGCCAGAAAAGTCTCCAAAACAGTTTAGTTATTATCACTAATTATTGGGTTAGGACATCAAGAGGTTTAGTTTATGTCATCCTCAAAAAATGACAAGATTTTCTCACTAAATCATAAGATGAGAGACACATAAAAAATTAAACAACGCAAAACAATACTGTAAAACCTTCTAATACTGGAGTGATCTTGTAATTATTGTAAGAAAAGAACTTTGGCAAGCACTGAAAACCATTC
Organism: Homo sapiens; assembly: GCF_000001405.40. Classification (NCBI taxonomy): domain Eukaryota; kingdom Metazoa; phylum Chordata; class Mammalia; order Primates; family Hominidae; genus Homo; species Homo sapiens. Next base: position 27,228,305 of record NC_000023.11, read on the forward strand.
ACTCTGAGTGACAGAATCCACCTGGTAATGAATCATCCAAAGATACACTGCATTCAGGGCATTCAGCCTGTTAAGGAAAGTCAATTTTAATTATGATTTAACTATCTTAGATGTTAGCATTAATTAATTTTTGAAAAAGTCTTCAGGTAGTATTTTGAAAAAAGGTGCACGGTTAGTATATTTTCTAAGGTCTTAACTTTTCAAGGATAAAATTATTTTTCTCCATGAATGAAAAGTGATTTAGCTTGATTCTCAAGTCACCACATTTTCCTCCTAGGAAGTCTAAAAGTATGAATTCATTGTCCTCTGGTACATCATATTGAAAACAAAAAACTAAAGGCAATCTTGTTCTCATTCTTTTCTAGGTAACTTTTTTTTCTTCCTAGATTTTATAGGTCTGTACAGTAAACTTTGTAATGTATTTCATTTGATATAGTATCTAGAAATGGTTTTTCTAAGTTTTTTCTGATGTTCAATGAACACTTCAATCTTCACACTCGGGCCAGTTTTTGTTTTTGGTTATTGTTCAAAAATTAATTTTTCATCAATTATAACTAATCAAATGGTTATTGTTTCTTTGTCTTTGTCTCTTATTTCCATACTTTGTATTTAATTATCCACCTGTGTCAGCACAATCATCACTGTATGTAGTAAACTCTTTGATTTTTAAATTTTTATTCATTTTTTAAAATATTTTTTTGAGATGGAATCGTGCTCTGTCACCAGGCAGGAGTGCATTGGCGTGATCTCTGCTCACTGCAACCTCTGCCTCCTGGGTTCAAGCGATTCTTCTGCCTCAGCCTTCCAAGTAGCTGGGATTACAGGTGCCTGCCACCATGCTCAGCTAATTTTTGTATTTTTAGTATAGATGGGGTTTCACCATGTTGGCCAGGCTGGTCTCAAACTCCTGACCTCAAGTGATTTGCCCACCTCGGCTTCCCAAAGTGCTGGGATTACAGGTGTGAGCCACCATACCCGGCCTGTCTCCTGTTAACATTTTACAACTTCTCCAGCAACTCTGCTACAATAGAGCATTATTTTAATAAAAACCTGGCATTACTGCTCATTAGCAATGAAATCTGCTACTCCATTTCATTTGCCCTAAAATCTTTCCTTATTTCTAATTTCATGACATTTTATCCACATTTTCTCTTATTTATTTATTTATTTATATTTATTTTTTTATTTATTTATTTTTTTTGAGACGGAGTCTCACTCTGTTGCCCAGGCTGGAGTGCAGTGGCTCAATCTTGGCTCATTGCAGCATCCACCTCCTGGGTTCAAGCGATTCTCCTGCCTCAGCCTCCCAAGTAGCTGAGATTACAGGTGTGCACCACCATGCCCAGCTAATTTTTGTATTTTTAGTAGAGCTGGCGTTTCACCATGTTGGCCATGCTGGTCTCGAACTCCTGACCTCAAGTGATTTGCCGCCTCAGCCTCCTAAAGTGCTGGGATTATAGGTGCAAGCCACTGCATTCTGCCAAAATTTTCTTTCAATTAATCCTGTTGTCTTTTCACTTGAGCCTGGTGAATCTTGGCTTTCTTACACTTTAGAACTTAACATTTGTCTCGCATTCTTTGTGAATAGCAAACATTTCCAAATTATTGGTCTGATTAATGTGGACTACTATTTCCAGATGTATGCTGGAGGAAAACAGAATATGTCATCCCCAAATGCCTCTTCAACATAAGCTTATTTTAAGCTGAAGACAATCAAGAAGGAGCAAATGCAGGAAAAGGTCTCTCTAACTTTTTCTGCTTAAACACAGGATAAAAATTCTCCTTTACTGGAGACAATTCTAGAGTATTATCAGTCCAGACTTAGCACCAGACGGATGTGCAAACAAACCTTACTCCATTAGTTTATTTCCATATATTTACCTTCCTAATATTTCCCACTTTTGAAAGCCTAAAACTACTTCACTTTGTACTGTAATTTCTCTAAATGTACTGTTCTTTGTTGAAGATGCTAGATAAGCCAGGGTTTTAAGCCATCACTTTGAGTTACTTTTAGATGAAGTTTATCCCCTGTGATGTGAGCTGCAAGTATTAATACACTCTTGTTGCTTCTCTTGTCAGTTTATTTTCTGTTGGAGTTCCAACAGAAAACCTAAAATGCGTAGAGTTAAAGTTTTGCCTCCCTTATGATGCTCTGTCTTTGAGCTTTCAGAATTGTTTCCCCTCTTCATGAGAATATACTTTTAGGACCATCTATCCTTGCTTTCCCCCACAGATAGGTTGGATTAGGGACAAAGAATTTATGCTTAATTCTTTCAAAAACTCTCTTTCAGATAGACTAAGCTGCTACTCCGCACTCAATTTTATAGCTCTCTCCCTCTCTCCCTTTTTTTTTTAAACAGGAACATTGAGACAAATTGGCATTTCAATTTTATTGGTCTAACCCCTGATATTGGATAGGAAGGTAGTCCTTGGGGAGCTGAAACCAAATGGTTTAATGTCTTAAGTAATAGCTAAGTTAACATTTTATACCACTCTGTTATGCTGTTTTTTTTTTGTTGTTGTTGTTGTTTAAAAAGTTTCAGAGAAGAAACAAAGTTAAAGTGGCAAAAGAAAAGAAAAGAAAAAGCCCTGATAGTCAATGCTTTTCACTACAGGAACTTAAAAAAATATTATAACAAAAGATTTTAATAATATTTCATCAAATGTTAATCTCAAATCAATTTGCTATCTTTGTTGATTGAGAAAAACAAACAAAAAGGGCACACCTTCATTATTCCTTAAATAGTTATGGCTATTATGCTCTAAAGTAGTGGTTCTCAAACGGTAGTAATTTTGCCCCCATGGAACATTTGGCAATGTCTGGAGACATTTTCAGTTGTCCCAACTGGGCAGAGGACAGTGGCACTAACATTTAGTTGATAAAAGCCTAGGATCCTACTAATAATCCTATAATGTACAGGAGAGCACCCCACAACAAAAAATTATGCAGCCCAAAACATCTGTAGTGCCTAGGATAAGAAGCCCTGTTCTCTTGTTCTAGAGCCTGCTGGTATCTTCTACCTTAATTATTTTAAGGAGAAATTTTGGGATTTAAGATATTTTTGCATGAGTAAGAGATAAGCCTCCACATAGATTATTTCTTCCTTAGGAATTGTGCAGCCTGATTGTACAGATCCTGACAATAATTCACAGTCCTTTTCAAACTGTCAAGATCTCTTGGTCAAATACTTTATTAAAATCTTCAACAAAGACATGATTTTGAGAGATCAAAGTTCACTTTATTTTAAATAAAATTTCTGCAATGTATCAGAAAATCAGGCAGGATATTCTCAAATAACTGAAATGACAGTTTGGCTGGAGAAAACATTCCAAAAGTGACAAACAATATTTGAGCCCAGATATGCTAACTGGAGGAAAAAAGTCATCTTCTCTGAACTAGTTCTTTTTTTAATAGGTGAAGTTTGAAAAATAATACGTAGACTTTTATCTGCTAAATAGATATAAAAGATTTTTAACCAAGCATTGAAGAGATAAAAAAGATAAAACCATTACCCAATGACTAAAATAGATCTAATGAAAATAATTTTGAGGCAAGTCAAAATATTGTAATTGCTGTGTTTTCTTAAGATTTTTCTTCCTTTATTCCTCAAGCATTAGTCGGAAGCATTCGGCCAATAATCAGCAAAGCCAGCCCAGAAGGAAAGAAAGTTAGGTATAAAAAGTGTGAAAAGGATAAGGATATGATGTTGGAATCTATACGGCTTCAGAGACAATTAATTTTGTGAAAAATAGTAAACAACATTGGAATCATGTAGATATAGTGAGAGGCGAAAAGGACAGTAATACTGTACTAAAATATCTAGCTCTATCTAGTATGATATCCTAATCTAATGGGCAGACACATCATAAACTTTAATGGAGTAATTTGGTGATTGTACATTCTATCGCCCTAAAACTTTAAGTGTATCACATTTATCACCATTAACATTAATGGAAAAATCTACAAGAGTTTGAGTTATAAACATGAATAGCTGTTTGGGAAGAACAGGAAAACCATCCGTAAGTGGGAAATCATGTTAACTATTAGAGTATAACTTTATATTTAAAAATAAAATACCAATTGATTTATGCAATTGATTAAAAATTGGACAAAATCTTTTAAGCACATAAGATTACTTGAAATAGTTATTAACAAGGAAGGGTGTGTGGACTGGACTATGAGACTTGACTTAAATCGTAATTGGCCATCTATTGGAATATCCAGAATTTTAAATATGTCATTTCTCCCCAGATTGATCTGTAGTTCCATTAAATTTACAATAAAAATCTCAGCAGGTTTTAATCTGGCTTTCTTTTTGTGTATGTGGAAATTAACCAAACGACTATAAAATTTATATGGTAAAGAAAACCCAAATCAATTTAGATTAAACTGAGAGAACATATTTTACTGGATACCAACATTTATTATAGAGCTAAAGTATTTATGACAGCATGGTATTGGTAAATGAATGCAATAATATATTTTATTATCTTCCTGCAAATGGTTGAACACAATCAAGATGAACAAACCAGTGTTTCTTGCATCATTAAGGAAGAATTTTAAACATAATGTGGAGAAAAAAAAGACAGCCATCCACAAAAGAATGTATGCTAGGTGATACCTTTCACATCAAAAGTAAGGAAATTAATATATGCTGTTAAGTTATGATAGTGCCTACCTTTGTTAAGGAGGAAGTTATAGAATTCAGGGTGGGGCATACAAAGAGTGGTGCAATAATGTTTAATTTAATTTCTAGAATGGGTGACGGTCACTCAAGTATGATTACTTTGTGACAATTCAATGATATGTATACTCTGGAGTTGTGAATGTTTCTGTAAGAATTTTGCACTTTAATTAAAAGAAATAAAAGGGGACTTCTACTGGTCTATAAGGAACGATTTGTTTAAGTTGCAAATGAATCAAATGTAATGAATATTAATGAGTTCATGATGTTATTCAAAAAATCCTATTGGTCACCACTGGATGCTGCTAAGGCACAATTTCATCACTCTAAACACTGATAAGTAGAAGGAAATAATACAAATTTATCCTCCATTGCCCATACAATCTCTATGTCAGAGGAAACAAATAATTGGTGAAGGAAGTTCTTCCTCATAAAAAAAATTTCTGCTAAAAAATACAGAAGGTATGATAGTATTATAAAATTGCAATTTTAAAATCTAATGAAATAATGGAAATAGCCAATAAACTTCAATGGATGCTCAAACTTTTAGATAAAGTTGTGATGGATACATTTATAATGGTGGGATAAGACTGATAACCACATGAACCTAGTGATCAGTCTTAGTATAACAAATAACTAGACACCACTACATTATTTGACTCCTATTATGATGCAATAGGAAATAAACAACATCATCTATAAAATACTTAGTCAGAATATTGCTTCATTATACAATAAAGCCTATAGATCTATCTGAAGTTTACAGGAAATATGGGGTTTGGGGAATGGGTATAATAGTATAAAAAGTAAAAGCAGACCATGAAGAAAGAAAAGTAAAATTTATAATATAAGTCATTTTATAGGACAAGTGACCTAGTTTAACAAATCAATGGCATTAAAAAAAAGTGAGGATTCTGTTACAGAGTAAAAGAGCCGCTAGAGACCTAATAACCAAATGTAATTTATGGGATTTATTTGAATCCTGATTTAAAAGAAAAAAAATTGGGAAGCCACCTTTGAGGTAACTAGGAAACTCAAATATGGATCAGGTAATGGTTGATATTAAGAAACAATTGTTAATTAAGTATGATAATAGTATAGTGATTATGTTTTTTAAAAGGCACTGATCAGTTAGATATTCTAAATGAAAAAATTGCAGTTGAAATGACATTGTATCTTTGTTTCGTTTTTAACTTCTCCCCCAAATTTTTACTTACACACACACACACACACTCACACACATACACTCACACACACACACACTTCATAAATATGGGTACTGCTGTCCCCTAATATCACCAGACAACCCGTTAATAAAGAAACGCTAGATCTGTTCAAAATCATCTCAGGAAAGAAGAGCACCATTGTGATAGAGTCTTAGCAGTTTCTCAGGCTTGAGTGGTTTAAGGCAGGGAATTGAATGGGATTGGGAAAAGTTCATAATATAATAATTTAGGACTAGTGGACACAGTGATGTATCAAGGATCTTAAAGCAAGTCTTCATAAGTAAGTTGTTGTTTTATAAGTGAGCTGTTTACCCAGATGAGACTATTCTCTTTGATAAATTAATTTGTAGGAATTTCCTGAAGTGAACAATGAAGTTATTCATTATTTTAGTCTTATCTTTCCAGAGCAAAGGATTCCTGGAAAGAAAACGAAGCAATTAAGTCATGTTAACCTAGATGATCTTAATTCTCAGGAGATAAATAAGATTTGAAAAATATTGATAACTGCTTAAGCTTCATTGGGTATAAAGAGTCGGTTAATTCTATTTCTTTCTATAGTTCTATGTTAACTTGAAAATATCCATAATAGAAGCATTTCACCAATGCTGAGGTAGTCTTCTTTCACACAGTCTAAAGAAGCTACTTGGTTGCAGATGAACATTTGGAAAACTAAAGAAAGAATTGGTTCCAAAGGACTGGACAAAAAAGGGACTGGATAAACATAAGGAAAAATACATAATGTACTAATGTTGTGGTTAGAATATAGTTATCTGATGTAGATTATTTTGAATTAAAACACCTGCAAAATTGGTATTTTAGCTAATTTTGGGAACTTAACATAATCTAGATATTCTGTAAATATATAATATGTATCATATCATTTAACTCTCACAAAAGCCCTGTGAAATTGGAATTCTTTGTAGCAGCAGTTTGCAGTTTACTAACACTTGGCAAGCTTCAGTTATGTGTCTAAGGATAAAAGACTAGAAACAGGTGGAATGAGATTCCAACAGATCCTCCTTTGACTCCAAAAACTTAGAGCTAAATTGCTGCAATAAACAAGTTTTACTTCACAAAATGGAATGGTTTTCTTTTCTAAAGTATTATTTTCATTTTTTAGCATATAGAAACCTCACACTTCATATGGAGTCCAGTGCTTCTGAACGTGTCCAACATGCTTTGAGAAAAGAAAGTGACCCTAAGACCTATCTGAAGAGAACAGAAGTAACTCCATATAAAGGGTGTTTATACTTAAATGCTCAAGTTGGACAAATACCATTGCAGCCAAATTTCACTTACAGTCTTGATAAATGGATGAGAGCCCCTGACTTTGAACTACCAGTACTTAGACGCAGCTGAGAATCTGGTCATTTGTCAACATTATTGCTTGCTTTCATTTTAGAAACACAAGCAATGTGCTCATGCACTAACATTAGTGCATACAAAATGTGCAATCTATCATCATCATCAACAAATATTTATGGAGCACTCACTGTATGTAAAAGCTAGTTTCAGAAGTTGCAATGGAAATTTATGTGGAATAGAGAAACCATCCTATTGTTTTTTCCCTTCCTTTTCTTTTCATTCACACGTTTCTAAGCACTCTGAATGCTCTCTCTCTCTCTCTATATATATGTATATATAAAATATATATAATTATAATTATTATATAGGTGTAATTACAGTTGTATACATGGAAAGTATGCAAAATATATATGTTTCTAAGACACGCACTCTCTCACTATATATTATAATGATACATATATTATACATACATAATTTGCCCATCAGAAATCTGATGACTTTAGAAAACTAAAAATCTCTTTTTGCTCCCTGAAATAATTTATATTGAGTTCCAGTTCCATAGTAATGATTCTTCTGCAAGGAAGGTGGTGATTTTAAAATATGACTTAAAGAAGTGATCAATCAGGCATTAGATTGGAATTAGTACTCTTATTTTGCATTTGAAAAGATGGAAAGAAATATAAAAGATGTTCTCACTTGAAGATACTGCCAGCTACGGATACCGTTTTGAGTAGATATCAGAAAGAAGCTTGCTCATTTTCCTATGCACACTTACGTGTCCTGACCCGGAATTCAGTTAGTTCTGCTATGGTTTGTATCTCACAAACCTATTTACTAAGCAAATGATATTTTGTCCCTGATATTATCCTTATACAAGCAATGGCAAAGACATTTTAATTTCATTTTTGCAAAGGAGAAATTTGTAATAGTATTTGTTTAAAATATGCTATAATTCACCCACTTTTGAGTAGAACTGGTGTTGGTCACAAAGAGAGATCATTGGATTACTAGGTAACATATGTTAAGTACTACTTTTAGTTTTAAAAAAATCATTCGTGATTAACTTCCTTCATTTATTTTAACTAAATGACTATCAAGTTATAGCTGTCATTTGAAATTGGAGAGGATTAATTACACATTTTAATCTATTTCTTTCGAGATGCTGTTGACTTCAATTTAAAAACAACCTTTCATGCTTTCAGTAGAGCAGATGCAGTATTAACATCACCACATTAAAAACTCACATTGGTTATAATATTGATTCCAAAGTGAGAAAGTTAAAATATACAAAAATATTATATATATATATACACACACACACACACACACACACACATACATACCTTACCAACATTTTCTATTTACATAAGGTCAGAGGTTAAAATGAAAACACACATTGTTTGCTTTGGAAGGCTACTTTTGGTTAGGAAGAGGATAGCAGAGAAAAACAAGCAATACTTGCATCATCATATCAGTAATAATAATAGCTAATATTTATTGAGTTCTTAACATGTGCCAGTCCTTGGTTTAAGCCCTTTCAGTTTATCCTCTCCTTACACATCAGCAAGGTGGTAGCTTCAAGTCACAGAAAAAATATAATACTGGCTGAGTAGGAAAAGACCAACATAATATGTGAAAATCTTCAACATGAACATATGACTAAGACACATTTATTTTTTCCAGTATTTTATTATGAAAAATCTCAAGCATACAGAAAATTTGAAAGAATCATACAATTAACACTCATATATGCACCACCTAGATCCTACAAATCATATTTGCATCTTTGCTTGATCAAATTTCTATACATTCAGGAATCCATCGATCCATCTTATTTTTAATCCATTTTTAAAGTAAGTTCAAGCACCTGATTTTGTCACTATAACCGTACAGAAAAAAAAAGGAAGCCCTGTTTAGACAGAATCTTAGAAAACTAATGTTTTTATCATACCACAAATGGGCACTTATTTTTAATAGTCTATTTAATAGATTCTAGGTTCTAACAGACTCTATTAGATACCAGTTAATGTCTAAATCTATATCTTGCCTCCAAAATGCAGTTATGATGATTTAATGAGGAAAAGATATACAACACTTAGTACTGTACTCTGCCTAGAGTAAGCCGGTGTTCAATAAAGTATGGCCAAAATAATGATGCTACTGAGAAAAGCAAAAGCAACCAATCCATTGGCTTATACTGCATAGAATCAGTTATTATACTGGAGGGCTTAGAACAAGGCAGAATAAGAAAATCCTTAAAAGAGAGAGAAGAGAGTATTCATCCAATATTTTATATCTGTATCCAGAAATTTTTGAAAAATTTTAGGCTATTAAAATTAATCAACTAAAAAAAGATGAAAATACAGATCAGAAGCTATTTAGAATAAAGAGAGATGAAGTCACCAGGGAATGCAGAAATATTATCACATGAACATGTTTACCTAATTCTCTCTATAATGTGTTTTTTGTAAACAGTACTTTTCTCGAGTCCTTAAGGACATCAACTAAAAGTTATACATGAGCTTAAATTGCAAAGAAACAATTATTTACCACAAATATTTTAGCACCTCAGATAAACAGGTAATAAGTATAACCTTCTCTTGTGAAAATTGAGGCATTTAATAAATTTCTTATTCCAAAATTTACCACATCCTCACACAGAAAAAAATGTCACAAATATGATTATAAGCAAGGTCAACCATATCCTTAAAAGCAAATTTGGATTTCTATTGATGTAGGTGTAATCAGCCATGACACCACAGCACAAGCCAGAAAGAAAAAACAAGAGTCATTTTAGCCTGAATAACTTTAAAAAGCAAGTGAAAGAGTTCACTCAGTTGAAAATAAAATAACAGAGAATCAAAAATATGTGATTTTGGTATTGGAGGAAAGAAAAGGAAAGAATATTGCCTTAAGGTGGGTTTACCAGAATGAATTGGCTGCAAAATACCCCTAAACACTTGAATGGTGGAATTATTTATAATCTTCATTTTGATGCTTAAGAATGCTAGCCCAATGCATTGGTTTTAAAATAAGATTAGCTATTGTCAAGATATTATTTTGCAATTTATTTTGGTAAAAGTATACTGAAAGAAATCTGCTCTAAGGGTCATTACTGGTTAGGGATTTTAAGAGTCAATCCAATAAATAGGCTATTGGGAATCATTAGGTATCCTATTAACAGACCTGAGGTTTGTACTTAGTATATGGAGTCACGGATCAGTGTTTTTTATACTTTTGTCTTTCTTTAGGGCATGAATGATAAAAGAAATCATTTATGTGTAAGAAAGGCTAATCATAACTGTATACACAATATTAATTTGTATTTTTTCTTGTTAAACAGATTCCAAATAAACAGAATGAAATGCCCTTTGAAATGGAATGTTATCAAACTTGTCCCTAATACTCTTAAACATGTATTTATATTAATTCTAAATATAAGAAGGTTATGACCTATTTCCAAATTTGCCTATCTTTTATTAAGATGTACTTCTGTCCTGATAAACATTTTAAGATACCCATCCAGATAAACACCTATAAACCTGACAGAGTCCCTGATCCAAGTGGTTTTATATTTTGAAAAGATAACAGGGTTAGGTAGTTTTTGCTTCTATACTTAAATACATTCAAAAGATTGTCTTTAAAAATATTTATTCTATTAGGCAATAGAAGAAAAAAGATTTATTCACAGATATTGATATTGTGTGTTGATATGGTTTGGCTATGTCCACACCCAAATCTCATCTTGAATTCCCATGTGTTGTGGGAGGGACTGAGTGAGATGTGATTAAATCATGGGGGCGGGTCTTTCCTGTGGTGTTCTCAGGATAGTGAATAAGTCTCATGAGATCTGACTGTTTTGAAAATGGGAGTTTCCCTGCACAAGCTCTCTTTTTTGCCTGCTGCAATTCCTGTAAGATGTGACTTGCTCCTCTGTGCCTTCTGTCATGATTGTGAGGCCTCCCTAGCCATATGGAACTGTGAGTCCAATTGAACCTCTTTATTTTGTAAATTGCCCAATTTCAGGTATATCTTTATCAGTAGCATGAGAATGGACTAATAAAGTAAATTGGTACCAGTAGAGTGGGGCACTGCTGAAAAGATGCCCGAAAATGTGGAAGTGACTTTGGAACTGGGTAACAGGTAGAGGTTGGAACAGTTTGGAGGGCTCAAAAGAATACAGGAAAATGTGGGAAATTTTGGAACTCCCTAGAGATTTGTTGAATGGCTTTGACCAAAATGCTGATAATGATATGGACAATGAAATACAGGCTGAGGTGGTCTCAGATCGAGATGAGGAACTTGTTGGGAACTGGAGCAGAGGAGGCTCTTGCTGTGTTTTAGCAAAGAGACTGGCAGCATTTTGTTCCTGTCCTAGAGATTTGTGGAACTTTGAGCTTGAGAGAGATGATTTAGGGTATCCAGCAGAAGAAATTTCTAAGCAGCAAAGCATTCAAGAGGTGACTTGGGCACTGTTAAAAGCATCCAGTTTTAAAAGGGAAACAGTATATAAAAGTTTGAAAAATTGCTGCCTGACAATATGATAGAAAAGAAAATCCCATTTTCTGAGGAGAAATTCAAGGTGGCTGCAGAAATTTGCGTAAGTAATGAGGAGCCGAACATTATTCACCAAGACAATGAAGAAAATGTCTCCAAGGCATGTCAGAGACCTTTGCAGCAGACCCGCCCATCACAGGCCTAGAGGTTTAGGAGGAAAAAATGGTTTTGTGGGCTAGGCCCAGGGTCCCTCTGCTGTGTGCAGTCTAGGGACTTGGTGCCCTGCATCCCAGCCGCAACAGCCATGACTAAAAGGGGCCAAGATACAGATTGGGCTGTTGCTTCAGAGGGTGGAATCCCCAAGCCTTGGCAGCTTCCACATGGTGTTGAGCCTGCAGGTGCACAGAAGTCAAGAATTGAAGTTTGGGAACCTCCACCTAGATTTCAGAAGATGTATGGAAATGCCTGGATGCCCAGGCAGAAGTTTGCTGCCAGGGTGGGGCCCTCATGGAGAATGTCGAGTAGGGCAGTACAGTAGGGAAACATGGGGTTGGAGCCCCCACACAGAATCCTTACTGGGGCACCACCTAGTGGAGCTGTGAGAAAAGGGCCACCGTCCTCCAGACCCCAGAATGGTAGATCCATCGACAGCTTGCAAGGCGCACCTGGAAAAGCTGCAGACAATGCCAGCCTGTGAAAGCAGCCAGGAGTGGGGCTACACCCTGCAAAGCCACAGAGGCAGAGCTGCCCAAGACCATGGGAACCCACCTCTTGCATTGGCGTGACCTGGATGTGAGATGCAGAGTCAAAGGACATCATTTTGGAGCTTTAAGATGTCACTGCTCTGCTGGATTTTGGATTTGCATGTGCCCTGTAGCCCCCTTTGTTTTGGCCAATTTCTCCCATTTGGAACAGCTGTATCTACCCAATGCCTGTAACCCCACTATAACTAGGACGTAACTAACTTGTTTTTGATTTTACAGGCTCATAGGTGGAAGGGACGTGCCTTGCCTTGGATGAGACTTTGGACTGTGGACTTTTGAGTTAATGCTGAAATGAGTTAAGACTTTGGGGGACTGTTGGGAAGGCATGATTGGTTTTGAAATGTGAGGACATGAGATTTGGGAGGGGCTGGATTGGAATGACATGGTTTGGTTGTGTCCTCACCCAAACCTCATCTCGAATTCCCACGTGTTGTGGAAGGGACCCCGTGGGAGGTGATTGACTCATGGGGCAGGTCTTTCCTGTGCTGTTCTTGTGACAGTGAATAAGTCTCACGAGATCTGATGGTTTTAAAAATGGGAGTTTCCATGCACAGGCTCTCTTTTTTTGCTTGCTGCCATCCGTGTAAGATGTGACTTGCTTCTCCTTGCCTTCTGCCATGATTGTGAGGCCTCCTCAGCTACGTGGAACTGTGAGTCCAATTAAACTTCTTTCTTTTGTAAATTGACCAGTTTTGGGTATGTCTTGAAAATGGACTAATACACGTGTTTTGATCAATGATATCCTACCATTATATGTATCTTATCAAATAATAAATCTGATCTGAAATATAGTGAAAATGAAATAAAATGAAAATATATAAGAAACCAATAAAATTTAATCTTTCCCTCTTTTTGACATTTGGCCTCTGTTATGTATTTTTTTTCAGACAAAAGAAGAAAATTCACAGTATTCCAAAGATTCTATTGAGAACATCATCTGGTATAAACTCAAATGTGGAGAATGTTTCCAGAAATTTCCCAGATGATTTGAATAAGGATGAAAGTTTCTCTAACTATATTTAAAACAGGGAGCAAAAACAGGGAGAAGGGGAACATCATGCAACATGAGAAACCTAATCTAATTTAACTAGGCCAAGTATAAGAATAATAATGGATTTTAACTACATTATAAATGAAAATAAAAGTTATGATTTTACCAAATCATCTATCAGAATTGAGTAGATACACTAAGAGACCTAAGGACCAGGGAGTACTTTATCACACTATGGGAAAGAGTTTGAAAAGTTTCTCACAATTAATAATAATAAGAGTCTAGATTAGTAAGTCAAGTGTTAGGGGAATTTGCCAGGAAGAAGCAGGCAGAAAGATAAGCAAGCATTCAGCCTGCCTATGTATTCAGTCAGCAATGTCCACTGGAGGACAGCCAGTATGTGTTCTGGCAGGAAAATGGTGTTAGGGAAATCTGTTCATTGGGAATCAATAGAATTACTAAAAGGCAATGCTGAACATGATGGAGGCTTGGCTTAAGGTAGTATCAAGGCAGTTAAATGGACTAAGTACTAAAATGTCTGCTCAGAGATGGGGAAACAGCAAGGATCTAGTGAATTAACTAGAGTATGAAGGAATGGCTTTTGCCAAGCATATAGTCAAGAGCCAGATACCAGAAAAAAGAGCAGAATCAGCATCAAAGGTGACTTGAAGCTGATCAACAGAACTATTAACTAAGACAGTTACAAAGCCTCCATGAGAAACAAGATTATTCAGGAGGGTGATATTGGTTGGATCCTGAACCTTCTAATTAATTGGCCCCCAAACAGGGACCTTGATAGATGAACGATCAAGGAGCCAGCCAATGTATTACAATCATCTGAAAAATTAAGGTGAAACGTGATGATTCTTAGAATATGATTGTACTGTAAGCCAATATGCCCATATGTATTGAAAACAATTGTGTCATTAAGTATACTGAACACAATAGTATTTTCCTACTGAATTCCCTGAAGAAGAGTTTTCCTGCTGCATAATAACAAATTTTTCTATTATTTGGCACCTAACAGTCTGTTTCAGCCAAAGTTCTTTTTTTAAGGCAATAGACACTGACTCTAAGTAACTTAAGCCAAATGTAAATTTATTGGAAGAATAGCTGTAGTTAATAGAGTAAAAAGGAAGGCTTAAGAACCAAGCTCAGGAGATGAGTAGAAAATAAAGGAGTCATGGGTAATACAGACATAACCAATATCATGCTACAGAAACAACCAGGATATGGTATTGGTTTGGTATCATTTTGGTGGACTTAAATGCTGCCAGCATGTCATTGCAGGCCTGACTAAATTCTCAACTATCCTTCCATCGCCACGTTTTTAGATTAAAATCCTGAAGTGGGGCATGTGATGAGCTGAACCTAAAACACAGGCTTACATTTGAATTTACAGAAGATGGTAAGAGGAAATATTCCTCCCACCCACCCTCAGCCTAGATAACCATTGTTCAGCTCTCTGTCATTGTAGATTGGTTTTGTATTTTCTAGAATTTTATATAAATGGAATCTTAGCATATGTATTCTTTTTTTATCTGGCTCCTTTTGCACAGCATGATGTTTTTGAAATTTTTTCCATGATATTCTATGTATTAATAACTTGTTCTCTTTTATTGCTAAATAGGATTCCATACATATACTAAGATTTGTTTATCTATTCACCTATTGATGGGCTGTGGGTTGTTCCCAGATATTTGCTATGAGTAAATATGGATAACTATCTATGCATATACATAAATATGGATAAAGCTGCTATAAACATTCATATACAGTCATGTGCTGCATAACAATGTTTTGGTCAATGATGGACTGCATACACAACAGTGGTCCCATAATATAATAATGCCATATTTTTACTGTACCCTTTCCATGTTTAGCTATGTTTGGATACACTAATACTTACCAATGTGTTACAATTGCCTATAATATTCAGTACAGTGACATGCTGTACAGGTTTGTAGCCTAGAAGCAATAGGTTATACCACATAGCCTATGTGTGTAGTAGGCTGTTCAATCAAGATTTGTGATGTCTGGACAACAAAATCACCCAAGGACCCCTTTCTCAGAACATATCCCATTTGTTAAGTAATAAATAACTGTACAAATATTTGTGTGGACATGTCTTCATTCTTGGAGAAGAGCAACTGCTGTATTATATGGTAAGAATATTTTTGACTTTGTAAGAAATTACCAAGTTACTTTCCAAGATAGTTTTACCATTTGCATTCCTACCAGAAATGTAGGAGTGTTTCACATACTAAGATTGGGTATATCTAGCTTTTTAATTAACTTCTCCATTAGGTGTGCAGTAATATTTTATTATGATTTTAATTTGAATTTTGCTGATGACTAATAATGCTGATTGTCTTTTCATGTGTTTTTTGGCCCATTTGTGTATCTTCCTTCTTTGGTAAATTGTCTGCTCAATCTGCTTGTAACAGATTGCATTTTCTAAAAACAGCCATAAAAATATCTACTGTCCCACATGCTTTTCTTACAATGTGATTTTAACACACTGACCATCAAGAGACAGCGGTCTATGTTTCATTTCCTTAAATTTGGGCAGTCTTGTAACTTCTGAGGATAGGTCATTAAGTGTCATAAAAGGTGGTATCGCTTCACCTAGTTCTCTTGGGATGGATGTTTGCTCTTGGAATTCAGCCACGATGCAGTGAGGAAACACAAGCAGCCACGTGGAGAAGCCACATATAGGTGTTTTGGCCAAAAGCCCCTTCTAAGGTCCCAGACAAAAGTCAGCATTAACTACCAGACGTGTGAATGAATAAACTTTTAAATGATTTCAGCCTCTATTGCAGATTCAGATTCAGCCTCTGCCTTCATCCTGCAAGCTGAGGCCTCAGACATTATGGAACAGAGACATGCTTACCCTAATGTGCCCGGCTAAAATTCCTGAATGCCAGAATTCATGAGCATAATAAAAGAGTTGTTCATTTATACCATTAGGTTTAGGTGGTTTTCTAGGTAGAATATATAAGTAAAACACAAGTTTTGAGATGCAATCAAGTATTTAAAGATTCCTTGAACAGAAATAACATTTTCTTTCTTTAACTTTTAAGTTCAGGGGTACATGTGCAGGTTTGTTATATAGGTAAACTTGTATCATGGGGGTTTGTTGTGCAGATTATTTCATCACTAAGGTATTAAGACTAGTACCCATTAGTTATTTTTTTCCTGATCCCCTCCCTCTTCCTATCCTCCGCCTTCTGATAGGCCCCAATGTGTGTTGTTCCTCTCTATGTGTCCCTGTGTTCTCATGATTTAGCTCATCATTACTCATCATTCTCATCATTAAGCGAGAATATGTGGTATTTGGTTTTCTGTCCCTGTATTAGTTTACTAAGGATAGACAATGGCCTCCAGCTCCATCTATGTTCCTATAGAGGACATCACCTCATTCTTTCTTATGGCTATATAGTATTCCATGGTGTATATGTACCATATTTTCTTTATCCAGTATACCACTGATGGGCATTTAGGTTGATTCAATGTCTCCACTATTGTGAATAATGCTGCAATGAACATATGTGTGCATGTATCTTTTTAACCAAATGATTTATATTCCTTTAGGTATATACCCAGTAATGGGATTGCTGGGTCAAATGGCAGTTCTGCCTTTAGGTCTTGCAGGAATCCCCACACTCTTCCACAATGGTTGAACTAATTTACATTCCCACCAACAGTGTAAAAGCATTCTTTTTTCTGCACAAAGTTGCCAGCATCCATTGTTTTTTGATTTTTTAATAATATCCATTCTGACTAATATGAGATGGCATCTCATTGGGGTTTTGACTTTTATTTCTTTAATGATCAGTAATGTTGAGCTTTTTTTCATATGATTGTTGGCCACATGTATGTCTTCTTTTGAAGAGTGTTTCATGTTCTTTGCACACTTTTTAATGGGGTTGTTTGTTTTTCTTATAAATTTGTTTAAGTTCCTTACAGATGCTGGATATTAGACCTTTGTCAGATGCATAATTTGCAAAATTTTTCTCCCATTCTGTAGGTTGTCTGTTTACTCTGTTGTTTCTTTTGTTGTGCAGAAGCTCTTTAGTTTAATTAGATCCCATTTGTCAATTTTTGCTTTTGTTGCAATTGTTTTTGGTGTCTTCATCATGAAATCTTTGTCCATTCCTATGTCCAGAATGATATTCCTTAGGTTGTCTTCCAGGGTTTTTATAGTTTTTGGTTTTACATTTAAGTCTTTAATAAATCTTGAGTTGCTTTTTGTATATAGTGTAAGGAAACGGTCTAGAGAAACAAAACTTCAATTCATCTTTCTCTGCTTGCAAAGGTAAT
Source organism: Homo sapiens (assembly GCF_000001405.40). NCBI lineage: Eukaryota > Metazoa > Chordata > Mammalia > Primates > Hominidae > Homo > Homo sapiens. The sequence goes on from NC_000023.11 coordinate 27,246,096, forward strand.
TTTTTGTTTCATAGTATGTGAGTACAATTAAGTTTGTAAGAATCTGAAACTTTCTTCCAAGCTTGACCATGCATGTGTGTATATATATGTATATATGAACATATGTATATGTACATATATACTTGTGTGTGTATAAAATTTAATATTGAATTCTCACTTAAAGTGTTACTAGGCCATTATTCTGTCACTATCATTTCTTTTGTCAACTTTCAGGAGGCTAATAAAGTTCAGGTAAACAGCTATTATGAGGTGATGAAACTAATGAATGTCACTGGAACTTATTGAGTTCTCATAAACTTTTCACAGCTGTGAATAAGATTTTCCTATTGTCAGATTTGCAGGTGTGCAAGGACAAAACAAGAAAACGAAACTGAACAAATGAGAAACATGCTGAATTTTATTTTTATTAACTCAGAAATATGCCAAGGTAATGACAGTCCAAAATCACTATTCATCTAGCCAGGTTAGCACACAACCATAATTATATCAATAATTCAAGGTTGCAAATGTGCTCGTATTCAAATGATTCAGGAAAATTAGACGTAGAAGATGCATATTTGGATATATTTAGATTGGTTTAAAAGATCTTGATAAATGTAGATGAATTGATATGAGTTCAGTTAGTCAGCATCTCTAAATTTGTTGATAGATATATGACCTAGTCTTGTATTTTTCCACTAAAATTTTGATTAAAATCAGACCAATATATAGTGGATACCTTTTGTATGTATGCACAAGGTGCAGTGTTGGAGATAAAGAGATAAGGCAAACTTGCATTCTTTAAGAATCTCAAAATAGAGAAATAATGTTTTTCTTTTGTCCGAATTTTATTTGCAAAGAAGTTTACTATGCTTCTCACAATGGAAATTTTTTTGCAATGTCAGTTTATGTGATGCACAGTAAAATGATAATGTTACAAATGTATAAATTAATTTATTTTGCAATAACTTGGTTAAATGTGGGACACGTTGTCCATTTCAGAACTTCATATCTCAACTGTTAGGTAATAAGACACTGTGCTTATCCAGCTATATATTCATCCCCTTTTTTCACTAATACATCAACTGCAACTCTCTTTAGTGATATAATACTTTTAATCTTCTCTTCAATGAAATTAGTAAATAAAAAACCAGATAAAATATAAAAAAGATATACAACATGTAAAACTGAAACTGAAATTTGAATTCATATGCAACATTTGAAATAGGGAAATAGTTTTAACTCAGAGATGAAAAAGCAAAAAATGTCTCTTCATGTACCAAAATACATGTATAATTGAGAATATTGCAATAATTTCTAATGGCTTCTATGTGTTCATTTAGTTTCTTCATTAATGAAAGTGTACATGCTTACATAGCTCCTCTATTTTATTTTTATAAGACTTAATAGCACTTTACCCAAAAGGCAAACTAGTCATGATGTTTAGAGCAGCAGAAAAACATAGACACCAATTTCAGTTAGTGTTTTGTTAAGAATTTTCAATGGAACATCAAGTGTGTCATGAAAGGACAAAGCAAAACTGTTATTTTTTATGGCTTATTGTGTTTTAAAATTATTATTACATACTAAAGGTGTGCCATAAACTTTTTAGAATATGAGACTTCTAATTATGTTAATCTGATCAAGACGGAACTTTATGAATATCACAATTTCATGGAACTTTTCTCCTAATTCTTGTACTAATGGCATTATGATATTTTTAGATTCTGTCTTAGACCTGTTGGGAAAGGAAAGGTGATAAAAAATTGTGATATTTTATAATCTAATTCTGAAGATAAAAATAAAATTCTTAGCATTGTGATTGTTCTCAGTCACCTGGTTTCTCCTCTAAATCATGTTTCTTCAGGTTTTACTTTGAGTTGCATAGCTGGCAAATTGGAAGAGATCTATTTCAATCTTTCCATTATCCTCATTCTGGCAATTGATGTATTGTAAAATATCTGATTTTTTTAGATAGTCATTTAAGCTTTATTATATGTGTTCCATTTAGTTGTTTCTCAGCACCTAAATATCAACTGCTATGCTCAGAAATAAGAACAAATTTGGAGACTAGTTACTGGTCAAGTGACGTTGGTGAATGGGGGCTTAGGAGCCCAGATATAAATTGTCAACATCTTATAAAAGGGCAAAATAAATTTTATAAATGAAAACCAATACATTGAACTTCATAGACCAAAGGCTTCTTCCACCTGGGCTATGGAAATGTTCCTTCACATAATATATTTGATTCTTTTAATATAAAGCATCCAGGCAGGATTTTCTATACTTCAAATTTTGATGGTTTTTATTAACTCTATGGATAAGGTCCAGGTTGTTTGGATCAAAAGGGTTATTTATCTTATTTTTTAAAATCCTATTCCTCTATTCTTCCCTAAGCATGGGCCTATTATTTTAATATGCAAACACTCCCTTTAAATACATATTCATAATTTGTTCTTGAAATGCAACACTGATAGTCTGTAGACAATGTTTCTTCATTTACCACAATATGAGGGGAAAAACTTACAAAACTTATGTTGTTTTTATTTAATTTTTAAATTTTTAAAATTAAATAAGTGACTCGTATATATCTTGTAAAAATTAAAACTTTACATATAAAAAAGTCCCTCTTGTCTCACTAAAATTCCAATCCTCTCCCCAAAGTATCTATGTTATCACTTTGGTATTTATGACTCCAGATCTCTTCCTAGGGATTTAAATACATTTGTTAAAATAGCTGTAAGACAAGTCAGCTTTTAGAATATTTTGTAGGTAAACTAAATAACAGTGTGCTTCCATCTGCAATTTTCCTGCTTAATTTGCATTGAAGTTCTTTTCATTCTGTAGTATGAAATGTATCTAATTTATGTACAAAGGTACAACAATACAAAATATGTAAATGCAAGTGTTTAGCCACATCTATGCTAGTTGTCATTTCAATAGTTCACTATTTTAAGCTTTTGGAAAAAATGCTGTAAGAAGGATTATTGCACATGCTTATTGGTGTACTTGTGCAAAAATTTCTTTAAGATAATATTAGGTGCCAAGTACTGTGTTTAGTGAGAAAGGTGTTATTATTACATTTGCATTGTACATAAGGCAAACAGTGACTTGCCTAAGTTCACACAACTAGTGAGTTCCAGATCTGGGATTTCCACACATCCTACCTACCTAGCACAAGGGCCAATATTCTTAACAACTTCTATCTACTCCTTGCTTTGTAAAAAATTAATATTTAAAAATCGAAAAAAATGTATATATATGGTGTACAAGATGCTGTTTTGATATATGTATACATTAGGGAATTGTTAAACTAATTAACGTACCCTTTACCTTACATACTAGCCATTTTTTGGTATGTGTGGTGAGAACATTTATAATTTACTCTCTTAGCAATTTTTACTCCTTGCTTTGAAACGACAGAACTACTGGATCAAACTGTGCCCACACTTAAGTCTCAACATATACTGTCCATTTGCCTCCAGAAAAGCAATAGTAATTCACATTCTCACTAAGAGCGCCATTTGTATTGTTATTTCCCTAGCATATCCTTCCAAGGAAAGAAGCTGGCTTTAAGTAAAACAGTAATGAAGAATGAAGAATGAAGAAAGGAAGAATGAAGTAATGAAGACACAGTAATGAAGTAATGAAGAATTCAATATATCTTTAGTTATTGATGATATATTCATCAGCATATATATCTTTAGTTACTGATGATTATTAGAACCTGCATGTTAATGCTCCTGTGAGAAAGGCTTAGTGGGTATTGTCTCTGGAGGAACCTAACAGTGTCCTGTAAAGTGAAACAGGAATGTGTTCCATTCTTACCTACTCCACATTTCTTTACTGTGCTTTTAAGATTTTATAAAACTTTTTAATAAGCTACCTTTGTACCACTGTACTTTATTTATCCTGCTGCTGGTATAGGAAATGGGAGAGTGAGAACTCTCTCATAGACGGAAAAGATGGTATTGTCATATATGTGTATTTTCTGTTGTCAAATACATGTAAGTGGCTGTAACAGAAAACTGGACCCACTCTCTAATTACCATCAGAAAAAATGACTTCTGATTAACTGTTCCTTAACCAAAATTAACATTCCTATTAGATGCCTTCCATCAATTAACTAGCCCAGACAGCTTGTCTATAAAAAACTGAGCAATTTAGTTACCTAGTAATATACATTGCTCAAGGTTAAAAGATATTTGGGAGTTAGGCATTTTTAATGGCTAAGTTTGGTGTTTTGTTATTTGAAAATAAATTATCTATACTTCTGCTATAAATAAAATTTAAGTTGAAAACTGAAAACAAAAATGTTGTCTAACAGTAATGATTATTTTCCTATGTTTTGATTTTCTGAATCACTTTGTATAAGACAGAAGTTACGTTTCTTTGGATAACAACTAAAATAAAACTATATAATCCTAGCACTGTTTTGAATGATTCATTTTGATTCATTCACTTTTAATTGTATTTTATTTATATTTTGAGTTTTGCTAAGTCAAATCTCATAAACTATACTTTTATATAAATTTATATACACGTTTTCATTTTTAACTTTTTTTTTCAAATGTATTGGCATAAAGTTATTGATGGTATACTTGATATTTTAAAAGTTGATTGTATCTCAGATTATGAACTCTTCTCTAGATTGAGCCATTCATTGTTAGCAGGATTTTTCCTTCCAGGGCCATCTGGCATCTCAGGGTAGAGAAGAGGAGTTTCCAAGTGTCTGGGCTTCATTCAGCTTCAGTCCCACTATCTTTATCCTCTCCTTTTGGGACTTCACTTCTGTACATCCATTCTGCTATTAAGTTCACCCAGTGGGATTTTCATTTCACTGTAAAGTACTATAAAATTTCAGTTTGGCTCTTTTACATACCTTCTGTTTCTTTACTGAGATTTTCTCCTTTTTTTGTTTGACTTAAGGATTACTCATTGAAGTATTTTTATAATGGCTGCTTTAAAATCCTTTTTAGATAATTCTTACATGTGAATCGTTTAGTACTGGCACTACTGGTTGTCTTTTTAGGTTGTGATTTTATTGGTTTTTGAGGTGACTAGTGATTTTCAATTGTATCCTGGATATTTTAGCTATTATGTTAGGAGATTCTGGATCTTATTTAAATTTTCTGTTTTAGCAGTCACCCTATTTGGGTTCAGTATGAAGGTCTTGGCCTACTTTGGAGGGTTGTGGATCCAATAACAATTTAATTTTCAGAGCCTTTGCAGTGCTATTCTAGTCTACTTCACTTATGAAGTATATTATTCAGATGTCACTCTGAAAACCTGGGTGTTATCCCACACTGTAGTTTAGTTCTTGAAACCTTTGGCCTGATAATTTGTGTCAGTTTCACATGTGGGTTGCTCAAAGGTCTGCCCAGGACTTCTTATGCAAGTTTAAGGGATCCTTTATCCCTGTTCCATCCTCTCTGAAATCCTCCCCCACTCTTTAGTTGGGAAGGTGAGGGACTCCACCTGCCACCACCAGGAGGAGAGTGTGAAGTTCAGACTCCCCACTTAGTCTCTGCTGACACCGGGGGGAGGAGAAGGGTGTTCGTGGTAGGAAGGAGGGAATCTGTACTGTTTGGCTTGCATAGGGGCAAGTATTTGTTTTAAAAGTTTCTGTCATCCTAGGCTGCCCCTTTCCTAGTCTTTTGGCTGAGAAATCGGGTTTTTCTCTTTTTTCTAAGTCTGTACCTGTTTGGTGCTCCATACTGCAGATTAAATCTAGTGTCCAATCAGGATATACAGAAAATTTTTTTAAGAAGAAAGAAGACAAAGATAAAGAAACACAGAGAACTAACCATCTTGTCACTTCTCAAAACCTGAAGTTCCCTAGTCAGTCTGCCCTTCTCTTTCCACCTTTCAGAGTCCTCTTATGGTCATCTGTTCTATTTTGTCCAAATATTTAGTGATAATTACTAGGAGAAGCATGAAGAAATCAGTCTACTCCATTTTGTGTGGAACTAGAAGCTCAGTATGTAACCTTTTGATTCAGGCTTTATTCACTTAGCATAATGCTTTTTCTTTCTCTCTTTTTTTTGAGACTTGTGAAGCATAGTAGTGAGAAAGGGGGAAAGAGTAGAACAAAGAGTTTGATCTGTAACTAACTCTGAACAATTAATTAATTGGGATAATGTATTCCCTTTGGACCAGCCGGCATAATGCTTTTGAGTTTCATTCATACTGTAGTAACAATCCAAGATCTTTATGTTATGAAGATATTTATTTTTACAGTTTTATCTTCAGGTTCAGAAATTAGTTATTTAAACCCCTGTGGCCTAAGGTCACTCCCTTATTACTGTATTATAGTTCCTTACTATTTGTTGATATTTTGGGGGTAGCTTTTTGTTTATTTGGAGATTGACTTGAAATACTAAAAAATATTTGAATATATTTTTAGTGTACTTCAGTCAACATTTCTATGTGCTTGTAATTGTTAGTGGTGGTGATAAGTGAAGGTTGAAGGGTTGCAACAGTTAAATCTGCTAAAATTGAAAGCTGTATCAAATCCTTTTTGTAATAAGCAAAATTATATATAAACAATTACTCTATGTAGAGAAATGTATAATATAGAAAGTATATCACTCACTTTATTTCATTTAATGTACATCACAATGATGAGAGATAGAAGTAGTCAGGGACGATTTTTTATTGCCAATTTTGTGGGAGAGTAGACATCAAAAATACTTGGGTAATTGTAATTGGCATTTAATAAGAATGTGGAAAGGCAAAATGTAACACAGGTCTTAATGCTTCTTACTCCACATTCCTTTTGCTTAAATTTACTGCTAAATAAAATAAAACTTTGCCAAATTAAACTTTGAACACCATGTATAAAAGTAGATATGTAGAATTTCAATATAAAAAAGAACAAAGAAAATTTAATTTAGCTGGAATACAAAAGCTAGTTGAAATCTCAATTAAAATACTACTGAAGATGTATATTATTACATTTTACTTTATAATTTTACTAATTAAAATTTATCTAACTGTATTGTATGATCAGCTTCCTTTTAAAGTTATTTTTACAAGAATGCACATTCCGCTCCAAGTACTTTAGCCATTATTTTTCAGGACTTTTTGATATATCAACATCCTTGGAAAAAATCCTGACAATAAGACAGTGCCTTAGTTGCAATAATGCAGAAATTTGAGACACTCATCGAGAAATATTCACCCAACAATTAACAAACGGGTTTGTAAAATGTAGCTTGTAGGGTTACAACTTCCACAGTACATAGTATCGTATGAAATGTCAATAAGTAAACTACTGCATACCAGATGTAATCTGTCACAGTTTGAAAGATGGACAGTTTTTGACTGCTACAGTTTGTTGAATGGCTTAGATGAAATAGAGCAGTGAAAATAGATTCATATTAAAATATGTATGATGACATAAATTAATATCTAAGCTATTTTAAATAAAATATAGGCCAGACAGGGTGGCTCACGACTTTCATCCCAGCACTTTGGGAGGCCAAGGCAGGAGGATTTATTGCTTGAGGCAAGGAGTTCGGGACCAGCCTGGGCAACAAAGTGAGACCTTGTCTCTACAAAAACACTTTAAAATTAGCCAGGTGTGGTGGTAGGTGCCTGTAGTCCCAGCTACTCAGAAGGCTGAGGCAGGAGAATCATTTCAGCCCAGGATGCTGAAGCTGCTGTGAGCTAATACATGATCGCACCACTGTACTCCAGCCTGGACAACAGAGTGAGACCCTGTTCTAAAATTAAGTGTGTAAATAAATAAATAAAATATGTTTATAGTTATATACCCACATCCAGATGCCTACTTTTAGATATCTCAATGAAATTAATGGAGTGGCTTACACTCAACATCCACATTTGGAAGAACTCAGTTTTTCAGGCAAAAGAGTTTTGCTATTTTCCAGTTATTTATTGAGAAAGAGGATATAATAAATACATACATTTAAAAAGCAACATCTTTAGTGTACGGCTTGGAAGTGGATCTATATGTATTATTTATATGTCTATATTTTTGCAGGTTAAACAGTATATGTAAAGCGATTAGCACAGTGTTTTGTCTAAATTATTCTGATAATAACGTCACCTTAATCTTACAAAAGTATTAATTGATCTATTTAGTTCAACCTTCTTCTTCCTAAGAGCTATCTCAGTTTGTGCAAAAGAAGGTATCAAGTGACTATGGTTCCAGAATGCTATCCTACCGTAATCACTGATTACCAAAATGCCTGTCAATACAAGCAAGCGCAAGGAATGTGTTTGAGAGTGTAGGAAAAGTATGTGAGTTTGTGTTCTAGGTAAATCTTTATAACTATCTGGAGAAAAAAAGGAGAGAGAGAAGGAAGTAGAGGAGGAGAAGAAGGGGGAGAATGGCTTGCTAAGTCATTGCCTGTAGCCACATTACTTACATCAGTTACCTCTATGTAACTACAATGCCTCAAACCCTAGAATATATATTCCAAAAATCCTACATGCTAGAAAGCTTTAATTACTCTCATTTTATTTGATTATTAGATCTTTTTGTTTTAACTGACAAATGAAAATTGTACAGATTTATGGTATACATTATGATGTTTTAAAATATATATGCATTGTGGAATGGCTAAACCAAGCTAATTTGTTAATTAGTATATGCATTACTTCACATACTTATAATTTTTTATGAGAATACTTAACATCTACTATTCTAGCAATTTTCAAGCATAGAATACATCATTATTAACTGTAGCCACCATGTTGTGCAATAAATTTCTTGAGTTTATTCTTCCTGTTAAACTGAAATTTCATAACCATTGGCCAACATCTCCCCAGTCCCACACAATCCTCCCTGCCACAACCTCTGGTAACCACCATTCTACTTTCTGTTTCTATAAGTTCAACTATTTTAGATTCCACATATAAGTGAGGTCATTCAGTTTGTCTTTCTGTGCCTGGCTTATTTCATTTAACACAATGTTCTCCAGGTTCATCAATGTCACAAATGACAGGATTTCTATTTTTTTATAAGGCTGAATAAGGCTTTTTATAAGGCTATTGTATATATATACCAAATCTTCTTCATCTATTCATGCATTAATAGACCATTAAATTCATTCTCTAACTTGGTTATTGTAAATAATGCTGCAAGGAACACAGGAGTGCAGATATCTCTTTGACATACTGATTTTATCTCCTTTGGATAGGTACTCAGTAGTGTGATTGCCGGATCATATGGTAGTTCTATATTTAGTTTTTTGAGGGATCTCGATATTGCTTTCTATAATGGCTGCACTAATAATTCACATTCCCAACAGTGTGCAAGAGTTCCCTTTTCTCTATGCACTTGCCAACTTTTGTTATTTTTTAACTTTATGTTAATAGCCATTCTAACAGATATGAGGTGAGAGCTCACTGTGGTTTTAATTTGCATTTTCCTAATGATTACTGATTTTCAAATACCTGTCAACCATCTGTGTGTCTTCTTTTGATAAATGTCTTTTCAAGTCCTTTGTCCATCTTTGTTTTCTTGCTATTGAACCAAGTTCTTTGTATATTTTGGATATTAACCCCTTATCAGATATATGATTTGCAAATATTTTTCCCATTCCATAGATTGTCCCTTTTCTCTGTTGATTGTTTCCTTTACTGCTCAGAAGGTTTTTGGTTTTATGTAATCCCATATCTTTACTTTTGGTCTTTTATTTGCCTGTGTTTTGGGGGTCAGATCTAAAAGATCATTGGCCAGCCCGAGCCAGAGCAATTAGGCAAGATAAATAAATAAAAGGTCTCCAAATTAGAAGGGAAGAAGTTGAATTGTCTCTGTTTACAGATAGAAAACCATAAATATTCCACCAAAAAACTGTTTGAACTGAAAAACAAATTAAGTAAACTTGCAGGATACTAAAACAATGTGCAAAATAACATTTGTATACACTAACAACAAACTATCTGAAAAAGCAATTAAGAAAACAATCCTATTATAATGGCTACAAAAATAATGAAATATGTAGGAATAAATTTAACGAAGGAAGTGAAAGATCTGTACACTGCAAACTATAAAATATTGATGAAAAAAATGAAAGAACACAAAAATAAATGGAAAGATATTCTGTATTCATGAATTGGAAGAACTAATACTGTCAAAATGTCCACATTACCCAAAGTAATCTACAGTCAATGCAATCCCTACAGAGTCAATACAATCCCTATCAAAATTACAATGACATTTTTCACAGAAATAGGAAATCTAAAATTCATATGGAACTACAAAAGACCCTGAAGAGCCAAAGCAGTCTTGAGCAAAAAGGACAAAGCTGGAGGCATCACATCATCTGATTTCAAAATATAATACAAAGCTATAGTAATAAAAAAAGCATGGTGCTGGCATAAAAACAGACACATATACAAATGGAACAGGAGAGATCCCAGAAATAAATCTATGCATTATGTTCAACTGATTTTTGACAAAGATACCAAAATCACTCCATGGGGAAGAGACAGTCACTTCAAGAAATTATGTTTTGAAAACTCGAAATCCACATATGGAAAAATCTCACAGAATATACAAAAAATCAACTCAAGGTGAATTATGAGCTTAAATGTAAGACCTGAACTACCAAGTTCTTAACCACCAGCAGCTATTGCATATTATACCTTAATTCTAACAAGTCAGAGCAGCAATTCTAATACCAAATAAGTGGTTTTGTTAAAATAGTTTCCTTATGGCAATCACCACACATTCTATAATTATTCATATTTTTGTGAGCAAAACTTTAAGAAAGTATATTATTTACAGAAGTCCAATATAATCACACAAGATTTTAAATGTTTTCATCACATACAGGCACACATCTTTACCTACCCGCATAGTCCAGTATAAAGAGATGACAACATCCTATTTAAAAAGTATGCTATTAGAATATATCTGCATTTCCCCCAGTTTTTCTCCCTTCATTTTCCTCACATTACCAAATCAACATTTTGTACAACCATTAAAATGATTTTGCTAAATAAAAATCAACATTGTGTGAAACCATTAAAAAGTTTTATTAAGTGGAATGTTTTAGTTATTATAAATATATATTATGAAGAAATAGGTATTATGGACATTTTGTTTAAACTATAATTGACTGTTTTGCCAGGATTCTGCTGATCTTTTTTCTTCCCCTCTAGTATTACTCATGATTGCACTGCTATGTAACTTTCCTCTCCTGTTGAAAACTTATAAGCCCATTCTAAAATATCAGTTCATTTATTAAGCTTTTTCTAATTTCTTCCATAAGAAATTCATTCATCTGTTTCCATAGTAATCACTTCATGTTGTGCTTGAGGTTATTGATTTTCTAACTGACTCCCTCACTAGATTGTGATTTACCTTGTAGGTAGGCACCATTTCTTTTATATATCTTCAGATCCTAACATAGTGCTACATATAGAGAAGATTAAGTACATATTTTCCCAACTCATTCAAATTAATACTTCAATATTAATGCAAATTCAAAAATACTAACATGCATACAGACATTACATATGATTAAACTAAAATAAAACCTTTTATTTCATCTTCTCCACTTCTCCGTAAGCAGCTTATGTCTGAATGGGAATATTTTCCTAGACTTCTAAAACCCATATGAGCTTTTTTTTATTTACACATAATAACAAGCTATTATGTGAAGAGATTTATTCCAGTGATTTTATTCTTTCCTTATCTTAATGGGATATTCCTCAGAATTTTATTTTCCCTTTACCTATCAAGAAAAGATTATTTTTAAAGTTATATTAGCTCAACTTCACAACTTAGATGTACGAAAGTGGTTTGTGAGTATATTTTGAGGCGTTGCAAATTAAATGCATAATTTTAGATTGCTCAAACTAAAAATTTCAAAATACTCTAAACCTGACACTAAGATATCATTATATCTAAATTTTAAATTTTACACCAAATTAGGTTTTGTGGAGTAAATGAAGGCAAGATAACTTAATGTTCTACTAATGGCCACAGAATAAAATTTCTCTTCATTATAGAAGTCCTTGTGGTTGGAAAATAAGTTTCATTTGAGTTTGAGTTTTACTTGTATATATATTTTTATTTTTATTTACTTTTATTTTTTGAGACAGGGTCTCACTCCAGTTGCTCGGGCTGGAAGGCAGTGGTGCGATCTCGGCTCACTGCAGCCTCAGGTGATTCTCCCACGTCAGCCTCCCAAGTAGTTGGGACTACAGGCATGCACCACCAAACCCTGCTAATTTTTTTTTTCTGTATTTTTATTAGAGATGGGGTTTTGTCACCTTTTCCAGGCTGGTCTGGAACTTCTGTAATCAAGTAATCTGCCCGCCTTGTCATATATATTTTTAATGAAGTATATTGCATATTGAGGAAGTGGTTTGCTAATATTCTACTACTAGATGTTCTTTGTAAATCAACTTTGATTCCCACAACTATTCTTTAATGTAGACACCATATTACCGATAAGGAAACAGTTATCAGAGAGATTAAATAGCTGGTTATCTATATCATAGAACCTCTTTATTCTAAATTGTCTTACATTTCTACTCACTTTATACATTTTTAATCAAAAATAGTTTAAACATCTATTTCCCCAATAAAAATAGTTAATTAAGTAAATGGAAATATATAACATTCAATTTGTTATGGATAATATCACTATAACAATTAGAAGCCAGAACCTACTATACAGTTGGCCCTCCAAATATGTGAGTTCCATATCCAAGGATTCAACCAACCATGGATCAAAAATATTTAAAAAAATAAATAAGAATAACAATTCAAGAATAAAAGGTAATATCAATAAAAATGCAGTACAACAACTGTTTACATAGCATTTACATCGTACTAGGCTATAACTAACCTAGAGATGATTTAAAGTATACAGGAGGATGTGCATAAGTTATATGCAAATACTATTTCATTTTATATCAGGGACTTGAGCATTTGGGAATTTTGGTATCCACATGGGGCCTGGAACCAATACTCCATGGACACTGAGGGACGACTGTACTACAAACTGAAACAATTAAATACGGCATATTCGACGCTTCTAAGACAAGGCTGGGAAGACTAGAGCTGAAGTCATAATGTTTTTAAAAATCCCCATGTTCTCACTAACCAAATTCTGAAAACTATGAAACTAATTTAAGCAGACAGATACAATTGTGCTGAGAGCAGAGATACTGAAGTTAGACTATCTGAGTAAAAATTCTGTTCTTAATGCCCGCGGTAACTCTTACTAGCTTGGCAATTTACTTAACCTTTCTCTGTTCCAGTTTGTTATGAAAAATAGGTGAGGATATATACAATTTAGAACAGTACTTGACACAAAGTGAATACTATCTAAAAGCTGTTGACTATCATTTCCTTTTTCTTTGACTAGTTTGAGTCACTCACCCTCTCTTCCCCTTGCCTTTACCATAATGGATTTTATAGCACACTATACTTCTCCTTTTCAGTATTTTTCAGAATGTAGCCAGTAGATTCTGCAGCAGAGAATAGGCTGATTTTCTCTATAACTGGTACAAATAGAAAATAGAAATACATTCAATAACCTCTGGTTTTATCTTTTGTCCACTGCTTTTTCTCTTTACATACAATTTTTCCAGGAGGAGAGTTTCCAATCTCCATTATTCACCACTATCTATATGCTGATCACATTCAAGTCTCTTTCTCCAGGAACAAGTTAACTTCATAGCTTCAGCTGACATATCCAATTTCCTGATGGACATATCCAACCAGATACACTCAATCTATCCAAAACATGTTCTTATTGTAGTCTCACTTATGGGGTATTATCCAAAATTATTAGCATATTACATAAAATATGTCATGATCCTGTTCTCCCTCCTGGCCCTCTGTGCCTCAGGCTGAATCGCTTGCTTATGCTGCTTCCATATGAGACATGCTAGTTTTTGTTCCTATTATCTTATAATTTTCTTCCCATCTAATATCATCTGATCTTTGTCATTATTAGTATGCATTTCTATTTTTCCAGAATCTGTAAGTATTGTGTATACACACAATATATATACTGCTTATACAGAGTGTGTGTGTGTGTGTATATATATCTATATATATACTGCAGTTGATATATATATATATATGCTGTATGAGTATTCTATTAAAGAAAGAAATTAGAATATATCACATGGATTCAAGAACAAAACATGTTTTATTCTTCTAGAATCTAAATCATAGGATTAGTATTATAAGGTGTACCTGTTGAGAAAGGGATCAAGAAACCACTAGGCATCAATGTAAACTGTGACTCTACTTATCTATCAAACCTCAAAGAATCCAGAAAGAAAAGCTTAAATATAACATGGCACCAAGGAGGACCTGACAGATCCATTTTGTATCTTACGGTGAAGGAGGTAGGCACAAAAAAGAATGAAGAGTCCATGGATTTTCAGGCACAATGACACCATCAATTCATTATCATTGCTCAATTAATGAGGTAGATCATTGGAATAGCAATCCTTGCTCAGTTAGTAAGAAGATGGGAAGCCAAGCAAATGAAAATGGTAGAAGTTGCTTGATGTAATAAAAGAGGTGAAGCCCCCACCTACACACCTAACACACATAAGTAACCTATTGTTTTCAGTGGTGATGAAAAGCCCTCACTAAAAATGCCAGAGTAAATAAAAATATTAAGAAAATCCCAGGCTTTCTGCGAAACCAGTTTACCATCTAGTGCCAAGAATAATGAAGTGGTCATTGAAGCTGTTTACATTGTGCTTCTCTTCTCCTTTCAGGCACCTGGGAGGTTGGCATTACCTTTCACCCTTTAAAATTGGGTATGGCTATATGACTTGTTTTATCCAATTAAATATCAGGGAAAGAGATGTGTCTCTACTATAAGTGAAATCTTCATAAGTCAGTACATGATTCCCCACAATCCTTCATTGTAAGAGATTATGGAAACATTTCAGTTTGGAGCTTCTAAAAGCCTATGTCCTTGAGGGGCTAAGATGTGCAGAGTCCCTGCTAAACAGCCTTGGCAGTAGCTAAAAGTTTTGGCTATGTTGAGCCTCTGAGGTTCCAGCTTGTACTTCTCGATTTAATGTAAACACTATCTGTCGATAATATGGTACCACATATGGTTCACCTCATGAATGCTTTTGATAATTTTTTTAAAAATAAATATTATTTCTAAAATAGTTTAGCTGGTTTTGGGGGGATTTATCAATCAACGGAATTGACATGATTTTACAAATCAGTTTATATATTGTCATGAGTCTCACTTATTTGTTGTACATTTGTTAACATATCTCTGAAAAGTAGGCAGTTTTATTGTCAGCTGAATGGAAGAAATTTCCTCAGAGATAAAAAATATATTTGAAGATCTCTTTCCAATCTTTTTTGATTCCTTAAATAAAATTAATTGCAATCATTAGTATAAGAAAAAAATATATACTTCCCTATTTTGTCTTTGAATTGGTGTGAATGTAGTGCATACGGTAGTATAATGGAAGAAAATATTCAAAATAGATGAAAGAAAAATGAAGAATTATGTATATATGGTACATCTTTAATAGGTTGATATTAGAGTTTCTATATATAACCAATTCATCGTGGTCTCTAAAAAATTCCTTTTTATCTTGCATAGAAATAGCTCAATTATATATTCTAAAAAGCAATCTACAGCATTTCAAGTATGTGGGATGCTTTTTCATGTTTAATTCGTAAGGAAGAATTAGCATGTAAATAGGTAATTAAGAAAAGGCATAAAAGGCTATGATTGAAACTAATACATTTAGAATAAAAATAAAAGTTTTTTCCTATTTCTTGCAGCATAGAGAAATAACTAGGATAGAACATTTATATATCTGAGAAAGAAATCCTGAGGCTGTGAATTTGTAAGTTGTGTTTCCTTACAGCTTACAATTTCCCCTTTAAAACACAGGAAGAAAATTAAATGATCCCTTCAAAATCTCAGTAAGACTGAATGTACATCTGATGTGTAGCAAATGTCATTACATTGATAGGCAGATACATGTGACTGGCTGTGCTCATTCATTCCATACAGGACTTGCTTTCTTCCATACCAGTTTTGCAGGACCTGTGATTCAAATCTGTCATTCAGCTGTATTTAAATTTACTACTTTACATGGATGCTCAGATAACCAAAACCATGACTATTAAATCTATTAAACACTCTATGACCAAAGATAATAGCATAATATTTGTGGTTTATTCAAGGAATAAGAGATATTTTGCTGTGATTATAGAGTCTATGTAAATTATGGGGAATGCCATAAGTAAGGCCAGAAAGGAAGCTTGGAGCCAAATGATAATGGACTTTGAATGTTGTGATGGTTGCATTGTTTAATGTGGAGTCAATTATTTTTAGTTTGTATTATTTCATTTGTCTATTTGTTTGCTTTTCACTATAGAAGTGCTATGATGTTCTAACACAGTGTGAAAAACAGACTACTTGGGTTTGGAGAAACTGGAGTCAGTTTTTGGCAAGCCCAAAACTAAAATAAACTATGGAGGAAAATCAGAGCAAGGGTTACACCCAAGGAATTCTCTTCAAAGAGGCATATAGGAATTCTGTGGAGCGACTGAAATGTTTCATATCTTGATAGGGATTTCCATCTGTTTTGTATCTTCAGGGATTACACAAGTATATGCTTTTGTCAAAACACATGGCACAGTACTTTTAAGATGTGTTGATTTTACTGTGTGTGGATTTTACCCCTAAGGATTTAAGGACTGAAAACAAATACCGAACTCTAGATAAAGATGTGCATGCTGACATGTTTAGGGGTAAAACGCCATCAAAATAAGATAGATTGATAGGTGGATGATATGGGGCTGGATAGATATGTGATACCTAATAAATCACATAAAGAGAACCAGGCGTAGCCACTCACGCCTGTTATCCTAGCACTTTGGGAGGCTGAGACAGGTGGATTGCCTGAGCTCAGGAGTACGAGACCAGCCTGGGAAACACGGTGAAACCCCTGTCTCTACAAAAATACAAAAAATTAGCCAGGTGTGGTGGTGTGTGTCTGTTGTCCCAGCTACTTGGGAGGCTCAGGCATAAGAATCGCTTGATCTACTGAGATAATCATGTGGTTTTTGTCTTTGGTTCTGTTTATATGCTGGATTGCGTTTATTCATTTTCGTATGTTGAACCAGCCTTGCATCCCAGGGATGAAGCCCACTTGATCATGGTGGATAAGCTTTTTGATGTGTTGCTGGATTTGGTTTGCCAGTATTTTCTTGAGGATTAAAGTCCTTTGACAAAATTCAACAACCATTCATGCTAAAAACTCTCAATAAATTAGGTATTCATGGGATGTATCTCAAAATAATAAGAGCTATCTATGACAAACACACAGCCAATATCATACTGAATGGACAAAAACTGGAAGCACTCCCTTTGAAAACTGGCACAAGACAGGGATGCCCTCTCTCACCACTCCTATTCAACATAGTGCTGGAAGTTCTGGCCAGGGCAATCAAGCAGGAGAAGGAAATAAAGGGTATTCAATTAGGAAAAGAGGAAGTCAAATTGTCCCTGTTTGCAGATGACATGATTGCATATCTAGAAAACCCCATTGTCTCAACCCAAAATTTCCTTAAGCTGATAAGCAACTTCAGCAAAGTCTCAGGATACAAAATCAGTGTGCAAAAATCACAAGCATTCTTATATACCAATAACAGACAAACAGAGAGCCAAATCATGAGTGAACTCCCATTCACAATTGCTTCAAAGAGAATAAAATACCTAGGAATCCAACTTACAAGGGATGTGAAGGACCTCTTCAAGGAGAACTACAAACCACTACTCAATGAAATAAAAGAGGATACAAACAAATGGAAGAACATTCCATGCTCATGGGTAGGAAGAATCAATATCGTGAAAACGGCCATACTGCCCAAGGTAATTTATAGATTCAATGCCATCCCCATCAAACTACCAATGACTTTCCTCACAGAATTGGAAAAAACTACTTTAAAGTTCATATGGAACCAAAAAAGAGCCTGCATGGCCAAGTCAATCCTAAGCCAAAAGAACAAAGCTGGAGGCATCACACTACCTGACTTCAAACTATACTACAAGGCTACAGTAACCAAAACAGCATGGTACTGGTACCAAAACAGAGATATAGATCAATGGAACAGAACAGAGCTCTCAGAAATAATGCCGCATGCCGCATATCTACAACTATCTGATCTTTGACAAACCTGACAAAAACAAGCAATGGGGAAAGGATTCCTTATTTAATAAATGGTGCTGGGAAAACTGGCTAGCCATATGTAGAAAGCTGAAACTGGATCCCATCCTTACACCTTATACAAAAATTAATTCAAGATGGATTAAAGACTTAAACGTTAGACCTAAAACCATAAAAACCCTAGAAGAAAACCTAGGCATTACCATTCAGGACATAGGCATGGGCAAGGACTTCATGTCTAAAACACCAAAAGCAATGGCAACAAAAGACAAAATTGACAAATGGGATCTAATTAAACTAAAGAGCTTCTGCACAGCAAAAGAAACCACCATCAGAGTGAAAAGGCAACCTACAGAATGGGAGAAAATGTTTGCAACCTACTCATCTGACAAAGGGCTAATATCCAGAATCTACAATGAACTCAAAGAAATTTACAAGAAAAAAACAAACAACCCCAACAAAAAGTGGGCAAAGGATATGAACAGACACTTCTCAAAAGAAGACATTTATGGAGCCAAAAAACACATGAAAAAATGCTCATCATCACTGGCCATCAGAGAAATGCAAATCAAAACCACAATGAGCTACCATCTCACACCAGTTAGAATGGAAATCATTAAAAAGTCAGGAAACAACAGGTGCTGGAGAGGATGTGGAGAAATAGAAACACTTTTACACTGTTGGTGGGACTGTAAACTAGTTCAACCATTGTGGAAGTCAGTGTGGCGATTCCTCAGGGATCTAGAACTAGAAATACCATTTGACCCAGCCATCCTATTGCTGGGTATGTACCCAAAGGATTATAAATCAGGCTGCTATAAAGACACATGCACACGTATGTTTATTGCGGCACTATTCACAATAACAAAGACTTGGAACCAACCCAAATGTCCAACAATGATAGACTGGATTAAGAAAATGTGGCACATATACACCATGGAATACTATGCAGCCATAAAAAATGATGAGTTCATGTCCTTTGTAGGGACATGGATGAAGCTGGAAACCATCATTCTCAGCAAACTATCGCAAGGACAAAAAACCAAACACTGCATGTTCTCACTCATAGGTGGGAATTGAACAATGAGAACACATGGACACAGGAAGAGGAACATCATACACCGGGGACTGTTGTGGGGTGGGGGGAGGGGGGAAGGATAGCATTAGGAGATACACCTAATGCTAAATGACGAGTTAATGGGTGCAGCACACCAACACGGCACATGTATACATATGTAACAAACCTGCATGTTGTGCACATGTACCCTAAAACTTAAAGTATAATAATAATAATAAAATAATAATAATAATAAAGACAACCAATGAAAAAAAAAAAAAAAAGAATCGCTTGAACCTGGGAGGCCGAGATTGCAGTGAGCCAAGATTGGCCACTGCACTCCAGCCTGAGCGATAGAGCAAGACTCTGTCTCAAAAAAATAAAAACAAAAATAAATAAAGCACATGATGAAATATGTTAACAATTATAGAATTTAAGTTATAGTTACCTGGATATTCATGGTGCAAGTATTTCAAATTTTCTATAGGTCTGGAAATTTTCATACTAAAATACTGAGAAAAAATAATCCAGGTCAAATTGTGCAAAATACTGTGCAAGTAGCAAGAAGGACCACACCCTCACCTCAAAATAATTAGAAAAACTAGTTCATATAGACACAAGTCTGAAAAAGGCTATACTTTTATAATAGCAAACAAGTCCCATTACAATCTTGGAATATTTTCTGATGGTAAATACAGATTTGCTGAAAAATACATAGCTAATATAACACAATGAGAAACATATAAAATTTGCTGTATAAGATATATGCTTGACACAAAACTATTTTGTAGTTGAGTTGAACTAAATATTCATTAATTTATGCCATTAATGGGGTGGGAATGGGGAACAGGATATAGTGACTTCTGATTATTCTAGAATACTACTAACTCCTGTCAGAAACATAAAAGGTAAAGAAAGATTCATGGGACTTCAATGTATTCCTAGTTTCTGTGTTTAAGGAATTCCTTTGGAATATTCTGTTTTTCTTTATCTAGGCTGGGTAAATAGAATGCCTTTTAAAATGTCCCCATGCCTTACAAAATATATTTGATCAACTGGCTGGTTCATCAGAATATTTTTTTTTATTTTATGTATAGCATGATGTTTTTATACACATACACATAGTGAAATGATTACTACAGTCAAGCAAATTAGCATTTCCATCACCTTTTTTGCATGTGTGATCAAAGATCTAAAATCTATTCTCTTAGCGTATCTCTAGTATGCAACACAATACTCTTAATTATAGTCCTCATGCTGTACATTAGACTCTGCCATTTGTGATAACATGGATAAACCTAGAGGACATTATGCTAAATGATAAATGCCAGACAGAAGAGGAAAATATTGCATAATCTCACTTATATGTGGAATCAAACAATTTAAATACATTAGAGTATTCATATATATATATATATTTAAAATGTGTATATATGTTACTGCCTTTATTAGAAGAATGCTCTTTGAAGACAAACCAGTTCCACACATTTAGAAACTGGTGTTCTTTAGGGTTAATGCTCATTTTATGCAAATATTATAAAGACTAAATATTAAGTATATCCCAACACTGACTTTCATTCAGAAGGAATTCATTTGGTAAGTATTAGGATTACTGCAGGGATTATTAAAAGGTAATTATTTTTTGAAATATTACATTCGTAAAACAAGTCTCATCATGTGTTGGGCTTATTTAGATTGAAACATTTACATTTTAAATTATCTGCATCATGTTGATCTTGGGAAAACAAATTTAGAGCATATCTGTTCCGAATGTTGAACATGTGGAATGTGTATAAATGATACTACACTTCACACATTTTCTATCATATTGCTGCAGTCCTAAAAAGTATTCCTACCACTCTACCTCTACTTGGGCTTACTTGGAATGGATTCAGATATTTCAGGTAGAATTTCAAAAAGCATTAGCTTTGACCTTCCTCATTCTGGTCTCTGAAAAGCTGAAATATTTCATCTGGTGATTTTAAGCTGTTGATCCTCTTTCGAAAATCCCAAAAGAAACATATGGCAAAATTACATCGAACAAGCTTTCCACTTCATCACCTCATCAGAAACTGAAACAGAACATTAGGAATTCAGCCAAGAGTTGCCATCCAAAGGCCACACTTTCTGTATGCTGACTCAACTCCGGCATTAATTATGGGAGCGTATGATGGTTACCGATATATCTTTGGAACATCCAGAAATTGCTTGAGAAAATATAGTAAATTATCCTTGTCAAATTTAGAACAGGTACGCAAATCTTTTTGAAAGGGAAAATGTAAGTGAATTAAGGGAAAACATCCTCTAATCAGACTCAGATTTAACTTTCAAGTATGTAGTGCAGCTATACACTTTTAAAAAAGTAATATTGGATGATATTTGATGATTTTATTTCATTGCAACTTTAACAAATACATATTGCATTTATTTAAGAAACGTTTAATAGTCATAGTTCAGCTCTTTCAATCTCAGTGGTTATTAATTATATTAGGTTTGAGTTTTATGGGTTTGAATAATCTCCAGTAAAAGTGAACGTAAATATGCACTGCAAAGAATGTTTTATTTAAATATGATGTCCAATAGGACATCAGCAGCAGTGAGTTAGCTATAATTATTTTCTTATTACTGACAAGTCAAGGACAAGTAGGCTAAGGAGAGATAGAATGAATGTAGCCACAGCCATACAACCTGGTAATATTTGATGTAATTTCTAGGTCTACAAATTCCTTTTTTTACACTTTCTATTTCTTTCTTCATTATATTCTTCTTTTCTTTATTTAAACATATTTACAATGTCTTTTAAATTCTTTCTTAATTTTATCATCTCTATCAATTATGGATCTTCTTAATTGATTTTTTCCTAGTTATGATCCACATTTTCCTGCTACATGCATGTTTAGTAATTGTGGATAATGATGGAAATTATGAATATTAATGTTGTCAATTATCTAGATTTTGCTGTTCTCTTTGAAAGACTATTGAGTTTCATTTTGACATTTATGTATTTGTATATCAGCATTTTCTTGTTGAGACGTTTTTCTCAGCTTTGTTAGGATGGGTCTAGGTTAGCTTTTATTCTAGGGCTAGCATAGCCTTCCTCCTATAATGTGGCCTTTCTGGGGTCTCTACCGAAGTCTCAGGGTGATCAATAGTGATGTCCCAGCCTCGTGTGAACTTTGGAACTTCTTCAGTTTATAGCTTCTGACAGCTACTCTCTGTCTGACCTTATGGAATCTCACCTTATGCATATGACACTTATTCAGCCAAATATTCAAAATGATCCCAATTCTGATCTCTATGAGCCTTGTTCAGTGCAGAACTCTCTCTGCTCTGGTACTCCACCCGACAAGTTTCAGCCACCTTAGCCTTCAAAACTTTTATATCTGTCTCTTAAGTCTGGGAAGTCCATTGTTCTCAGTTTGGTATCACCTTTCCTCTGCCAGAGTCCATTAAGTGCCTCTGTGAAAATCTAGGGCTATTACAGGGCTCACCTCATCCTTTTCCTTCCTTTAGGGATCTTGCACTGCTCGTTGTCCAAGTCTGAAAAGAGTATTTTCAAATATTTTGTCTATTTTTCAAGTTGTTCATGGTAGGGTATAATTTTACTATCAGTTATTCTGCCATGATAAGTGAAAGTGCTCTATCTGTGATTCTTAAAACTTCCTAGAGACTTCAGATGTGCATTCAGAGTTGAGTATCTATGTTCTAGTTGAAATTTACCAACTTAGCAGTACATATCTGAATGAGTTCTACTGAATACATGATCATCTTATGCAAAATAGTTCCATCACATATTCAAATTATCTATAACTTTACTTGAGCATTTATCAACTTGAACCTCCACTATTCTATGGTCCAATATGTCCTGCATTCTATTAATTTATTACTAAATGCACAGGTAACCTAGTTTCTATCCATCAGAGTATGTATCAATTTTTAGTTATAAACATTTAATTTACATGCATCACTGAATAACCTGAAAATAATTATTACATAAAATTTCATTCTGATTTCATGCCAATGAAATTTGCCTTGGAAAATTTCATGAAATAACATGAGAATCCAACTTCTAAGCCAGTTGTTGACAAACTATAGCCCTAAAACCAAATCAGATCCATCGCTTGATTTTGTAAATAAAGGTTTTTTGGAACAGAGCCACACTCTTCCATTTAACGGCAGAGTGAGTAGTGAGACAGAGACCATATGGTCCCCAAAGTCTGAAATGTTTATTATCTAGCCCTTTACAGAAAAAAAATTGCCAACCTCTGCTCTAATCTCATATATTTGAGTACCGTTCTTGTTCAACAGATTGTCAGCTAATGATTCTACAAATATACTTTAACTCTTTGTTATTTAGAACACAACAGTACAGTAAACATAGAGAGATATTATTGGCCCAGCTTCGTCTCCCTAAGTTTCATGGGAGCATTCTAGAAGGGGGACACAGTGTGAAAGGAGATAACAAATAACAATAAAAACCCTCACTGAGTGTTAGGAGCAGTTATTCAACTTTTCTAAACTACATCCTCATCTTTGGGGCACAGCTAATATTGATCGAATTAACCAGGCCTATTTGTACACATTTAAGAGAATGCAAACACATCATATTGTATTACATTATATTTATAAATGATGCATAAAATATGTCAAAACTGGGCAAAATACAACAAAGATAACACATATTAAGAAGGCAATGACCAAAGCTAAAATGGTGATGTATAATACAATTATTACATCTACTGGCTGTAAGTCGGGCTTGATTTAAAGGTAAAAAAATTTCTAAAATTTGTTAATCCCACAAAGTAATGACCAGGAATCAGATTTAAGAACTCTAAGCAAAGTCACAAACATAAGAATCACTAATTGTCTACAACATGAGTACTGTATTATCAAAATATCTTTTTCTCTTGTGCTTATGTTATCCTGGAAGAAACAGTGAACTACTGAAAGAACTAAAACTAACAAACTATACGTTAATTAAAATGAGTTTAAAATAAAACCCAATTTTGTAGAGCATTTAAAAACTTATAATAAATTTTGGTGTCTCTTCTTCATACAAGTATTTTTTAAAAATCAAATTTGTATCTTCAGTAACATTAAAATGAAAACATATCCGACTGACAGCAAATTAAATCAGTTAACAGGCTTTCAAATATCCTTGTGATAATGAGCCCAACAATGTAATCAGGTCACTGCTATGAATCTAGAATTACAATTTATATTAAGAAACTGCAAATATATGTTCATTGTATATTTGCATTTTAATACAGTTAATTATTATTATATTCCTTTTATTTCACTTGAGGGATTTCAGTGTACCAGATACTGCAATATGCTTTGTAGGAATGGTATTATAATGATTTATTACTCATCGATACGTAGTTTATTGCAGGTCTTAGAGAAGTTGCTGTGGACACACCTAACTCA
Source organism: Homo sapiens (assembly GCF_000001405.40). NCBI lineage: Eukaryota > Metazoa > Chordata > Mammalia > Primates > Hominidae > Homo > Homo sapiens. The sequence goes on from NC_000023.11 coordinate 27,270,727, forward strand.
CTGATTGATGGAATCTACTGTGTGCCTGGCAATGGGATGGGTGATGGAGATACATCATTTAGCAAGATGTTTGTGTTGCCTAATCTCATGGAACTTAGAGTCTATAGTTTTATTGATCTAAAGGCACCGAAGACCTCCATTCCCACTCTTTATGACACTTTCCAAAGGTCCTGTTAGGAAAGTAAGTGGAGTTGGTTATAGTGAGGTCTCCTTTACTCTACCATTATACTTTACTGTCAGTCTCCCCTTATTATCACTGGTTTTATGGTATTGAGAAATGAAAATTCATCCTCTTTTTAATAAAAACTTGAGACTCCTCTGATTCCATAAAAGGGAAATTTCCCTGCCTTAATTATAAACTCTAAACTATAAAGTGAAATATAAGAACACAGCAAAACACTCATTTTTATAAAAACATGAAGTATTTGGAAAAATGAAAAGAAGTTAACATTTATGTGACACTGACCTCTATCTTTCAGTAAAGTGATACAGGCATAACAGCAGTGAACTGATAACATATCAATTTCCCAGTCCAAGTACATTATTTCCCAAAAATACAAATCTTCATTACAAACAATTTCTGGAACGTTTCTACACTTAAATGAAGGGATGTCTGGTTCCAAAAATCAGTGTTTCTCTGGGAAGCCTATCAAACACAGGACAATGGCAATGGGGGTTTCCCAATATATACATACATACATACATACATTTTTTATTTATACCATGGTTAAAAATATGTTTATGACATATGAACTCTATTTTTTGAAAAATTTCTTTTAACATAGTATTTTCTATTATAATAATCCTACAAATATGTACAATTTTCCTTCTTTTTACATTAGATTTATCTAACATTATAATTCAAAACAGTCTCAGAAAGAAAAAAAGATTGGATTTTAAATTAAAATTGCACAACTACTGCTACCTTAAACTGAAGGTGAGGTACTTGGGTGCAATTTCTGCTGAAGGACTCACTGGTGACCTAGAAAACATTGGCATAACTATTATTTTGATGACTTCCCCAATTTCAGAAAAATAGGAGTTACAGCATCTATCAGCTGTCTCTATAAGGACTTCTCTTGAAAGCCTTTCCACTGTATGTTTTTCCAACATCTGAGAAAATAGATGGCTGCCTGTAAATTTTTAAAAAGTCAAATATAGGCCAAGACTAATGCAACTGTCTAGTCACATATGTAAATGACTGGAATTTATTTTCCTCATAAAACAGAGTACAACATATTATCATTACAAATAATCTAGCTTAAGGGGCTCTATTTTCACTAGACATAAATAGAAAATTAAGTTGCTTCCCAATATTATATATTGCTTATTGCCTGATGAAAATGTCTGAATTTAATCAATAATGGAGCCGGGGTTCTATTTCCTGAAATGGAACAACAGGAAAATGAAGTTGTTGTTTTATCCTCAAAAGGTTTTATTCTGATTCATGAGTTTTTAGATAATTAAATGTGAAGCTAAATTTTTCAACATAATTTATAAAATGATAATCCACAAAAGTGTACATTCCTTAAACTGGCCTGATTTTTCTACTCATCTAAAGTTGTCAATCCAGTTTTACAATCCCTCTTCCACAACATCCCCTTGACAAAACAATTATTAAAATTGACTCTACTCAATGGAATACTGTTTATTGCTTTATTTTTCTTCATATTACCTGACTTTACTACCTGACTTTAGAGTCTAGAGTGATGATGTTTCAAATGTGATTCTCCATCATTTTAAACTGGTTTCAAAGATCTTTGTAAGGAATAATGAGATTATAACATTTTTATTTCATGCTGTTTGACCTTTGCATATTTGGAAAACTCATGAACAAGGTAAATTCACACATTTGATAAATAAATAACATGCTTTCAGGATAGGATATAATAAAAAATATCATTTCCCAGAAAACTTTCAAAACTATTTTTTATAAAATTAAAAAATATTATGAATAAAATGATTACCAAAATGCAGAAATAAACAGTTTATGTAAAGGTTAAGATCCTTAAAAGAAATGCTAAATTTGTTCCTCAATGCTAAAATTCTTGCTGAATATTAAATTATGATAAGTTCAAATGTCACTAACTTTCTAACTTTTAAAATGTATTACTTACATAACTTCAGGAAGAACTTAGGTTTTATATTTTAACCCTACGTCTGTTATTTATTTTATTTAAACAAATTTCAACACAGTGTTATAATGTAGTGCTCTATTTCTCATTATTCTGCCAAATTATCAAATAGAGAATTACTAAACGTCTTGTATGTTGCCTGTCTAAATATCAGCATGTAAAAAAAAATTTTTTTTCCTTCAAAGAACAGAGAGAGAATCCATTTGGATAAAAACAAGAAGACCAGTTACTAAAGATAAAATAGTGTTTGGTTTTCTCTGGCATAAGTTTAGAAAAGAAATGTAGGCTTTATAAATCTGGTATACTAAAACAACTCTTCAGAGAGAGAGTGAGAGAGAGAACATTCTTTTCATTGAAACATCTTATGGACAAATAAATCTTTTGGGAAATCTATGTATATTTACACTGTATATCGAAAAATGAAAGATCATTTATCACATATTTATAATATGCCACTGTTACCATAATGGAAAAATTTTTGACACTTTTCATTAGTTGAATAAACTCTTTTTTATTTGGAAACCAAGAAACTCATAAAGGTAAAAAGATAATAAACAATGTTACTTATTTTTATATATTCTGCATGCTAACTCTTATTCATTCTAATGTATTGGGTTGAGGAACCAGACAATAAAATGGATTAAATAAAATCAAACAGAAATTTTCTAAGATATATGATTAGAATAAATATATCTCCAACCTAATCTCTATTATGTATATAAAATATATGTATACTGTCCATTAAACATAATTAAAATCATGAGCTCCAGGCATTACAAGAATCAAAAGTAAGTATGGTTTCAGATTGGAGTGTTTTAAATACCTTCTAATTAAATGGAAATTTATACTTTTCATTCAATTCTCCAAATATTCATTTATTTAACCAACCAATGTTTGAACATCTACTATGCATTATGAGCAATAAAATTTGCAAGGTAAACACTGATAGCTAAGAAATTCCGTTGTCTCTCTATATGCTGAATCAAACAGGTCTCAATGTGGTTATGGGCTCTATAAATGGTAACAAATACAAAAGGGGCAAGTGGAAGCTCAACTCTTCTTGAAAGTCTGAGAATGCCTTCATATAAATGCCATTGTGGACTTAATTTCACCCTTAAAACTGTACAGGTGTGTGCCAAGTGGAAAAATAAGGATGTCCTGGTAACCAAATGAAGTAGTATGAACACTGACATGGCTATGTGAAAGATAATGTCATGAAACCTAAACATGGGTTTGGAGAGCTTGTCTAGGGTACAGATCATGGAGGGACTGCTCAAGGCAACAGGAGCCACAAATGGGTTTTAAGGTAGAGGACTATGAACAGACTCTTTTTTGAAGGACCAAGGTAGTGTGATTGTGACTGATGAATCCTAAGGATTTCAGTTTGGAGGCAGGGTGACAAGTCAGGAAACCATTAAAACATTCTAGGTAAAAGTGAATGAACAGCTAGAACCAGGCAACAGTGGTGGAACTGCCGAGAAGCACATGTTTAAAAATGCTTAGGAGTATAAATAAATGGAACTGTTCACTGACTGAATGTTAAAAGGAGGAATTGAGGATGCCTCTTAGATTTTTAATTTCCCCAACTAGCACCTTCTTAACTATCCTTGGTAATTGGAATTGACTTTTTAAATGCTGGGTCAATTCTTCGAACACAAATTCCTGTCAAAATAATTACTGTTGTAGAATACAGTGCTATTTTTCCAAAATATTCTCATCCCAATCCCATAACTCCTTGGAATATAAGAAATATAACAATATGTTCTTTAAAAAGTTTTATAAATCATAGATCCCACTGTTGCTTTACCTCCATTTCTTCCTGCCTCTTTATAAGGAGTTCTAGGGATTTGAGGGCTTCTCAATGAAAAAGATAAAACCACAATAAGGTAGCACACACAAGCTTTATCTGGACGACGCTTTGACAGGTTTGCATGTGGGGGAAGTCCCTCACAGCAAGAGACTATCCAGAGGCTTCCGTGCAGAAGGGTCATCCTTCAGAAAGTGAGGAAAGCAAGGAAACTTCTAGGGGAAAGAGGGATCAGAGAGGGGGGTTACATGTGTAGGTATTGTCACTTAGTCACAAGATGAAGAGTCTCTGGGTCAGAGATCTTCAGAGAGCAAAAACAGCTTGGGGCCTTTATAGCCCTGGAGTTTGTATCTTATCTATGGCTAGCAGATGCTGGGCATAGTTTCACTAGGTATAGAAAGCAGGAAAACTATAATTGGCTAAAAATTTGCTTATTTGGTCTATGCTTAAAAAATATTGAATGTACAAAAATTTGAGTTTGGTGCCCATGGGGTTTTGAAATAATTAGACTCCGTCTGCTTTTCAAAAAATTAAAAATGAATAAATAAACCCTAGGGGCCCATATACAGAGGTCTATTTTTGGCTTATTTATGTAATACACTAAATATATGCTACTACGAGTTGTTTTCTGTAAGGTTACAGTGTGTAGATGTATGGGTATTCTATCTGAGATGTTTCCACACTTGACTGTGCACTTTCTGTGATCCAAATTCATGTCCCTTAGAAATCCATCTGGACATCACAATTTATTAATTCACACATATACATTCATTCAGCATAAATATGCATATATATGTATATCTATGCCAAGCACTTTTTACATGATGTGATAAGAGACCACAAAACTTAGTTCCTGCTCTCAGCGAATCCTGATGTTGACCAAAGTTTAACACACAAGCAAATACATTAAACAGTTAGATATCATCAAGTAATTCAAATGTAAAACAGGGTCACTGACAGGGATTCAAAGAATTGCCTAGCGTGCTACTTTAGAGGTATAATCAGAAATGGACTCTGAAAAGGTGCCACTTAAGGCTGAGAGAAAAAAGATAAAGAGAAGCAAGAGATGCAACACTTTATGTGCTGAATCTATTCACTTATAAGGTTTTTAGTGTTGGTGCACTACATGAATTCAGGGCCAGTTAGGGTAACAGAGCCGTGGCTGTTGAAGGATGTGAATGTGAAGGTAGTGATACTTCGGAAGAACGATCCAATGGATTCTAAGCCTAATGCCTTCATTGTCTTCAAGCCTGACTGGTTACGGTAAAGACCTATGGGAATGGTTTTCATGCACATGAGAAAAATGGATTCAACCTCATGGCTGTGCCATGACTGCAGACCTGTGAGATATCTATAAAGCAGCATATCGTTGACATGATAGACCAGCCATTTTTTCCATGGCTGGAGATGTACATGAACTAATTTTTAATTGTGCTGATAGTCCAGCATATGTAGTACAAGGTGAACACAATGTAAGTGGTGCACACAGTGTAAGTGATGCTTGGAATACCCGGTCAACGATTACTTAGGCACCTTCACTGCAATCAGCCTGGGGTTCTATATAACAGGCTATTACAGGAGAGGTCATCAAATTCTCGGGAAGAAAGGCATTCCTAGTAGCTTGAGAAAACTGGTATTCCTTCAGGCTGTAAGGAAAAGATGAAGCATCACTATACTGAAATGATACACTAGTTATTCTTCTCAGGACTGGTGAGGTACATTACCTCAGGTGTGTTGTGGTCATTGTCCAGCCAGGGATGAACAATCTTACCAAAGGGCAAATGACTATGGGGATGATAAATCCAATGCATTTTAGTGCAAGCAACTTCACTGCCATCAAGTTAGGAGGCAAAAGTGCGCAGTTACGAAAAAAGGCATCATGCATTTTGAGCAGAAAAGTTTTAGCCAGATGGTCTCAATGATCCTTTGGACTTCAGTGTAATACTTGAAACTGCACTGCCTTAAACTGATAGACCACCTATTCTTCCCAGGTCTGTACACAAACTTAGGACCGGGTTTAGCATTATTCAGCACGTGTTATAGGATATGAACATACAAAGTGATACTTAGGAAGATTGATGTAATAGATTAAAAACTGGCATTTTCATTGCCATCAAGCCAGGCTGCATTCAATGGAGTGTTTAACAAGACAGATGTCAAACATCTGAACAGAAGGGATTCAGATCCATGGGCATAACATTCATTCTGACCTGTGAGGTACAACAGAAATAGCACCACAATGACATGATTTACTGTCCATTCTTCTCAGTGCTGGTGAAGTACATCCAGTGGAATGTAACGAGTCAGATGTCAGACATCTGAATAGAAGGGTGTCAGATTCATGGACATATCATTTTTATGACATGCGAGAAGAAACACAAATAGCACTACATTGACTTAACAGACTGAACGTTCTTCCCATGGCTGGTGAAGTGCACGTCTAGCAGGTGCTGAAGGAGGTGAACACGGGCAGATGATGCTTGGGAAGAACAATCCAATGGATTATAAACCAGGCACATTCATTGCCATAAAACTGTGCTATGTCCTGCAGGGCATTATGGGTGAACTCACTAAGCATTTTGAACAGAAGGGATACTGATTCATGTCCATGACATTGCTTCAAAACTGTGATGAACATCTGAAGCAGCAGTGTGATAACCTGGCAGGTTAGCCATTTTCCCTAGTGCTGATGTACTAAATTAACTTAGAGTTAGTTGTGTTCATTGTTCAACAGTTGCTGAAGAATATCTAAAGAGCTAAATTAATGCTTTACATGACCAATTCAGTTTTCCCAGAGCTGATTAAATAAATAAACTCAAGGACATTTGTGGCCATTGGCCAACAGGAATGGAAGGCAGTAAACACAGGACAAGTGATGTTTTAGAAGAACAACTTTGGTGTGTGCTTCCTTGAGGTGGCCACCAGGGCCCACGAAATGAGTGGAATATAGGGGGTACTGCAGCAGTGTGGAGATGGGGCAAATCCAGACATGTTTCTTTTGCATCTTCTCAGGTACAAAATGCCAACCATAACTGTTTGTCAGCAAGAGAGACAGAGACTACAGATGACTATGGGGTAGATTCCCTGGTGGGAGGGCTCTGAACATAGCTGGCAAGTGGGACTGATGCTGGTAGCCCTGGGAGCTACAAAGGAGTCTTGACAGGAAGAGACACTGACTCTAGAGTGGGCTTTGCTTACCCAGTGGAAGATTTAAATTCAGAGTGCCATTAACAAAACAAAACAAAAACAAACAAACAAACAGAACAAAAGATATTACATGGAGTTGGACAGCTGATGGTCATTTCTTCAAACCAAGGAATACACTGTACATCCCATAATGTCCAATAATGTGCACAGAGATATCCTCCTCAGTGTAATAGTTTGATAGAGTAATAGAAGGGGGAGTTAAAACATTGGTTGTCTAAAATTGGGGGAAATGAAAGCATTCAGGGCTACCTTGTATGCCTTCAAGAGTGTGTGCTGACACTCAATATGAGTGGGACTAAAGGAGTGTCTTCACTAGATTTTCTGTTTTTCTGGTTCACCTGGGGAAGAGGAGGAGGGGAAGATGCTGGCATGACTGTGCAATTCTTGCCAAGGGAGGAGTACACTCGTATAACGAGTATAATTTTTTCTTTCTTCCCCAAATCACCTCAAATTTTTTTTTCTCCCCTACCTGATGCAGTGGTGCTAGGACTAGGGCTGCAATGACAAGTACTGGAAGCTGGGATGATTTCTAACCAAGAAACTGGGAAAATATTTTTAAACCTTCTGTCAGAATTTCTAAGGGCCTAAGGGGAGTGGATTGTGCCTTCATCCCCATCTATCAAAACTGGGACTAAAAGTGAATGCAGCTATATTGCCTGATGGTAAAAATAGCTCACCAGCTCTGCACCTATGTAACTTTACCCTATTTGAATAGGAATGAACCGAGGAGGAAGTACTTACTAGGCTAGTATTGCTGCCTGCAATATAAACCAGCACACACGGTGGCAATTCTAGTGTTCCTTCCAAAGGTGAAAAAGTTTGAGAATTAATAGAGAGGAGAAATACTAGCTAAGGATAAAAAAAAAAGAATAAATGGTTTATAAATTGGGTAAATCTAACATTACATTAACACCTTGAAAGGGACTCAGAGCAAGAGATGGCATTGTCTCTTAGCTCAATTATAACAGATGCCTGAATGGATGAAGCTGTTTGCCAACACCACTCCTGCTTTTGGAACCTGACAAGAGTGAAAGAAAGCTGGCAAACCTGAGTGGCCTTACCACGGGAGACAATAATACAATATGATGTACTGGACTAATTATTAATGTTTAAATGGGATTCTAGTAATGTGGCAGTCTCTTTTGAGTTGCATGTCCTTTTGATATAAGGGATTCTCTGGGTTCAAAGACTGGTGATATTGGGAAATACGTTTTGGTCTTTGTCCCTGTTTCCTGGCATACAACTCCTAAAATCCTTAGAATCTCCAAAGTTTTGTCTTTTTGTATGCTAATGTTGACTGGTAGCTTCAGGATGGGGACAGTTACTGGAAAGACAAAGGCATGATTAGAGGGTTGGGATTTTCAGCCCCATCCCCCCAACCTCTGAGAGCCCAAGGCAAATTTATCACCAATGGCCAATAGTTTAATTGATTATGCCTACATAACGAGGCCTCCATAAAAACCCAAGAGACAAGTTCAGAGAGCTTCCAGATAGCTGAACATGTGGAGGTTCCTTGGGGGTGGTGCTCCCAGGAAGTGCATGGAAACTCTGTGCCTCTTCCCCCATTCCAAGCCCTATGCATCTCTTCAACTGTATCCTTTGTAATATGCTTTACAGTAAACCGGTAAACATTTTTTAAAAAGGCCAGGCCAAATGACTCACACCTGTATTCCCAGCACTTTGGGAGGCCAAGGCAGGAGATTTGCTTGAGCCCTTGAGTTTGAGGCTGCAGTGAGCTATGATCATGTCACTGCACTTCTACGTGGGCAATAGAGTGATAAAACACGAAAAAAATAAATCAATAACCATCAATTCAATCTGAGCTAGGCACTTTCATTGCCTTCAAGCTTGTCAGCTTAGGCTGGAAACTTAGAAGACAGGATGTTAAGTGCTTTGAGAAAAAAGAATTCAGCCTCAATACAATTCCTACAGGACTATGACGAACTCTGAAGCAGCACTGCATTGATATGACACATGAATCACTGTTCCCAAAGCAGATGAAGGACAAAAACAAAAGACCAGTTCTAGCGACTGTCCAACAGACCATGTAGGGGATGACAAAAAGGTGAGTGATGCTCGGGTGAGTAATTCAATAGATTCTCTTTAAGGCCTCATCATATCCATGAAGCTGGGAGGTATACAACAGGGGGTTACAAGAAAAGTGACCAGGCACACTCAGCAGAAACGATTCAGATTCATGGGCAGAATGTGACTTTGGGACTTTGAGGAATACCAGAAGCAAACATAAATTGAAATGAAAGACTGTACAGTCTTCTGAGGAATAGTGTATTACATGAATTCACAGCTGATTACAGCCTGTGTGAAACAGCAATAAAAAGAATTGAATACAGGGCAAGTGAGGCTTAAGGAGAGTTTACAGAGCAATGTAATCCAAGCAACATTATTGCCAATGGCCATACTTCAATCGGAAAATTGTTACAGGAGAGTTCTTCATGTGCATTTATGAGATGAGAGCTGATTCACCATCATGAATCTTGAATTTTTTTTTTTTTGGTCTCTGCAAAAAACCAGAAGAACCTTGATATGGTGTAGGATGATGTTTGTCCCCTCCAAATCTCATGTTGAAATGTGATCTCCAATGTTTGAGGTAAGGCCTGGTGGTAAGTGCTAGAGTTGTAGGGGTGGATCCCTCATGAATGCCTTGGTGCTGAAATGAGTGAGTTCTCACCCTATTAGTTACCAAGAGATTATAAAGAGCCTGGAACTTCCTCTATCTCGCTCCCTCTCCTGCCATGTGACATGCCTGCTCCCCGTTGCTCTCTGCCGAGTAAAAGCTTCCTGAGGTCCTTGCCTAACGCAGATGCTGGTGCCATGATTCCTGTACAGTCTACAGAACCATGAACCAAAATAAAGCTCTTAACTTTATAAATCACCCAGCCGCCGGTATCCTTTCTAGCAGCACAAAATGGACTACTACAAAGCTCTACCATAACATGATACACTGCCATTATTCCAAAGATTCGTAAAGAACATTAACTACCCATTGAATGTGGGCATGGTCAAGTAGCAGGTGATGTATTTGGACACAGTGTTAGTAAAGCCTGGGGAGACTTTTTGAATGAATTCAAACCCAGGCACATTCCTTTCAATTAAATGGCATTGCATCCAGTAGAAGACAATAGAGCAAGTATCCAGTGCTGAAACAGAAAGGATAGATTCACTGACATAATAACATCCTTAGAGACAGTAAGGAAAATCTGGAGCAGCCCTACTCTGAAATGAAACATTGCACAATTTTCCAAGGACTGGTGAGTGACTGATAATTTAGGGCTAGATTCTAAGAACAGCAATTTAAATGTCTTAAATGTGAATGAAATGCAATCTGGCCTTAAAGAAGAGGTCATCAAGCTTCCTGAGGACAGCAACAGGCGTCTCATGAGCACATACTATTTTCTCAAGCACATGAAAACCCTTAAATAAGCAATTCGTTGACTTAAAAAGAAGCCGTTAACCACTACCTAGAAATAAATAATAAATAACTTTGGTGAAAAGTCTAGCATCAATTTGAATAGGTGATCACAGGAGAATAATTTTTTCATAAAAAAAATAATCTGCACAAAGACACTGACATCTTCCTAATGCACACCTATGGAGCTCCCACTTTTTTGTTTATTCTTGGCCTATAGAAAATACAGGCCAGTGGTGAAAATCAGTTTAGAAAAGAATGAACATAGGGCTAAAAATCTGGAGTGAACACAGCTGAACTCTAAGCCAGAAAACATAATAGGCATGACACTAAACTTACTGAACAGGTTTTACAAAAGAAATTCAAGCATCATATAAGAGGACAACCCAGAAGAGTTTGTAAAGCACTCTTAATACACAATCAGCCCCAAGATTATTGTACCCACGCCAAAAAATTTCCAAGAAGGTCAACTGCAAAGATTCCACAGAAGGTATTCTGAGTGACTTCCAGTACACTGGGCAGGCGATGGGGAAAGACCTTAGACAATATGAACCACCCTTACAAACACAGTAGGATCCTCCTGTGCTTAACATGCTTTCTAATGCACGGGATAGCCCTAAAACAGCCAGTGTGCATTGAATACAAGACATGTTTTTGTTCAGGACCTTGAGAGTAATTATAAAGACTGACTGCAGTGCCTTACCCCTGAGGAACTGAAGACTTTGTGGACACAGAGCACGCTCCCAGTGCCAGGAACCAAAGAACCTTTCAGTGACCAACACGATGCCTTGGGAGGCAAGATGGTCCTGTCGCACAAGAGGAGTAATTTGAACATGCTGAAAACCCCCAACAGGAAGCTAGGCCTGGGACCCTCAGCATGGCGTGCTCACTGCCATCAAAACAAGCATCATACACAAGGGAAGCACAGAGTTCAAAAGGCATTACCCAAAGGGGCAATCAGCCTCGCAGATATGCCATTTTAATCTGGTCATCATGGAATGACCTTTCACTCACCTGTTGTAAATGGGGGAACATCCTGGTAAGTGGGAGTTCACATCTTACACACCTTCCACCAGAATGACTGTAAGCATTCCTGACAGGGCTGCACGCATGCCCAGCAATTGAGAAGACTGTCAATCCCGAAGTTTCCAAAAGGAAACCAACAAAAAATAAGGCACTCCAAGTGGCACCCGGTAAAAAGACAGATAATAGGGCCCAATCTGAGAATTCACCAACTGACTTTCGAAATAGAGTGGGATCCTCCCAGACTTACCATTCTGTAATGCACTGGACAGCCCCCAAAAGCAAATATGGATTGAAGGGAAGACACCAGTGGTCCCAAATCTGGACAATAATTGTCACAAGTGCCCAGGGGGTGCGGCACTCCTGAGGAACTGAAGGCTGAGTGAACAGGGAGTGAGTTTCTAAGGCCAGACACAGAGCAACCTTTCAGTGCCCATTTTGAGACCCCGTGAGGGAAGAAGGTCTTGCCTCCCACGAGGAACAGTCTGCACTTACACAGCACTCCTGAGAGGAGGCTCTGCATCTGCATGAAATCCCTGCATGGCACGTTCACTGAAATTGAAAGACGCATCATACAAGAGGGCAACCCAGAGGAGTTTTTAAAGCATTCTTACACCAGGACAATCAGCCCTGAGATTGCTGTATCCATTCACCACAACTTGCTGGAACAGCAATCCCATGGTTTGCAAAAGAGGCATTCCAGGTGACTGTCAAGCACCATGGGTGGGCAGTGGCAACAGACCAGACAGGTTATCAACCACTGTTAGAAGCAGGGTAGGATCCTCCTTTGCTTAACATGCTTTCTAGTGCAGAGGACACCCCTAAGAAAGCAAATGGTCATTGAACAGAAGCCACCTGTTATTCAGGACCTTGAAAGCAATCATAATGAGTGACTGGGGTACACCACTCATGACAAGCCAGAGCCTGTGTGGACATAGAGCGAGTTTCTAATGCCAGGAACCAGGAAACATTTGAGTGACCCGACACCTGATCCTAAGAGTCAAGACAGTATAGTCTCATGTGACAAATAATTAAAATGTACTGAAAGCTCCCAAAAGGAAGCTATGCCTGGGGCCATCAGCATAATGTGTTCATTGCCATCAAATGAGCATCACACAAAAGGACAACCCAGAGATGTGTTGAAAGCATTATTGAAACAGTACAATCAGCCTTGAGATTTCTGTACCCATCCTCCCAAATTTACAGGAACCCCCAACTCCAGATTCCCAAAAAGGCATTCTGGGTGACTGCCAGCACCATAGGCAGTCAATGAGGACAGACCCGGGTGGCCATTGGCCACTGTTATTAGCAGAGAACAACCCTCCTGTGGGTAACCTGCTTCCTAATGCACTGGATCACCCTAAAGAAGCCAATGTGCATTGAATTGAAGCCACCTGTTGTGCAGTTCCTTGAAATTAACTGTAGCAAGGGCCCCGGGACTCATCACTGCTGAGACACTGAAGGTTGAGGCAAGAGGATCTTGCCTCACATGACAAGTTGTCTGAACGTACAGAACATTCCTGAGAGAAAACTCTGTGTGAAATCCCTGCGTGGCAAGTTCATTTCCATCAAAACAAGCATCATGCAAAAGGGCAATCCAGAGCAGTTTTGAAGGCACTTTTAAAATGGGACAATCAGCCCTGAGATGGCTGGATCCACGGCCAACAATTTCCAGGAAGGCCAGTCGCAAGGATTCCACAGAAGGCATTCAAAGTGATTTCCAGCACCCTGGGCAGGCAACGGGGACAGATCCGAGAGGTCATCAAACCCCACTACTAACACAGTAGGATCCTCCTGTGGGTAACGTGCTTTCTTTCTAATGCACTGGATATCCTTTAAAAGAGCCAATGTCCATTGAAAACAAGCCATGTTTTTGTTCAGGACCTTGAGAGTGATTTTAGGGTGAGGTTCCATGATGCAATGGTGAGCACTCTGGACTCTGACAGTAATTTTCATGAGCGACTGGGGTGCCTCACTCCCTGAGAAACTGAAGACTTTATGTACGCAGAGCGAGATTCCAATGCCAGGAACCAAGGAACCTTTCAGTGACCAACACGATGCCCCGGGAGGCAAGATGGTCTTGTCTGACAAGAGGAATAATTTGAACATGCCGAAAACCCCCAACAGGAAGTTAGGCTTGGGACCCTCAGCATGGCGTGCTCACTGCCATCAAAACAAGCATCAAACACAAGAGAAACATAGAGGAGTTCAAAAGGCATTGCTCAAAGGAGCAATCAGCCTTGCAGATATGCCATTTTAATCTGGTCATCATGGAATGACCCTTTTACTCCCCTATTGTAAATGGGGGAACAACCTGGTAAGTGAGAGTTCACATATTATATGCCTTCCACCAGAATGACTGTAAGCACCCCTGAGAGGACTTACACATGCCCAGTGATTGAGAAGACTGCAAATCCCAAAGTTTCCAAAAGGAAAACAACAACAAAAAGGCACCCCAAGTGGCACCAGTAAAAAGACAGGCAATGCGGACCAACCCAAGAAGTCACCAACCAACTTTCGAAACAGAGTGAGATTCTCCCAGGCTTACCATTCTGTAATGTACTGGATAGCCCTCCAAAAGCAAATGTGCATTGAAGAGAAGCCACCGGTGGTACCAAATCTGGACAATAATTGTCACAAGTGCCCTGGAGTGCAGCACTCCTAAGGAACTGAAGGCTGAGTGAACGGGGAGTGAGTTTCTAAGGCCAGGCACAGAGCAACCTTTCAGTGCCCATTTTGAAACCCTGCGAGGGATGAGGGTCTTGCCTCCCATGAGGAACAGTCTGCACTTACACAGCACTCCCGAGAGGAAGCTCTGTATCTGCATGAAATCCCTGCACAGCACATTCACTGAAATCGAAAGAAGCATCATACAAGAGGGCAACCCAGAGGAGTTTTTAAAGCATTCTTATACCAGGATAATCAGCCCTGAGATTGCTGTATCCATTCACCACAACTTGCTGGAACAGCAATCCCATGGTTTTCTGAAGAGGCATTCCGGGTGACTGTCCAGGACCACTGGCAGGCAATGTGGGCAGACTGGAAAGGTTACCAACCTCGTTTACACTGAATTATAGAGAAGTTGGTTTTGCTCACCCTAAGGTTTTTTTCAAGAAATGTGTCTGCCGTGACAGACCCATCAGTAATTGCACGTGTGCTGTGATTTAGTATTTGGCCCTAACTTTTTACTTCTCTCATTCATGCCTTGGTTACATTCTTGAGACATTATCAGGACCAAATGAAACAATCATTTTGAGGTTATTTTAGAAATGATCAAGCAGATTCCTGAACCTCTTCAGTGCCATAAATTTACCAAAAGCAGCACTACTGTGAAATGCCAGATCGGCCATTCTTCATAGGTCTGGTGAAGTACATGACTCCATGGTGAGTTGTTCCTATTGTCAAACTGGCATTGAAATCTTTCAATACAGAGTGAGTGAATCTGGGAAAGAACAACGCAATGTAGTTTACTCCTGGCACCATCATTACCATTAAGCTGGGAGGTCTGAAGCAGGCATTAGCAATGAGGTCGCCAAAAAGTGCAGAATCTGAATCCTTTCTGCACTTTCGCTCCCTGTTCACTCAACCTTCAGTTCCTCAGGAGTGCTGCACTTTTGGTGCAGAAAGGATTCAGATTCTTGCCCATGTTGTTCCTTCTGACCTGTGAGGAAAATATGAATCCTCTTTACACTGACCTTATAGACTGCTCTTTCTTCTCAGTGCTGGTAAGTACATGAATGTAGACCAGTTTTGGCCATTGACCAGCAGGTGGTGAAGGTGGTGAAAACAAAGGGTTGCAAAGAGTACCGTTATGGGTTGAATTTTCCTTTGTGTTCATCGCCACCAATAAAAGAAACGGTAAAATGTTTAAGTAAATAACTAAATAATAATTATATTTGTCTAGCGTGTCCATGTGAAGAGACCACCAAGAGGCTTTGTGTGAGCAACAAGGCTGTTTATTCACCTGGGTGCAAATGGGCTGAGTCAGAGAAAGGAGTCAGCAAAGGGAGTTAGGGATGGGGCAGTTTTATAGGACTGGGGTAAGCAGTGGAAAGTTACAGTTAAAGTGGGTTTTTCTATTGCAGGCAGGGGTGGGGGTCACAAGGTGGATGGTGGGGAGATCAGAAGACTCATTGTCCAGAAGAAGAATGTCACGAGGTCAATTGATCAATTGGGACAGGGCAGGAACAAGTCATAATGGAATGTTGTAAGGTTGGTCAATCAGTTAAGACAGGAGCTGGCTGTTTCCCTTCTTTTGTACTTTTTGGTTGCCTCAGGCCATCTAGACGTATACGTGCAGGCTTGGGCTCAGAGGCCTGACATTTCTGTCTTCTTATATTAATAAATAAAATACAACAAAATAGTGGTGAAGTGTTGGGGCGGCAATTTTTTTTTTGGGGGCGGTGGTATGGAAGGACAATGGGCGATGTTTCTCAGGGCTGCATCAAGCAGGATTAGGGGCTGCATGGACACGTTAAAGAAAATTTTATAATGAGTTACATGGAATAGGAGTTTAGGCTGTAGGGAGATCTTGGGGCAGAGGATGGTACCGTGGGGTTATTAAAAGTAGCATTTGTCATATAGAATGATTGGCGATGGTCTGAATGCAGTTTTGTATGAATTGAGAAACCAAATGGAAGACACAAGGCCCAAATAAGAGAAGAAGAAAAACAGGTACCAGGAGACTAAGAATTGGGAGGACCCAGGACGTCCAATGAGAGAGTGCCCAAGGGGGTTCAGCATAATTACTTGCTTGGTTGGCGAGTTTTTGGGCTCTATCCTTGAGTTTTTTTATGTTGTCATACACCAGGCCAGATTGATTTAGGTAAAAGCAACACCCTTCATTTAAAAATGTACAAAGTTCTCCTTTTTCAGCAGTGAGTAAGTCAAGGCCTCGCGGTTTTGGAGGAAAACTGCAGTTAAAGAGTTAACCTGGGCCTGAAGGACTGATAGAGTTTGTGATATGTCTGCTATGCTAGCAGAGAAGGCATTAGAGAAGCTACGGAAGGTCGTGACAGAGGTTGAAATGCCTGCTATTCCAGTTCCAAGAGCAATAGTGGAGGCAGAAAGTCCTAAACCGACAAGCAAGGGAATTAGTGGAATAACCTTTTGTCGTGTTGGTGTCATGAGGAGAACAGGAAGCTCTTCGGTCCCATTTGCAAATTGAATTTTGGGAGTAATGTAAACTAGTGTGTATGTGCCTGTCTAATTAGCAGGTAGACACATGTAGGTAGAGGATCCACAGTGGAAGAAGAGACCTTGTTCAAGGCAAAACTGGAAATACATAGTAAAAAGATGAGAAGAAGTACTAAAAGAGGTGTCTTGTACCCAGACTCCTAGGGATCCAGGTAGGGCGGCAGCCATCAGAGGTTGTAATGGGGACTGATGGGATAACTGCGTAGAGGGGGAGGTTCAATTTTCATAATGTATGAGAAAATGTCGAGTGTCTACGGCAACCTTTCACTATTATTTACGGGGCTGGGTATAAGCAAACAAGAAGAGGCCTGGGAGGAGAGTCTGATG
Source organism: Homo sapiens (assembly GCF_000001405.40). Lineage (NCBI taxonomy): Eukaryota > Metazoa > Chordata > Mammalia > Primates > Hominidae > Homo > Homo sapiens. The sequence continues at coordinate 27,287,849 of NC_000023.11, forward strand.
AGCAAGGGGAAGGTAGCCAAGGATGGAGTGAAATACAGGGTAAGTATCTTCCTAAGCAATAATAACTGCTGATGTTTTTAGGTTTGCCAGTATTGATAGAGGGCTTATCTGTAATACGGAGCTGGAAGGCCCCAATTGTTTCAGTGATGTGTGTAGTTGGGCTTTGGAGATGAAGAGTGAAGGAACATTGAGAAGGTGAAAGGTTACCCAGCGGAATTCCAGTGGGTCTTTGTCGAGAGATACATAAAGGAGCGGCCACAGGAATAGTAGTATTTTGTGTTGTGAGGGGTCCAAATATGGGGGGAGCAGAGTTGATGTAAGGAGAAAGGTTTTCTAAGTAAGTGTGGAGAAGGGCGGCAGCTTGCTTATGTGAAATGTCTGGGGAGGTCTTGCTGGACCTGTCCAGAAAGTAAAGAAGTTCTTCAGGAGGGTAAAGGTGAGGGCTGTTAAAGGAAGTTCGGAGGTGTAGGGAGGCAGATGTTGCCCAGTCTGTATGTAAGGCGGGGACAGCTGTGTAGGTGCAGGAAGAAAGGGAAATGCAAAGCCAGCAATTGTTTGCTAAGGAGGGATTAGAAACGGCTAGGAGAGAGTGAGTGAGATTGATAGTGTGGTGGACATAGCTGGGGAGAGGTAGAGGGTGGCATAAGAATGGGAATGAGAATAAGAGTGAGTATAAAAGTAAACAATAGAACTTCATCAGAGTGAAAGTACTGGAGGGTGCCCTGCCAGCAAAGATCATCTATCCACTCCAAGAGGAAGTCAAGAGTGGCGGTTTGGGGATAGCACCAGGAGATATCAGCTGTGATGGCTTGGAGAGGAAGTGTAAACTGGCAGTGTAAACAAGAGTAGAGCATCTATGAGTAGTTGAGAATGGTGAATCAGAGTATGACTAGACAGAAGATAGTAGGGATGACAAGTTTTGGGGGCACAGTCAAAGTAGTGGGGGTGACTGCGTAGAGCCCTGCTGTAAAAAGTAGTAGGGTAAGGATGAATAGACCTAATAGAATAAAGGAATGTATTAGGCTCATAAGGGTTATTACTATTCTTCAGAAATGTGAGTGAATTTAAGGGAAGTAGGGGAGAGTACTTGTGACTTCCAGGAGGAAGAGGAGAGATCAGGTTGGCTGTCCAACGGACACAGCTTTATTCCGGAACAGTGAACCCAATGGGGAGGGTCCTGCAGGCAGACGACAGTTGGGGTACTACAGATGACCAAGTAGGATCCAGTCCATCGAGGCTATAGAGTTTGAGGGGTCAGATTCTTAATAAGAACTGATTGTCCAGCTAGGGTGTCTTCATATTGCTGGGAATCTGGAGTAGGCAAGAGAAGATTAGCAGCCTGGCGAATTTCCTGTCTAGCCTGCTGGAAGACTGGAAGATAGTCGCCTAGAGGGTTGGTGTCCGGGACGAGGTTGGGGCCGACCAAGAAAGTGCATCCATATAAAAGTTCAAATGGACTGTACTCTGTAGCATCTCGAGGACAGGCTTTAATTCTGAGAAGGGCAAGAGGTAAAAGTACTGTCCAGTCCTTTTTAAGTTGGAGGCTGAGCTTGGCGAGGTGTGTCTTTAAAAGATCATTAGTCCGTTCTACCTTTCCTGAAGATTGAGGACGGTAAGGGGTATGAAGGTCCCACTGAATATCAAGAGCCTGAGAAACTGCTTGGGTGATTTGACTAATAAAGGCCGGTCCGTTATCAGACTGTATAGAGGTGGGAAGGCCAAACCAAGGAATTATGTCTGACAGAAGGGAAGAAATGACCGCGGTGGCCTTCTCAGACCCTGTGAGAAAGGCCTCTACCCATCCAGTTAAAGTGTCTACCCAGACCATGAGGTATTTTAGTTTCCTGTCTCAGGGTATGTGACTAAGTCAATTTGCCAGTCCTGGGCAGGGGCAAATCCCCAAGCTTGCTGTGTAGGGAAGGGAGGGGGCCTGAACAATCCCTGAGGAGTAGTAGAATAGCAGATGGAACACTGAGAAGTGATTTCCTTGAGGATAGATTTCCATGATGGAAAGGAAATGTGAGGTTCTAAGAGGTGGGCTAGCAGCTTGTAATCTGCATGGAAGAGGTTATGAAATGATGACAGAATAGAATGGGCCTGTGAGGTTGGAAGGAGATATTTTCCTTGGTCCAAGAACTACTTGCCTTGTGTGGGAAGAGATTGATAGGTTCAAGTTTCAGTGGGAGAACAGGCGGGAGTGACCAATGAGGAGAAAAACTGGCCATGGGGGACAGAAGTTAGAAAGCTAACTGCTTGTTTAGCTGTCTTATCAGCATAATTGTTGCCTTGAGCAATGGGATCTGATGCCTTTTGATGGCCCTTGCAGTGAATGACTCCAGCTTCATTTGGAAGTAAAGTGGCCTTGATAAGAGTTTTTATTAAAGAGGCATTGATGATGGAGGACCCTTGCATAGTGAAAAAACCTCTTTCAGCCCATATAACAGCATGGCAGTGCAGGATATGGAAGACATATTTAGAGTCAGTATAAATAGTGACATGTAGTCCTTTTGCAAGAAAGTGACGGCCTGAGTTAAGGCAATGAGTTTGGCTTGCTGAGAGGTAGTGGAGGGGGGCAGAGTGGTAGCCTCAATGATAGATGTGGAAGATACTATAGCATGGCCTGCCTTTGCTGGTGAATGGCGATTAGGCCTGGAGGAACTTCCATCAATAAACCAAGTGTGATCAGGGTGAGGAACAGGAAAGAAGGAAATATGGGGAAATCGAGTGAATGTCAGGTGGATCAGAGGGATACAGTCATGGGGTAAGCTGTGGTATCTGGAATACTGTGGGAGGCCGGATTGAAGTCTGGGCCAGGAACAATGGTAATTGTGGAGACTCAACAAAGAGTGAGTATAGCTGAAGGAGCCAGGGAACAGAAAGTATATGCGTCAGGTGTGAGAAAGAAAACAGATTTTGGAAGTTATGAGAACTGGAGAGTGAGTTGAGCATAGTTTGTGATTTTAGGGGCCTCTAAAAGTATTAAAGCTGCGGCAGCCACCGCACATAGACATAATGGCCAACCTAAAACAGTAAGGTCAAGTTGTTTGGACAAAAAGACTACAGGGCGCAGTCCCAGTCCTTGTGTAAGAATTCCGACTGCACAGCCCTGCACTTCGGTTGTGTGTAATGAAAAGGGTTGGGATGAGTCAGGGAGAGCTAGTGTGGGAGCAGTCTCTAAAGCTGTCTTCGAGGAATGGCAAGAGGAGTGGGGAAAGGATTTAGGATCTATGGGGTCAGCTAGGTTTCCCTTTGTGAGTTTATATAATGGTTTTGTTAGGATGGCAAAACCAGGTATCCAAAGGCGAAAGTATCCAACCATGCCCAGGAAAGAAAGGAGTTGTTGTTTTGTAGAAGGGGTTGGGGTTTGAGAGATCAGCTGGACACGATCGGCAGGGAGAGCCAGCATGTTTTCATGAAGAATTATGCCAAGGTAGGTAAGGAATGGGGAAGAAATTTGAGCTTTGGAGGGGGATACCCAATATCCTTTGGAGAATAAATGTTGAAGGAGCAGGAGGGTATCTTATTGAGAAGACTCAAAGGAAAGACTACAAAATAAAAGGTCATCAATGTATTGAATAAGGTGGGAAGCAGAGGGGTGGAAAGAGAGTAAATCATGAGAAAGGGCTTGGCTGAAGTAATGAGGGCTGTCCTGGAAGCCTTGGGTGAGTACAGCCCAGGTAAGTTGCTGGGACTGATGGGTGTCAGGGTCAGTCCAGGTAAAAGCAAAGAGGGGCTGGGATGAGGGATGCAGGGGAATAGTGAAAAAAGCGTCTTTAAGATCAAGAATGGAATACTGAGTTGTGGAGGGAGCTATTGAGAACAAAAGAGTGTATGGGTTGGGCACCATAGGGTGTGGATAGGCAAAACAATTTGGTTGATAAGATGCAGATCCTGAACCAGCCTGTAAGACTTGTCCAGTTTTTGGACAGGTAAGATGGGGGAATTGTAAGGAGAGTTTGTAGGCTTTAGAAGCCCATGCTGTAGCAGGCAAGTGATAACAGGCTTTAATCCCCTTAAAGCCTGTTGCGGGATGTGATACTGGCATTGAGCCAGGTAACGGTGATTAGGTTTTAATGGGATAGTAATGGGCATGTGATTAGTTGCCAGGGAGGGAGTAGAGGTGTCCGATACCTGTGGGTTAAGGTCGGGGGATACAAGAGGAAGACACAAAGGAGGCTTTGGGATGGGAAGAAGGGTGGCAATGAGATGTGGCTGTAGTCCAAGAATAGTCAGGGAAGCAGATAATTTGGTTAAAATGTCTTGATCTAATAAGGGAACTGGGCAGATGGGGATAACTAAGAAAGAGTCCATAAAAGAATGTTGTCCAAGTTGGCACCAAAGGGGGCGGCATTAAGGGGTTTTGAAGTTCGGCCGTCAAAACCCACAACAGTTATGGGGGCAAGGGAAACAGGCCCTTGAAAAGAAGGTAATGTAGACTGCGTAGCCCCCGCATTGATTAAACAGGGGATGGACTTACCCTCCACCATGAGAGTTACCCAAAGCTCGGCATCTGTGATGGTCCAGGGGGCTTCCAAGGCGATCGGGCAGCATCAGTCTTCAGCTGTTAAGCTGAAAAGATCTGGGAAGGAGTCAGTCAGAGAGCCTCGGGCCGGAGCTTTAGGGGCTCTAGCAGTGGCTTCTGGGCTAGCTGGGCAGTCTGATTTCCAGTGGGTCCCTGCACAGATGGGACACAGCTTGGGAGAAATAATGGGCTGCGGGCATTCCTTGGCCCAGTGGCCAGATTTCTGGCACTAGAAGCAAGATCCTGAGGGAGGAGGTCCTGTAGGAATGCCTGACCACTGTGGCTTAGGCATTTTGAAGTTCTTGTGTGCTGGAGGTGCAGCTGGGTTTTGTCTCACAGCAGAGGCAAGTAATTGTAACTCAGAAATGCGTTCCGTCTGGCTGCCTCCTCTCTATTATTGCATACCTTGAAGGCGAGGTTGAATAATTCCTGTTGTGGGGTTTGAGGGCGGGATTCCAATTTTTGAAGCTTTTTTCTAATGTCAGGAGCTGACTGAGTGATAAAATGCACACTGAGAATGAGACAGCCTTCTGACCCTTCAGGGTCTAGGTCTCTAAAGCGTCTCAGGGTTGCTGCCAAATGAGCCAAGAACTGGGCCGGGTTTTTGTCTTTACCTTGGGTAGTTTAAGTTTGTCATAATTAACAGCTTTGTAAGCTGCCATTTTAAGCCCTTCAACTAGGTAGAAAACCATGTAATCTTGCCTAGCTATACCTGGGGAATCTGCCTGTTAGTTCCATTGGGGATCCTTTCGGGGAACTGCTCTAATGACTTCCTGGAGTCTTCCAGCTTCCGGGAAGCTGGTGGTTGTCAGCGTGAGATTGGGCTACAGAAAAAACTCTTTCCCGTTCATCTGGGGAGAGGGTAGAAGTTAGGATGACATTTAAGTCACTACAGGTTAAATTGTAGGACAGAGTTAGATATCAGAATTCCTGTATATATTTAGTGGGGTCTGATGAGAAAGAGCCTAAACGCTGGCTGATTTGGGAAAGGTCTGATAGAGAAAAAGGCACATGTACTCTGACTATGCCTTCAGCTCCAGCCACTTCTCTAAGAGGAAATAGTTGGGCAGGTAGGGGAGAGCTAGTCACGGAATGAAACTGTAAGCCAGACTGCGTGTGAGGAGGGGAGGTGATAGAAGGATTATAGGGTGGAGGAGCGGAGGCTGAGGAAGAATTGAAGCCTGATTCAGTCTGGCAGGGAGCGACTTGAGAAGTCTGGGGAGGAGGAGAGAGGTCAGATGGGTCGGTAGAAAAGAAAGATTGAAAAGACTCAGCAACACTTGGGGTTGGGACTGAGGGGACAGACGGCAGGGAAAGAAGGAGGATTTGGGACCAGTCGCATTGGGAACAGAGACTAGGGAGGGAACAAAGTGTGAAAAATGCCTGGACATAAGGCACCTCAGACCATTTGCCCATTTTTTGACAAAAATTATCTAGGTATTGTAGGATGGAGAAATCGAAAGTGCCGTTTTTTGGCCATTTAGAGCCATTATCAAGTTTGTATTGGGGCCAAGCGGTGTTGCAGAAGAAAATAAGATGCTTAGGTTTTAGGTCAGGCGAGAGTTGAAGAGGTTTTAAGTTCTTGAGAACACAGGCCAAGGGAGAAGAAGGAGGAATGGAGGGTGGAAGGCTGCCCATAGTGAAGGAGGCAAGCCCAGAGAAAAGAGAGGGTAGAAACATGGATGCGGGGAGTGGTACTTGCCACCCAGAGGAGGTGGTGCTTGCCACCAAGGTGAAGGATCAAGGCAGGCATTCCTGCGGTGATTAGACACCTCTGAAATGTGGGTGAATAATCAGGCAGGTGTCCCTGTAGTGATTATACAGCAAGGGCAGACTGTCTTTCTGAGTCCATGACCAGTGCTGGAATTTTGGATTCACAGATAAAACGTGTCTCCTCTGTCTCTACCAGAAAAGGAAAGGAACTGAAATTAAGGGAAGGGAGAGGTTGAAGGCTGGCACAGAAATTGAAAGGAGAAAGAGGTTGAGGGATAGTGAGAGAGGTTGGAGAAGAGAGTAAAAAGAGGCCGCTCACCCGATTTAAAATTGGTGAGATGTTCCTTGGGCTGGTTGGTCTGAGGACCCGAGGTCATAGGTGGATCCATCTCATGGAGCAAAGAGCAGGAGGACAGGGGATTGATCTCCCAAGGGAGGCCCCCTGATCTGAGTCATGGCACCAAAATGTCATGAGCGTCTGTGTGAAGAGACCACCAACAGACTTTGGGTGAGCAACAAGGCTGTTTATTCACCTGGGTGCAAGTGGGCTGAGTCCAAGAAAGCAGTCAGCGAAGGGAGTTAGGGATGGGGCAGTTTTATAGGACTGGGATAAGCAGTGGAAAGTTATAGTTAAAGTAGGTTTTTCTCTTGTGGGCAGGGGCGGGGGTCACAAGGTACATGGTGGGGAGATCATAAGTCTCATTGTCCAGAAGAAGAATGTCACAAGCTCGATCGATCGATCAGCTGGGACACAGCAGGAACAAATCATAATGGAAAGTTGTAAGGTTGGTCAATCAGTTAAGACAGGAGCTAGCTGTTTCCCTTCTTTTGTACTTTTCGGTTGCCTCAGGCCATCTGGATGTATACATGCAGGCTTGGGCTCAGAGGCCTGACAATAATATGGTAAATGCGACAATTGAAGATATATGAAAGTTGCTGTAAAAGCACAGAGAAGGAGAAAAATATTGTATATTGATGTTTCTCAAACTTAATCCACATCAGAATTTCCTCAGGATCTTGTTAAAACACAAACCTCCAGCATTTCTGATACATTACTTTTATTGTGTGGCTTGAGATTTTGCATTTCTATCATTTTTGCATGTGCTCATGCTACTTGTCTGTGGATCACAGTGTGAGAATCCTTGATAACCACTAATGGGAGACATTTCTAATGAGATCAAAGTTGAGCTGGGTCTTTCACAGCATATAGACTTCCGAAGTATAATTTTAGTTGAAGGATATTTTAGACAAACATCTTTGGGCCAGGTAATAGTAGGTATGAAGAGTAAGGGGAAGCAACACCTCAGAGAGATCCAATTTGATAACTGAAGATTGAGTATATGTTTACAAGTGAGACAGCGAGCAACAATATTCCAGGAAGAAGAAAAATATATACAGACCAGGGGAAGGGGAAGGGAGCTTGTTTCATTCAAAGAACTTCTAGTACCACAGTGTTTTATAAGGGCATGGCAGAGGTGATGAGTGCCTGAATGAGAGAAGTCTGTGAAGTCAAAACCTGAGGTTGCAGTAATGAAGATGGAGAAAGAATAAAGGTATAAGACAACTAGAGTATAGAATCGCAAGGAATTCATGACCAATTAAACTAGAAACAATGAAAAGGTGAGGTTCAGAAAGGAATCTATGATTATTCATGGATATTTTAATATGATAGTTTGTAAATAATTAGGTCTTGCCAGAGAAAATACAAGGAAAAGCTAGTCTTTAAGTGCATGTGGCAGGTCTGGGAGGGGCGGGGCGATGGAGTTTGGGTAGGAAACTAATTTGCAGAGGTTAAAACTGTCTACTGATAATGGCGAATTGGGTTATATACACATTCTTTGTCAATGAGGGAACTTTAAAAAGCTTTAAAACATCAGAGGCAACAAGACAATGAAGAATTATCAGGCTCAGATTTATGAGTTGAGAAAAACCCAATAAAATAAGCCCGCTAAGTTGGGGTATTTGTGCTCTGGCATTATTTGCTCATGCTTAAGTGACCATCTGAGAATCCATACTGCACTTTAGATAGCTATAGGGAGATAAAGGGACAATGCAAGCCTGGGACCTTCTGGAGATCTTGGTAAATGGTTAATTCTGTTTTGTGATTGTTTATATTGTGGCTGATTGGGAATTTTTAGAGACTAAGAAGAAAAAGCCAACGGAGAAAAAATGATTGAAGATAGAAAAGACAAAAGAAAAAGTGCCTTTGAAGAATTTTTAAAAAATAAGTTTAAACCTCAACGTATCTAATTGTGTTTTCATTATCTTGTCATTTAAAAAGAACATTTTCTATCAGTTTGCTTCTTGGCACCCTAATGGAGCATGTCACATGTCACCTCAGGTGCACTCACTTGACCTTGGTTGGTACCACTGTTATGTATTAAGAATATACCTTAGATCTCCAAGCATCCTTGCCATTGGACTTCTTCTCTGTTCACCCAAGGCATCATTTGGACCTTTTTCTAACTACCTGATACAATTTCCTACACTGTGGATATCATTTGTTTCTCCAGTTCTCACCCTAAATTGTGAACCCAGAAGTAAAAAGTAATGCCTTATTTTTCCTTATAAAACAATACCTGGAAAAAAGTAGACGCTCTATAAATGAGATTTGAGGTATACAGCAAATAAGAACATAGGAAATGGGATACACTTAATAGACACTTTTACCAAAGAGTTATAAAATGATATTTTGAATAATAAGAAACTAATATTTTGCCTAGAGTTTTATCTGCAGTAATACAATCTAGTTAGTATATACAACGACAACATTTTATCCAACATATATTTTTAGTTACCTCTAGATGGTGATTAGGGTATTTTTTGCATTATCTTTTTTTTTTTCCACAGACACTTCCAAAATTACTACTATATAACTACACACACATAGATCTACACACATATACACACACATAACTTTATATATATGTTACTACATGAGATAATCTATAGTATTATAGTAATATATTACTATAAGTATGTATATAATACATCATGTATATATAACTTACACAATGAATTTAAAGGAAGTATCTGAAAATTTAATATATCTGCATTTTAAAAAGTAATCACAAAGGGAAACTTTTTTGCTTCTCTTCATACAATTTTTCACAGTTTCCTTTCTTTAAAATTAAAAAGAAATGCTGACTTTTTTTCCAAATGGAATTCTATGTTAATTTTAGATTACAATTTCTCTCTTAGCCTGTTTGAGTCTCATCAGAAAGCAGTCAGAGAGAACCAAGCTACAGTTGACATACCATAGCAGTTAGCCAGTTTTGTATGTTTTTAATTATTGCCCTTTTAAAATGACTGTGTAGGCAAACCTCATTTTGTAGATAATACTATGTTCTACCATTCATATATACTGATTACAATGATGGTGATAATGCAAAATGGGGAGGAGGAAAAGGAGAAGGAAGAACAAAGGAAGAATGAAATCCTTCACAATTATCAGGCTATTTTTAAGCCACAAATGTCTTTACCAAAATTTTTGTCCACAAAAAATAAACCATCTGTGAATTGCCTCTACAATGAAGGTGTAAAGAGGGTAACTTTTGGACTTTAAAGTGTCGAGACCTAATTCTAAGCTTCATCATTTTCCACAGCCAAATTATGTATTTCTTATACCCCAGTAGCATCATTAAAACATAGAATGTCTGTTAGTATTTGTGAAAATTAAATTAAACAATCCACTTCAAGATTACATAGCACAGAGTAAGCATTCAGAAATTAGGACCTCTTCTTATCACTGGCTGCATTCTCCTTTAAGTAATACCCTTCTCTTTATGGTGCTACTCTCAATACTGATGGTGCTTAGGCATTTTGATTTCATCACTTCATTTGGATGTCCATTTAAGCAAAGCTAAAACACAGTGATCATTTCTTTAAGCCTGTAGCTATGTGAACTTTGATGACATAATTGTTCCTTGATGAATATAAGTAACCTTTGATGCTGAGAATAGGTCATGTTTATTTCCTAATGGAACAAAATATAATGTTCATTTGATAACACGTTTTCTGTGACTGCCATTATAGTTCTTTCGTTGCTTCTATAAACAGTGGAATTTAGCACCAACAATTAGATGATAGGTGACAGTAACATCACCCCTGTACAAATCTAAAGCAAATGCAGAAAATGGTATCATACAAAGAGTACATTAACTAACCTGCTTGCAGAAGTGAATAGTCAAGAAATATGATGTAAGGAGAGTTTAACACCAATTCTTACTATTATTATATTATGTGAAATAAATTACTTTCAAGGCACCACTGTTGCTTCCCTGCTGTATGGAAAAGTAACCATTTTACTTAATCAGTATTCACTAAATCTGGAACCAAAAAAATGGGCCTTCCATGGCCCATTTAAATTTGTTCATTGTCTATACTCTGCACTCCATGGATAAAATCCTAAGTATATTCTACAACATTTTAATTCACTTACAGAAAAAAATAATATCCTCTGGTCATTTTAGTGTCAAAAACATCCCTCATGTCAGTGACTAAAATTTCTAGTTGCTAAATAATGATAAAACTCAAATATTTATTTAAAAGTGTAGCTTCTCTGTCTATTCTGCAACTCAGCAACTCCACCCCTACATACATACTTAGGAAAAATGAATGCGTATTTTCACCAGGATATATATACCACAATGTGCACAGACACTTTATACAAAGTAGTCCCAAACAGGATATAATGCAAATTCCAAGCAACAATAGAATAGATAAATATTCGTATGAGTATTCTATTCATGCAGTAGAATACTAGGCACAAACAGCAAAATGTAAACTGACTCTACAAACAACTTCAAAGATACTACTCTCAGAAAAGCTGGACACAAAAGAATATATAAGTCCAGTTTAAAAAAGCTATTTAAAAATAGTTTCTTAGCAAAATATATATTTAACATATATAAGAGAACATTTGCAATGCCTTTGGGACCACATATATACACATTCCCAATTATATCACCCTGCTTCCTCCTAGGAACACACACACACACACACACACACACAAACACATATCAAAAATTCAGTGATAACATTCTTTTGTTTATCTAAGTAATATTATTGTATTTATATACTGTGAGTCCTTTAAAACATGATACAAATAAATAGTACAAAACTAACAAATAAGAGGGTGCTGGAAAGATGACCGAATAGGAACCACTCCAGTCTGCAGCTCCCAGCAAGATCAACGCAGAAAGTGGGTGATTCCTGCATTTCCAACTGAGGTACATGGCTCATCTCATTGGGACTGGTTAGAGAGTGGGTGCAGCCAACAGAGGGCGAGCCAAAGCAGAGTGGGGCGTTGCCTCACCCAGGAAGCACAAGGGGTCGGGGAACTCCCTCCCCTAGCCAAAGGAAACCATGATGGACTGTGCCATGAGGAATGGTGCATTCCGGCCCAGATACTACACTTTTCCCATGGTCTTCACAACCTACAGACCAGGAGATTCCCTTGGGTGCCTATGCCACCAGGGCCCTGGGTTTCAAGCACAAAACTGGGTGGCCGTTTGGGCAGACACCAAGCTCCTGCAGGAGTTTTTTTTTTCATACCCCAGTGATGCCTGGAACATCAGCGAGACAGAACAGTTTACTCTCCTGGAAAGGGGGCTGAAGCCAGGGAGCCAGGTGGTCTAGCTCAGTGAATCCCACCCCCATGGAGCCCAGTAAGCTAAGATCCACTGGCTTGAAATTCTTGCTGCCAGTACAGCAGTCTGAAGTCAACCTGTGATGCTTGAGCTTGGTAGGGGGAGAAGCGACCGCCATTACTGAGGCTTGAGTAGGCAGTTTTCCCCTCACACTGTAAACAAAGTCACCAGGAAGTTTGGACTGGACAGACCCCAACACAGCTTGGCAAAGCCACTGTAGCCAGACTGTCTCTCTAGATTCCTTCTCTCTGGACAAGGCATCTCTGAAAGAAAGGCAGCAGCCCCAGTCAGGGGCTTATAGATAAAACTCCAATCTCCCAGGGACAGAGCACCTGAGGGAAGGGGCATCTGTGGGCGCAGCTTCAGCAGACTTAACATTCCTTAACTTAAACATTCCTGCCTGCCGGGTCTGAAGAGAGCAGTGGATCTCCCAGCTTGAGCTCTGCTAAGGGACAACCTGCCTCCTCAAGTGGGTCCCTGACCCCCGTACCTCCTGACTGGGAGACACCTCTCAGCAGGGGTCGAAAGAGAGCTCCAGTTGGCATCTGGCAGGTGCCCCTCTGGGACGAAGCTTCCAGAGGAAAGAACAGGCAGCAATCTTTGCTGTTCTGCAGGCTCTGCTGGTGATACCCAGGCAAACAGGGTCTGGAGTGGACCTCCAGCAAACTCCAGCAGACCTGCAGCAGAGGGGCCTGACTCTTAGAAAGAAAACTAACAAACAGAAAGGAATAGCATCAACATCAACAAAGAGAATGTCCACACAGAAACCCCATCCAAAGGTCACCAACATCAGACACCAAAGCTAGATAAATCCATGAAGGTGAGGAAAAAACCATGCAAAAAGGCTGAAAATTCCAAAAACCAGAACACCTCTTCTCCTCCAAAGGATCACAACTCCTCACCAGCAAGGGAAAAAAAACTGGACAGAGAATGAGTTTGACGAATTCACAGAATTGGCCTTAAGAAGGTGGGTAATAACAAACTCCTCCGAGCAAAAGGAGCACGTTCTAACCCATGCAAGGAAGCTAAGAACTTTGAAAAAAGGTTAGAGGAATTGCTAACTAGAATAACCTGTTTAGAGAAAAACATAAATGACCTGATGGAGCTGAAAAACACAGCATGAGAACTTTGTGAACCATACACAAGTATCAATAGCCAAACTGATCAAGGAGAGGAAAGGATATCACAGACTGAAGATCAACTTAATGAAATAAAGTGCGAAGACAAGATTGGAGATGAAAGAACAAAAAGGAACAAACAAAGCCTCCAAGAAATATGGGGCTATGTGAAAAGACCAAACCTACCTTTGATTGGTGTATCTGAAAGTGACGGGGAGAATGGAGCCAAGTTGGAAAACACTCTTCAGTATATTATCCAGGAGAACGTCCCCAACCTAGCAAGAAAGGCCAACATTCAAATTCAGGAAATACAGAGAACACCAACAAAGATACTCCTCGAGAAGAGCAACCCCAAGACACATACATAATCATCAGATTCATCAATGTTGAAATGAAGGAAAACATGTTAAGGGCAGCCAGAGAGAAAGGCTGGGTTACCTACATAGGGAAGCCCATCAGACTAACAGCAGATCTGTCTGCAGAAACCCTACAAGCCAGAAGACAGTGGGGGCCAATATTTAACATTCTTAAAGAAAAGAATTTTCAACCCAGAATTTCATATCCTGCCAAACTAAGCTTCATAAGTGAAGGAGAAATAAAATCCTTTACAGACAAGCAAATGCTGAGATATTTTGTCACCACCAGGCCTGCCTTACAAGAGTTCCTGAAGGAAGCACTAAATATGGAATGGAAAAACAGTTACCAGCCACTACAAAAACATACCAAATTGTAAAGAACATTGACACTATGAGGAAACTGCATCACCTAATGGGAAAAATAAACAGCTAGCATCATAATGACGGGATCAAATTCACACATTACAATATTAACCTTAAATGTAAATAGGCTAAATGTCCCAATTAAAAGACACAGACTGGAAAATTGGATAAAGAGTCAAGACCCAACAGTGTACTGTATTCATAAGACCCATCTCATGTGCAAAGACACACATAGGATCAAAATAAAGGGATGGAGGAAGATTTACCAAGCAAATGGAAAGAAAAAAAAAAGCAGGGGTTGCAATCCTAGTCTCTGATAAAACAGACTTTAAACCAACAAACATCAAAAAAGACAAGGCCATTACATAATCGTAAAGGGATCTATGCAACAAGAAGAGCTAACTATCCTAAATATATATGCACCCAATACAGGAACACCCAGATTCATAAAGCAAGTTCTTATAGACCTACAAAAAGACAGACTCCCACACAATAATAGTGGGAGATTTTAACACCCCACTGTCAATATTAGAAAGATGAACAAGACAGAAAATTAACAAGGATATTCAGGACTTGAACTCAGCTCTGGACCAAGTGGACCTAATAGACATCCACAGAACTCTCCACCCCAGATCAACAGAATATACATTATTTTCAGCACCACATCACACTTATTCTAAAATTGACCACATACCTGGAAGTAAAACACTCCTCAGCAAATGCAAAAGAATGGAAATCATAACAAACAGTCTCTCAGACCACAGTGCAATCAAATTAGAACTCATGATTAAGAAACTCACTCAAAACTGAACAACTACATGGAAACTGAACAACCTGCTCCTGTATGACTACTGGATAATTAACAAAATTAAGGCAGAAATAAATAAGTTCTTTGAAACCAATGAGAACAAGGACACAACATACCAGAATCTCTGGGACACAGCTAAAGAAGTGTTTAGAGGGAAATTTATAGCACCAAATACCCACATCAGAAAGTGGGAAAGATCTAAAATCGACACCCTAACAACACGATTAAAAGAATTAGAGAAGCAAGAGCAAACAAATTCAAAAGCTAGCAGAAAACAAGAAATAACTAAGATCAGTGCAGAACTGAAGGAGATAGAGGCATGAAAAACCCTTCAAAAAAATCAATGAATCCAGGAGCTGGCTTTTTAAAAAGATTAACAAAACAGATAGACCACTAGCCAGACGAATAAAGAAAAGATAGAAGAATCAAATAGACACAATAAAAAATGATAAAAAGGAGATCACCATTGATCCCACAGAAATACAAACTACCATCAGAGAATACTGTAAACACCTCTACACAAAATAAACTAGAAAATCTAGAAGAAATGGATAAATTCCTTGGCCCTTCCAAGACTAAACCAGGAAGAAGTAGAATCTCTGAATAGACCAATAACAAGTTCTGAAATTCAGGCAGTAATTAATAGCCTGCGAACCAAAAAAAAAAAAAAAAAGCCCAAGACCAGACGGATTCACAGCCGAATTCTACCAGAGTTACAAAGAGCAGCTGGTACCATTTCTTCTGAAACTATTCCAAACAATAGAAGAAGAGGGAATCCTCCCTAACTCATATTATGAGGTCAGCATTATCCTGATACCAAAACCTGGTAGAGACACAACAAAAAAAGAAAATTTCAGGCCAATATCCCTAATGAACATCGATGCAAAAATCCTCAATAAAATACTGGCAAAATGAATCCAGCAGCACATCAAAAAGCTCATCCATCACAATCAAGTCAGTTTCATCCCTGGGATGCAAGGCTGGTTCAACATATGCAAATCAATAAATGTAATCCATCACATAAACAGAACCAATGACAAAAACCACATGATTATCTCAATAGATGCAGAAAAGGCCTTCAATAAAATTCAACACCACTTCATGCTAAAAACTCTCAATAAACTAGTTATTGATGGAATGTATCTCAAAATAATAAGAGCTATTTATGACAAACCCACAACCAATATCATACTGAATGGGCAAATGTTGGAAGCATTCCCTTTGAAAACCAGCACAAGACAAGGATGCCCTCTCTCACCACTCCTATTCAACATAGTATTGGAAGTTCTGGCCAGGGCAATCAGGCAAGAGAAATAAAGAGTATTCAAATAGGAAGAGAGGAAGTCAAATGACTCTGTTTGAAGATTACATGATTGTATGTTTAGAAAACCCCATTATCCCAGCCCAAAAACTCCTTAAGCTGATAAGCAACTTCAGCAAAGTCTCAGGATACAAAATCAATGCACAAAAATCACAAGCTTTCCTATACACCAATAATAGATCAACAGAGTGCCAAATCATGAGTGACCTCCCATTCACAATTGCTACAAAGAGAATAAAATACCTAGGAATACAACTTACAAGGGATGCGAAGGACCTCAAGGAGAACTACAAATCACTGCTCAAGGAAATAAGAGAGGATACAAACAAATGGAAAAATATTCCAGGCTCATGGATAGCAAGACTCAATATTGTGAAAATGGCCATAATGCCCAAAGTAATTTAGAGATTCAGTGCTATCATCATCAAGCTACCATTGACTCTCTTCAAAGAATTAGAAAAAAACTACTTTAAATTTCATATGGAACCAAAAAAGAGCCCGTACAGCCAAGACAATCCTAAGGAAAAAGAGCAAAGCTGGAGGCATCACACTACCTGACTTCGAACTATATTACAAGGCTACAGTAATCAGCCTTGGTACCGGTACTAAAACACATATATAGACCAATAGAACAGAACAGAGGCCTCAGAAATAACACCACACATCTACAACCATCTGATCTTTGACAAACCTGACAAAAACAAGCAATGTGAAAGGATTCCCTCTTTAATAAATGGGGTTGGGAGATCTGGCTAGCCATATACAGAAAACTGAAACTGTACCCCTTCCTTACACCTTATACAAAAATTGCCTCAAGATGGAATAAAGACTTAAACATAAGGCCTAAAATCGTAAAAGCCCTAGAAGAAAACCTAGGCAATACCACTCAGGACATAGGCATGGGCAAAGACTTCATGAATAAAACACCAAAAGCAATGGCAACAAAAGCCAAAATTGACAAATTGGATCTAATTAAACTAAAGAGCTTCTGCACAGCAAAAGAAACTATCATCAGAGTGAACAGGCAACCTACAGAATGGGAGAAAATGTTTGCAATCTATCCATCTGACAAAGGGCTAATATCCAGAATCTACAAGAAACTTAGACGAATTTACAAGAACAAAACAACCCCATCAAAAAGTGGGTGAAGGATATGAAGAGACACTTCTCAAAAGAAGATATTTATGCGGCCAACAAACATATGAAAAAAAGCTCATCATCACTGGTCATTAGGGAAATGCAAATCAAAACCACAATGAGATACCATCTCACGCCGGTTAGAATGGCAACCATTAAAAAGTCAGGAAACAACAGATGCTGGAGAGGATGTGGAGAAATAAGAATGCTTTTACACTGTTGGTGGGAGTGTAAATTAGTTCAACCATTGTGGAAGACAGTGTGGCAATTCCTCCAGGATCTAGAACCAGAAATACCATTTGACCCAGCAATCCCATTACTGGGTATATACCCAAAAGATTATAAATCATTCTACTATAAAGACACATGCACACATATGTTTATTGCAGCACTGTTCACAATAGCAAAGACTTTGAACCAACTCAAATGCCCATTGGTGATAGACTGGATAAAGAAAGTGTGGCACATATACACCATGGAATACTATGCAGCCATAAAAAGGAATGAGCTCATGTTCTTTTCAGGGACATGGATGAAGCTGGAAACCATAATTCTCAGCAAACTAACACAGGAACAGAAAACCAAACACCACATGTTCTCATTCGTAAGTGGGAGGTGAACAATGAGAACACATGGGCACAGGGAGGGGAACATCACAGCCTGTTTAAAATTAGCACAGCCTGTCAGGGGTTGGGGGGCTAGTGGAAGGATAGCATTAGGAGAAATACCTAATGTAGATGAAGGGTTGATGGGTGCAGCAAACCACCATGGCACATGTATACCTATGTAACAAACCTGCACGCTCTGCACATGTATCCCAGAACTTAAAGCATAATAATAAAAAAAGTCTAAAAATAAATAAACATATTATATTTTATTTAAAAAAAAACGACCCAGTGTTCATTTTGCTACAAAACGAGAGTCCACTTAAGAAGAGAGAGATTAGAGAACAGGCAGATCAAATTGTTCTCTCAAGAAATTAGAAGTGTGTCTGTGTGTGTGTGCGCACGTGTGCACATGTGTGTGCGTGCATGCACACCTGTACACATGTGCCTGTGGTGATTACTATTCACCATTTCTTTGGTTCACCTTCTATTTTCCCAGCTCAAACCCTGTATTCATGTTTTTCCTAGTTTTGGATGTCTTTTCCCTACACTTACCTGTCTTTGAAAACCCACATAAAGAGTCATCCCTGTGTGAAAGTTTCCTGGGAGCTTTTTGTTTGTAACAAGCTCTAGTACCTGCAGCAAGTAGGTATTCAAAATTGTTTGCATAATAAATAAGAGAAACATCACAGGTAGGAGTAATCATGCTCTTTCTTTTGGTTCTTCATTAGATATTACAAATATACTTGATCCAATTAGTGGCATACTTATTGTAGCTGAAATTAAACTATTTGAAGAAACAAGGTCCACTTTTGATGTATGTTTGATATTTATTTGATATTTTAATAAAGAAATTATCATCCCAAATCTGATTTTTATTTAAGTGGTGATATGTGTTCTTTTTAAAAACTTACCTGTCTGTAGAACAAAGAGCTATACATCAATAATCTCTAAAGTCCTTGGTTGTAATGAGAAACAAAAGATCATATAACTGTAAAGGGACTGGAACAGTGTCTGTTGCTCTTGTTTTTGTGGTTTTCCTATTCTAGCTATAATATTCCAAGATCTGTTATTCATTGTATAAATTACATATTTTTGTATTTTACTTTCAAGGTCAATATGTATTAGACATGATGGAATAATAGAACTAGCTTAGAAAAAGACCTGTCTAGTTCAAATTCCATTTGAGCCACTCACTAGCAATATGACTTTGGGCAAGTTGCTCAAGTACGCTGAACCTCTGTGCCCAATCGATAAAATTGAAGTATTGATAATTACTTTTAAGGGGATTAAATATTATATACACACACACACATATATATATAATATATATTATATATATACACACATACATACATATCACATAGAAATGTGCTAAGCACTTAGATTTTTAATTACAGGTAACTGATTGTAACTAATTATATTATTCAAATGTATAAATATATTCCATCTTTAACAGCAAAGGATATGTTAACACAGATATATAAAATAGAATAGATTTTAATTTCCTAATTATAAAACCCAGGAGATTGATTAAATAACTTATATATACTGATACAATAAAATCATAATTATTAAAAATGTAGGTTTAGCAGTATATTTTATAATGTGGAAATTTTAACAATGGATCACTGACACAAAAAAACTTACAATGTAGGAATTATAATAATGATTCTAATTTTAAAATTTTATATGTTTTTATATATCTATATTTATGTTTGTGTGTGTATATATGATTGGATATATATGGATTTGTATATATACCCATATTGTCGAAGATATATATATATATATAATCGATAGCGACAGGAGGCAGCCAGATGCCTAGGCAGATAGGAGTGGGTACCAGGTGAAACCCCTCCTCAAAGCTGAAGACAGTTTAAAGCCTGAAAGCCAAGCTGCAAGTTAAATCCTTGGACTGGATTCTATACCTGCCCTTTCCTAATTGGTTTTCTAAACTGTCATACCCACCATTGAGTGGTATCTTCACTTTAACCTTTTTTGCATACTCACAAACCAATCAGCATGCACACCCCATCCTGTGCATATAAAGACCCCAGACTCAGTCGGTAGAGAGAAGATGGCCTGACTTTGGGGAAGAGACAATGAGACTTTGGGGAAGACGACCTGCCCTTCTTGTCCCCTCTTCAGCTCCCCTCTCTGGTGAGAGCTGTTTTCATTGCTCAATAAAATTCTCCACCCTCACCATCAAAAAAAAAAAAAAAAAACCTAACAAATAACCAGATCCATGTAGCTATCCAAACAGAACACAGCTGTATAAACATCACTCAGATGGAGAATGAAACACTGTCAGATTTCCAGAATAAAGGAGGGAAATCCTTTTTGCTACCTCCCATCCTTATGCTTTTCCTTTTTCTCATAATTAACCACTACTCTGACTTCTAACATTATGAACTGATTTCACTTGTTCTAAAGGAAAGGAATTAACAGAATAACATCAGGCCTGTAACTATTTTTTCTCTACCTGGAATGCCAGGTAGGAGTAAATGACTTCCTTGTAAAAGTGCTAATGACATTGATGATAACTCCTTGTAAACAAGAATAGTCACTGTTTTACCAGAGCATAACTTGTCTGTCTAGGTTGTTTAAATAAACCTGGAAAGGCAGACTTCAGGAGTGGATATATGAGGATCCAGTTGGATACAACTCCCTGTGAAGCAATTATTTAACCAGTGAATATTATATTTTAAAAACATTTAAAGTATCTGGAAATTAATCTAAGGGCATATAGAAAATGAAGAAACAATACTCAATGAAATCTGAATCTTGGAAAGGACAGCAAGGGTCTGTGCTGTCTGAGCTACGATGTGCTCTTCTGCACTCTCCTCCCAGCTCCCTACTACAAAATCTCTACTGCAGAAGGTGTGGCCAAGAATACAATCACTCCCTCTCTGCCCAGCATCTAAAGTAGGGCTCCAATTTCACTGTAGAAGGAAAGGCTGCCTAGGACTTTCATTCACCTGCTCCTCTATAAGCTCCCTGTTGAAGAAGCTCCATTGCAGGAAAGCACAGTCAAGATAACTGCAGTATATTTCCTTCACCCAGACCCCACTTTAGGACATCAGCTCTGCCTCAGGAGCAAGACTGCTGATCCTGGGCCCTGATAATTTCCTTCCCACTGTCTGGCTTTTTGGGCAGATGCTGTGTGATGGGGAAGGAAAATCAAGAAGACTAGCTGCTACCACCTTCCCCAACCAGTGCCCACTCATAGACCAGAAATATCACTCTGGGAGATGTAGGTTTATATTCCCTGCCTGAGCTAAGATGTAGTAGTGGTAAAGTTTTGCCTTGGGGAAAAGCAGGCTGTGAGGATTAGTATCTTAGCAGCTCTGCCTGAGAATACTGCTTTTATTTGGGACAGAACTTGGAGAGCTCATGCTTAAGGGCTTCAAAAACTGGCAATATTGGTGGTGACTTATTAAGAAGGGGCTGGTGGCCTCATGGAAGTAGTAGCAACAACGGAGATAGAAGAATAGCCAGAAATTTAACAGAAAGAACCAGAAAAAGACATGGCAATGAAGGGCCCCTTTTGGGATCACACTTATCCCAGGGGGTCCAGAAGGTTATTTGCGTGCAGTAGGCTGCATCTACTCAGAAGTTATTAGAGTAGGATGTTGAGGAGAAAGTGTTCAAAAATCACAAGTGGATCCATTGGCAAAGGGCAGAGCGTTAATGGCTCAAGGTACTAAACATAATCTCTGACCAATCACTGGCTGAATAATAAGTTATGTTGACACTGGGTGACTCCAATGAAGCCAGGCTTAAAAATAAAATCACACTCAGTCTGTTCTTTCCAATGGTAAAATAAACCATAAAACTTTGAACTTAGAACCATGAAAGCAGTCTAGAAGCCACAAACAGATCCAAAGTTAAAGGCTGAACATCTTTCTGCTTCAGGGGCTTAAGTGCACCCTTTGACCAATAAGTGCCCTATGCTGACCAAGGGAGGACCCCTAGGAAGCCAAGCTAAAAGATAAAAACATGGAGAAAATCTGAGCAAGGATATCAGAAGCTACACACTGCAGTGGAAACAGACCTCAGAAAATTAGTCCACTGAAGTCACTAATCAAACACCAAGAAGTCTGTATGGGGATCAGTGTACAGATTTCCTAAGTTATATTGCCAAATATGCCCAGTTTTTAACAATGAGACATATAAAGAAACAGGAAAGTGACACATACACAGGATGAAAGGCAAGCAATAGAAACTGTCTTTGGGGGAAAGCACATGTTGACCTAGCAGAAAAAGAATTCAAAACAGCTATTATAAATATGTTCAAGAAAGTAAAAAAAAAAAAAAAAAAAAAAAAAGCATGTTTAAAGAATAAAAGGAATACTCATTAAACATCCCCCCAGTTCCCACCTCCACCCGCCACTACCCTTCCCAGCCTCTGGTAACCCTCCTACTCCCTATCGCCATGAGTTTAATTGTTTCCAGTTTCATCCATGTCCCTACAAAGGACATGAACTCATCATTTTTTATGACTGCATAGTATTCCATGGTGTATATGCACCACATTTTCTTAATCCAGTCTATTGTTGTGGACATTTAGGTTGGTTCCAAGTCTTTGCTATTGTGAATAGTGCCGCAATAAACATATGTATGCATGTGTCTGTATAGCAGCATGATTTATAATCCTTTGGGTATATACCCAGTAATGGGATGGCTGGGTCAAATGGTATTTCTAGTTCTAGATCCCTGAGGAATCGCCACACTGACTTCCACAATGGTTGAACTAGTTTACAGTCCCATCAACAGTGTAAAAGTGTTCCTATTTCTCCACATCCTCTCCAGCACCTGTTGTTTCCTGACTTTTTAATGATCGCCATTCTAACTGGTGTGAGATGGTATCTCATTGTGGTTTTGATTTTAAATGACGAGTGAATGGGTGTAGCACACCAACATGGCACATGTATACATATGTAACAAACCTGCACGTTGTGCACATGTACCCTAAAACTTAAAGTATAATAATAATAAAATTTTAAAAAAAGAAATTAAAAAAAAGAAATAATAAAATTAAAAAAAAGAATAAAGTGTCTGTAAACATTTATGTTCAGTTTTTGTATGAATGTGGGTTATCATTCCACTTGGGTAAATACTTACAAGTGGGATTATCTGGTTGTATATTAAGTGTAGGATTAACTTTATGATTAACTGCCAGGTTATTTTCCAAAAAAGGCTGTACATTTTGCATTTCAACTAACAAGGCAGGAGAGTTCCTGTTTGTCTATATCTTCAAAAGCACTCGACATTGTCAGTTTTCTGGTGTTTTGGCTTTTTTTCTTTTAATTTCTTTACATTTTAATCCTTCTTTTAGGTTTGTAGTGGTGTCTTGCCATTTAAGTTTCATTTGCTTAATGACAATGTTGTTAATTACTATCTGTATCTCTTCTTTGGTGAAATGTTTGTTGAAATCTTTTGCCCATTTTAAACTGTATTTTCTGTTTCCTTATTATTGAGTTATGAGGGTACTTTCTATGTGATTTGCAAATATTTTCTTGAACTACTTTAGTCCTTTTATTTTGTTTAACATTTTGAGCAACAAAAAAAGTAGTTTTAATCTCTGTCTACATTAAGGGCAAAATATGTTTTCCTAAAAGATTTATAGTTATCAGGTTTTGCATTTAGATCTATAATTCATTGAAGGTTTGTGTTTATGGTGTGAATATAATTTGTTTTATTTTTTACATGTGAATTTTCAATTATTCCAGTACCATTTAATTATTATTCTAGACTTTATCCATTGAATTGTCATCTTTGTCAAAATAAATTAACTTTACATGTGTAAGTTTAAAAAAAAAAGAACAACCACATACAAAATGCCAGAAAGAGAGGCAAGAGAGAACAAGACAGAAAATATATTCAAAAGAGTAATAGCTGAAAACTTCCCATATTTGATGAAAAACATTAACCTATACATACAAGAAGTTCAATTAACTCCAAGGCGAATAAATTCAGGGAGATTCACATTAAGAGACATCATAGTCAAAAAGTTGAATGCCAGGCTGGGAACAGTGGCGCATGCCTGTAATCCCAACACTTTGGGGGGCTAAAGGGATGAACGCTTGACCTCAAGGAGTTTGAGACCAGCCTGAGCAACTACGTGAGACCCCGTCTCTACAAAAAATACAAAAATTAGTCAGGTGTGGTGGCTTGTACCTGTATCCCAGCTATTTGGGGGGCTGAAGTGAGAAGATTGCTTGAGCCTAGGAGGCAGAGATTGCAGTGAGCCAAGATTGTGCCACTTCACTCCAGCCTGGGCAACAGAGTGAGACCCTGTCTCAATAAAAAAAAAAAAAAAAGTTGAATGCCAGAAATAAAGAGAAACTACTAAAAGCAGGAAGAGAGAAAATAATCATCATGTACAAGTGTACTTCAATAAGATCAACAGCTGACTTTCCATGAGAAACACTGTCAGAATGTGGTGGGACAGCATATTCAAAGTGCTGAAAGAAAAACAAGAAAACAAAGTGACAAGCAAGATCTTTATACCTAGCAAAGCTATCTCAAAATGAAGGCAAAATTAAGACATCCTCAGATTAAAGAAAAAAATTGAAAGAATTTGTTGCTATGAATCTTGCAATATAAGAAATTGTAAAAGAAGTTCTTCAGCATGAAAGCAGTGACTAAATATCAATTAAAATCCATATGATACAAACAAAGATCTCCAGTAAAGGTAATGATGTAGGCAATAATAAACAAAGTATAATTACACACTGACATACCTTTCTGATCAAAACTCATTTAAAGAGCAATTGTATAAAACAATATATATATATTATATTATATGTAATAAGACTATATATATTATATATATATATATAATTGTATTTTCTGGCATATAAAATATACAAATATAATGCAGTTGACCAAAAAATGCAAAGGAGAAAGTTGAGAGTGAAGCTATATTGGTGTAATGAGATGAAACCAGATGATAACACAAACTCATAAGAAGAAATGGCACATAAGTTTATAATAAAATAAAATAAAATAAACACTATAAAATATATGCATTTTCTTTCCACTGTCTTCTTCAATAGATATATAATTATATGAAGAAATAATTATAGCAATGTATTGTTTGGTATATAACATACATGGACATAATATGTATAAAAATAATAGCACATAAAAGTGTGTAGGAAAGGAGATATATAGAAACAAAGGTTCTATATCTTACAGGGATTAATTTATTATGCATCTGATATTGATTCTCATAAGTTCAGATTTATATTGAAAGAAAATAATCCAAAAATATGATAAAATCATTGAGAAATTGAAATTGTAAATTAAAATAATATACACTTAATACAAATAAAATACTAAGGGAGAAACAGAGGAACAAAATAGTCATGAGCCATTTAGAAACAAACAAAAACAAAGTGGCAGATGTAAATCCAACCATATTACGAATATATGTGAATGAATTAACCCAAGCAAAAGGGAAATATTGTCAAGCTATATTTAAAAAAAGACCCATTCTATGCTGTCTACAGGAGATATGCATTAGTCTCAAAGATAAAAAGTTTGAAAATAAAATAATGGAAAAGATACACTATACAGAAAGCAACCATAACAGAGTCAGACTGGCTAGATTTGTATCAATAAAAATAAACACTGAGATAAAAATGTTACAAGATAGGTTATAAAATGGTCAATCACAAAGATCTAACAATTCAACATATATACCCCTAATGACAGAGCCCCAAAAAATATCAAGCAAAAACTAATAGAAATGACCGGAGAAACTGAATTTCAACAATGATAGTTGGAGACTTCAATACCTCTCTTTCAATAATGGATAGAAAAACTATGCACATAATCAAGAAGATACACAAGAACTAAAGAACATGAAAATCAACTAGACCTAGAAGACACTGATAAAACATTCCATCTAACAAACAACATTATCACATTATTTGCAAGTACACATGGTATATTTTCCAGAATAGATCATTTATTAGGCCTTAAAACAAGGCCAAACAGATTTTAAAAGATTATAATAAAGCAAAATACATTTTCTGACCACCAAAGATTTAAATTAGAAAACAATAAAAGAAAGAAAATAGAGAAATGTACAAACATGTAGAAGTGAAACCACATTCAATGAAAGGACCAATGTGTCAAAGAATAAATCACATGCGAAATTTGAAAATCTTTAAGATGAATGAAAACACAAAACACAGCAAAAATTATGAGATGCAGCTCAGTAAATAATTAGTGGGAAAATTATAGCTATAAACAACTATATTCAAAAAAATCTCAGATAGGCTAACTATAAAATGAGAAAAATAACAAATTAAAACTAATATAAGCAAGAGATAGAAATAATAAAGACTGAAGCAGAAATAAAACAAACTGGAAACACAATCAAGAAAATCAATGGAAGCAAAGATTGATTCTTCTAAACGATCAACACAATTGATAAGCCCTTTGCTAGACTAACCATGAAAAAAAGGACAGACTAAAATAATTAACATAGGGAATTAAACAGACGACATCACTACCAAATTTGCACGCGTGAAAAAATGCTTATAAGGGACTACTATAAACAATTGTGTGCTAAATAGACAAATTCCTAGAATGGCATAAGCTAATAAACTGACTCAAGAAATAGAAAATATGAATAGACCTATAACAAGTAAAGATACTAAATTCGTAATTTAAAAGCTTCCCAGAAGAGCCCAGATCCAAATGGTTTCACTGGAAAATTCTACAGAACATTTAAACAAGAATTAACAGCAATTCTTCATAAAATGTTCCAGAAAACTGAAGAGGAGGGAGTATTTCCCAACTCAGTATTGTATTGTAATGCCAGTATTATCCTGATGTCAAAACCAAGATATCACAAGTACAGATTAATATTTCTTATGAATGTAGATGCAACAATCCTCAAGAATATACTAGCAAACTGAATTGAGCAACATTTAAAAAGATTATACACTATGACTAAGTAGGATTATACCAGCAATGCAAGATATATTTACTATCCCCAAATCCCCCAAAGTAATATATCATATTAAGAGAATAGAACACAAAAACCACATGATTATTTTAAAATGTGCAGAAAAGTCATGACAATATCTAGCACACTTTCATGATAAGAAACAACAAACAACTAGGAATAAAAATGAAATTCCTCAACATGACAAAAGACATCAAAAAAAGCCTACAGCTAACATTACACTTGATGAAAGACTGAATGCTTTCCACCTACTATCAAAAACAAGACAAATATATGTCCACTCTAACCAATTCTGTTTAATATACTTTAGCAAGAAATAGGTATGTAAGATGTACAAATTGGAAAGGAAGAAGTAAAATTATCTCTATTTGTAGGTGACATGATACTGTATATATAGAAAATCCTAAGAAATCCACTAAAAAACTATTATAACTACTAGTCAATTTAGTCAAGGTAGCAGGATACAAAAACATACACAAAATCATATTTCTATAAGTGTCAATAAAAAAATTAATTTACAAAGGCATCAGAAGATACTAATTATTTAGAAATATATTCCAAAAATGCACAATTTATAGATTGTAAATCACAAAACACTATAGAAATAAATTATTAAATATCTAAATAAATGGGAATGGGAAAATAACCATGTACATGGATTCAAAGAATTAACATTTTTATGATAGATATACACCAATAGGTAAAGAACAGTATTTTCAACAAATGTTTGTGAGACAACAGGATATCTACAAGCAAAAGAAATAAGTTTAACCCTTACCTTACATCACACAGAAAAATTAACTTAAGTGGATCACAGACCTAAGTATAAGGAGGAAAAAAGCTCTTGGAAGAAAGCATAGAAATAAATCTTCATAACCTTCATAATTGCTTAACCTAAGGTTAACCAATTAGTTATTAGATATGACAGCAAAAGCACAAGCAATAAGAGAGAAGATTGATACACTGCAATTCATCAAAATTGAAAATGTCTTTGCTTCAGAAGACATCATAAAGAAAACGAAAAGACAACTGCCCGAATGGGACACAATATTGTAAAATCATCTATCCGATAAAGGACTTGCATAGATAAAATATAAAGAGCTGTCTCAATAATAAATAGACAATCCAATGTTTTAAAAGTTAGCAAGGAATTCTAATAGACATTTCTCTTAAGAAGATATACAAATGGTAATCACATAAAAAGATGTTGAACATCATTAGTTCTTAGAGATCTGCATACCAAACCCAAAATGGCATAATAATTCATAACCACAAGAATCAGTATAACAAATAAGAGAGATAGCAAGTGTTTGTGAGGATGTGGAGAAATTGGAATCCTCATATATTGTTCTTGGGAATGTAAAAAATGGTAGTTACTTTGAAATACAGTCTGGTAATTCCTTAAAAAGAGACAAAGAGTTACCATATGATGCACAATTTCCAATCCTAGTTGTCTACTCAAGATAACTAAAAAACATACAACCACAAAAATTATACCTGATTATTCATAGCACTACTATTCATAATAGCAAAAAGTGGAGAAACCACAAATGCCCATAAACCGATGAATGGAAAAACAAACTGTAGGCTTTCCAAACAGTACACTATATTTGTCATTTAAAAACCTCAAGTACTGATGTATTCTGAAGTTTGGATGAACCGCAAAAATATTAGACTGAAGTTCTTCCCTGGACAAAATAGCGTACACTTGTTTCTCCTTGTTCCTTTCCACTAGATACAACCCTAAACCATGGATATAATGCAAGAGACAACTAAAAAGGAACTCTGAACAGAGGAAGGCAAATTTGTATGCGGAAGGCAAACTAGAAGAACAACGCAACAAGGCATCTTATGACCCTCACCCAACAAAAAAGGGGACCTAGACCTAGTATTTCCCAACTCCTAACATACTAGCATAATTTGACTCGGATAGGTTAATTTCTCCCTTGGCTTCAACAATAATCCTGCCAAAGTAACTAGGGCAGCCAAGTAGAACCAGAAAGAGGGATGTTACTGGAAATACTGCTGACAATAAAGAGACAAAAAATGTACTAGCCTTCCCAACTAGGCCCAAGACCCTCCTCCAACTACTGCATGGGCAGGGAGCACTCAGAGATCATGAAACAACAACTTTGTAGAATTTTGTTCATATTCATTGGTATATGGTATTAATTTGTGTGATGTACTATGTTTTACTCATTCTTAGAGATGGTGGTTTAATTTCTAGGTTGTGTCCAGTTTGGGCTATTAGCAATTTGTGTTTCTATATGCCTTTTGGCACATGTTAATTTTCTTTCTTTTTTTTTTTTTTTGAGACAGGGTCTCACTCTGTTGTCCAGGCTGGAGTGCAGAGAAGTGATATCTGCTCACTGCAACCTCTGCCTCCCAGGTTCCAGCGATTCTCCTGCCTCAGCCTCCTGGGTAGCTGTGATTACAGGATCGTACCACCACATCCAGCTAATTTTTGTATTTTTAGTAGAGATGGGGTTTCACCATATTGGCCAGGCTGGTCTTGTACTGGCATATATGGTGAATCCGCCCTCCTCAGCCTCCCAAAGTGCTAGGATTACAGGCGTGAGCCACTGCGCCTAGCCTGGCACATGTTAATTTTGAGGATGATTATATGTCAGAGTAGAATTACTGTGTCATGTTGTACGTGTATATTCAGCTTAATAGAACCTGCCAGAACTTTGCCAGAGTCCTGACTCCAATTTCTCCTCCAACAAACAATGTGTGAGAGTTTCTCACAGACATAAGGTATTGTCAGGGTGAGAGCCTCATGTTTGCCCAGGCCCTATGGGTGGGGAAAATTCTGTGGCAGGGAGTGTGAGACCAGGCAGAGCATGGCTGTGTTACTGAGCTGATGAGACAGGGATGGAAATTTGGGGGCTGTTAGTGCAGCTGTGATTTACCTGGTAGGGCACTGAAGATGGGGGAGCTATGCACAGAACAAGGACAGAAGTCAATGTGGGAGTTCGAAATAGGTCCTTGTTAAAGGGCTAGGCTGCACATGTGCACAAGACTCATCAAGGCCCAGCAGGGAGTGAATGTGAGGTTTAATGAAGAACAAAAATACCAGAGGTCTTACAGTGTTCAAAGATTTTGGGGTTCTGGCCTAGCCAAAATAAAACAACCTACAGTAACCTGTGAGATAATGTTCAATCATCAAACATACGTTAGTCAGAGTCCAATATAAAGAGAAAGAGAAATGGATCAGAAAGATACATGATTTGTATAAAAGTGGCCCCAGATTCTCAAGTTTTCAGAAATATGTCAAATTACAAATGTAAGATTAATGGAACCAAATCTGGTTAAATAAAAACAGATATGCACATGAGTATATAATACTTAAACAGCTAAGAGCCAAATAATAAATAAATTAAAAGTGCCAGAGAAATAAAAATTAACTGCCTACCTGGGAATGATGATTTAAACAATGGCTGTCTTCTCAAGAGCATTCACGGAGACATGGAGAAAATGGGGCAGCATCTTTCCAAGGCTCAAAGAAAATAAATAAAATTTTCAATGCAGAATACTACGTCTAGAAAAATTATCCTTCCAAACTCAGCATGAAATAAGACACATCCACACGAGCAAACCTGAGACAACTTGTTCCGTATAACCTGTAACATAAGGAATACTACAGCAATGTCTTCAGACTGAAGGGAAATAACCCTTCATGGAAATTAAAAACTATAGAAAGGAGCCAAGCACACTAGAAAAGAAAATTACGTAGATAAATATGTCAATTTTTCTACTGATTTTGGAAAATAACCCAACTTATAAAACAAAACTGATGATAACATTGTATATGTAAAATATATGAAAACAACACCACAAAGGAAAGAGGATGAAAAGGAAATAGAGTGTTGTGAAGTTAACATTTATGTGCAGTGGTACTAACATAGTTCCAAGTAGAATAAGATAGGATAAAGATTCATATGCCAATCCCCAAAGCAACAATTCAACACAGTATAGGTAGTAATCAGGTTACTATGGCAGTATAATGAATTCTCCAAAAACTTATATTTTGTAATATACTCATTATTTACTGTTTTAGTTTCCAAATAGGATATACTTCAATAAAAGTACTGCCACCATATTGCTCATACCTGGCACATGTTAGATGCTGAAGAAAAATGTATTGAACTTATGGATATTTAACTTGAAATAAATTAATATAATGATAAAAAAAGATGCACTCCTTGGGAAGATAATTTGCATTAACAGAAATTGTTTATCTTAGGCACATATAGATTGAATAAATTTTCTATAAAAGAAAAATTTACAGACTCACAAGTATTTCGATAACTAGTATTTGTAAAGATGAACACTTCCACTGAAGAGGCAAACAAGCCTCTTTCAGTCCAAACACCCTGCTGAGAAAAACTAGGAAATCTGGAAGATATTAAAGATATTGTTTGAAGGCACCATAAACCAAAGGAAGAAAGCAGATAGGATCCCAGGAGACAAGCTTGTGTAATGAGAAGCACTCAAATTTGCTACTGCTTCTCGCTTGAAGGCTTTTGCTGACTTTAAGGATGTGATTGAGGATCCACGATGCTCAGCAGAATGTTGTAGCTGAGCAGCTAAGCAGCTGTGAAGGACATTCAGGAGTTTCATCCAACCAAGAGGATGCAGATTAGACCTAACAGTGAACAAAGGAAACAAGCCAGGGAAAACAAACCAGAGGTTCATTTGGCATCCCCAAGGAATTATATCTTGATATTGATATAAACCTAAAATAGAAAACTCCACACAAAACCTGAGATCCAGTTTCCAAAGAAGTCAATCTCTGATTGTAATGAGATGAACTATCCCGACCCTAACTGCCTCTCAAATGCAAAAGCAACGATATACCACCCTAGAAAGTCCAATTACCTCTATATGACTTCATACAGAAAAGCCAGGCTACAATCAAAAGTAGCCACAAATGCAGAAAGCAAATTGGAAGGAAAGGATTTAGCATCAGACTTGGGATCCATTTTCTCCATTTACTGAGGACGCCTCAAACAGAAAGAACTAAGACGTGATTTTACACCCATGCAATTTAGAACAACAGTGGGATACCACTAAATGCCTATTATATGAACAACAGCAAAAAATACAGACCACAAAAAGTTCTGGCAAGGCTATAAAGCAAATGTAACTCTCCTACACTGCTGGTAGAGTGCAAAACAGTATATTCACTGCGGAACACATCGACATATTCTAGAATAACTGAAAGGCAGAAATATCATGTGATCCAGTCATTTTGTTCCTTTAAATTTTTCCAAGAAAAAATGATATTATATGTCCATACAAAGACTCCTAGAAGAATGTCCATAACATGGGAAAGGGTGGAGAGCCTGGGCAAGATCAAAGGGAAAAAGAACAAGGTTCATAAGAAACTCTGGTGCACGATGAGTGGATATTTACATTATCTTGATTGTAGTATTGGTTTCTTAAGTATACACATATTAAAACTTTTATGTTAACTTTAATGTTGTACAGTTTAAGTCAATTATACTTCAATAAATCTATTCCAAATGTGCCATACGCACCAAATGTCTCAAAGAAAGTTAAGACCATTAAACTCAAAAGAGAAAGTTTGAAGACAGAATACTAAGAAATTTAATATTTATATGAAATATTTAAGACAGAATAATCCTCCAGAATAAATTGGAAAAAAATTGATTTAAGCCAAAAAATGAAAAACTAAAATTAAATCAATAAATGAATATTTTTAATTACATTAAATATATTTTTGATGTTGTTTTTCTTTTTTTTGAATAGAGCACAAAAATGATAAACCCTTGACAACAATTCTCAAAAAAAGCCAGGCATTATCATTATCAGGAATGTAAAGAGGATTATCACTACAGCTCCTTGAGACATATACATAATATGTTAAACAAAGTTATGTTGATAAATTTGAAGTTACATGAGATCAGTAAATTGTAGAGAAAAAAATCAGCTTATCAAGAACAAAAAAAAAATTAGGAAATCTCAATAATTCTATATCTATTTAACAAATTACATCTGTAATTAAATCCTTCCTACCAATGATTCTACACAGTACTGCTTGATGACCTACACTCATTACCATGAGAAAGTATGCCAACTTTGAACAATCTCTTCCAGACAAAAGAAACATTTCTCAGTTATTTTATTAGACTGCTATAAGCTTTACACCAAAATAATATCACAAAGAAGATATAAGAAAGGAAAATCAATGGTTTACAGTGAAGAACTGGAGAAATGGAGCTCTATCTTTCCAATGCTGAAAGAAAAAAGAGAAAACTGCCAATCCAGAATTCCATATGTAGAAAAATTTTGCTTCCAAACTGATAGTGAAATAAGATATTCAAACCTGAGACAATTTGCCACTGGGAAAACTATAAAACAAATAATGCTAAATGAAGCCATTTAGGGTAAGGGAAGATAACATCTTACAGAAACTAAGAATTTTAGGAAGGAGTGAAAAACCCTGAAAAGGGAAAATATGTGGATAAATATATAATATGATTTTCTATTATTTATTTAAATGATAACTGAGATCAATGATAAATGTACTGAAGTTACAGATATTTAACTTGAAATAAATTAAGTATAATGATACAAATGATGCACTCCTTGGTAATATCATTTGCCCTAACAGAAATTGTTTATCTTAAGGACATATAGATTGAACACATTTTCTATAAAAGAAAAATCTACAGACTCACAAGTATTCCAGTAACTAGTATTTGCAAAAATGAACACTTCCACTGAAGAAGTAAACCAGCCCCCTTCAGTCCAACCATCCTGCTGAGCAAAACTAAGAAATCTGGAATATATTAAATATATCTTTAATAACTGTTCTACTTCAGCCAAACATCACAGAAAACCAAAGCTCCCATCCTCACCCATCCATCAAAAATGCACCTTCACCACTATGTAACTAGTTAACCCAAACTGCCACCACATGTGATCCAACAAAGCCCAGTAGGGAGCTGGTACTTTCATACTTGCTGGGTGGTAAAGAGCATGCCCTCAACCACACCACTGGTGTCAAAAGAGACCATGTGGGAAATCTGGACTTCCCTTCCCTGAGAATTAATGAAATACTGCTCCCCTCCCTGCTGGAGTGCTGTCAGAGAAGGGTCAGTGGAGATTAATGGTTTCACAACAGCACATGGTGAAAAGGTTAAAAAAAAAAAAGTCACCCTATACATTGTCAATGAAATTCATATGAGGAGCTATAACCTGACACTCCTACTCTCCCCATCAGGGAGGAATGAGTGGAGGCCTAGACAGCGACCAGAACTCCCAACCCCAACCAGGAGTAACCAGGAACATCCCTCACTCAGGAGTCAATGGGGGCCAGGGATGGAACACTCTTTTACACTCACCTGGCAATAGAGGTAATGCCTTCACCTTTGCCCTGCTTGTGTGGTGCAGAGGAGTTAATTATTGATATTGAAGGCAGAAAAAAAAGAAATTACCCAATCAGGACAACAGAGAGGGAATAAAAGGGAGAAAAAAAGGAACAAAATCTCAGGGACCTGTAGTTCAATAAGAAAAGTTGTAACATTCCTGTGACTGAAATCCCATAAGGAGTGGAAAGAGTATAGGACTAAGAATACTTTAGGATAGGATGCCTAAAAACTTTCCAGCTTGTCAAATGAAATCTACAGATTCAAGAGCTTAGTGAAACACAATTAGGATAAACCTGAAGAAATTCATCCCAAGACACATCATGGTCAAACTTCTGGAAACTAAAGACAAAACAAAGTTATTGAAAACAGCAAGAGAGAAATTATACCTTCCCTATAGGGAAAGTACAAAAACATTCAAATTAGGTCAAATTTATCATCTGGTTTCTACAGGGAAGACAGAAGCAAGTTCCACAATTTTAAAATGCTGAAAGAAAAGAATGGTCAACCCAGAATCCTATATACAGTGAAAATATT
The DNA here is from genome assembly GCF_000001405.40 of Homo sapiens. Lineage (NCBI taxonomy): Eukaryota > Metazoa > Chordata > Mammalia > Primates > Hominidae > Homo > Homo sapiens. The sequence continues at coordinate 27,322,366 of NC_000023.11, forward strand.
CTCAGAAATCAAATTTAAAGTAAGACATTCTCAGATGAAGGAACACTAAGAAAATTTATTGCCAGCACAACTACCCTAAAAGAATGGCTAAAAGCAAGTTATCTAAACAGAGAAGAATGATAAAAGAAGTAATCTTGGAATATCAAAAAAGAAGGACAAGGTTATCAAAACACAGGTGAATACAATAAACTAACTTTCTCCTCTTGAGCTTTCTAAATTAGGTTTTTCACTCTAAATAAAAATTGTAACATTTTCTGATGTGGATCTCAAGTGTGTAGAGTAAATATTTAAGACAAATGAATTCAGGGGTATAGTACATAGAGATAACAGGAGATAAGGTTTCTTTTTTTTTTATTATACTTTAAGTTTTAGGGTACATGTGCACATTGTGCAGGTTAGTTACATATGTATACATGTGCCATGCTGGTGCGCTGCACCCACTAACTCGTCATCTAGCATTAGGTATATCTCCCAATGCTATCCCTCCCCCCTCCCCCCACCCCACCACAGTCCCCAGAGTGTGATATTCCCCTTCCTGTGTCCATGTGATCTCATTGTTCAATTCCCACCTATGAGTGAGAATATGCCAAAAAAGAGCCCGCATCGCCAAGTCAATCCTAAGCCAAAAGAACAAAGCTGGAGGCATCACACTACCTGACTCCAAACTATACTACAAGGCTACAGTAACCAAAACAGCATGGTACTGGTACCAAAACAGAGATATAGATCAATGGAACAGAACAGAGCCCTCAGAAATAACACCGCATACCTACAACTGTCTGATCTTTGACAAACCTGAGAAAAACAAGAAATGGGGAAAGGATTCCCTATTTAATAAATGGTGCTGGGAAAACTGGCTAGCCATATGTAGAAAGCTGAAACTGGATCCCTTCCTTACACCTTATACAAAAATCAATTCAAGATGGATTAAAGATTTAAACGTTAGACCTAAAACCATAAAAACCCTAGAAGAAAACCTAGGCATTACCATTCAGGACACAGGCATGGGCAAGGACTTCATGTCCAAAACACCAAAAGCAATGGCAACAGGAGATAAGGTTTCTAACACATTACTAAAGTGGTAAAATGATGACAGCAGATTATGATATCTGACTATCTATCTATCTATCTATCATCTACCTGTTGTTCAGAGTAATCAGTAAAATGAATAATGCAAAAATGTACATCCAAATACACTACAGATAAATAAAAATTGAATTAAAAAATTTAAATACCCACAGGCAGACAGGAAAGAGAATACTGAGAAACAAAATCAGAGAACAAAGAGAATAAAAAATTAATGGCACACTTAAGTGCTAACATACAGATAATATTAAATGAAAATACCCTGCATATACCAACTAAAATACTGACATTGGCTGAATGAATTCACAAAAAAGTGACTTAACTATTTTTCTGTCCACAACAATTGCATTTTAAATATAACAACATAGACAGATTAAAAGTAAAGGATGAAGCACAAAGAAAAGACATATATTTGAAGTGATTGATATCCCAAACGCACTGATTTCATCTTTGCAAATTATATCAATGTACTAAATTATCACATGTAACCCCAAAATATGTGCATTCATTATGCATCAATAAAATATATATAAAATGTATAAAAATAAAATGAAAAAAAGGATGGGGAAATATATCATACCAAAAATAATCAAGAGAAATCAGGAATCACAATATAAACACAGATAAAGCAAAATTCAGAGCAAAGAAAACTTAAGAAATAAAGATGGACGTTATATAATAACAAATGGTCAATCCAAAAGAAGATATAGTAATCTTAAATATGCATGCACCCAACAAAAGGAGCTACAAAATATGAAAACAAAGCTGATGCAATTGAAAGGAGAAATAGATTAATCTACAGTAGCTGGAGACTTCAACCTCCCTCTCTTAACAATTGATAGAACAACTACACAGAGCCAGCAAAGATTTTAAAGAAAATAACACCATCAACCAACAGGATTTAACTGTCAATTATAGAATACTGCATCCAACAATAGTAGAGTACAAATTACCTTCCTGTGTCCACGGAATATACACCAAGGTAGACCATATCATGGTGAATAAAATAAATCTCAACAAATTTAAAAAATCTAAAATCATAAGAGTGTATTCTCTGACCACAATGGAATCAAATGGAAATTAGTAACAAAAGCATAACAGCAAAATCTCTAAAAGTTTGCAAACAAAATGATACACTTGGAAATAATCCATGGGTCAAATAGATAACATCAAGAATTTTTTTAAAGTCACTGAAATAGACGAAAAAGAAAATACAACATATGAACATTTAAGACAGAAAACAGAAACAGAAAAATAGCATATTAAAGAGGAAAAACTTTTCAATTTATTTTATGAAGCTAGTAATACCATTATATCAAAATTAGACAAAGTACCACAACAAAAAACATAACCCTACAGACACAAAATTTTAACATGATACCAGCAAATAGAACTCAGTGATACATAAAAGGTTTACAAGTTGGTTTAATTCCAGGGATATAAGGCATACACACACAAAAAAGACAACCATGGAAGGTGATGGATATGGAAATTTGTTTATAGCAATCCTTTCACTATGTATATGTATATCAAAAAGTCAAGTCATACAAGTTAAAAATATACAATAAAAATTTTAAAAAACAATCAATGTAATCTACCATATTAGCATGCTAAAGAATGAAAATGACATGAACATAGAAATTGAAGCAAAATCAATTAACCAAATCCAATACCCATTCATGATAACAACTTACAGAAAGAGAAAAATAGAGAAGAACTTCCTAAATTTGATAAAAAGCATCTGCCAAAAACTTATAGCATACATTATACATAAAGGTGAAAAACTGAATGCTTTCCTATTAATTTCAGGAATAAGGCAAGTAGTTTACTTTCACCACTTTTATTCAAAATAGTGCTTGCTGGTGATCCAAGGAAAGAAATAAATAGAAGGCATATAAACCTAAAAGGAAGAAAGAAAACTACCTCTATTTGCAGATGACCTAAAGTCTACAAAGACAATCCCAAAGAATCTCCAAAAAATACTTAGAAATAAGAAGTAATTGGCTGGATGTGGCAAGTCATGCCTATATTCCCAAAGCTTAGGGAGGCCGAGGCAGAAGGACCACTTGAGGCCAGGAGTTCAAGACTAGCCTGGGCAACATAGCAAGACCGTGTCTCTACAAAAAATAAATTAAAAGATTAGCCAAGTGTGGTGGCAGAAGCCTGTAGCCCCAGCTACTTGGGAGGCTCAGAGGGGAAGATCACTTGAGCCCAGAAATTGGAGATTACAATGAGCTATGATTGCGCCACTGCTCTCCATCCTGGGCAACAGTGCAAGACCCTGTCTTTTAAAAAAAAGTGACATTGGCAAGGTTATGTGATACAAAATAAACATGAAATAAATTATGTTTCTATATACTAATAGACATGTGGACACTGAAATAAAAAATAGAATTTATAATTGCTTCATAAATGAAATACTTAGAAATAAACATAAAACATGTATAGGCATTGTATGCTAAAAATTACACAACATTGATGAGAGAAATCAGAGAATATCTAAACAGAGAGACATACTGTGCATGTGAATTTGACTGTTCAACAGAGTAAATTTAAATTCTCACAAAAGAAAAATACAGGTTTAACACAATTCCTAAGTAAATTCCAATAATATTTATTGTAGTTATTGAGAAGATTGTTCTAAAATTGATATAACTAACAAAATTTTGAAATAGTAAAATATGTTGGAGAACTCACACCACTCACTTTCAAGAAGTATTATATAGCTATAGTAATAGAGACAGTGTGGTATTCATAGTGAGATGGACGCATAGATGAATGAAAGAAAAAGAATCCAGAAATAGCCCCATACAGTATGGTCAACTGAATTTAGATAAAGCTGCCAAAGCAGGCTGGACGCAATGGCTCACGCCTGTAATCCCTGCACTTTGGGAGGCTGAGGTGGGCAGATCAGGAGGTCAGGAGATCGAGACCATCCTGACTAACACGGTGAAATCCTATCTCTACTAAAAATACAAAAAATTAGCTGGGCTTGGTGGCATGCGCCTATAGTACCAGCTACTCGGGAGGCTGAGGCAGGAGAATCGCTTGAACCCAGGAGGCAGAGGTTGCAGTGAGCCCAGATCGTGCCACTGCACTCCAGCCTGGGCGACAGAGCAAGGCTCTGTCAAAAAAAAAAACAAAAAAACAAAAAAAAAAAACTGCAAAAGCAATTCAATTGAGAAATAATTGTATATTTTCAAAAATTGTGCTATAGCAATTGGATAGCCATAGGACACAAATTAAACCTCTAAACTTCACATCTCATACAAAAAGCAACTCAAAATATATCATAGATATAATTATTTTTTATAAAAACTACTTAAAAACCTTAAGGAAAGAAATAGAATAAAAACATTCAGGACATTGGGCTAGGCGAGGAGTTATTAGATTTGATACCAAATATCAAACTATATAGTATTTCATACAGAAAATCCAGCATACAATAAAAAAAATAAACATGCAAAAGAATGAATGAAAAAGATTAGCATCTGGCCTTTGATTTGTTTTCTCCATTTACTGTGGATGCCTGGGACAGAAAGAACTATGATTTGGTTATACTCATGCATTGTAATGTGACAATGAGATTACTATTGCATACCTACTAGGAGGGCTACAGTTAAACATTCTGAACTTAACAAGTGCTATAAAGAATGTAGAACAATTGCAGCATTCATTCAGCTGGTAATGTGTAAAATGGTACAATGTTGCAAACTAGTTTGTCATATTGTAAAATAGCTCAGAAGTACACTAATCATGTGACCTAGTCATCCATTCCTTGAAGTTTATCCAAAAAATGAAAGTATATGTCCATAAAAAAACTTGTACAAGAATGTGCATAGCATGGGAAAATGAGGAATGTTGAGGCAGGATCAGTAGACAGGAGATACATATATGCACAAGAAAACTTGAAAAGGTGGGTGGAATGGATATTTACATTATCTTAATGATGGTAACTGTTTCACAAATACATACATATCCCAAAATGTATACTGTTTATTTTAAAGTTGCACAGTTTAAGTCAATTATACCTCAATAAAGCATGCATGAGATGGACCAAAATATCTGTCTAAAGGAAAATTTATAGCATTAATTGTACAAACAGAAATGCCGAAAATTTAAGATCTCATAGTCCACCTCAAGAAATTGAAAAAAGTTATTAATTACTAAAAATAATTGAAGACATGAACCAATAAAATCGAGATAAGTTAATAAAATTTGAATAATTTTAAAGGAAATATTGACAAATCTCAAAGTTTTCATTTTAAATAGAATAAAAAATTGACAAATCTCTTGCAAAACTTATCAAGAAAAATAAAATACACGTTACAGTATCAGAAATGTAGACAGAAACATCACTACAGTTCCTGTAGACAAATACATAATATTATAAACAAAATTATGCTATAAATTTTAAATTTTATAAAATGATAAAAAATCTAAAGCCTAGGAATTCTCAGTAGTCCCATGATTATTAAATAAATTGTATCTATAATGAAAATCCTTCCTACCAATTAATTCCACATCCTAGTGCCTGAATTCCTGATCATTTCCATATAATGAGAAAGAAACACCACCAATCTTGCACAAACTCTTCCATGGAACAGAAAAGAATTCCTCCAAATGTTCTAAGAGACCCTTACAAACTTTACACCGAATTTATCAGGAAATCAAAGGTTTACATCCTGCCAGTTCAAGTTTATACCCCTCCAATAACCTCATATTAAGATACAATATAGTGACTTACTAGTATTTAACTTGCACTAAGTATTAAGCATATTTAATAGAGTAATTGCTAATTTACACTTTGTGTATATACTTAGGTGCAATGCAAAGTTCATTTGTTAAAATACCATTACAATTATACTAAATGCAAAATTATCATATATTAAGGCTATGGAAGTATCAAGCATCTCCACTTATTATTTTATGTTCTATATATTGCTTGTTACTGATAAATTGATATTTACTATATTTATATAAATCACTTCTCATATAGAGTATATTTTCTCAAAACATGATGTTACATGTTACATAATAGCTCTAGACTAAAAATATTTTGCAATAAGCAATACAATTATCACTTCATCATTCTTTATCAAGAGATTCGTGTTTCTCATTAAATTTCTCATTTAAGTCACAAGTAATATCAGATTAGCAATAATAACAACAAACCATCTTACTTGGGAATGTACTTATTTTTTAATTCTTGGAAAATATGTGCAGATATCTTTATGTTTTAAATATAAAATAAATTTTTGGCTTTTTGGCTTTTGTTGTTTCTCATACCAGCTATATATTTTTTATTTTGCTTTGCTTTATTGCTAGTGTCAGCCAAATAAATTCTTTTTGTTTGCCTAAATGAAATAACTTGATATAAAAACTATTGAAGTTTTTGAAATATTTTGTTAGTAAACCATATATTTGACATTTATATGAAATATAAATAATATTAATGAAATGGACATATATCCATCAAAAACTTCAAAAAATAAATGTAGAATATCAATCCATGAACAATGGTTTAAATGATGGCTGCCTTCTCAACAGAATCCATGGAGAACTGGAAAAATGGTACAGCATCTTTCCAATGCTGAGAAACAAGATAACAATTTTAAACCCAGAATCATAAAAACAGTTTCTAAGCCACAAACAGATCCAAAGGTAAGGGAGGAACATCTTTTTGTTCAGAGGCTTAAGTACAACCTTTCACCAAGAATGCTGACAAGACGGGCTAAAAGATGAAAACATGAGGAAAAATCTAAGCAAGGATATCAGAAGCTGCACACAACAGTGAAGATGGACTTCACAAAATTAGCCCAGTCTTGTCAACAAATGAGCAACAAAACAAACAACAACAATAAACCAGATGAGGAGTAAATCTCAAGATTTAATATATTATATTACCTAATATGTCCAGTACTTAACAACAAAATAAAAATTCCAAAACTATGAGACATGGAAAAAAAGAGGGAAGTGTGACAAATATATAGGACACAAGACAAACAACAGAAACTGCCTTTGCAAAGACCAAAATGTTGGAGTAGCAGACAGGCTTCAAAACAGCTATCATAAATATGTTTTAAAAACAAAAGGAAACTGTGTTTACAAAATTAAAAAATATAATGTTAGCTTAAAATCTGTGCATTTCACTGAATTGCCTCATTCAATAAAATGAAAGAAAAAAGTAATTATCAATATCAAGTTTTCAATAAAATGTTTAAATAAAATGTGACAAAAAGGCCACAAGGAAAAGGCAGGGATAAAAGGAGTTTTTCTGCTGTTAGGTTGCGTTTACATAAATTGATACTTTCTGGTGGGGCGCGGTGGCTCACGCCTATAATCCCAGCACTTTGGGAGGCCAAGGCAGGTGGATCAGGAGGTCAAGAAATTGAGACCATTCTGGCCAACGTGGTGAAACCCCGTCTCTACAAAAAACACAAAAATTAGCTGGGCGTGGTGGTGCACGCTTGTAGTCCCCGCTACTCGGAAGGCTGAGTCAGGAGAATCACTTGAACCCAGGAGGTGGAGGTTGCAGTGAGCCGAGATCGCGCCACTGCACCCCAGCCTGGAGACAGAGTGAGACTCCGTCTCCAAAAATAAATAAGTAAATAAATAACGAAAAAAGTAATAGGTAACATTTTGGTTATTAACGTAGCTTTTAAAATTACCACAAAATTTATATTCTATAATATATTACATATTGACTTGTTTGTTTTCCACTGGGCTGTGCCTCAGTAATGTACCTCTACCATGAAATCCATATCTGGCACATGTTGGGAACTCGGGAAACACTTAGGCAATCAATGAAAAAAATCTAACATTAAGCAAATAAAGACAGGAGAATTGCTTGAACCCAGGAGAGGGAGGTTGCAGTGAGCCGAGATCGTGTCACTGCACTCCAGCCTGGGCAACAGAGCAAGATTCTGTCTCAAAAAAACAAAAAGAGAGAGAGAGACAGAAAAGATAAACTCTTCAGAAAATTATTTGTCTTTTAAGAAAAATTTTAATCTTATTGATATAAAGATTGGGTTAATTAGGCATAAAAGGAAAAACAATTAAACTTATTTCAAAAAGGAGAATATATGGAGCAGTTTTCAGGAATGACTGAGAAGCTGTCAGATAAACCATTCCTCTGAGAAAAACTAGGAAAGCTGGAAGATATTAAAGACATTCTTCAAAAGCACTACTAACCCAAGGAAGCAACCACCTGATGAGACGAGTTCTCAAAAGAGAAGCCCAAGGGATGAAACCCAAATTTGGTACCTCTTTTCCCCTCAAAATATATGCTAACTCAAAGGAGGTGATTGAGAAGCCAAGATACTAACCACAAAGCTGTAGTTTAGACACTATGCAGCTGAGCAGGTATTTTAGTAGTCTCAAAAACTCAGGGGACACAGTGCACCAAGGAGAAAGAAACAGGAAGACAACCCAGGGGTTCATGTGGCATCCCTGAGAGGCTATGCCCTAAATGCTGATATGAGCCAGAAATAGAAAACATCTCACAAAACCTGAGATGCAGCTTCAAAAGGAATATCCCTGATTGCTGACAGCTGCCCACATGCTAACTGTCTCTTAGAAGCAAAAGCAAATGCTCGCTAAAAAGGAAAAATTTTTCAAAACTTCCAATTATGTCTATGGTATTTCATACACAAAATCCAGCATACAATAAAAATAACCATATAGGCAAAAGCATAAATGGGAAAGAAAAGATTAACAACAGGCTTGTAATCCATTTTCTCCACTTACTGGGAATAAATAGCAAGGAAAGATTGATGACTTGTGTATATCACACAATTTAGAGCAACAGTGAGGTATCACTGCACACCTATTAGAAGAGCTACAATTAAATATACTGACTAAAACAAGTGCTGGCAAGTATGTAAAGCAACTGTGACTCTCATAATATTGGTAGGATGTAAAACGGTATAATTACGTTGCAAAACATATTGATTTATTCTAAAACAACTTTAAAGTACACTTCTCTCATGATACAGCCATTCCACTCCTTGAACTTTATCCAAGAAAAATGAAATTATACATTCACAAAAAGACTCATACAAGAATGTCCATAGTATAGTTTTAAGTTGGGTAGTGTGATGATTCTGGCTTTTTTCCTTTTGGTTAGAATTGCTTTGACTATTGGGGCTCTTTTTTGGATCTATACTATAAAGCTAAGGAAACCAAAACAGCTTGGTACTGGTACAAAAACAGACACCAGACCAATGGAATAGAACAGAAAACTCAGAAATGTAAGCCATACACCTACAACCATCTGATCTTTGACAAGTCCAACAAAAACAAGCAATGAAGCAATGGGCATTCAATAAATGGTGCTGGAATAAGTGGCTGGCCATATGCAGAAGATGGAAGCTGGACCCCTACCTTTCATTACATACAAAAATTAACTCAAAATGGATTAAAGATTTAAATGTAAGACCTCAAACTATAAAAATCCTGGAAGACAACCAAGGAAATACTCTTCTCGACATCAGCCTTGGCAAAGAATTTTTGGCTAAGTCCCCAAAAGCAATTGCGGTAAAAGCGAAAATAGACAAGTGAAACCTAATTAAACCAAAGAGCTTCTGCACAGCAAAAGAAACTATCAACAAAGCAGGTAACCTACAGAATGAGAGAAGATATTCATAAACTATGCATGCAACAAATGTCTAATATCCAGAATCTAGAGGGGATTTAAACAAATCAACAAGCAAAACACAAATAACCACATTAAAAAATGGGCAAAAGACATGAAGAGATACTTCTCAAAAGAAGACATATGACAGCCAACAAACACATGAAAAATTGCTCAACATCACTAATTATCAGAGAAATGCAAATAAAAACCACAATGAGATAATGTATCACACAAGTCAGAATGTCTATTATTAAAAAGTCAAAAAAACAACAGATGCTGGCCAGGTTGTGGAGAAAAGAAAACACTTTTACACTGTTGGTGGGAATGTAAATTAGTCCAGCCATTGTGGAAAGCAGTCTGGAGATTTCTCAAAGAACTGAAAACAGAGCTACTATTCAACCCAGTATTCCTATTACGGGCTATATACTCAAAGGAAAATAAATCATTCTACCAAAAAAGACATGCACTCACATTTTCATCGCTGCACTATTCACAATAGCAAAGACATGGAATCAACCCAGGTGCCCATCAATGGTAGACTGGATAAAGAAAATGTGGTACAGGTCCACCATAAAATACTATGCAGACATAAAATATAATGAAATAATATCATTTGCAGCAACATGAATGGAACTGGAGGCCATAATTCCAAGTGAATAAACACAGAAAATCAAATACTGTATGTTCTCATGTGTCAGTGGGAGCTAAACATTTGATTTTGATTTTAACTTTTTATTTTATAATTTCAAAAAAGTGTATTCTCAAATCTTAAATTTTCAGGATTTTATCTTTGACATTAATGCTCTAAATTTTCCTTTAGATACATGTTTTGGTACATAGCACATAGTTTGTAACAGCTTAATTGAGGTATAATTGATGTCAGATGAACTGCACAATTTAATATATATTTGTGTGTGTGTTTGTGTGTGTGTAGTTGAGCACACATGGACATCAATATGGGAACAATAGACACTGAAGACTACTAGCAGGTGGAGGGAGAAACAGGGGTGAGTTTAAAAAATATCTATCCAGTACTATGGTTGCTACCTATGTGATGAGACCTGTACTCTAAGCCTCAGCATCACACAATATTCCCATGTAACAAACCTGCACATGTACCTCCTATCTAAAATGAAAGTTGAAGTTACTAGCAATAAAGAACGTCCACGGTATGGGAAAGTGGGGAGAGCTCGGGCAAAATTAAGAGGGGGAAATCCAAAAGTGCACAAGGAAAGCTGGAGAGAAGGATAAATATGTTCATAATCTTAAGTGTAGAGATGGTTCCTCTCTCTCTCTCTCTCACACACACACACACACGCACACACACGCACGCACACATACACACAAATATATATATATTGTGTAGCCTATTTGAAATCAATTATACTTCATCTAAGCTGTTAAAAACTGTGTACTACATGCCAAAATATGTGACTAAAGGAAAATTTAGAGCATTAATGCCAAGGATAAAATCCTGAATATTGAAGATTTGAGAATACACTGCATGAAATTAAAATATAAATCAGAAAATGAAATCAAAATTTTAAACATGAAAAATTAAAATTAACATCAGTTAATGAAATCTAAAAAAAATTAAATAGCAATTGAAGAATTCTGTTGTTTGAAAGGAAAAAATGTAATACGTCCCTGGCAAGACTGATCAAAGGAATTTAAAAAAGACATATATTATCAATAGCAGGAATGTAGACGGAACCATCCCTAGGATACTGGAGATACATACATTATGTTATAAGCAAATTTATGCCAATAAACTTGAAATTCATGAAATGAGAGAAACAAAAATATAGCAAAATAGTTAAACCAGGAAATCTCAACGATTTTATATCTAATCAAAAGCTGTATCTTTATAAGAAAAACCTTCCAACAAATAAATTATTTGTTGGTGCCTAAATTCCTGATGTTTCTCATGTAATTGAGAATTAAATAACACCAATATTGGACAACCACTTTACACAGGAGAGAAACAGTAAAAACTCTGCCCAAAATGCTTTATAAGACCTCTATAAACTTGATACCAAACTAATAAGGACATTATATAAAAGGAAAACCAAAGGTTTGTATGCCTAATGACAAACACAAAAAACTAAATAAAAGTAACATTTTATATTTGACAAACAGAATCTAAAGATACTTCAATTATAATTAACCTTGAACAAATTGGCTTTAACACAAGAATGGATTCTTGTTGCTTTGTTTTCAAATCAAACAATCTTGACAAAGAAATGAAACTATGCCATTACAACAGCAATTACAGAAAGTCATTTCACATAATTAGCCACTTAAGAGATTTAAAAAAAATAAAAAATAAAAACTGCAGCATATATAATCAGTGGTGAAAAACTGAAGAACTTCTCCCTCAGGTGAAAAAAGAGACAAGGATGTCTACTGTCACCAATTCTATTCAGCATTTTAGGGAAAATTTGGTTCAGGGCAACAATACAAAAAAAAGAAAAAGACATAAATATTGAAACCCATAAACTGTACCCCATGTCTATATACAGACTGCATAATTATGCTTCCAGAGTATCTAAAAGCAATCTGTAAGCAATGTATTACAACTAATAAGTAAATATTTCAAGATTGATAGGTAACATACATTTAAACAAACACTTTTTTTTCTAAGAATAGCAATTCTTAATAAACCGTTCATACACATCATAAGAAATGACACAAAAACCCCACTGGACAAGGTTATATTTTTAAGGCTTTTTCTATATATTTAGCAGTCATTATAACCCTGAATATTGCTACTTTTTTCTAATACAGAGACTCCAAAATATAAACCAAACTTTATAAGAAACTTGACATTTAATCCAAATGAAACAATAAAAAGGGCATTCTTTGTGTAATTTTTCCTATGGTCCTTAGTCTAATCATCTCACTGACTAAATAGAGATTAGCTTCTTTAAAGTAAGTCACAAGTATTTTCTCTACAAAATTTGCTTATATATTTTTTCTTATTCTTTTCCACTGTTTTCTAGTTCTTTTAGCATGATTTCTTAACTGTTTGTATATTACCTTAAAAGTAAAAAACAGGAAAAAAAAAACTACAGTTGTTTAGAAAACAATCACTAGAAAACAATCACATGCCACTATGTGACTACTTCTTTAATTTCCTTGCGCTATGTAAAAATTTATCTTATGCTTGGTGTAAAATTTTCAAAAAATGCACATGAATATATCCTCTCGGAAGTAACCATGATATCAGTAAAGTGTGTCTAAGAACAGATATTCACATAAATTGGCATTTACATAATATATGTATATACATATGCGCACATGTGAAATTATAATTTGCTTTACTTTTTACCAGCAATATATTGTGGAAATATCATCTGGAAGTATATAAGATCTATTAGATTGGTTGCATAGCTACATAATATCCACAGAATGAAAACAATGTAATTTATTGAAAAGTAGCTCTTTTGCCAATTTTGTAACCACACATTTATGCTTGTTAGTGGCTGTACTGGATACAGTCTTAAAAGGCAAATTATTATTTTAGAAAGCAGGTGAAAAACTACTTTGTTAATGCTAAATTAATTTCCAAAAACCCAGTACTATATTATACTCCCTCAATAATCTGGTATCAAGATAAAGGATAATTTTTTATTTAATTTGCATTATTATGCATAGTTAATAGCATTAATGAAAATGTATGCTTACTTTATGTAAAATGATGAATTTTAATATTTCACTTGTTAGTTTATAATTTATTTAATATACTAAAAATTTTATATATCAAACCTGTGCATATACTGTTTACTTTCACATATGTTCCATATATTGCCAGTTACTGAATCGATTCCTATATGTATTATATTTACATAAATCATTCCAGATATGCAATATAATTTGCCAAAGCAATAATTTTGCTATAGATCATACAAATGTCACTTCATTATTCTTTATAGTTTTAATTTCTTCTCACACATTTTCTCATGCATGCCAACATTAACAACAAATGAGCAATTATAAAAACGATTTTTATATTTTTCTTGGGAATGTGTTTAAATTATATTATTTTGGATATAATTCGTAGATATGTATACATTTTAATAAAAATTAGACATTTATCCCATGATTTTCTTTTGCTTTTGCTGTTGCTGTCAATCAAGTAAATTATATTTTTATTTACAGAAATGAAATATTTAGATTGACCATATAGGCATTGGACTTTTAAAACTATTTTATTATTAACCTACATATTAGATATCTATATGAAATACAAAAAAAAAAATCAGTGAAGTGAACAAATGCATACCAACTGAAAACTTCTGAGAAATAAAGATATATTACCTATCCTAGAACGATGACTTAAAATTCGGCTTCCTTCTGAACAGAATCCATAATCAGAAAAAATGGAGCAGAATCTTCTCAACGCTGAAAGAAAAATTAAAACTATTAACCCAGATTCTATATCCAGCAAAATTATCTTTACAAACTGATTAGCCAGGCAAACAAACCTGAGAAAATGTATTGCTTGACAAGCTATAATTCATGTTGCTACACTCACGAGATGAAAATTGAGAAGGAAGAAAATTCGAGAAGAGCACGAGGCTCGAGGGATAAGGTGGCGCCCTCTGCTGGTAGCAGTTGCTAATGGCAGTCGGCTGGAATTTTAGCCTAGCAATTTACCTATAGCATCACACAACTGCTGCGTTAGGTTGGGTATGAAAGGGTCACTAAGCTTGGTCCAGAATCCATGTGTGGCCATAAACCCTATCTCTCGAAGGCAGAGGGTGTAAAAAATGTGTGGGCATGTTTATAATTTGCAATAAACAAAAATTTAAAGGAGAAAATTAAATTGAATTAAAAATATTAAATAAACACAAATGTAGCCATGAAAGGAGAAATAGAGAAATAAAAAGAGATGAAAAAATAGAAAATAAATGGCAACACTGTCAAGTTGAAATCAAACTATATTAATAAAAACATTAGTTTTTAAAAGCTTAAACATTCCAACTAAAATGCATACATTTTGAGACTAGAAAAGAAGCAAGTCTCAATTATTTGCTGTTTATATGAGACGCAATTTAAATTGAAAGACACAGTAAGGTTGAAAGTAATAGTATAAAAAATAATGTGCAATGTAAAATTAAGCATAAGAAAACTGGAATGTGTACATTAATGCCAAACAAAGTAGATGTCCAGGAAAGGAAAGTAACTAGAAATAAAGAAGAACATTTCATTATCATTAAAGGATCTATTCATCAGGAATGGAAGAAACACAATATTTACATATGTCATAATTACAGAATCTGGAAACAGAGACAAAATATAAGTGATTATATGTTAATAAATTTGAAATTATGTAAAATGTAGAACTCTGAATAAACCCAACTTAATGAAAAATAAAACTGAGAAAATTTGCATAGTCTCATTAAGTAAATTACATCTATAATGAAAAATTCCCTATAAGTGAGTCCTATGCTCTGGTGATCGAATTGGTGAATTTTCCCCTACAACTGAGAAATAAATTACATCGATCTTATACAAAAGTAGCAGAAAATAAAAGCAGTAGGCAACTCCTCTAAATGATTTAAGAGTTCTGGGCCAGGTGCGGTGGCTCACACCTGTAATCCCAGCACTTTGGGAGGTCGAGGTGAGGGGATAACCTGAGGTCAGGAGTTTGAGACCAGCGTGATCAATATGGTGAAACCCTGCCTCTACTAAAAATACAAAAATTAGCCGGGCATGGTGGTGCACACCTGTAGTACCAGCTACTCAGGAGACTGAGGCAGGAGAATTGCTTGAACATGGGAGGCGGAGGTTGCAGTGAGCCGAGATTGCGCCACTGCACTCCAGCCAGGACGACAGAGGGAGACTCCATCTCAAAAACAAACAAACAAACAAACAAGCAAAGAGTTCTGTATAAACTTTACACCAAACTGACAAAGATATCACATGAAAAGGTTATATATATATATATATATATATATATATATATATATATATATATATACACACACACACATCTCATGAACAAATGAAAAAAAAAGTTTAACAAACTGAATCCAAAGTTACATTAAATCTGATACACTATAAATAAATTAGGTTTTATCCCAGAGTGAATTCTTGTTGCAATAAACACTTTGAAATCACAAAAGTTCAGTAAAACATAGAAATATATAATAATATTGTGATTATAAGTGCAAAAACTAACATATCACCCACTTAATATTAGAAAAAAATCCTAAAATTGTAGCTAATATCATAATCAGTGGTGAAATATTCAAATCTTTCCCTGAGATCAGGAATGAGAAAAAGATTCCTACTATCACCAGTTCTATTCAACATTTATGTATGCAATAATACAAGAAAAAAAAGACATACAGATGGGAAAGGAAGAAATTAACTGCCATTATTCACATACTGAATGTTTATATTTCTAGACTAACATCAGTGTATATATTATATGTTAGAATTAATTAATTTAGCAATTACTGGATATATGGTTAATATAAAAATAAACTGTAACTGTATTTCCAAATTCCTGCAACAATTAGAAGATTAAATTAATTAAAGATACCGTTTACAACAACACCAAGATTATCAAAATCTTAGGTAAAATTTTAATGAAAGCTGAGCAATATATTTACATACCAAACTATAGAAAATTATTCAGATGAATTAAATCGAGATATTAACAATTGAATGGTGAACAATGTTTATTAAATGGAAGATGTAGTTTTTTTAAGGTGATCAATTCTTCCCACTTTGAAGCATATGTAATCTCATTCAACACGAACCCAAGTCAAATCCCAGCAGTAATTCAGCATATTCTATAAATCATTAAATTTAAAAGTTGGACAAATGGAGAGAATTAACAGAAAGTTCGATTTCAGTCAGATAGAATGAAAAAAGACCTATTGGTGAAAGATTAGGGCAATTTGGAACATTGTGATTTCCTGCCACTAGAGTTGGTGCATGAATTATACAGTACCTTGGTGTTGATATTCTATCAGGAAATTAAAGACAGGTTGATGACTTGTGACAGCTACACTTTGTATTTTAACATCTGAGATCATCTACTGAATTTTCGAACACTCTATTATTCAAGAATGAATTTTTTTTTTTTTTTCTGAGACGGAGTCTCGCTCTGTCATCAGGCTGGAGTGCAGTGGCATGATCTTGCCTCACCGCAACCTCTGCCTCCCGGGTTCAAGTGATTCTCCTGCCTCAGCCTCCCGAGTAGCTGGGACTACAGGTGTGCGCCACCACACCCAGCTAATTTTTGTATTTTTAGTAGAGACGGGGTTTCACCATGTTGGCTAGGATGACCTCAATCTCTTGACCTCGTGATGCACTCGCCTCTGCCTTCCAAAGTGCTGGGATTACAGGCGTGAGCCACTGCACCTGGCCTCAAGAATTAATCTTTTAAACCACAGGGAGAATTATCATTTTTATGAAGACTTCAAAATGGCATGCTTATACAGAAGGTGGGATGTATAATTCACTGCACATTTAAACGTTAGCCTTTTTATGGAATACTGGAAATTATGTGCAGGATTTTGCCCTATATGTGGTAAAAGGAATGGATGTACTTTGGTTTTACTTTGCATGTTTGGAAAAAAGACACTAAGGTCATAGAAGCAAAGAGATTTTCCCAAGTTTATAAGGAGAATAGCAGAATCGAACCGAAGAATCATCCTTCTATAACCTAGTCCTGAGCATTGCACTATCCTATTTCCATATTCAATATACCATTTATCAACAAGCGTTAATTTTTTAAATGGGAGGCAAACACATTCAAAATTATCAGAATCATTTCCTCAAACTTGAATTATATGCTATAACTGGGCTCTAATCTCGTCCATATCACAAATATTGTTATGATTTCTCTGAGATGTAATCACACACAAATTGAACATTGTACTTTAAGAAATTGCTTCTGGAAGCTGTTTTTTCTTATACACTACATGCTTCATTTTCAATATATGCAATTACAAAGTGCTTTTTTTTCTTTAGCAATATGTCGATCAATGAATATACACCATTCACTAATTTTGATGGTACTTAAGTGGTTCTCTGCCATTGATGATGGTCCTGTTACATAGTTAAACATAAACGCATTTTTCTTTTTTCTTTTCTATTACTTCATGGTGTTGTTTTTTGTTTTGTTTTGTTTTGTTTTTGTTTTTTTGAGATGGAGTCGCCCTCTGTCATCCAGGCTGGAGTGCAGTGGCATGATCTTGGCTCACTGCAACCTCCGTCTCCTGGGTTCAAGAGATGCTCCTGCCTCAGCCTCCTGAATAGCTGAGACTACAGGCATGCACCAGCACACCTGGCTAATTTTTGTATTTTTAGTAGATACAGGGTTTCACCATGTTGGCCAGGCTGGTCTCGAACTCCTAACCTCAGGCGATCTGCCTGCCTCAGTCTCCCAAAGTGCTGAGATTACAGGCATGAGCCACCGTGCCTGGCCTACTTCATGTTTTTAATTGAAAGACAAAATTGGATGTATTTACCATGTATAACATCATGTTTTGAAATATGTATTGTGAAATGACTAAATCTAGTTAATTAACATACACATTTTTCTGAAAATGGCAATCCTTCATAAGGTTTTTATACACATCATGAGAAAGGGCATAACAAATCTACAGGATAAAATTATAGTTGTAAGGGTATTCATATACACATGAAACGAGTCACTACAACACTGATTATTATTGTCAATTTTTCTAATATGGGAACAGGTGCACTTAATATAAGACAAACTTCATAATACATGTTACATTTAACTCTAGTTGAACAATAAAAGGTCATTCCTTGTAGCAATTTTACTTATGACCCCTTGTATAATAATTTCACTGACTAAATAGAGGTCAGTTTTTTAAAGTGGTTCACAAATAAATTATCTCCACATAACTTGCTTATATTGTGCTTATATTGTGTCTTTTCTGTCTGTTTTCTAATTATCCTTTCTTCAAGTATAACTTTTCATCCTGTTCTGTACTATTTTAAAAAATAAGAACAAAAAGCAAAGAGCAGATGTCCAAAACAATCATTAGTCATAGGCCGTCATGTAGATATTTCTACAATTTTTCTTTAAGTAGTTGAAAATGCAGAGTGTGCTCATTGTAAAGTTTTGAAAAAGTGCAGATACATATTTCATTCTCAGATGTAAACACGATTAGCAGTAAAGTTAGTATATGGACATAAATATATGTTAATATGCATAATATATGCATATATTTGTGCACATGACTGATGGAAATGAAATCACAATGTGCTTTTCTTTCTTTAGCAATATGCCTTGGAGATGTTTTCTGTAAATAAACATAGGCATAACTGACTGATTGCAACAGCTGAACAGTAATCATAGTATGGACATATAATAAGTTATTTGACAATTTCTCTATTCCCTTTTTTGTACCTACACCTTTATGCCCTTCTCTGAGTATCTGTCCAATCCTAAACGTGGAAGTACTCTGTAAAGGATATGTAACTTAAAACTCTTCTAAGGAATTTTAAATAAAGTTTCGAAGATCTAGTATCATTTCATACTCTTTACAAAAATCTATGACCAGATATATAAATATACATATTTTTTAATGTTCTTTAAGAAATAAAGCGATATAAATTATTGTAGACAGAAAATGTTTTCTAAAAGCAGATGTTATTGTATATTGTATAACTACCATAAAAATAAAATAGTTTGCTATAGGTAACACAGCTTTCATCTTACTATTTTATATTAATAGATCTTGCCAGTTTTCATGTAATTTCTCATCTAGGTCAACATTAGGTTCAAGTCGCCAAGTATCCAGAACAAACCATTTTGAAATTTTCTTTAGGAATATGCTTAAATAATTTTAATTTGTATACAATTCAGATCTTTTTGGTTACTGTAGTATTTTAATTTTAATTCAATTTAATTTTTTTAGAGATGAACTCTGCCTATGTCACCCAGGCTGGAGAGTATTGGTTATACATGAGTGCATCTGAGGTCACTGCTGCCTCGAACTCCAAGACTCAAGTGCTCCTTCTGCCTCAGCCACCCAAGTAGGTGGGATGATAGGTGCATGCCACCGTGCCCAGCTTAAAATTTTTTAAATTGGAATAATAAAATAATAATTTTAGTTGGAATATTTTTGACTATTATTTTATTCTAACTCATTCTTTTTACTTGGCTTTCCTTCTATTGTCATTCAAATGAAGTATCCTTTGCCTTACATAGAGGAAATAATTTTAATTGAAAACTACACTTTGAAGTTTTTGAATTATTTTATTAGAAATATATGTTTGTTATATATTTGAAATATAAATAATATTAATGAAAAAAAATATATTTCCACCAGAAAGATAATATGACCAAGGCCTTAGGGGACACATGTATGCACTTTCCCAATTATATCACTCTGCTTCCTCCTAGAAACACATACGCAAACACACACACATACACACACACACACACACACACACACACACACACACACCCCAAAATTTTGGTGTTGATCATTCCCTTGATTTTTTTAGGTTATATTTATTGTAACTATATGTCGTCTTTATTTATCCTTCAAAGCATAATACAAATGGAGAAAAGTGAAAAACTACCAACTGACCAGATCCGTATAGTTAGCCAAAAAGAACATAGCTGTATAAATAACACTTGGATGGAGAAAGTCAGATTTCCAGAAGAATAAAAGAAATAAATCCTTTTTGCTATCTCCCATCATTATGTCTCTCCTTTTCTTTATAGTTAACCACAGCTCTGACTCCTAACAACTTAAACTGACTTTTCCTCTTGTGAAGGAAAGGAATAAGAGCAGGCTTGTAACTATTCTCTAACAGAAATGCCTGAAAAAGTTAATGACTTTCTAGTAAAGGTGCTGACATAATAACTCTTTGTAAACCTGCTAATAGATATTACTATTTTACCAGGATGTACTTTTTCTGTCTAGGTTGTTTATTATAAACAACCCTGGAAGTTATGGATCTATACAGATTCACTGGCTGAAGAATAAAATATAGTGCAATTAATGGAGACTGTGTAATTAACACTGTAAAATGGGATGAGCCAAAAAATTAAATGACTCCCTTTTTAAAATAATATTTTCACACACATTACTCAACACAACTCATCTTTTATTGTAAAACAAAATCACATCCTGATGTGGAAGAAAAACAGCACAAGGAGGGGCTGTTTCTGATGCTTTCATGACCTCAAAAAATATAATGTTTTATATTTTGACTGGATGTTTGCCTCTATTACCTAAATCACAAATAAAATGTGGTGTAAGAGCTGCCACTCATGTGAGTCTGATTTCAAAACACAACTCTTTGTAACAACACACCTGTTTTGGAAACTCACATGAATAGTTCCAGACAATTATTATTTTTGTATGTGTGAATTTCTTTGCTCAACGATATGGCCATGAGATTTATCTAAGTTGTATACAGAAGTTTGTTCATATTCATTGCTGCATGGTATTACATTGTGTGATATACCATATTTTACCCATTTTTAGAGATGGTGATTTAATTTCTAGGTTGTGTCCAGTTTGGGCTATTAGGAATTAGCGTTTCTATATGCCTTTTGGCACATGTTAACTTTTAGGATGATTATATGACAGAGAGAATTACTGTCATACTGAATGTTCATATTCAGCTTAATAGAACCTGCCAAAACTTTGCCAGAGTCCTAACTCCAATTTCTCCTCCCACAAACAGTGTATGAGAGTTTCTCATAGACATAAGGTATTGTCAGGGTGAGAGCCTCATGTTTGCCCAGGCCCTATGGGTGGCGAAAATTCTCCTGTGGCGGGGAGTTTGAAACCAAGCAGATCATGACGGTGTAACTGCACTGATGAGACAGAGATGGAAATTTGGGGGCTGTTAATGCAGCTGTGATTTACCTGGTAGGGCACTGAAGATGGAGGAGCTATGCACAGAACGAGGACAGAAGTCAATGTGGGAGTTCGAAATAGGTCATTGTTAAAGGGCTAGGCTGCACATGTGCACAAGACTCATCAAGGCCCAGCAGAGCATGAATGTGAGGTTAAATGAAGAACAAAAATACCAGAGGTCTTACAGTGTTCAAAGACTGTGGGGTTCTGGCCTAGCTAGAGTAGAAAAAATATCTGGTCATTTAACATATGTTTATGTAGAGTGCAAGTTGAAGAGGTACAGGAATGAAGCAGAAAAAAATATATATGCTTTGAGGAAAAGTGACGAAATATTCCTTTGTTTTGTTAAATAAAGCCAAACTGCAGATCCAAGACCACTGAAATCGAAGCATGTTAAATAGAAATAGATGTGCACGTGGGTACTCACATTTAAACTACTGAGAGACAAACATTTTTAAGAAATTAAAATTTCGAGAGGAATTCAGATACATTTCCTACCTGGGAATGATGAATTAAATTTCCTACCTGGGAATGATGGCTTCTGGTATGGTTTGGATCTGTGTTCCCACCCAAATCTCATGTTCAACTGCAATCCCCAGTTTGGAGGCGGAGCCTGGTGGGCAGTGATTGGAACATGGGGGCAGAGTTCTCATGAAAGGTTTAGTACCATCCCCTCTGGTACTGTATAGTGACTAAGTTCTGAAGAGATCTGGTTGTTTAACAGTGTGTAACACCTCCCCTCTCTCTCGATCCTACTCCTGCCATGTAAGACTCCTGTTCTTGCTTTGCCTTCTACCATGAGTCAAAGCTCCCTGAGGCCTCCCCAGAAGCAGATGCCACCATGCTTCCTGTACAGCCCATGGAACCGTGGGCCAATTAAACCTCTTTTCCTTATAAATTACCCAGTCTCAGGTATATCTATAGAAATGCAGGAACGCACTAATAATGGCTTGCTTCTCAACAGAATCCATGGAGACTGGAGAAAATGTGGCCGAATTTTTCCAATGTCGAAGGAAAAAAATAATAAGACCGTCAACTCAAAACCATCTAGCAAAATTATCCTTCCAAACTGAGACTGAAATAAGACACATCCACACAATCAAACCTGAGACAATTTGTTGCTGGATGACCTGAAATATAAGTAATACCGCAAGATCTTCAGGATGAAAGAAAACGACACCTCATGGAAATTAAGAACTACAGGAAGGTAAGAGGTGCACTGGAGAGGGAAAAAGACAACTATTCTTTACTTTTGCAATGTATCCGACTCTATGAAGCAAAAATGGTAAATAGTATTGTATATGTGAAATATAAGACATAGCATAAATGAAAGCGGATTAGTCAAAATGTAGTGTTGTGAGGCTATATTTACATGGGGTGGTATTATCATAATTCAAAGTAGACCAAAATAATATAAAGAATCATATGCCAATTCTTGGAGCAAGAGTTAAGTATGATACAAGAAGGTGTAAGTTCCTTCTAGTACTGTGGCTACACAGAAAATTATCCCCAAGTTTATCTTTAATGAATACTTCTTATTTACTCATTTTTTTTTCACTAGGTTGTACGTCGATGAAGCACTAACATCATATGGTCCATACCAGGCACATGTTGTGAACTGAAGAAATATTTATGGAGTAAATAATGAAATATTTAAATGAAGTAGAATGAAATGAAAAATGATGCTCTCCTTGGGACAATTATTTGCCCTGAAATAAATTTACATATATATATATATACACACACACACACACACACACACATACACACACACAAGATATATATATATATATACACCATATATATGTACTTATATATATAATATATATACATGTGTGTACACTTGTGAAGCAATATCCACAATGAAGAAAATGTGGGCCGGGCGTGGTGGCTCACGCCTGTAATCCCAGCACTTTGGGAAGCTGAGGTGGGCGGATTGCCTGAGGTCAGGAGTTCGAGACCAGACTGGCCAACATGGTGAAACCCTGTCTCTACTAAAAATACAAAAAAAAATAGCCGAGCGTGGTGGCACACACCTGTAATCCCAGCTACTCAGGAGGCTGAGGCAGGGGAATCGCTTGAACCCAGGAGGCGGAGGTTGCAGTGAGCCAAGATCACACCACTGCACTCCAGCCTGGGCAACAAAGAAAGACTCTGTCTCCAAAAAAAAGAAAAGAAAAGAAAAGAAAAGAAAAAAGAACATGTGAACATCTAGCTCACACATCCAAGATCCCTTCAACATATTTATATGAAATATAGATTTTATATATATATATTTATGTTTACATATAAAGATATATAATTATATATTATATAAATATATAATTATGTATTATATACATATGTTATATATTATACATAATTACCCCTATATATATGTGTATACGGGTAATTAGCTATAGGAAAAAACGACTACAAATTATAAACATATTTTATGAAATAGTGGTTGTACAGATCTTACAGCCCAACCACGCTGAGAAAAACTGGGAAAGGGAAGCTTCAAACACGTGTTAGAAAGCACCACAAATGCAAGAAAATAATTATTTAAAGAGACAGGGTCTGAATTAGAAGATAATTCCAAGTGGGGATACTCAAATTTGGTACCCCTTTTATGCTCGACAGTTTTGCTAATTCAAAGGTGAATGAGAAGCCGAGATACTAAGCAATAAGTTGAAGCTGAGAAGTTAAGCAGCTGGTGAGAGCTTTCGGCAGTTTCACCATCCCAGGAGACACACTTGGACCTGAGGGTGCACCAATGAGAAGAGGTTCTGAAAAACACAGTGGTTCATTTGTCAACCCTGAGGGGCTATGACCTAAATGTCTATGTGTGTCAGAAAGAGAACATTCCTGACAAAATCTGAGACCCAGGTTCTCAATTCCTGATTGCTATGAGGTAAACTGTTTCCACGTTAACAGGCTCTCAAAAGCAAAAGTATTATATATAACTGCTGGCCTCCAATTATCTCCATAGTATTTAATACAGATAATTCAGATTGCAATACAAAACAATCACACATGCAAGATATAAATGGGAATTAAAGGATTAGCATCAGGCCTGCAATCCATTTTCTCCGTTTATTGGTATGCCTGGGAAAGAAAGAACAATGACTTAGTTACATCCATGTAATTTAGAGCGACAGCGAGATATCATTATACACTCAGAAGAGGTACAGTTAAAAATACCGACCATGATGTTGTACACCTTAAATTTATACAATAAAAAATAATATTGACCATTGCGAGTGCTGGCAAGGATGCAGAGCAACTGCAAGTCTCACATACTGCTGGTCGGGTGTACCAAGGTGTAATCATACAGCAAAACACTTTGACATTTTCTAAAATAATTTAAAGATGCACCAATCATATGCTACAGCCATTCCATTCCTTGAAGCATATCCAAGCAAAATAAAATTACATGTCCATACAAAGACATGTGTAGGAATTTTTAACTCACGGGAAAGGGGTTGGGGCTTGAGCAGGACTAAGAAGGGAGAAATATAAAAATGCTGAAGGAATCTTGGATGTGGGAGATGTTCACATTTTCTTGATTGTGGATATTGTTTCACAAGTATATGCCCATTTTAACACTTATATTGTTAATTTAAATGTTGTCCAGATTATTTTAGGTCAAATATGTCTTCATGAAACTGTCACAAACTGTGTATAGAATGTACCAAAATATATGTCTAAAGGAAATTATACAGCACTTAATGCAGGAGAAGAAATGTGGAAAATTTAAGATCTGATAATCAGCCTTAAAGAAATGAAAAACAAGTGGTAATTTAGTATAGAAAATAATACAAATGAAACAGTAACACAAAAATAAGAGAAGAAATTTTGAACAAAATTACAAAGAGAAGATCTGCACATTCAAAAGTTGGTTTTCAGCCTGGCGTGGTGGCTCACACCTGTAATCCCAGCACTTTGGGAGGCCAAGGCGGGAGGATCATGAGGTCAGGAGTTTGAGACCAGCCTGGCTAATATGGTGAAACCCCGTCTCTACTAAAAATACAAAAATTAGCCAGGCGTGGCGGTGGGTGCCTGTAGTCCCAGCTACTCGGGAGGCTGAGGCAGGAGAATTGCTTGAACCTGGGAAGTGCAGGTTGTAGTGAGCCGAGATCGCGCCACTGCACTCCAGCCTGGGTGACAGAGTGAGACTCTGTCTCCAAAAAAAAAAAAAAAAAAAAAAAGTTGGTTTTCATTTTTATAAAATGGTGAAATAAATAAATAAATGAAGATACTGCTCAAGAAGCAAAGAAGGCTCACATTACCAATACGCAGAATGTAGACGGGATAATTTTTACTAAACCTGGAAATGTACACATAATATATGAGCAGATTCATTTCAATATATTTGAAATTACACAAAATGATGAAATTCAGAGTTAAACACATATAAGATCAAAACCCTTAAGAAATGCAAATAGTCCAATATCAATCAATGAAATTTTGCCTAGTGAAAAATCCTTCCTAAAAATAATTTCCATTTCCTGGTTCCCTAAGCCATGAACTTTTCCATACAACGAAGAAAGACATAAAATCAATTCTACACAAGATCTTCCTCAGGATAGAAAGGGCAAAGGCACACCCCAAAATGTTTTATGAGATCTGTGTAAATTTTACACAAAACTATAAAGCACATTATAAGAGAAGATAAGCTTCGCTTTATATCTCTTGTGGTAAACAGTAACAACAAAAATTACTGTGATTTCTTTACATTTATCATTGTTTACAAAACCTCTGGAAAAAAAACAAATTTATTTCTGACAAACGAAATACTAACATACATCAGACATGATGTATCTTACAGCACTGTTCATGCAACCTGAACAATTTGCGTTTAATAAAAAACTGAGTTATTGTAGATTTAACACTTAGATACCAACCAATTTTAACAAAAAGGAACGTAATTTTGTCATATCAATATAGAGAAACCATTTGACAAATTTTACCAGTCACTTATTATTTAAAAAATAACCTGAAGAACTGGAGAATATTATGATTAGTGTTGAAATACTGAGAACCTTCTCCCTGAGATCAGGAATGAGAAAAGGATACTTACCATCACCAGTTCTATTCAACATTTTATAGAGGTCATTTCCTGTAAATGTAATCTTACAACAGGACAGAAATGCAATATATATAAAAATTTGTAAGGGAGAAATGAAATCAACTTTATTCACAAAGAGCATGATGATGTTTATAAGCTAAAAGGAACCTGTAGGTAATAACATTAGAATTTCTTAGATAATTTAGCAGATTTGTTGGATTCCATTCAGTTAAACATAATGTTCTAAGAATATTAATTCTTACTAGACTTTTATACACAATATAAGAAATGGCATGAATACCTTACAAAATAAGGCCATATTTTTTCTATATACTTATCAGATAAAACTTTAAAGTTATTATAATCCTGATTACTGTCATCATTTTTTCTGATAACATGGTAACAGATGCTCTGGTATCTTATTAACAGAAGCTCCCCGGTATGTAAGACACAATTTGCAATACATTTGATACTTAGAATCTAAGTGGAACAATAAAAAGCATTATGTGTGACAATTTTACCTATGGCCAATTGTTTAATGAGCTCACTGACTCACCACAGGTTCAGCCTATTTTCAGTGATTCCCAATTTATTTTTTTCTCCACATATCTTTTCTTGTATTATTTCTCAGCATATGTTTTTCTTTTTAACTCTTTTCTAAATCTGTGTATGAGACTAACTTCTGGCAAGGCCTGGTGACTCATGCCTGTGAGAGGTTTGGGAGGCCAACATGGGAAGACTGCTTGAGGCCAGGAGTTCAAGACCAGCCTGGGCAACATAACGAGACACTATCTCTACAAAAAACAAACAAAAAAACCACCACCAACAACAACAAAATAGTTGTGGTGGTGCGTGCCTGTACTATCTACTCGGAAGGCTGAGGTGGGAGAATAGCTTGAGCCCAGGAGTTCGAGGCTGTAGTGGGCTATGATGTCAGCACCGCACTCCAGCCTGGGTGACAGAGAAACCTTGTCTTGAAAAGCAAAAAACAAAAAACACCCCACTAATTTCGTATGCTATTGTGTACTACTTTGAAATAAAATCAGCGTAGATCTTTCAAACTATTATTAGTAATAAGTCATCACATGACTATTTGTTACTTATATCTTTTATCGCATACAATTGCATATGATGTGCTCATTGTAAAATTTTCAGAAAATGCCAATGCATATGCTTTCTGAAAGCAATTATGATTAGCACTATAGTGTGTATATAAAAATACATATGTATTTAAATGAATCATATATTTAAATATTTGTACACATGCCTGTAAGTAAATTAGAATTTGCTTTCTATTAGCAATTTGTCTTGTAGATATATAAATATTTAATATTTTAAATAATTGTATAGTGCATAGTATTAATACTACAAACACAGCATAATTTAGTTAAAAAATGGGTTTTGCCTTACTGCTTACCACAAACTTAGTGGCTTACAACAAAGCAAATTTATTATCTTATATTTCTATGAGTCAAAAGGTTAAAAAGGGTATTATGGGGCAAAAATCAAGGCGTCTGAAGGGGTTTGTTTCTTCTGGAGGCAGCAGGAAAGAATCTACTTCTTGCTTTTTTCAGCTTTTAGAGGCTTCCTGCATTCCTTGGCACATCGTCCCTCTATCTTCAAAGCCAGATGTGTCTTTCTCACACCATTGTGACCTCTGCTTCTGTATTCACATCATCGCTGACCCTGACTCTCCTATCTTCCTCTTTCACATTTTAAGGTCCTTTGTGATTATATTAGATGCACACAGATAATAATCTTTCCATCTCATGATCTTCAGTTAAATCACAGTTGCCAAATTCCGTTTGCTGTGTAAAATAATATATTCGCAGAGTCAGAGGATTTTCACGTGGACATCTTTGAGAAGCTGTTTTTCTGCCTACCCCAAAAAGGTATGTATTTTTGTTTCTTTATGATTTCAGATAATTTCTGGCCCTTCCTTCCCCACTCTCACTTATCAGCAGGTAATCGTTATTAGCCAAATAATGTGTATCCTCCTAGAGTATTTTTATATGTAAATTTAAACAGATAGGTAGATACTTATTACATCACAGAATCATTCTGTTATTATACTTAAATTTTCCTTGAAATATATATCCTGAATAATTTTCAGAATTTTATATAGTCCTCTTGTAGGTTTATGAACACATTTTTAATTTGATGGTTGCTGCCAAATTGTTCACAGAAATGTTGCAAAATTAGAAACCCATCTCCTACGTCTGAGGGTAGTTTTCCCTTCACAATTTTTGTGAAGGTTGGACATTATTATTCACTATAATATTTGTATATTTGGAAAAATATCTGCTATGGTTGTTTTTACATTTCCATGATTGCTACTGAATCCAATTATCTCTTCATAAATATCATTATAAAAAATAATATCTAAAAAGAAAATGTGACAATTGCTGTGTGTTAAAAAGAACTGCCAGAAATTAAAAGCTTTTAAAAACAACAAAAACAAAAAATTGGGTTTTGCCTTTTTTGTCCTTTCAGCTTTTTAAAAAATGAGGTGAAATTATATAATAAAATTAACCACTTGAAAGTAAGCAATTCAGTGCCATTTTTTGGCCTTTTTAGACCATATTTTAATGCACATGTGTAACTTTTGTGAGATACAGTAAAGGAAAATTACTATCTAAACCATAGGTAAGTTTACGATCTAACTAAAAAAGAAAACTTCCGCAAACTCTACCATTTTGTACTCTTTCAGTAATCTGCTAACAAGATAAAAAGGGTTATCTCATTAATTAAAATTTTTACATTAAGTATTAAGCATATTTAATATACTAGTGACCCATTTATATTTATTGTCCTTATATCTTGGATACAAACTACTAATTCTATATATATTATATATATATAAAACTATTCAAATAATTTCGTGTTCAAATCATTATGATAGACTTTAAGAAACAGAAGTCTATTTCATATATATATAAGGAATCATCTATATATATATATAGAGAGAGAGGTTATAGACTGCATACATATTATACACACATATATACATAAATTCATGTTAATTTATATTCTATATATTACATATTCCTTTGACTGTGATATTTTACTGTATTTATTTTTCCATATAAAATATATTTGTCAAGGCAGAAAAATACTGTATATTTTATAAGCACATTAGATATAAAATATTTGTGATAGTTAATACAAGTGTCACATCAATATTCTTTTTTAAAAAATTTTTTTCTAGAAACAGGGTCTCACTTTGCCACCTAGGCCAGGGTGCAATGATGCCATTATAGCTGACTGCCGCCTTGAACTCCTGGGTTCAAGCAATTCTCCTGCCTCAGCCTCCCAAGTAGCTGGGCTACAGATGTGCACCAACATGCCCAGCTAATTTTTTTCATTTTTATTATTTTTTAATCAGGAGATTATGGCTCCTCTCATATACTATCACATCCAGGTATGATCAGAAATTGTAATAACAAACTTTTTTTCATATTTTGTCTCTGAATGTGCTTAAATTATCTTAATTTGTATATACCTGTAAAGATATTTTTAGATATTTTAACAATAATGGAGTTTTTGGTGCTTTGCATGCATCTTTTTTTGCTTTTTTTTCTCTTGTTGATTAAATAAACTAATTTCTTATAAACAGAATAATTTTCATTGTTAAAATAGCTGGTTAAGTTTTTGAAATATTTACTAATAAACTATATATTGGGCATGTTTGAAATATAAAGTATATTAGTGAATTTAACAAATGTATAGTCACTAAAATATTCAATGAAATAAGTGTACATTATCTCACTGGGAACAATGATTTAAATGATGGCTGTCTTCTCCACAAAATCCATGGAAAAGTAAAGAAAATGGAGCAGAATCCCTCCAATTACAAAGGAAAAGATGATAGCACTTTCAATCTATATTCTATATCCAGTGAAATTATCTTTTCAAACTGAGAATGACTAAGGCATATAACCAAACCTAAGAGAATGTGTCACTGGCCAATCTGTAACACAAGCAATACCAAAGGAAGTTCTTCAGGCTGAAGGGAAATGACATGTGATAGAAACTAAGAACCATAGGAAGGAAAAAAGAGCACGGGATAGTATGTGCCTAATTAGAAAAGACTAACATTTTCTATTACTTCTTTGAAAGACTATTGATTGTTTAAGGCAATGTGATAAATGATATTTTAGATGCAAACAATACAACAAGAACACAAAGGAAAAGGGAATAAATAGAAATGTCCTGTTGTAAGATTATATTTACAGAAAATAAATATATTTAAATCTAAGTAGACCACATGAAAGTAAAAAATTCAAATACAGATTCCTTGAACAAGCAGCAAACATAACACAAAAAAGTACAAATAATATTCTACTTATTATAACTGCATTACACATTTACATTATGTGTAAAGCATACATTAAGTGTAAGGCATTTATATTTATTTTTTGTATACCTTGTGATGGATGTTACTAATTCCATGTGTTAATTATTTACTTATAATTACATGATTGCAAAAATTATGGGCTTAATGTTTAATAACTTTGGTATTCAACCAATTATTGACAGATAATAGTATGTAAACACTTATGTTCTATTAATATATACTGCATGGTACCTAATTGATTCTGATATGTATTATCTTCATATAAATCATTTGTATGTAAAACATATTTTGCCAAAGCAGAAGAGTATGGATATTACAGGCAGTGATGCTATATAATTGCAAGTAGAACGTGAAAAGTAAAGAGTTCAAAAAATAGCACAAAAAGATATGGGTAATATTCTAGTTATATTACTGGGTAGCAAATTACCACTAGAGTTATCTTCTATTATACATTTCATATTTACTTGTCTATTTTCCCATTAGCCTCTCCTTCAATAATGTAATTCGGTACATGGTCCACATCTGGCACATATGTTGGGAATTTAAAAACGTTTATGGGATGAATGAAATAATTAGCTTGAAATAAATTAAGCAACTAATGGCAAAAAAATCCACTATTTTTGAAGGTCACTTGACTAAAATAATTGTTGGCCATCTGCTTCAAGACGCCTCAAGAAGATGGAGTAGACATAATTTTTTTCTCTATTTTGCCCTCTAAGTATAACTAGAAACCTTGGATGTTATACATAAAACAAACATTACAAAACTCTGAATGGTGGAGACAGGAAGGAAGACTGGCTAGAGGCCTCAGGACCCAAGAAACAATAGGATGGTGACTTCTCTGCTTTTGTTTTTAATTTTGTCGCTGTGTTTTGGTTTGTTTGGTTTTGCCTCATATGTCCCAGAATAAAGCTGACATACCTGGCAACCTTTAAACAAAAAAGGGTGCCTACAAAAAATTCCTCCCTTTTCGCCAATAAGCCTAATCTCTCTAGTCAAAAGAAAAGGAAAAGGACAGCTTAAAACAAAACAGAAAACTTTAAGAAAATAAGCATCCTACTTCAGCTGGTATGACAGACAATATGGAGATCCTATTTTCACTCATGCCAGCAAAGACCATGAGAGGAGCCTATGCTCCCACACTTATTATGCTGTAACTAGTCACCCCTAACTGCCTACCCTATGATGTAGGTCAGAGAAAACCAAGTAGTGAGCTAGGACTTTCATGCCTGCTGGGCAATAACAAGGACTCCTGCACGACAGTGTCAATAGACAACATTTGGGGAGAATGGACTTCCACTGTCTGGGAAGTGAAGTAATACGGTAACCTTCCCCTCCTTGTTAGAGTGGTCTCAGAGGAGATCTAGTAGAGATTAATGACTTCCATTGCAACTCATGGTAAGGAAACCACTCTGCATGAGTGTCACTGCAGTACACAAAAGGAACTGTAACTTGACATTCCTCTTTCTCCTATCAGGGAGAAATTAGTGGAGGCCTAATGGGGCGTCAGAACTCCCAACCTTGCTCAGCAGTAACAAGGAGCATTCTCCACTCGTTAGTAAAGAGAGGGCAAGGGAGTAACTTGAATACACCCATTGCATTCTTGGATATTTACCCCAGAAAAATAAAGATTATGTTCACATGGAAACCTGTACACAAATGTTGATGGCAGATTTATTAGTCTCCTCTGGAAACTAGCAATAAGAAAATAATCTTCAAAGAGTGAATGGTTAAACAAACTGTGGTACATGTGTACCATGAAATACTACTCAGAAAGGAAAAGGAAGTACTAATCTAACAACCTGGATAAATCACTACAGAATTATGTATTCTGAGAAAAGACAATCCCAATGGTCACATACAGTATGATTATATTTATATAATAGCCTAGAAATGAAAATGTATAGAAATGAAGAACATATTTGTGGCTGCCAGAATTCAGGGATGAAGGTGTGCCTTTAAGTGCAACAAAGGGCATCTTTGTGGTGATAGAAATGTGCTATATCTTAACTGTATCAATGTGAATATCCTGATGTAGGTATTGTACTATACTTTTGCAAGATGTTAATATTCACTGGAAATAGGTAAAGGGCACATGGTATATGTCTATATTATTTCTTTTATTTGAAAGTGAATGTACAATTATCCCAAATAGGAAGTTTAATTAAAATTGTTTATCTCCTTAATTTACAGATTGGGTTAATTCAAGAGAGCAGGCAAAACACATACAAAGTAAAATATATTTACGAAAGTGTTTTTGGAGATACTTCCTTTTAGCAATGTCAGACCAGATGTTTCAGCCCAAACACTCTATCAAGAAAAACTCTGAAAGATGGAAAATATAGAAGACATCGTTTTAAGTTATCATAAACCCAAATAAGCAACATTGAAGAGACAAGATCTCAAGTAAAAGAATAGAAAAAGGGGTGAGAAGCAAATTTGGTACTTTTTTCCCCACAAGATATCCCTCCTCAAATGAGAAGTTTGAAATCAAGTTTCTAAGCAGAAAGGTGTAGCTGAGAAACAAGGCGAATGAGTGATATTTCCAGCAGACTCACCAGCCCATGAGACACAGAGAGAATTCCAGTCCCCGCCCCGCCACCCCCAAGGAGGAGAGGATATGGAAATACAAGACTTCATTAGATGTAGACTTGAGGAACTATGTCCTAAGTGTCCTTATGAATAAGAAATAGAAAACTACTCACAAAACCAAACACCTAGCTTCAAAAAGACTCAAATCTTGATTGCAATGAGATGAATTGCCCCCATCTTAATGGCCTGTTGGAAGCAAAATAAAATGTTCCCTGGAGGAAGATAAAATCACCTAGAGCTTCCAATTATTTTACAGTAATCATACACAAATTTTCGCAAACAATAAAAAAATCACATTTGCAAAATTTGAATGGTACAGAAAGAGCTTCAAGCCTGTGATCTATATTCTCCATTTACTGGGGATGTCTTCAAAAAAAGAACTCAGAACCATACAATTCAGAGCAACAATGAAATACAACTGCACACCTATTAGAAGAGCTATGGTTAAAAAGACTATACTAACCGTACCAAGTGCATGCAAGGATGTAGAGCTACTGTGACTTTCATTTACTGCTGGTATTATGGAAAACAGTATAATCACATTGCAAAATATTTTGACATATTCCAAAATAAACTAAAATGTATGAAGCATGTAATGCAGCCATTTCATTCTTTAATGCTAATTCAAGAAAAATATATTTATATTTGTATATCCTTAAATGCATGTTAATAATTCCATTTTCTCAACAGTCCAATACTTCAAGATAATCTGAATACTAACATTAGTTTACATTAACACACACATATAGATACATACATATACATATTTATATGTATATGTGTGTATAAACTATTAATACTTTCACTTATGTTATATATATTGCCTGGTAGCAATTTGATTCTGATAGGTATGACATATAAATCATTTTCCACATAAAAATACTTCGCCAAAGCAAAATATTGTGTAAGAACAGTAGATATAAAATAAAATATTTTGTGATAGTTAATACAGTGTCAGTGTCACTTCATTATTTTTACCATGAGATTTTAACTATTTTCATACTCTCATCCAAGTAAACATTAGCTTCAAATCAGCAATTATATTAACAAACGTTTTTACTTTTGTTTGTGAGTATGCTTAAATTCTTTTAATTTGTATATTATCTGTCCAGAGACTTTCATATATTTTAATAGGAAATAAAAGATAGATTTGGGCTACACTTAATGCAGGTTTTTTTGCTTCTGATTTTTGTTATTATCAACAAAAATCATCCTTTTTTAAACACATATGGAAACATATATCGAATAATTTTCATTGACAAAAGTCATTAAATTTTTTAAAATACTTTATTAATAAACTGTGTTTGACATTGACATAAAATATAAAACATTTTAATGAATTGAAAAATATCTATCCATCAAAAATTTCAAAGAAATAAAGATACATTATTACCCACCCAGAAACAATGACTAAATGTTGGCTACCTTCTCAACAGAATACATGGAGAACCAAAAAAAAAAAAAAAAAAATGAAGCAGCACCTTTCCAATGCTGAATGAAAAGATGAAACAATCAACCCAGAAATCTATATCCAGCATAATTATCCTTCTAAACTGAGAGTGAAAGAAGATACATTCATATAAACAAGCCTCGGACAACTGGTCTCTGACCAACCTGGAACACAAGTATTACTAAAAGAAGTTTTTCAGGCAAAAAGGAAATGACACTTGATAGAAACAGTACTACAGAAAGAAACAAAGACTACTGGATAGGGAAATAATGTGGATAAATGCACGTATATGACTAAATTTTCTATCATTTCTTTGGAAGACAACTCACTCTTTAAAGCAAGATTACAAATGGTATTTGATATGTAAACTATAAAATAAGAAGATAAAAAAGGGGGAATAAAAGAATTATAGTGTTCTGAGGTTACATTTAATGGAAGTGATCCTATATATATATTCTATAAACAGCATGGCAAGTAAATAATTCAAATAACAATCCCTTCAACAACCACTAAATATAACACTAAAACATATAGGAAATATCCTATTTACACTAAAAGTGCATAACATAATTAATACAAAACTTATTTTCTATAATAATCTCCATACACATTTGTCTGTTTTTTCCACTAGGCTCTGCCTTAGTAATAAACTGCAGCACAGGGTCCACACCTGGCACATGTTGGGAATGGAAGAAACATTTATGGG
Organism: Homo sapiens; assembly: GCF_000001405.40. Classification (NCBI taxonomy): domain Eukaryota; kingdom Metazoa; phylum Chordata; class Mammalia; order Primates; family Hominidae; genus Homo; species Homo sapiens. The sequence continues at coordinate 27,358,121 of NC_000023.11, forward strand.
ATGAGTGACATAATTATGTCAAAATAAACTAAGAAAATTACGGCTTAAAAAGATTCACTGCTTGTGAAAATCATTTGGCTAAAATTCTTGCATATATACTTCCAAAAAGATGCAGTAGACAGACTTTACCTTTTTTTCCCCAGTAAGTATAACTGAAAACCCTGAATGTTATATGTAAAACAAATACAAGACTCTGAAAGGTGAAGAGAAGAAGGTAGGCTGGGAAGGGACCTCAGGACCCATGGAACAACCTAGTGGTGATTTCCCAGCTATTTTTGTTAGTTTTGTGTTTGCCTCAGACATCCCAGACATGGAGATGATAAATTCGGCAACCTGAAAACACCAAAGGGTGCAAAAACAAAACATCTTCAAAAAGCCTGCTTTCTTTAGACAAAGGATTAAAAAAGAAACAATAAAAAGACAGAAATTTTTACACAATAGCCACTCTACTCCAGCCAAAACCTATCCTCACCCACATCAGCAAAATCCCAGTGGAGAACCTAGACTTCCACCCCCCCAACACCCCCGCAGGTTATAATGAGTGATAACAATCCACCCTCAATGGTAATCCATTGTTTCCATTTACTGGGGATGTTTGAGAAAGAAAGAATTATGACTTAGTAACCCGTACAATATAAATAGATAATGAGACACCACTGCACACCTACTGCACACCTATTTGAAGGGCTGTGATTAAAAATAATCACCATAACAAGTGCTGGCAAGGATGTTGAGCAACTGAGACTCTCATATATGGTGATAAAATGTAAAAAGGTACAACCAAAATGTAAAATGCTTTGACATATTCTAAAATTATTTTAAAAGAAACACCTATCAGGTGATCCAGATATTCACAAACCTTGATATTTATACAAGAAAAAAGAATGTTTATACGAAGACTTGCACAGGAGTATACACATCATGAAACAGGGAGAGGCATTAGCCAAAACCAGGAAGGAAGAAATACAAACATGCACCACAAAACTTGACTGGAGGGATATGTACATTATCATGCCCTTGATGATGGCTTAACAACAACAAATATATATATATACACATATATATGTATATATATACACATACACACATGCCAAACACATATGGAAAAATTTGTACTGTTCTTTTTTTTCCCTTAAACAGGGTCTCACTCTGTCATCCAGGTTGGAGCTCAGTGGCACAATCATGGCTCACTACAGCCTTGATCCCCTGGGCTCAAGCGATCCTCCTGCACAGGCCACCATGCCTAGCTAGTCTTTCAATTTTTTGTAGAGGAGGCATCTTACTATGTTGCCCAGGCTAATCTCGAACTTCTGGGCTCAAGCGATCCTCCCACCTCGGCCTCCCAAAGTGCTGGGATTACAGACATGAAACATCATGGCTGGCATGTTCCTTTTTACTAATAAACTTTAGTTTTAGAGAAATTTTAGGTTCACAGCAAAATAGAGTGCAAAGTAAATAGAGGTTTCATATATCCCTGTCCCCATATATGCATAAACTCTCCCATCATCGATACTTCCCACTGCAGTAGCACATTTATTATGACTGATGAACCTACATTGATACATCATTATCACCCAAAGTCTATGGTTTACATTGGAGTTCATTCTTTGTGTTGTACATTTTGTGGGTGTTGGCAAATGCATAATGACATGTATCTACTACTATAAAATGACACAAAGTAGTTTCACCGCCTTAAATATTCTTTTGTCCTGCCTATTCGCCCCATCATTCCCCACAACTCTTGGCACACATTGATCTGTCTACTGTCTCCAAAGTTTTGCCTTTTCTAGAATATCATATAGCGTGAACCATGCAGTATACAGCCTTTTCAGATAAGCATCCATCACTTAGTAATATGCATTTTCTTCCATGTCTTTCCATGGCTTCATAGCTCATTTTTTTAATTTTAAATTTCAATTTTTAATTTTTGTGGGTACATAGTAGAGGTATCGAAAAATAAAAACAATTGAATTCATGGATATAAAGTGTAGAAGGATGGTTACCAGAGGCTGGGAAGGGTAGTGGGAGGGTTGTGGGGAAGTGGGGATGGTTAATGGGTACAAATAAAAACAATTAGAAAGCATGGATAAGACCTACTATTTGATCACACAACAGGGTGACTATAGTCAATAACAGCTTAATTGTATATTTTAAAATAACTTAAACAGTGCAATTGGATTGCTTGTAACTCAAAGGATAAATGCTGGAGGAGATGGATACCCCATTCTCCATGATGTGATTATTTCACATTGCATGCCTGTATCAAAACATCTCATATACCTCACAAACATATACACCTACTATGTACCCACAAAAATAAAAAAAATTAAAAAATTAAAATTAACCTCATGAGCAAACACAGAGAAAAATATGAAAAAATTTACCAGACAGTATTAATTTAAAATGTTTAATACACTAAATATCATACTCTTGTAGTGAAATACTTAAAGTCTCCCCCTGAGATTCGAAAAGACTTAAGAATGTCTACCATCATCAGTTCTATTCAGTATTTTAGGAAGGTCACAGCTGGGGCAATAATGCAAGAATGGGGGAAAAGGCATAAAAATTGAAAATGATAAAACAAAGCTGTCATTATTCACATATAGCATGTTTACACATACAGACTATGAGAAAGCAATCTAAAGGTAATATATTAGAATTAAATTAGTTTACCAAGATTATTGTATTCCATCTAGATAAATGTAAACACATTCTCTGAGTATAGCAATTGTTACTAAACTTTTTATACACATCATAAGAGATGGATTCCTACAGGACAAGATAATACTTAAGGCTTTCTCTATACACTTACAAGATAAAACAAGAGACATTATTACCCTATTTCTGTTGTCATTTTTTCCTTAAATCATGGTAACAGAGGGCCCTGTATCACAGATAAAATTTCCAATACACTCGACGTTTAATCCTAGTGGAACAATTAAACAAGCATTCATTGTTACAGTGCTATTTATGATACCCAGTTTAATTATCTCATCGTCTAAATAGAGTTTAGTTTATTTTCAGTGTCTCCATTTAATAATTTGATAAAGAGCCATAATTATTTGAACATCAATATTATTATATATGAAAGTTATTTATATGCATGAACTTGTTGCTTTTATCTACATTCTGTATTTTTCCTATTATTGAAATGATTCTGATATGAACTCAAAATGTTTATCCAAAGTAGGATTCTTAAATATTATATAATTACAGCAGATATAAATTCTTATGCTATAGGTAATAAGGTGTCATTTCATTTTTTAACAAGACTTTTGCTCTTTATTCATGCATTCTTTTTTCACGTTGACATAAGCAACAGATCAGCAGCTATCAATCATTTTTGTATTTGCTTATGTACGTGCTTAAATTATTTTAATTTGTATATGATCAACACAGATATATTCTATGTATCTAAATAAGAATATGTGCTTTTAATTCTTACTTTTGTTATTTTTCACGTGAGCTTCTTTGGGCTTTTGGATCTACTGTCAATACAATAAGATCAGCCTGGAAAACATAGTGAGATGCTGTCTCTACCAAAAAAAAAAAAATTAAATTAGCCAGGTGCACTGGTGTACACCTGTAGTCCCAGCTACTCAAGAGGCTGAGGCAGGAGGATCCTTTGAATCCAGGAGTTAGAGAGTGCACTGAAGTATGATTGTGCTACCCAACTCCAGCCTGAGTGACAGTGAAACCTCATCTCCAAAAAAAATTGTGTAAGGGAACATATATATAGTTTGCTAATGAAATACTTCAAATTTTCAGTAGCTATGTTGTAAATGAAAATGATTCCATTTATATAAAAACTTTAACTTGATCAACAACAGGAAATAAAGGAAAGCAGAAATATGCTGTGTGATAAATACCATAACCAAAAAAACCCTATTGTTTCTTATTAAAATGTATAAATACATCTCTACTGCTTACATACAAATTAAAATAATTTCAGCACATTTACAAGAAAAATATCAAAAACTTTTAAAATTATTATTTTTAATCTGATGCTAATAGTGATCTGAATGTGATAGTGTATGAGAAGAGCCAAAATCTCTTGGTAAAGAGTAATGAAATGACACTTGTATTAACTATAACAAAATATTTTATATCTACCATACTTCTAATAAATACAATTTATTTTATAGCAAAATGATTTATATAAGACATATAGTATGCATAAGAATCTATTTGGTACCATGCAATGTATAGAACATAATTGAAAGCAACAAAAAGTTATGCATATATATGAATATGTATGTATATATGGTCAATGTATAATTTTGGTTCAGAATTGTAATTATTATGAAACAACAGACTATGTAACAGAATTAATATGTATCAAAGAATATACAAAAAATAAATATATGACGGCATACTATCCTAGGGTTGCTTAATACCTTGTGTAAGTAATTTAAGCAACAAACTACTCTTTTTAAATCTTGATACTGGGGTATCATAGGGGCATAAAGTGGTAATGAGTATTTGGAAAGTAATTTGTTGTTTTTTGACAGAGTTGTGAATTTACCCACAGTTTTACACAGTGACTTGCCATCTAGGACTGTATCTGACATAGCTACTTACACATGTGCATTAGCGTATGGGCACAAAAAAAATGTCAAAACAGCTATTTAGGTTGGTGCAAAAATAATAGCTTTGCACCAACTTAAATATTATTTGATAAATTATCCTGCATTCATACTGTGAATACTATGTAGCTTTTACAACCGACCAATTAGCTAGATATAAAATACTTATAAAGGACATCTCCAGGTGTGTTAGGCTGTTCTTGCATTGTTATAAAGAAAATACCTGAGACTGGGTAATTTTTTTATTATTATTATTTGAGACGGAGTCTCGCTCTGTCTCCAGGCTGGAGTGCAGTGGCGTGATCTCAGCTCACTGCAACCTCCGACTCCCTGGTTCAAGCTATTCTCCTGCCTCAGCCTCCCGAGTAGGTGGGAATACAGGCATGTGCCACCACTCCCAGTTAATTTTTGTATTTTTAGCATAGACAGGGTTTCACCATTTTGGCCAAGATGGTCTCAATCTCCTGACCTCGTGATCTGCCCGCCTCGGCCTCCCAAAGTGCTGGGATTACAGGCATGAGCCACCGTGCCCGGCCAAGACTGGGTAATTTATAGACAAAAGAGGTTTAACTGGCTCGTGATTCCACAGGCTGTACAGAAAGCATAACAGCATCTGCTTCTAGAAGGGCCTCAGGAAGCTTATCATCAAGTCAGAAGGTGAAGGGGGAGCAAGCACGTCACATGGCGAAAGCAGGAGCAAGAGAGTGTGGGGTAGGAGGTACCACACACTCTTAAATGACCAGATCTTGTGAGAACTCACTACCATGAAGACAGTACCAAGGGGATGCTATTAAACTGTTCATGAGAAATCCACCCCATGACCCAATCACCTTCCATCAGGCCCCATCTGCAACTTTGAGGATTACATTTCAACATGAGATTTGGGTGAGGACAATATCCAAATTGTATCATTCTGCTCCGGCTCCTCCCAAATCTCATGTCCTCATATTGCAAAATACAATGATCCCTTCTCAGTATTACTCCCACCTCTGCCTCCCAAAGCACTGGAATTACAGGTATGAGCCACCGTGACCAGTCAAATGTAAAATATTTGCATGAATTGAACAAATGTATATCCACCCATAACTTCAAGGAAATAAAGATACATGACCTACCTGGGAATGACTATTTAAATATTGGCTGCCTTCTCCACAGAATCCACAGGGAAGCAAATAAAAAGGAGCATCATTTTACCAATGCTTAAAACCATAATTCTATATTCAACAAAGTTATTCTTCCAAACTGTGAGTGAAATAAATCATATCCAGATAATCAAATCTGAGAAAATTTCTCAGTAGCCAAACTTTAGGTAATGTTAAAGGAATGTATTTGTTTCCTAAGGTTTCTATAATAAAGTATCACAAACTAGGTGGCTTTGAAAAAACAGAAATTTGTCATCTCGCAGTTCTGGAAGCTAGAAATCTGAAATCAAGGTGTCAGTGGGGCCATTCTCTCTTTGAAATCTGTAGGGGAATTCTTCCTTGCCTCTTCTCTAGGTTCCAATGATTTGCTGGCAATCTTTGGCATTCTTTCCCTTTTAGATGGATCACCCCAATCCTCCATCTCCATATGACAACCCCACTGTGTGTGTCTTCACACAGACTTCCCTCTATTCATGTCTCTATGCATGTCCAAATTTCCCCTTTTTATAAGGACCAGTCATATTGGGCTAGGGCCCACTCTAATGACATAATCTCAACTTGACCACATATGCAAGGATGCTATTTCCAAATGAGGCCACAGTCTGAGGTACTGGAAGGTAGGACATTTTCGGTTGATGCAACTCCACTAATAGCAAGGAAGTTCTTCAGACCAAATGGAAACGACACCTGATGGAAACTAAGAACTACAGATATACAAGATGTGAAGAACACTAGATAGAAGAAACATGTGCATTAACATAAAAGACTAATATTTTCAGTTATTTATTTGAGAAATAGCTGGCTCTTTAAAACAAAAGTGATAAATAATATTATTGATCTGAACTATATAACAAGATGACAAAGGAAAGGGGGAATAAATATAATTGTAGTGAGGTTACATTTCTAGGAAATGATACTACCTATGCCTATGGAGATGATGAGAGTAAAGAATTTAAGTATCAATCCTTTGAACAACTACTAAACATAACACAAAAATACACAGCTAATACTCTAGTTACTATAACAAATTATCACAAAACTTATTTTCTTTGATATACTCTATATATACTTGTCTATTTTCCCACAAGTTGTTCCCTCAACAATGTAAGTAGAGCATATCATCCGTACTTGGCACTTTGAAATTGAAGAAATCTTTATAGAATGAATGCAATAACTACATTGAAAGAAATTAAGCAAATGATGGCTACAAAAAAAAATCCACTGCTTGTTTAAAAGATCATTTGGTAAAAAAAGAAAATGATGTCTGCTTCCAAAATGTTGGAGATTTTTCCCTATTTATCCCCCTAAGTGTAACAAAAATTCCTGGACATTACAAATAAAGTGAACATAGGAAGACTCTGAAAGGTGAAAAAAATAAGGAAAACTGAATAGCTATCTTAGAAACCAGGAAACAACACAGTGGAATTTCCACGTTTTCTTTTGTTTGTTTTATTTTCTTTCTGCCTCATGCATCCAATACCTAATACAGAAAAACCCAGCGAGCAGAAAACACCAAAAAGTAAAGAACATAACACCTCCAACAAAAGCCTGCTCTCTCTAGATAAAGGACTAGAAAAGGTACAGACAAAAAATAATGATAAAACTCATAGAAAGACAATAACTGCTCTATGCCAGACAAACGCCATCCTCATCCACACTAGCAGAGGCCCATTGGTGAACCCAGACCCTCACTATGCTCCAAAGTGTCACCTTAAACTGTCCCTCCCCATCGTGATTTATTCTTTTTCCATTTACTACGCATGCATTGGGAAAGGAAAAACTATGATTTTATTACACTAATTTAGATAAAGAGGGAGATACCACTAAGCACCTATTAAAAGAGCTACAATAAAAAATAATGACCAGTATAAGTGAGGGCAAAGATGGAGAGCATCTGTGACTGCCGGTAGGATGTAAAACAATACAATCACTTTCCAAAACATATGACATATTCTGATTTAATTTAAAGGTACACATATCATGTGATCCAGCTGTACCATTCCTTTATGCTCATCCAAGAAAAATAAAAAGATGTGTTCATACAAACACTTGTACAATAATGTACACATCATGGGAAAAGAGGAAGTATTGAGTAGAAACTGGAGGGGGAAATACAAAATTGTACAAGAAAACTTGAGTAGAGGGAAGCATATGTACCTTATATCACTTCTGGTGATGTTTTTACAAATAAATATGCCAAAACTTACACTGCTCAATTTAAAGTTGTAAAGTTTACTTAAAATCATTATATATCAATAAAGCGACTAAAAGTGTGAGATACAATATGCATGTCTAAAGGGATATTTGCAGCAATAAACGCAAAATAAGAAACCCTGAAATTTGTGGTCACAAAATCTATCTCAAAATATTGGGAAAAAAGATAGTCAATGTGAAACCAGTAACAGAAATGAAACAATAAAATGATCTGTGATATGTTCTAAAATACACAAAGAGGAATGAAAATTTTAAACCCACTTTTTCTGGAAAAGAGTAACACAAGCCCCTACTAAGACTAAGGAGGTGAAGGGGAATGAAAAAGTAGCAAAAGACATTAATTATCAACAATGTGAAGAAAATCCTCTTGTCATATCCTGGTGATACATGTATAAAAACAACTTTATGCTAAGAACCTTGACATTACACAAAAAGAAAAAAATCCAAGGAAAACACAGCTTTAAAAAATAATAAAACTATGGACAGCAGTTTGGAGGTTCTTCAAGAAACTAAAAATTGAGCTACAATATGATCCAGCCATCCCATTGCTGGGTGTCTACCCAAAGGAAGAAAATCAGAATATCGAAGAGATATCTGCACTCCCATGTTTGTTGCAGCACTGTTCACAATAGCCAGGATTTGGAAGCAACCTAAGTGTCCATCAACAGATGAATTAAAAAAATGTGGTACATACACACAATGGAGTACTACTCAGCCATAAAAAAGAATGAGATCTTGTCATTTGCAACAACACGGATGGAACTGGAGACCATTACGTTAGATGAAATAAGCCAGGCACAGAATGACAAACATCACATTTTCTCACTATTTGTGGCATCTAAAAATCAAAACGATTGAACTCATGGACACACAGAGTTTTCCATCCTCTGTTAACCATCCTTATGGTTAGAGAACCTCAATTGTCCTATATCCTGTAAATAAATTGTGAAATATCTTCCTATGAGTGGATCCCTTGCACTGGTGCCTGAAGTAGTGAGTTTTTTCATATAATGGCAAAAGAAATAAAACAAACTCTGCACAAGCCTTTCCATGTAATAGAAACGATAAAAACATTATCTCAAAATGCTTTGTGAGATGCCTATAAACTTTACATCAAAATGATATGGAAAATAGAAGAGAGGAAAATCAATGATGTACACATATCCCTCATCAAATCCCTGGCTCCCCCATCCCCACTTGCCAAAACACAACTCATGTGTGACAAACAGAACCCAAAAGTACTTCAACTGTAATATTCTATAATCATACTCTAATGGGATAAACATTTTGGTATCAAACAACTGTAACAAAACAAAGGGCAAAATCATGTCCCTATCACATTAGAGAGAAACAATATGACAAATTTTACCATCCAATCACCAAAAAACTCAAAAACTGCAGCAAATATACTTAGTGGTGAAATATTAAAAACCTTTCCCTGTGATAATACATTGGAATTAAACAGTAAGTTGAGCAAGACTGCGGGATTCCATATGTTTAAATATTAACAAATTTTTTCTAAGAACAGGAATTGTTACCAAACTTTTTATGCAAAAGAAATGGCAGAAGACCCTTACAAGGTCATACTTTTACAGCTTTTTTCATATACTGATCAGATAAAACGAGATAATTTTAATCCTTAATATTGTCATTTGTTTCGTAGTACTATCACGTTAATAGAGAATAGAGACCTCAAAATATAAAAGAAACCTTACTATACACTTGACGTTTAATTCTAGTAGAACAATACAATAACAAGATGATTCTTTGTTACCATTTTACAAAAAGTCCTCCTTGTGTAGTAATCTCACAGACTAGGAGTTCAACTTCACAATTCAATTCAATAATTTTTGTGTCACTATTGCTTATTTATTTATTTAGAGATGAAGTTTCGCCCTTATCGCTCAGGCTGGAGTGCAATGGCGTGATCTCAGCTTCCTGCAACCTCCACCTCCCAGATTCAAGCAATTCTCCTACCTCAGCCTCCTGAGTAGCTGGGATTACAGGCGCCCACCACCACATCCAGCTAATTTTTATATTTTTAGTAGAGACAGGGTTTCCCCATTTTGGCCAGGCTGGTGTCGAACTCCTGACCACAGGTGAACCACCCGCCTCGGCCTCCCAAAGTGCTGAAATTACAGACATGAGCCACTGCGACTGGCCCATAACCTGATTATATTTGTCTTACTATTTTTCCTTCGTAACTCTTTCCTAAATATTGCATCTAACTTTTGCTTTACTTCTTATGTCATTCTATACGACTTTAACATAAAAAAGCAAGGTATAGGTCTTCAAAATTTAGGAATATGTCATCATAATGTCTTTTTTTATTTATATGCTTTATTTTATACACAAAGGGCATATGTGTAAAGTTTCTAAAATGTTGATACATAATTCTTTTCAGAAGTAATTGTAAAGTAGCACTGAAGGATGTATATAAGCAGACGTAAACATAGATTTATATTTACATGAATAATGTATTTACCTAACAGTACACATATCTGTATATAAATTACAATTTTATTTCTTATCTTTGGCAATATACCTAGAGGATGTATTTTGTAAATATTTAACATATATCTAATTGGCTTTAAAAGCTTCATAGTACAGTATGAACAATGCGAAATTAATAAAAAAAGAAAAATTGCTGTTTTGACATTTTTGTGCCCATAATTTAATACATATGTGTGAGTAGCTGTATCAGACACAGTTCTAGAAGGTTAATTATGGTGTAAAATTATAGGTAACTTTATAAATTTACTAAAATATACAAAATTGTTTTCCAAAAAGCCGTTAACATTTTATACTTTTTCAATAATCTGGTTTAAAAATAAGAAAGTATCTGGTTGTCCAAATAATTTACACAAAGCCTACAGTTACCAAAACAGCATGGTACTGGTATAAAAGTAGACACAGAGACCGATAGAACAAAATAGAAAACCCAGAGACCAATAGAACAAAATAGAAAACCCAGAAATGCCAAATACTTACTAACAAATTATCTTTGACGAAGCATACAAAAAACATAAATTGGGGAAAGGATACCCTATTCCATAAATAGTGCTGGGAAAATTGGCAAGCCACATGCAGAAGAATTAAAATGGATCCTTATCTCTCACTGTATACAAAAATTAACTCAAGATGAATTAAAGACTAAAATCTAAGACTTGAAATCATAAAAATTCTAGAAGATAGCCTTGGAAAAACTCTTGTGTACACTGGCCTATGCGAAGAATTCATGACTAAAACCCCAACAGCAAATGCAACTAAAACAAAACTAAACAAATGAGACTTGATTAAACTAAAAGGCTTCTGTACAGCAATAATAATGATAATCATCATCATCATCATGATCTGGGTAAACAGACAACCCACAGAATGGGAGAAAATATTTACAAACTATACATCCAACAAAGGACTAGTATCCAGAGTCTACAATGAACTCAAAGAAATCACCAAGAAATAATAATAATCCCATAAAAAAGTGGGCAAAGAACATGAATACACATTTCTCTAAAGAAGATATACAAATGGCCAACAAACATATGAAAAAATGCTCAGTATCACTAATCATCAGAGAAGTACAAATTAAAACCACCACGAGATACCAAGTTACTCCTGCAAGAATGGCCATTATTAAAAATTCAAAAAACAACAGATGTTGGTGTGGATGTGGTGATAGGGGAATGCTTACAAACACTGCTGGTGTGAATGTAAATTAGTACAACCTCTATGGAAAACAGTATGGAGATTCCTTAAAGAACTATAAGTAGACCTACCATTTGATCCAGCAATCCCACTACTGGGTATCTACCCAAAGGAAAGGAAGTCGTTATATAAAAAAGACACATGCACATGTATGTTTATTGCAGCACCATTCACAATTGCAAAGGGAGGGTACCAATCTAAATGCCCACTGACGAATCAGTGAATAAACAAAATGTAGTATACATACACCACAGAATACTACTCAGCCATAAAAAGGAATGAAATAATGTCTTTTGCAGAAACGTGGATGGAGCTGGAAGCCATTTTTCTAAGTGAAGTAACTCAGGAGTAGAAAACCAAATACCATATGTTCTCACTTGTAAGTGGGAGCTAAGATATGAGTGTACAAAGGCATACAAAGTAATGCGATGGACTTTGGAGACTCAGAAACAGAAGGGTGGGAGAGGAGTGTGGGATTAAAAAAACCCACATATTGGGTACAACATACACTACTCGGGTGATGGGTGCACTAAAATCTCAGAATTCACCACTATATAATTCACCCATTTAACCAAAAACTACTTGTACCTCAAAAGCTATTGAAACTTAAAATTTTTTTAAATAAAATATTTTGCAATAAATACAGCAAATAAACTAAAATACAGTGTACATTCCTTCTTAAGGCTCAGTTCATATACAGTAAAATTCCCCCTTTTTAGTGTATTGTATAGTTTGACAAACGCACAGTTGTGTAATCACAGCACAGTTGATATACAAGTGTTTCATCACCCCCAAAAACTTCCTCCATGCAATGTTTTGGTCAATGCCTCTACTTACCCTCAACTCATCAATGATTTGATCTCTGTTCTTAATAGATTTGCCTTTACCAGAATATTATATAAATGGAATCATCATACAGTAAAAAAAAGGTACACTAAGTAGAAAGCCTACTTAATAGGTAATTGCCCATTTAAATTTATTTTTGTATATCCTTTGATAGAAATTATTAACTCCATCTTTAGGTACTCCATAATTTCATAATTACTTCATTACCAAAATTATTATACAGTACTATACATTACGCCTATATACATATTTATATATATACATGATTAACAGATAGGTATATAGATATAGATAGATAAATGAGCCCTTCTTCCATTCACTTATGTTCTACATATTGCATGTTTCCTAATTGATTCTGATATGCATTATGTTTATATAAATAATTTTGCATTTAAAATATATTTTGTCAAAGCAGAATAGGATTGTGTGTTACAGGAAGCAATGCTATATAAGTCTAAGTAGAAGATGAAAAGTATTCAAACACTGATTGCTTGAGAAAGTAATAAAAATAACACAAAAATATACAGTAATATTCTAGTTACTATTACTGCAAAACAAATTACCACAATATTTATCTGCAATTATATACTTCATATGTAATTATCTGTTTTCCCACTAGGCTCTCTCTCAATAACGTAAATGCAGCACATAATCCACACCTGGCCCATGTTTGGGAACTGAACAAACATTTATAGGATGAATGAAATAATTAGATTAAAAGAAATGAAACAAATTATGGCAAAAATAAATACGCTGATTATGAAGATCATTGTCTAAACATTATGTTGGATGTCAGTGTCTGAGAAGATGGAGTAGACGTATCATTCCTATTTGTTTCTTAATATAACTAAACTTTTTAGTATAACTAAAAATCTTGATGTTACATATAAAACAGACATATGAAGGTTCTGAAAGGTGAAAATGAGAGACTGGTTAAGCACCTCAGGACCCAGGAAACAACACAGTGTTTTCTCTGGGTTTGGTTTTCTGTTTTGTTTTGTTTTGATTTTGCCTTATAAATCCCAGATCTGTAGCTAGAGAACCTCACAATCCAGAAATGCCAAAAAGTGTTGACAAAAAAAAAAAAAAAAAGCCTCAACAAAAGCTTGCTTTCTTTAGATAAAGTGCTAGAAGAGAGATAGGCTGATGATACAGAAAACTTTTACACAACAGACACAGGACTACAGCCAATCATTATCCTCACCATGACAGCAAAAGCCAATTGAGAATCTAGATTTCTATCTTTTCCAGGCTGTAAGGAGTCACCCCAAAGTGCCCCTAATGTTGTCAGAGATGTCTCAATAGACAGCTGGGACTTTTATCCTCAACAGATGGTAAGGCACACTCTCTTTAGCACTGAGTTAATTGATCTGTAGACAGATAAAATGTGGGGAGCCTTGACTTCCACCCCCCTGGGAAGTGATGAAGTACCTCTTCCCTCCTTACCGGGGTGGTGTCAGAAGAAGCCTGATAGAGATTAATGATTACAATGAACTAAATTTAATACATATGTGTGAGTAGCTGTTTCAGACACAATTCTGGAAGGTGAATTATGGTGTAAAATTATAGGTAGATTTATAAATTTACTAAAAGATACAGAATTGTTTTCCAAAAAGTCATTAACGTTTTATACTTTTTCAATAATCTGTTTTAAAAATAAGAACATATATGCAATTCATATTTTGAAGTCCTAACCTCCAGTATGATAGTATTTGGAGCCTTTGGGAAATAATTAGCTTAGATGAGGTCATTAGGGTGGGGCCCTCATGACGGAACTAGTGCCCTTATAAGAAGAGACACCAGAGTTTGTTCTCTCTTTCTCTCTCTCTCTGTCCTTCCCTCCCTCCATGTGCCCCCACACCCCTTTTCCTTCTCCCTCTCCTTCCTCTCCTTCTCTTTCTCTCTGGCAGCAAGATCTGCAAACCAGGAAGAAAGCCCTTAACAGAACTCAGTCATAATGATAACCAGATTTTTGCTTCCCAGCTTCCAGAAATGAATTTCTGTTATTTAAGTCACCCAGGCTCTGGCATTTTGTTATGAAAGCCCAAGCTGACTAAAAGGACTTTTATCACCACTCAAAGGAAATCAGAAAAGGGAAAACAGAGAGAGAAAAAAAGAGAGAACAAACAAACAAAAATTAAATGGCAGACTGAAGCCCTATTATATAGATAATAACATATATGTAAATGGTTAAAAGGTAACGCCAATTAAAACACAGACATTGACATAGTGGATTTAAAAACCTGACTATTTGCTGTCTACAACAAACACTTCAAATATAATAAAATGGGCAGATTGAAAGTAAAAGGATGGGAAAATACATATTATGACAAAAATCAAAAGAAAGCAAAAATTGCTATATCAATATCAGATAAAGTACAACTCACAGCAAAGAAAATTCTCTGATAAAAAGAGGGACATTACATAATGGCACAGTGTTCAATCCAATAATAAGACATAGCAATCCTAAATGGGTATGTACCAACCCACTTATTTGCAAAATTTATGAAGCCAAACTGATACACCAAAAGGGGGAAATAGAAGACTCTATCATTATAACTGGAGATTTTAACTGCCTTTTCACAACAATTCATAGAAAAACTAGGCAGATTCAGCAATAATATAAAAGATTTCAACAATCCCATCAACCAGGATATCAAGATCTCAACAATACCATCAATAATCCCATCGACAAGTCCTAATTGACATTAATAGAACACTCCTCTCAATAGCAGCAGAATATTTATAATTATCAAGTGTCCATAAAACTTGGTTTTGCTAAACAGACCATATCCTGCGGCAGAAAACAAAGCCCAACAAACTTAAAAGAATTGAAAGCACAGAGAGTTTGTTTTTCCATTACAATATGATCAAGCTGGAAATCCCTAACAAAAAGAGAAAAGAAAATCTTCAAATATTTGTAAACAAAACAACGTACCTTAAATAACCCATGAGTCAAAGATGAACTATCAAAGAAAATCACAATATACATTGAAATAGATAAAAATGCTAATGTGGCCAGGCAGGGTGGCTCACACCTATAATCCCAGCACTTTGGGAGACAGAGGCAGGTGGATCATTTGATGTCAGGAGTTCAAGACCAGCCTGGCCAACATGGGTGAAACCCCGTCTCTACCAAAAATACTAAAATTAGCCAACACCTGGTGGCTAACAACACCGTTGGAACATGCCCATGTTCCCAGCTACTCGGGAGGCTGAAGGAGGAGATTCACTTGAACCCAGGACGTGGAGGTTGCAGTGAGCCAAGATCCCGCCATGCACTCCAGCCTGGGGAACAAGAGCGAAACTCCATCAAAAAAAAAAAAAAATACTAATGCAACATTTCAAAATTTAAAATAGAAAACAGAAATAAAAAGTAAGCAAATAGAAAAACAGAAAACACTTCCCAATTCATTTTATGAAACTATTATTCCTTTGATAACAAAATCAGCCAAAATAGTACAAAAGAGAAAACTACAGACAAATTTCGATTGAATGGAGACACAAAATCCTTAACAGAATATTAGCAAACATAATTCATCCATATAAAAAATATTATACACCTTGACCAAGTGAGATTAATTCTAGAGATATCAGGTTGCTTCCATATTTCAAAGCCAATCAATGTAATCTACCATAATGATAAGCCAAAGGAAAAAAATAAAAAGATTGATGAGTTAGTGGGTGCAGCGCACCAGCATGGCACATGTATACATATGTAACTAACCTGCACATTGTGCACATGTACCCTAAAACTTAAAGTATAATAATAATAATAATAATAAAATTAAATTAAAAAAGATTGTATCAATTAATGAAGGAAAACAATGAACAAAATTCAACACCCATTCATAATTTTTAATAAAATACTCATAAAAATAGGAATAGAAGAAAACTCTTTAGACTTTATAAAGAGCATCTAGACCGAATCTATGGCTAACATTCTACTTAATTTTGAATGGGTACAAAAAAAAATAGAAAGAATAAATGAGACCTAGTATTTGCTACCACAACAGGGTGATTATATTCAAAAATAATTTAATAGAAAAACTGAATGCTTTCCCTCTACGTTCAGGAACATGAACAGTATGTCTCTACTTCCTCTTCTCTTACTCAACATAGTGCTGGAAGGTAAGCTAGAACAGTAAAGGAAAAAAACCCATATAAAAGGCATATATAAAATTGGCTCTACTTGAAGATGACATGATGTCTACATAAAAAAAATCCCAAGAAATCTACAAAAAAACTCCCAGACATAATGACTGAGTTCATCAAGGGTGCAGGATATAAGACATACAAAATCAATTGTTTTCCATATACTAGTAATGATCATATAAACACTGATATTAAAAATACAATAAAATTTACAATTGCTAAGAATGGAATAATTTGGTGTAAATCAGATGAAACATGCACAGGCCTTCTGTTCCGAAAACTTCATCACACTGATTTTTAAAAAATCAAAGTAGAGCTGGGATTGCTGGCTCATGCCTGTAATCCCAACACTTTGGGAGGCCAAGGCTGGTGGATCACTTGAGGTCAGGAGTTAGAGACCAGCCTGGACAACATGGTGAAACCCCATCTCTACTAAAAATACAAAAATTAGCCAGGCATGGTGGCGGGCACTTGTAATCCCAGCTACTCGGGAGGCTAAGGCAGGAGAATCACTTGAACCCAGGAGGTGGAGGTTGCAGTGAGCCGAGATTGTGCCACTGTACTCCAGCCTGGAACACAGAGCAAGACTCCATCTCAAAATAAATAAATAAATAAACAAACAAACAAACAAACAAATAAATAAAATAAAAAATCAAAGTAGATCTAAAAGATGAAGGGACATACTGCGTTAATGGATGGGAAGACTAAACACAGTGGGATTTCAATTCCCCCCAAATTGATATACAGGTTTAAAACAGTCTTAACAAAATTATAACAATATTTTGTTTTAGAAACAGGCAGGATGGTTCTGATAGATATGGAAAGAAAAAGAAAACAGGATTGTAAAAAGTAAAGTAGAGGTTCCTCTGCAAAGACTTAATATATAGTGACTTCTCTTAGAAGCAAAATTTATTCAAAGACCTGTGCTAACATTCTTAAATATCTGCTAGCTGTGATAAAGAAATTAATGTACTTTATGTTCTTAGCTCCCACAATTTAGCCTAAATATTTGCCCTGGCATGCTTATACTGGTGCAAGCAAGCATTAGGTCATAGCCTGTTCCTCTTCCTTATTTGAAGGTGTTTTTACCTTTCTCAGCATTCCACAAGTTACTTCCTCCTTCCTTTGTTTTCCTCTGCTTTTGCCTCTTTTAAAAAGTTCTAAGTTGCTAGCCAATCAGGACAAATACAGAATGTGAGGTCCCATTCCAGCCAATGGAAACCGGACACAGCAGTAGGGTGGACGCATCAGGTTATAAATGACCCTGTCTCCTTTGTTCGGTGTACTCTCGTGGCAAAACTGCTGGTGAGTGTATCCTCTCTGCAGGAAGTAAAAATGGCCTTGCTGAGTAAATTAAATTTATGTTCAAGTGCTATTTCTTTACCGCACTAGGGAACAAGCATTTCAAACAACGATGATGAAACAATTTTGAAAATTACAAATAAAGTTGAAGGAAATCACAGTACCCCATTTCAAAACATCTTGTATAGCTACACTAATCAAGAAAATGTGATACTGGTGGATGGACAGACACATAGATCAATGGAACAGAAAGAAAACTCATAATAGTACCACAGTAAGGACAACTAATTTTTGATAAAGCTGCAAAGGCAAGTTTATGGAGAAAAAAAATTTCTCAAAATAGTACTAGAGAAATTGTATATCCAGAAACAAAAATATAAACCTCATAACTTATGCAGAAATTAACTCATAGTGCATCTAATATTTAAATGTAAAACATATTTTTTTAAATAAGAGGAAGAAATCTTTTGTAATCCAGCACGTAGTAAAGCGTCCTTAGACTTGACACTAAAAGCATGACCCATGAAGGGGAAGACTGAGAAATTGGCCCCTTAAAAATAAAAAATAGAAAAAATGTTATTCAACTTTTTATGCTGTGTTAAGAGAATGAAAAGACAAACTAAAGACTGGGAGAAAATATTTTTAAGCCATATATCCAAAAAAGACTAGTACCTAGAATATATAAAGATTCTCAAAATTTGACAGTATAAAATAAACAATCCAATTTGAAAATGAGAAAAAGACATAAACAGAAACCTCACTAAAGAGGATATACAGATGGCAAATGAAAACGAAAAGATGTTCAACATCATAGCCATCAGATAAATGCAAATGAAAACTACAGTGAGCTATCATTACACATATATCAGAGTTACCAGAATAAACATAGTGACATCACCAAATGCTGGCAAAAATGTATGCAAAATACGTCACTCATACATAGCATGTGTGAATGTAAAATGCTGCATCATTATAGAAAACAGGCAGGTTAAAAAAATTAAACTGGCAAATATCATATTATACAGCAGTTGCACTCTTGGGCATTTATCCCAGAGAAATGAAAACTTTTGTTTGCATGGAAACTTGTACACAAATGCAGATTTATCTTTATTATATTTATTAACCAAAGCATAGAAATAACTAGAAGTCCATAAAAGTGTAAAATGATTAAACTAGATGCGGTTCACTCACACCATGAAGTGCTGCTTAGCAAGAAAAAGGAACAAACTACTGGTAAATGCAACAATGTGGATAAAAACTACGTGGATAAATCTCCAGGGAAAAAAGCAACCCAAATAGCAATTACAATAGTATTCCATTATACAACATTCTTTTTTTTTTTTTTTTTTTTTTGAGACAGTCTCGCTGTGTCGCCCAGGCTGGAGTGCAATGGTGTAATCTTGGTTCACTGTAACCTCTGTCTCACAGATTTAAGAGATTCTTGTGCCTCAGCCTCCCGAGTAGCTGGAACTCCAGGCACGTGCCACCATGCCCAGCTAATTTTTGTATTTTTAGTAGAGATGGGATTTCGCCATGTTGGCCAGGCTGGTCTTGAACTCCTGATCTCAGGTATTCTGCCCACCTTGGCCTCCCAAAGTTTAGGATTACAGGCGTGAGCCAGCACCTCCAGTCTCATTATACAACATTCTTCAATCATTCACGCACACACACACACACACGTGCACACACACGTACACATGCACGCACGTAATCTTTGATGAAGAACAGATTATTGACTGCTGGAAATCAGGAATGGGAGGGAGGTAGGGGCTGCAGTGGTGGGATGTGGGTGTGCTTATAAAGTGCAACACAAAGCATCCTTGCAATGACTGAGATGTACTTTATCTTGGTTGGATCAATGTTAGTATCTTGGTTGAGATACTGTACTATAGTATTGCAAGATGGCAAAACTGACTGGAACTGGGTAAAGGTGCATGGGATGTCTCTGTATCATTTCCTACACCGCAAGTAAATGTAGAGTTATCACAATAAAGACGGTTTGTAACTTTTTACCAGACAGTTTGGGTTCAATGGATACCAGACAAAACACATGCAAATTGGCTGGGTGTGGTGGCTCATGCCTGTAATCCCAGCACTTTGAGAGGCCGAGGCGGGCAGATCACGAGGTCAGGAGATCGAGACCATCCTGGCTAACACGGTGAAACCCGGTCTCTACTAAAAATACAACAATTAGCCGGGCATGGTGCTGGGCGCCTGTAGTCCCAGCTACTTGGGAGGCTGAGGCAGCAGAATGAGGAGAATGGCGTGAACCTGGCAGGCAGAGCTTGCAGTGAGGCCAGATAGTGCCACTGCACTCCAGCCTGGGCGACAGAGCGAGACTCCGTCTCAAAAAAAAAAAAAAACAAAAACAAAACAAAAAAAAAACTACACACAAGCAAATTAAAACAAATTTTTATAAAACAGTGTTTGTGTACACATCCAGTAATGGCAGACCAGACATTTCAGCCCAAACATTATGCTGAAGAAAAATAAACTAAGAAAGATGTAAAACTATAACAAACTTCTCTTTGAAGATATCACTAAAATTGATCCCCCATTTCCCCCCCTCATAGAATCCCATCTCAAAGGAGAAAATTGGGAACCCAAGAGGCAAAGTAAGATGTTGTAGCTGAGAAGCTAAGCAACTGACAAGGGCTTCCAGCAGCTTTTCCAGCCTAGGGAATGCAGATTGCAGCTCAGGATCCATCATGGAAAGGAAACCTTGGGAAATACCTCAAAGTTTCATTTGACATCACTGAGGAGCTATGCCCTAAGTGTTATATAAACCAGAAACAGAACAATCCTCCCAATACATGAGACCCAGCTTAAAAAGACTCAATCTCTGATTTTGATGAGATGCTCTTCATCCCAATCTCCTGCCTCACTCATGTCACCACCCTAACTGCCTTATAGAAGTAAAAGAAAATACTCCAAGAGGGAAGAAAAAATCATTCATTCTCCAATTACTTCTCTAGTATTTCATACACAAATTAATGCTTTCAATCATCAAAAATCACAGATGCAAAATATGAATGGGAAGGAAAGGATTAACCTCAGGCCTGTGATTTAGTTTTTCCATTTGCTGAGGCTGTCTGGGATAAAAAGAACTATAATTTGGTTACACCCATGCAATTTAGAGTGACACTGAGATACCACCACACATCTATCAGAAGGACTACAATGTTAAACAATGACTAAAACAAGTGCTGGCAAGGATATAGGACAAATGCGACTCTCACACACTGCTAGCAGGACATAAAACAGTCAATAAAGATGCATAACACCTTGATATTTTTTAAAATAACTGAAGGATACACTTATCAGGTGATCCAGCCATATCACTCATTGATGTTTACACAAGAAAAACTAAAATATACATCCATATAAAGACTTGAATGTATTGTCCACATTATGAAAAAAGAGGAGGACTTGTGGAGAGAAAAAAGGGGAAAATATAAATTTGCACAAGGAAATGAGTAAAGAAATGGCTATGTACATTATCTTGTTTTTGGTAAAGGTTTCACAAATATTTGTATGCATGTATGTGATATATACATATTTCATATATATACATAAAAAGTTATATTGTTTAAAGTTGAAAATCATTTTTTAATTCAATTTTATTCCAATGAATCTGTTACAAAGTGTAAGATAAATAAATGTATGTCCTAAAGGGACATTAATATCAATAAATGCAAAATGGAACACTTGGCAATTTATGATCTGATAATACATCTCAAGATATTATATAGAGAACAGTAATATCAAAACTTTACAGAAATGAAATAATAAAGACTTATAGTTGTCACGCTCATCCTCACAATAAGAAAAAAGCTGAACTGAAAATCAACAACTCTCTTTAATCCATCAGATAATTGATGTCACAGAGTGAAACATGGCCTCAAATATTGGAGAGACAGGCAAATACAGAGAATCACAGTTTACTGGAGCAAAAGCTCAGGAGAAGCCCATTGCTGGATCCAGTACAAAGAGTATTACAATGTAAAAAACTGCAAATCTTATAGTTTATTTAAGATGTCCCTAGGGAAACTCAAAGACAACAAGGGAGACTAAAACAAGGACACAAAGGAAATTTTGGCCTATGGCACCTACAATGACAGTGATGGCAGCGATGGCCCATCTGGAGTGGCTGCTGCCATGATGCCCACTGCAGTGGGGGAGGCATGGCTGGGGCTGCACACTCCACAGAGTTGGTGGGAGCTGGGAGCTGGGAGCTGGCAGGAGCCCTGCCCACCCAGGTACAGCGGCAGCCACCCAAACCGCAGCTGCAGACCCGGGCATCCCTGTGCTCTTGGGGGCCAGAAGCAGGCAGGAGCCCCACCCTCCCAGATGCAGCTGCAGCCACCCAAGCTGTGGCTGTGGACCCAGGCATCTCTGCATTCTTGGGAGCCTGGGAAGGCCGCACTGCCCCTACAGGTTTAGAAGTGCCTGCTTCCACTGCCTGGCCCCTCCCCACTCCCAGTGACTGCTCCGATATCTGAGCAAAGTTGAGGCCGAGCCCAGGCATTGTTGCAACCGGCCGGGTGTGTACACGCTCAGGGCAATGCTGACTCTGGACTTTGGGTGCCAACAAACATGGGAGGGAGGCCAAGGGGGAGCTGAGGGCAGCTCAGTGCTGGCCTGCAAGCACCCTTTGGCATAAACAGCCTGGGCACCATGAACAGCGACAGGAGGTAGGCAGGAGGCAGACAGACTCCAGGACAGGAAGGGGCAGGTCCCTGGTGAAGCCCCTCCTTCAAGCCGGGGAAAGCTTGAAGCCTGAAGACTGGAGTGGGAACTTGTGGTGCTTTTTCTGGGCCCACCCATGGTCGCCCATAGACCAACTTGTATCCACTTCCTCCCATCTGAGGCCCCATAAAAGCCCTGGACTCAGCCAGAACAGAGGAGACGATGGGACAATCTGAGTGAAGAGAGGGGCTACCCACTCCAGGGTTTCCTGTGTGTTGATAGCTGAGGAGACAACAGGACTACCAGCTGTGGAGAGGAGCTACCCACTGCAGGGTCTCTTCTCTGCTGAGAGCTGAACACTCATCAGGATACCCTGCCTGTGGAGAGGATCGACCCAATGCGGGTCTCCTGAGCTGCTCTGTCACTCAATAAAGCTCCTCTTTGTCTTGCTCAACCGACACTTGTTGATGTACCTAATTATTTCCGGATGCAGGACAAGAACTTGAGACCTGCCAAATGGCGGGGCTAAAAGGGCTATAATACTAATGGGACTGAAACATGCCTCTTGCTCACCACATTGAGGGTTACAAGAAGGAGAGAACAGAAAAGGAGAGAAGAGCTGCAGCCCTTTGGGGAGCCCAGACCTAGGAGCTCCCCAAGCCAGGGCTGTGACACCCTCTCTGGGGCTCTTCAGTTCCTGGCATCTTCAAGCTTCCAGGTGCCACAGCATTCCCTGGTGCCAGCTGTGGGAGCTGCTTGCAGTATGCCTGGTCCAGCCGTGGCCTCAACTGGAGCGGCTGCCCATGCTGGAGCCTGGAGCTACCCGTCCCGCCACAACCAGCACCCCTGGCTTTGCACAGTGGCCTGATCCCACGGTCGCATGCTCACATTCTCCTCTCCTCTCCACTCCACTAGCCCTTGGCAGGCATGGGATCCAGGCGAGTAGCGTGAGCCAAGTGCAGCCTGCCGGGCCAAGTGGGCCCAGCAGGCCCAAGCAATCCTTGGGCAAAGGCATCACTGGCCACAGAGGTTTCCGGCTGGCAAATCGATACCCCAAGGATCTTGTGACAACAGCAAAGAGTAAACACAGTATAACACTTTGCCATATTAACAAAAAACCTTAAACTAAAGGCCTATGTACCTCAGTTCCTTCTATTAATATACAGTACATTAAGACTCACTTTGAACAAAAAATTACAAGGCATACTGAAAGTAAAAAATTAAAATAAAAATCAGTTTGAAGAGACAGAGTATCAAAAGCAGCAAAAAGAGATTAAGATATGGTAGATACTTTGGAATTTTCAGACTGGAAATTTAAAATAATTATGATTAATATGCTAAGGACTCTAATGGAAAGACAGGTGGGTAATGTAAGAAAACAGATGGGAACTCTAAAAAAGATGCAAAAAGGAATAAAACAATATAAGATCAGTGAGATATACTTTTAATTACAAAAAGAAAACCAACATATTAAACATTTTTATTTTCATAAAGGGTTAAAAAATGTATAAATCCTGGCAAGGGATTAAAGAAAAAAGTCAAAATAATCAATATCGGCAATGTAAAGGAAATCCTCACTCCATATCCTGGAAACAGACATAATTATATAGGAAAATTATGCTAATAAATTTGGTATTACACAAAATAAAAAAGTGCCAAGAAAAACAGAGCTTAACAAGAAAACAAGAAATCTCAATTGCCTCATGTCTCCTAAAAATTGTCTCTGCACTGAAAACTATGTTTATAAATATATTCTATGCTGATTCCTAAAGTAATGAACTTTCCATAGAATGAGAATGAAATAACACCAATCTTTTATAAGTTCTTCCACATAATATAATTAGTAAAAATACTTTCCAAAATGTTTCATGTGACCCTTATAAGCTTTATACTACAATGACAAGACCATTGTAAGAAAATAAAACCAGAGGCCAGGTGCAGTGGCTCATGCCTGTAATCTGAGCACTTTGGGAGGCCAAGATGGGCAGATCACTTCAGGTCAGGAGTTCAAGACCCGCCTGGCCAACATGGAGAAAGCCTGTCTCTACTAAAAATTTAAAAATCAGCTGGGTGTGGTGGCACACGCCTGTAATCCCAGCTACTTGGGAGGCTGAGGCACGAGAAACGCTTGAACCCGGCAGGCGGAGGTTGCAGTGAGCCAAGATCACACCACTGCACTCCAGCCTGGGTGAAAGGGTGAGACTCTGTCTCAAAAAAAAAAAAAAAAAGAAAAACAGAGATTTATATCCCTCAGGAAACCCACTGGCCACACCTAGAAAGAACAGCAACAACATATGTCCGACAAACAGAAACCAAACATATTTCAAGTAGATAAGCCTATAGATAAACTGAGTAGAATTAAAACATGAATTATTTTTGGCTTGTTGTATTGGAATAAAAATACTTTAGGCAGAGGACATGATTATGTAAGCACCATAATATATACAAAGAAACCAGATGACAAAATTTACCATTTAAGTATCATTTTTTAAAAAACTCAGAAAACCTTAGTAAATACCATAATTAGTGGTGAAAGATTTACAACATCCCCTTGAGATCATAAAAGAGGTAAGAATGCCTACTATAACAAGTTCTATTCAACATTTTAGGTAGGTCATAGCCAGAACATTAAATGCAAGAAAAAATATGCATAAAGATTGAAAGAAACAAAATAAAACCTCCTTTATTCACAGATCAAATGATTATGTTTCCAGGTTATTGAGAAGCAGTCTATAAGTAATAGAGACTTTGTTGTTAATTTTTAATTTCTGTGGGTACACAGTAGGTATATATATTTATGAGGTCCATGAGATGTTTTGATAGAGGCATACAAAATGTAATAATCACATCAGGGAAAATGGGGTATCCATAACTTCAAGCATTTATCCTTTATGTTACAAACGATTAAATTAAACTCTTTTAGTTAAAAGTGTACAATTAAACTATTATTTACTATTCTCCCTTCCCCTCTCCACACTCTATTACCCTTCTCAGTCTCTTGTAACCATCATTCTACTCTTTATGTTCATGAGTTCAATTGTTTTAATCGTTAGTTCCCACAAATAACTGAGAACATGCGAAATTTATCTTTCTGTGCTTGGTTTCTTTCTCTTAACATAACGACCTCCAGTTAGTGAGTTCTGCAAGACAACTGAATTCCATAGTTAAGCCCAAAGACATTTTTTTCTGAGAATAGTAATTCTTTTTTTAAAAAATTAATTTATTATTATTATTATTATTATTATTATTTTGGGATGTAGTCTCGCTCTATCACCCAGGCTGGAGTGCAGTGGCACCATCTCAGCTCACCGCAACCTCCACCTCCTGGGTTCAAGCAATTCTCATGCCTCAGCCTACTGAGTAGCTGGGACTACAGGTGTGTGCCACCACAGCTGGCTAATTTTTGTATTTTTAATAGAGATGGGGTTTTGCCATGTTGGCCAGGCTGGTCTTCAACTCCTGACCTCAAGTGATCCACTCGCCTCAGCCTCCCAGAATGCTGGGATTACATGCATGAGCCACCGTGCTAAGTCTGAGAATAGTAATTCTTACTAAATTTTTTATACACATCATAAGAACAGAACAAAAACCCTAACAACACAAGGTATTATTTTAAAGATTTGTTTTTAGATACTTACAAGCTAAAATTCAAAAGTCATTATAACCCTAAACTTTGTTGTCATTTTTTCTGATATCATGGTAACAAAGGCACCTGACTATATGATTAACTTCACAATAAAGTTGATATTAAATCCTAGTGGAACAAAAAAAACATTCATTGTGACTATTTTACTTATGGCCTCTAGGATAATGATTTCACTGAGTAATTAAAGGTCAGGTATTTATAAATGTTTCACTACTATATTAAATTACTTTCTCAACATAAATTATATATTTTCTTATTTCTTTTCTTTCTCTTTTCTGTTTCTGGATTTAAATGTAACTTCTTACCTGTTCTGTACTGCCTTACCAAAGGGGAAAAAAAAAAGCAAAGTACATCTTTCAAGAAAACTATTAGTGATATGCCTTCATCTCACTCTTTGATTTTTCCTTTATTAATTATCAATTTTTCATGTGCCCAGTATAAATTATTTTTTTACATGCAATTGCATGGCCGGGCGTGGTGGCTCACGCCTGTAATCCCAGCACTTTGGGAGGCCAAAGCGGGCGGATCACCTGAGGTCAGGAGTTGGAGACCAGACTGGCCAACATGGCGAAACAGCATCTCTATTAAAAATACAAACATTAGCTGAGCGTGGTGACACACGCCTGTAATCCTAGCTACTCAGGAGGCTGAGGCAGGAGAATCACTTGAACCTGGGAGGCAGAGGTTGCAGTGAGCTGAGATCATGCCACTGCACTCCAGCCTGAGCAACAGAGTGAGACTCTGTCTCAAAAAAAAAAAAAAAAAAAGAAAGAAAAAGAAAAAAAGAAAAAAAACTGCAATTGCATATTGCTTCACAGAAATAACCATGATTAGCAGTAAGGTGTGTAAATGAAAAGTTGTATACAAAGTATTTACACATGTAAAATATTTATATACTTGTGCATGCAAGTGAAATAAAGTACAATTTGGTTCCTTTTATATTTGAAATATGTCTTTGTGATATCTTCTGCAAGTATACAAGATTTACCCGATTGGATATAAAAGTTACATAGTATTCATCATATTAATACAGTGTATGTTATTTAGAAACTATTTGTTTTGCCTTTTTGTGTCCATACTTTTATGCACACATTTAAGAAGCTCTGTCAGATATCGTTATAGAAAGGCAATTATTGCACAAAAAAGTAGACAAATTTAAAACATTGTTAAAATATACCAAATTAATTTCAAATACCCAGGACCATTTTATACTATTCCACGACTTGTATTAATATAAGAAAGAATATGTTATTTATTTAATTTCCACTAAGCATTTAGCATATTTAATATACTAATTGCCAATTCGTGATTATTTTTGTGTATATCCTTGGTGCATTTTACTGATTCCATTTGTTAATGAGACTACCATTTCATAATTACTTGAATACCAAAATGGTTATATATTAAGCATACACATATGCATAAACTCTTGTTGCTTTCACTTATGTTCTGTATATTTCTCGTTACTTGATTGATTCTGTATAAATATATGGCATATAAATCACCTCACCTGTAAAATTATCAATGAATAATTATATTGTATATTAGTTAAGTACAGCGTACATAAAATATTTTGCTATAGGTAATACAAGAAAAATATTGATATTTTGGCTTTTTGTTTTTCACGTGAGTTTATTTTGCTTTGTCTTGTTGCTCTTATCAATCGAATGAGTTATCTTTTAATTTAAATGAGAAAATTTGGATTGATGAAATAGCTATTGAAGTTTTAAATGACATTAGTAAACTGTATATTTGATAACTATATGAAGTATAGAAAATATCAGTGAACAAATGTATACCAACTGAAAACTTTAAAGGAATAAAGATACATACATTCCTAAGCAGGATGATTTCAGTGACGGCTGCTTGCCCAACAGAACCCGTGGTGAAGCAGAACAAGCACACCAGCACCTTTCCAATGCTTAAAGAGGAAATAGTCAAGCCAGAATTCTACATCCGGTAAAATCACACTCTCAAATTGTGAGTGAAATAAGATACAATCACATAAACAAACCTCAGACAATTTGTTTCTAGCCAAACAGTAATATGCATAATGCAACAAGAAGTTCTTCTGAACAAAGAGAATAGATACCTGATAGAAACTGGGAACTTCAGGAAGGAGTGAAGACGACTTGAGAGAAATACTTGGAAAAATATTACAAACAATTTTTTTCTATTATTTCATTAAAAGACAAATGGCACTTAAAAATAGTAAGCAGAATTGAAGATGGAAAATATGTGCAAAATTCATTAAACCGTAAGGTTAAGATCTGTGCCCTTAATGTGTTTTAACTCCTTTACCAAAATTATGAGGCAAGTGTAAATTATAAGTATTCAGTTTTTAATAAAACATTTACATGAAATATATGACAAAAGGAGAACAAAGGAAAAGGGGAATAAATGTAATTGTACTGTTGTGAAGTTACATTTACACAAAGTGATATGATCCTAACTAGAACTCAACCAAGATAAGTAAAGGATTCATATGAGAGCCCTTTCAGCAATGACTGAACATAATACAAAGTGATATAAAAAACATTCTGGTTACTATTGCTGCATAACAAATTACCCCAAAAAATATTGTCAATAACATATTCCACATTTGCTTGCTTGTTTTTCATTAGGCTATACTTCAATAATATATTTCTACCATATACTGTAATTCACACCTGGCACATGTTGGGAACTAGGGAAACACAGGTTATCAATGACAAAAATTTAATTAGGGTACAATAAATTATGACAGAAAAGCCCCACTGCTTGGATAGATCATTTCCATAATGATTTTATTTTACTGACAAAAATATTAAATTAATACCCTGTCCCCTCCCCCGCCAAAAGAAGGCTACAATTAAAATTACTAACCATAACAAGGATGTAGAACAACTGCAACTCATACTGCTGATAGGATGGAGAACAGTACAATCACATTGCAAGACGCTTTGGCATGACCTAAAAAAATTAAATATACACCTCTCAAGTGCTCCAGCCATTCCTTTCCTTGATTTTTACTGAAAACAAAGACAAACCAACAAAAAATCCAACGTATATGTTGATACAAAGGCTTGTGCAAAAATGTTCAGAGCATATGAATGGTGGAAGAGCTTGGGCAGGAATAGAAAGGAGAGATACAGTGGCAAACAAGACACTTGGTGAGGGGGAATGAACATTAACATTATCTTTATTGTGGTGATGGTTTCGTAAATATATACATATCTCAAAACATAATGTTAAAGTGGTTCAGTTTATTTTAAATCAATTATACTTAACTGAAATTACTAGAAATTGTGTGGATGCATCAAAACATGGGCATAAAATAAAATTCATGCCATTTACGCAAAAGAGGAAATCCTGACAATTTAAGATCTGGTAATACACTTCACAGAATTGGAAAGTAAAGCAGGGATACAAACCAAACTTGAAATAAAAATAAAAATTATTATTATTTAATCAAACCAAAGAAATATTAAATATAAAGTGGTAGACAATACTAAAAGGGTTTTTTTAAAGAAAAAAATGATAAATCCTGTCAAGAGTGATCAAAATCAAAGAATACCACCACCACCACCACCACCAACACTGCCACCACCACCACCACCATCACCACCACCATCATCACCACTCCAACAGTAATATAAAACGATTCTCGCCATGAATCCTGGAGACAAATATATTATATTATAATCAAATTCATGCCAATAAAATAGAAATTACTGTATCACACAAAAAAACACCACTTAACAAACAGATAAATTGGGAAGTCTTCGTAATTCTTTATTTATTAAATAAAATGTATCTATATTGGTCCTGGTGCCTAAATTCCTGATCTTTTCCATGTAACTGAGAAAGATACAACCAATCTTACACAACCTCTTCTGTAGGAAAATAACTGTCAAAACACTCCCAAATGTATTATGAGACCCCTATAAAGTATATATATACTTATCAGTTCAGTATTATACTGAACTGATAAGAAAATTATGCATAAAGAATATCAAAAGGTTTTGTTGTTGTTGTTTTTTGTTTGTTTTTTGTTTTTGAGACATGGTCTCTGTCACCCAGGCTGGATCACAGTGGAGCCATCATAGCTCACTGTAACCTCGAACTGCTGGGCTCAAGCGATCCTCTCACCTCAGCCTCCCAAGTAGCTGGGACTACAGGCACATGCCACGACATCCTGCTAATTGTTTAGTTTTGGGATTACAGATGTGAGCCATCACACCCAGCCATATAAAAGGTTTTTATGCCTCATGACAAAATGTAAACAGTGAATAAATAAATAAAATGTAAAACTTATGTTTTACAAACAGAACAAAGATACTTCAACCATAATACCCTGTGAACAAAATGTGTTTCATCCAGGAAAGAATTTTTGTTGCCTTATCATCACGAAATCAAGTCATTTTGGCAGACAAAGGAGTAAAATCATGTCGCTATCACAATAAAGAGAAACCTTTTTATGGAATTTATTATTCATTTATGACTTTCCAAAACTCACGAAACTGCAGCAAGTGTCATACATATTGATGAATTACTAAAAACCATCCCCTGAAATAAGAAAAGAGGTAAGAATGCCTACTATCACCAGATCTATTCAACATTTTATAGAGGTCATAGCTAGGACAATAGTGCCAAAAAAAAAAAAAAAAAAAAGAAAAGAAAAAAGAAAGAAAGAAAAGAAAAAGAAAAAGGAAAAAAAAAGGCATAAAGATTGGAAAGTAAAAAAATTTCCAAAAATGCAGATATTAGCCTTTCACACTTCATGATTGGCAGTGAAGTGTGTGTATGAGCAGATATGCATATAAATATTAACACACCTGATGTATTTATACACATGTATAGGAATGTGAAATAAATTAAAATTTACTTTCTTTTTTCAACAATAATACAACTTGGATATATCTTATGCAAGTATATAATGAACTACCTGATTGGTTATAAAGCTACACAATAGTCATAGTATAAACAGAATATAATTTACTTAAAAATCAATCTTTTGTCATTTTTAACCAAATTTTTATGCATCTTTGTAGACTATAGTCGTAGAAAGAAAATTACTGTTTTTAAGGGCAGGGAAATTTTAAAATTTGCTTTAAAATGCCAATTTATTTTCCAAAAACCTAGTATCACTTTTTCCTCCCTCAAAAATTTGGCATCAAGATAAAAAGAATAATTTCATATTTAACATACTAATTATCAATCATATTTAATATAACTGAATCAGACATCTATGATTGCACAGCCTCTGCAACAATCAGCCTGTGAAGCCAAAATATAAAGTCTGCAGCAATAGAACCCAAACAGTGAGGACCTGGCCAATAACTGTCAACATCCCTAAATTTTGCCCCTGCATCTAACTTAGGACCAATCAGAAGAACCCCAAAATGTTCCCCTACCAGTCATTTAGTATGTTCACACTTCTAGTTAGCATGCCACCAGCTTTCCCATGCCAACAACTTCGGATTGGCACATACCTGAAGCCTTCCCTTTTTTCCACCATAAGCTTTAATATTCCCATAAGGGAAGCTTCTCAACTTCCCTGCCTGCCTTTGAGTCTCCACCAAATACAAAAGATAGTGGCTGGCTCCCTTGTTATAGCAAGCTCTGAATAAATAGCTTTTTCTTGTTCTCATTTGGACAGTCTTCACTTATTTCCAAAATTGTTTGATGTATTTTACTATTCCATTTGTTAGTCTATTATTTCATAAATATTTGAAATACCAAAATATTATACATGAAGCCTATTGTATACATTTATTCTTGTTATAGTCACAAATACACGCACACATGCATATATAGCCTGTTAAGAATAATATTAAGAATATTCCAATATGTATATTAATATAAACCACCTTAGATATATATCTACCAAACTTGAATGTTATTGCATGTTAAAACTACTATAGACATAAAATATTTTAAGTAAAATGTATCACTTCATTATTGTTTAACATGAATTATATCTGTTCTCATACAATTTCTCATGTATGTCAAAATTTGCATTAAATTGATGACTGAAATAAAACAGTTTTGATATTTTCCATGGGAAAGTGCATAACACTTTAATTTATATATAATGAGTGCAGATATTTGTGTATATTTTAATTAGAAATAAAAGTTGGTTATTTTGGCTTTTGCCAAACATTTTTTTCATGAGACTTATTTTGTTTCTTTTTCTTTCGCTTTGCTTTGTTGCTACTGTCTATCCATAAATTATTTTATCTTATATAAATGGAAAAATTTGGATTGATAAAATTTAAGCTATATTATAGTGTAACTCCATTATTGCTAAAATAGCTATAAAACTTTTCAAGTATTACATTAGTAAACATTATAACATTTATTATATCTCATATAAATTGAACATCTGTCAAATATAAAGATTAGTGAAGTATATAATTATATGCCCCCAAAACTTCTGAAAAAGAAAGTGTATTACCTACTAAGAATGATGATTTAAATGATGGCTGCCTTTTCAAAAGAATCTTTGGATAAAGGAAGAAAATGGAGAAGTAACTTTCTAATTCTGAAATAAAAAAGAATTATTGATCTACCAAAATTATCCTTCCCAGCTCAGAGTGAAATAAGACAGAGGCACATAAAAAAAGCCTTCAATTTGTCCCTGTCCAAGCAATAATACATCATGCTGCAGGAGGGAGAAAAAACCTAAAGGGAAAAAACACCTTAGTAGAAAACTACGGAATGGAAGGAAGAGCACTAGGTAGGGAAAATACATAGATAAATACAAAATACTACTTTTTTCTATGATTTCTTTTTAAAAAGCTGATTCCTTGATGTAAAAATTATAAATAGCATTTTAAATGTAAAATACATAATTTCCAAAATGTATCAAATCTGAAAGTTTAAGTTCTGTGCACTGTGAATAAACAATATATTTAATTAAGACTTGAAACTATAAAAATCCTAGAAGAAAACCTAGGACAAACTCTTCAGGACATTGGCCTATGCAAAGAATTTATGGCTAGGAACATAAAAGCAAATGCAACACAAACAAAAATAGAGAAATGGGACTTAATCAAACTAAAAAGCCTTGCCACAGCAAAAGAAATAATAGACAGAGTAAACAGACAACCTAAAGAATGGGAGAAAATATTTGTAAAGACAGAAGACTAATATCTAGAATCTACAAGGCACTCAAACAACTCAATAAGAAAAGAAAAAGCAAATAAGGCCATTAAAAAGTAGGCACATGACAGGAGCAGACATTTCTCAAAAGAAGACATACAAGCAACCAAAAAACATGTAAAAAATGCTTAACATCCCTAATCATCAGAGAAATGCAAATTAAAACCACAATGAAATACCATCACACAGCAGTCAGAATGGCTATTATTAACAAGGCGAAAAAACAATAGATGTTGGCAAGGATGCAGAGAAAATGGAACGCTTATACACTGCTGGTGGGAATGTAAATTTGTACAACCTCTATGGAAAACACTACGGAGATCTCTCAAAGAACTAAAAATAGAACTACCATGTGACCCAGCAACTTCACTATCTACCCAAAGGAAAAGGAATTGTTATAGCAAAAAGACATGTACATGTGTATGTTTATTGCGGCACTCTTCACAATAGCAAAGTAATGGAATCAGCCCAAGTGTCTTCTCGCTTGTAAATGGGAGCTAAACAATGGGTACACATAGACACACAGAGGGGAAAATAAGGACACTGGGGACTCCAAAAGTGGGGAGGCTGGAGGGGGGAGTATGGGTTGAAAAACTGCCTATTGGGTACAATGTTCCCTATTCAAGTGATAGGCACACTACAAGCATAAACCCCACCACTATGCAATATATCCACGTAACAAATCTGCACCTATATGCTCTGAATCTATTAAAAAAGAAATAGATTATACCTAGCACTGTATCACTAAAAAAATCTAAATAAATAAATAAACACATTAATGTATATACATTGGATTTAGTTGTAAATAAATACACACATTTGATACATGATTACAAATACACATATAAAAGTAATTGAAGAAAATGGGCAAAAATAAATTATACGTAATCAACTTAAGTTTTTTAAAAAATATTTAAATAAAATATTAAACATAAGAGCAAAAAGTAAGGGAGAATAAATAGATTCATCCTATTGTGAAGCTTCATATACATAAATTGGCACTATCTTAACTGTAAGTAGACCAAGGTAAGTAAAAGATTCCTATGCTAATCCCTAGGGTAACCAGCAAACACAATACAAATAGGTATAGATAATATTCTAGCCATTACTGAAACATAATTACTACAAAATGTATCTTCTGTAATATACTCCATATTTACTTGTCTGTTTTGCATTAGGCTGTACCTCAATAATGTACCTGTGTTTACATACCCAGCACATGTAAGAAACCAGATCATTTAGACAACCAATAAAATAACTAAATTGTAGGATACTAATCAAATTATGAGAGAAAAGACACACTCTACAGGAGGATTTTCTGCCTTAAAAGATGTTTTAATCTTATTGACATAAAGAATGGATTGGCTGGGCATAGTGGCTCACTCCTGTAATCCCAGCACTTTGGGAGGCCGAGGCGGGCGGATTGCCTGAGCTCAGGAGTTTGCGACCAGCCTAGGGAACACAGTGAAACCCTGTCTTTACTAAAATACAAAAAAAAAGTTAGCCGGGCGTGGTGGCGTGTGCCTGTAATCCCAGCTACTTGGGAGGCTGAGGTAGGAGAATTGCTTGAATCCGGGAGGCGGAGGTTGCTGTGAGCCGAGATTGTGCCACTGCACTCCACCCTGGGTGACAGAGCAAGATTCCATCTCAAAAAACAACGACAACAGCAACAACAAAAAGGATCAACTGGCTATACAATGAAAAACAATTAAAACTAAAACATATTCCAAAAAAACAGTATATGTAGAGATGTCTGCTTCCATGGTAATGCAGCCAGTTTAGCTCAACCATTCTGCTGAGAAAAACTAGGAGAGCTGGAAGATATTAAACATATTGTTTGTAGGTATCACAAGTCCAAAGAAACAAGCATTTGAAGAGACTGAATCTCAGAAGAGAAGCCCACGTGGTGAGACCCAACTTTGGTACCGTTTTCTCCACAAGCTTTTTGGTGATTCAAAGAAGATGACTGAGAAACTAAAATACTTACAACAAAGTTGCGGCTGAAAAGCTAAGCAGCTGATCAGGATTTCCAGCAGAATCACCAGCCCAAGGGACACAAATTGGGTTTATGGCCCACCCTGGCAGAAAGGATGTGGTAAACAACAGCGATGAATTTGACATCCTTAAGAGGCTATACTCTAACTGTCAATATGACCCCAAAACACAAAACTACTCACAAATCTGAGACCCAGCTTCAAAAGACTCAATACCTAACTGCCTCCCAAAAGCAAAATAAAATGCTCCATGGAGAAAGATAAAATCACCCAGAACTGGGTGCAGTGGTTCACACCTGTAACTCCAGAACTTTGGGAGGCTGAGGTGGGAGGACTGCTTGAGACCAGGAGTTCGAGACCAGCCTGGGCAATATAGGGAGACCCCATCTCTACAAAATTTTAACAAATTAGTTGGGCATGGTGGCACATGCCTGTTATTCTAGCTGCACAGGAGGCTGAGATGGCTGAATCACATGAGCCCAGGAGTTTGAGGCTGCAGTGAGCTATAATTGCATTGCTACATTCCAGCCTGGGCGACACAGGACTTTGCCTCAAAAAAAAAAAAAATCACCTAGAACCTCCAATTATCACTATAATACTATAATCTTTCTCTCTTTCTCTCTTTCTTTTTCTTTCTTTCCTTTTTTTTTTTTTTGAGACAGGGTCTCACTCTGTTGTTGCCCAGGCTGGAGTACAGTGGCGTGATCTCGGCTCACTGCAACCTCTGCCTCCCGGGTTCAAGTGATTCTCCTGCCTCAACCTCCTGAGTAGCTGGGAGTACAAGTGAATGCCACCACGCCCGGATATATATATATATTTGTAATTTTAGCGGAGACAGGGTTTCACCATGTTGGCCAGACTGGTCCCCAGTTCCTGGCCACAAGTGATCCACCTGCCTCAGCCTCCCATATTTCACATATAAATTCCTACATGCGGCCAGGCGTGGTGGCTGAAGCCTGTAATCCCAACACTTTGAGAGGCTGAGGCTGGTGGATCGCTTGAGCCCAGGAGTTCAAGACCAGCCTGGACAACATGAGAAAACCTCGTCTCTACAAAAAATATAAAGAGAAAATGAGCTGGACATGGTGGCAGGCGCCTGTAATCCCAGCTACTCTGCAGGCTGAGGTGGGAGGCTCTCTTGAGCCCAGGAGGCAGAGGTTGCCATAAGCCGTGATCACACCACTGCATTCCAGCTTGGGTGACAGAGTGAGACCCTGTCTCAAAAATATATATATATTGCTACATGCAATTCAAAATATATATGCAATATATGAATGGGAAGAAAAGGATTAGCATCTGGCTAGTGAACCATTTTCTCCGTTTGCTGGGAATGCCTGGGACAGAAAGAACAATGACTTGACCCACGCAATTTAACGTGGCACTGAGATACCATTACACACTAAAGAGAAGGTTACAATAAAAAATACTGACCTTATCAGCTGCTGGCAAAGATGTAAAGCAACTTTGCAGCTCACACACTACTGGTAGGGTATAAAATCATACAATTACATTACAAAACACTTCGATATTTTCTAAAATATCTTAAAGATGTTCATATCGTGTGACTCAACCATTCCATTCATTGATGCATATCCAAGAAAAATGAAGATGGATGTGTGCACAAAAATGTGTATCAAAATATTCACAGCATGGAAAATGACAGAGCCTTGGGAAGAATCAGAAACAGGGAAATCCTAAGGGTGCCCATAAAAGCTCAGTGGTGGATAAATATGTCCCCTATCTTAATTGTGGTGATGCTTTCACAAATATACAGGTATCTTGAAACATATTATTTTAAAGTTATGTAGTTTATCTTATGCCTAAAATAAACTATACCTATACCTAAAACTGTTAAAAATGTGTGGAATGCACCAAAATGTGTCTAAACATTATAGCATTAAAAGCAAAAAGGGAAATCCCGGTAATTTAAAATCTGGTAGACCACTTCACAATTTGGGAATAAAATATTTGATTTAATCCAAAAGAATACTTGAGATAAAAGAATAAAATTAGGATCCATTAACAACATTCAAGAAAAAAGATCAACAAATCCAAAAGTTGCTTTGTTTTTAGTTTTTTCTTTTGTAAAGGTTAAAAAATTTATAAATCTTGAGAAGACTGATCAAGGAAAAAAAGGAAGACACATATTATCAGTTCCAGGAATGTACAGTGTGAATCATCATTACAGATATTGAAGATGCTTATATAATATTTGAAGTTATAAAAAAAGACAAAATTACAGAAAGATACAGCTTTAAAAAGTAAGAAATTAAGGAAAATCTCATTTATCCTAAATGTATTAATTAACGTTAGTTCATAATGAAAACCACAGTTTAACGCCTGGTTTTGTGAACTTTTCCATAAATTTCAGAAAAAAAATAATACTAATCATGCACAATCTCTTTCACAGAATACTTTCCAAAAAATGTTGAGTGAAATCCCTATAAACGTTACACAAAACTGATGAAGATATTATAATAAAGGACCGTCAATGGTTGATATGGATCCTGACAAAATGAGACAAAAAAATCATTATGTTTGACAAATGGAATCCAAACACACTTTCAATTATAACACCCCGTGAACAAACTGAGCTTAACACAATTTTGAATTATTATTGGTTTAACATATTGAAATATAATCTCCTTAACAACACAACGGACCAAAATCATGTCACTGTCACAACAAATATAGAGAAACCATTTGGCAAATTTACCATCCAGTTATGATTATTAAAAAATGACTCAGAAAACTATGGGAAATATCATCATTAGTGATGTAATAATGAAAACCTCATCCTGAGATGGGGATTGAGACATGAATGCCTACTATTACCATTTCTATTCAGCTTTTCATGGAGTTCATAACCTGGGCAATAATTCAGGGAAATGTTAAAAAAAATGCATGATGATTGGAAAGGAAGAAATAAACCCATCCTTATTTATAGATTTTATGTTTATGTACCAGAGTAGCTAAAAGCAGTCTACAGGTAATACATTAGAATTAACAACAGCATTTAGCAAGATTCCATATAGTTAAAGCTCAACACATTTTTCTGAGAATAGCAATTCTCACTAAACAGTTTATACACTTTATGAGAAATGGCATGAAAACCCTACATAACAAGGTTAGAGTTTTAAAGTATTTTTCCATATACTGTTCAGATCAAAATTGAGAGGATTTTAACCTTATTGTTGTCATTTTTTCTGATAGCATAGCAACAGGGCCCCATGAATATTAAATAAACTCTAGCTTACACTGGACATTTACTCCTAGTGGAACAATAAAAGATTTTTTTTTTGCAATTTTTCTTATGGCCTTTAGTTTAATGATTTCACTAATTAGAGGTCTGTTTCTTATAAATGGTTCACAACTAAATTAAATTATTTCTCCACAAAAATTTTATTTACTTTTTTCATTACTTCTTTCCTTTATAACTTTGTTTTAATTATGGCTTTAAGCATAACTACTTACATGTACTATAATATATTAAAAACAAAAACAGGTCCTCCAAAATAATCATTAGTAATAATATGCTGTCATGTGACTGGTTTTTTTCCCTGATTACTTACAAATAAGATGTCTCCTCAGTATAAAATTCTGAAAAAAATGCAGATATGTATCTTTTCACGGAAGTAATCATGATTAACAGTGAAGTGTGTAATTTAACAAATATACATATCAATATACATTTACATGAATAATACATTTATGTAACTGTGAAAACATATGAATAAATTATAATTTGCTTGCTGTTTTATTAGCAATATGTCTTGGAGATATATTCTGTAATCGTCAAAGATCTACCTGAGTATAAAATCTGCATAGCATTTATTGTATGAACACAGTTTACTCTATTAAAAATAGCTGTTCTGCCTTTTTGTATCCATAGTTATATGCACATTGACAAGTCCTGTCAGATATAATCATAGAAAGGCAATTGCTGTGGAAAAGAGTAGACAAATTAAAATACTGCTAAAAAATAAATTAATTTCCAAAATAGTACTATTTTATACTCCCTTCAAAATCTGGTATCAATGGATATAAAAATGATATTTTATTAATTTCCTCTTAGTATTAACTATTATAATTGCCAAAAAATGGTTATTGTTTATCATATATGCATTTTAATAACACTATTTGTTAAAAAGCATACCACTTCATACTTATAATACCAAAGTTATTACATATCATGTATATGTAAATATATATGCATAAATAAACTCGTTACTTTCACCTACATCCTATATATTCCTTGTTCCTGAATTAGTTCTGATATGCACCTTATGTAAATCATTTCACCAATAGAACATGTTTTCCAAGGAATGTTATTGTCTATTTTATTATTACAGTAGACAAAATATTTGCGGGAGGTAACACAGGTATCATTTCTTTATTTTTTATCAAGAGTGTTATCATACAATTTCTCATCCTGTTCAACAGTAGTATCACATCAACAATTACAACAACAATTAATTTAGATACTTTGCTTGTAAGTGTGCTAAATTG
Source organism: Homo sapiens (assembly GCF_000001405.40). NCBI lineage: Eukaryota > Metazoa > Chordata > Mammalia > Primates > Hominidae > Homo > Homo sapiens. The sequence goes on from NC_000023.11 coordinate 27,398,058, forward strand.
TTTTAACACGTATATAGTTAATCTATACAGATATTTTAATATGTTTTCATGAGAAATAAAAGTTTGGCTTTTGTTATTTTTCATGTGTACCTTTTTATCTTTTGCTTTGCTTTATTGTTATCAATCAGATAAATTATCCTTTTTATTTACACATATAGAAAAATTTGGATTGAAATGCTACTCAAAATAGGTATTGAAACTTTAATGTATTTTATTAGTAAGCTACATATTAGGCATCTATATAAAATATACAGTACATTAGTGTAGAGTACAAAATCAAAATTCAATAATTCCATAAGAATTAAAGAGCCGGGCGTGGTGGCTCGGGCCTGTAATCCCAGCACTTTGGGAAGCTGAGGCGGGTGGATCACGGGGTCAGGAGATCGAGACCATCCTGGCTAACACGGTGAAACCCCGTCTCTACTAAAAACACAAAAAATTAGCTGGGCATGGTGGCGGGCGCCTGTAGTCCCAGCTACTCGGGAGGCTGAGGCAGGAGAAAGGCGTGAACCCGGGAGGCGGAGTTTGCAGTGAGCCGAGATCGCGCCACTGCACTCCAGCCTGGGCCACAAAGCCAGACTCCGTCTCAAAAAAAAAAAAAGAAAAAAGAAAAAAAGTATTAAAGATATATTACCTCTCTAGGAAAGATGAATTCAAAATTCCATAATTCCGTAAGAATTAAAGATACATTACCTCTCTAGGAAAGACGAACTAAAGATGGCTGCCTTCGCAACAGAATCTGTGGAGTGCCCGAAATAACGAAGCAGAATATTTTCAAGGCTGAAAGACAAAAAAAAAAAAAGTCAATAGAATTCTAAATGTAGCAAAATTTTCCTTTCCAAACTGGGAATAAAATAAGACGTGTCCACATAAGCCCACCTGCGACAATTTAGCACTGGACTACCCCTAATTGCAGTTGCTGCCGGAAGTTCTACAGGCTGAGGGAAGTGGCGTGCGATGGAAACTGAGAATATCTGGAATGCCAGAAGAGCACTGGGATGCAGGGCCAGGGTGGCTCCCTCTGCTGGTGGAAGATAGTAATGTCAGTTGGTTGGAATTTCAGCCTGGGAATTTATGTAGTATCGCAACTGTCTCAGTGTATTGGTTACAAAAGCATTACTAAGCTTGGTCCAAAATCCAGGTAGGGGCTATAAACTCAATCCTTTGAAGGAAGATGTGTCAAAGAATATGTGGATGTGTTTTCAAAGTGCCACAGATAAAAATCCAAAAGAGGAATTTAAATGGAATAATAAGAAACATTCAATAAACACAAAAGTAGGTACAAATAGAGAAAGGGAAAAACAAGAGATAGGAAAAACAGGAAAAAAAAATGAAAAGATGATCAACTTTGAAACAAAGTATATTAATAATGAAACTGAATTTAAAAAGAGTCAGGAGGGGTGATCACACAATTTCATAGTAAAATTTTGGCAAGTAACTGTTATGTTCATTGTATTGATTGTGTTGATAATTTCATGAATATATGCATATGACAAATTGTATCACATTACACATTTTAAAGTTGAGCAGTTTATTGTTTGTCAATTATACTTTGTTAAATCTGTTTTCAAATGTGTGAGATGCACCTCAACACGCATCTAAAGAAAAGTTACTCCATTAAATGCAAAGGAGAAAATTCTGGAAAAATGTAGGCTCTGATTACTCATCACAAGAATGTGGAAAAATGGTAATGTAAAATGAAGAAATTTAAAAAATCATTAAAATCAAAATCTAATGATTTTTTAAAAATACAAAGAGAATATCAACAAAACCAAAAGTTGCCTCTTTTAAAATTGTTAGTAAAATTGATAAACACCTAGCAAGATTGATATAGACAAAAAGAGGAGGCACACAGTATTCTTACAAGGAGTAAAACGGTCATCATTACACATTCTAGAAACATAGACATAAAATTACAAGCAATTGTATCCAATAAATTTGAAATGAGAGAAAATGGTAAAATTTAAAGGAAAACACAACAAAACAAGAAAACTTAGGAAATCTGGATAGCAATATATGTATTAAATAAATTGTGTCTGTAATGAGAAACCTTCCTGTAAATGAATTTTATACCTTAGTACAGGAAGTTGTGAACCTTTTCATACAATTGAGAAAGAAACAACACCAATCTTGTACAAAATTCTCTAGAAAATAGAAACAGTAAAAATATTCCCGAACAAATGTTTAATGAGATTCATACGAACTTTATACCAAACTGACAAGATGTTATAGGAAAAGAAAATAAAAGGTTTGTCTTTCATCACCAAATGCAAAATAAGAAGAAAAAAGTATGTCTAACAAACTGAACCCGAGATATATTTACTGTAATACACAGGAACAAACTGAGTTTCATCCAAGAATAAATTCATGTTTCATACCATTTGTAAAGCAAATAAAGTTAACAGAACAGAGGAATTATATCATATGATTATCCCAAAATATGCAGAAATGCCACTGGAAAAAATTTACTGCACATTTATAATTCTTTTAAAAACTCAGAAAACTGAAGTAAATATGACAACTTGTGGTGAAATATTGAAAACTTGTCCCCTTGAGATCAGGAACAAGACAAAGGTTTCCATTATCACCAGTTTTACTCAACATTTTATGGATGCCCTAGCCAGAGCAATAATGCAAGAAAAAGAACACAACAAAGACACTGCTATTGTTTACAGATTACAAGATTCTTTATTTATACTATCTAAAAGAAATCTATAGATAGTATATTAGAATTAATTACTTAATTTAGCAAGATGACTACTGGATATAAGCTCAAGAAAAACATCAAGTGTAATTCTAGATATCACAAGCAATTTTTAAAATTACATAGCTAAAAAATATACCTTTCAAAATGGCATCAAAAAACATCAAATTTCAAAGTATATGTTTAATAAAAGATGTGCAAGATCTGTACACAGCAATCTATATAAAATTGTTGAGAGGTATTAATGAATACATAAACAACTGGAATGGTATGAGACTTTTATGGATTATAGATTCAACATATTTTAGAGTCACTGATTCAAGCTGATCGAATTCAAATCCCATAATTTCTAATGATGTTAAATTTCTTCTGCATGCTAGCTGCATGTGTTTTTATTTTGTAAAAATTAATCAACTGTAACCATTTTATGTACTTTTGTGTCTACTTTCTATGCTTTGATGAAAATTTGTATTTATTAAAGCAAAATGTTACAGGTGTCCTTTTTAGGTATAGTAATATTTTCTCCTAAGCAAACCAAAACTAGTTTTAAAAACAATTCAGGCTTAATAGATTTACTAAGAGAAACAGATTCACAGTTTATGATTCAGGTAGCAACCAGAGATTAACTCTGATTCCAATAATAGAGAGTATTATGATGTATAGAGGAAGAGGAAGGAGAAGGAAGAGAAAAGGAGGAGGAAAATGATGAAGAAGGGAAACTGCAAGAGAAAGGATTGAAATAAGATTTAAGATGACTGAGACAAGAAAAATATATGATATATAAAAGTTCACACAAAAACCTGATAAACATTAAGAAATAATATGCAGAATTAAAAAAACAAGCTTTCAAATGATTAACATTAATATATGGAGAGGTTGGGAGAGAGAAAAGGCAAGACATCTGTCTTACCTGGGTATACATTACTCATTGAAAAAGCTAGAGATGTGGAATTAACTAACATAGAAATCCCTTCCGAAAAGTCAAAGTTAGTTATGTGACAGAAAGAACACTGGGTCTATGGGTGAGAAATTTGGTTTTCATTTTTCATATTTCCATGTCTACTCTGTGACCTTAGGCAAGTTACCTAACCTTTCAGAACTTCAGTCATTCATGTTTAAAACTTTGGTATTTTCTTACCCACCAAGCAGCACTGCTATGAGAATCAAATTTGACAGTGGGAAGAAAGACAATCTATAAATGAGTGTTAATCCCTATAAGTCATTAAATGTATTTCTATTATTTTAAAGACCATGTAGAATTTTTCATTCTGCAGCTAACTGTCCTTCGCATGTTGTAGAAAATGATATTTACTGTACAAATGTCAGTCACAGAGTTCAATTCAGAAAGAAGGCATATGTATTACATTTGAATTTTCACTGGAGACCGCAAAGCCATGGAATATAAAATTCACAATAAGGGCCGGGCGCGGTGGCTCACGCCTGTAATCCCAGCACTTTGGGAGGCCAAGGCGGGCAGATCACCAGAGGTCGGGAGTTCGAGACCAGCCTGACCAACATGGAGAAACTCCGTCTCTACTAAAAATACAAAATTAGCCGGGCATGGTGGCACATGCCTGTAATCCCAGCTACTCCGGAGGCTGAGGCAGGAGAATCGCTTGAACCTGGGAGGTGGAGATTATAGTGAGCCGAGATCGTGCCATTGCACTCCAGCCAGGGCAACAAGAGCGAAACTCTGTCTCAAAAAGAAAAAAAAAAAAATTCACAATAAGACTCAAATTTATTCAGGATATAATTTTTATAATTAGAAACAAAATGCCATCAATATGTAACTGTTTAACATTATTTAGATGACATTTTTTAAAAAAGAAACTATGTATAACAATTAAAAACAGTAATATCAGATAATAGAAAGCCCTCTTATATCAAAATAATAATCATTTCAATGATTCACAGAAAATCATCACTTAGAAACAGTTATCTGGAAGGACTTATTATTAGTAAATAAATAGCTTTTGTTCTATACTCTCAAGACCTGTATTTTCTTCTACTGAAAAAGGAAATGATACCAATCCTATCCACATTACAGGACTCTATAGAACCCACTAATACTGTAAAAGCTGTTAACCATTATTAGTATTGTATAGATTATATTATATATAATATATTATAATATATAATTATATATTATAATATAATATATAATATATTATAATATATTATTACATATTATATATATAATATATTATAATATATTATTACATATTATATATATAATATATTGTATATTATATATATAATATATTATATATAATTATATAGAATATATTATATATAATTATATAATATATTATATTATATATAATTATATATAATATATTATATAATATATAATTATATAATATATTATATAGTATATAATTATATATAATATATTATATAATATATAATTATATATAATATATAATATATTATATATTACATATAATTATATATAATATATATTATATATTATATATATTATATTATATATAATATATAATATATATTATATATAATATATATTATATATAATTATATGTAATATATAATATAAATTATAATATATAATTTATATTATATATAGTATAGAATATATTATATATAATTTATATTATATATAGTATAGAATATATTATATATAATATATATTCTTTATTATATAGAATATACTATATATAATATATATTATATGTAATATAGAATATATTATATGTAATATAGAATATATTATATGTGACATAGAATATATTATATGTGATATAGAATATATTCTATATATTCTATATTCTATATTCTATATATCATATATTATATATAATATATATTCTATATATTATATATTATATATATAATAAATTATATATATATAAATTATATACATATAAATTATATATTATATATCATATATAGTATAATATACTATATATGATATATAATATATAATATATAAATTATATATTATATATTATATATCATATATAGTATATTATACTATATATAATATATAATATATATATATATTATATATTATATTATATATAATATATATATATATTATATATTATATTATATATAATATAATATAATATATAATATATAAATATATATTATATATAATATATAAATGTAATATGTATATATTTTATATATTATATATAAAATATATAATATATAATATATATAAAATAAAAATATATATAATTATATATATTATATATAATATATATTAATAGAAAAAGCTTGGTATGAAGAAATAACATTACTTTTCACCATTTTTTAAATTCAAAAGATATTAAGGAGTAGCAAGGGTTATGAACTGCTTTAAGAAAGGTAGATATTTGTTATTACTTCCTAGAAATTAATGGAAGGTTTTATGGCCCAAGCTGGACTTGACATAAGCTTAAGTAAGTGGCAAGGGAATGCTGAATGTGATTGTTCTGGCAACCAGAATGATTTGGCAGAAATCAAGGGTTTGGAGGTTGGAGCTGGAATATGTGGAGGAAAAGTTGGAAATAAATAAAGAAACTAACAATTTGGGCAAAGGAAGAAAAAATAATGGGTGTAATATGGTATTTTAAGGTAATCATAGTAAAGCAAATAACAATGTTTCATTAAAAAAACTGTTAAATCCAGTAATCAGTCACTACAGTATCTAATCAAGTAGATGAAAATGAATGCCGTTAGCAGCTGATTGAGAAAAATGAAAATTAGGAGACAAATTTTGTCAAGACTTGATAAGAGATGCATTTGCTTTCTTGCCTCTTGGTTTTCTTCAAATTATAGCTAGCGACTTTGGCGGACTTCCAAATGCCTGCTTACTTCAAATTATGAACATTCCATATAAGTTAACAGTTTATCCTTTTTGCTAACTTTTAAAAAGTTCATACGTGTTGAGTAGCTATTTTAGGAGCCTAGCAAATAAATCTATGCCACTATTCCTTGAATCTTATAGAAATCAATCAGTCGCTAAAGTAGTTCAGAAAGTAAATTTAAATACATTCCTAAAATAAACATATTTTGCTTTATTTCTCTTGTAGAAATGCTATTAATCAGCTTTTTGTAATTGGGCTTTTATATATGTTGGCCTGTGATACAAGTTACTCTTTCCAGCTTGAACTAAAAAGGATGATGATAATGATGATGATGATAAATTGTCCTTAATGTTATGCTCCCGTTTATCAGTTTTCAATTAGCTATTAATGCACATTAGCTTTCAAATTAATGTCTCCTGTATCAGGAAAATCAAATATTATTTAAAAGTTTAAAAAATGACTTTTCCTTTTTGAGTTTCAGATTCTGTAAAATATCTGATATTTTGTTGAATATTTAAAGAACTTTCGTTTGGTTAAGGATTGGGGAAGCATTATTTTCCTACATCTGATTTTAATGACAATCTAAGATGACAAGGTGGGTTTTTTCAATATCATGAAGTAACTAAAGTTAGAAATCTTACAGTTTTCTACACCATTCACATTGTATAGATTTACTCATTTGTGGCCAGGCGCGGTGGCTCACGCCTGTAATCCCAGCACTTTGGGAGGCCGAGGCGGGCGGATCACGAGGTCAGGAGATCGAGACCATCCCGGCTAAAACGGTGAAACCCCGTCTCTACTAAAAATACAAAAAATTAGCCGGGCGTAGTGGCGGGCGCCTGTGGTCCCAGCTACTTGGGAGGCTGAGGCAGGAGAATGGCGTGAACCCGGGAGGCGGAGCTTGTAGTGAGCCGAGATCCCGCCACTGCACTCCAGCCTGGGCGACAGAGCGAGACTCCGTCTCAAAAAAAAAAAAAAAAAAAAAAAAAAGATTTACTCATTTGTTCAGCAATTTATTCAATAATGATTCCAGACTCTGTCCCAAGCACTAGGGATGAAGTGAAAAATTAAAAACCACATAGTTTTGCCCTCATGGAGCTTACCTTCTAGTGCAAGAAGAGAAAACAAACATTTACCAATAAAATATTAAACATTAGTTAGTGCTGTGAAGAAGAAAAAAAAGAGTGATTAAGTAAGTCAGATGTTACTGAATGCGATGAAGACTTACAATTGTCTGTTGATATTGGTAATGTATAAGTCATTAGGTACCTTTAATAAAGGTGATTTCAGTTGCATAGTGAGAATCTATGTCTAATAGGAGTGTATTCTAGAGTGCATGGAAGTGAGGAAGCGAAGAGAGAAAGCACAGACAACATTCTGGAGGTTTCTATTTAGCAGAGAAGAAGATAGAAGCACTTAACTAAAAAGAACGCAAACTCAAGGAAGGGTTTCTTTTTTGCCCCCTAAATGAAAAATACCTCAAATGTTTTAATCGAAATGATAATATAGAGAATTACAAATAAATCATACCATTATCAGTTTATGGAAAAGTAGGAGATAATTGCAAGAGCAAAGTCCTTAAGCAGATGATGGAGAATGAGTTTGACTGGTTAAATGGAGGAGTTGGTGTTAAGAGAGGAGAATTCATCCCTCATAATAGAAAAAAAAGAGTACTTGGTTTCAAAAGCATGTAGGTTGGTATATATGTATAGTACTGAAGGTATTATTTTGATAACTTTTTCTTTTGTGAAGTTGGAATGAAATAACCAGTTAGTTCTTGGTAAGAGAGGATGTTTGAGGCATGAAGAATGACAATACAGCTCTGTTGGTTTCCTTAAAAGAAGACTCTGAAAAAAGGACTTGGTTGCAGGTAGTGTATTTGGGAGTTGATTCCAAGAAGCACAAGGGAGAAAGTGGGAAAAGAGTTACAAATATATGTTGTTATGCCTTCCATCTCATAAAACTCAGTCAGTGGTTACAATAATTTCGCCAGTAAATTTAAATATTTTTTTAAATAAACATATACTTTGCTTTATTTCTTTTGTATGAATTCTATTAGTAGGGCTATTTTGATTGGGCTTTTACACATGTAGGCCTATGGCATGTATTATTCTTTCGAGCCTCTTCAAATTAACATACTGCTACTAACAAAGGGTACATTAATGGGAAGTGACAACTTTGGGCTACTGGAATGAGCTCAGTACCCTCACTGCAGAACCTCTGAGAGACCATATGGAACCCACCTCAGAATCATCCCACCAGAGGATTCAAATGCTGAGGCACTCATCTACCGATTGTCATCTCACATTGATTCAGGATCCCTTGCTCCTAGTGAAGTTTATTAACTTCCCCGTGTGCCCAGTTTGTACCTCCTTATGACAGAGCAAGCCCCCATGGTGTTGGAGAAAGCCTTGAGACAGAGAAGTGATATACGAGCACTAGAAGGGGAATGCTTTCAGCATGCTAGAATCTGTCTTCCATTGCCACTGGTGAACTCAGTTGGGCCTAGGGGATATGCGGCAGGGCATCAGTACACTCTGCTACATTAAATAAGAAATCATTGTCTCATAGTCGTGGACAATGGATCAGTGACTTGATTTAAGAAATAAAGTAGGATTTCTTAGCCGCCTAGAGTCCATGTAAGGTTTTTCTGAAATATTTAGTTGGAGATTAGTCATCCCTGGGTCTTTTTACCAGACATGTTTAGCTATTGGGTGCAGGTATAGAGTAAGTGGGATGTTGCAGATACAGGCAGGGGAATTGAGGATAACAGTTACAAAATTCCATCACACCATACTCTTTGATATTTTTCAGAACTATCCACATCTTGGTATCCCCTTTGAGTTATTGAAGCCCTCGTAACTTTCCCAAATTATGATAAAGCTTTTTCTAACCATCCCCTGTCACCAGTATTGCCACTTACCAATCATCATCTACTTCATAATAAAAAGTGTTTTCCCCCTCTTTTTTTCTTCTCTTTTTTTTTTTTTTTGAGACAGTCTCACTCCATCCCCCAGGCTGCGGTGCAGTGACACGATCTCTGCTCACTGCTACCTCCGCCTCCTGAGTTCAAGTGATTCTCCTGCCTCAGCCTCCCGAGTAGCTGGGACTACAGGTGCACATCACCACGCCCAGTTATTTATTTTTTTTTTTTTTGTATTTTTAGTAGAGACGGGTTTTTGCTATGTTGTCCAGGCTGGTCTCGAACTCCTGGTCTCAAGTTATCCACCTACCTCAGCCTCGCAAAGTGCTGAGATTACAGGCATGAGTCACCGCGCCTGGGCCCCCGTCTCTCTTAAAACTCTTCAAAAGAAATTTCTTGGTATGTCACACAAAGTTTCTCATGATCTGCCTTTCCTTACATCTGCACCCTTATCTTCCACCACGTGGCCGAAACACTCTTCTTTCTAGCAATACTACAAGATGTTAAAGTTCTCTGATTTTTTAAGTCTCTACGTAAAATTATCCTTAATCGGAATGTCCTCAACCACATTTCCAGCTGGATAATTGCTACACACTTTATGATTTAAAACCAAAATTTTCTCTCTTCTTGGCACTTTTCCTGAAACTTCTGATTTAACAGCCAAATCGGTGGGTTCCTCTCCTACCGTTACACATGTTTATCCTAGGAGAATTTACTATATACATACATGTGTGCATATGAGTATGTGTACATATATGTGTATGGAGTTAGATATCTCTGAATATTTTTGTACTTTCTGAACATTTGTGAAAGGTAGTGACAAGTTTTTCTTCTCTGTATTCCAATAATACAGAGCACACAACAGGATTCTGATAAATTTTAGTTATTTAAGGAATGAATAATAAAGTCCAAACTGTTATTCAAATATTGGTCACAGAAAACAAACTAGACACTAGACTAAAATTTGTTGATCTCTACATAAATGCAGGCTTCACTGTGGAAAAAATAATGATTTTTGTTAAGAATCGGTTTGCAATGATACTATACCCAGAGCTCATAGAGGACAGAGACTTTATTCCTGTTCTAAAAAAAAAATGACTTTTGGTATACTACACAAATAATAAGTATGCACTGAGTAAATGAATAAATGAAAACAACTTAATGAACTCTCATTGTCTGTTGTCTACTGTTCTTGACCAAATTATTAAATAAAATGTTAAAAAATGTATTCTTTGACATAAGCCTGAGACTGTGGAAATGGAACTAGGTCTTTCTTTTCCACAGTCAGTGAAAATAAAGCAACCCTTTCAAATGGGAGCCCATGTCTTAGAATTTTGACAATTGGCCGGGTGCGGTGGCTCATGACTGTAATCCCAGCACTTTGGGAGGCCGAGGCGGGCGGATCACAAGATCAGGAGTTCAAGACCAGCCTGGCCAATATGGTGAAACCCCATCTCTACTAAAAATGCAAAAATTAGCCAGGTGTGGTGGTGGGTGACTGTAATCTCAGCTACTAGGGAGGCTGAGACAGGAGAATTGCCTGGACCCGGGAGGCGGAGGTTGCAGTGAGCTGAGATCATGCCACTACACTCCAGCTTGGGTGACAGCAGAGTGAGACTCCGCCCCCCCCCCCAAAAAAAAGAATGTTGACCCTTTAGTTCACTGACTTATAGACAGTACTTAAGACTTAAAGACTTAAGACTTTAGAGATCTAAATGAAAAAAGAGACACTCCTTAATTATGGGTCAAAATTTCCTTTAATCTTTAGAATTACAAATAGCTTATTAAAACCACTTCTGCAAGTATTAAGATGTATTATGTGTAGATCAAGTAATTAAGAGACAATAATCTTTGTCTAATCCTATTTGTACCAAGAATAACAATTTGAAGTTAAAATACAATGAAAAATATTTGAATTGAAAATTTATTGAATAAATATATGCCACCCCAATAAAAAAAATATGTCATATTAATTTTCACATGCTGAGACAGTGGGACCACCCTTGATTCTACCATGCAAGAAAATTTGCCATAGCCTCATGTTGGAAGAAGATGATGTGTAAAGTTTGGCTATGGTCAGGAGCAGGAGAACCAACTCTAGCTACAAAAAACAAGCAAGTAAGCAACAGACTGGAAGAACAACCTTTTATTAAAATCATTGTGCCTTTATGAAGAGACTTTGACTGATGTATATACTCTTTAAAATTATATTTGTAAGTCATATAAAGTGCTAATACCATATGATATAATGGTTTCTTTAGAAAAGGTGCATATATTATTGCCTAGATAAAAACATTACATAATTTAGGTCTTGCATAAATTATCGATGTACAAGCCACTATTGCACTGGAAATCTATTCTCTTTGAGAAAGTTTTAAGCTTTCAATAGGAAAGAATATTCAGCAAACCCTGTTTATATACTGGCTAATAAAATGCACCATGTCATCTATCTTGATCAGCTATACTATGTTATACTATTACCTTGATGCATCTACCTAATTTATAATAATCTGAAAAATAATTGTTTACATTTTGTTATTTTAAATTTAATGTTACCATATCTAATGAAGGAGTGAACATACTCTTGAAAAAAGAAAAAAGAAAGGGGAGTAGGAGTTAAATCCATCTGATCCCACACTACTTGAGACTTAGCTAGGGTATTTATTATAAGTGTGAGTAAATGCACACATATTTTATAAATTTAGGGAACAGCTACGCTTCTAGATTTCTTTTAAGCTATCTTCCAAGTTTCCTTAATAATCTCTGGGGAGCAAAAGAGACTGGAAATATCTGCAAATATTAATTATAACCTTTATTATAAGATTTTAACTATATAATCTGACTATAAAATAATAAATCATGTACTTTACTGAAGAAGAATATGGCCAAAGGGGCAAAAAATTCTAATTGTTTAATACTGATATTTTAACTTGATAAATACATATATATACATATGTGTATGCATATATATAATTATTTAATTGACCATTACTTCATCTAGTAATACAAATGAGAAAATATATTTTTTCTTGTATTAGCAAATAGCACATACTAAGCTATGGCAATCCCAAACTAGCAGATAAGCAGTGTTCCTCATACATACGGTATATAAATAAAGTAAATACATAGAATGTAATATTCATGTACTTTTCGTAAAGTTTGTTCTCACATCTTTATATATGATCAGAAATTTTATAAATACTTGAATTCACCATGCCAAGTCTTTCTTCTTATTCTTCAAATTGTGATTTTGTTTGCCTTGAACACTATCCTATACATCTTTCAATTTTAGTGTCTATATCATTTTATTATGAAAAGCCTTCCCTTTCCCCTCCAGATCAAGTTGAGTATTCTTGTTAAGTGCTCCTGAAATATCCCTACCTCTCTGTCACAACATTTATCAAATGTTGCTTTTTTAAATAGTTTCTCTTCTGCCACTTAACCTTTTCTCTGTTAAGGCAGCATTTGAGCTTAACTTACTCATTGCTCCTACAATAATCCCTGGCACATAATGAATTTCAAATACATATATAGATGTGTGTGTGTGTGTGTGTGTGTGTGTGTGTGTGTGTGTATCTATCTATATCTATCTATATACATATATATAAAGAGAGAGAGAGAGACAACGAGGGTGTCGCTCTGTCACCCAGGCTAGAATGCAGTGGCACTATCGTAGCTCACTGCAGCCTCAAACTCCTGGGCTCCAGACTGCAACTACAAGCTAATTTTTTTATACTTTTTTGATCGAGTCTCCCTGTGTTGCCTAGGCTGATCTCAAAATCCTGGCCTCAAGCAATTCTCCTGCCTCAGCCTCCCAAAATGTTGGGATTACAGGGATGATCCGCTGTGCCAGGACATATTTTTTTAATTAAAAGAATACTAAAATCAATATCTAAAAGAATGCCTGAACACAGTAGTTATGCAAGAAATATTTATGTATGAATCTTTAGAACTCCCACCTCCTGCTATGACCATAATTTCACTTGTGAAGTGATAAAGCCATTATTTTATTTCAATCCCCAGAAATTTACATTCATAAGTGATCAGTATGGATCAAAATGGAAGAGCCAGTATAAAATTGCATTTTATACGGAAGAATCATCACAGATCTAAGCCTGATACTAACCAAGGCCTGTTTCTTGCAATGGGAAATGTATAGATGCCTCCTGGGAAAATAGCATTGAAATTTTCACACTGCAGGATGGTATAAGATACCCTTATTTGAGCTCATAAAAAGATTTTAGGGTTTGTTCCTAAGCAAGTTGCATGATCAGGCTCTGTGACATAATGGGTTATTTTTACTTGGAATTATTCCAGTTTATGAATGGTGCTCTGGGATATATCTCAGAGCTGAGATCCAAAAGTGAACTCGTAATAGGATTGAAGTCTCACTTGAGTTGCCAGCAGCTGACCCATTGCCAGCTCTATTCAGCATGAAATAGAATAACTCCCTTTTTAGCATGGAATGAGTGCTTAATCAAGCAACCTTCTACCTTTACAACATCATACCTCCTGCAAATTATACATTAAGTGATATATTAATATGTCTTTCTTCAAAATCCTTATGAACCTTTCAATCTGAAGTTACAACGTGGTTTCTGTATGGTCTTGAATGTCAAGCAGTTGAAGTTTACATTTTAAAACTCTTGGATAGCCAATTACTTTGGGAAAGTATTAAGTGATTAGTAATTTTTTCCAAGAAGTATATTTTAATGTGAAAATAGGGCACCAATTCTTAATTATTTATAAAATTGTAATTTTAAATATTAAGTTATACATATTCATGGATGGCTATTTGACAGCTATGAATTAAGTATTATACCATATGAAATATATTTTTATCAATTGCAACTGGCATAATCACTGATGGTGTTTTGCTTTGTGCAATTGATTCACACATTTAATATTTATTAAGCACCTACTATGTTATACTAATTTCCTAGTAGCAATATTCATGGATTTCAACCTAAAATTCACTTGCTCAATATGAAATTTCAATTAATTCTGTGTGATCAAGGACTCTAGCAATAAAATGCATTCTTTACTATAAATTAATTGTATTATGATTCTTAACAAGTCATTGTTACTTTGGGCATATTCACTACAGTATGAACTAACCTTCAAAAACAAGGAAGCATATATCTCAAATAGCTAGAAGAAAGGATTTCAAATGTTCCCACCACAATTAAATAATAAGTGTTCAAGATGATAGATATGCTAATTACCTTGATTTGATCATCACATGTTGTATACATGTATCAAAACATCACATTATGCCCCATAATATGTAAAATTATGTGTCAATTTAAAAAAAAACAAAAAAAGTATTAAGTTGTCAGCCATACAATGACACAGTCAAATAAAAACAAGTGAAATATAGAGCAATTTGGAACACATAATTAATAGTGGTACTGCATAGCTTGATTCCATATATGATTTCCCCCTCTGTAAAATTTGCTTATATGAATCAATACAATAATATAAAACTGAGAATAAAGCAAAAACCTGTGGTTTCCTGATGTACAATATGCATAAACTATTATTTCAAAATAAATGACAGTGGAATCTTAATCATGAAGAACAGATGTCTATATTAACACACTAACAAAAATAAAGCCGGTTTATTGAATCACAAAATGATCGAATCTGTGAATGATTCAATATCACTTACGCAAGTCCTTAGAGAAAGAATTGCTTTTATACTCTTTATTGTCAACATCAACTGAAATATCATATTTCCTAATTTTATACATCACATAATAGAATGACTCTCTATACAGCTTCTTTAAAAGATTCCATTCTTCTGATTGTGAAATGAATCCAAACTCAAACCATTTTCCAAAATTAATTTATCCTGTATAATTTTAAAAATATATATTTGTATATACTATTTTCATAGACATATATAGAGTTAGTTTCCTAATCCTTATTATCTTGTTTTTGTTTTCATCCTTGGAGGGTCACAGTACACAAAACTCTGGAACGTCATCTGGGACCTGAGAAGTGAAATAACTGTTATAAATGAGCCTCTATTCCCTAACTCCTACCTAAACCCTGATGTTCGTTGATTACATTGAAGTCATTTTTTTCTATTATATGAATAGTTCCCTTGTTGAAGTTACTGTGTAATCTTCATTTTCATTAACAATGACCATTCATCAATATAACGATTTTATTGTCAGAACTTGTGGGATTAATAACAGCAGGTATTTGAAGACCTCACTGTTTTTATCAGAAGTTATTGTGACAAACAGCAAGCTATTTTTTCATGTTAGTCCCTTATTAGCTCCAACTATTTCCTTAGAAAACTGTGAAAATCATTTTTACGTTGATTATTAAGTTTTACTTCTTAAATTGCAATGGCTTAAAAACAGGACAAAACACTTCCATTAGATGTTACAATAGGAGTCCTGGTGATACACACCTTAATTATTAGGTTATTTTATTTTTTCTAGCTCTTCTGTAAGAATATTCAAAGCAAAACAGACTTAAGGAGTTATGTAAATTATAGATGATCTCAAAATTTTGTTGGCTGACTTTTACTAGGGAGTGTAAAATAAATCAGAGTATATTTCAATGTATATGTATTGTCCTGCCATCACCAGAATGTATGTACAGTCTTTAAAGCTATGGCACAAATGCCCTCAATAGTAAATCCAGCTAATAAAAAAAAATCAGACTGGAATGAAAAAGGGCTAAGGAAGAGCATGAACAGAGTTTAACGTTCTCTTATTTCTCTTATGTATTCCTTATTTATCTCTCCTTGGGCTGCTACAAGGTAATGAAGAATATTTTCAAAGCCATGCTTGTAGAATAGACTGATAGTAAAGCAATACTTCAAGAAAAATGGAGGTAAACCCAGCCTTGATTATATGAGCTGGGACAGTGATAAGAAAGAATGTCCTTTGCTTACAGAAAAGCATTATTTCTCCTAGTAGTGGAGATCGTTCCATCTATTTCTGTTTCCTGGTAGAGTTTGTGTAAACTCTTAGTTTTACATTTTTCTCAAATGTTTGTTATAATTCTCCTATGAAGTCAATTCTGCTTCAGGTTTTCTTGGGGAAATACATTGTTTCAATTTATTTAATAGAGAACTATTCAGCTAGTTTGGGTATCTTTTTGGAATCTGCCAAGTTCATCTAAATTTCCCATTTCATTATTACAGAGTTATTCATAGTATCGTCTCATTATCTTTCCTGAGGTATCCTGGATTTGAAAGGATATTCCTATCTGCTTGTAGGTATTCTGTCTTATTTCTTTACTTTTCTGAGTAGCTAAGATGATCACCCAATTTTGGTTTTATTGAGTATCTCCTATTGCATATTATTTCCTTTCTTCTCGTGTTTTGGGTTTAGTATGTTTTGCAATGTTCTATTTTCATTATAATTTTATAATCATCTTTATTATAAGTATGATGTATTATCATTGAGCTGCTAATATGCTTTATAATGTTGTTTTTGACCTCCAGGTAATTTTATTTATTTATTTATTTATTTACTTTGAGATGGAGTCTCACTCTGTCACTCAGGCTGGAGTGCAATGGTGCAGTCTCCGCTCACCTCAACCTCTGCCTCCCGGGTTCAAGTGATTCTCCTGCCTCAGCCTCCCGAGTAGCTTGGACTATAGGCATGCACTACCATGCCCAGCTGATTTTTGCATTTTTAGTAGAGATGGGGTTTCGCCCTGTTGGCCAGGCTTGTCTCAAACTCTTGACTCAGGTGATCCGCCCACCTCGGCCTCTGAAAGTGCTGGGATTACAGGCGTGAGCCACTGCGCCTTGCCTCTCCAGGTAATGTTAAATTGATATTATTTCAAACATGATGAGGAGCTGTGTTATCTTTTTATATTGCTTTCTAAGGCAGTTGTATACTGATAAAGATAAGAAGCTATATATGTTTTCATTTCCTTGAGATTTGCTGAGATTTGCTTCATGATCATATGGCAGTCCATCTTTTATAAATTTTCATTGTGTGCTTGGGAAGACTGTGTACTCTGCAATTTTTCCTCAATAAACAAATACAAGGAAACCTAATATTTAAGATGGACAAGGAGTGAAAAAAGCACTTCACACAAGAGTCCTAAAAAGCCAGTGAATTTATAAGGATTCTAAGCATCCTTATTATTTGGGAAAATACTAATTAAAATCATAGTGGAGAATACTTTTAAACACCTTTTTTAATGGCTAAAATTAAAAAAAATCTAGCTAACATTGTTGTCAAAAAACATGGGGGACATTGACTGTATCATTCCACTGTGTTCAAATTTCCATTGTTTCTGTTAAAATAAGTTTCTGTATAATTGATGTTCCTTTCTATGTATCTATACTTTTGGGACTCTGTAGGGATTACTTATCAATTTTTAGGACTGATTTTAGGCCCAGTTCAGTGACTCACACCTATAATCCTAGCACTTTGGTAGGCCGAGGCAGGCGGATTGCTTGAGCCCAGCAGTTCAAGACCAGCCAAGGCAACAAAGCAAGATCCTTACTCTATGTATTTAAAAAATTAATCTATTTTTAAAAATAAAAAAATGATTTTTGAAATGTTTCTGTTTAATTGATGTTCCTTTCTATGTATCTATATTCTTTGGACTTTGTAGGGATTCCTTATCCATTTTCAAAATTGATTTTTACACCCACCTCAGTGGCTCACACCTGTAATCCTAGCACTTTGGTAGGCTGATGCAGGAGGATTGCTTGAGCCCAGCAGGTTCAAGACCAGCCTGGGCAACATAGCAAGACCCTTACTCTATATATTTAAAAAATCTGTTTTCAAAAATAAAAAACAAAAAATTGATTTTTGAAGTTGTCTGCCATTGACTAATCAAATAGTTCTTTTGGTCTAATATTTATTTTTTTTCTCCTTTGGGACTCCAATTAAAATAATGTCACAATTTCTTACTGTATCCTATTTATTTTACCTTCTCGTGTACTTTTTCATTTTTATTTTTGGTCTCTGTAATGTTCTTCCAGTTTTGTTTGGTTTTAGAATCTCTATGGTTCTTTTTGAAATTTGGTGTCGCTTTTATGTTGTTTCTAGTTCTCTGTCAGATGATAGAATCTACTCTAGCTATTTTAAGAGGAAAAAGATTAATCACACAACATTAAATGTATTATTGAATAACTGGCAAAGCCTAAAAATACAAAACAGGCTGAAATTCAAACCCACAAAGCAGAAATGGGCCACCAAGGAGGCTTTAGACCCTGACAAGTCCAGACATGCAGAATTAAGAAGATTTCTGTCCAATAGGGAAGCTTCAACTCCTAACATCTGTCAGTTCTCAAATCATACTTCCTCTGCCATAATTTGAAAGTCACTGCTACAGCTGCTGGTTCCAGAACTCTGTTGCCTTTGCCATAACCTAAACCAGCAGTTCTTTTTAAATTTTTTTTCTTTTTTTCTTAATCTACCTCATTTTTCAAAACTAGAAGTTCTTAACCACTTTATTCTCAGTACTTTTTTACAGTCAAACATTACTGGGTACCTAAGAGGTATTTTATTTATGTAGATTATATCTATAATTTATTATTTATCTTAAAATTAAAACCAAGTAATTGTGTAATATTCATTTGTTAATGTATTTTAGAATAACAATAGTCAACCTACTACATGTTAACAAAATTAAAATATCTTAATGACAAATATTTTCCAACAGGTATGTCAACATGGAGAAAGGATAGAATTTTTGACAAATGGTTCTGGGACAACTGACTAGCAACATACAAAACAATGACGTTAGACCCTCACCTCATATCAGATACAATTAATTTAAAATTACTCAAGAGCCTAAATGTAAAAGCTAAAACTATAAAACCCATAAGAAAAAAACATGAGTAATCTTTGCAATCGTGGATCAGGCAATTGATTCTTAGATATACCAAAACAGAAGCATCAAAAATAGGAGATAAATTAAACTTCATCAAAAGTAAAATATTTGTGCATCAAAGGATATTATGAGCTTTGAAAAGACAACCTACAGAATAGGATGAAATATTTGGAAATTATATATCTAATAACTAACTTGTACCTAAGATATACATTAAAAAATTCTTAAGACTCAATAGTAAAAAAAAGATAAATTACCCAAATCAGAAAGGGCAAAGGATTTGAATAGATATTTCTTCACAAACGATGTACAAATGGCCAATAATAGCATGAAAAGATGCTCAGCATCAATAGTCATTAGGGAAATATATATCAAAACATCAGTGAGATACCACTTAACATCTAGTAGGATGGCTATAACAAAAAAAAGTCACATAATTAACAAGGGTTAGAAGGATGTAGATAAACTGAAATCCTCATTCACTGCAGCTTGTAATTCAAAATGGTGTACCCACTTTGGAAAATGGTCTGGCAGTTCCTGAAAAAGTTAAACATTTGACCCAGCAACTTCACTCCTAGGTTTATACCCAAAAGAAATGAAAATGCATGCCCTCACAAAAATATGTGCAAGAATTTTTGTTCATAATAGCAAAAATATTAAAACAACCCAATGTACATCAAATGTGGATAGACAGACAAAATGTGGAATGTTCCTATAGTGGAATAATATTTGGCCATAAAAATGATGCATGCTACAACACAGATAAACCTTGAAAACATTAGGCTAAGTGATAGAAGCCAATCGCAAAAAAACCCACATATTATATCATTCCATTTATATTAAAAATCCAGGATAGGCAAAAATATATAGATAGAAACTGGTTGTTTAGGACTGGGAGTGAGAAGAATGGGGGAGGAGGTGATCACTAAAGAGTAGGCTTTCTTTTGGAGGTGATAAAAATGTTCTAAAATGTTGTAAAGTTTATTGTGGTGATGGTTGTACAAGTCTGTGAATGTACAGCAAACCATTAAATTATACTAATTGAATGGGTGAGTTGTATAACATATGAATTACATGTCAATAAATCTGTAAGAAAAAATAATTCTTAAAGAAACTTAGACCCCCCCCCCCACAAGAGAGGGCAGAGCAAGATGGCAGAATAGAAAGGTCCATTGTTCATCCCTCCCTGCAAGGACACCAATTTAACAATTATCTATATAAAAAAAGTAACTTCATGAGAACCAAAAATCAGGTGAGCACTCACAGTATTTGGTTTTAACTTCATATCACTGAAAGAGGCACTGAAGAGGTAGGAAAAAAAGTCTGGAATCACCAACACCACCCCTCTCCCATTCCCCAGTAGCAGCAATGTGGCATGGAGAGTGTTTCTGTGCACTGGAGAGAGGGACAGCACGGCAGTTGTGAGGCATTGAACTCAGTGCTGTTTTGTTATAGCAGAAAGCAAAACCAGACCAAACTCAGCTGTTGCTCACCCAGGGAGGGAGCATTTAAACCAGCCCTAACCAGAGGGGAATTGCCAGTCCCAGCAGTCAGAACATGAGCTCCTGTAAGCATCCCACCACAGGTTAAGTGCTCTGTGACTCTAAATAAACTTGAAAGGCAGGCTAGGCACAAGGACTGCAACTCCCAGGTAAATCCTAGTGCTGAACTGGTCCCAGAGCTAGTTGGTTGGATGGTGGGTGGGGGGTGGGGAAATGCAACCTACTGAGACACCAGCTGCAGTGGCTAAGGGAGTGCTGGCATCACCCCTCCCCTAACTCCAGGCTGCACAGCTCATGGCTCCAAAAGAGATTCCTTCCTTCCACCTGAGAAGAGGAGAGGGAAGAATGGGAAAGACACTGTTTTGCACCTTGGATACCAGCTCAGCTACAGTAGGATAGGGCACTTGTCAGAGTTACAAGGTCACCTTTCCAGGCCCTATCTCCTGGATGACATTTCTAGACACACCTTGGGCTACGAGGGAGCCTGCTGCCATGAAGGAAAGGACCCAGTCCTGGCAGCACTCATCACCTGCTAATTTAAGAGCCCTTGGGCCCTGTATAACTAGCAGTGATACCCAGGTACTACATCAAAGGCCTTGAGTGTGAGCCTCTAAGACTTGATGGCTTCAGGTACCAACACAGACACAGGGAAGTAGAGCACCATGTGGGCTCTTAGGGTCCCTGATTCCAGGACTTGACTCTTGGATAGCATTTCTGCACCTGTCCTGAGCCAGAGGGGAACCCACTGCCCTGAAGTGTGAGTCCCAGGCCAGGCAGCATTCACCACAAGCTGACTGAAGAGTCCTTGGGCCTTAAGGGAACATCAGCCAGTGATAGTATGGCAAAACTCCCTGTGGGCCTGTGATAGTGGTGGCCAAGGGGTGAGGCTTCTCTGCTCTTGGAAAGGGGAGGGAAGAGTGGGAAGGACTGTGTCTCATGGTTTAAGTTCCAGCTCAGTCTCAGTACACCAGAACACCAAGTAGACTTCTAAGGTTTTTGACTCTAGTTCCTGGTTCCCAGACAGTACCTCTGAACCTACCCAGGGCCTGGAGAACTTGCTGCCCTGAAGGGAAAGACTTAGGCCTGGCTGGCTTTTCCACCTGCTGAGCCCCAGGGCCTTGAGTGAACACAGGTGACACCAGGGAGTGGTTACAGCAGGCCTTGGGCTACACCCAGTGCTGTGCTGGCTTCAGGCCTGACCCAGCAAAGTCAAGTGGCCACAAAGCTGCTTGTGTCATTTCGCCCCAGCTCCAGGTGGCTCGGAACAGAAAGAGAGACTCTGTATGTTTGTGAGAAAGTAAGGGAAGAGAACAAGACTGTCTTCCTGGTAATCCAGAGAATTCTCCCAGATTTTGCCCAAAACCATTCTGGCAGTACCTCTGAATCTGCAAGAACCACAGCGTTACTGGGCTGAGGTGCCCTCTAATGAAGATAGAGCTTAGATCACAACACCCAAGACCTTTTGAATACCTGGAAAGCTTTCCCAAGGCGAAAGGGTACAGACGAGTCCAAACTACAAAAACTACAATAAATACCTAACTCTTCAATGTCCAGACACAGACATCTATAAGACACAAACATCTATAAGCATCAAGATGATCCAGGATAAAATGACCTCACCAAATGAATGAAATAAGGCACCAGAGACAAATCCTGGAGAAACAGAGATATGTGACCTTTCATAAAGAGAATTCAAAATAGCTGTGTTAAGGAAATCCAGATAAATTCAAGATAACACAGAGAAGGAATTCAGAATTCTATCAGATGAATGTAATAAAGTAACTGAAATAATTTTTAAAAATCAAGCAGAAATTCTGGAGCTGAAAATTGGCATACTGAAGAATTCATTGGAGTCCTTTAATAACAAAATTGATCAAGCAGAAGAAAGAATTTGTGCGCTTGAAAAGAGGCTATTTAAAAACACACAGAGAAGACAAAAGAAAAAAGACTAAGAAAGAATGAAACATGCCTACAAGATCTAGAAAATAGTCTCAAACAGGCAAATCTAAGTGTTATTGGCCTTAAAGAGGAGGTAGATAAAGAGATAGGGGGTAGAAAAATGATTCAAAGGGATAATAACACAGAACTTCCCAAACTTAGAGAAAGATATCAGTATGCAAGTACAAGAAGCTTATAGAACACCAAGCAAATTTAACCGAAGAAGACTACCTTAAGACATTTAATAATCAAACTCCTGAAGGTCAAGGATAAGGAAAGGATCTTAAAAATAGTAAGAGAAAATAAACAAATAATATACAGTGGTAGTGGAGCTCCAATACGCCTCGTAGCAGAATTTTCAGTGGAAACCTTATAGGCCAGGAGAGAGGGGCATGACATATTTAAAATGCTGAAGGAAAACAACTTTTACTCCAAAATAGTGTATCTGGCAAAAAGGTCCTTCAAACATGAAGGAGAAATAAATGCTTTCGCAGACAAACAAAAGCTGAGGGATTTCATGAACATCAGACCTGTCCTACAAGAAATGATAATGGCGGTTTTTCAATCAGAAAGAAAAGGATATTAAAGAGCAATAAAAAATTATCTGTGAAGGCACAAAACTCACTGGTAATAGTAAGTACACAGAAAAACACAGAATAACACTGTAACTGTTCTGTGTAAACTGCTTATCCTAAGTAGAAAGGCTAAATGATGAACCATTAAAAAATAATAACTATGACTTTTCAAGACCAAGACAGTACAATAAGACATCAATAGAAGTGGCCGGGCGCAGCAGCTCACGCCTGCAATCCCAGGACTTTGGAAGGCCAAGGGGGGCTGTTCACCTGATGTCAGGAGTTTGAGACTAGCCTGGCCAACATGGTGAAACCACGTTTCTACCAAAAAATACAAAAATTAGCTGGGCTTGGTGGCTTGTGCCTGTAGGCCTAGCTACTCCGGAGGCTGAGGTAGGAGAATCGCTTGAACCCTGGAGCTGGAGGTTGCAGTGAGCCGAGACTGCACCACTGCATTCTAGCCTGGGGGACAGAGTGAGACGCTGTCTCAAAAACAAAACAAAACAAAACAAAAAACAAAAAAAGACATAAATAGAAGTAGGAAAAAGTTAAAAAGTAGTGGAACGAAATTAAGGTACAGAGTTTTGATGGTTTTTTTCTTAAGTTTGTTGTTGTTGTTTATGCAGACAGTGTTATCATCAGCTTAAAATAATGGATTATAAAATAGCATTTGCAAGCTTCATGGCAACTTCAAACCAAAAAACATGGGAATGGAAGATCATATTTGGGAACTACCCATCTGAAAAGTGATTAATAGCTAGAATATATAAGTAGCCCAAACAACTCTTTAGGAAAAAATCTAATAACCCAATCAAAAAAATGAGCAAAAGATTTGAATGGACATTTCTCAAAAGAAGACACACAAGTGGCAAGCAGGCATATGAAAATGTGCTCAACATCACTGATCATCAGAGAAATGCAAACCAAAAACTACAATGAGATACCATTTTGCCCCAATTAAAATAGCTTATCACCAAAAGACAAGCAATAACAAATGCTGGTGAGGATGTGGAGAAAAGGGAACCATGGTACATTGTTGGAGGGAATGTAAATTAATACAATCACTATGGAGGACAGATTGGAGGTTCCTCAAAAAACTAAAAATAGAGCTACCATAAGATCCAGCAATCCTACTGCTGGGTATATACTCAAAGAAAGGGCATCAGTGAATTGAAGAGATATCTGCACGCCCATGTTTGTTGCAGCACTATTCGCAATAACCAAGTTTTGGAGGTAACATTTAACTTTGATAAAATGTTCATCAACAAATGAATGGATAAAGAAAATGTGTATATATATACACAATGAAGTATTATTCAGCTATAAAAAAGAATGAGATCCTGTCATTTGCAACAACATGGATGGAACTGGCAGTCATTATATTAAGTGAAATAAGCCAGCCATAGAAAGACAAACTTTACGTGTTCTCACTTATTTGTGGGATCTGAAACTCAAATCAATTGAACTCAGGGATGTAGAGAGTAGAAGGATGGTTATTAGAGGCTGGGAAGGGTATTGAAGGGGGTTGAGGGGAGATGGGGATGGTTAATGGATACAAAAATATAGAAAGAATAAATAAGGCCTAGTATTTGGTGGCACAACAGGGTGACTGTAGTCAATAATAATTTAATCATACATTTTAAAACAGCTAAAAGAATATATTTGGATTGTTTGTAACATAAAGGATAAATGCTTGAGGGGATGGACACTTATTTTATATGATGTAATTATTACACCTTGCATACCCATATCAAAACATCTCATATACCCTGTAAATATATATACCTACTATGTACCTCAAAAAAATTAAAAATTAAAAATTGAAAAAAACTGAGACCCTGAAGAGGGGAGTGCACATCAATTCAACTATTCCTATGTAAAATGATGGCTTCTCAGGGACGTATGTTAATTTACACTTTGATTAGCAAGTGCTTTCTGATACTTAATCCAGAAGACAAATATAGAATTCAGTATGTATATGGAGGCAGCCTGACCTATCCTTTATAAATAGGTTTGTCCTAATTTATGCAAAACTCAGACCATAAAGCATTAAAGAATTTCAGAGTGATGTTGCTTATATTTTGTCCTTCTGTTAAGGTATTTGGTAGTTGTAATATTAGGCAAGTGATATTGCATGGTGCAACCATTACTTTCGCTCAATTAATCATTGCATTCATTTTTCCAATAAAGCAAACTGCACCAAACACAAACTTACATTAGTTTTACACCTGACTTAATTTCCTAAATTGATAGTTCTACCTAAATTACATTTCACTTTTCCTCAGGAAGAACTATACCTAGCCCTTCAATTGTATAAGGTACCAATATGGAAAGACACTAACATATTCATATTTTGGCACTTAATAAAACCAAGATTAATTTAGTAAGCACCTACATGGAAACAGATAGGGCCTTTATACATTTTAATAAAGAAGAATAGTTGCTGGCTTTGATCATAGCATTTAAACTTGCCAAAGAAGAAGTAGGAAAGTTTATGTTCCTCAAAGTGATGCTAGCTCTGCAGCTCATGTATTATAAATAGGGAATTGCATAGTTAAAAAACAAAACAGACATAACATTGAACCTGCCTTTGTGCTACAGCATATTATATACATGTAAAGCACTGCAATAAAGCTGTCTAACGATAGATCATTATGATGTGTTATGAATTGGCAAAAATATTTTAAGGAAGTCATTTGTGTGTGTGTGTGTGTGTGTGTGTGTGTGTGTGTGTGTGTGTGTGAAAGAGAGAGAGAGAGAGAGAAAGGGAGAGTTATCTGTCCCAAAGTTACTTACTTATACTTGTAAATAATCTTGAACATAATAGAGTTATATCAGGATAAAATAACTGCTAATGACTCAATCAGAAGGGTTTACAAATTTTCAAAAACAACTTTGAAGAAATTAAACTTAAGTTTAATTCAACGCAATTATTGTTCTAAAAGAATAAAATATCAGAAAAAGAATATATAACTCCAGAATTCCTCACTACTCCTCTTCTCCTCCTTCTCCTTCTCTATTGTTACATCATTGTAGCTTATAAAATAAACTCTGAATGGAGCAAATTTACTGCAATTTTGATAGATCAATGTAGTTGAAATTACTGTTTTTAACCTCCTATGTAACACAAGCTCCAGCTCAAACTCACAAATACACACAAACATAAACACCAAGCCAAATATATTAAAAATGTATGTTTTCTTAGATACTTCCATATATATTTCTGGATGATGTAATATACCAATGATTTTGGTTTACTTGTATACCTTTTTATTAAATTCAGAAAGAGTTCTTACCTGCCCTTGAAATTTGATTTTCAACATAAACTTTCAATTAAACATTTTGGAAGAATAGCACAGTTGATACAAGTTGATATTTAATTCTGGAAACTTGAATATTTGTATTCAGAAGGAAATATCAGTTTAGGATATCAGAAAAAGACCAAACAAATTTAGTGTCTACAGGAATCCAAGATAGATAAGGAAAGGAGAAAATAAATGAATTTTTAAAGTCTTAAGGTATATCAAATGTCCAATTATAGTATATGGATGTTTCAAGCAGAATTAAATTTGAAATCTAGGCATTATTTTCAATGAATTATTCATATTTTTTATTGTTAAAATAGATTATGAAAAATTTGCAATAAGACAACTAAGACTATCTTAGCAAGAATGTATACACAATAAACTCTTACAATCTCCATTTTGTCTAGTTGTTTATTGCATTGGTGTCAATTTGTAGTCTTGATGTTAATTTAGGTGACAAAAATAGCATTTATGTATATGTTCATACTTCACCACCATTAGAATCAATTGGGAATAGTTTTTACTTTTATGTTGCTTTACATTGCTTACTTGCCTTCAAGAAGAAAAACATATGAGCAGTTTTTAGTTTGTCATTAAATATGGAACCCATACTAGGTGGAAACCATGTCACTCTACATTCTGGTTGAAAAAGAAGAAAAAAATTGAAGAAAAATGCACCAGGAAATCCTATGTTTAGTTCTTTTTTAACTATATGTTGGTAGATTAATTTATCATAGTGTGTTCTGATTTTGAGTAATAGTAATACAACTTCAATTCAGACACTATAGTTTGGCAAGCATTTTGGTCCTGACATTAAAACAAAACTAAACAAAAGCCTGCTGACTATAGCATGGACCAAAAAGTATTAAATCTTTCATTTCAGAGATTTTATACTGGATTAAGTTCAATGATCAATTTAAATTAAAGCTCAGTTATAGATTATTGTTTTAGAGTGTCCAGATTAGTTTATTTCAGTGAAGTTCAAGCCATTACTTTATATCAGGCACTGTGTGAAGTGTTGACATACAATGAAAACTGAGACATGACCTTCGACCTTTTGAAAACAATTTCAAATACATTCAAATAAATGTAAAGTTTGTATTAAAGTATACTAAGTCATTTCATACTTTAAATTTTAGGAATAATAAAGTGCAATAAATTAATCTAACCTGGGATTTTCAAAATGTTCATAAATTAGTATTTCTGCATTTCACAATCTTATTCAAGTTGTTGAAAGGCTAACTGTACTACTTAGCTATTGCTGCAATAGTGCTTCCTAGCAAAAAGCTTCAATTTCTCAGTGATGTAGGCTTTGACTCATCTAGGATTGGCTTAGCTAGTAGCTTGTAGCTCAATTGGAGTTGGTTCTAGGTAATAGGCCAAGTTTAATTAGGCTTCACATGTTTGATTCTGCAACTCCAGCTAGAGGGACAGCGGATACCTAGGGTATTTTTTCTCACGCAGATCAGAAATGTCAAGAAAGACAAGCCAAACTTTGTTAGAATATTTCAAAACTTTGCTTACATCATGTCAACTAATATTCCATTGGCTAAAGCAAAACACATGGCCAAGGACAAATTCATAAAGCAGGAAAATACACTTCAACCACTGTGATACCCTGCTAAGAGGGTAGAATAGTATTTCTATCAAAGGAAAATGAACAATAGGATCGATATTTTTACATACTACACTATTCTTTCTTGGTATTGTCCTTTTCTGTAAATATCGTCTGATTACTCTTTTTACCATAAGGAGTGATTGCTAAGTTCCACATTTGTGCTCCTGAGGTTGTTTATACTTATTGCTGTACTTGCAGTTTCACTAAGTTGTATTAATGCTTTATAAGATGTTACTGTGTGAAGGTCAGTACATGATTGTATCCTCCCTTGAGGTTCTGAGGCTTTTCTTTTGGCTTAGGGTTTAGAAACTATTCAATACACAAATAATATTTCATCTAGTAAAATAAGACTTCCTTTTTTTACAAAAATATTCATTGTGGAATATTTCATTGGCTGTCCTACTAATATTGGTAGCAACATGATGTGATATCACTTTAAAGAGAATTATTATGAATATTGATATTTATTTGAAACAAACACTGTGTGATATTAATTTATTACTCTTCTCCCTATTCCATTAAATAAATGAATACAAGTTAATTCAGCTCCAATACAAGTAATACTTGGTAAACAACTTCTAATAGGTGTAGAATAAAACATTACAGGATTCCTAGAATATTTATTATAAGATTTGTAGCTGCAATAATGAAGTATTTCACCTTTTAAAAATACTTACTAAAGTTAAAACATTTACTAAAATAGTTGCTATATGTGACAAAGAAAATATTTTACTAGAAATATTTAGTAGTACCCTCCCATTATTTTCTCAGCCCCTCTCTGTAAGTTGCACCCCGAAGTGCAAACTTCAAATTAACTATAACTCGTTTTTGTCTGGAGACTTTAAAGATAGGTGCATCTGTGCAATGTAGATTGAATTGTCAACCAGAGGTAAGTGTGATTTTTCAGGACGGAAATTTTTATAACAGAACAAAAATGAAATTTATAGGAACAAATTAATCACCTAAGACATTGTAGAAATGCAGCAAAGTCAATGGTTGTACAAACCCTTCTATATATCAATTTGAATGTGCAAAATATAAACACAAAGTGAGCAAATGGCCATATGGGTCCTCCCTTCAAAGTTTAAATGACTGAAGGAATATATCACCTAAGGTGTCTATGAGACTAAAAAGTATATGAGTATTCTTCTGGGCATTTTGGCACCTCACTTCTCTAAATGTTTTATATCTTGATAAGATACAATTGATACAAATGAAAAACACCTTTTAAATATTGAAAAGCTAGAAATTTTTATTAAGTGTCAAAATAACATCAAATACAGAGGTTCCAAATCTGACAGGCTTGGGAGCTTCTAAAACTGCTTTTCAAGGTTCTTATATAAGCTTCATTAGACTTAGTATTCACCAAGCCTCCATATTAGCTAATGTATAAAATGAATAAAGTTCCATTTCAAGTTTCACTCTCAAGGCCATAGCATTAGGAAGTCCCCTGACCCTTTACTGAAGGAAACAGTTATTTCTGGGATTTCTGAGGTGCAAGCATATTTTAAGACAATATTTCTCCAAATACAAAAGTTGTTTGCTGTTAAAAGTTCCATGTCACTTTTATCTGATGAACTGTACTACATTTTCATATTTCATTCCACCTTCAATTAAAGCTAGGGCAACTAGCAACTGGAGCTCACCCAAAACCTACAACACAGTGAATTGCAATACAACAACCAGGATCTTCATGAAATTTATTTTTCATAAGTTTTAACCAGTTATCAATTATCTGGCTGGATGGTGCTGTACCATCATCAAAAGGCCAGTCCGGAACCTGGATGCTTCCCTTCTCTAAAAGAGCAATGTTGTAAGTTGCTTTTCATACTCTTACTATGGTGGTAACTCCATCCTGCTTAAGTTCCTGTAAGAATCTATTAAAGTAGGTATTGGTTGGGTTGTGTGTAATAAGAAATCTCACATTTTTGTATGCAATGTCCACAGAAGCAGGGAGGTTCATTCTAGCCATGTTGATGTAATTTTTTAAAAAATAGACAGAAAGGATATAAAGTAACATAAATCTACTTCAAAACACTCCAGTTAAAATTTTCAGTGAGTTGAATATGAAGTTAGGAGTAGTAGGAAATAAAAGGAGCCTCCAATAAAAAACATCATTATTTCGATACAGTGACACTGAATCAATGGACAATAAATGCACTCAGCTTTACCCTTCTCCCAGTCTGAATGCTTGTAAAATGTTTTGACATTCAATTCAGCTACTCAGTGTCCAGGTTATTCATTCTTATAGGAAGTTCTCAAATATTAAGGAATTTCTAGAGTTCAGTAGTCTGCACAGGGGAAAGTGTGTCACCAAGCAGGTCCATTACTACCTGAGCCCTGAAGTCGCCTTAAGTGGCATATGTCACAAGCCTACCCTTTAGTTCTTAGAGTGAAGGGCAAAGGACAAACTTGGCCACCAATCATGAGGATCCTGGCCAAGTGGACTAAAAGGGGTGGGGTGGGGGTAATGCAGCAGCCAGCTATGTCACAAAGAGGCAGTGGCCACCCACATGCCAGAGCTATTCATTTTCTGGAAATGTTTCATAAATTAGTCCACACATTAGTGCCACACAACACTTCTAATGCACAGATCATGTTTCATAATAGATGATCATTAAATGACAGTTCCCTTTCTTCCTATAAACAACAAACAAAAAGTGATATTAGAGATTGCCCTGAATTAACATTATAATTTAATCATCATTTGACAACAGAATAATTGGTTGTGATATGGATTTTTCCTTTGGCACACCTCTTAGGTGGGTACTCTGCTCCAGGCTGACTTAGAAATCATTTAGTCATTTCCTTCATTTGCTACAAAACTGAATTGTTTTAGGTGGGTGCGGTGGTGTGTCTGTAGTCCCAGCTACTTGGGAGGCCGGAGGATTGCTTGAGCCTGGGAGTTCAAGACCAGCCTGGGGACATAGCAAGACCTCTCTTTAACACCACCACCAAAACCCCCCTGATGTGTTTTATATCCAGCCTCCCCAGGCATTTCAAATCAATTTCCCTACATGCAAGCATAATGTGGTTTTTAAGATTTAAAAATAAAAAGTACTAAAAAGAAAGAATAAAAGAGAAGAATGAAAACAAGTCCACCAGTCTACGGGAGCTCTAAACATCAATCCCAATACATTCTAAAAGTTTTTATTTCTATTCTGGGTAAGAAGGAAGTTAGGGTGTGTCTGGGAAAGGAATTGTGGAGAGGACGTAAGAACAGCTTTGACTCCCTGTATCCTGTAGTGAGGTTAGGACAAGAGAATGAAATGACCACTGTATTTTCCTAAAAATCCAAAGGTTCAAATGACTCTTCACCATTTTAAACAACACGGGATAAGGAAGTTTGTGTGGTAAAAGAGATTATAGAAAAGGAGTATATAATGTTATGTATGTGTGAAATGATAACATTATACTTATCTTCTGGGAGTGGATAAGAAAATAATGCATATCTATGTGACTATAGTCATATTCTTTATTCAAGCACATGATGAAGCAACAGGGTGTGTAATTCAAAATTACACTATAACTGCCATAACACAGCATGATTAATTTCTGTAATTCATTGTTACTGGAAAATTGCAAATTCCTTGATTTGTATTCATAAATAAAACTATACGCGCACACACATGAAAACACAAACACTACTTTCATTAGATTACATGCATCATGAAGGCTGGGTGAGGTGGCTCATCCCTGTAATCCCAGAACAGCACTTTGGGAGGCTGAGGTGGGTGGATTGCTTGAGTTCAGGAGCAGGAGTTTGAGACCAGCCTGGGCAATATGGTGAAAAGTTGTCTCAAAAAAAAAAAAAAAAAAAATTAGCTGGGCATGGTAACGTGCATCTGTAGTCACAACCACTCAGAAGTCTTAGGTGGGAGGATCGCTTGGGCGCGGGAGGTCTAGGCTGCAGTGTGCCATGATTTCACCACTGCACTCCAGCCTAGACAACAGAGTGAGACCCTGTCTTGAAAAAAACAAAAAAGAAAAAGATTACATATATCATGAATGAGCTTTGCATCTGCAAAGATATATACCACATATTTTATTCTCTGAAATGACATATTCAAGTTAGCAATAATTAAAAGTAGACTACTTATGAAGTCATTTGTCATATTTACTTATATTTTCTCTATAAATACATTTCTTTCCCTATTCCATATATTTTATTTTATTTTTTGAGACAGGGTCTCATAATGTCTCCCAGGCTGGAGTGCAGTAGCATGATCGCAGCTCACGGCAGCCTCAACCTCCTGGGCTCAAGCAATCCTCCTGCCTCAGCCTCCTGTGTAGCTGGGACCACAGGTGTATGCCACCACACACAGCTAATTTTGTTTTTAATCTTTGTAGAGCCAGGGTCTTGTCATCTTGCCCGGGCTGATCTCAAACTCCTGGGCTCAAGTGAGCCTCCCACCTTGGCCTCACAAAGTGCTGGGATCCCAAGTGCAGGGATTACAGACATGAGCCACCATGTCTGGCCTTCGTGTATTTTGAATATAAATCTAGAAAAAATATTTACCTTGCAAAATTCTATTTTACTAATATATTTTATGAAAACATGTTCACTGTCAGACACAGGACATGTACCTTCCCAACTCCTGACTGAAACTCCATGAAAGGAGAAAAAATATATGCATTAAAATAATATATTTATAATAGTCAAACAGTGTCATTAATGGATATGAATGTATGGAGACCAAGGGGGTATTTCTGTATTAACTCAATACATATTTATTAATGATCTCCTATCTGTTAGGCATATAAATATTAGTAAAATCTAGACCTAGTCTGTAAGAAGCTTGGTATCTACAGGAAAGGCATGCATATATAAAACTAATTTTCAAAAAATGAAAGACATTAAATGCATAGTAAGAACAAACTTGGGCTCAGTGGAGGGAGTAAATAATTCTGACTAGCCTATGAGGAGGGATGCTAGAATAAGGTTTTTCAGAGGTGACATTTAAGCATGCATACATTGATCTTTCACCATTTTAATCACAATATAAGTCTCTGCAATAACAATTTACTATGTATGTTTTCATCATGGGAAGTGCCCACAAAATAAGTTGGCCATAAAGCATCAATTTAAAAGGAAGCAAAAACTGGTAAAGAATGAAGCATCATGCAAGTCTGACTGAAATATAGCTATGGAGAAAGTGGAAAAATAACTAGCTCAGTAACTACTCCCTGATGCTCCAGGAAAATAAAAGAAAGCTAAAAGGCTTCTAAAATAAAATATAACACGCTATCTGTAAAGATTCATCAGCCAAACTACTTAATGTTAACTTTTTTAAAAAATCAATTACTCTTAAAAAAAACTAACACCTATTCAAGGGGTTCCTAAAGAATGAGAATTGGATTCTTTATATAAGACATTTTAAATATGAGAGATGTTATAAGAAATATTGTACTTGATAAAGATAACCGTAAGCTCAGTAGATATTTTATTCTTGAAATTTTGAGTTATTTTGATATTTTAGTCTTGATTCATGAGGAATAAAGGCTGTATCATCTTACCAAATAAAAGGTTGTAAGAAAAATAATCAGCTTAAATGAACAGTTTTCCTCTTTTTCTACATAACTAGGTTATTTTATAAATTGCTAGATGTTTTTGACCTCAAAAAATGATAATTTTTCACATGAAATATTAAGCTCTAACCTAGCTTGTGATTAAGGATTTTTTATTTGTAAAACATGTTATTAAATGTGTTCTAAAACTACACATTTTATTCCCATTATTATAAATCCAATATTATTATAAATGCAAACTTATCATTTATAGAGTTTATCTGTAACAAATGTCATGTATGAACATAAACTCTGAAAGCTGAAATAAGAGCAAACAGTTTTATCTGGATCATGGAAAAGGGGCCAATGATAGGTGTTTTTTTAAAGCTGTCAATTTAATCATTTGATTCTACCTTGCCATATAATCTTTTAAAGAATAAAAAAAACGTAAACAATAATAAAAATTATCTACAAAAATAAAAACTTTTTTTTAAAAGAACAAACAAAAAAATTAAAAACATAAAATTTTGTGATGCATCATTTTCTTGTAATTTTACCGTATCAGGAGAAATATTGCTTTTAAATGAGAATGGAGTCTCAATATAATGGGAGAAGAAAAAAAAATCAAGGAAGGAGCAAAATAACCAGAGGAGAATAGGGAGAAAACAGAAGAGGATGGGATAGATTTGAAGAAACTCCTTTTCTCCATTTCTCTTGAGTCCTTGTGGGTGGATAAAAAGAAATGTCAAGAGCAAACTTACTGCCAAATAATGCCCTGTGTTAAAACAACAGAAGTTAACATTCTCTGGCTTTGTAATATAAATGGATCCCTTTGCCGCCATGATGGTTAAAAGGTTTGCACAATAGACAGCTTGTCACCTGACTGTTGCACTAATACTGTGATGGAATATGCATACACAAAATGAGGAGTGCAAAAATAATTAATTTCTAAACCAGGATAACCATTAATATTCACATAGTAAAATCTGCTTTGTTGTTTGAAAGGCAAAATCAATTAAAGTGGCTGGCATTCATTTGAATTTAATGAGGGTAGAGTTGGTTTAAAACTTTTCTGGGAACATATGTTAGGGATATCTTTGGTCCAAGCATTTATATTTTAGACTATTATACTATTAATAAAAAATTACATGGTACTTAGAGTTATTGATAAAATAATACATACTATCCCTCCAGCAAGTTTGTCTACCTGGGCAAAATAAAATAAAAAAAAAACTATATATATATATATATATATATGTATGTAAACAGTGAGTTAATACATCATCATGCCTCTTCCCTTTATGTGACAGTTTCAAAGCTTACATAAAACTTAGAATCTTGAAATGCATAATACTTCATACTTTTTAGGAACATTAAAAACTTGCACTTATTTTTAACAACAATAATGAGGTATAATTGTCATTAAATAAACTGCATAGATTTAATTGGTACAATTTAATAAAATTTAAAATATATACCCACTCATGAAACCATCAAGGTGATTACATATAATCATCCCCAAAAGTTTTATCATGGCCCTTTATAATCCCTCCTTTGAATTCTTAAAGCCACCCTATTTCTAAGCAACCATTAAATTGCTTTACACCATTAAATATTAATTTGAATTTTCTGGAATTTTATATAAGTAGAATTATATAATATATATCCTTCATTGTCAGATTTCACTTAGAATGATTATTTTGAGATTCATTTATGTTTTAGTATGTACTGCGAGTTGAATTTTATCCTCCAAAAAGATGCATTGAAGTCCTCAGCCCCATACCTCAGAATGTGACCTTATTTGTAATAGGGTTGCTGCAGATTTATATGGGTTGGATTTGAGTCCCCATCAAATCTTATGCTGAATTGTAATTCCCAGTGTGGGAGGTGGGGCCTGGTGGGAGGTGATTCAATCATGGGGTCGTAGCTCTCATGAATGGTTTAGCACCATCCCCCCATGGTTACTGTATAGTCAGTGAGTTCTCATGAAATTTGATTGTTTAAAAGTGTACCACATCTCCCTCTTCTCTCTTGCTCCTTCTCCAGCCATGTGAAGTGCTGCTACCCCTTTGCCTTCTTCCATGATTGTAAGTTTTCCTGAGGCCTCCCCAGAAGCTGAACAGATGCCAGCATCATGCTTCCTGTACAGCCGATGGAACTGTGAGCCAATTAAACCTCTTTTCTTTATAAATGTCCCAGTCTCGGACATTTCTTTATAGCAATACAAGAACAAACTAATACACAGATGTAATTATTTAAGATGAGGTCATACTGGAGGGGGCTTGAACCTTAATACACGATGACTAGAGTCCTTATAAGAAAAGGAAAAGAGACACAAAGACACACAGGAGAGAAAGATACCATGTGATGGCAGAGGTTAAGATTGAAGTGCTGCAGCTGCAAAGTGGGACTTAATCCCATATGACTTGTGTCCTTATAAAAAGGGACAATTTAGACACAGACACAGACATGCACAGACATGCACAGACTATGTGAAAACACACACAGGAAAAAGTTGAGTTGAGAAAGGATTCTCCCCAGCAGGTTTCTGGGGCAACATGACCCTATCAACACCTTGATTTCAGACTTCTAGCCTCCAGAACTCTGAGACAGTAAGTTTCTGTTTTTTAAGTCATCCAGTTTGTGGTGCTTTGTTGTTACAGCAGCCCTAAGAACCGAATACAGCATGTAACATAATATCTTTCCGTTTTGTGGATATATCACAATTTATTTATCCATTCACCTGTTGGTGGGCATTTGGATTTTTTCCAGGTATGTGCCCGGTAGTAGTGCTACGTCATAGAATGCATTCAACCTTAAATTAATTAAGTATTGACAGATTTATATCCAGATTTGCAATAGTCAATATACCCAATAGTGGGGCACAAGGGCTCCTATTTCTCACATCTGCACCAATTCTTGCAATTTGCTACTTCTTTTTACTTTCCAATGTAAAGTATTACGTACTTGTTATTTTCACTGCATTTTAAAATTACCAATGAATTTGATGATCTCTTCATATATTTATCCACCTCTTGGGTATCCTCTTTGCTAAACTATTTATATTCTCTGTTTATGTTGTTACTGGTTTTAGGTGTTGTAAGTATCTTTTCCTCATCTTTTATCTGTCTGTTAAATTTATTTTGGGGGTCCGTTATCAGGAAAAAAAAACCCTTATTATGATGCAATCAAAGCAGTCCCTTTCTGGTCTTCTTGACTGATGCTTTTGAGCGTTATTTAAGAAGTTGTCTCCCAACCTTAAGTAACACATATATTCTTTTAAATTGTTTTCTACTTACCTTATTCTTGTCTTTTACAGGTAGCATTCTAAACCATCTGGAAGTCAACATTTTATTTTTGATAAAGCAGGGATCAGGTTTTATTTTTCTCTATATACCAAACAGGTTTTCCTAGCACCATTTATTAAACAGTCTGAGATTGACCATGTTAGTGTCAAATGTTATCTATTGATTTCAGGGCTCTTGTTTATCTTTCTCTATGAGGTCACACATCACCCAGGAAATATAAAATTGTAGCATTTAGTTCTTAATACAGTGTTTCTCAAACTCCTGTAAGCAAGTGAATACTGATTCATACTTTATCATATTTGAAAGACAATGCCAGAAATCCATGTTTTCTATATTGCTATAAAAATTGCTATAAAAACTAAATTGTCGTATATTAATGTATTCCAATCTATTCCTGTCTATTCCTGAGACAACAGTTACAAAGGAATAACATATTCCTTTGTCACTGTTACTAGGAGTTTAATATCTGGGGAGAAATTCTCTCTTCATTTCTATTTTGTAATTTTCCCCTGGAAATTCTTCTATCTTAATTTTTCTATAATATTTTTCAATTATTTTTAATTAATAAAAGTAAGCCTGTTATAAATTGTAATGAATTTATAGATTAATGTAGGAGAAATTGATAATCAATATTGAATCTTCCCATATAAGAAAATAGTTTCCATTTATGCAAAGCTCCTACGTATGCTTCAGAAGAGATTATAGTTTACAAATAAACCATAATATCATATTAATAAACTATTCTAGTCTATTCATAAAGACTCTGAATAGACTCATAAACTAGTCTATTCATATAGACTGCATATTTTCTATAAAATTTACATTACCATTTGAAAGCTGGCTACAGATTAAGTCTAAATCTTAGTATTTGACCAACTTCCTGTCCTTTAGACACTGGAAATCTATTTATATAATAGTTCGTCATTAGTAAAATTGCAATACTAAACATGTATATCATAAACAAGTATCCGTCTTCATTACAGAGATCTGAGGTTACCTCAGACTCTGAGCAACAGGACCTAGACTCAACCCCTGGTGTTTTGGTAACATTCTGATTTCAGATATGTGGAAAAATAAGATGGTATAAGTAATGATAATTTTTATTTAATGACTGTCTCTTCTCCATCAGACTGTTGTTAATTAACACACCTCTTTTGAATGAGAGTCCTATGAGAGAAAAGATTTAGTAAGAAATCATGAATGTCTAAAATGCCATTTTTCCACATATATAAACATGAACAACTCTTTTCAGCTTTTCTCAATATTCATCCCTAAGAGTGAGTCATTAGCCACAAGAAAAATCACCTTCCACAGCAATATTGGTTAGTGATCCTAATAGCTACACTGTCATATGGAACTGGAAGGTTTCAAGTAGAAAACTTCCAGGACATACTGGATAAAATTTAAGAATAGAAGTTTTATGTGATTTCTTTCAGATTTAGTATAAGCTTTCAATAACGTAGTTAAAACCTATTTTATTGACTCATATTATGAAATATTTATTCCCTTTACAATCAATTCTTATTTCATGTTGTAAAATGTTTAATATTTTCTAACACCCATTAACAAAAAGTAATGTGTTAGCTGTCAGATAATAACAAGGGTAATTTTATCACATTTTATTTCATTAGAAAGTATAATTTTCAGAAAACTTTACTTTTTAACAATTATAAAAACTTATAATGTACAATATTATATTGATCAGTTCTATATGAACCATCATTGCAACAAAAATAAATCCACAGAACAAATTTTTACCCCTTATATCTTTGTGGCCACATGCATAAAACGCATGTTCAAATTTCAGTCCATATACATCCAGTGTTTTGTTTTTCATACATAGGATAGGGTGTTATGCAAGAATAACTTTCAAAAATTAAAGTTATAAAGTGAACACACGTCAAATATTTATTTAACTCAATAATGTGGGAAATAATGAGGAAAACCACAGGTGGTAAAGCTGGTTCAAAGGAAAATTCAGATGGTTGTTATGTTGTCAGTTTAAGAAAGTCATGATGAAATACATTTGCTAAGTTTGAGGCAAAGCTGTTTAATGTTTTGCTGGAAAAAAAAAATCTTGTAGGGTTGTTTTTTCTACCTGAAATAAATCACGTATCTCTATGAATACCATTTATAAGTTAACATCCAACTTCACAGAGCCAAGGCCCTAATAAATAATAAGTAGTAAAACAAACAAAGTACAATCTCAGAAAGAAACAAATAATCCAAGGTGAATCTTTTAGACATTACTTCAGTATGAAAAAGGAAAACATGCAATGATAAATTTGTCTTATTTCTAAGTTTTTGGTAACTTTCTATTAGCAGAAATCAACAAAATATGTTCAAATATAAAATAGATTAGGACAATATTCAAGAAGTAAACAGAAAAATGTAGAATCTCTTAATGTAAAGATCTTGTTTTTATACTGTTTCAGTGAATGATGATGAATATAAACTCATTATGATATTCAAGTTTTATTTGCCATTACTGAAAATGTGATGCTATGGTTTAATCTTAAATAATAATTTTTACAAGATATCAGAAATTATATTCCTCACAATAATTTTGCATTATGCTGAAAAATTCTTATAGGGAAAAGGTTAGCAAATAGGTTTGATTGTTTTTCCTGAGACAATCTTTCAAATTTCTCCATTAATGTCACCGTATCTATTTTTTATCTTACTGAAATTCAAATACCTAGGAGTCACAGTTCCTTATTCTCTAACACTATAACAAAAGGCACTGGTAAGAGAGTGGGAAGTAAAAAGTAATAATTAAAAAAAAAGCCTAGGCATCTATTCTCATAGCACTTACAGTCTAAAAAGTAAAATTGATATAAATCAAACAGTCACTTAAATAAAAAATAAAGTTGTGCCCTAGGCATACAGTATGAAGTGTGGGTATACAGAGTCTTGAAAGTGAGAAATAAGGGAAATAAATCTTGAAAGAGTTAGCTGAGATCTAAGAAGGCATCTACTAGGTGAAGACAAGAGAGTCAGTCTTTTGGAGATGTATCTTTTTTTTTTTTTTCTGTCATTTCAAAAGCCTCCTGGATGAGAAGGAAGACATATGTGTTTGATTTGACTTTTTTTTTGCATTTTGTTTGGAATTTTATTGAATACATGTGCCTGCTAGTTTTATTTTTAAAACTTCAGAGTCACTTAAGTGGAATAAGAGGGACTGGATTCACCCTCTCACGTGAAACAACCAAAAACGGACAATAGTTGGAAGACACAGACATCAGGAAACAAAGAACAACTATTCCTGAGAGACTGGAAACAAACAAGGGGAAATCTAGGATTTCCAGAGTTTATCCCCTGGAGAGACTTTCCTGGCCACAGCATACCATGTGGAGGGAGAATCCAGGCATGGCATGGCTCTGGAGGCTCTCTGGAATGGAGATGACAATCTATAAAGACCAACACGGTTATTGTTCTTCAAAAAACATATCGGAGACAAGAGAGCTGCACAGAGAAAGAACCTTGGAGATCAGCAGAGGGTCTCCCTCAAGTATTCTGCTAATTACTGGTCAGCAGATTCATGTAAGAACACACTACCCAAGGCTTGGAAAGAATCACTGAATAAGATTAGAGGGAATGGTGCCTAGTATTCAATCTATGGAGGGCTTGATCAAATTTTATTTTTATTGGTACTTAAAGCAGAAGCAGTAAACCCTGTGTTGTGTAAACACAGTGCAAGCTCCAACTTTGTAGGAGCCAAGGGTAGAAAAGTTTCCCCCTTTTTATCTTTTTCTTTGTCATTATCCTCCCTGCAATCCTCTCTATCTTCTTTTAGAGAAAAAATATGACTTTCTATAAAAATACATATATGGGATATTACTATTCACATTCTTCTGCATCTATTTTATATTTTTGTTACTTAAAAATATATCTTTGAGATATTTTCCTGGGTGTACATGTTTATATCAACTTTATTCTGTAATTTGTTTAACAGTCTTGCTGAATAGGCTCAGGGTACAAGTTAATATGGTACAAGCATTACCAAGTTGCCTTCATACCTACTTTATGAATTCTCTTCTCTGTCTTGTGTAACCAAGACAAACAGGGGTTTGCTTGCCTGGGGCAGCAAGGCCAAACATCTACACTGAAGTTTTCAGCGGGAGAAAGGAGGGCATTTATTTACAAGGCAACAAGCAAGGAGAATAGGGCAGCCCACAATTAAAATCTGACCTCCTCGATGACTTGCAAGCAAGCGTTTTTAAAGGCAGGGGAAAACTTCAGAAAAGCAGGAGTTACAGGCAAAATCATAAATCAATACACAGAGGTTATACATTGGTTTGGCCTAAAAAGACTGGATATCTTGACATGGAGGCTTTCAGGTCAATATTTGGGGACAATGGAAAAGAATGTTCACTCTGGCTCGTGGGTGTGACTTCCTCCAGGTTCCTCAGGAAGAAATTCAGAAGAAAGAACGGAGATCAGAGTCCAGTCCTCAGTTCCCCCTTATTTGAAGTCTGCATGCCAGTAAATCCCTTTCGTTGAGGTCTGGGTTCCTGAAAAACAACTCAGGGACATATGTTAAGATGTTATCTAAAGTTTCTACAGGAAACTAAACATCTTGTGACTCTAACTTCTTTGGCTATTGTTGAGGGTTCCTTGCTCTTTTTCACTTGGATAATATTTATAACTTTTTCTAGTTATTTTCAGATAGTAATAGTAATAATTTTCTTAGACAATATACCTATCTAATTTGAATAATAAATTGTTCAGAACAATGAACTCCCAGAGATGAATCTCCAAAGTGCTTTTGTAATCCAGCTTGATTCTTTTTAAGGTGGGAAACCTGAAGAGAGAACCGGAGCCTCCCCACCCCCTCAGCCCACTCCATGTCTCCCTCTTCTCTCTCTGTCTGTCTCCCACAAACACTTCTTTTCTTAACTAATAATAGTTTCTGACAACTCCAAGAGGAGTGGTTGAGAGTACAGGCTTATTCAGCCAGCAATCTCTGGGTTTGGCAGTTGTTCAAAGATAGCTTGTTTTCTCAACGGGTGATTTTAAGGATTTCTGAGAAATTCATTCACCTGATGTGTGTAATGGCTCCTATGTTCCTTGGTGCCTGTTAGGTCACCCAACAGACTCTCCAGACTGGAGCTCCATCTCTCTTTCAGGTAGCTATTTTGGGCCAAGTCCCTGTTAAGATGGCTTCAAGTTATTTTCTATCTCTCTGATCCCATATTGATGCAGGATTTTTTGCTCCTTAGTTCAGCTAAATCTGGGTTCTTGTCACAACCAGGAAAAATTAGGCACATGGACACATTGAAGGGTGAGGAGGACAGAATTTATTAAGTGAAAGTGGAGCTCTCACCAAAGAGAGGGGTCCCGCCAACCAGCTCCCACCTCACAAGCTGAATACCAGGCCACCACACATGAGCTGAAAAGGCCAGGCTCTTCCCCTGCATAAGGCGCAAATTCCTGATGGCTTCACCCTCATTCCCCCAGTGCGCACGCAGGCCCTTAGTCTGAGCCACTCTACATTGATGTATTTCTCTTACCGTGCATGTGTTAAGGGACGGAATTTTTCACCTGACTTCAGGTGATCCACCCGCCTCAGCCTCCCAAAGTGCTAGGGTTATAGGCGTGAGCCACTGTGCCTGGCCAATCTGAGGGCTCTTTAAGAAAATCCTTTTAAATCCCTTATTGCATGACTTTAGCCATGCCAAGTGGCCAATTTTTCTGGAGTTGGAACTTTACCAAAAGTAACCTCACAGGTGAAACCAGCAGGCCTCAATTACGGTTATGACTTAACCACAAATGTACAAGGTATTTTCAAAGAGGTGGTAGGCAGTTTTTGTAAAATCTAGAACCTTTAAAGGTAACTCAGAGAAAGGAAAATTTAAGAAAAGAAGTTAGAAGTTGTTCATGGAGGGGAAGAGAATCAGCAAATAGCAAAAGTCACACAGATATCAACTCAAAAGTACTCATTTCCATGCCAGGATTGAACCCGGGCCATCACTGTCAAATGGCAGAAACTAAAACCAAGTTCTTCCACGTGGTTACAGGACACACTTCCAAGGACATAAAACAAGATGGAGGCCGGCAGCAAAGTTTCTTACTGGCCAACTTGCTGGGCTGACTTCATCAGTGGGCTTATGAGGTCCCAGGCCCGTATCCCATTCCAAGGTACCCATCTTTCTGACAGAACCATACAGACAGACATGCAAAGCACATTGAATTGGCTACAGCCTAAGGCCAACTTTATAAATTCTATCTCATCAGTCAAAACTTCACAGAGAA
This sequence comes from Homo sapiens, assembly GCF_000001405.40. Taxonomy (NCBI): domain Eukaryota; kingdom Metazoa; phylum Chordata; class Mammalia; order Primates; family Hominidae; genus Homo; species Homo sapiens. Next base: position 27,441,331 of record NC_000023.11, read on the forward strand.
TATAAACAGTGATCCTTATCATTCATTTTACCAGTTTGTACAGAGAGAGAGAGGCCAAAATCTGATGGGTAGAAAAACTTTTACCCTTTTGCCAGCATGTCAGGCTTCTGGGTTCCCTTCCCCTGAGCTCAATTCTAAGCCAATCAGTTTAAGGTTTGGGAAATTAACTCTTCCTGGTTTGGAGGAGGCATCTGAGGGGAATGTCCTGTAGCACAGAGACATGATTCTCCATCTGTGAAGAGAGGACAGAGGAGAAAAAAGGAAAAAAAGAAAGCATTTTCAAAGGAGTCCCAGGGGTTCAGGATGCATTAGAAAGGGGTACAGACTGAAGATGAATGGCTACTTCTGGAAAGAGGAGAGCAAGGTCCCTGGTTCCTTCCTCTTCCTAGTGAATACCTGGGGTATGTGAGCGACAGAAAGAAAAAACGTCCTCTTTCCTTCTTCCATCCTTTTATCCCCAAGTCCCAGGAACCTTGACAGGGTGCTGCCCATGATTGCCAATGTGGCATTCACCCATGTTAACCGGGGGCCTAGGGGGTGAGATTCTCCACTCTTACCCAGAAGCTGCCTGTAGGGTCCAGCCCCACAAGGCCGGTGGGTTTTCTCCCCGTGTGCGGAGACAACAGAGGTAGAAATAAAGACACAAGACAGAGAAAAGAAAAGACAGCTGGGCCCGGGGGACCACTACCACCAAGACTTGGAGACCAGTAGTGGCCCCGAATGCCAGGCTGCGCTGATATTTATTGGATACAAAACAAAGGGGCAGGGTAAGGAGTGTGAGCCATCTCCAATGATAGGTAAGGTCACGTGGGTCACATGTCCACTGGACAGGGGGCCCTTCCCTGCCTGGCAGCCAAGGCAGAGAGAGAGAGGGGAGAGAGAGAGACAGCTTACACCATTATTTCTGCTTATCAGAGGCTTTTAGTACTTTCACTAATTTGCTACTACTATCTAAAAGGCAGAGCCAGGTGTACAGGATGGAACATGAAGGTGGACTAGGAGCGTGACCACTGAAGCCCAGCATCACAGGGAGACGGTTAGGCCTCCGGATAACTGTGGGCAGGCCTGACATCAGTCAGGCTCTCCACAACAGGTGGAGGAGTAGAGTCTTCTCTAAACTCCCCCAGGAAAAGGGAGACTCCCTTTCCCGGTCTGCTAAGTAGCGGGTGTTTTTCCTTGACACTGACGCTACCACTAGACCACAGTGCACTTGGCAACGGGCATCTTCCCAGACGCTGGCATTACCGCTAGACCAAGAAGCCCTCTGGTGGCCCTGTCCAGGCATAACAGAAGGCTCACACTCTTGTCTTCTGGTGACTTCTCACTATGTCCCCTCAGCTCTTATCTCTGTATGGCCTGGTTTTTCCTAGGTTATGATTGTAGAGCGAGGATTATTATAATATTGGAATAAAGAGTAATTGCTACAAACTAATGATTAATCATATTCATATATAATCATATCTAAGATCTATATCTAGTATAACTATTCTTATTTTATATATTTTATTATACTGGAACAGCTCGTGCCCTCGGTCTCTTGCATCGGCACCTGGGTGGCTCGCCTCCCACAGCTGCCTTTCCCCCTGCTCTCAGTAGCCTTTGAGTTCCCTAGACCTCATTTATGCCACGGATGCTAGCACCACCTCTATCCATAAAACAGAAGTCTTCGCTTAATCGGCAGGAATTAGTCATGCTCACCCTCACCATGCCTTTTAATTTCCATTGTCATCTGCCTCTGGATTCCTCAGATCCAGTTTTCTATCTTAAGGCTTCAACCTGAAACTTGGAATTGAGTTTGGGATAAAAGAACTGCCTCAAGGACATGCATGGACTCATCAAAGCCCAGGTACCCCTCACCAGACTGGCTGCAGCCTCCTTATCATAAGCCAAATGCTAAGGTGAAGCTGTGGAATTGCATCCTTCTTAAACAAGGGAGGGAAAAAGGGTGTCCTTTGAATTGGGGTACTAGCCTAACAAGACACCTTCAAAAAGGAAAAAAAACAAAAAACAAAAAAAAACCTCTTGCATAAAAGTTAACTCCTGGCTGGGCGCTGTGGCTCACGCCTGTAATCCCAGCACTTTGAGAGGCCGAGATGGGCGGATCACCTGGTCAGGAGTTTGAGACCAACCTGACCAACATGGTGAAACCCTGTCTCTACTAAAAATACAAAAAATAAGCCGGGTGTGGTGGTGCATGCCTGTAAAGCCAGCTACTCGGGAGGCCGAGGCAGGAGAATCACTTGAACCCGGGAGGCGGAGGTTGCAGTGAGCTGAGATCGCGCCATTGCACCCCAGCCTGGGCAACAAGAGCGAAAACTCCGTCTCAAAAAAAAAAAAAAAAAAGTTAACTCCTGACAGGGTGGAGAAAAGAAAAAAAAACAGCTAAGTGTAGGGCAGAGAAGATGCCTGGGGGAAGCACCTTATTCTTATGCCAATGGATTTTTCCAACAGGGAGAGAAACTTTTAATTCCTGCTTCCTCCTTCCTGGCTCAACCAGGGGAGGAAATATTCCATGGCCGCCTGGCAGGAGGGGATGGTGAACAGGAAACGCTGGCTAGCCAGCCGCATGAGGCCTCTGGTCCCCAAGACTGCCCTGGGGCCCAGGCAGCAGCTGTGGCTCAGTCCTGCCATGCGTGGCCATTGTAGGCTGCACATACATGCAGCACACACGGCCATGTGTCCCGGGGGGAGGGAAGGGGAGGGGGAGCCACTGCTCGCCCACCCATCCCATGTAGCACATGCCTGCAGCTGTTGGGGTGGGGATGGAATGCCCCCAATGTTGTAAAAGAAAAGATGGGTGCCATTACAGCCCCCCAAAAAGAAGGAAATGCCATAGAAAAGACTGGGTTGGACTGAGGCTGACATTCCTGACCCCTGAGAGTGACAGGGTGTGGGGGGCAGTTTCCACTGCCTTCAGAAAAAGTCTAAGGATGAGAAGGCCCAGAAATGAAAGTGAAAGAGATTTTTGGTTTGCATCTTACTCACCCTCCCTCATGTCCCCATACAGGCCACAAAAATGATGCAAGATTTTTTGCTCCTTAGTTCAGCTAAATCTGGGTTCTTGTCTCACAACCAGGAAAAATTAGGCACACGGACACATTGAAGGGTGAGGAGGATGGAATTTATTAAGCAAAAGGGGAGCTCTCAGCAAAGAGAGGGGTCCTACCAACCAGCTCCCATCTCACAGATTGAATACCAGGCCACCACATATGAGATGAAGAGGCCAGGCTCCTCCCCTGCATAAGGTGCAAATTTCTGGTGGTTCCACCCCATTCTCCCAGTGCGCATGTGGGCCCTTATTCTGAGCCTCTCCACATTGATTTATTTTCCTTACCGCACATGTGTTGAAGGACAGAATTTTTCACTGTGGGCATGTTTTGGCAAGCAGCCTGTACACAATCACCTGGGCAGGCTACAGGTTCTCCAAGGATCTTTCCCTCTCTGCCTAGGCATTTGGCTATCTCCTGCCTCCATCAATATCAACATACCATTCTGTAGGTGGAAGTGCAGTTTGTTTGTAATATGACCCTGTTTCTCTCTGGATAATTCCACAGCCTTTTAAAAATTCTCAGGTAAGAGTTGAAAGAAACCAAAATATTTCACCCCAAAACACAGTTTCCTGATACAATGAGTATTTTTTGAATTAAAGACCCTTAGTGATCAACAAACACTAGGAGAGATTTTTCTCCTATCTATGTAAAGATCTTAAGGAACCACAAAGAAGTACATTTGTTTTTGATTTCCCTGCCTGTTATTATCTACTTCAGAAAAGAAAACTGAAGACTGTAACCACACCTGAATGGACCCTTTCACAAGATAATGTCTGTCTCTCATGCTCATTCAATTTCCAAAGATACTCATTTTCAAGTTAATCTCTTTCCTGCTCTATTCATTCTCCCTAGGAATCATTAGCCCACAAAAACACCTATATTCCCCATCTTCCCTCTCCCCTCTGAAAAAAGACTATATAAGCTTCTGTATCTCATTGAGGGTTGAGATAATCACTCTGTGATTCTCCCCTGTGCACATTAATAAGTTTGTTTGCCATTTTTCTTATTAATCTGCCTTTTGTCTGAGGAAACCTCAGACGGTGAAGGGCAAGTTTTCCCTTGTCACCTACAGAGTCAAACACTGGAGCACTCTGTCCCCCAAACTCCAAGGAGCACATTGCAAAATCTCCGGCTAGTTTTCTCAAAGCACCTCTCACTAGACTAGCAATGAAAAGCACCATTGTCCCTACCCCCTTTCAAGAGGTATGTGTAACCATGAGATAAGAGGAAGGTAGCAGAGTACTACTGCAAACATCTACAAATAAGTTCTTCCTTTGCCTAACTTCATTTCTTTTTTTTATTTGAGACAGAGTCATGCTCTGTCTCCCAGGCTAAAGTGCAGTGGTGCAATTTCAACTCACTGCAACCTCCACCTCTGGGTTAATGATTCTCCTGCCTCAGCCTCCTGAATAGCTGCGATTACAGGAGCATGCCACTATGCCAGGCTAATTTTTGTATTTTTAGTAGTGACGGGGTTTCACCATATTGGCCAGCCTGGTATCAAACTCCTGACCTCAAGTGATCCACTGGCCTCAGCCTCCAAAAGTGCTGGGATTACAGGTGTGAGCCACAGCACTTGGCCACCTAACTTCAATTTAAATCTCATTGATAGTCTCAGGTGTAGGCTCAGGTTCACATAAATTTTCTTCATAACTTTTTTTTTTTCAGATACAGTGTCTTGCTCTGTCACCCAGACTGGAGTGCAGTGGCACAATCATGGCTCACCTCAGCCTCAACTTCTTGGGCCCAAGTCATCCTTCCACCTCAGCCTCTGGAGTAGCTAGGACTACAGGTGCTTGCCACTGTGTCCAGCTAATTTAATATATTTTTCTTTTGTACAGACAGGGTCTTGGTATATTTCCCAGGGTGGTCTTGAACTCTTGGCCTCAACTGATCCTTCTACTTCAGCCTTCCATAGGGTTGGGATTATAGAAGTGAGCCACTGTGCCTGGCCATATAACTTGTTCATATGATGTTTAGAAATGGACTGTGGCTTTAGCAAATATTACTGTTACCAGAAGAAGGTCCTGATTCACACCTCAAGAGAGGGTTGTTGGACCTCATGCAAGAAAGAATTTGGGGTGAGTCCATACAGTAAAGTGAAAGCAAGTTTATTAGGAAAGTAAAGGAATAAAGAATGTTACTCCATAGGCAGAGCAGCAGCATGGGCTGCTTCACTGAGTATACTTACAGTTATTTATTGATTAAATGCTAAATAAGGGGTGGATTACTCATGAGTTTCCCAGGAAATGGTTGGGCAATTCCCAGAACTGAGGGTTCCTCCCCTTTTTAGACTATGTAGCATAACTTCCTGACGTTGCCATGGCATTTGTAAAATTTCATGGCTCTGGTGGTCTGGTGGGAGTGTCTTTTAGCATGCATTATAATTTGCATATAATGAGCACTGAGGACCACCAGAGGTCATTTTTGTGGCCATCTTGTTTTTGTTGGGTTTCGGCTGGCTTCTTTTCCACATCCTGCTTTACCTATCAGCAAGGTCTTTGTGACTTGTATCTTGTGCTGACCTTGTATCTCACCCTGGGACTAAGAATGCCTAACCTCCTGGGAATGCAGCCCAGTGGGTCTCAGCCTTATTTTACCCAGCCCCTATTCAAGATGGAGTCACTCTGGTTCAAATGCCTCTGACGTTATTATGTTTTGTTTTCCCTTTTTTATCTTTTTGTAGAGGTGGGGTCGCCCGATGTTGCTCAGGCTGATCTTGAACTCCTGGTTGCAAGTGATCCTCCTGCCTCAACTTCCCAAAGTTCTGTGACTATAGGTGTGAGCCACCACACACTGCCATATAACTTGTTTATATGATATGCATAAATGGACTGGTGCCTCACTTCAGCAAATATTGTTACGTTTTGTTTTCCAATAGTGGAACCTTAGCTGAAACTGAGGGAAAATGATGTTACATATTTATGTACTATGCTGTAATGTGTAATTCTAGTTACCAGCCAATGGACACTTGAGTTGCTTCCAGATTTTGCTACTCTAAACAACAGTGCAATAAACATCGAGGTACATTTGTCTCCTCAAAATTTTTTAATATGTTAGTAGGAAAAATTCCAGGAAGATAATATATGGATCAAAGGTTAAGTGTTTATTTCTATGCATACTTAGAAATTGCAGTAGAATAGTATAAAAGTACCCAACTTTTATTCCATCACCATATTTCATCAAGGTTTTAAATCTTTACCCATAAGTGCAGAATAACATCTCATTACTTTAATTTGTACTTTTTTTTTTTTTTTTGGAGACAGAGTCTCACTCTGTTGCCCAGGCTGGAGTTCAGCAGCATGATCTTGGCTCACTATAACCTTCGCCTCCTGGGTTCAAGCAGTTCTCCTGCTTCAGCCTCCTGAGTAGCTGGGATTACAGGTGCACACCACCATGCCCAGCTAATTTTTGTATTTTCATTAGAGATGGGGTTTCACCATGTTGGTCAGGCTGGTCTCGAACTCCTGACCTTATGATCCACCCGCCTCAGCCTCCCAAAGTGCTGGGATTATAGGCATGAGCCACCACGCCCGGCTTAATTTGTATTTTTAATTGTTACATCATGTATTAGTTTTCTATGGATGCTGTTACAAATCACCACAAACTGGGTGGTATAAAACAATAGCAAAAAATTCTTTTTGGATTTCTATAGACCAAAAGTCCAATAGTCAGTATCACTGGGTGGAAATCAAGATGTCGATAGGGCCATACTCCCTCCAGAGGCCCCAGGGAACAATCTGTTTCTTGCCTCTTTCAGGTTTTTGTGGCTGCTGGCAGTCCTTGGCTGTGGCCACAACATTTCATTCTTCAGGGCTAGAATTTCAAATCTCTGTTCGCTCCATCTTCACATTATCTTCTCCCTTGAGTGTGTATCAAATCTACCTCTGACTTCATCTTATAAGGATACATGTGATTTCATAAAGGGCCCATCCACATAATCCAGGGTAATATTCTCTTCTCAAGATTCTTAATTTAATCACACCTGCAAAGACTTTGACATTTCAAGAAACATTCACAGGCTCCAGGGATTAGGACATATATATATATATATATATATATTTTTTTTTTTTTTTTAGGGAATATATTTTTCAGCCTGTCACAGAGGCAAACTGCTTTGCTAAGAATTGGGAACTGAATTTCCTATTAGAAATTTAGAATACTTCTCAAGGAAGATGAGGGAGAATGGATGAGACAAAAAGTAAATATCTACTAATATGGCTATATTATGAATTTGCTATGGGTACATTTATATAAATCCATGGAACACCAAAGTCATGTACATCAAACTGATAAGGATGGATGCTGAGCAAAATGTAGGGATGATAGTTCTTAGATTTCAGAAATGCTAAATGGAAACTTTAATCTTATTAATAGGTATTTTATTTTTCATTTATTGTTTATTTATTTATTTTTGAGATGGAGTTTCACTCTTGTCGCCCAGGCTGGACTGCAATGGCGCAATCTCCACTCACTGCAACCTCCGCCTCCCGGGTTCAAGCGATTCTCCTGCCTCAGCCTCCCTAGCAGCTGGGATTATAGGTGCCTGCCACCATGCCCAGCTAGTTTTTTTGTATTTTTAGTAGAGAAGGGGTTTCACTACGTTGGCCAGGCTGGTCTCGAACCCCTGACCTCAGGCGATCCACCCACCTCGGCCTCCCAAACTGCTGGGATTACAGGCGTGAGCCACCACGCCCGACCAGTAGGTATTTTATAAGAAGGTTATATTTATATCTTAAGTATCATCGTATAATTTCCAAAGAGAGACAGGAAGAAAAAAAGCAAAGAAAAATGTGCCAATTCTTTTACATCTGAGTTGAATACTTTGCACTAATAAAAATAGAAGTTACTATAAATCTTTGTTTACAATCTAATTTCAGGGTACCAATATGGGGTTATATCTCCGTATAGCCTAATATAATATTTTATGTGAGAAATAAAAATGAAACTGCACTAGTCGTTAAGTATAGAAAAGAAACTGTTACAATGTCAGATTAACTAAGTAGATAATATTAATCAACCTCCCAGTGTTATTTTAACATTCTGTAATTTTATCTACATTCTTATTTGTAGCATTAGCATTGCCTTATAGATAAGTACACTGAGACTCAAACAGGTTATATGAATGATCTAAAAGCCTAATAGGTAGAAAATCCTTCAATAATGACACAAAGCCATTCCAAATCCATGTCTCATACACTTTTCCCAATGTATAAAATATTAGTGAAGATATATAAAACCAATTAAAAATGTATTTATCAAAAGGAAGCTGATGTATTTTCAAAACTCTATCATAGTGTGATTTCTCGCATAATATGTAATCTATTATACATTTAAACATCATAATGTTTAGTATCAATAGAAATTATACAAAATTTAATTACTTTTAAGGAGTAATCCTCAAAACTGAGAAAGAAATATGAATAGCTTTTCACAGGATATTTTATTTAAGGAATGAAATAAATCTGCAATTCTTTATATTTCACAATCTTTGGAAATACACCAAAATACTGTATGTTCTCCACTGTCAAATGTGATAGATCAAAACAGTCTTTGGATTTTGTAGAGTATCTTTGAAAATGTGTATGGCAGAAACATTTCAATATTATTGAATAGCTTTACAGGCTTCTCAGCCCATTCATATGTCTTTCTTTTCCAGACAGTTGCCTTAGTAACTGTCCAACAGAAGTAGTTTTCTGCAGTTTTCTCTAAATAGTACCCACATAATTGCTCAATTTAGTCATTGCAGTAGGGCAGGAAATAATGTATCTCAAATTTGGTTTGTTTCTGATTCCAACAGTTTGGATACTAAAACCCTTCCACTGAAAGCAGCTGATATGGGCCAGGCACAGTGGCTCACGCCCATAATCCCAGCACTTTGGGAAGCCAAGGAGGGTGGATCACTCGAAGTCAGGAGTTTGAGACCAGCCTGGCCAACATGGTGAAACCTCGTCTCTACTAAAAATACAAAAATTAGCCAGGTATGGTGGCACACGCCTGTAATCCCAGCTACTCCGGAGGCTGAGGCATGAGAATTGCTTGAACCCGGGAGGTGGAGGTTGCAGTGAGCCAAGATCATGCCACTGCACTCCAGCCTGGGTGACAGAGCAAGACTCTGTGTTTGTTTGTTTGTTTGTTTTGTTTTGTTTGTTTTTTTAAAAAAGTTGATATGGTTTGGCTGTGTCCCCACCCAAATCTAATCTTGAATTTTAGTTCCCATAATCCCCACATGTCATGGGAGGAACCCAGTGGGAGGTAATTGAATCTTGGGGGCGGTTACCCCATGCTGTTTTCGTGATAGTGAGTTCTCACAAGATCTAATGGTTTTATAAGGGGCTTTTCCCCTTTTGTTCAGCACTGCTCCTTCCTGCCACCATGTGAAGAAGGATGTGTTTGCTTCCCCGTCTACCATGATTGTAAGTTTCCTGAGGCCTCCTCTGCCCTGCAGAACTGTGAGTCAATTAAACCTCTTTCCTTTATAAATTACCCAGTCTTGGGCAGTTCTTTATAGCAGCACGAGAATGGACTAATACAACAGCTAAACATGTCAGATATATTAAAACAGCAATCATATCCAATACTGTAGAGGAATGATGAATATATTTTTCTTTATTATCCAAGAGAAGAATAGACTTATTAATTAAATTTAGTCCATGTAAGATGAAGTGTACATGTTACAATTTAAAGGTAACTAACTACTAGATTAGAATAGGAAGAATAACTTCCAAAGCAATAAAGAGCAAAAGGAAAGCAAACAGTCAATTCAATAGAAAGTTAGAAACATGAATTGATGCATGTCTAGTGGCTAGGATTCTCAGTCGTGCAAGATATTTAATTTTAAGTTTTATAAAATTGGACATAATTTCTATTTCACACCACCATTCTTCAATGGGGCTGAAACTTAGTCTCGGTAAATTAAGTAAACCCCTATTCCCAGCATTTTTCTCAAATTAGCAACTAAACTCTAGCATGAGGGATATATGAAGAGAAATGGTGAAATGTACTTCCATTGTTATTATTAAAGTATCCCACCATACATATAAGGTACTATGCTTGGGATGTAATGAAAGTTAGCTATTTTACCTATGTTGGCTTCAGAGGCTTAAAATTTCATCAGCTACCTCTTTGTAGTGTACTGAGAATAGTTTGCAAAGTACTGTTTTTGTGAAGGGGAATTCAAGCAGTGTTAGCTTAACATGACCTTTGGAAGCACAAGTAAAGCAGAAAGAGGGACACCTACTATTTATGTGCTTAGATTGTTCATAGACCTTGTATTGATTTCATATTGCTACCTTATTATTAATAAATACATATGGTAGGTGCATATAATGCTTTAAACATTTAATGTACTTTCACTATAGATTTTGAGACACAATATATGCTGGGGAAAGAACTCAGTCTACGGAGTCAGAAAAACTTATATCTGAATACTCCCACTAGTAGTAGTTACGTATGTCTGGGCACACACTTCTTTGTGCCTCTGCTTGTCATATTATATGTTGTGTTAGTCAAGGTTTTCTGGGAAACAATCATCATGTGAGAATTTAGCATACAAGGACTTTGTCAGGGAGGATATCAGTGAGAGGCAACAGGGAGCGAGGTAGAGGAGGCTGAGAGAGTCATCAGGACAGGATGCATTCTGACTCCAAGAGGAAGGAATGAAGTTATGATGGAAATACCCTAAATCACTGTGTAGTCTAAAAGGAGTTCAGGAAGAACTTCAGAAAGCCCTCAATCTAAAACATCCAGTCAGGGAAGCCCTTCAACTCCCAGGAATGTGCCTGCTGTAGTACTCCTGCCATGCTAATCACTGGATGGGAGCAGCCTCTAGGAAGCATGATTTGGGAGGAAATAAGGCAATGACTTCAGAGCACAGTGCTTGGGGTCCTTAGTCAATTATACTTCCTCTCTAAAAGGCACATTGTCATGGCCACCATATCTACCTTGCACGTTTATTGTGAAATTAGTAGTAATGTAGGAAAATCACCTAGGACAATGTGCTTGACATACAATGCATGCTCAATAAAGAATGGCTATTGTCATATCTCATTTGTGAACACTTTATCATAATTATTCTGTGGTATTCATAGGATATATACTCTTAACTTCTTCCTACCAGGTGTTTGTATTAGTTTGCTAGGGCTGCCATAACAAATTATCACACACTGGTAGCTTAAACAACAGAGATTTATTTTTCTCACCATTCTGAAGGATAGAAGTCCCAGATCAAGGTGTCATCAGAGTTACTCTCTTCTGAGGCCTCTCTCCTTGGCTTGTTGATGGCCACCTCCTCCCTGTGTCTTTGTATGTCCCTTCCCTTCTATGTGTCTGTGTCCTAATTTCCTCTTCTTCTAAATATATCAGTCATATTGGACTAGGGCCCACACATATGACCTCATCTTATCTCAATTACCTCTTTAAACGCTCTACCTCCACAAACAGTCACATTCTGAGGTATAAGGGGGTTAAGCCTTCAACAAATGAATTTTATCAGGACACAATTTAGCCATAACAGTGTTATTTGCCATACTTTACTAATAAGAAAGCTGATAATCACAGGTGTCAAATAATACGTCTCAGTCACTCTTTTAATGAAAGGCAGGATCAGGATCTCTATATTCCTAAGCAAGTTTCATTTTCTTTTAATAAAAGTGCATTATGAACCTGGCCTTTGTGTGTACTTGGCCCTTGCAAGTAGAGGGAAAAGAGGTAAGTTGACTCAGGCTAGTGGAATTGGACCCAACACCCACATAGTAAGAAAAGCTCGTAAGTAGAGCTCCACACATTTTTAATCAGTGGTTCACAATTGAGGATGATTTTTGCCCTCTCAAGAAATATTTAACATCTTCTAGATACATTTTTGGTTGTCACTACTGAGGCTGTGCTGCTAGCATCTAGTGAGTAGAGGTCATAGATGCTGCTAAATATCCTACAATGCATAGGACAGTCCCCACAACTAATTATCTAGGATAAAATATCAATACTGGTAAATTTAAGAAACTCTAGGTCAGAGTAAGACAACTTGCTCATTGAATGTGGCTGTCCTCAGAAAGAGATCACCTTCTTTTTTTTTTATTATACTTTAAGTTTTAGGGTACGTGTACACAATGTGCAGGTTTGTTACATATGTATACATGTGCCATGTTGGTGTGCTGCACCCATCAACTCGTCATTTAACATTAGGTATATCTCCTAATGCTATCCCTCCTCCCTCCCCCCACCCCACAACAGGCCCCGGTGTGTGATGTTCCCCTTCCTGTGTCCATGTGTTCTCATTTTTCAATTCCCACCTATGAGTGAGAACATGCAGTGTTTGGTTTTTTGTCCTTGGGTATATACGTAAAGGATTATAAATCATGCTGCTATAAAGACACATGCACACGTATGTTTATTGCGGCACTATTCACAATAGCAAAGACTTGGAACCAAGCCAAATGTCCAACAATGATAGACTGGATTAAGAAAATGTGGCACATATACACCATAGAATACTATGCAGCCATAAAAAATGATGAGTTCATGTCCTTTGTAGGGATATGGATGAAGCTGGAAACTATAATTCTCAGCAAACTATCGCAAGGAGATCACCTTCTTTTAGCCATCTACTGGCTATGGTTTAGTACTGAAGGTGTGGGAAATTATATAGACTTATTTTGAAAATTTGGAATTCTGTCCTGACCATTCCTGGACATGAGCACATTTCTTTTCCCAGGCCAACCTTATTCGTATACCTGTGGGGAGCAACCTAGCAAAAATGGGACCTATGAGATTCAAACTTAATTCTAGTTACCTTTTATAAAAATGTCCTTGTCCCTCTTGCACCTGATCCTTCTAGATGAAAGGTTTGGGTGAGTGTAGGATATGATTGAAAAAAAGACCAAAGTTATAGTTACTGGAATGGGAGAATCAGGTATTGTGGAGACAGAGGAAGAGCAACAACCTAGTACTTGGGATTGTACAGGAGAAGGACGGGCATTAATGATCTTCATTTATCAGGACTGCCTCAGGAGCCTTCCTCCCCAAGGAAAACATTCTGGTGCAGCTTTCCCAAACAGTTGCAAGGACCTTCAATTTAACTAACTGCTGGGCTGGCCACTTGCAACCAGGTAAGTCTAACCACCTTTCCCCTTTACCTTATAGAGAGGTCTGTCAGAAGCAACAGGAGATGATCCCAGCTCCTGCACACACACACACACGTGCACGCCTTGATGTCAACCTCACCTTCAGTCTCAGTCATTCCTTGGAATAGACTAATGTCATGTCCCCAAGCTGAGCATGGACAAACAAGCATATTGGGTTGACTGCACTTTAATAAATCTCCCAAACAAGGACTAGCCTCAATTATTTTAACTGAACTGGGAACCTTAAGGTTTAGCTGCTAGCATTCTCAACTTGCTTTCCTTGGACAGGGCTGCCCTACCAATTGTAAAAACTTTCTTTTCAAGGGCACCATTTATACTCTCAGACTGTACTTCTCAGGTAAGAGCCAGGCATTAATGTGGCTCTTTCCTGAAAACACTGTGACTTGTTCTTTAAGGGTGGTAAACTTTCAGCATTTTTGACCTTCCAACACCTTAAAGAAAAGGGCTTAACTCTGAGGCAACATCCATATCAGGGCCCTCAGCTTTGTTATTTCATTTGCTTTAGGGAAAGGACATTTGGTCTGTTATCTAGGTATACATTCTAGTTGACTGCTCTGCTTGCTGGGGTGAAGCATGGAGGGAATAAGGCTTAGTGACTCTTGTCACTTTTACAAATGTTCAATTCCCTCCCCACTTCTGCTCCTACTCCTCTAATTTCAATTTCACTCTTCACTCCTGTCATCTAGCACCCATTCCTTGGTTAACATGCCAGACATCACTCTACCCAAGTGTCTTCATTGCTATATGAGAGTTTATTTTTCTTTCTGCATTTATGTTTTTATTTCAGTTTTGTCTCAGCAGGGCACAATACATACACAGACTTATCCTCCAACCAGGACTGACTCTTTAATTTTTAATTTGTTATGTTGCTGTCAATTTCATCCAGAATATAAGATTATTAATTTATGAGCATAACTTGTGATATAAGTGGTTATAGCTGGCTTTATCCCTCATCTTCTTAGAAATAATTATACTACTGCTGCGGCTGCTAATGATTTTTAACAGCTATTTCTTGAGTGCTAAACATGTTCCAGGTAATTTACATATAGTTTCTAATTTTTAAAACAAGATGGAGAACTTGTAGCTAGAGGAGAAAATAAGTAAATTGTCTAAGGTCACAGAACTGGTAAGCATCAGGGCTTGCATTATCATCAAGGGCTGTCTGAATATGAGGCTTTTGCTTTATCTTTTATATCACCCTCTCCCTTTTTGTTGTTTAGAAAGTCATTAAACCATTAAAGTTACTAGAAGTCATGTGTTCAAAGCTAAAACCTTGATGAGTCCAGAACACCTCTTCAAAAATGCTCACCTGGATTTTATGGTAAATACAGGACTGGTTTCAAAGTGTTTCTTCTTTTCATATCATCAATAACCTACTTAAAGTTCCTTTTGAAGTTACTTCTAGAAAATTTAAAGATGAAATTAAACTTTCTTGACATGGTATCTTCTCACTCACCATGGTTAGAGAGACTGAACATTTTGGTTAATTTTTCATTAACTGTGTAGACAGTAAGGATTGCTCTTCTGCATTTTGTTGCCCTCTTAAATGTTCCCTTAATAGCAGGTTATGCCATCTAACGGCCAATTTGCTTATGCACCATTTTGCTTGTCATGCTGGTTTCCCTAACATTAAGTAGCTAAGACTAGACAAGGGCTCATAGAGGTTACACAGCTCCATAGAATGCCTGTCCTTTTCTCTTTCTTTTCTTCTTCTTTTTTCAAAAACATTTTATTCATTTTTCCATCCCATTATATTTATGTCCTCCTTCATCTTTCCTTACAAACTCACTGGGAAAAAGAGAGCAAAAAATGCAAATATTCTCTTTTTTTCCCCTACAGTGTCAATTTTTTAAATGGCACATTAAAACTAGCTGATAGGAGAAGAATAAACAGAAATAACATCAAAACAGAAATTTTCCTGAGGTGAGAGGATCACTTGAGGCCAGGAATTTGAGGACCAGCTGGGCAACATATTAAGACCCTATCTCTACAAAAAATTTAAAAATTACCTAGGCACAGTGGCACATGCCTGTCGTCCCAGGTACTCAGGAGGCTGAGGCGAGAGAATCACTTGAGCCCAGGAGTTTGAGGTTGCAGTGAACTATGATCATGCCACTGCACTCTAGCCTGGGCAAAAGAGCAAGACTCTGTCTCAAAGACAAACAAAAAACACAGAAATTTTCTTCTCTGTCTAGTTGTACTTAGCTGCTTTATTAAGGAACCAGCGCTACTTCCACCATAATAAAGATTTAAGTATATATTTTCTCAAAACGAAACTCTGTCTATGTGTGTACTGGGGATAACCATCCCCTTGATAGTCTAGCCAGATAGAAAACATGAAATGCTCTTCTAACAAACTACCTTTTCTGACATATAATTGCAACATGAATAATCCTATTACAATATTTAAATTAACTAGCATGGCTTGAGAAGTGTGAAAATGCAGTTTCCCCACTGTATCATGTTCTCTGCAATGTATATCTCCAGAGGTCATGGACTTTAGTAGACTTTATATCTGATGCAATTATTGTTTGTCATTTTTGGAATATACTCCCTTTGTAGCTTTAACCGAAGAATCTTTTAGTTTTGCATAAGCTGTGTCTCCTATTGGAACAACAGTAAACAATATGGTCTCTTTTATTCTTGAAATTACAGGGTCATACTTAATTCCTGAATTTTATATTTCAGTATAAATCTTACCAAATGGTAAAAAAAAAGTACAGTGGTATTTTAAAATACAAAATAAATGTCTGTTTTATGGAAAACTACATTTTCTATCTAAACAGACAGCTCATCTCATTCAAACAATAGCCCAAATTAATATTAATTCTAAATCTTCAAAATGGGAGAAACTGCTTTTCAGTTTAAGTGATTCCAGGAAAAACAGACATGGTTAAATTGCTCCTCTAAAAATAAAATCTATTAATCCTTTACTACAACTTATTTATAGAAATATATTTGCATACACTCTTTAGTAAAGCACCTTTCATGTTATACCCGTTTATAGAAAAAACTTTATGTACGGTGTGGTGATTTTAACACTTAGATAACTTCTTCATGGTCCAAAATGGTTCCTAGATATTAAATACTGCTTCATTCAGCACAATTTTTTTGTATATGTTACTCTATAAATTACAATTTAAAACTTACTTGCTGCTTTGGGAAGAAGGACAAACTTCATTAAGGAATCAGGAAATGACTTCGAAGTTATCAGTCACATATCTAGGAAGTAGAATGCACTCTGTTCTACTCACTCCCAAGATCCTAGAGAAAATTTTGCAAATACTGGTCCCTCTCCCTCTCCCTCTCCCCCTCCCCCTCCCCCTCCCTCTCCCTCTCCTCACTCGCTTTCCACGGTCTCCCTCTGTTGCCGAGGCTGGACTGTACTGCCGTGATCTCAGCTCGCTGCAATCTCCCTGCCTGATTCTCCTGCCTCAGCCTGCCGAGTGCCTGGGATTGCAGGCACGCGCCGCCACGCCTGACTGGTTTTTGTATTTTTGGTGGAGATGGGGTTTTGCCGTGTTGGCCGGGCTGGTCTCCAGCTCCTGACCTCGAGTGATCTGCCCGCCTCGGCCACCCAAGGTGCCGGGATTGCAGACGGAGCCTTGCTCACTCAGTGCTCAATGTTGCCCAGGCTGGAGTGCAGTGGCGTGATCTCGGCTTGCTAAAACCTCCACCTCCCAGCCACCTGCCTTGGCCTCCCAAAGTGCTGAGATTGCAGCCTCTGCCCGGCCGCCACCCTGTCTAGGAAGTGAGGAGCGTCTCTGCCCGGCCACCCATCGTCTGGGATGTGAGGAGCCCCTCTGCCCGGCCGCCCAGTCTGGGAAGTGAGGAGCGCCTCTGCCTGGCCGCCATCCCGTCTAGGAAGTGAGGAGGTCTCTGCCTGGCCGCCCATCGTCTGGGATGTGGGGAGCGCCTCTGCCCGGCCGCCCCGTCTGGGAAGTGAGGAGTGCCTCTGCCCGGCCGCCACCCTGTCTGGGATGTGAGGAGCGTCTCTGCCTGGCCACTCCATCTGGGAAGTGAGGAGCGCCTCTGCCTGGCCGCCCCATCTGGGAGGTGAGGAGTGCCTCTGCCTGGCTGCCACCCCATCTGGGAAGTGGGGAGCGCCTCTGCCTGGCCGCCCCGTCCGGGATGTGAGGAGCACCTCTGCCCGGCCGCCCCGTCTGGGAAGTGAGGAGCGCCTCTGCCCGGCCGGCCCGTCTGGGAACTGAGGAGCACCTCTGCCCGGCCGCCTCGTCTGAGAAGTGAGGAGCACCTCTGCCCGGCAGCCGCCCTGTCTAGGAAGTGAGGAGCGCCTCAGCCCAGCCACCCCGTATGGGAAGTGGGGAGCGCCTCTGCCCAGCCACCCCGTCTGGGAGGTGGGGAGCGCCTCTGCCCGGCGGCCGCCCCGTCTGGGAGGTGGGGAGCGCCTCTGCCCGGCGGCCGCCCTGTCTGGGAGGTGGGGACTGCCTCTGCCCAGCCACCCCATCTGGGAGGTGAGGAGCCCCTCTGCCTGGCCGCCACCCTGTCTGGGAGGTGTACCCAACAGCTCATTGAGAACGGGCCATGATGACGATGGCGGTTTTGTCGAAAAGAAAAGGGGGAAATGTGGGGAAAAGAAAGAGAGATCAGATTGTTACTGTGTCTGTGTAGAAAGAAGTAGACATAGGAGACTCCATTTTGTTCTGTACTAAGAAAAATTCTTCTGCCTTGGGATGCTGTTAATCTATAACCTTACCCCCAACGCCGTGCTCTCTGAAACAAGTGCTGTGTCAACTCAGGGTTAAATGGATTAAGGTCGGTGCAAGATGTGCTTTGTTAAACAGATGCTTGAAGGCAGCATACTCGTTGAGAGTCATCACCACTCCCTAATCTCAAGTACCCAGGGACACAAACACTGTGGAAGGCCACAGGGTCCTCTGCCTAGGAAAACCAGAGCCCTTTGTTCACGTGTTTATCTGCTGACCTTATCTCCACTATTGTCCTATGACCCTGCCACATCCCCCTCTCTGAGAAACACCCAAGAATGATCAATAAAATTATTTTAAAAAATAAAAAATAAAAAAAAGAAATTCTCATTCCAAAAAAAAGAAAATTTTGCAAATACTACTGGACTGATGTTTGCCATCTCTTATCTAAAATAGTTATAATAGGCTGGGCACAGTGGTTCATGCCTGTAATCCCAGCACTTTGGGAGGCCTAGGCGGGTGGATCACTTGAGGTCAGGAGTTCGAAATCAGCCAGGCCAACGTGGCAAAACCCCGTCTCCACAAAAAAATACAAAAATTAGCTTGGCATAGTGGTGCATGCCTGTGGTTCCAGCTATGTGGGAGGCTGAGGCAGGAGAATCACTTGAACCCAGAAGCTAGAGGTTGCAGTGAGCCGAGATTGCACCACTGCACTCTAGCCTCGGTGACAGAGTGAGACTCCATCTCAAAAAAAAAAAAGTTATATAAACAACCACATAGACACAAGAAGAATGCCATGTGACCACACAGGCAAAGTTTGGACTAATACACCTACAAGCCAATCACCTCCAAGAATCCATGGCCACCCATGGAAGGAAGCTAGGAAAAGGCAAGGAAGGATGCTATCCAGTGTCTGAGGGGTCATGGCCTTGCTGACACCTTGATTTTGGACTTCCAGCCTCCAGAACAGTGAGAGAATACATTTCTATTGTTTTAATAAAAACAAATAACCACACATTGTAAATCCAGCTTGCTTTTTTAATGAATGAAAGTACACTCTGAAAGCTACTTCCTTCCAATTACTTATAAGCTTAAATTTTGTTATATCTTTATAGAAATGTCTGAAGAGACTAACATTTTTTATAGTTAACTTTGTTTTTCATATAAACATAAACTTTTGTGTTAAAAAGGTAACTGAAGGAAAGAATACCATGGCTAGTACCATTATACAAGTAATTTGTAGGCTTTTAACTGAACTGTTATTATTTCTAATATATACCTCTAGAACAAAACTACATTAACATTATCGACCTGGTTCTTCCCCATTCCAAACTAAGACTTTCCTTCCCAAAGATGGTTTCCTCCCCCAAATCGTGACACAAATTAAGACTTTCTTGCTAAAAAGTTTATCACCCAGGTTCTGGTTACTGTTTTTTTTTAAGATTATGAGAAATTTTGTTTTTACAGAATTAAACCCTCTTAACTCGTTATATCTGTGATTTATCATTATAAGTTCACATGAAAAAGCTTGTGGAATCAGTCTTTTTAGCTTATGGACGTTTATAGAATTTTTGTTGAGCCACATTTTGAGGGTGCCCCATATAGATTTTAGGAGCTAAGATGAGGTTTCTTCTTGGGGGATGTTTCATCTTCTTTATCTTCCTCTTTTTCTTCTTCATCTTCCTCTTTTTCTTCTTCATCATCTGGATGATCCACTAAACGAACCACACTGCTACCACTTGGGCTACCTGTTCCAATAGCAGCACAAGCAGAATAAGATGAAGAGAATTTGAAGTCACCAGAAGATGTTCTTTTGGGAGAGTCTACCTTGCCTTCATGTTCTTGGTTTCTTTTAGTCTCCATAAATTCATCGTCATCTTCCAGTGGTGGCATAACTGCTTCTCCTTCTTGGTGGGTTCTTTTGGTCTCCGTAAATTTATCGTCATCTTCCAGTGGTGGCATAACTGCTTCTCCTTCTTGGGTTCTTTTGGTCTCCATAAATTCATCGTCATCTTCCAGTGGTGGCATAACTACTTCTCCTGCATCTTCCATAAAACATATTTCTTCTTCCAGCCCAATTTCTTCTATGGTACCTCTGAAAACTACTATATTTTGCAGTACAGAATGTAAATTCTTTTGTATTTGACTTTGTCTGTCTCTCTCTTTTTCATATTTAATCTTCAATCCTTTGAATGTCTGAACATATTCAATCGATTCAAGTGTGTTATAAAACTTTTCAACTATATGTGAAACAAGAGGCTTGATATTTTCCACTCTTATGTATTCAAATAGCTCAAGAATAGCTGAATTCAACATATTGTACCGAGTTCCATTATCTAGAAGAGCATTTACAACTGGCTCAAAAAGATTTCCCTTGATGATGTAATTATTATAAGCTTCATCATTAAGGCAAATCATCCTTCTCATAAAGCGAAGAACACACAAAATCAGGTGAGTATGCTTTGAATTCATCAATATCAAGGCCTTTCTTAGCAAGTCTTTGTTCAAGATATAGCTTCTTATGTAGAATGTATGATGTTGTATACAAAATGTAAGTAGCTCTAATATCAAAGCAAGCAGTTGTGCTGTTTGATTATCATTGGGGCAATTTTTGCTTTTGTCATATCCAGCTATATCATCCTCCTCACAGTTGTGTTCTGAGGTGGCAGCCAAAAGTGGTGCTGTAAATTTATGCATGCAATGTTTGTAGAAGAAATGTAGAAATTCACTTCTTTCACTTTTCTCAGGTGTTGTCAGCATGTTGCGTGGATCAAGTAGAGTATGCAGAACTACCATCAAATGAACAGCACCTCCTAACTCAGGATCAGTATCACAGATCATTTGTTTAATTATTACATTAATGAAAAGGTCACTATCTTTGCACACGTGAGCTTCTGAAATTATAAATTCTCGGATCCTGGATGGACTGTACTCCACTAGATAAGCACATATAACTGCAGCAGCTGACCTTACTTGCAAATCATCCCTGATCATTACGATTTTAAGAGCAGGAAGAACTCCCAACTGTATCAACGTTTCAAATAGTGCATCCTTGCTTTGAGGCTGTAATGCCTGAGAAAATGAACATAACTCCTTGAAAAAAAATAGCAATTCACACCGTCTATCATCATGTGTAGTCTCATCCTTTAACTGTGCAAAAACTTCATACAAAAATTTGTGATCTTTCTGCAGCATGCTTACTATCTCAGCCTTGTTGGAGAAAATAAAAGTTGTAAGTGTAGAAAGAAAATTATCTTCAAATATGGAAGGCACAGGCAAAAGAATGTCATAAATGTACTGTAATCTGTATGTCTGATGTATTTTTTGCCTAAGTTCAGAGTTAGTTATTGGTATAACTTCCTTGAACTTCGCATCGTTGGTCAAGAAGTCCCTATGCCTTTTTGGCTGATCCAAAGCAGGGTCATACTCAAGGCATCCCACCACATCCATGATACACTCGTCAGAAAACATTATCTCAAACAGACATGCCTCGTTGAGGAACAAAATTCCCTTAATAATTTCATACAAATGGTGTAAACCTTCAGTATTCTCTAGATTTTCACAAGTGTGGAACAGTTGCAGTAGTTTTGGAATATAAGCCTCATTTTTCAAGATCTCAGCCAGTCTTTCCCTATCCGTAACAGGTGACGAGAAAACTGAGGTAACTATGTCAGCAATTTGATCAAGTGTATTGAGTTCACAGTCAGGCAGCACAACCATATTACTAATTACTGACATTTCATTAAAGTCTTCCTCTGGTTCATCTGAAATGTTCACTGTGGTTTGGATAGACGGATCCTTACCTTGAGCTTGGCAAATTTCTTTCCAAATATCCTGGCAGCCGGCTGGGTCCTGGAATTTTAGCACCAAACCCTGGTTCTCAGCTTCATACCAAACAATTAGTGTCTCTTGGTATTTCCCATAGGGCCTGTCTGGAGGTATCTGTGACCGCAGGATGACCGACCCATCTGAATCTGACCGAACAAGCAGCGACATGCCCTGGAACTGCTCGTCATAGGTGGATGAGACCTGACCGGTGCCTAGATTGTTCCATTCCTCGTCTTCGTTCAGGACATAGACTTTTACACTGTACCTCAGGCCTGCCATAGCGTCCTCTGGCCTCGCCCCGTCAGGTCTGTTCTCCACGGCACTGCTTCCGGTACAGCATGGAAGCCGCTGTTATTTTGAAAACGATGGTGGCCGAGAGGGCACCCCTGATAGAAGACTGCCAATCAATAGTGGCTAGAGGGGCGGAGCCAAGGCTCTGGAGAGGCCAGAGGGCGGCAGGGTTCCCTCCTATTCCCTCTGGAGGCCCTGTTACCTCTCACTTTCCCCCACCTCAAGCACACTGAATCTTCTCTCCATTGCCCCCCAACACCCCATCCCCTACTGTCTCTTAAAAAGCGAGTCTCAGGCCAGGCGCGGTGCGCTCAGACCTGTAATCTCAGCACAGCACTTTGGGACGCCGAGGCGGGTGGATCACATGAGGTCAGGAGGTCGAGACGAGCCTGGATAAAGAGGTAAAACCCTGTCTCTACTAAAAATACAAAAATTAGCTGGGCGTGGTGGCAGGTGCCCATAATCCCAGCCACTCGAGAGGCTGAGGCAGGAGAATGCTTTGAACCCAGGAGGCAGAGGATGCAATGAGCCGAGATCGCACCATTATACTCCAGCCTGGGCAACAAGAGTAGGACTTAGTCTCAAAAAAAAAAAAAAAAAAAAAAAAAAAGCGAGTCTCTTGGACTGTTCTCCATTGTCTAGAAAAGCGTCGCTCTGGCAGGAATCTTGTGATTTCCCCAGAATTCTGCCCCAAAAGATTGTGCCTATGTAACCATTACTATACTTGTTAAAAGGAGCTGCCACCCAGCTTACAAATGGAAGCCTAGAAATTAGAATATGATTTTTTTATAAAGGGTTTTGTTTCTCTGAAACATTTTCTCTCATCAGGTATTTGGGAATGGAAACTTAGGAACTTTGATAAAAGAGACTGTAATCACCTGTGTCCTGACAAAGTTCCTATTTCACATTCTATGTCAAGAAAAGGCTGGTCCAAAAAAGAAGCAGGAGCAAGTGGCCTATAGACCATTAGCAAAAATCAGAGAAATGGTATTCAATCTTCCCAATAAGGCTTGGCATGAATCTGTATCATTCACTTAGACATCCTTTGGGGAGGATTGTTTTAAGAAGGAGTTGGTTAACTCCTCTGGTCTGTTTAGCTCATCCTAAAGCTCTATCTTTTAGCACAATGGGGAAAACATTTCCCCAAATTTTCCCACTCCATAAGGACACTCGTCATTCGTAGGTAAGGACTGGGCCAGAGGAAAACTGTGAGTTGAAATTAGCCGAGAAAGTATTGGCCATCACAGATCAATTATTTTCTTTTCTTAATAATGATAATAATAACCACAACAACTAATAATACTTGATTACTTATTATTATGAAGAAAGGTAATAACATAACTGATCAAGTCTAATAATACTTGAATGCTTATTATGTTCAAGACACTGACAAGAATGTTGGAGTTACTTTCTTACTTAGTTTACATAATGATCCAATGATATAGAAGTATTAGTAATCTTTTTAGGATCAGGAAATAAACTTAGAGAAGTTAAATAAATTGCCAAAGGTCACACACTAATAAGTTGAGGAACTCTGTGTTCAACATGTCTTTCTGCTTCCAAAATTGGTTTTCTCAGCCATTGAACTATGCTATCCCCTTCTTTTCTTGGCCGTCATTACACTTTATTTCACATTTCTTCCATCTATATAATTTGTAATCAACATAAAATTATCAAGACAAGATGGAAGTCACGCACTTCCTCCTTTAGATCCACATCTGTGTATAGCCAACTGAAAAATAGAAGCTTGGATATGGCAACTCTGTTAAATATAATTTTAATAGTAGCCAAGTTGATTTTTGATGTAGCAGCAAGTTTTGCAGTTTTCTTTTAAAATATATTTTTCCAAAACATTAACCCTGTTATTGCAAGGGAAAGCAAGAATTGGGGCACATCAAGCACATTTGGACTTGAAGAGTCCCATTTGTAGCAATCACTTCATTTTACATAGCACTGGAGATATGTGATAATTCTCAAGTAGAAAAGAAAAATTTCCACACACCTCTTTTGCAATGTGGCCTACAGTAGAGTATAGTTCAAGAATATTACTTATGACAGTACAGCTAAGGCACTTGGGGAATTGAATACAAAATGACAATTATTTCATGGGAAAATTTAAGTCAATGCCAGGAAACTGCTGGTTTAGAAGCATTTACAAATTATAAATAATATTTAAACATAAAATTAATAAATGACATATGAGAATGATATGTGTACTAAACAAATCTTCTTTCAACACGACAGTATGTGCAAATACACAATAATAATACTGACATGTATGCTAATGGTCTAATTTTTCTCTGCTGTGTTTATATTGAAGTCTCTATCAAAATCAATTATAATACTGTCAATCCCTTGAATATGCCTTCAAGTTCCATTCTCTGAGAGGCATTCAGCACAAATCTCTGTGTCCTCACAATTTCGTCACTGGGAGTTTCCCTTAGGCCAACTAAGGTTCCTTCATCTTAATTAGGTTAACTAAAGTCTCTACAATCTAAAAGTCTCATATTCACATTTCTTAGTGCTATTTCTGCAGTAGTTTCTTTCAGTTCCTGTCTTTATTTGGTGCGATAAGTAGAGCAATGTCCTGTTTTCTTCATCAGTTAACATTATTATTTTTTATTTTTACTGTTGTCTTACAGGGAGCAAAGTAATAAGAATAAAATATTCTAGGAGCTGTGTAAATCCTTTAAATATACACTATTTACTTTTTCATTTAGTCCTCATAAAAAGTGACCTAAGAAAAATACTATTACTACCTTATTAGAGAGGAAAAAGCTTCAAACTCCAAAACTGAGTTAAACATTTGGTTCAAACCCCTGTAGTAAGTGATGATGCCAGAACTTGAAACCAGTTCTTTTATAGTTCCAACTCGGCACTTTGCTCTTCCCAATATGCAGTGCTCTCTCTCAGACAGTATATAAATTTTTATAGCAGATGTTTACAACAATGTAGTTTTTATTCCAACTATGACTGTTATTTGGTGTTTCTTCATTTTATTATGTGAAGAAAAATATTTGAGGCCAGTTCAAAATAAAAATGTGCAGACTGAGTCTTAAGATTAAGAATTCCTCTTTTGTTTTGCATGCTTGCCCCTCTCACATTTCCTCCCCATGACCATAGGGTAGTAAGATTTAGTTCTTCATGACTCTGTTCTGAAAATAAATAGTTTTACAAAAGGATCTTGTAATTCATCCACATCTTAAGACCACTAGGGTTTAATTTTTACACTTGATCTTAGCCAAAAGTCCGAGAAGTGATGGGTTTAATTTTTATATTTCCAGAGTTCTTTAGAAAACAAAAAAAGGAATGAGTCACACATTTCTGAATTTTAGGTACAGTAAAATCCTATGAAATGTTTATACAGTCACGAGCCACATAAAGACATTTAGGTCAACAATGGACCGCATATATGGCATTGGTCCCATAAGATTATAGTGGAACTTAAAAATTCCTATCACCTAGCTGTCATAACATTGCAGCCCAATGCATTGCCTTATCTATGTTTAGATATGTTTAGATACATAAATTTTACCATTGTGTTGTAACTGCCTATAGTATTCAGTACAGTGACACGGTGTGCAGATGTGTAGCCTAGGAGCAAAAAGGTATACCATATAGCCTAGGTGTGTAGTAGGCTATACCATTTAGGTTTGTGTAAGTATGCTCTATGGCGTTCACACAATGACAAAATTGCCTAAAGATGCATTTCTAAGAACATATCCCCGTCATTAAGCGACACATGACTATATATGAAATATTTTGATGTCTAAATATTCTATCTATAAGAGGAGAGAGCATTTCATAGTGGGAAAAACAAAGTGATTTTTGATTTTATGAAATGGCATTAAAATATGGTTATTCAAATATATCTCATCTAAAATTTTCAACATCAAAATAATTAATGTAAAACACACCTACATGTTTACTACAAGTTTTCTAGCTAACTTATTCTGTGGAATGTTGCCTTTTATGGCATCTCTTATGGGAATATCTGAAACACAAGGCAAGCAGTGTCAATTCCATCTTTCCTGTGGCTCAGGTAAAAAATATGAAGTCATTCTTGACTTTTCCCTTTTTCTTACTCCCCACATTCAGTCTTCTAATATATACTGTCTGTCTGACTTTCAAAACGTGTTCAGAATCCTGCCACTTCTCATCACATTTGTTATCATTATTACTACCAGTGTCAAATCCACCATCATCTCTGGTTTGCAAATTTTTAATAGTCTCTTCTCTTAGCTTTCACCTTTTCCCTACACTAGTGTATTTTCAACACAATAGCTAGAAATGATTCTTTTAAATCAGAAGTCACACTCTCCCACTTCTTCGCTAAAAATTAATGTTTTTACCTTAGAACACAAGCCAACATTCTAACTATAGTCTATCCATCCCAATAAGATCAGGCCCCCTTGATCTACTTGAGCTCTTCACCTCGTAGTCTCTTTCTTCCTTATTCTGCCTCAGCCACACTAGCTATCTTGCTGTGTCTGAAGTACATTGGGCACACTTGCCTCAGGACCTTTGTATCTGTCCTTCTTTCTACCTGGAACACTCTATTTCTCATTATCTATGTGACTAACATGCTCATTTTCTTAAAAAATTATTCAAATGTTCTTGTTTTTCTAGTGACACCTTCCCTAACCCCCTCTTTAAAATTGCAGGGGCCTCCCATTCCAATTCACCTATCACTTTTCTTCGATGTATATTTTCTCCGTAGTTCTTAGCATCATGTGATCATTTTGAACTTCATTTATTCTGTTTTCTGAAACCAGACTATCAACTACATGAAGGCGGTAATTTCCTTATTTTGCACACTGCTGTGTCCCTAGCATCTACCATAGGCATGGTACACATAGTTTCTCAGTAATTATTTGCAGTATAAATGCATGAACAAATAAGCATTATGTATAGGATGATTTCCAATAATCCATTTATTTATTCCACAGATAGTCCACAGATTGAGAAACCCCTATGGCCAGGCCCTATACCAGGCACTGGAGATGAAACAGTGAATTTGAACTTTATGTTCAGTCCTCTTATGGAATAGCTAGATAGTCTTATCAGGAGATATTTTTAATTTACAAAATACATATGTCATTTCTTCTGATACCTAAATTCCATCTTTTTCGATAGTTTTCTTTCTATTGATGGTAAACTAGGAAACAATACTCTCCTTTTAGTTGCATGAAAACTCGTGTATTGAATAAGGTGGATGTTTTCCTCTAAGTTTTGTTGAATATTTCTTCCCCAACCCTGAGAGAAATCTCAGGTAGAAACTGCAGCTTTTCCATCCACTCTCAAGTGTTGAAAGAACCCTTATTTTCTAGTATTAAAACGTTCAACCCATTTCAAACTTCTGTTTGACCAAATCAAGTTCATGGACAAGACCAGAATCAAGAGGTGTAAAAGTATACTCCACCTAGACAGGGAGATCATAGCAAACTTATATAACAAAGGGCGTCGGTAGAGGGAAGAATGAAGAATTGGGAACAATGTTGTATTCTTTCATAAGCTTGGACAAGTACAACCAAGAACTTCCCTGGGCAAAGAGAGATGTATGACTACTCTATACAGAGAGTATTAGAATGTGTGGACAGTTAAAATCTTCTTTTATTCTCAGGTGAAAACATCATCCTGTTATGTGTACACTGCAGCAGTCCTGGTTATTGTCTTCCCAGTGTCTCAGAGGTAAGAATCATGCAAGTATTTTCTTGGATCCATAAGCAGTTTCTGTCAGCATTAGTACATTCTCAGTACTAGCTGTGCGCATGGCTTCCTTGGAAGCTCCAAAATCTGCTCACACCTCATGAATTAAGCAGAGGAAAGAAAAAGGGGAAAATGTTCTTTTAAGCTCATGTAAATTTTAGGCACTGACTTTCAGTGCCATGTTCTCTCTTTTTAATTCTGTTCAAATAGTTACTTCCAGACTCATTTCCAGTTTTGTTTTAAATTCTGTAATTCATAGATCTTTTCTTCTCTATTTGAATAGACTATGTTACTTCCTCTTCCTACCTTGATCATCAAGAATAACATTAGCTCTCTGCTTACTAATTACCCTATAGCCATGTTGTATAAGTACTAGTAATGAGCATAATTTGGAGTTAAAAATGCTCAATTTTTGCCTAGAGATAGAATCATCTTCATTTCTTCAGTACAGTATAAGATATATTTACGTCATACAATATATATTTTCATTTTATAAGGAGCAGTCTATTTCGTCTTAACATTTTTGCCTTAATTCAATTAACATTTAAAGGGGTGCCTTGAATATGTTTGATGTCTGATGAGAAAATTGAATTGAGTCAGAAACAGAAACAAAAATTTCATGATAAATAGGGGAAATCTTAAACACTTTGGCTAGTCTTGATATTGGACACGTTACTACTTGTGTGAAGATCTAGTTCATTCTTCCTGAAAAACAACCTTTTATGTTTTGTTACCGCTTGCTGATCTGCTATCATTTTCTCTTTTTTTTTTTTTTGAGACGGAGTTTTCACTCGTTGCCCAGGCTGGAGTGCAATGGCTCGGCTTACTGCAACCTCCGCCTCCTGAGTTCAAGCAATTCTCCTGCCTCAGTCTCCCAAGTAGTTGGGATTAAAGGCATGCGCCACCCTGCCTGGCTAATTTTTTATTTTTAGTAGAGACTGGGTTTCTCCATGTTGGCCAGGCTGGTCTCGAACTCCTCACCTCAGGTGATCCGCCCGCCTCGGCTTCCCAAAGTGCTGGGATTACAGGCGTGAGCCACTGTGCCTGGCCTGATCTGCTATCACTTTCTTAAGCAGGAGGGCTGACATAGTGTAAGAATGTATTTTTGAATTACACATTAAAATCATTCAGAAAAAAAAATCAAACATTTGTTTACAGTTAATTAAAATTATAATTTTTAAAACTTCTAATATAAGGGGTTTATCAAATACGTAGGTGAGAACAAATATTCTCTAAAAGAGAATTTAGAGGAAAGAGAGTTTATTCCAAAGAACAACTTGCAAACCAGGGAGATACAGCCTTCAATGTAAAATGAAATTGCATTGTAGAAAACCAAGGGAGGATTTAGCTTTCATAGAGAAAGTTCCTACCCAGGTTCCTATTCAGGACCTTTATGCAAATGAAGGATTCCAACTTGCTTAGTTCTGATTGATTGATCCCTGCTGAGCTCTAATTGGTCAATGTTTGCTGAGTTTGATCCGTTGATGCCGGCCATATACTACTGGTAGTTTCAGGCCATGTGAACATAAACAGTCAGCTATGAAAGTCCCAAAGTTAAACAGACATGTGGGTTTTCTGGGAATTCAAAGAGTATGTGTGGGGTCTATAGTGAGCAAATGGCCACTTGGCTCTATTTTAAATTTAGGACTAGTTAGCCACTCAGGATTCCTCTTGATAGATTGGCTCTTTCAGGGCCATGTAGGTGATACATACAGTAACATGTAAAACAAAGATAAAAATTCTTAGTACTCATACATATTGCATGACCTTTTAAGAACAATAACTGCATTGGTTCCCTATGTTTTAGATGCCTCTTAAGCATTATATTTATCACAAAATGTGACCTTATAAAGTGAATTTTAATGAAGATTTTATGCCTTAAAAATGCCTGTATTTGTGGGCTTGTTGTTTGATTGGTTGGTTGATTACTGAGAGTAGGTATAGCAGGGTAGTTGTGGTTTACCCATTCGATGTCATTAACACCACATTCCCTGCTTGTGACAACCAAAAATATCTTCAGTCAGGGCCAAATATACCCTGGGTGAAGGAGGCAAAATCACAGTTGGTTGAGAATGACTACCAGAAATAATTTTCAGTTCTTATCATCTACTAAGTTTTTAAAATGCAAATAGTAAATCTCAAAAGACAAGTTGTATGGTCGTCTTTTCATGTCTGATATAGTAAAACCAGCTTATTTGAATTTTTGTGGTTCAAGATTTCTATTAATCAGGATTTCTTCATATTTACAGTAAATACAATACGTGGCATTTATCATCAGGCCCTTCTCCAGAAAAATAATGAAGAAGTGAATTTGTTGTTTTAGCAATTCCCTTTTGTTTTCCTGCAGTCCGTTCTCACAGCACCCAGAGCTTGCATACTACTTTCTATAAATCTACACTCTTTAGCATTCTACCAGGCCCCACCGCCTCACCCCATCTCACCTTTCTTCCCGCACTTTGTTCCAGCTCACTGTCCTTCGTGCATATCTTTTTCCCTTCTAAGGGTTGCTGACCAGACCTCCACGCCCCTATATTTTCATATCTCCTTCCTCATGGTTCACATTCCATTTAAAAAAGCAGTCCCTCAAAAAATTCTTTGCCCACAAAATCTGAGGCAGCAACCACTTCTCTTCATACTCTAACATTACCCTATTTCAGTTTCTCAACAGAACTTTCTCAATCTAGAATTACCACATTTAGTTACTTTTATTGTCTTATTCTGCTCTCATCCCACTCCCCCAGCCCAAAAAAGACAAAGATAGGTCTCGGCCCATCTTATTTTTTTCTGCATTGCATTATCTAGAAGACAATAGGTGTTCAGTGACTATTATGAATGAATGCATCAAAGAATGTGTAAAAATCACCCTTTTCTTATAGTGGAAACATTTCATGATAAAAAATTCAATTCCTCCTCATATTATTAAAATCTATCAATTTGGTATCTGATTTCATTAACCTGTTTTTTTTCACGTTCTTTCCTAAACTTATTTCTGGATGAGGATAAGGAGGTTAACAAACTTGTCTGAATTTCCACAGTGAGTAAATATTCTGAGCTTTGATTTGAACCCTGGTAGTCAGACTCAAGAATCTGTGTATGTAAGCTCTTTGCTACAAGACACATCACCATTCTCTTTCCCTTCTCTTTAAATAGGTACAGAAGTCACATTTTATGTCTACGTTATAAAATCATCAAGTTAGACTCTTAAGCATTTGGACAGGCAATATATGTCTCCATAGATCTCTTCTTATCCCCCATCCCCCTCTTTTTCTTCTTAATAGTACACATAGAGGACAATTAGATATAAAGTGCTTCTACTTCATGATCTCTCTCCCTTAAAGTATTTAACCTCAAAGTATAAATATTCTTTTCTTTTAAATTTTACTTTAAGTTCTGGGATACATGTGCAGAACTTGCAGGTTTGTTACATAGGTAAACGTGTGCCATGGTGGTTTGCTGCACCTATCAACCCGTCACCTAGGTATTAAACCCCACATGCATTAGGTATTTGTCCTGATGCTCTCCCTCCCCTTTTCCCCACTGACAGGCCCCAGTGTGTGATGTTCCCCTCCCTGTATCCATGTTTTCTCATTGTTCAGCTTCCACTTATGAGTGAGAACATGCGGTGTTTCGTTTTCTGTTTCTGCGTTAGTTTGCTGAGGATGATGGCTTCTAGTTTCATCTATGTCCCTGAAAAGGACATGATCTCATTCCTTTTTATGACTGTATAGTATTCCATTATGTATATGTACCACATTTTCTTTATCCAGTCTATCATTAATGGGCATTTTAGTTATGTTTGCTTTAAATAGAGGTGAACTAACTTTAAATTTTATTCTCCTTTTTTTCTCATGCCTCTGACTGTGATAAGCTTTATTTGAAACATTAGTTTTACAACTGTGTGCTACTTTAATTTACCTTCAGTACTACTATCTTGACCCTTTCGCTTTTTGCAACACTTTTTCTTTCCAAATGCATTTTTTTCTTTCTAGATTTTTCCCACTCTGAACTCATAAGAAGTCTTTGTAGACATAGTTTTCATAGCAGTTTGTTCCTTGCATTCATTGATAGGGTTATTCTTTGTGATAATCACATTATGGAGCATGTCAGTTTATTCACTCACACAATATCACTTCTAATGCATAGGAAGAACCATTTCTAAAAATTTTGTATGTGAAAAACCATTTCTAAATTTTTTCATTTGATATTATCTAACTGATAACTTTGTTCTTGCTTTCACACATATAAGCAAATGCCATCCACAGCTATAACTGGATTGCCTAAACTGGTTTTATTATCCTGAACAGTTTTTCTTTTTGCTTTAATTTTAAAGACCTGTGGGTATGAAGATGTAACAACTTCCACAGATGGCATTTTCTAATATCCTTCAACTTACATCAGTGAGATTCTTTTTTTTTTTCTTTGCCTTTTCTCTTAAATAAACCTTCCTGTTTTACTTTCTTCCTATTCTCTTTTCAATGGCAGGGTCAGAAAATGAGAGCTCACATATATGCTAAATTGCTTTCTTTCATCTGAAGTTAAGTGCGTGTCTTCCCAGGCCAAACATATCTGACCTTACCATGGCATTTATAATTTCTTTGGTAACTGACTATTAATCTACCTTTTTGGGGTTGCATTTTTTTTTTAATCTTCACAACAACTAACTCTAGTTGCATATCTAAAAGAGAAATATCATTCTAATATACAGTAATTCTAAATATCTTTACAGAAATCCCCCATTATGCTAAAATTATACATGTCTAATTATCCAATATCAATGTCATGTGTACTTCTGTTGCCTTCAGAAATATTAGCCTGCTTTTCATTTTAATTCAACAATGGAAATAAGAGAGGAAGAATACGCATTTTTTGCAATATTCTTGAGGTTGCTCTGGGCGTATACTTATGGGAGTCTTTGCCATTTATTAAGAATAAGTAGCAAAGGAAAGCAAAAAAAAATGATAAGACATATCCATTCCCTAGGGCTCTAATGTTCAGGCTCAATTGGAGTCCCGAGGGTATTTTAACACCTAAAGCCTCTGACTATAAATGTGTCCCTCGGGTATTCTCAGTTATTTCAGGGAAGTGTCAGTTGCTCATTGTACAAGAAGCAATTATCCCCACGCAGAAAATAGTTCAAAGAAAGAAAGGAAGAAACCTAGTTAGTGAAACAAAGGACCGAAAGAAGAAAGCTTACAAGGAAATGAAAATTAAAAAGTACATTGCAAAAAGTGCAATGATATATATTTACTATTTATTTTATATTCAAAAGATAAATACAGATATAGTGGCATATAGTTATAGTCATCTATCTCTACATTTGCATCCATATTTTTATCCCACCCACATATGCGTACATATCCAGATCCACATTTCTGTCCTTATCTGTGTCTGTGAGAGGATGCAAGCTTGGTGGTTAGGAGCCCAAACACAAAAATAGATACCTTGAGTTGAAACTCAGGCTGTATCAGGCACTAGTAATGTGACATGAACAATATTCTTACTATGTCTTGGCCTCAATTTCTACATCTTTAAAGTGGAACTATTACCTACTTCATTTAGTTGTTATGGGATTAGAAGAGGTAACAGGTATAAAACACTGGTTACTGGTGACGTTGTTATTTAAACATGTTGGTTCATGTTAAAATCTTACACCTGAATAGCAACAAAAAATGTTCTTTAACATATTATGCTCCTTTTAAAGGCAAATGGGTCCAAGAAATGATAGGCTTTTTGTTCTTATTGGCTCAATGGTTAGGTATTAAATGCACATTTATCAAGTCTGGGATGTGTTTATGCACTGCTTAGAGTTCTGAGAGAGTGACACAAAAGACACGAGTGACTCCTACCTACTTCTCTGGCCCAGGCACTATATGAAGTGAAGGCGGTAAAGGAGAACCTCAAAAAAAGGGACTCTGAATTGCTCTGGGCCTTGGATGCTTTGGAAGAGGGGCTGCTCTAAGGTTCCTTTTAGAGCAAGACAGTGAGTGTTGTGTAATAGGAGTCCTCCTCAAGAAATCATGGCACTCCAGGTGATCTTGCCACTTCTCAGTGTCTTATTTTAATTGGTTTTCTTGTGAAAATAGGTCAAGTCACTTGATTTCACTTATAGCTTGGGGCCAGAGTCGATTTTTTCATGAGTTACTATTTAAGCAAAATGACTTTAAATTGCTGAGGACACTAGGATTATGTCACTCACTTCCCTTAGAGGTAAGTACTCTACTTTGAGTTGGGAAATTTCCTGCAAGGACATTTTGATCACCAAAGTTAAGTTTCCCAAATCACATATAATTTTTTTAGTTACTAATTCACTTTTCAAAATTTTATAGTTTTGCTAATTGTTACCAGACTAGAGCCAATTTATATTTGAAGATATTTACATGTCTTTTATAAACAAAAGTCACATTCATTTTCAAGGGTCTAACAGTTTTGCAAAGTACATTCTTCCCCCATGAAGGTTAAAGAGCACAGATCAGCAGCTAAGCAATCATATTGGGCTTGTAATACTCAGAGGTTTAGTCCTGGATTTGTTTTGGATTATTAGTGTGTCGCTTGAACAGGTCACCTAACTCCTCTTTTACCTCAGTTTCCTTTGTGATGTGGCTGGAATAATAATACGACTTCTTTTTTGAAACCATACTTGGAAAATAAAATTTAAAATATTTTTGCATCTAAATTTTGCCATACAAGTACTGAAAATATCAGAAAATGGATTTCATGCTCAACTAACGAAATTAATTGCAGTAGTGTTTAAATGCAAACCAACACATTGTCAGTGATTAGACATTTAAAGCTGGAACTGATATTTATGAAAGTTAAATGAAGTTATTTCAAGGATCCAGTGAGTATTTGTTGACTACTTCCTGTGAGCCAGTAAATTTGCTGGTGACTCATTGGTGAATGCAAAGATGAATGCCTACCCTCTGTCCCTCTCAAATCTTATGCCTGGGAAGGGAAACAATTAAGCACATTATAGGGGCACATGGGACAACCTAAACATATCAGGGAAGTCTTCCCAGAGAAAATAATGATTAAGTTGTGACTTGAAGCATAATAATTAGTATTACAGATGTGTGTGGGATAGGGAGGCGGGTATAAAGGGGACAAGAGGAGAAAGGATTGCAACTAGAGAGGAAAGAAAAACAGGTACTAGATCATAAAAATTATGTAACCGAGACTACTTGAAAAAATGAGTATGGCAGTATCCTATGGGCACTGTGTGGTGAATAGAGAAGGAAAACAAGCTGGGGTCTTAATAAAAAAAAGTTACCGAAATCTTAGTGAGAAATGGTTGTGATCTGAACTGCAATGTTAGCAGTAAGGATAAGGAGAAGTTGATAAATTCAAGAAATATATAAAGGTTTTAATTAACGGAACTTCCTGATTAATTAGAAAGAGGGTGAGCAGGGCAAGTAGACACACAAAACAAAGCAATTACCAACTTGGTGCATGCTGATGCCTTTCAATTAGAAAAGGGCATATTTAGGGGGAAAGACTAATTTAGTTTGGATGAGTTGAGATTGAGGTACATACACAGAATATCATAATAATAGAGGTGTGGTAGAGTACAATGATTATTTAATCTTTTCACTCTATGTGAATGTGACTTAATGATGATCTGCTGAGAGCATTTGGAAGGACTTTAGAAATGATGGACTGAATATTTTCATGCCATGGAGCTGTTTCACCAGAAAAGCTTAAGGTAACTCTCAAGGCTAAAAGGGGAGTTATCAATGCCCAATAAGAAAGAAACACTGCAAAATTGGCAAGTCACTTTAATTTTACCATCTGTGCTACTTTTTTTCTTGCAGCATTGTTTTTCTTTCTTTTTAGATTTGTCTCTGTTTAATTCTGGAAAATCTTTACCAATATATGAACAGATAAAGACTGTGTTTTATAAGTTGTGAATGGCCAAATTGAGAATTGTTGCACTCATCTTTCTTCTACTGCATACAGTGTTACTTCCTAGGACAAGTTGAAAGTAGGTAACTCATTGAAAGAAGGATGATAGATTTTGTGTTCTCTCATTACTTTTCAATTCCTAGAAATAATGATGAACAAAAGCTGAACTTGTTTCCCCAGATCTCCTGCCTTTCTTTTCCGGAAAGGAATAGATGTATACTATACCACCTCCTGCTTTCATTAAGTAGAATTAAAATAGCATGGTGACTGACCTGGACAGGTCTGGAATTTGATTTCCTTGTTCTGAACAAGAATGATTCTAGGCAAAATGGATAATAGGCTTATTTAGAGTGTTTGTGTGTTTCTCTTGTTTTTGTTTTTGTTTTTTTGAGACGGAGTCTCGCTCTGTTGCCCAGGCTGGAGTGCAGTGGTGCGATCTCGGCTCACTGCAAGCTCTGCCTCCCGGGTTCATGCTATTCTCCTGTCTCAGCCTCCCAAGTAGCTGGGACTACAGGCGCCCACCACCACGCCCAGCTAATTTTTTGTATTTTTAGTAGAGACGGGGTTTCATCGTGTTAGCCAGGATGGTCTCGATCTCCTGACCTCGTCATCCACCCGCCTCAGCCTCCCAAAGTGCTGGGATTACAGGCGTGAGCCACTGCGCCCGGCCTCTTTAGCTGCCTTACTTGGACTTTATTTTGACTTCTTTCTGTGCAGGCATTTGCCCAGTCCTCTACTGCTAACCCAATGCTCTTTTAAACCCTTACTCTAGAATTTCTCCAAACCCATTTTGCCATCAAACCCTGCATCTACTGTATTTTAGGGGATGATACAGTGTATAGAGAGGGAGGAGGAAACTCTATGGGCTTTTTGTAAGTAATGCGAAATGAGAGGGGACAGTCATTCAAAGACAACTAACAAGCCTAAAAATTGTTCTTCATCTTAAACTTCAAGTAAGCATTCTCTACTATATCTTTCCGTTTTTTTTAGAATGAAAATGCCTAGAATATGGATTGTTAGCTCATCAAGTAGGGATATGTGGTCTGGTTGCCATGACCCCATTGATTTAATTGAGTTCACTCCCAACTAAGATTCTCAATGAATCGTTAGTCTCATGTGTCCAATTCTGCTGTGTCATTCTGTTATTTTGGGGATGGATATTTTTAGGCTTGATATCCAAGAAAGCAGTTTCTCTCCCAGCTTTATGCAGAGCTTAAAATATTGTTAACTCTATACCTCCAGGTAAGGCAGAAATTGCATCCTAAAATAAAGTATTAACACTCACCTCTACTTTGAACAGTAGCAGTTCTAATTATGTAGGATGCAAACGATTAAAGATTATTTTTAAAATGTAAATGTAACCCTCTTGTTTTTAAAGCATATACAAGCTGCAGAGTAGATTTATACATAAAAGGTGCTTTTTAATTTGCCTGCTAAGAAGAAAAAGTTGACTTTCACTAGAGCTATTTAATTGTTTAAGGATAATGAAATATCTGAAGGCATCTCTAGTTAGGTTTAAGAGAAATAAAGAATGTCTCACCCATAAAGAGTTTGGATTACATTTGCTTTCTTTGTGTGAAAGATACATAATTCATAAGCTAATGAGTTGTAAAGGACTTCTCAAAAGTAAAATTGTATTATCACTCCCAGGGGTAAAATAGTCAAACTATTCTGTAATAACTCATTCAAGTTTATTTTATCATAAAATGTTAAACATAATCCCCTCTTTTTAAATGTACCATGAGAATAATGCCAAGATATATAGAGAACTTAGGAATTATTAGAGCCAAAGTGGAAATAAATCCTAAGTGATATTTTACATTTTTTGTTTTCTGATGAAGAGGAAATTCAATATTTAAAAAATTAGGAATAAAAACATTGTTTAGCATCTAAAAGATAACTAAAATTAGACAACTTTTACATTTTTTTCAAGAAGTTATTTCCTTTTGCTATTGTGGTCTCATCACTGTGATAAGAGCCTTCTATAATGGCTCCCAGTGATCCTTTCTCCTGGTATTTATGCCTTTGTATAATCCCCTTTATTTGTGTATGGGCTTAACCTAGTGATTAAAGAATAGAATATGACAAAAGTGAGGGGATGTCACTTTCAAGGTGAAGCTGTAAAAGATTGTGACTTTTGTCTTTCTCTCTCTCTCTATGTTTCTCTGTTTCACTCTCTCTTTCTGGCACTCTCTGGTTTTTCTCTCCTGCTTGTTCTGATGAATCAAGATGCCATGTAGAGGACTATGTAGCCAGAAATTGAAGGTAGCCTCTGGCCAGCAGCCAACAAGAAACAGGCCCTCAGTCAAACAGTTCTCCTGAGGAACTGCATCCTGAGTCCAATAATGTAAGTGAGCATGATGGCAGATCCTCCTCTAGTAGAGTTTTCACATGAAGTCACATTTCTCGCTGGCACCTTTGTTTTAGCCTAGTGGTCCTTGAGCCAGCAGATAGATATAAGCTGCACCCGGATTCCTGATCCACAGGTACTTTGAGCAATTAATTGTGTATTGTTTTAAGGCACTAAGATTTGGGGTAATTCACTATGGAGAAATAGGTAACTAATAAAGTCCTAAACAAATCTTCACTACTATATGCATTTTCTGTGTTTACATTTCCATTATGTGTAAATTTATCAAAGCTCAGTGAAATTTGTTACATAAATTAAACACTTATAAATATGGAATTTGTATATAATTCCAGTAGCCAATTTAAAAGGAAGTGGTATTCATGGTGAATTTCTTTGTCGCCAAAGAGGAAACATAATTTTGAATTTGATGGACAAGTAATTTTCCTCTGCAGCATAATTTTAATCTGAGGTTCCTGGATTCATGGTTAGCATTTTGGATAGGAGAACATTTCTCTGCAAAAAGTTTATATTATCCAGTCCCCTTTCACTATACGACAGCAGTGGGTCTCAGACCTTGTGAAAACAAAAATACACCCAAACAATTCCACACCCACCTAGAGAGGGTCACATTGTTTCTGGATTAGAAGTACAAGAAATCTCTGGATGGCCTATGAGCCAAAAAATCAATGTAAAGTGTTTTGTGCTTATGTGCATTTTTCTGGTGAAAGAGCTCATGACTTTTCATGTGACACTAAACAAAGCTCATGGTCTCCAAACATGTTAAGAGTACCTGGAACACACCACCACATTAACTGTGTTTTAGTGGCTAAACCATTGTTTTGACTATAACAACAGTTAGTTGATTGGTTAAATGATTTTTAAATATATTTATTCAACACATTTATTGAGGACCATGCAAGACATTAGAGGTACAACACTAAAAAGACATTCATGATTCTTCTCCTAAGGAGCTTATATTTTAGTAGGAAAATGGATATTAATCATGAAGAGTTCTGAGAAAATTAGAGAATGCTTGGAAGCATATAAGTGGGTGTGCCAGTTATTTGCCTGTTTGCTCTCAAATCCATTCTCTCTCCTTCCTTGTTCTGGTTTACATGACGAAGGTTGATCCTGCAAACAACATCATGCATGCTCCTTTGCTATCTGGCTACTTTATGAGCTTGCCTAAGGGAAGGCATGGGCAGAAAATTGGAGAGTCTGAGGCAGAGACAGGCCAGGATAATTTTCTCTCTGCTTCAGGTGGGTCTCTTGGCGGTGGCTCTGTCTCCTCCTGGGCTTTAGCTTCGACTGGGCAGCTACTACCTTTGTGTTTCAGATATCCCTTTGGTGGCCTCAATTCCTGACATCTGGTAACACTGTTACTTCCCTAGACTTTATTCTAGGTCTAGTCATGGTGGCAAATTTCTGCAGGTGCAAATCCATGAGTGTTTCATCTTCTATTTATTCTTTCAGCTCATCTAACACCTTCATAACTTGCCTTCTATATTACATTTCTTCTGTTGACCTACTGGACCCTAACTGATACACCAGGCCACTCAAACTGGTTAAGGAAGGGATGTGTCAGGAAGGCTTTTCTCGAAGATGTTAGATTTGAGCTGAAGTCTGAAATATGAATATGTATTAACTAAGTCAAAATGTGGTTAGACAAACAAGAGAACATTTCAGGAAGAATGTGTGCTTGTGATTTTCCAAAACTTCAAGGTCGATGTTGTTGAAGTTTGGAGAGCAATTTGGAGAATGGCATGAGAAGAAGTACATAATATGCCAAATTTTACAGGGCTTTAGTCCATGTTAAGAATTTTGGTATTGGCCGGGTGCAGTGGCTCACACCTGTAATCCCAGCACTTTAGGAGGCCAAGGCGGGCGGATCACCTGAGGTCAGGAGTTAGAGATCAGCCTGGCCAACATGGTAAAACCCCGTCTCTACTAAAAATACAAAAATTAGCCAGGTGTGGTGGCAGACGCCTGTAATCCCAGCTACTCAGGAGGCTGAGGCAGGAGGATCACTTGAACCTAGGGGATGGAGGTTGCAGTGAGCTGAGATCACACCATTGCACTCCAGCCTGGGCAACAGAGCAAGATTCTGTCTCAAAAAAATTAATTAATTAATTAATTTAATTAAAGAATTTTCATCTTTATCATAAGAACAATAGGAAGCCTTTCATGGATTTTGAGCAATGTTCAGATGTGTGTATTTTTAAATATGTATTTAAACATTTTTAACATGTGGAAAATGAGCTAGAAAGAAGTATAAGTAGATGCTGGTATAATAGCCAAAAGGCTATTGTAATAAAAAAGCGATGCTAGTTTGGGCAATGTTGGGTAAAATTTTAAAGCTATTCAGATGACTTAGTGATGCTTGGATAAGGGATAGGTCAGGTAACGGAAGGTGACATAAATGATTGGTCTTTGTCAAAAAGGTGAATTATTATTCATTCACTGAGCTAGAAAAACTAGAGAAAGAATGAATTTGGGAAAAGGATAAAAAGTTCATTTTGGATCTATTGAATTTGGATGTCTTCAGAAAAATAATGGGAAAGTCTATGTGTTAGGATGACTGGATTGGATTTATAATTCATAATAACCTGAACTGGATTTATTTTAATTTTGCTCAGTTGGGTGATCAACTAGCAAAGAGTTGATTTGGACATATTATAGATGTGTCATTTGTGATCTTGTTTAGATGAATGTGCTTTCTTGGTAAGATAAGCATTTCCATTCTAAAATCTTTAAAATAACTTAGTTTTGAAAACTTAGTTGTCTATGAGTTTCTATTATTCATCTTAGTGTTTTTATTTCCCACATTCCTTCACATTTACTAGATGCTTCATAATGTTTAGGAAATTTAAATCGAGTTATGCCTTTCTAAATGATACCAAATTTTTCCCCTCCCAGACTAAACTTTTTAATCATATTGCAAATTGAATGAATTTAGAAACGTAACAAATCTTTTAGGTTGTGGTGGTAAATGTGGTCCTATGTTAAAATTTTGGTATGACAGAGAAGAGAACATCAAATTTTTTTACATTTTAGAGGTAATTCAGTGAGTCAAATGCTAATTCCAAACTTAAGTGCTCAGAAAATATGACCTCCATTAGATTCCATGGAAATGAGCTAATTAAAGCTCATTTAAGAAAGAGCTCTTTTAAAGTTCTTGACATAATTTCCTCTTATCCTTATTCTTCCTTCAAAACTCACCTTTAAATTATGACATTGTAATATTGTCAAAGTGTAGGGAATGTAAATGTGGACATCCATCTGAATCAAGTCACTAGAGATATTCAACAACTTCCACAATACCAGAAAAGAAAATCTGATCTTTGAATATGTTGTATTTGGTACTTTGAGAATGCTCCTTTACAAAAAATACTACAAGTTATTTTAGAACAATCTTATTTTTGGTTTTTTGGAACGTTAGAAAGAACTTGAAAATGTAGAGGATAACTTCCCTTGACTGCAAGTTATTAGATAAATTCACGTCATTTTCACCTCATTAACATTCTAAACTCTTTTCTCTTTCCTTTATGTCAAAAGCAATATCTGTCAAGATAAGATAATCTGTTATTTTGAGATTACCACTCCATATTTACAATAGCTTCTCATTTATGTACCAAGCAAGCCCCCATGCCTGAAAGAGTAATTCAAAATTGTATTGTTTTGTGTTTGCTTGTGTGTTTTTTTGTGTATTTTCATTATGTTTGTGTTTTCATTAATTCAGTGGTAACATAAAACCACAAATAGCTGTCATCTATAAGCTGGCAATTGCTTTTGTAGAGAGCATTTAAAACGACATTGCATTTACCCGAACGTCTTTACTTGTTTCACCCTAAACATTTTATAACACTTTAACATATCAAATTTGGTAAAAATTTATGGATGTCAAATGCAAAATCATATCAATAAAAGATAGTGTTCAACCTCAACCTCAAACAGAAGCGAGTAAACTGCCCAACCATCTCTATGCATAAGACAAGATAATAACGTCCTGTTACAAAGAAAAACATGTACATGGGCCTGGAATGTTCACAATTTATGAATACAAGATATAATGAAAAGGTAATTTTTCAAGTAGTAAATGAATAAAAGTAGTTTACATTTTTGTAAAATACTGTATAATTTGTGATGGGGAAGAAAAGCTTAACTGAATGGCTTAAGTAGCAAAAAATTTTAACGAAACTAAGAGGTACTTTGGTGTTAAATTATAGTACATCAAATTAGGAAATTTAGTTGAAAAATTAATCTTTATCAATATTTGAATAGCTTTCTTTCCACTTTACTTTTGTCCAGTTGGGCTTTGTTTACTTAGGTTTAAAGCTTGACAGGAAATGTTATTGTGCACAGACATCGTTTGGGTGTCTGAGTGGAAGGTGTGGCTAGCTACAAACAATAAAGGTTTCCTTGCTTCCTTCCCATTTATACACCAATTTTATACATTTATTTTATACACACATTTATACACCATTTATACACCAATTTTAAGTTTTGAGATGTCATCTCACCTCCACGAAACAGTGTATTTCTCCTTCAAATGGATAGGCCTAAGTCAAGTAGAAAAATGCATAGGGGTTGTGAAGGAAAAGAACTGTGGCCTTCATGGATTTAGAAGCTCTGTTGTTGAATACTCCAGAATAAGAAACATTACTGAGAATATGTTAGACTTTAAATGAGTGTATAGGAAAATTCAAGCAGATCTTTCTGATGTTTGGCATTTCTAGATGTTATTTCAAGGGTATAGGCATATTGTTGGCATCTAGGTGCATTCTTTTAAAAATTGTTTTTTGATAACGGTATTAAAGGATTTGAGTATCTTAGCATTGCAGATCACCAAGCATTAGCAATTTCAAATAGAGTTGGAGGATTATTAAACATTACTTGTCTATCAGTTACAGCAAAAAAGCAAAAATGCTGATAGATATAGGAAGGCATTTGTATAGTGTATACACATCTCTTGACAATGCCTGAACTAGTATTCAATAAAATTCAAACATTTAAAAATTATTTTTGTTCTCATGGTGGTTTTCAGATTAAATTCAAATCCTTCTTCAGTGATTCACAAATCCTTTTATATTTAAAAGTTGTAAAATCTTTCAACCTGAGAAAGCTGATTAAATAATAATAATAAAAGTTGTAAAATTTTTAGTGTTAACTTGAAAATATTAGAAAATTTGATCCCTGAAATTAGGAATTCCTCATCCCTAAGTTGATGGTCAAAGACTAATATTTCTAAATTGCTAAATAAAATATCTCCTGTATTCTTTATAGATATTAATAATTAGAATCAAATCAGTCTTATTTGGAAACAATGAGTACCTAATTAAATATGGTGAGAATACTGTGCAAGTTATATTTTATTTTCATAAAACATTATTTTCAAATTATGTGTATGTTTTAGATGATTCCCTTTTGTGCAAGAAATATTTCTATATTAGGCACACAGACATACAGTGTGTGCATTATATATAAAAGCAATTCTAAGAAATGTTAACCTGTAGTGAACTATGTATTGAAGGAGAAAGAAGAGAGGAAACTCATACAAGGCGGCAGGGGAGAAAGTATGAACAAAGGCAAAATGATTAGAAAGGTATGAATGTAAAAA
Source organism: Homo sapiens (assembly GCF_000001405.40). Lineage (NCBI taxonomy): Eukaryota > Metazoa > Chordata > Mammalia > Primates > Hominidae > Homo > Homo sapiens. Next base: position 27,484,884 of record NC_000023.11, read on the forward strand.
CATTGAAAAAGAATCCAACTGTAAAAAGGATATCAGTAGGAGTTTGAGTTATATCTTTACAAAGAGAACTGAAATGGAGATACAACCTAATTTGACTAGAGAGGCAGTTTATATTTGAAGGGTTTTAAGTCATGAACACTTAGGATTTTCATAATGAGAAAATAATTGAAATTATTGTGTAGAACCTGCAATGGAAATGATCACACGATTTCCTTAATTACCAAGGCTTTTATGATATAGTATATTGTGTGTTTGATTTTTGCGAGATGACATAGACATAGGTATTCTCAATCTTGGGATTAGAACTGGAAAAGTAAAACTACATTAAAAGCTTTGCTGAATAAAACTCTCGTGCTAATATTTGAGTGCATTCAATTGTTTGCATGCATGTTGTTGCAAACAAAAGTTCCACATATTTTAGTAAAATTTACATTATGGCCCTTGGGTACTGGTGAGCTACAATGAAGAAGGGATGGTGAAGAAAACATAACCACTGAAAAGGCAAATTATGGGAGAGGTTCCTTTAGCTAAGTCCTTTCATTTTTAGGTAGTTGATATAAAAATTAATTAGAGTTGAAGTTAAGTATCCTTCTGTATTACATATACCTTTAGTGGTTATATCATCATCTGGGATCCAAATAATAAAGTAAAAATACTTCAAAATGTCTCATTATTCTATAGTATGATTAAAAATACAAATGAACAAGTTGATAAAATAGATTGAATCAATAAACCATTTTAAAGATTAATCTTCTGGTCATCCTTAATTTAGCTTAATCTTTCTACACGAATAATTTTAGGCAATGTTAAATCATAATTATATGACACAAAAAATCCTATATTAATTGTTTACTGCTAATCAGAACTGCATGTATTAAGCATTATCTCATATTTTAATATTTGAAGTCACAAAGGGATATGTGGGCAATTAGGAAATATTACAAGGTTTTCAAAAATAATGCATTCTATTAAAATGAATGTGTTGACAGTAGGATAAACCCTCCATTACCTTCATTCAATTGAGCAGGAATTCTTTTTCTCTTTTTTTTTTTTTTTTTTTTTGTGGTAGAAATTCTTTAGCAAAAATCTAGACCGTTATAATAATATCGTATTATGTTCCACTCTAGATTTTTTTTTTTTGAGACAGAGTCTCACTCTGTCGCCCAGGCTGGAGTGCAGTGGCACCATCTCGGCTCACTGCAACATCCACCTCCCAGGTTCAAGCAATTCTCCTGCCTCAGCCTCCCGAGCATCTGGGATTATAGTCATGAGCCACCATGCCCGGCTAATTTTTGTATTTTTAGTAGAGAGGGGGTTTCACCATGTTGGCCAGGCTGGTCTCAAACCTCTGACCTCAGGTGATCCACCCACCTCGGCCTCCCAAAGTGCTAGGATTACAGGCATGAGCCACTGCACCCAGCCAGATTTTTTTAAACAATAAATAAAAGAAGGATACATAGAGTCAAAAATAGGATTTCAATATTTGAAATGAAAGTAGCAGATATGAATGTGTTTCATAACAAAGAGATTTCTAATACTAAGTTTCAGTGTTTTCTCAATTTCATTTTAAGTTTCTTCATTGCTAGTATACAAAAATGCAATCATTCTGCAATTTTATTGAGGTATTATTTATATACCATAAATTATCCAATTTTAAATGTTCAGTTCAATGATTTTTTATAAATTAATGAAGTTTTGAAGTCATCACACAAATCTCATTTTTGAACATAGCCATTGTCCCCTTTTCATGTTCTTTTTGTCCATTGTATATCTTCTTGAATGTCTGTTCTAGCCTTTTGCCCACATTTAATTGGGTTATTTGTGATTTTCCTTTATTGTTGGAAGGTTTTTATATATTCTGGACTCAATTATCTTATCTACTATATGATTAGCAAATATTTTCCCCAGGCTGTCACTCTCAATTTTATTCCATTAATCTATATATCTATCCTAAGGTCAGTTTTATATTACCTAGATAACTGTAGAATTATACTAAATTTTATAATTGGTTAGAGTGAGTTCTCTAAATTCATTCTAGTCTTCAGGATTGTTTTGGTTATTCTGTGCCCTTTATATTGCCATAAGTTTAGTAGCAACATGTCAAATTTTGCAAAATAGCCAACTGGTATTTTGGTAACAGTAGGGTTGAATCTTTAGTTCTATTAGGATTATTGCTATCAAAACAATAGCGACTCTTCGAATCCATGAACATAGAATGTCTCTCCAGTTATTTAGATAATCATTAGTTTCCTCTAGTAACATTTTGAAGTTTACAGTGTACTCATTTTGCTATACTTATATTAATTTTACACCAGTTATTCTCTTCTTCTTCTTGCTATTGACAAGGACAATGTCTTCTCAATTTCTATGTCTGATTTTACTTTTGTTTTGTTTTGTTTTGTTTTGTTTTGTTTTTGAGACGGAGTCTTGCTCCGTCACCTAGGCTGGAATGCAGTGGCATGATCTCGGCACACTGCAATCTCTGCCTCCCGGGTTCAAGCGGTTCTCCTGCCTCAGCCTCCCGAGAAGCCGGGATTACAGGCAGGTGCCTCTACACCCTGCTACATTTTTGTCTTTTTAGTAGAGATGGGGTTTCACCATGTTGGCCAGGCTGGTCTTGAACTCCTGACCTAAAGTGGTCCGCCCACCTTGGCCTCCCAAAATGCTAGGATTACAGGTGTGAGCTACTGCGCCCGGCCTTGATTTTACATTTTTGATATAGAGAAATTGAATTGATTTTTAGCAACTTTATTGATATGTAATTTATATAGCATAAGATTCACTGTTTTTAAGTGTTAAATTTTAATAAATATACAAAGTTTTAAATCATCTCAAAAATCTAATTTTTAACAATACTACCATAGCAAAGAGAAACTTGAACCTGTTTGCAGTCACTTCTCCTTCACACTCACAGCCTTAGCCAACCAGTAACCCATTGTATATTTTCCTTCTCTAGGCATTTCATGCAATTTCTATTTTTGAGTGACTTCAGTCACTTATCTCAATGTTTTTCTGGTAGTTTCATGCTACTTTCCAACTCTAGTGATTTGCCTTTTCTGGACTTGGCTATTATGAATAAAGCTGCTATAAAACTTCAGGTACAAGTCTTTAACTTGGATAGAAATTTAAGTTTTTCAATTTTTAAATCCTGTCCTAAATATTTGTTTAATATTTTATGAATCAATTTTCCAAACAATTTTCCAAAGTTGTTGTAACTTATTTCCATTGGCAATGTGTGAGGGTTCCAGTTTCTCTATATCATCAACAATACTGGCTATTTTTAGTGCTTTATTATTACCATTCTAGTGTGTATTATCTGGTATCTCCATGGCATTTTACCTTGCATTTCCCCTCCTAAAAAATGGTATTGAAAATTCCTTCATATTCTTATTTCCCATTTGTGTATCTTCTTGAGCAAAATGTCTACTAAATTATTTTGCCTATATTTAATTGAGTTATCTGTGCTCTTCCTGAGGCAAAAGAGTTATTTTCATGTTCTGGAGACAAGCCATTTATTTGACATATGATTTGTAAATGCTGTATCTATATTGTAAATTACCGTTGCACTTTCTTGATGTATGCTTTTAAAACACAAAGGCTTTTTTACAAAGTTTTGTGAAGCCAAAATTACCTCTGTGTGTGTGTGTGTGTGTGTGTGTGTGTGTGTGTGTGTGTGTGTGCGCTTTCATATTGTGTTTAAGCAGCCTTTGCAATGTCAGGGGAATAAAGATGTACACGCATATTTGTCCTCCCACTTGGTGTTTTTCAAGATTTGTTTTGTTTTGTTTTTGAATACAGGGTCTCAGTCTGTCGCCCAAGCTGGAGTGCAGTGGCATGATTACAGCTCACTGCAGCCACCATCTCCCAGGTTCGAGCTATCCTCTTTGCCTACCTCCTCAGTAGCTGGGACTACAGGCACGCGCCACCATGTCCCACTAATTTTTTTTTTTGTTTTTTGTTTTTAGTAGATATAAGGTCTAGCTATGTTGCCCAGGCTGGTCTTCAAGCGATCCTCCCACCTTGGCCTCCCAAAGTGTTGAGATTTGTGTGATGGATACACTAAAAATGAAAAGCCCAGGTTTTTAGTTTTAGTGGCATGAGCCACTGTGTCCCACCCTTTTTGAAGATTCTTTAGGCACTTCTGGGACCATTGTATTGCCATATTAATTTTAACATTATATTGTCAATTTCTGCAAAAAATTCAAATAGGTTTTTGTTTGTTTGTTTGTTTTGAGACAGAGTCTCGTTCTGTCGCCCAGGCTGGAGTGCAGTGGCATGATCTTGGCTCACTGCAAGCTCTGCCTCCTGGGTTCACCCCATTCTCCTGCCTCAGCCTCCCGAGTAGCTGGGACTACAGGCGCCCACCACCGTGCCTGGCTAATTTTTTGTAGTTTTAATAGAGACGGGGTTTCACCGTGTTACCCAGGATGGTCTCCATCTCCTGACCTCGTGATCTGCCCGCCTCGGCCTCCCAAAGTGCTGGGATTACAGGCGTGAGCCACCACGCCCGACCTCAAGTAGAGTTTTAATAGTGATGGTTTTGAATGTGTAGAGCTGCTCAATTCCGTTGACATTTTAACAATAGTAAACTTTTTAATCCATGAACATGAATTTGCATTCCACAGAATTATATTCCACTGTATTGATGTACCTTTTAAAATATGTATATAATTTCCAGTTGAATGGCATTTGTTTCTTTTCATTTATTTGATGCTATGAATAATGCTCCCATGACCTTCATGTCCATGTTATTTGGGTGAAGTTTTCACATCTTTTGTGTAGTTTACTAATCCTGCTTTTCCTGTATCTTGTCTGAAATCATTATTTGAAATTGCCAAACTATTTTCTGAAGCAGCTGTAAAATATTACATTCCCCTCACCAGTGTGGAAGGGCTACTGTGACTCCATATTTTGTCCACACTTATGTCTTGTGTTTTTTATTATAGTAGCTCTTCAGAGCAAAAATGTTATATTCCTTTCATTTTATTTTGCATTGTTATTATTATTTTTTTGAAACAGGGTCTCCCTCTGTTCCTCAGGCTGGATTGCAGTGGCACAATCATAGCTCACTGTCCCCTCAATCCCTGATCTCCAGCCATCCTCCCACCTCAGCCTCCTGAGTAGCTAGGACTACAGGTGTGCACCACCACACCCAGCTAATTTTCAATTTTTTTGTAGAGAGGGGGTCTCACTATGTTGCCCAGGCTGGTCTGAAACTCCTGGGCTCAAGCAATCCTCCCACCTTGGGAAGGCCACTGTTCCTGGCCTTATTTTGCATTTGGTATTAATTAATGACTGGACATTTTGTGTGCTTCTTTGTCATTTATCTTTGTGCTTTTATGAAATGTCTCTTCAAATTTTGCCAATTTATAAAATTTGGTTGTGTTCCACTTATTCAATTGAAAGTAATCTTTTGTTGAGGTGGGGTGTTTCTGACCATAATTTGGCTTTTTTAAGAAAAATAATTCAATGGATGTAGGGGTACAAGTGTAGTTGTGTTACATGGATATATTGCATAGTGGTGAAACCTGGGATTTTAGGTTTTTTTGTTTGTGTGTTTGTTTGTTTTTTGTTTTTTGTTTTTTGTTTTTTTTTGGAGACGGAGTCTCGCTCTGTCGCCCAGGCAGGAGTGCAGTGGTGTGATCTCGGCTCACTGCAACCTCCACCTCCTGGGTTCAAGCAATTCTCCTGCCTCAGCCTCCCGAGTAGCTGGGACTACAGGCGTCGGCCACCACGCCTGGCTAACTTTTGTATTTTTAGTTGAGATGGGGTTTCACCATATTAGCCAGTCTGGTCTCGAAATCCTGACCTTATAATCCGCCCACCTCGGCTTCTCAAAGTGCTGGGATTACAGGTGTGAGCCACTGCACCCAGCCAGGCTTTTAGTTTTTAGTGTAGCCATCACACAAATACTAGATATTTCATACAATAGTTGGTATTTCATCCCTCAAGCAACTTCCACCCTCCCACCATTTGGTCTCCAATGTCTACTGTTCCTGTCTGTATGATCATGTGTATTCATTGTTTATCTCACTTAGAAGTGAACACAGGCAGTAAATAAATCCAGGCTATATAAAGATTACCTTCAAGAGCTATGAAAATAATCTTCATATAGCCTGGACTCACTTTTATTACCTGTTAGGAGCTTTGCAGATATTTTTTCCCCTGAATTTCTTTTCTTTGAACTTCCTTTGTGTAAACTGTTATAGGTCAAAAGTTTTTAATTTTGCTAAAGTATGTTTTAACTTTTGATTTGTATTTTCTTTTATTAAAAAATGTTTTGCATTTTACTTTTGATTTGTACTTTTTTGTTTTATTCTAAATCATTTACTCGGTGATTTTCTTGAATATTGTACAGATACTTTCCTCCATTTTGTTTATGATCTATTTTGAATTAATATTTTGTCAGTGTGAACTGTCCATATTTATCTTTCTGCATGTGGATATTCAAGTGGGGCATTCTTTTGGTTTGTAAAAGACTACCAATTCCTCATTGAATTTCTTTGGTAACATGGCTTTTATTTCAGCAGTCTCAATTCTGTTCTCTTGAGCTATATGTCTAAATTAGTGCCAGTACCATGCTCTGTAAATGAGTGTAGTCTTGTAGTATCTTTTGAAATCTGGAATGTTCTTCTATCATTGGTTTTCCTTTTAAAATTATTTTAGCCATTTTGCCTACTCTGCATTTCTGTCCAATGTTTAGCTTGTCCGTTTCTGTAAAACACTGTGGCAGGCATTTTGAGAATGATGATTTCGAAACTGCAAATCTCTTTGAGGAGTATTGACTTCTAACAAAACACTCTTCAAATCCATGAACGTGGAATGTTATTCCATGCACTTAGATGATCTCTAGTTACTTTCAGTGTTTTTTTTTAACCTTTCATTGTGCAAATCTTGCTTTTCTGATATCGACTTTCTACCAAATACTTCTCTTCTTTTTCATGTCATTAACAGTGATAATGTTTTCTGATTTTCAGTTTCTGATTTAGCATTGCTGGTATAGAGAAATGGAATTAAAATTTCAACTTTATTGAAATACAATTTACATAGCAAAAAATCATCCATATTAAGTGAAAAATTCAACATATTTCTGTAGTATGCAGAGTTGTGCAACCATTGCCAAAATCTGATTTTCGAAAATACCACTATAACAAAGGGAAACCTTGGGCCTGTTTCCAGGCACTCTGTTCTCACCTATAGCCCAGCAAACCACAAATCCATTTTCTCTCTCAATTGCTTTGTCTTTCTGGACAGTTCTTCTAAACAGAGCTATACAATGTATGATCATTTGTTTCATGCTTCCTTCACTTATCATGATGGTTTTGAAGATCATCATCCCTGTAGCCTTTATCACAACATTCTTTCTCCTTAATGTGGATGCATACTCCATTGTATGGGCACACCAACTTTTGTTTGTCTATTCACTGGTTTAAGGCATTCCAGTTGTTTACAACTTTTGACTATTACATATAATTCTTCTATAAACCATCACCTACTATGTTTGGGTCGACCTAAGTTTCACTTTTCTTCTGTAGAAACCTAATTTTGCAATTGCTGAATCCTTTGCTAACTCCATGTTTTTCTTTTTTCTTTCTTTCTTTTTTTTTTTTTTTGAGATGGAGTTTTGCTCTTGTCACCCAGGCTGGAGTGCAATGTCATGATCTCGGCTCACTGCAACCTCCGCCTCCCAGGTTTAAGCAATTCTCCTGCCTCAGCCTCCCAGGTAGCTGGGATTACAGGCATGCGCCACCATGCCCAGCTAATTTTTTCTATTTTTAGTAGAGACGGGGTTTCTCCATGTTGGTCAGGCTGGTCTCGAACTTCGGACCTCAGGTGATCCACCCGCCTCAGCCTCCCAAAGTACTGGGATTATAGGCGTGAGCCACCACGCCCGGTTCCATGTTTTATATGTTAAGAAAATGACCATCTATTTACCACAATGGCTGTAACTTTTCATTTCCACCAGGTGAGTATGAGAGTTCCAGTTTCTCCACATCCTGAGAAAACACTTGTTGTTTTCTATATTTTTTATTATTAACTTTTTGGTTAGTCTAAAATAACATTTAGGCCAGGTGCAGTGTCTCACGCCTGTAATCTCAACACTTTGGAAAGCTGAGGTGGGAGGATCTCTTAAGCCCAGGAGTTAGAGACCAGCCTGGGAAACATAGTGAAACCCTGTCTGCACAAAAAAATAAAACATAAAAAAATTATCCAGGCATGGTGGCATATGCCCATAGTCCCATGTACTCAGGGAGGCTGAGGTGGGAGGATCACTTGAGCCTAGGAGGTCAAGGCTGCAGTGAGTTGTGATCACACCACTGCAATCCAGCCTGGGTGACACAGCAAGACCCTGTCTAAAATAAATTAAATTAAATTAAAACGAGATTGATGTTTTCACATGACCTTTATGGGATAATTTACATAACATAAAGTTTGCCCATGTTAAATGTACAATTCAACAATTTTAAATGAATATGCTCAGTTGTGAAACCTCACCAAGAGGTAATTTCTAGAATTGTTATTGCATAGAGAACCCTACATTCTAGGCCAGGTGCAATGGCTCATGCCCATAATCCCAGCACTTTGGGAGGCCGATACAGGTGGATCCCCTGAGGTTAGGAGTTCAAGACCAGCCTGGCCAACGTGACGAAACCCTGTCTTTACCAAAAATACAAAAATTAGCCAGGTGTGGTGGTGCTCCCCTGCAGTCCCAGCTACTCGGGAGGCTGAGGCAGGAGAATCGCTTGAACCTGGGAGGCAGAGGTTGCAGTGAGCTGAGATCGCACCACTGCACTCCAGACTGGGAGACTGAAACTCCATCTCAAAAAAAAAAAAAAAAAGAAAAAAAAAAAGAAAAGAAAAGGAAAGAAAACCCTACAATCTATTAGTAGTCATCCTCATGCTTCCCACTCTTAGCCCCTGGCAACGTGACCTCTAATCTATTTTCTGTTTGTATTAATTTGATTTTTCTGCAGTTTGTGGGCTTTTGTTTCTGGCTTCTTTCATTTGCAGGATTTTTTAGGATGTTTAGCACTGTAAGATGTCTCATAATTTTGTTCCTTTCTAATGTAGAATCCTATTTCTTTTTATGTACCACTTTTGATTATCCATTCACCAGTTGAAGGACATCCCAAATTTTTCCACTTTTTGGTTACTACATATAATGCTTCTATAAACCTTCACTTTCCAAGTCTTTGGGTGGAATTTTGTCTCACTTCTCTTGTATAGAAAATGACTTTTGCGGCCAGGCACAGTGGCTCATGCCAGTAATCTCAGCAATTTGGGAGGCCAAGGTGGGCGGATCATGAGGTCAGGAGTTCAAGACCAGCCTGACCAACATGGTGAAACCCCATCTCTACTAAAAATACAAAAATTGGCCAGGCAGGGTGGCATACACCTGTAATCCCAGCTACTCAGGAGGCTGAGGCAGGAGAATCGCTTGAACCTGAGAGGCAGAGGTTGCGGTGAGCCGAGATTGAGCCACTGCACTCTAGCCTGGGCGACAGAGCAAGACTCCGTCTCAAAAATAAATAAATAAATAAAAATTAAAAAAAAAGACTCTTGCTATTGTTCAATCCTATGCACAGTTGATGTTTAATAGTTTAATATCTTAAGAAACTGACAGACTGTTTTCCAAAGTGGCTACGTTTTTCACTTCCACCAGAAAGATATGAGAGTTCTAGTTTCTCCACATCTTTGAAAATACTTGTTATTTTCTATGCTCTAAGAGTATGTGCATGTGTGCTTTTAAAATAATTGTGCTTTTGTGGTTATGACTTGGCATTTGTCATTGCATTTTCTTAAAAATATATGCTATTGGTCATTTTTTCTTGGGCTTGCTCACAACTGGTATATTCTTAAGTGAAATGTCTACTCAAATCCTTTACATACAGTTTTAGTTCTGTTCTCTTTGCATTGAAATGGTTCTTTATATTCATAAATTGTTTACCTCACATATAATTTGCAAATATAGTTTTATTTAAATTAATTTTATTGCTCTTTATCAATGTGGCCATTAGAAGGTCAAAATGTTTTAATTTTGGAATTCTGATCTTTTTTTTGCATGAGTTGTTTTAGTGTTTTGTAAGAAATCATTGCATGTTTCAGGGGCTCAAAGACGTACTGCTCTATTTTATTCTTATGGTTTTGGAGTTTTGACGTATACCTTTATATGTATTTTTTGTTTTTTATCTATGGTTGTGTCATGGTTAAACTAAAGTTCTATATTCATTCTTTGCATATGGATATCCAAATGTCCCAGTATCATTTGTGGAAGAGATTAACATTCTATATTGAATTGTCTTGGAATCTTTGTCAAAACTCAGTTGATCAAAAATGAATAGATGTATTTATGCACTCTGTATTCTGTTGCATTGGTTGATATTTCCATCCTAATGTCAATACTGTGCCCTATAGATTACTGTCCCTTTGTACTAAGTTTTGAAATTGTGAATTTTTCATCCTCTCACTTATTTTTTAAATCAAGATTGTTTTGGCTCTCCTAGGACCTTTGCATTTACATATGAATTTTAATATCAGCTCTTCCATTTCTCTGAAAAAGTGAGGCTGAGATTTTAATAGCAATGTTTTTGAATCTGTAGGTATACCTAAATCTGTTGGCATCGTCACGATATTGAATTTTCTAATCCATTAACATGAATTTGTATTCCATAGTATTGTATTGCACTTTATAAATATACATTTTATTTTTTTGTCTGATCCCCAGTTGAAGGACATGCAGCGGTTTCTCTTTTCAGATATCATGAATAATGCTGCTGTGATCTTTGTCTACATGTTATCATGGGAATTGTTTTCATTTTTTTGTATGTATTATTAGTTGTGCTCTTGCTGTTTCCTATAAGACAACTTTTTTAGCATTATTAGAAATTGTCAAATTATTTCTATAATTTTCTTCCCCATCACAACTTTGTGAGGATGATATTCACTCCATGTCTTTGACCACACTTATTTCTTGTGGTTTTTATTATTTCAATTTTTCTGTGTGAAAGTGGTTAACATTGTCTTTTAAATTTGTATTTCCTGTGCATATTTTCCTGTGTCTTGGTCATTTGCATAATAGCTTTTCTGAAAATGATGACCTTGAATTTGTACATCTAGTTGAGAGTATTGATATGTATGCCATGTCATTAATCCATGAATCTGGAATGATACTCCATTTACTTATATCATCTTTTGTTACTTTCAGTAATATTTTGTAGTTTTCAGTGTACAAGTCTTCCTCATTTGATATTAATTTTAAATCAATTATTCCTTCTCATGCTATTGACAATGGTAATTTTTTTCAATTTCAGTTTCAGATTATACATTGTTATTATATAGAAATGCAATTGATGTTTTAAAAAACTTTAATGGGATGATTTGCATTATGTTTGCTCATGTTGAATGTATAATTTCATGATTTTTTGGTAAATACACCAAGCTGTGAAACGCTCAGCAGAATCTAACTTTTAGAAATTATGTCGTTGCATGAGAAATTTTGTTCCTGTTCCCTGCCACATTTCCTTCTTACCTCTAACTCTGGGCAATCACTAATCTACTTTATACCTCTATTGATGTGCCTTTTCTTGAAAATTCTTATACAGGGAATTCATGTCATATGTGGTCCTTTTTGGCTGGCTTCTTTCGCTTGCATGTGTTTGAGGATCATTAGTCTTGCAGCATGTATCAAAACATTGTTTCTTCTCAATAGCCCTTTCTGTCTGCAAATCACCTTTCGATTAACCATTCAGAATTTGAAAGACACCCCCATCGTCCCACTTTTTACTTATTATGTATAATGATCCTACGCTCCTTAACTTACAAGTCTTAGATGGAAGTATGTTTCACATTTCTTCTGTAGAAATCTAGTTTTGTAATGGCTGAGTGCTATGCTAAGTCAATGACTAACATCTTAAGAAACTGAAAAACTTCCTGTTAAAGTGACGGCAACTTTTTTCGTTCTCACTGGAAAGGCTTGAAAGTTACCATTTATGAAAAGGAACAATCTATTGATGCATACAACTTGGATACGTATCTAAAGAATTATGTTGCCTGGAAAAAGCCAATGTCAAAAGGTTATTTTCTGTAAGTTTCCATTTTTAACCTTTTGAAAAGACAAAGTTTCAGGAGGAGAGTATAAATTAGTGATTTCCATGGGAGTGAGATAAGGTTGTGGAACTGAGGGAAGCTTCTTTGGGAGGGAGGTGGGTGTGCTTATGCAAAGGCAAAATAGGGGATATCTATGATGATTATTTTGTCCTGTATCTTGATTCTTAGTAGATGCATGAAGCTACACGCGATAGAATTATACACAATTAAATACACTCGCCCCTGCTGAAGTATAAGTAAAACTGTGGATTGTAACAATGTTGGTTTCCTAAGATCCTGGTTGTGGTATTGTACTATAGGGCTTTTTAATGATGAAAAACACATAAAATAAACTGTACCTTCTTAATCATTCCTAAGTGTGTTAGTTGAGTAGTGTTAAATATATTCACATCATTGAGCAAACAATCTCCAGAACTTTTTCATCTTGCAAATCTAACACTCTGTACCATTAGAAAACTCCCCATTTCCCCATTTCCCATCCTTCTTGCCCTTGGCAAACACCATTATTCTTTCTTTCTTTCCTTCCTTCCTTCCTTCCTTCCTTCCTTCCTTCCTTCCTTCTTTCTTTCTTTCTTTCTTTCTTTCTTTCTTCTTTCCAATGAAGTCTCACTCTGTCGCCCAGGCTGGAGTGCAGTGGGGCGATCTCCGCTCACTGCAACCTCTGCCTCCTGGGTTCAAGCGATTCTTCTGCCTCAGCCTCCCGAGTAGCTGGGACTACAGGCGCGCACCACCGCGCCCGGCTAATTTTTCTATTTTTAGTAGAGACGGGGTTTCACCATATTGGCCAGGCTGGCCTCAAACTCCTGACCTCGTGATCTGCCCGCCTCGGCCTCCCAAAGTGCTGGGATTACAGGCGTGAGCCACCGCACTCGGCCTCTGCTTTCTGTTTTTATGAATTTGATTCATGTAAGTGAAATCATACAGAATTTGTCTTTTTGTGACTGGTTTATTTCAGTCAGTATAATGTCCTCAAGGTTCATCCATGTTGTAGCATATGTCAGAATTTATTTCCTTCTTAAAGCTAAATACTATTCCATTGTGTGTGTGTATATATATACATATCACATTTTGTTTATTCATTAATTTCTCAGTGAACACTGGATTGCTTCCACCTTTTGGCTATTGTAAATAGTACTGCTATAAATATAAGTGTGCAAATATCTTTTCAAGACCTTGCTCAATTCTTTTGGGTGTATAACTACAAGAAGAATTACTTGATCATGTAGTAGTTCTATTTTTAATTTTTTGAGGAAGCACCAGAACGTTTTCCATAGTGTCTGTGCCATTTTAAAATTCCATCAACAGTGCATGAGGCTTCCAATTTCTCCACATCCTCACCAACAATTATTTTCTGTTTATTTGTTTGCTTGGATAATGGCTATGCTAGGAGGTATGAGGTGATATCTCATTGTGCTTTTTTCAGCTTTGCTGAGGTAAAATTGACAAAGAAATAAAATATATTCAAAGTGTACAACATGATGTTTTGCTGTACATATATATTGTAAAAGTACTGTAACAATCAAGCTAATTAACATAGCCATCAACAACACATGTAGTTACTCTTTTTGTTGTGGTGAGAATACTTAAGGTCTACTCTCTTAGCATATTTCAAACATACAGCACATTATTATTAACTATAGCCAGCATGCTGTATGTTAGGTCTCCAGAACTTGTTCATTTCATATCTTCAAGTTCGTACCTTTTGACCAACATCTACTCATTTCCCCTATCCTCTACTCCTGGTAACCACCCTTCTACTCTGCATCTGAGTATGACTTTATTAGATTCCACATATAAATGGGATCATGTAGTATTTGTCTTTCTGTGTCTGACTTATTCCATTTAGTATAATGTCCTAGGTTGATCTGTGTTGTCACAACTAGCAGGATTTCATTCTCTTTAGGCTGAATAATATTCCAGTGTATGTGTGTACACTATATATGTGTGTGTGTGTATATCTTTTCTTTATCCATTCATCCATCAACAGGCTCTTAGGTTGATTCCATATCTTGGTTATTGTGAATAATGCTGCAATGAACATAGGAGTGCAGAAATCTCTTCAAAATAATGACTTTATTTCTTTTAGACATATATTCCAGAGTGGGACTGCTGGATCATATGGTAGTTATATTTCTAATTTTTTATGGAATGTTTATACTGTTCTCCATAGAGGCTGCATTAATTTACATTCCCATAAACAGTGTACAAGGGTTCCCTTTTCTTCACATCTTCACCAACACGTGTTATCTTTTGACTTTTTGATAACAGCCATCCTCATAGTTATGAGGTAATATCTCATTGTGGTTATGATTTGCATTTCCCTGGTGATTAGTGAAGTTGAACACCTTTTCATATACCTGTTGGCCATTTGTATGTCTTCTTTGGAAAGATGACTACTCAGGTCTTTTGCCCTTTTAAAGTCAGGTTATTTATTTTTTGGCTATCAAGTTGTATAAGTTCCTTGTATATTTTGGATATTAACCCCTGAATTAGTCTGTTCTCACACTGCTATAAAGAACTACTTGAGACTGGGTAATTTATGAAGAAAAGAGGTTTCATTGACTCACAGTTCTGCAGGCTGTACAGAAAGCATGGTTTGGGAGTCCTTAGGAAACTTACAATCATGGCAGTGGGGCAAAGGGGAAGCAAGCGCCTTCTTCACATGGCGAAGCAGGAGGAAGAGAGAGAGCGAAGGGGGAAGTGCTACACACTTTTAAGCAACCAGCTCTCCTGAGAACTCTATCATGAGTCAGCAAGGGACACATTCTCCCCCATGATCCAATCATGTCCAATCAGGTCCCACCCGCAACACTGAGGATTACAATTCAACATGAGATTTGGTGGTGGGGGGGGGTACAGGGCCAAACCATATCAATCCCTTATTAGATATATGCTTTGCAAATGTTTTCTCACATTCTGTGGGTTGCCTTTTCATTTTGTTGATTGTTTCCTTTGGTGTGGATAAATTTTTTAGTTTAGTGTTGTCCAATTTGTGTATTTTTACTTTTGTTGCCTGTGCTTTTGATACCATATGCAGGAAATCTTGGCAAATCCAATTTCATGGGCTTTTTCCTCTATGTGTTCTTCTAAAGTATAGTTTTGCAAGATGTTAACATTGGAGGAAAATAGGTAAAGGGACCATAGGATGTCTCTGTATTATCTCTTACAGATACTTGTGAATCTACAATTGTCTCGTAATACAAATTTTAATTAAAATAGTGTAATCCACCAAAAAATAAAAGACTTGTGCCTCAATAATCTGCTACAAATACAGCAAGAAATTTAAAATTAAGCAATCAAGGGAAGCATCAATATTTAGAAATCAATATACCAATTGGTAAAAATAGGAAAGATACAGATCATATAAATTATTGTTTCATTTATTGAGAGAAATAAAGGAAAGGAGAGAGAAATAGTATTTAGAAAAGGAAATAATTTTTTATACACTGTTGGAATTTTCACAGATCGGCCATGTAGCATGTCACATAGGGCTTTGACATAAATTCCAAGTAGTAGATATATCAATTTTTGTGACGATGATTATCTGAAACCTGGACATTTCAAAAAAAGAGCAAAATTCAATATATTTCCCTGGGAATTAGGAGAGAAACACAGTCTTCTAATTTACTTTTGGGCTAAAACGTTTATTAAAACCGTAACTGCAGAAAAAATTTTAATGAGTGGCAGTTAATATTCTACATATAAAAACGAGGTAAGTCTCAAAGGAAAGTTTCTTGTATTAACTGTTATTACCTGGGAAATAGCCCTGGTGCAACAGTTGCATCCACATACATACCAGGCTAGCTTTACCAGATGTCCCATAGAAGCAAAAGATTAATAGACCAAATTATGGTCCCTGAATCACATTTTAGTAAATTCATTTAAATAACAGAGTTAACATTGAGAGAAGGGAGTTTGTTTAAGATACTTTTGATATGAAATGGGAGAGGAACGACGGCTTTCCACCTTCAGAAGCTGCCTGAATCATGGTTTGCGCAATGTTCATATGCCTTTCTCTATCTCTACTGCATCTCCTTTCCTCTGAAAGTTGGTTATGAGGACAATCATTGAGTTTTGAGTAAATGAGTTAAAAGAAATTTCCTGTGACAAATACATGCTTGCTCTATAGAAGCTATGTAAGGACAGATACATATACCTGGCCATCAGCTAGAGCTCACCAATTAGCCTTATAAAGAGGCATTCTCTCTCTCTCTCCCTGCCCCCCACAGCTCCTCGTCCTACCTCCCCCTCCTCCTCCCCCTCTTCTCCTCCCCTCCTCTGCTGTGTGTGTGTATGTGTGTGTGTGTGTGTGTGTTGCTTAAGGAGATGTCATGTGGAGCCAGAATGGGGCCATACTGGGTGACCGATGGGTGATTGATTTAGGGATAACACATACATGAGCTCAAATTCGACATGATTATGACTTTGCCTTTCCATCCCTTTCTATCTATAAGTAACTTTCTTGTTTCCATTATATATTCCATGTGTATATGTTTTACCAGTGTTAGGAGCTCAACTGAGCTGAGAAAGAGAGTGCTGACCATTGAGGTGTCTGATTAGGTGTCCAAGTAGCTGATTAGAGAAATAAGCCCAAAATGAGAGTTAAGCTCTTTAATCGCTTCCTGTGATGGTATAAGCAAGAGATCAAACCTGGAGAAATCACCAACTCTCCGTGATTGGCACACCAATCAAAGGTCAGGTGAATGGGAGTAAATGTGGGCATCATCTCACTGTTGAGGAAGCCTGGGACAGAAGGTTCCAGTTTTATGGACCCTGGCATGGGGTTGAGAGGAAGCAAGGGGGAAGGGCTGAGTGGAAAGTTCTGAGTACTGAGTCATAGTGGAGAATCGTGTTTTCAAGATTTCCCTTCTATATACCCCCATAAGGAGGCCTTGGCAGAGCTGACTAAAGAAGGTCTTTGCCCAAGGCCGTAGATAAGGAGACCTCGGAATGAAGGCACTGGGGCAAGGAATATAAATATGTGAAAGAGCATGACCTGCAGAAGGGCCTAAACCTTGACTGCAACTACCTTCAAAAATGGCAATATGGTTGGGCACGGTGGCTCACACCTGTAATCCCAGCACTTTGGGAGGCTAAGATGGGTGGATCACTTGAGGTCAGGAGTTCGAGACCAGCCTGGCCAACAAGGTGAAACCCCTTCTCTACTAAAAATACAAAAATTAGCCTGGCGTGGTGGCAGGCACCTGTAATCCCAGCTACTCCGGAGGCTGAGGCAGGAGAATTGCTTGAACTTGGGAGGCAGAGGTTGCAGTGAGTCGAGATCGTGCCACTGCACTCCAGCCTGGGTGACAGAGTGAAACTCTGTAAAAAAAAAAAAAAAAAAATATATATATATATATATATATATATATATATATATATATATTGGCTGTGCATGTGCAGCAAGTCTCATGTTGGGAGAGGGGCTTTCCCCAGCAAGGCCTTTCAGGTAAAGCCTTTATAATTGCCTATGGTAGACCTGAAAAATTACAGATGTGTTCTTTACCAGGGGTTGGACTCTTCAACCAGTTACTAAGTTAATATCTAAAGTTAACACATCTTATGCAATTTGCTGATGGCTTATAAGACGCTTATTTATTGATTCTTAACAAATTCTGTGATCTTCACCTAGTTTCATAAGCTACTTGCTTAACTTAAAATCTATGTTTAAAACTTCATGTAAGTTTCATCTATTCCATTTGTTTTCTTGTCCCCTATAGCAGAATTGAATGTTCTCAAACAATACAGAAAACTCACATTGCCAATGTATTTATTTTCTACAGTTTTGGGAAAGATATTCAAGGGAAATAGAGGAAATTTAACTCTAAATATAGGGGAAATAACTCGGAAATATAGGGGAAACAATAACTTGATATCATCAATGTATCAGTTTCCTTTTGTCTTCTTGGTCCACCATCCTAATCAAGTGAGTTTTGTCTTTCTGATTTCAAGGTGGATACTGTACTTCCATACATTGCATACATTTTCTGAGCAGGAATATGAAGAAAGAGGAGAAAGAAGAGGGTTGTGCTCATATCAGTAAAACAAATATTTTCTAGAAATCCTCATCTTCTGTTTCATTAGTCAGTTAAGTCCATGTCTAACATTTCCTTTGGTGGAGTGTCTGTTCAAGCCTTTGCTTATTTTCTTGTTAGATTTTTCATTTTCTTACTGTTGAGTTCAGAGAGTTCCCTATATATTTTTTAAATAGTCCTAGTCAGAAATATGATTTTCCCATTTTTTCCCTGTCTGAGGCTTCTCTTTTAATCTTACTGACAGGATATATGCAGGGCCAAAAAATTTAATTTGGTGATGCCCAATTTATCCATTTTTTTGCTTTTATTGATTGTGCTTTTGGTGTCATGTCTAAGAACTCTTTGCCTAACTCTAGGTCATAAATTTTTTTCTGATGTTCTGTTTTAAATGTTTTATAGTTTTACCTTGTGTATTTACATCTGTGATGCATTTTGAATTAATTTTTGTATAAGGTCTGAGGTTTAGGTTGAGGTTATTTTTTTGCCTCGGGATGTCATACACCATTTGTTGAAAAGATTATCCTTCCTCCATTGAATTGCATTTTCACTTTTGCAAAAAAAAAATCAATTGGACATATTGGTGTGGGTCTACTTTTTTGTTCTCTGTTTTGTTCCATTATCTATGTGTCTATCTCTCTCAATATCATACTATATTTATATAGCAAGTCTTAAAATCAGGTAGTATGAGTCCTCTAAGCTACTTCTTTTCTCAGACTTGTTTTAGCTATTCTAGTTATCTTTAGCTTATCTATTTAGCTCCAGTAACTATGTGCTTGTGGGTTATCTACCTTGCCATTTTATAAGATTAAATACAAGTATAGACTCCTCATTCGTGGTTTTACTAAAAGAACACACTAGACATATAAAAAAGAGAAAATGTAATTTATTTTCTTTAGAGTTTTAACATATTCAGAAATTAAAAAGAATATGATGACATTCTCTTCTTTATTGTATTGTACATAAGGAAACATCAACCTGGTGATTGATGGTGCTTATAAATTTGAATTTTCTGGCTTTGCCATGCAAGTTGCAAAAATTAGTGTGTGATATTAATTACATTGTGTTGGGTGGAAAAAATTGCAACGTGGAAACACATATAAATCAAATGCAAATTAACGCTAAGTGAATAAAATTGTTTTAACCTAAACGATTTGGTTATCTCTTTAATCAGTCAAATCTGACCCTAATTCTAGCATTTTATAAGTACAAGGATTGTAGTGGAAACTCACATTCCTTGCAGCAAGAAAAATTATTTTTAATCCCAATATTTGTTAATGACAAATTCTGTGATTTTAGGCATATCTCCTAACTCCTCTCATATTCAGATTTCGCTTTTATACAAATGATATACTCACTGACTCATAAAGTCATAAGTAATATGGTACACATGTTATTCATGAATATGCCTGACAAATAGTAGGACATGTGTACTTATTGTTCTTATGCCCATGGGCCAATCAGTCTTATGTCCATGTCCATATGTCTTACGTCCATGGGCCAATCAGTCCATGAAAAACAAAATAAGGGAAACATTTGAAGGGAAATGGATAGAAGTCCTTTTCTGGCACTATCTCATCACTCCAAATTTTTATTGCATCCCCCTTGTTCCACTTCTTACCATTGAAAGAAACCACTCATGGAGTGGATATGGGAGGAATGAAAAATTGGACTGACTCATAGTAGCAAACAATCTACCTGATTTCAAGGTGAATATTTAGGATGAAATAGGCCAAAAACTGTCTTGTATTTGAACATCCATAAAACCAGTCCCTAGGTAGAAAGACATCATTGTCAGGATCACTACAATATTTCATGATTCTATCTCTTTACACCTGAATGAACTGTCAACTCCCCAAATTTGTTCCCTGTCCTTACCTTAAGCTCCATTTTGTTTCAGTTTCTGGCAGAACTTTTTCCTGTATAATGATTTTTAGCATCTTTGTTTGACATAAATGAGGCTTCTACCTCTGCCCAGTGTTACTCCTGACATTAATAGTTATTTTCACTGATATGAAAACACCTCCTCTGTTTAAATAACTCCATTCTCCCAAGTCTTTTATTATAGAGCAAATGATCATCTTAAAATAATACTACTCATGAAATTATTTAAGCAGGCTAAGTACCTTATATGTGAGGTCAGATTTAAATATCTGATGTGTAGGAATTAGGACCCTCACTTTACAGATGAAAAAACAACTGGTAAGTGGTGGTTGACCCTAGATACGAACCCATAGATGTATGACTTAAAAGCTTTTGCTGTCATCCAATACAGAACATATAAAACTCACGGCTAAATACTTGGCGTTGATATGTGATTTGCCAGAATTCCAACCTGCAATTCTTATTCAGTCTCTTTCACTTTTTCATTGCAATTTATGTAATTCCTTTATTACTTATTAAAAAGTATTCTATAAGAAAAGTATACCTACTTACTGATTTCAGTTTATGAAAAGCTATTTCTTATTATTTATCTTTTATTTCAATACATAGATATATCATCATTTAATCATATTAGGCATATTTATCATTTGATCACACAATAGTATGGTAGGTTTGGCTCCCAGTGATCCTTGTTTCCTGGTACTCATATCCCTGTGCAATCTCTTTTCCTTGAATATGGATTGAACCTGGTGACTTTCTTCTAATGAACAGAATATGACAAAAGTGAAGGGTTGTCACTAGTCGATTAGGTTACAAAAGACTGTTCCTTCCATCTTGCTGGAACTGTGTATTTTGCTGTTATTCTCTCTTGCCCTTTTGATGATAAAGCAAATGGCCATGTTGTGAGATGCTCTAAAGACAGGTCCTCATGTCAGGGAAACAATAATTGTGAGACAATACATGTTGTTGGTTTAAGCCAGTAAAGTTTGGGGTAATTTGTCACACAGCAATAAGTAACTTACACAAAGAAGTTATTCATGCTATTTAAACCACTGTGCTCTGGTCATATGCTCTGGTCAGGACCACACATCAAAATGAAATGTGAATTTAAAAGAATCATCAAATAACTGAGGCTAAGGCCTGAAATAACCTTGGTAATTCAGAGGAATATATAGATTAGCATAACCTTTCTTTGCTCTTAGTAGATCAATATTCGAATAAACAGAGCAATGAGAAAAAAATATTTATCATTGAAGACAAAGAAAAATGTTATCACACATTTATAAATCAGTGAAAAAATTTTCATTCTCACTTCAAATCTTTGTCAAAAATGAGAACATACCCATGTTAAGATATTTACAGAGTGCAAATTGAGAGTTCCACAACTCTCCACTCCAAAAGAACTTTGTACACCCTCGTCCATGAAAAGATAAGTGTAGAGATATTTTTCTTTACAAACAAGATTTTTTAAATATTGTGTTAGTTTTTAGGGTGGCTGTAAGAAAGTCTCACAAACTTGGTGACTTAAAACAAGATAAATTTATCGTCTTAAAATTCTGGAGGCCAGAAGTTTGAAATCAGATATTAGCAAGGCCACACTCTATCTGAAGCCTCTGGGTCAGAATTCCTCCTTTCCTCTTTCAACTTCTGGTAGCCCTAGGCCTTTCTTCACTGTAGCAGCATAACTCCAATCTACCTCATCTTCACATGGCTGTCTTCTCTCATGTATCTGTCTTCAGTTGGCATTCTTCTGTGTGCGTGTGTGTCCAGATTTCCCTTTTCTTTTTATTTATTTATTTTGAGAAGTAGTCTCACTCTATCACCAAGCTGCAGTGCAGTGGCGCAATCTTGGCTCACTGCAACCTCTGCCTCCCGGGTTCAAGCGATTCTCCCTTTTATTATAAGTACACTTGTTATATTGGATTAAGGCTCACCCTAATTACCTTATCTTAACTTGATTACATCAGCAAAAACTCTATTTCCAAGTAATGTCACATTCCAAGGTGCTTAGGGTTAGGACTTCATATATCTTTTGGGGGGACACAATTCTTCCTATGACAAATAGCATTTTTTTTCCCTTTGTCTTATACAATCTTTTTTAAACATCTATCTTTGGCTTTGTTACATCATTCAAAGTTTTCTATGTCAATAAAAGAAACTCTACTTTCTGTCCTCCCACACTTTTCTGTAACGTAATTGTCTACTATCCTATTTTACCTGAAATATTTGAATTTTTGTACTCTTCAAGATATTATAATCAATGTTGTAGCAGTGTTTTTAAATATAATTCGCTAAAATAACAGTTTCATCTCTATCCAAAAGAAGCACTTAAAAATCTCACATGTAAAATCAGAATATTTTTCCCTTGTTATACCTGGTCTTAGACAAACACAGGACATTCTGAATTTTATTTTAGGGGTTCAAGGTGCTGAAAACTCTCTATAATAAATAATGTTAATATAAAGTGATTGGAATATCAGCCAGATGTTTTTGTGTCATCCACAGGTTGATTGAAGTGGCACCCCCACTAGAGAATGAGAATAAAATCATATTTCTCCTAAAGCGCAAACTATAAAAGTGTTATGTAGTCATTCATCAAATATATATTATTTCCATATTATGTTCTAGTCACTGAATTCATTTGTAGCAGCATTATTAATTAAAAGATTATAGACTTTAGAGTCATACACACTTGAATTTTAATACTTGCTTCATTACATGCTAATAATTCTTCTAAATATCCACTTCTTTCATCTGTGAAATGGGATAATAACAGTAATTACAGAGTTGTTTTGAAAATTAATTATGATTATATTGACACAATGCTCTTGATAAAATTGATAAATTGCCCTCAATTCCTAGCAATTATATTTAATAAAGTTCAGAGTATTAAAAAATTCAAAGCTTCTAATTTTCCTATATAAAATGAATATAGTGTCTATACTGACAGTTTGTATAATATAATCTATGTAAATATATGACACAGTGTATATCCTTAATAGATACAGGGCCCCTCCGCCTCAGGTACTGTAAGATACAAAGATAGATGGCAGTTATTCTTAATTTTTGCAACATATAAGTTCATGTAAGCATATTTACTGGTTTGTTCTCATTCATTAAGCCATTTATACATTCAAAATAACTTTATATGTGTTATACAATTTGAATAAAATTATGAGATATATAGGACCTAGTATACCAATAAGAAATTGAAACTCCAAAGGTTAACTAATTTTCACCACCTAAAACTGCCCTTGAGTTGCAAAGCTAGGATGCAAATCCAGATGTGTGTAAGTCTAACAATTTTGATCTATTCACTTCAGTGCTAAATGTACAAGTTTAAGGGATGGGAGAAGGAGCAGGGGCTTTCAAATTGAAACAAAAGAATAACATGAGAAGCAGGAAAAACTAGAATCAAATGGGAAAGCCAAAGATACACTTTTAATATGAAGTAGAAGTTCAGTGAAATAGATGTATACAGTGTCCACTCTGATCAACCAGAGAGAGTGCACTAAGTCCGGATTGACAAACTCATGAGACATGTTAGACTTTACCCAACATAAAGTTTATTAACTTGAAGAAGGAATACAGGACAGACAGCAACACAGCATGCACAGCAACAACATAATCATCATTTTGTGATTCATAAGCACAAATTCCCATGCCCCGGTCACTCCATCCTTAGAACATGTGTGTCCTACATCTAGTTACTGGAGTATTCTCTGTCACAGGCCTCATGGGTCTGAATATTTTGACTTGTTAATGAAGTCATCAAAGGAATAGGCTAAGTCTCATACTAGATGAGATTGGATTGGCACTGACCACTTCAGTTCCAGAAACTCAGTGGCTCTGAAGTCTCTTCGACTTTTGTACCTTGCTAATCACATAGCTCCTTCAGAGTACAAAATTAGTATCTATTTTCTGGTGCAGTTGCATCTCATCAATACTAATTACTCATTACTTGATAAACCACTTTGACAATGAAGTGTAGGTGCTTAGTCTAGTTCCCAGTACTCAGAAGGACTTAATAGAATCCAACACACACCCATAATTCCTTGAATTAATGTTGCAAGTAAGATTGGACTAGATTCAAATCCTAAGACATTTTTGAAGATAGATAGAGAATGGTCACACAACCTACTATTATATCAGGAATACTGTGTCAATAGAACAATAGTTCAAGTGGTTTTTTTCTATCAGATATTAGGTGATAGATACAACATTCTGTCACTAGTAACAGTGGTGGCTTTTCACTGGCCTTTAGGAGGGCTGGAGAGGAGATATAGAGCATGTGAGAAAATCAGAAACTTTGGGATTTGAAACATCTTCCCCAGAGCTGAGATTTCAACATCATGCCATGTACCTGTGTGACTACCATGGATTTCCCTCCTTTCCCTCAGTTGAATATTATTAAACTAAGTTCAGCACCTGACTTTGTATCCATGAGTTATTTGTAAGGATTTGTATAAAACTGCTGTCTGTTTAAAAACCTCTTTCAACTTTGAGCATAGCTATTGTTGTAAATCTGAGATATGAGAACATTCGTCAGCCAATTTGACATTTTGTGACTTATAAATAGTGACTATAATTCTACAGGAAATATTGTTGTAAATGAAAATTTAAAAAATACGAAAACAATTGCAGGTTGTCTAATGAACATTGCATTTTTAAAAATTCAACTTTGCATTTATGCCATTTCTGTGAATGTTCACTTATTTCTTCCCATTCTATGTGGGTACAGATGTAAATGTCAGTAAAATTGAGAATCAAGTAAATCACCATGATAAGATTTACTCTTTTGTTCTTTTGCTTACAACAAAATGTAAGTGTTAGTAAAGGGGAAAACATGAAGACTTGGCTTTAATTACCGTTTTGAACATCAATAAAAAGAGATTGTACAATAAAATAGAGCAAAAAGAAAGTGAATATGTGTATAATGGATGTATTTACTATTTATGGAAGTCATAATAATATCTATAAATAAAAGATCCTTTCAGTTAACATAGAATGAGGAAACATTGGTTCAAAAAATAAATAAGAGGCACTTTTCTTTCTTTTAATTCCCCATGCAAAGCCTACTTAATTAAATATATTTATTAAAATTTGATCAAAAAGCCCAAATTCTATGTGTCCTACATCCAGCTACTAGAGTATTCTCTGTCATAGGCCTCATGGGTCTGAATATTTTGACTTGTTAATGAAGTCATCAAAGGAATAGGCTAACTTTTTCAGTTAAAACTGTTTGTTCCAAGATGCTCTGCAAAATATGCTCTAGGCTTTTCCAAGGCAACTCTTTCATTTTTTTTTTCTCTCTTAACTTAAAACTAAAGCCTCCCTGTCATGCTTAATTAAACATCTGAATCAAATTAATTATTTTGTAACCAGAGTGGTGTGTAGGATGTAAATTTCAAATTTAGCATGGGGCATTAATTGAAGAGGCAGATTGTTCTTTATAAAATACGATTATCTTTTTATGCCTTCAAAACTACAATACATAGAAACTGAGAATGGGCATGAAAACTTCCCAGACTCACATATAGAATAAAAAGGAAGGATTTTGTAATATGCTTAACAAAGAGAAATATATATATATATATCTTGAATATATATATATATCTTGAAGTCTTCTTGGACTTCAAGGAGCTGTATTACTATATATATATATATGTAGCCAAATTTCTTTTTTGAAATTAGAAGCAGTTTTTCTGCTTTTTGTCAGTCATCTTTTGGTTTCTATGTAAGCTATATACCTGTCTACATAAGGAAATGCCTGATGAATTCTTCCTACTGAATTCTTATTATCATAGAACATCAAGAATGATTATTGTCAAAGAAAGCCTAATTTTGAAAAATGACATCCATCTGCTCAATATTTTATTGGCTTGCTGACAATTCACTTTGAGATAATCTGGGTCAGGGCCTAATACTTTGCACTGAAAAGCAAATTATGTAAATAGGCAAGTGGTTCATAGAATATTATACTTCAAGAGTACTAGCTCTTTCAGTTTTAAAGGAAGATCAGGAGTCAGAAGTAATGTGTACTCTGTGTCCTTAAGTTGATTTTCCTTAGTATCATCACAAGCAGTGTTTTTGCATTCTAATAGAGAAGATAATATTCAGAAGATTCAGCTACTAAAAAACCCCAGATCTTGTAATAGACAAGTGGAGCAAATATGTACAACAGCTAGGCTCCAAAGCTGTACAAGTTTCTGCTTGTGTCATGTAGAGTACTGTACCATACAGTTTTAAAATGTCAATTACTGTCATTTTACATTAAAAATAAAGCTTGCAAATGAAGTCTTAATCTCTTTAGTGTTGACAGCTTGTGGAGGGAAAGCTAGGCAATTTAACCACCTTAAATAATTCCCAGAGCAGTTTCCCTTTGCAAAGGTAAATTGATTTAATTATCTCATCCTTGGAATCACTAGAATTTTCCCTTATACACAGATTGAAATTTTTCATGTGTACATTCAAACAGCTGTTCATATTTCATATTTCCAAGCATTAGAGGAACAGAACAGTTTGGCTCCATATAAAATCTTAGTTATCACTTATGAAATATTTTACTAAATTGAATAAAATAGAAAAACTGCATGCTCTAATAAATTAGAAGAAAGTTAAATTATCAATGCTTTAAAGAAGGTAATGTGTTATGATAACAAACTATTTCTAAACATAAACTATGTGTTCCAGGGCCTTCTATTCAAGATCTGAACTGGAGAATAAGTTCTGGCTCTGCCACTTGATTGCATAGCAACCTTGAGGAAAGTCATTTATATATTTTGTGCCTGAGATTATTTATCCAAAATGTAAAAGTGGCGATAATTTTACCTGTCCAAACTATCTAATAGGCAACTTATGTAGATAAAAATGGAGTCAATGAATGTAAAAACTATTTGCCAACTGTGAAGTGAAGACAAGAGTGGTTAAAAAGTGGTAGCTTTTCTCTGTGCCGGTAGTGAACTATCTGAGAAAGAAATCAGGAAAGCAATTCCATTTACAATAGCAACAACAACAACAAAAAACCTCTAGAAATAAACTTAACCAAGGAGCTGAAAGATATTTACAATGAAATCTATAAAACATTGATGAAAGAAATTGAATCCTAACTCTTTGTGAGGCTGAGGTGGAGGATTGCTTGAGTCCAGGAGTTTGAGACCAACCTGGGCAACATGAGACTCTGCTTCCACAAAAACATAAAAAATAAAAAAAAATTAGCTGGACATAGTGGTGCACACCTGTAGTTCCAACTGCTCAAGAGGCTGAGGTGAGAGGATTGATTCAGCCCTGGAAGTTGAGGCTGCAGTGAGCTGTGATCATGCCACTGCACTACACCATAGGTGGCAGAGTGAGATACTGTCACAGAAAATAAAGGAAATGATGAGAACACAAATAAATAAAAAGATATCCCGTGTTCATGGATTGGAAGAATTAATATTATTAACATGCTCACATTACCCAAAGCAATCTACAGATTCAATGTAATCGTTATCAAGATACCAATGACAGCTCATGCCTGTAATCCCAGCACTTTGGGGGGCCGAGTCCAGTGGATTGCCTGAGGTCAGGAGTTCGAGACCAGCCTGGCCAACATGGTGAAACCCTGTCTTTATTAAAAATACAAAAATTAGCTGGGTGTGGTGGTGGGCACCTGCGATTCCAGCTAATCGAGAGGCTGAGGCAGGAGAATCCCTTGAACCTGGCAGGCGGAAGTTGCAGTGAGCCGAGATAATGCCACTGCACTCCAGCCTGGGCAACAGAGTGAGACTCTGTTAAAAAAAAAAAAAGACATTCTTCACAGCAACAGAAAAAAAAATCTTAAAATTCATGTGTAAATGCAAAAGACCTCAGACAGCCAAAACAATCTTGAGCAAAAAAAAAAAAAAAAAAAAAAAAAAAAAAACAAAGCTGGAGACATCACACTACCTGACTTAAAAATATACTAAGCTACAGTAAACAAAACAGATCAGTACTGGCATAAAAACAGACACGCAGACCAATAAAACAGAGTGCACAACCTGGAAATAAATTCATGCATTTACAGCCAACTTGTTTTTGACAAAAATGCCAATAACAGACATGGAGGAAAAGACAGTCTCTTCAATAAATGGTGCTGGGACAACTGTATATCCACATGCAGAAGAATGAAACTAGACCCCTATCTCTCACCATACACAAAATCAACTCAAAGTGGATTAAATACTTAAATGTAAAACAAAAACTATGAAACTACTAAAAGAAAACATAGAGGAAACTCTTCATGAAATTGGGCTGGGCAAGGATATTTTGTGTAAGACCTCAAAAGCACAGGCACCTAATGCAAAAATAGACAAATGGGATTACATCAAACTAAAAAGCATCTTCAGAGCAATGGAAACTATCAACAGAGTGAAGAGGCAACCTACAGAATGGGAGAAAGTATTTGTAAACTATGTATTTGGTTAATATCTGGAATATATAAGGAATGCAAACAACTCAATAGTATAAAACTAAATAATCTTATTAAAAAATGAGTCAGGGTGGGCATGGTGGCTCACACCTGTAATCCCAGCACTTTGGGAGGCCGAGGTGGGTGGATCATGAAGTCAACAGATCAAGACCATCCTGGCCAACATGGTGAAACCCTGTCTCTACTAAAAATAAAAAAATTAGCTGGGCGTGGTGGCGTGCGCCTGTAGTTCCACCTACTTGGGAGGCTGAGGCAGGAGAATCACTTGAACCTGGGACATGGAGGTTACAGTGAGCTGAGATCACACCACTGCACTACAGCCTGGTGACAGAGCAAGACTCAGTCTCAAAAAAAAAAAAAAAAGGGAACAAAGTCCTGCATAGACATTTTTCAAAATAATACATTGAAATTTCCAACAGATGCATGAAAAAATTTTCAGCATCACTAAACATAAGGAAAATTCAAATCAAAACCACATTGATATATTACTTTACCCCAGTCAAAATGATTATTATCTGAAACACAAAATAATAACAAATGCTGGTGGGGCCATTGAGAAAGGAGAACTCTGAATCACCATTGGTGATGGAAGTTCCTCAAAGAATTAAAAATAGAATTACCACATGATCCAGGAATCCCACTACTGGGTATATATCGAAAGGGAATGACATCAGTATGTTGAAGAGATATCTTCATTCCCATGCTTGTTGCAGCACTATTCACAATAGCCAATACATAAATGCCCATCTATAGATAAGTAAAGAAAAGTGTATATGTACACATATGTATATGTATGTGTGTGCATGCACACATATGTACATGTATGTACCCGTGCACACATATGTACATGTATGTGTGCTATGTACCTATATGTGTGCATATGTACACATATGTACATATATGTGTGCATATGTGCACATATGTACATATGTGTGTGCATATGTGCACATATGTGTATATGGTAATTTCCCTCATTTGTCATACACACACACACAATGGAATACTACTCAGCCATAAAACAGAGTGAAATCGGCCGCGCGCGGTGGCTCACGCCTGTAATCCCAGCACTTTGGGAGGCCAAGGCAGGCGGATCACGAGGTCAGGAGATCGAGACCATCCCGGCTAAAACGGTGAAACCCCGTCTCTACTAAAAATACAAAAAATTAGCCGGGCGTAGTGGCGGGCGCCTGTAGTCCCAGCTACTTGGGAGGCTGAGGCAGGAGAATGGCGTGAACCCGGGAGGCGGAGCTTGCAGTGAGCCGAGATCCCGCCACTGCACTCCAGCCTGGGCGACAGAGCGAGACTCCGTCTCAAAAAAAAAAAAAAAAAAAAAAAAAAACAAAAAAAAAAAACAGAGTGAAATCCTGCCATTTGTGGCAACACAAATGAACAATGGAGGACATTACGTGAAGTGAAATAAGCCAGTCATAAAAAGACAAATACCACATGATCTCACTCATATGTGGAATCTAAAAAGGCTGATTTTATAGATTGAGAAAGTAGAATAGTGGTTACTAGAGGCTGAGGAGGGTAGAAAGGAGAGGGGGAATGGAAGAGGTTGGTCAGTGGGTACAACGTTACAGTTAGGAAGAATATTCTGGTGTTCTATTACACAGTAGGGTGACTACAGCAAATAATAATCTAGCATATATTTCAAGATAGATAGAAGACTTTGAATGTTGCCACCACAAAAAATTTATGTTTAAAGTCACAGATATGGTAATTTCCCTGATTTGATTGTTATATAATATATACATGCATTGAAGCATCATACTGTACACCATAAATATTTACAATTAATTTGAGGCTTTTTTGGCATGAGCTTTTGTCACTTTATTGTTAACCAATGAATATTATCCAAAATTAGAGATGTAATTGTAACTTAATTGTACAACACAAAATTATGCTAATGGTCAAAGCCTACTGGGATTTACCAAATACTCATAAGTGTATTTTTACATTGACTATATGAACATGTGCTCAAGACTGCTAATGATAAGTTATAATTGGTTTAATCTCTTTGAAAATCCATATTGCAATTAGCCAGGCGTGGTGGTGCATGCCTGTAATCCCAGCTACTTGGGAAGCTGAGGCAGTAGAATCACCTGAACCTGGGAGGTGGAGGTTGCAGTGAGCTGAGATCGTGCCATTGAACTCCAGCCTGGGCAACAAAAGCGAAACTCAGTCTCAAAGAAACAAACAAACAAACAAAAGGAAATCCATATTGCAAATGGTTCTTGTTTAGAAAAATTCACACAATCTTAAAAATGGATTAAATCCATTTTAATCCTAATCTACAAATAGATCATAAACAGCAAAATATATCTGATAATTTTTCAAGCTATGGTAGTGCACATAATTCAAAATGAGGAAATCCAATGAAAGTTCAGGTTTTTATGTATTATGGCAATTGCTTTAAAGTGAACATTTATGTTTCAAAACATGAATAGTAAGGGTCCACCATCCATTCCTTTGATGTACTGCAGGTAGGAACATTCTCTTCCATAGGATTCTGAAGCATGTGCACAACTATGGTACAACAGTCACTTCAAGGTTAACCAGCTACGTTTTGTCCTACAAAGTTCAAAAAATATATTAAATGCAACCTTTCTTTTTCATAATGTCTGCCCAGATTAATCCTTTTAAAGTCAGCAAAATCAAAAAAGTACAAGAGTTATTTTCAGACACAACTTGAATCTACTGTGTATGAAAATGTTTAATAAAATGGCAATTTTAATAGATAAATGTAAATTTGAGTGTGTAACACCAAATGGAAAGTAGCTGAACCCCACAGAGTAAACAAGGCTTTACGTTATCTCCAAATTTAGCTGTTTTACAGTAAACAAAGTATTAGAACATGTGAATATTAGAGCCTCCTAACTGGAAAGATTTCTTCAGTAAGATATAATGGAAATTAATATAAACTAAAATTATAATTTCTAAAATAGAATTAACAAACCAAATTTAAGTATTTTTAGTTAGATACTGGAAAAAAATAAGCACAGTGATCTAGAAACCAAATATACTAAAATGATTATGTAACTATCATATCAAGGTACAGACATTCTTCATATGCTACAAGGTTAGCATCTCTCTCTCACACACACACACACACACACACACACACACAAACACACACACATACTCTCTCTCTCTCTTATTCTCTCTCTCACTCTTCCTCAGCCATACGACACCCCTCCAAGATGATAGTATACCAGTGAGGAGCTTACAATTTTAATACAAATCAGAATCCCACAGTTTGGCTCAATAAAAAGGCAGTTAAACATTTGGCACTTTAAGATATTCTGAGGGAAAATGAAATTTCAAAAGTATTTCTCGATGATTGAGACTATCGTTATGAATTATAAAACATATAGCTTACACACTCCGTTGTGTTTGAACAACCAGTCATCAGAGGTGTAGTAGTGAGGTAGTATTGTCATCCCCTCCTCAGGACTGACGTTTTTATATGCTGCCCTTCCAGAAAGGTCCAGGTTTTAAAAAATAATTAAAATCAGTTACCAACAAATGTATACTTTGTTTTATTAATAATCTGTTTTTCTAAATCAGTCTATAAAAGAACAAGACTTTTAAAATCATGCAGAGACTGTTTCATCAACAAACTCTCCTAGGGAACTACTACTGCTGTCCAAACCTCTGTGAAATGGTAGGCAAAAAAAGCCATCAAAGGATTACAGGAGATAATACACCAATCAATGTAGCTGTTAAAGATGACTGTGATTAGATAACCAAATGTCAAATATCCAATTAGGTAATTAAATTTGGATTAAAAAAACTAACCACCAGCTGTACATACATTATTAAATGTTCTAATCTTTTTCATTATTCATAAACATATTCTACATAATGATCCAAGACTGTCTACTGTGCTGCTTACCATCATTTTAAACACTGCCTGATCTGTATGATGGTGGAATTATGGCTATGGGCATGGCAGATATGAGAAGGGCACACTGAGAAAATGTGAGCGAGAGAGAATGTGGAAATATATACAGGTTAAATATGGAAGAGGCAAGGGAAATCCATTAAAATGTTCACCATTATCATTTAAAATGTGCATAGAACTGAAACCACACATACGCATTTGTCAGACATGCTAATTAGTGTTAACCTTCAACAGAAAAAAAAAAAAAGAAAAGAAAGAATGTGAAAGGAAGCAATGGAACACCATTCTCCATTCCCTGGACCAAAAGAAAAAGAAAACCAAGCATGATATCATACTTCCTTAATGTTGAAGAGCTCCCCTTAAATTTGTCTTTTAGCTAGCACAGTCAAACTGGTATAAGTGCTTTGGCGAGGTGGGATGCATTCCACCGTATCCGCAAAGGCCTGCTTTTCTCTGTTGGTGGTTCAGCTTATGCAGAACATATATGCAAAATAACAGCTCTCACATTGCTTCAAACTCATCGATACACAGGTTTGTATTGCCTTGTCGAATCTGTCGCAGAGTCTTGTACTTATCACGGCCTGCTTTAACATTCTCAGCATGAAGAACATCATTTTGTGCCCAATACAACTGGCAGACAACTTTTTGACCAGATGGTGAAAACAGTTGGTTTGCGTGAGGTCTGGTTTTTTTGGGCTGCAGTATGTAGACAGCAAAGGTTATCCTACATGGCTTAAACTAAATAAAAAGGTGACACAGCAAGATGTTAAAAAAGTGAATCCTTTACAGTTCTAGTTTAGAGCTAAATTCTTTCCTGAAGATGTTTCTGAGGAATTAATTCAAGAAATAACCCAGAGACTCTTCTTGCAAGTTTAAGAAGCCATCTTAAAGGATGAAATATATTGCCCG
This sequence comes from Homo sapiens, assembly GCF_000001405.40. Classification (NCBI taxonomy): domain Eukaryota; kingdom Metazoa; phylum Chordata; class Mammalia; order Primates; family Hominidae; genus Homo; species Homo sapiens. Next base: position 27,518,173 of record NC_000023.11, read on the forward strand.
CCAGAAACTGCAGTTCTTTTGGCTTCCTATGCTGTCCAAGCCAAGTATGGAGGTTATAATAAAGAGATTCATAAGCCAGGCTACCTGGCTAATGATAGAATCCTACCCCAGCGTGTTTATTGGAACAACACAAACTAACAAAAGAACAGTGGGAAGAAAGAATACAGAACTGGCATGAAGAACATAGAGGAATGCTAAGGGAGGATTCTATGATGGAAAACCTGAAGGTTGCACAAGATCTAGAAATATATGGTGTCAACTATTTTGAAATGAAAAACAAAAAGGGGGTCAGGCGTGGTGGCTCATGCCTGTAATCCAGCACTTTGGGAGGCCGAGGCAGGCGGATCACGAGGTCAGGAGTTCGAGACCAGCCTGACCAACATGGTGAAACCCCGTCTCTACTAAAAATACAAAAAATTAGCCGGGCTTGGTGGCTTGCACCTGTAATCCCAGCTACTCAGGAGGCTTAGGCAGGAGAATCACTTGAACCCGGGAGGTGGAGGTTGCAGTGAGTCGAGATCGTGCCACTGCACTCCAGCCTGGGTGACAAGAGCGAGACTCCATCTCAAAAAAAATAATAATAAGTAATAAAATAAATATAAGAATAAAAATAAAAAGGGAACTGAATTGTGGCTAGGTGTTGATGCTTTGAGTCTGAATATTTATGAGCATGATGACAAGTTGACATCTAAAATTGGTTTTCCCTGGAGTGAAATCAGAAATATTTCATTTAATGACAAAAAAATTGCTATAAAGCCAATAGACAAAAAGGCACCTGATTTTGTTTTTTATGCACCTCATCTGAGAATCCATAAGGGGATTTTGGCCTTATGTATGGGAAACCATGAACTATACATGCGAAGAAGGAAGCCTGATACTATTGAAGTACAACAGATGAAGTCTCAGGCTAGGGAGGGGAAACATCAGAAGCAGTTGGAAAGGGCACAATTACAGAATGAAAAGAAGAAAAGAGAAATAGCAGAAAAGGAAAAGGAAAGAATAGAACGTGAAAAGGAAGAGCTAATGGAACGTCTAAGACAGATTGAAGAACGGACAATTAAAGCCCAGAAATAACTAGAAGAACAGACTCAAAAAGCTCTAGAACTGGATCAAGAATGAAAACGAGCAAAAGAAGAAGCAGAGCGGCTTGAAAAGGAGCGTCGAGCTGCTGAAGAGGCGAAGTCTGCCGTAGCAAAACAAGCTGCCGACCAGATGAAGAATCAGGAGCAGCTAGCAGCACTTGCTGAATTCACTGCCAAGATTGCACTTCTAGAAGAAGCCAAGAAGAAAAAGGAAGAGGAAGCTACTGAGTTGCAACACAAAGCTTTTGCAACCCAGGAAGACTTGGAAAAGACCAAAGAAGAGTTAAAAACTGTGATGTCTACCCTCTCTCCACCTCCACCACCAGTCATTCCTCCGACAGAAAACGAACATGATGAGAATAATGCTGAGGCTAGTGCTGAATTATCAAATGAAGGGGTAATGAACCATAGAAGCGAGGAAGAACGTGTAACAGAAACACAGAAAAATGCGCGTGTTAAGAAGCAACTTCAGGCATTAAGTTCAGAATTAGCCCAAGCCAGAGATGAAACCAATTTGAGGCTTTTAATCTGATTTTTTTAAAGGTTAAATACGAACAATTATCATGTCATCTATAAATTTCAAAAAATAATGAAAAAGGATGTGTGAATAAATTTTTTCTTATGATATTTTAATTATATACTTTTTTTGAAATATTAAATTGGTAAAACCAAATTGTCAAATGTAGGATGCATTAAAATATTGATAAATTAGATGAAAGAAAATTCCAATGTTTATGTAAAATTTGGTTTTTAAAAATATAACATTCTTCCCATTTAGTTACTATTTCTCTATTTTATGTATTATATTCACTTGGAAAATTCTATCAATACAACAAAACAAATGTTTAATGTAAAACTTCAATCAAATTGACCATTATTTTGTCTTCAAAAATCAATTTATTTAATTTAGTCAATTTTTTAACTTCCTAATAATATTTTTTAAAAGAGACAACTTGATTTCAAGGTTTGATTTTGGGAGAAGATTAACGTCATGAATATTAAACCCCAATATTCATTATTTAGCAGGTTTATATTTAGAATTACATTGAGAGATTTAAAAAGCTGTAGAGAACATTAACGTAATCAATGGCAAGTGCAGAGCTAAATGATTTCTGTCAAATAATATTAGTGCATTTTGAAAGTTTCATAACCTTAATGTAATCAATGGCAAGTGCAGAACTAAATGATTTCTGTCAAATAATATTAGTGCATTTTGAAAGTTTCATAAATGGCTAAATTAAGGTAAGAATCGTTTTAACTCTTATCTTTCATCAAATATCTTCTATTTTCAATCAGTACTGCTGTGTTATGCCTTTTAAGTTGACAGAATGAATAATTTCTTCTGTCTTCAAATAAAAAATGTCCAAAACATTAATAAAATACAAAGGTCCATTTCTGACCTTGCAAGTGTATGATAGGCTGTATATAACAATATCCTATCTGTTAAATAATAAAGAAATACTTCTTGCCCTGATAAAGTTAGATGTTAAGAAATTGTGTCAATAGCTGAATAATACGTCTCTATTGTTATCTATCTAAATTCAGAAATAAAGGTGTCAAGAATTGTAGGCCATTTTCTTCCTAGAAATTTCTGGAGAGAATGTGAATTTAATCCAGTCAGATTTTGTTCTCAAAATATGAGAACTTTCAGGCAGATATGTGCATTTCTAAGAATATATTGGATTTGTCAGGGGAAAACAGTTTATTTCCATATGAATATTTTCACAATATCCTGTAACAGTTGGCAGTGTAAGTATAAGTTTCCAACAGATACATTCAAGTGTTTTATGAAATTATTAAGTTATAAAAACGATAATTGTAAACTTTATTAAACTCATTTGTTCTTATATATACACATGAATTCAATTAAGATTTAATACAAATTAAATACATTTCTTTACATAATCTTCAGATGGCCATTACCACCATGTGACATCAAGTAGACTTGCTGCCCATATTTTTGCCTTATTTCCAAGTTTCAAATAATTTTTCCGTCACCAGAATTCTTTCAAAAAACATCTTCTAAAATAAATTTGGTTGTACTGTATAAAGAAAAACTCTTCTGTGTCTGTTAAGTTGCCACATTCAACTTCAATTTTCAATCCTGTGCTTTGCCATACATCTTTAGAAACAGCTTAGGATTTTACACATCTCTGTCTCTTCCAAGCTATTTCATTCTCTGCTGCTTACTCTGAAGTTCTGAAGTTAAGCTTTAATCTCCATAAAGCATTTCAACAGAAGGTAAAAGAAGGAACACTTCAACAGTTGCACAGAAAACTATGGAGAACGCTGTGAAATATTGGAATACGTGGTTTCACTATTTAGTTAAAGACTGATGTTTTGTGGAGTTTTATAAATATATTCACAGTATACACCATGAAAATATTTATATATAAATTGATTTTTTGTCATCTCACAATTGTAGGAAATGAAAAACTAATGTCTTATTTTTGACATTCATAGCTACACATACTTTTGCTATTTTTCACAAAAACCTCTAAAAAGAGTAAAACTTTAGAATTAGAAAATGCGTCTATATTTATTAGAACGAAAAAGGTATATATGTATATACTAAGCATCCTATTTGCCTTTTTTGTAAATTAAATGGATTAATGTTGCTACTGATACATGCAAGATAATAGATTTCAAGAAATCTCCTTGTAGACATGTTTTGCTGAAAGGGGGACATATGTTTGGGAAATATTTTATGCAAATTTGCCAAATAATGCTTCTCTTCACCTAATAAATATTTCAGAAGCATTAGTGTTTGGAACTCAGTGTGTATTTTTTGAGACAGAGTTTTGCTCTTGTTGCCCAGGCTGAAGTGCAGTGGCGCGATCTCGGCTCACCACAAGCCCCGCCTCCTGGCTTCAAGCAATTCTCCTGCCTCAACCTCCCGAGTAGTTGGGATTACAGGCGTGAACCACCAGGCCCAGCTAATTTTGTATTTTTAGTAGAGACGGGTTTTCTCCATGTTGGTCAGGCTGCTCTCAAACTCCTGACCTCAGGTGATCCGCCTGCCTCGGCCTCCCAAAGTGCTAGGATTACAGGCGTGAGCCACCGTGCCCGGCCCCCAGTGTGTACTTTTGTATGTGTATATGTATGTGTATGTATGTGCATGTGTTTTGTTTTTCCTCTTATTTCATTTTGTCATACTTTATTGCTCTTTCTGTTATTGTTATAATTTTTTTATTGTGGAAAGAAAACCACATAACATGAGAGTTACTCTCTTAATTTCTAAGTGTACATTACAGTACTGTTAACTATAGGCAAATGTTGGGCAGCAAAATTCTAGAACTTCTTCATTTTAAATAAACTGGATTTTAATAGCCATCAAAAAGCAATTCCGCATTTCCCCTGTTACCAGACCCTGGAGACCATTATTCTACTCTGTTTCTATGAATTTGACAAATCATACATCATTTGTGCTTCTGTGACTGGTTTATTTCACTTAGCATAATGTCCTCAAAACATGTCATCCATGTTGTAGTACATGACAGAATTCCCTTCTTCTTAGTAGTCTGTAGCATTTTTCATTTTATTTCTTCTTTTAGTAGAATCCATTGAGTATTGACATGAAGCAAGTAGATAAGCTTAACCTGTACTCATGAACAATGATGAAATAGGGAGCAGACTCATGACTGATGTTTGCACTTACTAGCCCGTTCATGTACTCATCGACCTTAACAAGTGAAAAGCATAGAAGAACAAGGCTTTTCAGTGTATTTTCACTGAATATACTAAAGACATCCTTTATTTTAAGAAAATTTCAAAGAAAAATAGGCATAAACTGCCTGTAGGATTTGCATAAATAATAATGATATTAGCAAACAGACATTGAATGCTTCCTGTGAAATCATTATTTTTCTAATTGCTCCTTACGAAAGTGAAATAAAGGATGTTATGATACAAAGTATACGGATAAGGAAATTGAACCACAAGAAGGATAACAACACAGCTAAGACTTAATGGCATCAGAATTGAACTTAGGCAGTTTGTTTCCAGATGCTCTGCTTTTAAATCTTAATAAATGTTGCTGGACTAGACAGCCTTTAAGATGATCTAAATTATGCTTACAAATTAATATACAATATATAAATGTGTAATATATCTCTGTCAATCATCTAGCTATCTAGCTAGCTTTCTGTCTACTGAGTGTGTGTGTGTGTGTGTGTGTGTGTGTGTGTGTGTGTATAGCAATGGGTTAATTATCCAAAGGCTAATGATTTGTTTAAAGAATATTGAAAAAGATCAATTTTGTATGATAAACATAGTCCTTAGAATCTAGAGTCTACAATAATTAAAGCAATATAATTTCCCATCATAGATATATTTAACATTTGATGGTTAAATGTTATAGTGCTTGGAATTTTTTTTTTGTACTTTAAGTTCTAGGGTACATGTGCACAACATGCAGGATTTTTGCATATGTATACATATGCTGTGTTGGTGTGCTGCACCAGTTAACTCGTCATTTGCATTAGGTATATCTCCTAATGCTATCTCTCCCCCGTCCCCCCACCCCACAACAGGGCCTGGTGTGTGATGTTCCCCTTCCTGTGTCCAAGTGTTCTCATTGTTCAATTCCCACCTATGAGTGAGAACATGCGGTGTTTGGTTATTTGTCCTTGCCATAGTTTGCTGAGAATGATGGTTTCCAGCTTCATTCCGTTTGCCGGTATTTTATTGAGGATTTCTGCATCGATGTTCATCAGGGATATTGGTCTAAAAGTCTCTTTCGTTGTTGTGTCTTTGCCAGGCTTTGGTATCAGGATGATGCTGGCCTCATTAAATGAGTTAGGGAGGATTCCCTCTTTTTCTATTGATTGGAATAGTTTCAGAAGGAATTGTACCAGCTCCTCTTTTTACCTCTGGTAGAACTCGGCTGTGAATCCGTCTGGTCCTGGACTTTTTTTGGTTGGTAGATTCTTAATTATTGCCTCAATTTCAGAGCCTGTTATTGGTCTATTCAGGGATTCAACTTCTTCCTGGTTTAGTCTTGGGAGGGTGTATATGTCCAGGAATTTATCCATTTCTTCTAGATTTTCTAGTTTATTTGCATAGAGGTGTTTATAGTATTCTCTGATGGTAGTTTGTATTTCTGTGGGATCAGTGGTGATATCCCCTTTATCATTTTTTATTGCATCTATTTGATTTTTCTCTCTTTTCTTTTTTATTAGTCTTTCTAGTGGTCTATCAATTTTGTTGATCTTTTCAAAAAACCAGCTCCTGGATTCATTGATTTTTTGAAGGGTTTTTTGTGTCTCTATCTCCTTCAGTTCTGCTCTGATCTTAGTTATTTCTTGCCTTCTGCTAGCTTTTGAATGTGTTTGCTCTTGCTTCTCTAGTTCTTTTAATTGTGATGTTAGGGTGTCAATTTTAGATCTTTCCTGCTTTCTCTTTTGGGCATTTAGTGCTATAAATTTCCCTCTACACACTGCTTTGAATGTGTCCCAGAGATTCTGGTATGTTGTGTCTTTGTTCTCATTGGTTTCAGAGAACATCTTTATTTCTGCCTTCATTTCGTTATGTACCCAGTAGTCATTCAGGAGCAGGTTGTTCAGTTTCCATGTAGTTGAGCGGTTTTGAGTGAGTTTCTTAATCCTGAGTTCTAGTTTGATTGCATTGTGATCTGAGAGACAGTTTGTTATAATTTCTGTTCTTTTACATTTGCTAAAGAGTGCTTTACTTCTAACTATGTGGTCAATATTGGAATAAGTGCGATGTGGTGCTGAGAAGAATGTATATTCTGTTGGTTTGGGGTGGAGAGTTCTGTAGATGTCTATTTGGTCTGCTTGGTGCAGAGCTGAGCTCAATTCCTGGAAATCCTTGTTAACTTTCTGTCTCGTTGATCTGTCTAATGTTGACAGTGGGGTGTTAAAGTCTCCCTTTATTATTGTGTGGGAGTCTAAGTCTCTTTGTAGGTCTCTAAGGACTTGCTTTATGAATCTGGGTGCTTCTGTATTGGGTGCATATATATTTAGGATAGTTAGCTCTTCTTGTTGAAGTGATCCCTTTACCATTATGTAATGGCCTTGTTTGTCTCTTTTGATCTTTGTTGGTTTAAAACCTGTTTTATCAGAGACTAGGATTGCAACTCCTGCCTTTTTTTGTTTTCCATTTGCTTGGTAGATCTTCCTCCATCCCTTTATTTTGAACCTATGTGTGTTTCTGCATGTGAGATGTGTCTCCTGAATAGAGCACACTGATAGGTCTTGACTCTATCCAATTTGCCAGTCTGTGTCTTTTAATTGGAGCATTTAGCCCATTTACATTTAGGGTTAATATTGTTATGTGTGAATTTGATCTTGTCATTATGATGTTAGCTGGTTATTTTGCTCATTAGTTGATGCAGTTTCTTCCTAGTGTCAATGGTCTTTACAATTTGGCATGCTTTTGCAGTGGCTGATACCAGTTTTTCCTTTCTATGTTTAGTGCTTCCTTCAGGAGCTCCTACAGGGCAGGCCTGGTGGTGACAAACTCTCAGCATTTGCTTGTCTGTAAAGGATTTTATTTCTCCTTCACTTATGAAGCTTAGTTTGGCTGGATATGAAATTCTGGGTTGAAAATTCTTTTCTTTAAGAATGTTGAATATTGGCCCCCACTCTCTTCTGGCTTGAGAGTTTCTGCCGAGAAATCAGCTGTTAGTCTGATGGGCTTCCCTTTGTGGGTAACCCGACCTTTCTCGCTGACTGCTCTTAACATTTTTTCCTTCATTTCAACTTTGGTGAATCTGACAATTATGTGTCTTGGAGTTGCTCTTCTCAAGGAGTGTCTTTGTGGCATTCTCTGTATTTCCTGAATTTGAATGTTGGCCTGCCTTACTAGGTTGGGGAAGTTCTCCTGGATAATATCCTGCAGAGTACTTTCCAACTTGGTTCCATTCTCCCCGTCACTTTCAGGTACACCAATCAGACATAGATTTGGTCTTTTCACATAGTCCCATATTTCTTGGAGGCTTTGTTCATTTCTTTTTATTCTTTTTTCTCTAAACTTCTCTTCCTGCTTCATTTCATTCATTTGATCTTCAATCCTGATACCCTTTCTTCTAGTTGATCGAATCAGCTACTGAAGCTTGTGTATTCATCACGTAGTTCTCGTGCCATGGTTTTTAGCTCCATCAGGTCATTTAAGGACTTCTCTACACTGGTTATTCTAGTTAGCCATTCATCTAATCTTTTTTCAAGGTTTTTAGCTTCTTTGTGATGGGTTCGAACTTCCTCCTTTAGCTCGGAGAAGTTTGATCGTCTGAAGCCTTCTTCTCTCAACTCGTCAAAGTCATTCTCCATCCAGCTTTGTTCCATTGCTGGCGAGGAGCTGTTTTCCTTTGGAGGGGGAGAGGTGCTCTGATTTTTAGAATTTTCAGCTTTTCTGCTCTGTTTTTTCCCCATCTTTGTGGTTTTATCTACCTTTGGTCTTTGATGATGGTGATGTACAGATGTGGTTTTGGTGTGGATGTCCTTTCTGTTTGTTAGTTTTCCTTCTGACAGTCAGGACCCTCAGCTGCAGGTCTGTTGGAGTTTGCTGGAGGTCCACTCCAGACCCTGTTTGCCTGGGTATCAGCAGCGGAAGCTGCAGAACAGCGAATATTGCTGAACAGCAAATGTTGCTGTTTGATCGTTCCTCTGGAAGCTTCGTCTCAGAGGGATACCCAGCTGTGTGAGGTGTCAGTCTGCCCCTACTGGGGGGTGCCTCCCAGTTAGGCTACTCAGGGGTCTGGGACCCACTTGAGGAGGCAGTTTGTCTGTTCTCAGATCTCAAGCTCCATGCTAGGAGAACCACTACTCTCTTCAAAGCTGTCAGACAGGGACATTTAAGTCTGCAGAGGTTTCTGCTGCCTTTTGTTCAGCTATGGCCTGCTCCCAGAAGTGGAGTCTACAGAGGCAGGCAGGCCTCCTTGAGCTGTGGTGGACTCCACCCAGTTTGAGCTTCCAGGCTGCTTTGTTTACCTATTCAAGGCTCAGCAATGGTGGGTGCCCCTCCCCCAGCCTCGCTGCCACCTTGCAGTTCGATCTCAGACTGCTGTGCTAGCAATGAGCAAGGTTCCATGGGTGTAGGACCCTCCAAGCCAGGCACAGGATATAATCTCCTGGTGTGCTGTTTGCTAAGACCATTGGAAATGTGCAGTATTGTGGGGGAGTGACCCGATTTTCCAGGTGCCATCTGTCACACCTTCCTTTGGCTAGGAAAGGGAATTCCCTGACCCCTTTTGCTTCCTGAGTGAGGCAATGCCTCACCCTGCTTCGGCTCACGCTCGGTGGGCTGCACCCACTGTCCTGCTCCCACTGTCCGACAAGCCCCAGTGAGGTGAACCTAGTACTTCAGTTGGAAATGCAGAAATCACCTGTCTTCTGTGTCGCTCACACTGGGAGCTGTAGACTGGAGCTATTCAGCCATCTTGGAACCTCCGGATTTTTTTTTTTTTCCGCTCATGTCACCCAGGCTTGAGTGCAGTGGCACGATCTCAGCTCACCACAACCTCTGCCTCCTGGGTTCAAGCAATTCTCTTGTCTCAGCCTCCCAAGTAGCTGGGACTACAGGTGCCCACCACCATGCCTGGCTAATTTTTGTATTTTTAGTAGAGACAGGTTTTCACCATGTTGGTCAGGCTGGTCTCAAACTCCTGACCTCAGGTGGTCAGCCCATCTTGGCCTCCCAAAGTGCTGGGATTACAGGCATAAGCCACTGTGCCAGGTCTAGTGCTTGGAATTATTAAATTCCAATTTAATTTAATTAATTATTAAATTAAATTTTTAATTTAATTAATTATTAAATTAAATTTTTAATTTAATTAATTATTAAATTAAATTTTTAATTTAATTAAATTAATTATTAGACTAATTTTTAATTTAATTTAATTAATTATTAAATTATAATTAAATTATTAAATTGTGGTTCAAAGCAGTCACTTGCTCCTTCTGATTAAAAAATGAAGAATGGAAATGTAATTTACTACAAGAAACAATGTATTGGTTGAGAAATTATTGAGACCGTTGCTCATCTTTATTATTCACCTTAGCATATTCTCTGTTTACTATGCTCTTGTGTATACCAGAATGTATGTTTCTCACACAGGAAGATGGTATTAAACATCATAGTATTCTGATTTCTAAAAACATTAATTTCGACAATATTCTTCCTCTCAAGGATTCTTATAAAATTCTGTTTTACATATATATGTATGTGTATATATACATATATGTGTGTGGTTATGTGTATGTGTATATATATATATATATATATATATACACACACACACACATACACATATATGTTTATGTATATGTACAAGTTTAATGTTTATAACTTTAATGACAATGAAATTGAATTTAAAACTGAAGTGAAAAATATCTTATGTCTTAGCAATAATAAGTTAGCACCCCAGTAATAAACAAGTATTATTCTTTATTTTTCAGGAAATGACACTTGGATCTTTTAACAACACTCTTTGTTTTTCCAGTTTTTGAACTGCATTGCTTTATTTTGATCAACCTAGTGACTACATTTAACCTCTCATCACCTTTAAATAAACTGAGCGTCATTCAGTTAGGTATAATACTATGCAGGATTGTGTCAATGTATATGCAAGAATTTGAGTTTGAAAACTGAATTCACTAGTGGAAGAAAGTGCTATAACAACTAGTGCAATTGTATCCTATTACCTAATTTCTGATCCTGTAGTAGGTTCACTTTCCTGCCCTATGATTACGTGAGTTGTTGTGGTCAATGAAATATAACAGTGACATGTGACACTTCAGTGTGAAAGCTTGAAGGGCTAGGGAATTATAGGCCTCATTATCTTTCTCTTGCTAAAGTGATCATAAAAGTACATGATGCCTCTGTCATCTCAGGTCCCTGTTTAGTAACAATAAGCCAAGACCCCCTGTCAATTTACATTTGACATATATCATATGTAAGAAATAAACTTTATTTTCTTCCAGTAGCAGGGATTATTGTTATTGCAGTATAATCTTGCCCATCCTGGATGGCACTGAACTACTCCAAAGAGTATGACTCTCCTATAGCAAAACCCCTAAAATAGCCTACATTCAAGACAGTGAAGGGCTAAGAAATTATTACTGAAAGAAAAAAGGAAGCTGATTGATAATATGCATCAGTGTAATATTTGGCAAAACTCTCAACTGCAATAACATAAAAATTAGATCAGGTACCTAATGAACTTACAGCCCCAAGGAAAGAAAAGAAAGAATAAAATGTTAGTAATGAGTGTTGGTTGCTGTTGGTTATGTTTACAAGGTGTTACAAGAAATTGGTAAGCACACAAAATAATCAGATGATTTGCAAGCAAGAATGAAAAAAGTATAGAAAATCCTTAAATTTAAGGACATGTAGGGTTGAAAAGTCAAGTGATTCTCAAAACCAATTAGTGATAGATATTTTTAAGCAATACTTTGAGCAACAAAGGGCTGATTAAAACTCAGAAGTGAATTGCATGAAGGATTAAATCAAGAATTGGTCATCACACAAATTGTTGAAACATATGAATTGTTCAAATTATATCACAGTAAGTATCTGAACCTCACAATAAAGATTGTGATACAAAGAAACTCCCTTCAGCTAAACAAAATATCTTGGGAAAAAGAGAATAACATTGTAGTCTCATGGTACACAGAATTAAGTTCATGGGTATAGGGACAGAGTCTAAAAATCAAGGAACAATAACAAATAGAAGAATTTTGTTAAGCAAAAAATGGGTGTGACCATTGGCACACACAGCTTAGTGAAATTAAATAGAAGCTTGCTGATTGTTTTTGGAAAGAGCCTGGAATAAAAGAGACTAACAGACAAAATCACATTTGGTTCTCCAATTTTATATGAAAAGAAAGCAGTTTGAAAATAACTGGATAAAGAGAACATATTCTTAGATGCCCAATGTAGGTGTGAACAAAGTGAATAATAGAAAAGGAAGGGCCTCTCAGGGGAAGAACCAATTGCTGGGAAGGACAATATCCTAAGGAGCAGAACTGGAGTTCAACAAAAAAAACATTATCTACCCAATGTACAGAAGTCCCTTGCAAGATCTTCCCAGCAAGATCATAGAACTAAAATGCATAAATGATTGCTGTATACTCCCCCCCCAAACCCCGCCATTCTTCTGTTTTCTATACAGGAGAACTTATTGTATATATCTTGTCCCTGTTCCACAAGTATATATTGGTTGAGTGTAGAGCAGATAATCCTACCTTTGGTCATAAGTTTTCAAATCAAGAGGAGCAAGCAGATTTGATGTGGGCTACTGCACGTCATCTGGTGTAGTGGAGATTACTGATCTTCAGCCAGAGGTAATTGTATTTAAGTTTTACTGGACTTGAAAAAAACTCTTGTGTGGTGCCTCAAGGAAAGAGTATATTCACTTTGCCTACAGGATGGAGACAAATTGATGTTTTGTCCAGAACGTGGATTGTGGTAGTCACCTGAGCAGTTCAAATATTTCCTGCTGTCCGCCTTACAGGTACATTGTAGAATTACACTCACTCATTGAATTGAGGTACGGTCATATTATTTGCTTTGCAAATGAAAAGTAGGTGAAAGTGATATATGCTACCCCTGGGCAGAAGACAAGAAATAGTCTATCATTCTAGACATTTTCTCCTCCCTGCAGAGGTGATCATGAAAGCTTAGGATGAGAGGGAGAGTCTTGAAGTCTGGTTTGCTTAGTGAATGCAGACTTCCCATTTCTCCCCTGATGACCAGTATTGGCCATGTATCGTAAACAAGAACCAAAATTTCTTATGCTAAATCACAAAGATTTGTGGAGTTTTTGTTACAGTAGCATAACCTGACATGTAGTGGCTGATTCTGAAAGTGTGTAAGAATGAGCATGTATTAGTCTGTTCTCACACTTCTAATAAAGACATACCCAAGACTGGGTAATTTATAAAGGAAAGACGTTTAATTGGCTCGCAGTTCCACATAGCTGGGGAGGCCTCACAATCATTCAGAAGGCGAATGTGGAGCAAGGTCATGTCTTACATGGCAGCAGGCAAGCGGGCATGTGCAGGGGAACTCCCCTTTATAAAACCATCAGATCTCATGAGACTTATTCACTATCATGAGAACAGCATGGGAAAATCCCACCCCACTGATTCAATTACCCGCCTTGGGTCCTTCCTATGACACATGGGGACTCTTACAATTCAAGGTGAGATTTGGGTGCAGACACAAAGCCAAACCATATCAGAACACATATGTTGAATTAATCCCATTAAAATATGGCCATATAGAAAATGTTCTTTTACTACACCAACAATAAAAATTGGAAATATAAAAGCACTAGAAACTTTGAATAGTTTATGCAAAATAATCTGTAAATAAGTGTGTTTCCTTGATTTCCTGGTGCCAAAAACTGTCTGAGAAATAGAGAACATTATACCCACAGGAACATTGCTTTAATCAAAGAGATATAAACAAAAGACAAGGATAAACAATCCAGTATTTGAGGGGCTACATCTGTTTTCCATCTATGTGTTTGAGAATAGATTCTGGTCCTTAAGGCCATAAAAAGTGTACAAGCCATAATGGGAGGCTTATTTTCAAGTTACAGTTCATACATTCAGGGATATGTGCTAGGGATAGATAACAGGCATTGTGTACCTAGATGTCTCTAGGCACCATATATCGAAAAGGAATTCTAATCACAAAGGATGAGCCACTAGCTAAAAAGCTTTGAACCTTGCTAAAATTATCATGAGATGTTATATTGCTAACCTGATCAAAGAATTGGAAGTTAAATTATAAATACATGATTTTAATACAGATAGAGGGATGGATAGATAAATTGATATCGATATATATATATATATATTTCCTAATAATTTTCATTGAGTGAGTCTAAAGCAATGACTGCTCTAGTGGGGCAATAAGCACACTCAGGGTAGTAGCAATGAGTGCACCTACAGTCATATCTTGGTTTCTAAATACTATTCTTTACTAAAAGGAATAAGAGCTCCTTAGATAAATGGCAGATTGCAGGGCTGGAACTGGGAAAGTATAAGATGAGCCTGGAACATCCCGCTATGCCATAAAGTAAATAAATGCTCAGAGAATTGAAAGGAACATATCAAAAGGACACAGGCACCAATCTGAAAGGGCTTCCACTAGCCAAATCTGAGACAATTTGAGAAGCCAAATAAATGGTGATAGCAGTGAATTATAAACCATAGAGAAAAATAACCCATGAGTCCTATTAATGGAAGAGTAAATGAATAAATGACTGAGAAAGCAAAGCTCTTTGTTATAAATATAAGAGATGATGGAAGTAGAAAATCACTATTTGGCAGCTATCATAGCAGCACTTGTTTCTGTTAGGAATTATAAACAGATACCAAAATCAATGAAGGAGCCAGGTGCAGTGGCTTGCACCAGTAATCCCAGCTACTGGGGAGGCTCAGGCAGGAGGATTGCTTGAGCCCAGGAGTTCCAGACCAGCCTAGGCAACATAGTGAGACCCATATTTATTTATTTATTTATTTATTTATTTATTTATTTATTTATTTATTTTTAATTAGCAAAGCCAGGGCCCGCACTTGGTGGCTCACACCTATAATCCCAGCACTTTGCGGGGCTGAAGCAGGAGGATCACTTGAGGTCAGGTGTTCGAGAACAGCCTGGGCAGCATGGCAAAACCCCATCTCTACTAAAAATACAAAAAATTAGCTGGGCGTGGTGGCACGTGCCTGTAATTGCAGGTACTTGGGAGGCTGAGGCATGAGAATCACTTGAACCTGGGAAGCGGAGGTTGCTGTGAGCCGAGATTGAACCACTGCCCTCCAGCCTGAGTAATAGAGTGAGACTCTGTTTCAAAGAAAGTTAAAAAGAAAGAAAGGAAGAAAGGAAGGAAGGAAGGGAAAGGAAGGAAGGAAGGAAGAAAGAGAGAGAGAGAGAGAGAGAGAAAGAAAGAAAGAAAGAAAGAAAGAAAGAAAGAAAGAAAGAAAGAAAGAAAGAAAGAAAGAAAGAAAGAGAAAGAAAGAAAGAAAGAAAGAAAGTCAAGCCTGGTGGTGTATGCCTTTAATCTCAGCTACTCGGGAGCCTGGGGCAGGAGGATCACTTGAACCCGAGAGTTCAAGGCCGCAGTGAGCTATGTATGATCATGCTACTGCACTCCAGCATGGGATACCCCATCTCTACAAAAAATTTAGTGAAAACATTTTTAAAATAAAAAAAAATTAGATTAGTAAAAATGGGGAAATGTATTTACATAGTATTAAGATATTTATTAATTACAAAATATCCACCTTATAATAAAGAAGCCAGATGCATATCACTTTCACCAAATAATTAATGTTAACCTTGTCATTAGTGAGTCAAATATGCATTGTGTACTTCATGCTATGATACATTGACAGTGATATATCATATCTGGTGTATTCTTGACAAAAATGCACAAGGTCAATTTAAACAAGACAAAAAACCTGAACTGATTGACATGGTATAAAATAGTTTATACTCTTCAAAAATATCAACATACTTAAAGCTTGAGAAACTCTTCCAGATTAAAGGAAATGCGTGAGACAGAACAATTAAGTTCAAATTGTAATTCTGAATTGCATATTGGACTGAATTTTATTTTTTATAATGGATGTTAAGGAACAATTGGCAAAATTTGAATAAAGAGTGTTTACAGGCTGGGCGTGGTGGCTCAGCACTGTAATCCCAGCACATGGTGGCTCAGGCCTGTAATCCCAGCACTCTGGGGGACCGAGGCAGGTGGATCACTTGAGCTCAGAAGTTCAATACCACCCTGGGCAACATGGCAAAAACCCTTCTTTACAAAAAACCCACAAAAATTAGCCAGGTGTGGTGGCACAGGCCTGTAGTCCCAGCTCCTGGGGAGGCTGAGACAGGAGGATCACTTGAGCCCTGGAGGTGGAGGTTGCAGTGAGCCGTGATCACACCACTGTGCTTCAGCCTGGGCTACAGAGAGACCCTGTCTCAAAAAAAAAAAAAAAAGTGTTTTTGCATTGATGTCAATATCTCGACTTTGATAATTGTACTTTGTTTATGTAAGAGAATGTTCTTGTTTTTATGAAAACACATTGTAAGTATTTAGAAGCATCATAACTGCAACTTATTCTCAAAAGTCCCAGATAGTTCAAAAATATGTAGATAGATACATATATACGTGCATGCATACATACTTACAAATAAGTAGAGAATAACGAAGTAGTTGTTATTCACCAAATTTAACATTTGGGAAATCCAGGTAAAGGTGGTTTGGGTAACACATTCTTTTTGCTCTAAGCCTGAATTATATGACAAAATGATTCCAAGTTCAAAGTTTTATCTTCTGCCTTTATTTTACTTGACTTCTCTTTCACATTTGACATTGTTCACCAGTTCTTCTCGTGAGAAACCGTATTTCTTGAATTTGATGATACTGAATTCTGTGATATTAGAAGCACTTCTTCAGGCGATTTCGAAGACACTGATTTTCCCTAGGGTTTCTGGTCTTTTTGGTCTACACATTCCCTAAATAATAACATCTAGTTCTGTGGCTTACACTACCACATAGGAAGTTAAGGATTCCCAAATTTATATTTCAAGTCCAGATTTTTCCCTGTGCTCCTTACTCTTTTAACCAATTTCTTACTGGATGCTTTCTTCTCAATTTTCCATAGGGAGTTTATACTGAAATGTTCAAAGCTGTACATATTATTTTTCTTTTGAAACCCAATTGCTTCTTTTGTGTTCCTATACTTATTGATTACATCAGTCACTGCAGTAAAAAACACAGCAGCATCCTAAGTTGTATTCACCAAATTCTATGCGGAAAATACTTTAAACTCTCTAGTCTTTACACTAACATTCATTCATTCAACAAATATTTATTTTCTATGTATTTGGCACTGGGACTAGAGCGGTGAACAAGATGTATGTAGCTCGGTCTTTTTTCTGTTAATATTTTTAATTGGCAAATCATAATTATATGTATTTATGCTCAGTCTTGATTATGCTTGCTTTCTATTGGAAAAAGTAGACAATTAGATGTAAGTCATCTTTTTCACTCAAAGAACACATCTATTTATATTACCAAGTAACAGATTCAGTGTCAAAAATCTGAGAACTCTAGGGTAAAAAAGAAAAATTAAATCATCTCTTATCACATCGCCATCATAATTATGACATTTACTGTTACCATTTACTGCCACTGTCACCAGAGTGATGGCTTTAAAAAGCAGTTCTGATCATGTCATACCATTTCCCTGATTAAGATTCTTCAGTAGCCCACTACTGGCTATAGGAAAACCTCTAACACCTTGGCAAGGCTTCACAGCTGTTTACAGCCTTGCCTCTGCTTACCTAAAGGTACATTTTGCTTTTTTGTCCTACTCTCACCCCTCCTCTTCCTCATATTCTTCGGAGCCATCCTGAATAACTTCATGGTGCCAGAGTGCTATACTGTTGTATGTTCTGCTGAGATACCATTGGACCTGGTGCATGTATTTACTATAAAGCAAATAACATCAAATTTCAGATATTTATTTATCTTTCTTTACTGAGCTCACGCAAGTAAAAGAGACTTATTGATCTTTAAGTTTCCAATATTTACCATACCTGAGGCATAGTAGGAGTCCACAAATATATATTGAAATAATGAAATAAAAACACAGTTACGTATTATTCATTAATATAAAGAACAAATAAGATGTAATATTTTGAACTGTAGAATTTTGTCATTGCAATTTGTTACTGGGAAAAATTTGCATTCTGTTCTGAGGGACATATATAATTACTGATCTCCAATATCATCATAATTTAAACATTCTTACTAAAAGTCGTCTTTGTCATTGGTTTTATGCTATAAAAATACTACCTCCATAAATATGGCATCCCAGATAGACTATTACCTTCTATAAAAATGTACTTATCACCTTTTAAATTCTTATTCGTTTAACATTCTATTTACTTCTACTGAGGAACGAAACCCAACTAATTAATAAATAAATGAGCCAATAAATTAATTAACTATGTTTTTAAACTCTCTACTTTGACCAATGTACTTCAAGCTTGGCCCTTGGCCAGGACTGTTTATAAGGTGAACTAGGTTTCTAGTGTTCTTCTTTTGGAATGGTTAGTTACTGTTTGAAACTAAGAGTTAAAATATAGCTTTTTAATACTTCTTAGTTCTTTATGGAAATAACAGAATATAAAAAAATCCACCACTTACAGAATCACCTCTAAGGAGGATATGGTATAGGCCACCTTATTTTTAGTTGTTATATTTTGAAATGAAAATAAAACTTTTGTTGCAGAACTTTACTCCTTAGTTCAGCTAAAACTGTGTTCTTGTCACACGACCAGGGAAGACCTGGCGTGTGGACACATTGAAGGGTGAGTAGAACAGAATTGACTGGGCAAAAAGGAAAAATAGGAAAAAAAAAACTCTCAGCAAGGTGAGAGGGGATCCTGCCAGTGGGCTCCCATCTCACAGACTGAATTCCAGCCCACCATACATGAACCGAAGAGGCCCAGCTCAAGCCCCCTGCACAAGGCATGAACGTCCCATGGCTCCACCCCGTTCTCCTGGTGCACAGGCGGGTCAGAGATTATCTGGGGACCCTCCACCTTATCTGCCACCTGCATCTATCACTTTGAGGGAACCCTCATGCCTTTTCTTCCCATGTAAGTACTTGGGAATAAAAACCAAAACTGTTTATTGCCTTTCTCATTTGATAAATACATATCAAACTTATGATTATTTCTCGTACCCTCTCCCAAAATAAGAGGTTTTTTTAATTGCTATTTGCAAACTGTAAACATTTTTATTGGCAGGTAGAGGTGTTCTGTAAATGGAATCAATGTGACAGTTTGTATAGTTGGCATATTTTAAAAATTGTGTTTTTACTGAACATATAAAAAATGAATTTACAGTAAGAGCAACAACATGTAAAAGTCAAAACAAAAGTGAATAGAGCATTGGTTAGAAGTCTTTCTGTTGGTAGGAAAGGGTAGGGCACATATGAAATCATAAAGAATAAAGTCTTCACTTTATGTTATTTCAGATTGTTTATTTCCTTTGTTAATTACAGTTTAAGCACAGAAATAGAAAAAAATCAACTATAAAAGTGTGGTAGTAAATCATTTACATAACATCTAATTTTACAGCCTATGAGGATTTTGTGTTAAATATTTAATGACGGAATATGGTAAAGAGTTGGAAATTCTAGTTAAAGTTTGACAATTTGGTTAAAACAATGGAGCAAAATGAATTGAGAAGCTAAATTGTGTTTTATTGTTTAAATACAATTTTAGCCATTTCAAACTACTTATATCTTTCTAGACTCTTTGTAAGCCATTCATAATCTGGCAAAGGAGAGAGATTTACAAACTGATTACACCATAATGTGGTAAATGCACTGATGAAGGAACATGACAGGGGATTTTAAAAAGTGGCATATATTCTACTGTATGTGCACATGTATTTCCACACATGCATCTGGGCTGGTTTTACAGAGAAGGCAGAATTTTTTCTGCATATTAAAGATTGCAAAGGAATATGTAAGGCAGAGATTGGTGAGGAGAGGAAATATGTTTCAGCTCATGCAAAGACGCTGAGGTATGGATAAGCTTGGCATATTTAGCAACTGGTGAGAAATTGATATGTATTACCAACAGCATTTTATGTTATCCATTATCCTCAAAAGAATGTTTTTCCCAATATTATTTCACCATATGATCCTTTGCTCAAATATAATAATACTTGGAAACCCTATTTTTGAACAAATTATCTCAGATAATCCCAGAAACAGATGTTTTGTGTGATTAGGGTCTACAAAAAACCCTCCACCTCCCCAGTCCCTTCAGGTGATCTCTGAAGAGATTCAAAGAAACCCTTAAACATCACCCTGGAACAGTTTGAAATTCACTTTCCTGGGTCATCTGGCCCAATATTATTTGTATGCAAATTTCCCTCTAGTTTACCTATTTGTCATGCAGAAATTCTGAGCTATCAAATAATATTTTTAATTACCTGTATACCACAGTGGAGTTTTAGTACCACAACTCTTTGCAATTTAATTAGTCATACCAGTAAGAATGGGCTAGATTATGTAGATTATGCTGTTGTAACAAACAAACCCCAAGCCTTAGTAGCTTGAGACAACAAAAATTTTTATTTATTTATTTATTTATTTATTGAGATGGAGTCTTGCTTTGTCGCCCAGGCTGGAGTGCAGTGGCATGATCTTGGCTCACTGCAACCTCCGCCTCCCAGGTTCAAGTGATTCTCCTGCCTCAGCCTCCTGAGTATCTGGGATTACAGGCATGCACCACCACGCCCGGCTAATTTTTGTATTTTTAGTAGAGATGGGGTTTCACCATGTTGGCCAGGCTGGTCTCAAACTCCTGACCTCGTGATCCGCCTGCCTCGGCCTCCCAAAGTGCTGGGATTACAGGCGTGAGCACCGTGCCCGGCCCAAAAATTTATTTTTTACTCATGCTATATGACACAGGGAACTAAAGGCTTTGCTCATATTTATACACTCAGGGACCCAGGCTGATAAAAGTACTTTCTCAATAACTTCTTCCATGATAGACTTGACAGAGAGAAGAGACTTTTGAAAATCACTTATTGTCCCTTAAATCCGCCACAGAAGAGACATATTTCATTTACATTTCACATTTTACTGGTCAAATAAATGCACAAATCTATGCCGAACTTAAGCAGTGTCAGGGAAATGTAATCCTAATGTGTACCTGAAAGTATACCAATACTGATCAAACTGCACTGACTTTTGTTTTGTTTTGTTTTGCTTTTGTAGATAAAGTCTTGCTTTGTTGCCCAGGCTAGTCTTGAACTCCTGGGCTCAAATTATCCTCCCGCCTTGGCCTCCCAAAGTACTAGGATTACAGGCATGAGCCACCATGCCCCGCCAGCAGTGACTTTTGTACTACCCATACCTGTTATTTATAGTGATGAACTTCCTCTTAAATTGAAAATATATTTGATTTATATCAAAAATGTTTTTGCATGTGTGTGATTAAGAAATTTATGGGGTTTTCTTGGGGGGAAGAAGAGCTTCAAAAATTAATAGAAAACTAAACAGGCAACTTGGTCTTGGCTATAACTTGAAAACATTGATTGACCTATGGCAGAAGATTATTAGATAAAAGGAAAATAATTCAGTACAAGCAGAGAGAAAATAAAATACAAAGCAAAAACTAGAGGGAGAGACAATCAATGGACTAATAGTATGGTGCCTTTCTGTCTGTGATGTACTTCCTAACCTATCTTATTTAACACCTGAATATTGAATACTACATACATGTGGTTTCATCTTTTTAAACTATATCTTTCTAACAATGCTTGAAGGCAATCTTTCCAATATTTATTTGAAGATTAAATCATCAAAATTTTTTTGAGAGAATCTACATTCTGTGTCTGTGTGTATGCACACAGACACAGTTAGCTAGTAAAGTTAATCTTAGTTAAGTGCAGAAAATTATGTGATATATATCCAGTGTAAAGTTTAAACAAATTCTTCTTTGTTAAGGGATGTTGGTGTTGCCAACATCCAGAAGGCACTGTATGTAGAGCCTTTATCTAGATTGAGGTCTCAATCCTGTATTGAAGCCTGTAGCTCTCACCTGTTGTACCTTCTGTGTTCCACATTTTATCATGCTGTGTTAGTTCCTTTAGGCTATCAGAAATGTTAATTGTGGTCATTTGTCAGTGTCCTTCTGCTTGCAGTTGCTTTCATTTCAGTCCTTAAAATCTCTCTTCCTGGATACAGAATTAATCAGCTGTGCTACTAGGTCAATCACTGTTACTACTTCTCTTCCTAATCGCTGTTTCACTTGTTTGTGTGATACCAGAACTGACACTGACACTGGAAGCCACAAACCTCTTGTCTGTTACAACTCTCAATTGTGCCATCCTTTTTACTGCTGCCTAGTTTTCTGCTGCAGTTGGGATATTTTATAGGCTTCTCTTACTTGAGTTGAAAAGTACATTATTTTCCAAAAGACATTTTTCCTTCCCTCTAAACGGTAAATTTAACAACATTTACAGCACACCTATTTTGGCAGATACTGCGCTAATTGCTAAAGATTTGGAAATAGATGGAATATGATCCCTGTCCATATGCTCCCAGTATATCTTAAGGGTTCTAATGCAGAAGCAGCCAAACAGGTCCCTTAAAAAAGAAACATGGATGAGCTCGGAGGACATTATATTAAGTGAAATAAGGCATGCACAGAACGATAAATACTGCATGTTCTCACTTATGTAGAAGCTAAAAACACTGATCTCATAGAAGTAGATAGTAGAATAGTGGTTACTAGAGGCTAAGAAGGGTGTGGGGGTGAAGGGAAAAGCCAGAGGATGGTTAATGGATATATAAGTACAATTAGATAGGAGGAATAAGTTCTAGTGTTCTATATCACTATAGGATGACTACAATAAAAATTTATTGCATATTTTCAAATTGCTGGAAGAGTGGATTTTGAATGTTCTCAACACAAATGAAATGATAAATGTTTGAGGTGATGGATATACTAATTACCTTGATTTGATCATTACACATTGTGTACATGTACTGAAATATTAATATCACACATTAAGTCCCCCATATGTACAATTATTATGTGTTAATTAAAAAATAATAACAATTTAGAAAAATAATACACACACGAAGAAACAGATTGAATGTAAGACAATAAAGAATATCCAGGACTATGGTGAACCAGGGAACAGATATCCATTGTTGTCATCAGAGTGAAGGAAACCAAAATATTTCATCCCAAAATATTGTAGGGGCCAAGGGCTGCAGGTTCCTCTTGGCCCTCTGAAGCTTCATTGAAAAATCAACTCACAAAAGGCAGATTATTTGGAGAAATGGCATACAAGTTTATTTAATGTGTATACATGGGACCTTTCAGAATGAAGACCCAAAGGCACAGGGGAAATTGTCAATTTTTGTGTTTGGTTTCAACAAAGCACGGACAGCCATGTAGAAATATGATCTGACAAAAAGAGTATGATCAAATGCTAACAGACTGAGTGGGGAAACCCAGCAAGGCCTGTCTATATATATTTTTTGCACTGAAATAAATTTTTTTATTTTTTATTTTATTTATTTATTTATTTATTTATTTATTTATTTATTTATTTGAGATGGAGTTTCTCTCTTGTTGCCCAGGCTGGAGTGCAATGGCGCGATCTCAGCTCACGGCAACCTCCACCTCCCGAGTTCAAGCCATCCTCCTGCCTCAGCCTCCTGAGTAGCTGGGATTCAGGCATGCGCTACCATGCCTGACTAATTTTGTATTTTCAGTAGAGACAGGATTTCTCCATGTTGGTCAGGCTGGTCTTGAACTTCCGACCTCAGGTGATCCACCTGCCTCGGCCTCTCAAAGTGCTGGGAGTACAGGCATGAGCCACTGTGCCTGGCCAAAATTTTATTTTATTTTTATAATTTCAACTTTTATTTTAGATACAAGGGGTACATATGCAGGATTGTTACATGGGTTTATTGTATGATGCTGAGGTTTGGTGTACAAAGGGTCCCGTTACCCAAGAAGTGAGCACAGTACCAAATAGGTTGTTTTACAGTCCCTGCCTCCCTCCTTCTCTCCCTTGTCTAGTAGTCCCCAATATCTGTTTTTCTCATCTTTATGTCCATGTGTGTATCCAGTGCTTACTTCTGACTTACAAATGAGAACATGTGGTATTTTGTTTTCTGTTCCTGCATTAATTCACTTAGGATAACCGCCTCCAGCTACATCCATGTTGCTGCAAAGGACATGATTTCATTCTCTTCTTATGGTTGCATAGTATTCCATAGTACATATGTACCAGATTTTCTTTATCTAATCTAATCTACTGTTGATGAGCATCTAGGTTGATTCTATGTCTTTGCTACTGTGAATAGTGATGCAATGAATGAATGAGTGCATGTGCCTTTTTGGTAGAATGATTTATTTTCCTTTGGCTATATACCCAGTAATAGGATTACTGGGTCAAATGGTAGTTCTGTTTTAAGTTCTTTGAGAAATCTCCAAACTGCTTTATATAGTGGCTGAACTAATTTATATTCCCGCCAACAATGTATAAGCCTTCCCTTTTCTCTGCAGCCTCACCAGCACATTTTGTTTTTTGACTTTTTAATAATAGCCATTCTCACTGGTATGAGATGGTATCTCATTGTGGTTTTGATTTCTGTTTCTCTGATGATTAGTATGTTGAACATTTTTTCATATGTTTGTTAGCCGCAGGTATATCTTCTTTTAAGAAGTGTCTGTTCATGTCCTTTGCCTACTTTTTTTTTTTTTTTTTTTTTTTTTTTGAGATGGAGTCTCGCTCTGTCGCCCAGGCTGGAGTGCAGTGGCGGGATCTCGGCTCACTGCAAGCTCCGCCTCCCGGGTTCACGCCATTCTCCTGCCTCAGCCTCCCAAGTAGCTGGGACTACAGGCGCCCGCCACTACGCCCGGCTAATTTTTTGTATTTTTAGTAGAGACGGGGTTTCACCGTTTTAGCCGGGATGGTCTCGATCTCCTGACCTCGGGATCCGCCCGCCTCGGCCTCCCAAAGTCTTTGCCTACTTTTTAATGGGGTTATTTGTTTTTCACTTGGTTCATTTGTTTAAATTCCTTATAGATTCTGGATACTAGACCTTTGTTGGATGCACGGTTTGTAAATATTTTCTCCTATTCTGTATGTCTTCTGTCTACTCTGCTGATAGTTTCTTTTGCTGTGCAGAAGCTTTTTAGTTTAATTAGATCCCACTTGTCAATTTTTGTATTTGTTGCAGTTGCTTTTGAGGACTTAGTCATAAATTCTTTGCCAAGGCCAATGCCTAGAATTGTGTTTCTTAGGTTTTCTTCTAGGATTCTTATAGTTTGTGATCTTACATTTAAATCTTTAATTCATCTTGAGTTGATTTTTGTATATGGTGAAAGGAAGGGATCAAGTTTCAGTCTACATAAGGCTAGCCAGCTATCCCAGCACCATTTATTGAATAAGAAGTCCTTTCCCCATTGCTTATTTTTGTCTACTTTGTTGAAGATCACATGGTTGTAGGTGTGCAGCTTTATTTCTGGGTTCTCTATTCTATTCCATTGGTCTACATGTCTGTTTTTGTATGAATACTATGCTGTTTTGGTTACTGTAGCCTTGTAATATAGTTTGAAGTTGGGTAGCATGAGGCTTTGTTTTCTTCATTTTACTTAGGACTGCTATTCAGAGACTTTTTTGATTCTATATGAATTTTAGAACAGTTTTTTTCTAATTCCGTGAAAAAAAATGGCCTGTCTGGATTATTCTTGGTCTCTCTGAGCCTGTATTTTATCCTTCTGGGTATGGGAGGGACCCTCTTTGGAATGGGGGTCTTACAACCTAAAGTCAAACAGGGTAGGTCAGATAATTTCTTTATGGCCAGGTTCAGCACAGAAAGGCAGAGGGAAATTTAGAATAGTATTTTTAGGTTTTATGACTGGCTTTGGGGAAAAGGAGCTCTGGTGTCTATGACCTGCCTTGAAGAACAGGGATTCTAGTTTCTATGGCTAGCCTCTGTGGAGAATGGGACTGAGACAGGAGGGCAAGAGATGGTCAGAGAAAAAACTTCCAAGGTTACTTCTGAGGCCTTCATTTTGGGGTATTGTTTTCTGACCCCCAACAATATACTTCTTTGACATATTTTGAGATGGCTATTCAGAGGGCCTGAAAACAGAAGTAGCTCTACAAAGCTGTCTTTTGTGAGAGAGATTTGTATCTGTAGAGAAAATCTGCATTGATACAGCCAGGTTTTCTCTATGGTCCCCCTTTTTTACTGATCTATGAAAAATTAAGTGAGAGTCTGGCACTTTTAAAAGCCTGAAAGTAATTTTTATCATTTAGTGTCTCTGAGAGCTGCTACCTGTGAAGTTGCCTCTACATCACAAGACCACCTTTGCTTGTCAGGCCTCCTCTTCTCTCCTTTCTATAACCTCTTTTGCCACCATAAACTGTTTTGCCAGGATCCAAGCCTCCATTCTTTCTGTAACTTCAAGATGATAGAAAAGCAACTATCTGGCCATTTCTTTGAGTTCTTATATTTTGTATGACTCTGTGGCACATTAATACATTTGCATGCCTTTTCTATTAATTTTATTTTAGTCAGTTAATTTATTAGTGAACCTTCAGAGAGCAAAAGGAAAGTTTGCCCTTCACCATACAAGAGTAATAATATTAGATCTTTCAATTTATGTGTGACTTAACATCTTGAAGTTTGAATTTTTAAGTGTTGGTAACTAGGTCAAAACATCTTTAAACACTGTATGAACTCAATAAAACCTATTTTTGGAGTGAATAAAACCTTAAGATAACCAATTTTAATTTTTGATGTAAAACCATTTCCAATATAATGGTTTCATTACTTTTCTGCATTTTCTAAAAGATGATCCCTTATATGTGATTTACATGTTGGTCATATAATCCAGATAGCTTTAGCCTAATTGATAGAAAAAGAGTTAAGAAGATTATTAACTCAAAACCTGTGAAGCACAAATGTGGCTCAAAGATTGATAAGAAAACATCAACTGAAACTGAGTATTTATTAGGAGCCCACTGAGATATCACTATTTTCTCAGGACCAGGAAATCAGAGAGAGAAGCCAGGCATCATGGCAATGAAGCAGTAAAGACACGAGTAATTAGACATATTCGATTTAATTACTCAGTTCCTTCCACTAAGCCAACATTTCTTGAATGTCCTATGCCTTAACAGCATTATATTAGGTCTAGAGTTTAAAAATTTTAGCAGTTTAAAATCTCTGTCTCAGCACAATATGAATGAAAGGGAGAGATGGGAGTGGGATAGCTGGGATGAAGAAGCTGGAAAAAACATGGCTTCAGGATACATTTAGCTTCGGCTTGATTCCATGAGTAGCTAAGGTGCATGAACTAAAACACAGAGGTTTTCCAGTGTACAGACTGGGGGTGAGGATGGTTCTAGTCATCATATCCCTGCATCAACAAGTCATTGGCTAGAGCTGCTGGAAGAGGGAATATAACCTAGTGTCTTCAGGTGTGATGGCTTCAGTTAACCAAAACCATTCTTCCAGTGAATAATAATGGAAGCCAATTGGCTGTGCGCACTTATCATTAAAGGCAATCTCGACAACAAAAGAATATGCTATACCCTGTGTTCAGAGACTAGAAATTAGTAGAAGAGACAGCCAAGTTTACAAAAAGTCATGAGGAATGCTATGACAGAAATGTTTTTTAGATGCTGATATGGTATTGCTTTGTGTCCCCACCCAAATCTTATGTTGAATTGTAATTCCCTATGCTGGGGGAGGAACCTGGTAGGAGGTGATTAGATCATCGGAGCGGATTTCCCCCTTGCTGTTCTCATCATAGGGAGTAAGTTCTTGTGACAGTGAGTAAGTTCTCATGAGATCTGTATTAGTCTGTTTTGACACTGCTATAAAGAAATTCCTGAGACTGGGTAATTTATAAAGGAAAGAGGTTTAATTGACTCCCAGTTCCACATGGCTGGGGAAGCCTCAGGAAACTTACAATCATAGTGGAAGGGGAAGCAAGCACATCTTATATGGGAGCAGGTGAGAGAGAGAGCACGTGAGAGTGCAGAAAAAACTACCATTTATAAAACCATCAGATTTGGGTGGGAACACAGAACCAAACCATATCATTCTGCCTCTTGCCCCTCCCAAATCTCATGCCTTTTCAAATTTCAAAACCAATCATGCCTTCTCAACAGTCCCTTAAATTCTTAACTCATTTCAGCATTAACTCAAAAGTCCACAGTTCAAAGTCTTATCTGAGAGAAGGCAAGTCCCTTCTGCCTATGAGCCTATAAAATCAAAAGGAAGTTAGTTACTTCATAGATATAATGTGGATGCAGGCATTCTGGTAAATACACCCATTCCAAATGGGATAATTGGCCAAAACGAAGGGGATACAAGCCCCATGTAAGTCCAAAATCCAGCAGGGCAATCATTTAAAGCTCCAAAATGATCTCCTTTGACTTCATGTCTCACATCCAGTTAATGCTGATGCAAGAGGTGGGCATGCATGGTCTTGGGCAGCTCTGCTCCTGTGGCTTTGCAGGGTATAGCCCCCATCCCAGCTGCTTATATGGGCTGGCGTTGAGTGTCTGTGGCTTTTCCAGGCACATGGTGCAAGCTGTCAGTGGATCTACCACTCTAGGGTCTGGAGAACGGTGTCCCTCTTCTTACAACTTCACTAGGCAGTGCTGCAGTGGGGACTCTGTGTGGGGGCTCTAACCCTACATTTCCCTTTTGTGCTGCCCCAGCAGAAGTTCTCCATAAGGGGCCTGCTCCTCCAGCAGACTTCTACCAGGACATCCAGGCATTTCCATACATACTGTAAAATCTAAGGATAGGTTCCCAAACCTCGATTCTTGACTTTTGTGCACCCACAGGCCCAACACCATGTGGAAGCTGCCAAGGCTTGGGGCTGTTACCCTCTGAAGCAATGGCCTGAGCTGTACCTTGGTCCCTTTTAGCCACTACTGGAGCTGAAGTGGCTGAGACACAGGGCACAATGCCCTGAGGCTACACAGAGCAGGAAGGCCCTGAGCTCAGCCCATAAAACCATTTTTCCTCTTAGGCCTCTTTACCTGTGATGGGAGGGGCTATAACCAATATCTCTGACATTCCCTGGAGACATTTTCCCCATTGTCTTAGTGATTAACATTTGGTTTATCTTTACTTATGAAAATTTCTGCAGCAGGCTTGAATTTCTCCCCAGAAAATGGGTTTTTCTTTTCTATCACATTGTCAGGCTGCAAATTTTCCAAACTTTTATGCTGTGCTTCCCTTTTAAACATAAGTTCCAGTTTCAAATAATGTCTCTTAAGTTCAAAGTTCCACAGATCTCTAGGGCAGGGGCAAAAGTCACCAGTCTCTTTGCTAAAACACAGCAAGAGTCACCTTTGCTCCAGTTCCCAATGAGTTCCTCATCTCCATTTGAGACCACCTCAGCCAGGACTTCATTGTCCATAACACTATCAGCATTTTGGTCAAAACCATTCAATAAGTGTCTCAGAAGTTCCAAACTTTCCTGCATCTTTCTGTCTTCTTCTGAGCCCTCCAAACTGTTCCAACCTCTGCCTGCTACCCAGTTCCAAAGTCACTTCCACATTTTTGGGTATCTTTACAGCAGTACCCCACCAGTCCCAATTTACTGTATTAGTCCATTTTCACACTGCTATAAAGAACTTCCCAAGACAGAGTAATTTATAAAGAAAAGAGTTTTAATTGGCTCACAGTTCTGCATGGCTGGAGAGGCCTCAGGAAACTTACAATCATGGCAGAAGAGGAAGCAAGCCCATCTTACATGGCAGCAGGTGAGAGAGAGAACATGTGAGAGTGCAGGAAAAACCACCATTTATAAAACCATCATATCTCATGAGAACTCACTCAAAATCGGGAGAACAACATGGGGGAAGTGGTCCCCATAATCCAGTCTCTTCCCTCTCTTGACATGTGGGGATTACAATTCGAGATGAGATTTGGGTGGGGACACAGAACCAAAACATATCAAGATCTTTTGGTTTAAAATTGTGTGGGACTTCCCCATTTGCTCTCTCTCTCTCTCTCTCTCTCTTTCTCTCTCTCTCTCTCTCTCTCTCTTTCTCTCTCTCTCTCTCTCTTTCTCTCTCTCTCTCTCTCTCCTGTTGCCATGTGAAGATGTGCCTGCTTCTTCTTCACCTTACACCATGATTATAAGCTTCCTGAGGCCTCCCCAGGCATGCCTCCTGTACAGCCTGTGGAGCTGTGATTAAATTAAACCACTTTTCTTTATAAATAACCCAGTCTCAGGTATGTCTTTATAGCAGTGTGAGAATGGACTAATAGAGATGCCATGGGAACCGTGGGGAGCAGGGAGTAAGGGAGAATTGACAGACTTCATAAAGGACATAATAATGAAGCTGATTATTGAATATATGTATGAATTTTTCCGATACCGGAAGTCATTCCAAAGAGAAGCAATAAGTTGTGTAGAGGTCTAAAGGAGTTAGTAAATATTCAGGGTCTACCAATGATTGTAATAAAGAGTTTTTTGAGGAGCTAAAACTGAAAAATATCCCCTAACTAAAAAGAGTCCTTTTTAATAAAAAGTATGCTTAGATGTCTGGACTCTTTCTTCAAAATGGTGTGGAGGCATTAAGGATTTTAGCCAAAGAAGAGTTATTGTACAAATAGAAGAGAGAAATAGCTATACTATTGTCAATCTAAAATAATCAAAAGGTTCAGGATCCAGTTAAAAGAGTTTATTCAAGTGCAAAGTGTGAGGGTGGCCATCAGGTCCTGGAGCAGAGCTACACCAAAGAATGGTGATCGGTACACGAGGTGTGGGGAAAAATGAGGATAATTTATGTAAGCAAAACAGAGGTACTGAACAGTGTTACAACATTTTCCATACAAAGGTCAACATACAGATATAAGGTTTGATTGGCTATTATTGATTATACTCTAAGGGGGCTGTTTAACATTCTGCTATAAAGAGATAACAATCACAATAATCTCTATCTCCATGTCATTTCATCTAGGTTGAATAAAGGATAGGGAGTCTAGTTAATGAATAACATCTCAACACAAACATCAGGAAGCTATGGTCATGCCCCAGAGAAGAAAAACAGTCCTGTTACATCAGTCAGCTTTCGGGGCTTAATTTTTCCCTTTAGCGTAATAAATTTGGAAGGTCTTGAAATTTTATTTCTTTTACACTATATATGTCCGTACACCAAAAAAGACCCACAACAGAAGCGAAATACAAGGCTGTAGCTCCACATTTGCAGTATAGAAAGTGTTCTTAATTCTCTCAGTAACTGTAGAAGTAGTTCTAGGAATGAACACAGGTAAGTATTTTTATTGTAGAATCAGTAGGAGGTAGCATTATTTAGTGGCAATTGCATGAATTAGTATATAAGAGAAATATCCCTTTATTTTATTCTATTTTAATTATGAAATAAATCACTCTTAAAATTTTTTTTTCTGTAATCTGAAAAGTAGATGAACTAGGACACTTCCAATGCATAAGACACATGCAGTGGTTGCTTTTTCAGTTTGTGAAATAAAATTATTGATCACAAGTACATTGAAAGTATTTTCATAATGATATTTAACTAACTGCCATTCATACCAGTCAGTTGAAAATAATAGTCTATAGTACTATGATAGCTGTACTAAGTTTTCTCTAGGAAGTAAACTTTAAATAAGGAAATGTGAGTGAACTCTTTTTATAAAATATAGAGATTGCCAGGACAAAAGATATTTGGCTTGATAATTATTAGTATTATTATTAAAGTCAAATGCATTCCATATCCAGGCTATAGATTTAATGACAACCTTAATGAATAAGAGAATGAATGAGAAAACATCACTGAGGAGAGTAATGAAAGACTCACTAATATATCTTAGTAAAAGGGGTTATACATACATATTGCACAATTCAGACAGCTTCTTCCCACTGATCTACAGATAAATGATTGTAATGGCTGCTGTCATAAACCGCTCAAATTCTCCCTTTAGAACCAAGGCACTCATTCCCCCAGGGGACCTAAGCATTACAGAGACATCCAAGTGCCTCTCCAGAAGCTACCCTTAACCAAAGAAAGCTGCCTCACCCAAGGTCATGAGTCCTCCCATGGGGCAGCCCACATCCATTAACTGGGATATAAAGCACTTGCCCTCTAGATTGAAGGTCCATCTCAGCTCCAGAGCTCCCCACTACATTGGCTGATGCTTCTGTTGCAACTTTATTGCAGTTCAATTTCCCTTTCTCTCCAATGCTGATGCCCTTATTCCTCACAAATCTTAGAGTGACAGAATCTGTTTTCTACTCATTCTATGATAATTAGCATCAGGAATGGTCCTAGAAAGCAACTCTAAAGTGGGATTTTAGAAATGGATCATTTGTCAGCCAGTTGGCAGGCAATAAGTAGCTTGTAATAAATGAAGGCCTGATAGTCTCTTTTTGGTTGAAGTACAATTGTTAAAACTTTTTATTACTTTTAAATTATGTTAATAATTGGCACATGATAGTGAATGTTATGGGGTGTATGTGATGTTTCAATACATGTATACATTGTATAATGATTAAATCAGAGTAGTTAGCATGTCCATCACCTCAAACCTTGTTTGTAAATTTGTTTATGTAGAGACAGGGTGGTCTCAAACTCCTGGCATCAAGCAATCATCTCACCTCAGCCTCCAAAGTGTTGGGATTATAGATGTGAGCCACTACACCCAGCCTATCAACTCAAACCTTTACCATTTCTTTTTGGTGATAGCTTACAAGATCCTCTTTTGTAGCTATCTTGAAATATATAATATATTTTTATTAACTATAGTTACCCTACCATGTAATAGAACACTAGTACTTATTCTTCCTATCCAACCGCACCTTTGTATTCATTGACCAACCTCTCTCCATCTTCCCTCCCCTCTCCCCTTCCCATCCTCTGGTAACTACTATTCTATTCTCTACTTCTGTGAGATTAACTTTCTTAGATTCCATGTATGAGTGAGATCATGTGGTACAGGCATAACAATATTTTATTGTGCTTTGCAGATGCTGTGATTTTTTTACACAATTAAGGGTTTGGGGCAACTCTGCATTGAACAAGCCTATTGGAGCCATTTTTCCAATATTATGTGCTCACTTCGTGTCTCTGTGTCACATTTTGGTAATTCTTGAAATATTTCAAGCTTATTATTATTATATCTCTTATGGTGACCTGTGATCATTTGTCTTTGATGTTACTATTGGAATTGTTTCGTGGTGCCACAAACCACACCCATATAAGACAATGAACTTAATAAATGTGTGTGTCCTAACTGCTCCACTGACCCCCTGGCTGTTCCCCTATCTCTCTTCCTCTGCTTGGGCATTCCTGTTCCCTGAAGCACAACAATATTGAAATTAGGCATATTAATCACTCTACAAAGACCTGTAACTGTTCAAATGAAAGGAAGAGTCAATCAGTGTGGCAAATTTTATTTTATTGTAAGAAATTGCCAAAGCCACCCCAACCTTCAGCAACCACCACGCTGATCACTAAGCAGCCATCAATATCAAGGCAAGACCTTCCACCAGCAAAAGATTATGACTCACCAAAGGCTGAGAAGATCATTATCATTTTTAGCAATAAAGCATTTTAATTGAAGTATGTGTTTTTTTAGACATAATGCTATTTTAAACTTAATAGAATACAGTAAAGTGAAACCATAACTTTTATATGCACTGAGATACGAAAAAAATGTTATTCACTTTATTTAAATATTTACTTTGTTGCAATGGTCTGTAACTGAACCCCAAATATCTCTGAGGTATGCTTTTATGTGTCTTTCTGTACCTGGCTTATTTCACTTAACATTATGTTCTCTAAAGTCATCCATGTTGCCACAGAAGAAAGGATTTCATTACTTTTTTTATATCAAATAGTATTCCATTATGTATATACACCATATTTTCCTTATCCATCCATCCATTGATGGACACTTAGGTTGATTCCATCTCTTGGCTATTGTGAACAGTGCTGCAATAAAAATGGGAATGCAGGTATCTCTTTGACATACTGATTTCAGTTCCTTTGGATATATACCCAATAGTTTAATTGTTGGATCATATGGTAGTCGTATTTTAAATTTTTGGAGAAATCTCCGTATTGTTTTCTATGATGGCTATACTAATTTATATCCCTACCAATAGTGTTTAAGAGTTTCCCTTTCTCCGCATCTTTGCCAGTGTTTGTTATATTTTTTTTCTTTTTGATGCTAGATATTCTAACTGGGGTGCAGTGGTATCTCATTGTGCTTTTGATTTGCATTTCCCTGACGATTAGTGATGTTGAGCATTTTGTCACATAGTTACTGGCTATTTGTTTTTTGATCAGATTATTTGTTTGTTTGTTTTTTGCTACTGAGTTGAATTCCCAATATATTCTAAATATTAACTCCTTGTTAAATGCATAATTTGCAAATATTTTTCCCATTCTGTAGGTTGTCTCTTTATTCTGTTGATTGTTTCCCTTCTTGTACAGAATGTTTTTAGTTTGATGTAATCTCATTTGTCTATTTTTGTGTTTGTTGCCTGTGTTTTTGTAGTCTTATAAAAAAAATCCTTGCTCAGACAAATTTATATAGCATTTCCCCTATGTTGTCTTCTAGTAGTTTTATAATTTTGAGTTTTACATTTAAGTCTTTAATCCATTTTGAGGTGATTTTCATATGTGTGAGAAATAATGGCCTAGTTTCATTTTTCTGCATATGAATGTCCAGTTTTCCAAGCAACATTTATTGAAGAAACTATCTTTTCCCCAATGTGTTCTCTTGGTGCCTTTGTCAAAAATCAGTTGGCTCTAGATACATGGATTTATTTCTGGTCCCTCTATTTTGTTCCATTGGTCTATACATCTATTTTTATGCCAATATCATGCTGATTTGGTTATTATGGCTTTGTATTATATTTTGTAGTCAGGTAGCATGATGCTTCCAGCTTTGTTCTCTTTGCTCAAGATTGCTTTGGCTATTCAAGGCCATATAAATTTTAATTCTATTTCTGTGACAATGTCATTGGTATTTTGATTGAAAATGCATTTAGTCCGTGGATTGCTTTGGGTAGTATAGATGTTTTAATAATATTAATTCTTCCAATCTATGCACATAAATATATTTCCATCCATTTGTGTCTTTCATCAGTATTTTATGGTTTTCCTTTTAGAAATCTTTCAATTCTTTGGTTATACTTATTCCTGGGTATTTTATTTTATTTTACTTTTGTAGTTATTGTAAATGGGATTGATTTATTGATTTCTTTTTTAGTTCACCATTGGTGTATAAAAATGCTACAGATTTTTGTATGTTGATTTTATGTCCTGCAACTTTACTGAATTCATTTGTTAGTTCTAACAGTTTTCTGGTAGAGTCTTTAGAATTTTCTATATATATGACCATGTGCTATTGAGATGAATGTGTATTCTATGGCTGTTGGATGGAATATTCTTTAAATGTCTGCTAGGTCCTTTTGGTTTAGAGTTCAGTTCAACTCTGATGTTTTCTTGCTGATTCTCTATCAAGATGATCTGTTCATTGTTTATAGTGGGTTGTTGAAGTCACCTACTATTACTGTATTGCAAGTGATCTCCCTTTAGGTCTACTAATATTTGCTTTATATATTTCTGGGCTCCGGTGTTGGGTGCATATGTGTTTATAATTGCTATATCCCCTTGCTGTATTGATTCCTTTGTCATTATATAATGACCTTCTTTGTCTTTTTTTTTAAATCTTCTTGATGACTTACTGTTTATCTGATATCAGTACAGCTAATCCTGCTTTTTATTGGTTTCCATTTGCATGGAATATTTTTCCATCCCTTCACATAAAGTCTATGCCTGTCTTTATAAGTGAAGTGAATTTCTTGACTCAATGTTTTTTGTTTAGAGAGTTCAATCCATTTACATTCAAGGTTATTGATAGGTAAGGGTTTACTACAGCCATTATACTTTCTTCCTTTTTTCCTTTCTGTCTTTCTTTGTGATTAAGTGATTTCTTTGGTAGTATGATTGAATTCCATGCTATTTATTTTTAGTTTATCTTTTATAGGTTTTTGCTTTGTGGTTACTATGAGGCTTAGAAAAATTGTTAAAACTTTCACTCGTGAAAAACTGCAATGAAATATTGGTTGAACAGAATGCACTAGTGGATGCAATGCCTCTGGCATGTAAGGGTTTCAAGGGAAATAGTCATTATAAGGACATTGGAGTCAGATGGCTATTGCTAGGGGCCATTGTTACACTAGAGGAAGTTACAGCCCTCAAGCTAAGAATGTTTTTACATTTTAAAAGGTTTTAAAAGAAGAAAAAATTCAAATAGAAACCATATGTAGCTCTCAGATCCTAAAATATTTACTCTCCGGCGCCTCACAGAAAATGTTTGTTGACCCTTGCATTAAAAAACTGAAAGAAAGGATGAAGGTGATCAATTACCTATATAAAGTGAGTTGTGAAAACCAGAGGATCTCCCTTACAGCACATAAAGATTCTCATCTCCTGTAGCCTAGGGGCAGAAAAAACTGAGGATTATGTCCAAGACTTAATTATACCATAAACAGAGCTTCAGAAAAGGTTGATTTTCCAACCCTGGCACATTTGCTACCCCAAGGTCATTTGTGACTGTTCTGACTCATTTACTAAGTGACAAGGAAGGCTGGCAGCTTTAAGTGAGGATCAGGTCAAGAAAGGGCTTTGCAGCAGGCCGAAACCATTGTACAAGCGGTCGTGCTATACAATTCAACAAACCCTATTGTACTAGAAGCATGTGTTGTGTAAAAAGATATGGTATGGATTCTAGAGCAAGCTCCAATAAGAGAATCACAATTTAGAACCCTTTAATTTTGGAGGAAAGCCATGCAGTCTGCAGCATAAAATCATGCATCATTTGAAAAACAGCTCCTCGTGTGTTGCTGGGTTAGAGAGGGAGCATCTGACTTTTAGTCATCAAATTTCTTACCACGAGATTACAGCTGCCAATCATGAGAAGGATCTGTCAGACCCGCAAAATCCTACAGTCAGGTGGGTTCTTTTGCAATTAATTAAGAAGGAAGTAATACACCAAGGAGCAGACATGCACCAGAACAGAGGGCACAAGAAAACTACACATTCAGTTGTGCCAGACCTCTGAATCACACACCATAGCTGCACCAGAAACTTTCTTTCTGTTTATATCTATGGCCACACAGAGGATCCCATATGAACACCTGATAGAGAATGAATCAGCCAATCCCAGTCTGTGGATGCATACAGGCTGAAAATGGACTGTGCTACACGCATCTTAACGCAGGGGTAACCTTGAAAGATTGCAGTAAGGAAAAAATCTACCTGACAGGCAATGGCTGAGATGCTGTAACTGGGCATTCACTTTGAATAAAATATAAGTGTCCAGAGATAAAATATATGGACTCATGGCAATTGTGAATAACTTGGTTTGTTGATCAGAGGCCCAACAGAAAAAAAGGCTAGAAGATGTAGCCAAGACATTTGGTATAGAGGCATGCAGATTGACGTGTGAGTGGGCACAAAATGTGAATATCTTTGCTTTGCATGTCAACCCCTAAGAGAGAACATCTACCATAAAATCATCCACTCATTCAGGTTCTGACATTGGCCTTTTCAAATGTTGGCACAATGGGCTTATGAAAAAAGTAGACATGTTGGTTGGGATCAAGGCAATGCATGGGTCTCATTCAACATGGATCATTTAGCTACTGTTGTTGTCAAATATCAAACCTGACAGCTTAAGAGACCAACACTGAGCTCCTGATAGGTTTCTGTGATTGTTATTTATTCCATCTCAGTTCCAGATTTATCCTTTAATACCTACTCTGCAATAATGGATAGAATTCCTGTAAGGATTTCTCTTTTGCAGTGAATACAATGTTAAACTTTCTCACTAGAGGTCGCTGTAGTGACATTGCAGGAGGAAGAGGCTTCTATTGATTCCAGCTGCTGTGCTGTTGGTGAGAGGTGTGAGTTTGGGAGCATCCAGTGGTGTTCTACCACAGCCACATGCCACAGTGTGCAGTCCCTAGGTGACTTCACAGCTCTAGCCCTGCCTGGTGATCACCTTCCTCGGCCCTTAAAACACTAACATCACGTGCTTGAATCTCCCTTCAGCACTGACACCCCCACTTTCTCTGAACACCCATGAACCCACCCACCAGATGTGGTTTGCCTATACCCTGGTGGTTGGCTTCCTACTTGATCAGTGACTATTGACCAGCTCTGGCCCGGAGAGACAAGTGTACTTTTCTGCCATTCAGTGAGCTGAAACTTCACCTTCTCCAATGAAGTCTGCATGCTAGCCTTGGGAAAGTGGTTCCCTTCCAAGTTTGTCGCTCATTGGGTACTGTCTCCCAGCCCTAGGTTACCATATAGAGTTCTCTTACGTCTTATAAATCACTCTTTTATTATAGCTTAATAATTATTTATATTAAACTGTCCCTAATTAAATCAGTTTCTCTGGGCCCCAGCACCTCCTTCTATAACACAGAGATACTAAAGACTACCCCAAAAGCTCACATGTTATTTCTGA
Source organism: Homo sapiens (assembly GCF_000001405.40). Taxonomy (NCBI): domain Eukaryota; kingdom Metazoa; phylum Chordata; class Mammalia; order Primates; family Hominidae; genus Homo; species Homo sapiens. The sequence goes on from NC_000023.11 coordinate 27,556,334, forward strand.
GGATCATTTTATATGATGTATGTACCAGCATTTCATTAAGTGTAATGTGCGATATAAACACAAGCCATTTTTTATATTATAATAGTGTTAAATGATTGACTTTGCAAACTTACTATCTGATTATTGATAAAAGTGTTTGGTTCTTATGCCACCACCATTCCTGATGCTGAAAAATGGTCTAGTTGTTTGTGGATTATTTCCAAATTATGATTCTCACTCATGCAGAAAAGTTGAAAATGCAAGCTGTGATGTGATGAAACATCCCCTTCTCTATCATAAAATTTTACTTAAAGGAAGAATTCTAACTGAAGTGCCATAAGAACATGATAAAGAGTCGAAGACTAGAAGTGCAAAATCACCCAAGCAAGTGTATAAAGCTTAGAAATCCCAAGCAGTTGATATTTATCACACAGCTGAATGCTAATGCAGCCAGGAAAATAACATCAGCTCCAGATGCAGCTGTTAGGAATGTGCTGTGGGACAGGTCATCCGTGCTTTTCACCTGCCAAATGCATCCTTTAAAGGGAATGCTTGGTAAATATTGGTGAGAATAGGAACAGGGATAATTTAAACACCAACATTAACTTTATCTTATCTTTCAAAGTACTCAGGCCTAAATAACACCTAAATATATTAACTTGGTGTTATTTTTCACATAGTAAATGGCTTTGAAATATTTTCAAGTATTCTCATCAGTAGTATAGAAAAAATATATAAAAGTTGGTTCCACAAACTGAAATGTAATTTGTTCTGTTTGAATTGTGCAAGTGATTTAGAAATATTTCTAGGTATTCAGGTAAAAGGAGTAGAAAATAATTGAAACAGACAAAAAGCTCCAATGTAAATTCTTTTGTGCCAAAATTATTTCTATCAGTTTGAATGATCAAAATACTACAGATAATTTTCATTAGATAATCTTGTTTTCAGGATCTGATCCAACAACTTTTAGTGTAGTCCTTTCTGACACCACAAAGACAATACAAATGTGAAAATTGAAATGTTTAGCTTGGTAATATGTTAATTATTTAAATTTTAAAGGTTAATTTCGTCAAAATAATGTCATTTTCATATTCTAGGAGACTATCTCACCAAATGAAAGGAATACAATGGTAAGCATTACTACCATAAATACATCAATCCGAGTAAAAATAGCTATTAAATTTATTGTCCCAGGTTAGATTCTATAAGAGTAGTTGCTGAGAAAGAGTTTGGAAACAAGATGCTTATTAGTGAAGATGAGAGGAAGAAATTGAATTGTGATGCTGGAAGCTTTGGAGTAATGCTTTTCAGAGTATCTCATGTTGGGCTGTAGAGGTTGTGCCTTCACATTCCCGCTTTGCTCAGTGAGAGATATGGGCTCTTCTGGGAAGGACGTGACCTGACGAAAAAGTTCTATGTAGCTGAGGGCAACCCTGTATGGGCTTCCACGTGGAAGAGCAGCAAGCCCTTCCTTATAAGTGGATCCGGGTATTGCATTTCCATGTCTATCAGAGTTCACACTTTATTCCACATACATATACTTCTCTATGCACATTTGGGAAAGAGCGCCTAGAAAATTCCAGTGGCCATCTCTAAGAGGAACTTAGATGAAGGAGGTTAGTGAGACAAACTAGAGTCTCTGCTGCTACACTGGGACTCTGGACCACAACTGCTGTTCATTTCCCTCCTCCACTTTCATCTTAAATAACCCCACCATCAACTACCATATATGTTGGGCTTAGTGGTTTATGCACTGGCATGACGCAGATCCTCACTCTGACACCCTTGAGTGCCTGGTCACTCTGCCCTTCCTGTAAAAGTGTGGCCACAACAGACTGTAAAAACTGCCTCTTTACAGTCACAATTGCACAAGGGGGTACCAAGAAGTACTCAAGTGGATCACCTCGAATTCATGTACATTCCTCTAATGCTACCACTGTAGAAGCAGCCTTACTTCCTCCTCAGGATCAGGGTCAGGTTCTCCTGCCAAGACAGTGGCTCCTTTTGTATGCAATTGTACTTTATAAGTCAATGCCACTCTTGCTTTGTCCCTGGGGAAATTGTGCCCTCTTTTGGGAAAAAAGATGTCTAACCAGGCAGAGCCTAGAGTTGCAGGAGTGGACAGCATAACAGCCTCCAGTGGTCATTGGGTATAATAAGTGTTTGACAACTCCTGATTCTACTTCTTAGTTTCCAGATAGTTTGTTTACTGGGAACACAATATCATATAAAGGTTGTTAATTTTGGGCATATAAAATATGCTGGGGGATGGAGTATTCCTTCTTTTTTTAAATTTTTTATTTATTATTATTATACTTTAAGTTTTAGGGTACATGTACACAATGTGCAGGTTAGTTACATATGTATACATGTGCCATGCTGGTGTGCTGCACCCACCAACTCGTCATCTAGCATTAGGTATATCTCCCAGTGCTATCCCTCCCCCCTCCCCCCAACCCACAACAGTCCCCAGAGTGTGATGTTCCCCTTCCTGTGTCCATGTGTCTGAGCTGCTGCTTCAGCTGTGCTTTCATCAGGCTGTGTTCCAACACTTTATTAGACTTGCAGATTCTGGATCATAAAATATGTAATATGGCCAGTAGATCTTATGCTCAAGGGCCTGATATGGTTTGGCTCTGTGTCCCCACCCAAATCTCATCTCAAATTGTAATCCCCATGTGTCAAGGGAGGGACCTGGTATGAAGTGATTAGATCATGGATCTCTCCTGTAGCCATGTAGGACGTGCCAGATTCCCCTTTAGCCTCTGCCATGATTTTAAGTTTCCTGAGGCCTCCCCCAGCCATGCCTCCTGTACAGCCCATAGAACTGCGAGTCAATTAAACCTCTCATCTTTATAAATTACCCAGTCATGGGTAGTTCTTTATAGCATTGCGAAAAGGGACTAATACAGGCCCAATCCCACACGACCTTTGCTGTAAAGAGATGGTCAGTCTGCCTCTATGTTATGTGAAGCTACACACCAGGGGATCAAACATTGTATAAACCCTTGAACAAGGATTGCTAGTTGAGGACCTTTCAGGCAGTAAAGGCAAACCCATATCCAAAATAAGTGTCTGTTCCTATGTAAACAAGCCACTGGCCTTTCCAGGTTAGAAGGGGCCCACTGTAGTCAACTTGCCACCAACAAGTTGCTTGTGGCCCGTGAGAGGTATGAGAACATATCAAGGCTAATAACCTGTTTGTTGTTGTTGCTTCTGCTGCCATGTTGAACAATCATTGGCTGCAGTAGCAATGACAGTCTTGATCTGTGGGTGTCCATGCTGTTGGGCAAATTCATAGCCTCCACCTCTGCCACCGTGGCTACATCGTTCACGTGGCCATAGTTCTAGGACTGGGATGGCTAATGACAGTGGCAGTCTGACCTCAACTAGTCAGGTAGGTCACTGTCTACTTTGCTGTTTAATGCCTCTGCCATGGAGGATGATTTCTGTTCGGTGTTAACACGTGATACAAAAAGCTCCAATTCATACTTTATGCCCACTCTGTGTGTCCATCCACACATCTCTACCTAACAACTTACTTTTGTCAATCTTCCAATCTTTCTCCTTCCAGGTCTCTGACCATCAGCCAGACTATTTGCCACTGTCCATGAGTGTGTATATACTTTAAACTTGTGCAACTTCTCTTTCCACGTTAAAAAAAAAAAATGACAGCCGGGCACGGTGGCTCATGCCTGTAATCCCAGCACTTTGGGAGGCCTAGGCAGGTGGATCACGAGGTCAGGAGATCGAGACCATCCTGGCTAACACGGTGAAACCCCATCTCTACTAAAAATACAAAAAATTAGCCGGGCGTGGTGGTGGGTGCCTGTAGTCCCAGCTACTTGGGAGGGTGAGGCAGGAGAATGGCATGAACCCAGGAGGCAGAGCTTGCAATGAGCCAAGATCATGCCACTGCACTCCAGCCTGGGCGACAGAGCAAGATATCCATCTCAAAAAAAAAAAAAAAAAGATGACAAGGTGAACTGCCTTAACCTCTGTTCACTGGGAGGATTTTTCTTTACCCCTGTCTGTCAAGGTCATTATGTGTGAGTCTATAATTCCACTAGAATCCACTTATCAACTTGCGCCCGCATACTAAGCCAGTCCATGAGTAAACAAATCTGTGGTGGCTTTTTATTCTCTTCCTTCAGCTGGTAATGTAGAATTCTCCCATGTAGTCATAGCTGTGAGCTGAGGGAGTGATACTGATGTAACGGTGATAGCTACTATGCAGCTTACTTGTGGCTACTACTCCTATTCATGCTCTATCCCGGATGCACCACTGCCATTCCACATTACATGTTTTTTCTGGGTTTACTCAGTCAGATTTGATGATGTTCACAGGCTCTAATTCACGATCAGTAGTTCTGGCTATATGGACACTTAGTGTTCTATGGGAAATAGTTCCATTTCTATCAGGGGCCAGTAACACACTAGAAGTTGTTTTTCTAAACGAATATAATTTGTTGCTGATGCCATGGCCTTGTTCCAGACCTCTAGGAGCCTGTATTGTGATTATTCTACTAGGGCTTGCCACAATTTCCATACAGCACCTTTTCCCACTGTTGATGATTTCAACATGAAGTGTTTGCCAAATCTTATGGCCTAAGCAGTAAGACTGCTTGCACTACAGTATGGAACTGTTGCAGAGCCCTTTTATCCTCTGAGTTCTTTTCAAAGCTGGCAGCCTTTTATGTCACAAAATAATTGGGTGGGAATAGTATTCCAAAGTGTGAAATATGCTGCTTTTAGACTTGAAAAGACCAACTTGTCCTTTACTTTGGAGGGAATGTCCCAGCACGGGACTAGTGGACTCCTACAATTTTAAGGGCATGGCTGGCCCTGAATCTTTGTAGAGGTTCCCTCTTATCTTTCGAGTTTGTGTGTCTTTCCAAGTCTTCTATGTGCTAGCCATTTCTTGCTTCTTTCTCTACTCTCAAAAAGGTCAGCTGACTTTCACACCTGGCTTTTAATTCTGTTACTTGCTCTCAGCTGTTTGTTATTGTACCGCATCAATCACATTTAGCTATAGCCACCCAATCCCATTATCTTATTTTTAAATGAGGGATCCTCACCCCATTCCAGGATCAGGGTGGGTTTAATCTTTTAACAGCTTTTTTGAGATATAATTCTTATGTTATATATAATTGACCAATTCAAAGTCTACATTCAGTGTTTTTTAGTATATTCGCAGTGTTGCACTACCATCACCATGATCTAACTTTATAGTATTTTTGTTCCCCTTGAAAGAAACCCATACCCATTAGCAGTCACCCCTACTCTGTACCCTAAAAAAACACTAATTAGCTTTCTATCTCTATGAATATATCTGTTCTGGATATAAAATAATACAATATGCATGGGGGGGTTGTGACTGGATTCTTTCATTTAGTGCATTTTTAAGGTTCATACATGTGGTAGTATGTTTCAGTACTTCATATATTTTTATTTTTGAATAATATTCAATTATATTGATACAGCACATTTTATTTATCCATTCATTAGTTGGTGGGCATTTAGGTTGATTCTACTTTTGGTTATTATGAATAATGTTGCTATGAACATTTCAATACAAGTTTTTGTGTAGAAATATGTTTCATTTCTTAGGTATATAACTAGGAGTAAAATTACAGGATCATATGGTAACTCCATGGTTAGCTTTTTGAGGAACTTTTTTCCAAAGTGACTGGACCATTTTATATTTCCACAAGCAAAATATGAAGGTTTCAGTTTTTTCACATGCCTGTAAACACTTACTATTGTATTTCTTTTTCATTATAACCATCCTGAGTGTGAACTTGTATCTCATTGTGGTTTTGATTTGCACTTCCCTAATGACTGATGATGTTGAGCATATTTTCATGTGCTCCACTATCCTTTTATCTAATATTTTCTCCATAAGTAACACACATCTAGTACATTGCACTTGCTAGGCCATTTCTAGTACATTGCACCTGCTAGGGCATTTCTAGTGCATTGCACCTGCTAGGAGGGTGTACCCTCCTGATTTGCCACTAGTGAAAGTTTTAACAATTTAACAGCCACCTTGTGCCAAAAGCTCACCACGGTCCACTTATCATCACTTATCACCAGGAGTCCTCCTCGTAGCCAGTAGGGTGGTGAGTGACCCAGCTCTAAAACACCATCTTATTGCCTGCTTTCTCAGATCACTCCTGGTACCAACGGTTGCTGATTGGGTTTTACAGAAGGAGATGTGAAACAGAGTTTGAGGTACAAAATATTTATTAGGAATCAACCTCTGTTAAAGGAGGTGGAAAGAGTAAGATGAGGCAGAGGGAGAAGTCAAACTGAAATGCAGGCCTGACAGCATTCTCCAACCTGGCGGGGAGCTCTGGAGCAACAATTGCTTATCATACTGTCCTGATTTGGGCCAAAATGGTCAGGCCTTTATGCCTGCCACTGACCCAGCCACCAGATGTGGGCTGCCCTCAGAAGTATGCGACTTTGATAAAGGTATTCTCTGCCTCGGAAGCAAAAGTGGAAAGAGCTGATAGCTAGTCTGTCTTCTTACTTCTCTCTCGAAAGCTAAGCATCAGATTTTTCCTTCCATAAAATCTGGGTGTCTCATCACCATGTCTATTGCATATGTTATATTTTGATGCAATTTAGAGGCCTTCTTAATAGTTGTTATATTTCATTAAGTAGCTTGTGGTCATGTTGAATAGTCTCCAAACATTCAACAATTGGGGCATGAATATGAAGTGTTGATAGATAACATATGCAGGGTTAATTTTCTCTTTTCGGTTATATTCTTATTTGCATATATTTATATTTTTGCTGCCTTTTTATTATTCTCTACAAATAGAAGTACGAACTGGTTTCTCTGGATGAAACATAAAATTGTATAGCTTGAGAGGTTCACCTGGCCTTGAATGAAAAAAATAGAAAAAAAAATATATTTATCCATCCATCCACCTATCCATCTTTCTTTCTTTCTTGCCTGCTGGTTTTTATTGTTTAACATTTTTCTTAAATTTAGGTATTGTTTAAAATGATTTTTTGTCCTTTAATAACTCTTGTCTGTGACAGTCACTTAATTTCATGCCAAAAAAGTTTATTGCAAAATGAAAGGTAAAATTTCAGCCAGAGTTCCACTAGCCTTGAGGGGGGACCATAGACATATTTCTCACATTTTTCTAGCCTTTTCTGTAATTTGACCTTTTGATATTAGGATATGACTCTTTCAATATTCAATCCAAATATGTCAAATGCACTGATTTTTCATGTCTTGGGCATTCCCTCTTTGGTGCAGAGTTACCTGACATAAAATGTAATACAATATGCTCTTTGAAGAACCTATGTCAATTTAAGCAATATTGCTACAGAGAAATACATTTACTTATGAAAGGCAAATTGAATTTTAATTTCTACCTTAAATGGCAGATACACTCCCCATTTAGACTTAATACAAAGTAGTTTTCAAATATGCTTATGTAGAGGTGAATAATAATAGATCATTTTAATACACACTTATATATTGCTTACTAGGAAATGACTTTCTCATACAGTATGTATTTGATTTTTTCGCAATAAGTAGACATTTCATTTGATTTGCTCTAATAGCTTCAATATTTAATAGCTTGTATATTTGTTAAGCTAAAAAAGGTCCAGTGGCTGTCTCTTACTCTTAAGTAATTTACACTGGCTGTACTTTCAATGCTTTTACTTCAATGTTTGTGCATATGTATTAGTCCGTTTTCATGCTGCTAATAAACATATACCTGAGACTGGGTAATTTATAAAGGAAAGAGGTTTAAATGACTCACAGTTCAGCATGGCTGCGGAGGCTTTGGGAAACCTACAATCATGGCAGAAGAGGAAGTAAACAGGTCCTTCTCGACATGGCAGCAGCAGGGAGAAGTGTCAAGCAAAAGGGGGAAAGCCCCTTATGAAACCTTCAGATCTCGTGAGAACGCACTATCACGAGAAAAGCAGCATGGGGATAACCACCCCATGATTCAATTACTTCCCACAGGATCCCTCCCACAACACGTGAGGATTATGGGAACTACAATTCAAGGTGAGATTTGGGTGGGGACAGAGTCAAACCATATCAGCATATTTTCTGAAAATTTTGAATTTCAGTGAATTGAAAGGTAAAGGAAAGTGAATTTTAAGTATCAAAAAGAATGAGTGCTTATGTAACAGTTGAGGTGCACGTGCTCTCTTTCTCTCTTACACACACGTGCACGCACACACATGCACACACACACACACACACAGAACGTAGGCTTCTATGCCACATCAGCATATCTGGGAGTCTATTTGAATAGACCATGTAAAATGTATTGGAGTGGATAATGGCGAGACTGGAAATGGGTCAATGGGTCCATCTCACATACTGGAATAATAGGCTTATGTCTGACCCTGTAAGTCTGGAACAAACCTTTTGTCAATGAAAAAAAAATTCCTCTGTAAGAATACAGCTGTCTATAATGAACAACTAGTAATTTTGGGCCATGCTTCCTTTAAAACTCTCTTCAATCCTGGAAAACCCTGCAGAAAGGTGATTTTAAAAAAAAATTTTTTGTAGAAACGGGGGTGTCCCTATGTGCTGGTCCCAAACTCCAGGCCTCAAGCAATCCTCCCACCTCAGCATCCCAAAGTACTGGGATTATAGGCATTAGGAATCACTCCCAATTGTTAAAACTATAGTTTTAACAATTATTTTTTAACAATACAATTAATGTGTTGTTAAAACTATAGTTTTAACAATACATTATATATTATATATATTCATTCCATTAGTTCTGTCCCTCTAGAGAGCCCTGACTAATACACTTGCCCTGTACCAGACCTTAGAGGGCAAGATTTCATTTTCCCCCATTGATTATGACATTAGCTGTGGGTTATTTCATATATGGCTTTTATTGTGCTGAGGTAAGTTCCTTCTATGCCTACTTTGTTGAGAGTTTTAATCATAAATGGATGTTGAACTTTGTCAAGTGCTTTTTCTGAGTCTATTGAGATGATTATGTGGTTCTTTTTCTTTCATGTTTTAATGTGTTGCATTGCATTGATTGCTTTGTGTATATATATTGACCCATCCTACATGTCAGAGATAAATTCCATGTGGTCATGGTGTATGATCCTTTTAATATTCTGTTGAAATCAGTTTGCTAGTATTTAATTGAGGATTTTTACTCTTATGTTATCAGGGATTTTGGTCTGTAGTTTTCTTGTAGTGTCTTTGCCTGATTTTTATGACAGAGTGATGTTGACTTCATAGAATGGGTTTGGAATTATTCTCATTTTTCTGTTTTTTTGGAAGAGTTTAAGAAGGATTGGTATTAATTCTTCTTTAAGTGTTTCACTGAGGCCATCTGGTCCTGGTGAAGCAGTCTCATTGTCTGAGGTATTACCTGAAGCTCTTTGTCTCACGACCAAGGAGTGTGGACACCAAGGGTGAGTTTGAGTGAAAGTTTAATAAGCGAAAGAGGGAAGCTCTCCACTGGGGAGAGGGGGCCTGAGAGAGATGCCATTTCAGAGTTGACTACAAAGGTTTTTTTGAGGGACTTGGTGGGGCCGGGGGATCTCTTTGCATAAGGCACAAAAAGACAGGTTAGGGCTGGGTGTCTTAATTTGTATAAGGTGTGGATTTCTGACAGCTCCACCCCATCCCTCTAGTGTGCATGTGGACCCTTAGCATGAGTTACTGTTCTAAGTAACTCTGTTTCCCTTACTGTGCATGTGTTAGGAGATGGAATTTTCTATTGCAGATACGTTTAGTTCTGTACAACTCCTCTTATCTGTGCAGCTGCGAGCATGTCTTAGCCAACTCCCGCCCCCCCGACCCTGTGGAAGTTCTCTTATCTGAGTATGCCCAAAAAAGGAAAGGAATGTATCCACTGGAGCCCACTGTGTGTATGTGAAACTTATTGGTTACAACAAAAATGTTTTATGTTGGACCTTGCCTCCTTATCTGTGCTTGCAGCTTGAGTTTTCAGGCTGCTCTTTTGTTAGAAAGAATTCTACCAAGGACCTTGCTCTAACTATCTGCCTAACTGTTTCCTTACTTTCTCCTTTCTCACGGGGCTTTTCTATGCTGTGAAATTTTTGATTAGTGATTCAATCACCTTATTTGTTATTGTTCTGTTCAGATTTCCTATTTCATCTTGATTCAGTTTTAGTAAGCTATGTGTTTTAGGAATATTTCCACTTCTTCTAGGTTATCTAGTTGTTGGCATATAATTATTCATAATAGACCCTTAAAATCCTTTTTGAGTTTTGAGACATACATGGTAATGTCTCCTTTTGCATTTCTGATTTTAATTATTTGAACCTTATCTCTTTTTTCTTAGTTAGTGTAGCCAAGGATTTGTTGATTTTATTTATCTTTTGAAAAACCAACTTTTATTTTTTCTATTTTTTAATATTCTCAATTTTATTTCTTCTCTACTCTTTATTGTTTCCTTTTTTCTGCTAACTTTGGACTTAGGTTGTTTTTCTTTTTTTAGTTCCTTGAGGTATAAAGTTAGGTTGTTTATTTGAGATCTTTCTGCTTTTTTAAGGTAGGCGTTTATTGCTATAAACTTCCCTCTTAGTGCTGCTTTTGCTGAATCCCATGGGTTTTGGTATATTGTGTTTTCACTTTGTTTTTCTCAAGGTACTTTTCAAATTCCGTTTTGATTTTCTCTTTGACCCAATGGTTGTTCAAGAGTGTGTTGTTTAGTTTCCACATATTTGTGAATATCCACTTTTCCTACTGTTAATTTAGTTAATTTAATTTAGTTTCACTCCACCGTGGTCCGAGATGATACTTGGAATGATTTTTGATCTTCTTAAATCTGTTAAGACTTGTTTTGTGACCTAACAGGTTCTTGGAGAATGTTCCATGTGCACTTGAGAAAAATGTGTATTATTTTGCTTTTAGGTGGAAAGTTTTGTATATGTCTGTTGGTTCCATTTGCTCTATAATGTTGCTCCAGTCAGCTGTTTCTTTATTGATTTTCTGTCTGGATGTTCTATCCCTTATTGTAAGTGGGTTATTAAAGTCACCTACTATTATTTTGTTGCTGTCAATTTATTATTTGTGATGTGTCAATATTTACTTTATATTTTGGGTGCTCTGATGTTGGGTAGGTATATATTTATAATTGTTATAAGTCCCTACTGAATGGACCCTTGCTTCATTATATAATGACCTTTTTTTCCCTCTAGAGACAGTGTTAGACTTCAAATCTATTTTGTCTAAGGATCACCACTGTAGCATATATATATATATATATATATATATATATATATATATATGAAAACAGTGTCAAAGGACAAAATTATAACAGATTTTATTTAAAGACCTAAATTAACTTTATTGCAATTCTAGAATTATATGATACTTTATTCCATAAAATAGAATAAGTGCTCCAATGAATTGAGTAGAAAGGGTTGGCTTTATAGACAGAGAGGGGCTGAAGAAAGCAGAAGCAAAGAATAAAGAGTGTATTAGTGATTTCAAAGCTAGTTTTGTTTTAAGACAGACAGGGAGACAGAACAATAGAAAAATAGCTGATTAGTTAAGTATTAAAACAGAAGGAACTTTATTATCATGCTGATTAAAGATTTAAAATACTTTGAGTTGATTATTATACATTCTATGCATGTAACAAATACATCTACCTCATAAATATGTAAATTATTTTTTTTTATCAACAACAAAAAATCTGGCCTGTTTAGGACATTGGCTGGTTTTCTTTCTCCTGATTTCTGGGAAGGTCAGATAATAACTTAGTTTGAGTTTGGTGACATAGAATGTTAGCATGGGTAACTGCATTTTGGTTTTTAATCTGGTCTGTTGGAGCCTAATGCAGAAAATCAGCCCAAAACAATGGCCTTCTATAATTTTTATTAAACACCCATTATAACCTAAAATTTTTTTTTGGAAATGGAAGTATATGTCATAGACAGGAGTAGTAAACTCCCTAAAGTAATATTGCTGATTTGTCTTGGAGACAGGTTTTTTTTCTGTAAAACTTTTACCTTCAAATCAAGCTTCAAAGCTTTTAGCTGATCTGTTTTACCTCTGCCCATGGCAACATTTTTTGAGAAGCATAACTAGGCCTGAAAGCATGACATGAATCAAAGTCTTATCTTTAAATAAATAATTTTAAAAACTGTATTATCTAAATTAGTAAGTCATTATTTCTGAGTAATGATACTACAAATCTATTTTTTTCTCTAGACAGGACTGTAACTTAAACTAAAACTCAGTTATAACAGCTAGAATCTGGATTTTTAATTTCAATGTCTTTGTGATATTTTTATTCAATTAAGAAGTTTGTAGAGCAAGTACCAGATACATGAACTAGTTGGCACTCCATTTCTGTTTTTTTTTTTCTGACTCTTTTTTTTTTATACTTTAAGTTTTAGGGTACATGTGCACAATGTGCAGATTAGTTACATATGTATACATGTGCCATGTTGGTGTGCTGTACCCATTAACTCATCATTTAACATTAGGTATATCTCCTAATGCTATCCCTCCCCGCTCCCCCCACCCCACAACAGGCCCCGGTGTGTGATGTTCCCCTTCCTGTGTCCATGTGTTCTCATTGTTCAATTCCCACCTAATTCTTTCTTCTTTATCATAGCTCCCCAAGCCTTTGGAACTCAAACACACACACACACACACACACACACACACACACACACACACACACACACAGAGTTAATTTTTAACCTTTGCTGTGAGAAGAGTTTGCTTCCTAGAAACCAATTAATTCATTATCCATGTATTAAATGCCCATTATGAACAAACCATTGTGTTAGGGATTCAAAGATGAAGAGGATATTGCCCTGCCCTAAGGAAATCATACCTGACTAGACTTCTATAATACATACTACCAATAGTTCAAACCATTCTCTTACCACCACCAACCCCAAGAATGTGTTCCTCTTTTATATTAAAAATGAGATATATTTTTATGAGCTCTCAGATATCTTTCAGGCTTGTTTCTGTTGCCTGTACCTTGGATCTCTCTGGCTCTTTCTAAATGGTACAACCCAGACACCTGCAAACATCAATTTGACCTAACAAAGTGATAACTTGAATCTGAGTCCCAACAGGATGTATTTCTATTTTATAATCATATATCCCAGTTCAGGCAAGAATCCAGATTTTCAATAGTCATGGCCAATACCTTTTTTTGTTTTGTTTTGTTTCTATTCTTCATTGACTTTATTATTGATGGGACTTATTTGGCAAGATCCATACACTTTCTTGTATAAGGGATTGTCTAATTCAGGTAGCTGTATTGACAAAGACTGTTTAGAATACAGCTGTTTAACTCCAGTAAGATTATCTAATTTAAAATAATGTAGAAAGTATGCTTAATATAGGGATAAGCCTTTCAAAAAGTATGCAAAATTAAAGATACCTGACTTAAAATGTGAATGGGTATCAACATGACACAAACATAATAGGGATAGTGGATGGGGTTTTGGAATTGAATAAAACTCTGTTAATACGCTAGCTTCTTTTCTCAGTATCTGTGTGATCTTAAAGTTATTTCGACTCTCAGGGCCTCAGTTTTGTTAAATGTGTTATGTATAAGAAAGTTAATAATATCCTTCTCCCAGAGTTGTTATAAGGATTAAAGTATAATGTAATATTTTTAGGTTGAATCATATAAAAATTGCCAAGATTCAACTTTTTGAAGCTTAAAAAAGGACAATTTTCTTATGATTAAACCTAAAATATATAAAGCCCCTTATACACAGAAACCATTAAATATCTGATAGCTCTCGTTTCTTTGGAAAAACAGGTATGCTCAGTGCCTCTCTTCCTGTCGCACCTCCTTCTGCACCTCCAGAAACTTGGTAGGGGAAGGGAACATCTGCTTTGTTCCATTCCTTACCTCTAAAAGTTATGATTTCCCTAATGTATGCTTCTGGGTGGTAGTTCAATGGTATCTTTTGGGCAGGGGCTAGGGGAGAAGGAGTAGAAAAGTAAGTGGACAGTACTATGACCTAAAAACTTAAAAATAGGATGTGAACTAAGATGTGCTAAGAATGAAAGAAAGATCAGTATTGAGTGAGGAGAGGTTTGGGCACATTCAGTTGTGAACATGCAACCAATCAGCACTTTGGGAGAGGGATATCTATTGGACACTTCTATCCCATTTCTTCCTATTTACTATTTCCATAACTGTTACAATATTAACAACTGACAACCCTCCCTCCCATGCAGTTTCTGTCTGGCATGTGGATGTTTTGCAGTGTCCTGTAAATTACTGGAGAGCATTTGTGAAGAATTCAGGGGAAGCTCTCTCCCTTTTTCCTTTTTCCATAACTCTTCCTACAACTGAAGGCAAGGGAAGCCTCTGCAGCAACCAAAAGAAAGACAGAATAAATATTCCATAGAGGTCTGGAGCAGCCTATTCGGGGCAGCTCTCCTCAGGTGGGAGCTCATGTATGTTTACAAATTTTCTCTGTTACTTTTAAATATTTACTTAATGCACATTTACTATCTTCCCAAATAGACTGTAAGCAATTTAATATCAGGAGCCACATCCCATTTGTATGTATTATCCTCCCTCTCCTTTCAGTCTGTTACTTATTTTTTTCTCATAAATTTAGAGTTCAATAATAATACACTAACTCCAAAACCCAATAAAACCTCTTTTGCTTTAGGAATATCTGGTTTCATGTTCTTTGATTCTCTAATAGACAGAAAGCTCCTACCTCTCTCTTATCCATTTCAATATAAGTCATTTCCTCTTACTACAGCTCTTTCTAAGTGGAACAACTGCTTAATTTCCTACTGAGAAAATCCTCTCATATATTTGAAGACATCTATTAATCTTGGATAGCTTGCTTTGTTGTGGCTCAATAGCCTAGACTCCTTTATTTTTGTTGAGGGAAGTAATTTCCTATCCTTTAATCTATTCAGTTGATCATCTCTAGATTCTTTCTGGTTTCTCCCATATATTTTTATAGATGGAAAGATTTGACCTTTGCCTCCAAAGGTCCCCAGGCAAAAGCCATATGATCACCTACTTCCCTCTGTCAAAGGTCAGCTCTCTTCAGAACTAGAACAATGCCTTTGTTTATAGGTGTTGGGTGTGGTGGAGTTTAACTAAGACTTTTATAATCAGTGCTAGAGTTCTGAAGTTTTTGGTGAGAGGGCTATCCTCAATAATTCTGGCATTGCGAATGGTTCTGACATCATGATTTCGAGTTCTGCAGCTAACATTTGGCCTTAAGCAACTTTTACCAAAGAGAGATGTAGTAGGTTAAAAATGGCCAGATATTGCAGATATTGAAGAGGTCAAGTATAGATTTCCTCCCCTTAAATCTGGGCTGGTCTGTGACTGCTTTAACTGACTGAATATGGAATAAGTAATATTATGGCTTATTCCAGGCCTAATCTTTTAGGGAAGTAGCAATTACCACCTCCTCTTGAAGTCCAGAGCTGCCATAATAAGAAATCCAACTATCCTGTTGGGAAAACACATGCAAAGACTACATAGATATGGAGAGAGACCCAGCTGAGCCCAGCTTTTCAGTGATCCTGCCAAGTTGGTAGCATGTGAGTGAAGCCATCTTGAATCCCCCAAACTAGTCCACACACCCGCTAAATAAGATGGATTGGTCAACCCGCTAAATAAGATGGATTGGTCATATCAGTGCTATGTAGAGGAGAAAAATTGTCTCACCAAGCCCTGCCCAATTTCTCGACCTATAATATTGTAAGAGATAATAAATTGTTTTAGTAAGTCACTAGTTGTGTAATTATTTTTGTAGCCATCAATAACTAGAAGAAGGAAACACAATCCCCTTTTCTTTCACATTACTACTTTTTCTGTATGCTCCTCAGTATTCCTTTAACCTGTAAGTGTCCTTGAGTACTCTGGTTAATTGTTTGTGGCTGTGGCTATAGCTTCTGGGGTTAATGTAGAGGGTCTGATTGTTATCATACAGTCAAGCAATTCTAAGTATTTTTCCAATAATTTTTCCAAGTATTTTCCAGGCTTCTTGTCCACCATAGTTAGCTCAGCCAGGGACACCGGGAAAGACCAAAATGCTAAACAGGGCAATTTCGTCTCTTTATGGCAGTTTCTGCTATTTTTGTTTTGAAGCCCTTTGCTTCCATGTGAGAAGTATGACCACACCATGCTATAGAGACCATGTGGAGTTAAAATGCAATTTTTTCATCATCATAGGATAAATAAGAGTTCTGCCACAACCTGTTTTTAGTAAAAAGGTAAGTCTTATGTTTCATATCTTTATGTGAAAGAATGATTCCTGATTTAGTTTTCTTACAAGAATAAAGCTACAGTGTTGTGATGGAGAAGGTTGTCGGACATGTGCAGGAGGGAAAAGGGCAGAAATGGAGTATAGCCCAGTATTTCTTAGCCCATTCATATGGGTCAGTGAATACTGATTCATAATTCTCAGGGTACTGAGACACAGACCTATTTATTAAGAGTCCTGTGACATGTCACTGGTAGTAACCCTTCTCTTCTTTCTCCGTGGCTTGTCTACTTAGACCTTCCACTTTGGTTACATTTTCTGAAAAAATTTTGTGAGTCTCAAAGCATGATCTGAATAAGCAGGTTACATACTGCGTTATTTCTAATCAATGAAAAAGACTAAGTTCTCCTAGAATGATCTTCCTCTATTGGGATCAATCTTTCCCAGTGTTACTACATCAGAAGTAGGGTCTTATTTCCTATTGGTTTACTTGTCTAAGGTCAGGAAAGCAAAAGATTTGGTTCCTATGGACCCAACTTGAAAAAAAAAATTTTAGAAATATGTAAATATAGCTACCAACACACTTTCAGCATCACAAGTCACGAGTACAAGATTATTTTCACTTAATTACCCCAAACATGGTTGATATCTGTACTCTTTGCCCATTTCTTAAGGTGTTAAAATAAAAGAACAGGTATTTAAGAAATCTCTCTCTCTCTCTCTCTCTCACACACACACACACACACACACACACACGGAGAGAGACATACACAAACATCAGCAGGTAGAGTGACAGTGACAGGGGACAGTTGATGTGAATTTCTCAGTGTTTTAATCCACTCTCTTAAGCTGGCCTCTGGCTACTCAGAGAGTATTTCTGGTAGAATGACAGCAATGTTGCCCTAGCTGAGGAACACATTTGAAGCCAATCTTTAGGCCCTGGATGAATAAATATATGGCTAGGATTATGGAAATGCCTGCTCAGGGTCTGCAGATCTAGTAACCAAAAAGTCATCAAGAGCAGATCAGTTAAGCCATTGGTGACAGAAGATAGAGGATGTTTGAAAATGAAGCAATCTTTAGGCTTTCTTAAACTAGGGGAATAGATTTTCACCAACCCTTGAACTTTTAAAATACAGCATGTAGGAGATGCATTGGAGTGAGGGAAACACATTTGGAAAGGACCCCAGTCACTGCATTTCAGGAATCAGCAAGCGCTAAGATATTCTTAGCCTGGGAGGGCTATTTGAACCTTGGGTCACCTAAGGGTATGTATGCTAAACGTTGTATTACATAATTATTGGAGACTATGCACTTCTTTCTCTCTCTCTCTCTCTCTTTTTTTTTTTTATAGCTGTGGTCTCACTAAATTGTCCAGGCTGGTCTCAAATTACTGAGTTTAAGTAATCTTCCTGACTCAGCCTCCTGAGTAGCTGAGACTACAAGTGCATGCCACCATGCCAGGCTAATTTTTAAAATTTTTATAGTAACAAGGTCTCCCTGTGTTGTCCAGGCTGATCTTGAACTCCTAGCCTCAAGTGATTTTTTTTTTTGTCTCAGCGTCCTGAGTAGCTGGAACTACACACATGAGCCACCATGCCTGGCTTCAGTGGGCTTCCTGAGGAGCCAATAGGTTGGTATAAAGAACCTTTTAGCTCAAGAGAGAATATGAGGTAGATTTTGAAAAATCTACTCATGGTCATGTTACATATCGACAGTACAGGAAGAACAAATATGGGCATGTGGCAGCAGCAAAATCTCCCTGAATCTAAAGCTGCAACTTTAAGGCCCTGAACTTGCCTGACTTTTCCAAGGCCCATGAGAGCTTATAGCAATGTGTTCACATGACCATGTGTTTTATACAGTTTGCAAATTAAGGTTATTTTATGCAGTTCACTGTTTCTTTCCAGTGTAACATGTCTTCCTGTTACATTTTCCTTCTCTCAGGTGCCACTGGTGTGGCCAAAGAAACTTTTGAGATATGGCTAAGGTGAAGGTGAATTGAAAAACATTTACTTTGGGTTTACTGTGATACATGTTTGTGGTTTTTAGTCATGTCCAAGTAAAGTTATTTCTAGCCATCCCATGTAGTGTAGCAATGGCTTCCAAGAAAACTTCTATAGTCCACTGTTCTGACCGATTTAGTGTTGTGACAGGTATATGCAGGACCAGAGGTCTTACTGAAATGGGAAATTTTCCCTTGTCCCTCTCGCAGGTGTGCGATGGGGGTCTGGCTCGCTTTTTCAGTGCCCCGCTGCTCAAACTTCTAGGGGAGCATATAGATGGGCAGGCTGTGAGGCTCCGACCTCACGGCAATGTCTAAGGGTGAATGTTTACTGCTCCTGAAGCCCCAATGGGTATGTGTTACAGGGTGCTCTTTTAGGCGGCTTGTGTTAAGCAGCTCAGTTAGACCCTCTACCTTGTAGCAAGGACAGAGGGCTTTCTGTATCCTTGGCTCTTGCCTTGCTATGCCGGATGAATCGGATCACGCGTGGGCTTGGAGAAAGAGTGCAAAGTGTTATTGAGTGGAAGTAGCTCTCAGGCGATGGAGGAACCAAAAGAGAGATAGTTTTCCCCTGGAGTTGGGGCACTCGACGGCCCCGGCTCTCCTCTGACTGCTCCAGCCAGGCCAAACTTGGCCTCATCCCTCTGGTTGATGGCCTGCTGGCATGCCAGCATCTGTCGTTGTGCTTTTCCACCAACGTGCTCCCTCGATGTCCTCTCATCGTCCAGCCATTTGTGTCTTCTTCCGCTGATGTGCTCATCTCGATGTCTGGCCACCTGTGTGTCTGCCTGCTAGGGTCTCGGGTTTTTACAGGCCCAGGATGGGGGTGTGGAGGGCCAGAGTTGTCTTGGAAAATGCAACATTTGGGCTCGAAAGTAGGAGTGCCTATCCTCACCTAGGTCAGTGGAGGTGGAGTCCTAGCCAGGGACTATGCCTTCCTCTACCCAGCACTTCCCTGTCCACCCCCATATCACTTAAAGGGACCACACTCTTCCCTTCCCAGCACTCCCGTATCATTACTGTGATATAAATGTGCTCTAAAGAACTTAGCATTGAAGGCTTGTGGATATGGGAAGAGAAGCAAGATTTGAAATATATGAAGCCAGGAGCTAGTCTTTGGGAAGTTCTACCACTTATGAGTCATAAAACATTGTAATGGGAGATTTGGTTTCCATTGAAGCTTGTCAAAGCAGAAATTCCAGTCAGAAATGTATTTGGTAATATAGTACATGCCATTATATATGTATCATGCTTTGTTTTTTCCTGTTTTCATGGGATTCATGTATAAAGGAATTTATCTGAACTAGGTTGGTGGTGGTGAGTGGGACCTGTAACATCACCAACAGCTAGTAATGTTTGGAAAGTTGCATGCTTTATGTATTCAATACACTGGATTGTACCTTAATATTATCCATTCTGATGAAACAGCAAAGCATCTTGAATTTGTTGGAACAAATTCTGAAAGATCTGGGTGAAACAGTACACAAAATTGCCACAAGCACAGCAACAAGTAAAAAACAAGTGTTCTATTGACAATGCACCTAATACATCTTCATTAATAAGTCAAAGTATGTGTAGTAATTTGATTACCCATTAATTTAGTTCAATGCAATGTAGCTGCAATTTTAAAATGCATTTGAATTGTTCATCTGTGGCTTTTTCCTTCAAAAATATATAACGTATTCAACTTGTCTAATGTATTGCTATTAGTAATTCCAGGTACCAATAGTAGAAGGTACAGAGAAATTGGATATGCAGGGTTAAAGACACAGTTCAACTTGAGTCTTACCAGCTGTGTGAACTTGGGCAAGTCATGGAACCATTTGGACCTATCTTCATTTACCTCTAGATTGGAAATAACATTTTTTCTACTCATACATCCGGCTATATTAAGAGAAATGTGGTACAATATTTATTACAAGTATTTGTGCACTGAAAAGTGCTATGCAGTATTAATACTAAGTCTTTAGTGGTGATGGTTTAAAAAGGAAAACATTATCTCATTTTATGTAACCCCTGGATTATCCTCCACATCTGGAAAACCTGGCTATATTTTATCTCAGCAAAAAATAATCACTGTAGGTTTATTTTTCAACACAAAATTTTAAAATTTACCTCAAATAAGCCAGTGCAAAAATATAGAAAGAAAAAAACTTTTAAAAACCTTACTGCATTAATAGTGAGTTATAAAAAGTAATTTCTGGGGAAATAGCAATTAGGTTGGCTTCCTGGTTATATTAAAAATACATTAAGCTTATTCAAAATGGCTTTATATAAAGAAATAAACTGTCCATTATGAGGAAATAGTGATTTTTCTACGTAACATTGAACTCAAACTATCTATTATATCTCAACTATTTGAATATTATGTCAGAGCTCTGTGAAAAGTGACAAATGACATTGTGACATATAAGCATATTAACAGAGAAAACTGGCTGCTAGAAGGCTCTCACCCAGTGGAAATTTCTTAATACATTTATCATGATCTCCATTTAGAAACTGCTTTAGTGTTGATCAGACGTAGGGATGTTGGTCCATGCTATGCAACTCCCAGGATATTTCAGGGTAAATCTGAATACTGATCTATTAATTTGCAACGAGAAATACAAATGTCAAGCTAACTGGAGAATCAGGTCAGCCAGACCAGCAGATATCCTCCCTGTGGAAAAACTCCAAAGGAAGTCAATTACAATTAGAAAAGCCTAGTGAGGGAGTTAGTTGGATGACTCAAATATGATGGTACAAAGCAGCTATGTCTCTTGGTATTGCCAGCCAATAGCAGGGTCACAGTGAACCTTCTGTAAATCTTTGCTAAATCAAAGAAAAGTTTACGGAGTTGTGCCTGACAGAGGGACCAAATAGAAGAACATATTGGCTCTGCATTCTTCCTTCCCCTGGAAAATGTGGAGACAAAATGCTAACTTGCAAATGTTAGGATTACTACATAATATAATAAAAACATTAAAAGCAAGATTTATATGTAAATATTAAAGACATAAAATAGGAATTGAGGAAGGTAATTAATAACTTCATAAATTAGAGAAAGGGCATTCAAATAAGAAGAGAGGAAGTCAAACTGTCTCTGCTTTTAGATGACATGATCTTAATCTAGAAAACCCTGTCGTCTTAGGCCAAAAGCTTCTTAAGCTGATAAGCAACTTCAGCAAAGTCTCAGGATACAAAATCAGTGTGCAAAAATCACAAGCATTCCTACATACCAACAGTATACAAGCCAAGAGGGAAATATGAATGAACTCCTCTTCACAATTGCTACAAAGATAATAAAATACCTAGGAATACAGCTAACAAGGGAAGCAAAGGACTTTCTCAAGGAGAACTACAAACTGCTGCTCAAGAAAATCAGAGAGGACTCAAGTAAATGGAAAAACATTCCATGTTCATGGATAGGAAGAATCAACATCATGAAAATGGTCATACTGCCCAAAGTAATTTATAGATTCAGTGCTACTCCCATTAAACTACCATTGACATTCTTTAGAGAATTACAAAAAACAACTACTTTAAAATTAATATGGAACCACAACAGAGCCTGTATAGCCAAGACAATCCTAAGCAAACAGAACAAAACTGGAGGCATCAAGCTACCTGACTTCAAACTATACTGCAAGGTTTGGTTACTACAGTAACCAAAACAGCATGGTACTGGTACAAAATCAGGTACATAGGCTAATTGAACAGAATAAGGATCTCAGAAATAAGACTGCACATCTACAACAATCTGATCTCTGACAAACCTGACAAAAACAAGTAATGGAGAAAGGATTCCCTATTTAATAAATGGTGCTGGGAGAACTGGCTAGCCATATGCAGAAAATTGAAACTGGACCCCTTCCTTATACCTTATACAAAAATTAACCCAAGATGGATTTAAGACTTACACATAAAAGCCAAAACTATAAAAACCCTAGAAGAAAATCCAGGCAATACCATTTATAAGCATGGGCAAAGATTTCATGAAGAAAATATCAAAAGCAATTGCAAGAAAAGCCAAAATTGACAAGTGGGATCTAATTAACCTAAAGAGCTTCTACACAGCAAGAGAAATTATCATCAGAGTGAACAGGCAACCTACAGAAAAGGAGAAAATTTTTGCAATCTATCCATCTGACAAATGTCTAATAGCTGGAATTCACAAGGAACTTAAACAAATTGACAAGAAAAAAACAACCCCATTAAAAAGTGGGCAAGGGGAATGAACAGACACTTCTCAAAAGAAGACCTTTATGTGACCAACAAACGTATGAAAAAAAGCTCAACATCACTGATAATTAGAGAAATGCAAATCAAAACCACAATGAGATACCACCTCACACCAGTCAGAATGGCAATTATTAAAATGTCAAAAAAAAAAAAAACAGATGCTGGTGAGGCTGTGGAGAAATAGGAACACTTTTACACTGTTGGTGGGAATGTAAATTAGTTCAATCATTGTGGAAGACAGTGGCGATTCCTCAATGACCTAGAACCAGAAATATCTTTTGACAAAGCAATCCCATTACTGGGTATAATACCCCAAAGAATACAAATCATTCTATTATAAAGATATGTGTACATGTATGTTCATTGCAGCACTATTCACAATAGCAAAGACATGAAATCAACCCAAATGCTCATCAATGATAGACTGGATAAAGAAAATGTGATACATATACACCATGGAATACTATGCAGCCATAGAAAGGAACAAGATAATGTCCTTTGTAGAGACATGGATGGAGCTGGAAGCCATTATCCTCAGCAGATGAATACAGGGACAGAAAACCAAGCACTGCATGTTTTCACCTATAAGTGGTAGCTGAACAATGAGAACACATTAACACAGGGAGGGAAACAACACACATTGGCGCCTGTTGGGGGTGTAGGGGGAGGGAGAGTATCAGGATAAATAGCTAATGCATGTGGGGCTTAATACCTGGGTGATGGGTTGATAGGTGCTGCAAACCACCATGGCACATGTTTACCTGTGTAACAAACCTGCATGTCCTGCACATGTACCCCAGAACTTAAAATAAAATAAAAAAGAAACTGCTATTTGCCTATTTGGATGTAGTTTCAGAGAAATACACACACACACACACACACACACACACACACACACACACACACACAAATATACCAAAACAGACTGAATACCCAAAGTACTCCTCTCTTTTCAGACTTTCTATCTGTGAGGCTATATTTTATTCATATACATCAGCTAAAGCTATACATTGCACCAGCTTAAATGCAGAAGCAAATGTGAAGTTCCAGCTGTTTTCTACAGAGCCAGATGTAGAGATTTTTAAAAATATAAAGCAGTGCCCTCTTCTCACTAATTTTTCTTTTAATATAGTTATTTTAAAGATGATATAATTATTATATTAAATAATATAGTTAATATTTCTTATAAAATATATTATAAATATATTAAATGGGTTTGTAAGTATCATTTTAAATGAATTGATACTTAAATGTTTTTTTAAAATCACTCACTTTTAGTTTCTAATATGCTAACTATAGTTTGTTATAATCCACATTAATAAAAGCTTTTTTGGGTCTTCAGTAATTTTGACCAGAGTACAGGAGTCATGAGAGCAAAGAGTTTGCTAATGACTAATCTAGGACTCAAGTGAGGTGTATTAATTATGGCTTGTTAGATTTAAATGTCTTTTCCTTACAAGGCCCTTGTCACAGAAGGGCTAAGTCGTGTCAAGTGAAAGGAGCAAGAGAGGGTTGGTTAATCAGGACTATCTGTGCCCTGGTTTCAATGGGGAAAAAGACAGGCAATGAGATGGGTATGTTTTTTGCCTCATTTGGATTGAGAGCAGTAAGGAAGATGAGGTTTAAACACAGAGAAGAGTAAAGCTATTTCCCCCTTCTGCTCCTTTTGTCCCAGAGCCCCCAGAAACTGGGTGAGTCTAGTAGAAGTGACGGAATCTTTTAAGAGACATTCAAACATAATTCTGTGCTGGACACTGAAAAAGACAAACAAAAAAAGTGCCATATAAAGTCTGTCAATCCCTAGGGGCCAGATTATCCCGTGCCCTGAAGGACTGCCAGGGTACATAATCAGATACATTAGCAACGGCTTCAACATGTTCTTCTAGAACATCATGTCTTTGAATTAAGGGCTTAATACATAATTGATGAACACTTCAGTTCTGAGGTGAAAAGGTGGTTCCAGTGGAAATTTAAAAGGAAATATAAATGTTAGAATAAATATTAAAAAGAAATGTTAGAGTTTTACTGATAGAACCCTTTAATGCTGTTAAAAATACTGTTTTCCTACCTAGCTCTCTTTCATTTTCTACACCAGTGCTATCCAATATAAATATAATACAGCCATAAATAAAATGTGAACCACGGAAATAGTTTTAAATTTACTAGTAGTCACATTTTAGAAAGTAAAATCATTAGTGAAATTAATTTTTTTATCAACACAATATATCCAGAATATTATGGTTCCAATGTGTAATCAATATAAAAATTCATAAAACATTTTGCACTCTTTTTTTCATAGTAAGTCTTCAAATATGGTATGTATTTTATACTTACAACATAATTCAATGACTAACCACATTTCAAATGTTCAGTGACCTTATACGGCTTATGGCAAACATATTGGGCAACTCAGTTCTATACAGCCATAATTTCAGATGTCCATCAGCAGCATTAACTTGGGAACCTAGAAGTACTCTTCATGTTTTTTATTGTTTTCATTTTCTTGCTTCTCACAGTGCTAACAAAATACATAGATGTCAAAATTCTCAGTTTTACTTTCCTCTCTGCTGGGTATATTAGGTTAGCACTAGCAGTGATTCTTGGATTTTAATATCTCTGTTTCCATGTGTTGTGTAAATACAAGTATTAAAGTGACTTTTTCTAATATATCTTTACTTGGGAATTAAATATCACTGCTTCCTCTATTAGTTGATTCTGGGTATTTTCATTTGTTGAGGCCTCCGTGATAAAATGGTACTGCCTTTCTCCAAAGTAAAAGCTGCTGTTCCATTTGTTCTATTAGTTTTCTTGTTCTAGCAGCTTGGATTTAATACAATTTTTTTTTTTTTTTTGAGACAGGGTCTTTGTCGCCCAGGCTGGAGTGCAGTGGCACCATCTTGGCTCACTGCAGCCCCCACCTCCCGGGTTCAAGTGATTCTCCTACCTCACCTTGGGAGTAGCTAAGACTACAGGCACCGGCCACCATGCCCGGCTAATTTTTGTATTTTTTGGTAGAGATGGGGTTTCGCCATGTTGGCCAGGCTTGTCTCAAACTCCTGACCTCAAGTGATCCGCCCACCTCGGCATCCCAAAGTGCAGGGATTACAGGCGTGAGCCGCTGTGCCTGGCTGGATTTAATACACTTTTAAATTTAATATTTGACTTAGATTTTCTGTTCTGAAATAAATTATTGGGAAAGACGTGGGTTTATTTTATTTTGAGTCACTGGTCTAATTTTAAAAGATGTAGTTGTTCACTTGAAGTAGTACTCTAGGATTTAGGTAATTTTCTTTCATTATTTTATTTATTCATTCATTCCAAAATTGTTTATTGAGGTCACTATGTTTCAGGCAATGACTGTCTTTGCTTCCTTTCCTACCATGAAGAATCAATTATATTTTTGAATTGTTAATTCTTATCTAATTTCATGCTTACAGAATACTTGCAAAAAAAGTACAATTCCCAAATATCTCTCATCTAGCTTTTCCTAAAGTTAACATTTTACATAATAATGACCAAAAACAGTAAATTAATATTGGTACAATACTATTCACTGAACTATACATAGTATTCAAATTTCACCAATTTTTCCACTAATGGCCCCTTTTCTTTTTCAGGATCCAATGTACTATCCCATATTTTATTTAGTTGTTGTGTCTCTTCATCTCCTCCAATGTCTGGCAGTTCTTCAGTCTTCCCTTGTTTTTTATAATCTCGGTACTAATGATACATACTGGTTAGTTCTTTTATAGCTGGCCCTCAGTTTGGGTTTCTCAGATGTTTTTTCATGATTTGAATGAAGTTATGCACTTTTGGCAAGAATACCACAAACATGATATTGTGCCTCAGAAGTGCATCACATCAGTGGGGCTCATTATATCAACATTTCTTATGAATACTTCTTATGAATATTTCTGCCTGAGTTTTGAATCCCATTATTTTTCACCCTTTCACAGTCAGGGATATTGTGCTCTCTTTGATGTGCCTCTCACCCTCAGTAACTTCAATCTCTAAGTATCGTTTGATTCCTCCAAGTAGCATCCCAATTGTGCTCAATAATCCCATATTTTAAAAAAATTACATAACCATGATATCAACATGGTTATGTTAACCATGATCATTTGGTTAAGGTAGTTTTTGCCAGGTTTCTCCACTGTAAAGTTAAGATCTTTCTGTAGTTAGTAACTATTTTTTGTGGAGATATTTTGAGTCTATGCAAATTCTGTTTCTCATCAAACTTCACTTACTATTTTTAGTATTCATTATTGGATCTCGTCTGTAGCAATTATTACTGTGGTGTGTGCTTAAAAGTGAATTTTCTATTTCTCTTTTTCTTTCTATGCCTTCTTCCCTATTTATTTATTTACTTGGTGATTTATTTATATCCAGATAGACTTCTGGGTATTCATTTTCTCCTGTAGGTTAAAATCCAGTGCTATCATTTTTGTGTGTGTGCACAAATGGTTCTGTCTTTGGCAGATTCAGTTAGGATCTTTTTAAAGGTTGGCTACTATGTTCTTTCAACAATCCCCCGTTCCCTTTTGTTCATTTTGTTACTTCATAATGTCACAAGATTTTCAAGACTCATCTTGTATTTTTCCTATTTCAGCCCTAGAATCACTTGCTTTTCCAAGGATACCTAGTTCCTTTTGTTGTGGGATGGTGTTTAGAAACCAAGATCTGGACAATTTTAAGCTGTTGTTTCTTTACCCTCTTTTTGGGCCCTCTCAGTGGGAAAAGCTAGGAAATGAAGTCTTGCTTTCAAATTGTGTGCCTGGCCCTCTGAATCTGGGGTCCCTAAGCCCCGGGCCATGGACTGTTACCCTTCCATGGTCTGTTAGGAACCAGGCTGCACCTGCACAGCAGGAGGTGAGCGGTAGGTGAGCGAGCTTTACTGCCTGAACTCCACCTCCTGTTAGATTAGCGTTAGATTCTCATTGGAGCACAAACCCTATTGTGAACTGTGCATATGAGGGATCTGGGTTGCACGCTCCTTACGAGAATGTAATGCCTTCCCAATCCCCCAACCACCTTGCTCCAGTCCATGGAAAAATTGTCTTCCATGAAACCGATCCCTGGTGCTAAAATGGTTGAGGAGTGCTGCTCTAAATAATATCTGGCTCTTTAAGTTGTGTATACATTAAAATTCTTTCCATGTAGCCAGTAACATTTTTAAATATTTTGTCCCTGTATGTTAAGTATGGATCTGTAAAGACCCCAAACCTCTAGGAACTCAGTGATCTACATTCTCTGTGCTTGCACTATAGCAGCTGAGTATCCTTGAAAAAGCATCCAACATTGTAAGTTGGCTTCATTACAGATTTATGATTACCAACTTTAAATTGCTTGGTAATCTTACTACATTTTTTCTGAGTAACTCATTCTTCATGTATTCGCATCAATCATTTAAAACCACAGCTTTCTCATCTTCTGCCTTGTTATCAGCAAAAGATACTATTTGCTACTTCATGAAGACAATAGAACCTTTGAGTAGCCTACATTTCAACTTCATTTCACCAAACAGAAAATCAAGTCTGTTTATACACACACACACACACATATACACACACCATTTCCTCCTCCTAAGTTGAATACTTCTGCCTGACTATTGAATCCCATTATTATTCACCCTTTCACAGATTCAGGGATATTCTGCTGTCTTTGATGCGCCTCTCATATTCAATAACTTCAATCTCTACATATTGCTTGATTCCTCCAAATAGCATCTGAATATGCTCAATAATCCCATATTTAAAAAAAACACTATCTCATATGCCTCTCCAATTCCTACTCAAAATAACTCTTATTACTAAAGTTTTGAAATACATTGTTTGCACTACACTAGTAATCTTTAGAATTTTGAGTTTTATATAAACAGTAAATGTTCAAAAAGAAAACTCAGACACCAACTTCATTTGAAAAATTATTCTATGTAAGGAAGTTAAATACACAGGCACTCACATGTGCACAGACCCACACATGTCCAATATGCTATTGTCATTTCATAAAAAGAATTAACATAAAAATGGTATCGTTCTATAATTGGAATCACTTTAGCTGAGTGGTTCTTAATGAGGAATGATTTTGCCCCTCAAGGAGCATTTGGCAATATCTGGAGACATTTTTGTTTGTCACGCTGAGCAGAATGTGCTACTAATATCTAATGGATAGAGGTCAAGGATAGTGATAAACTTATTACAATGCACAAGACAGCCTCCTACAGTACATAATTATCCAGTGTAAAACGGTGATAGTATTGAGGTTGAGAACCCTGGTGAACTTTATGAAAAACAATATTGTTTTTTTTTTCAATTATTTGAGGTGAACTAAAAAATATATAGAAGAGCATTTGGCAAACCCTGGTTTACTTTTATTGTCTCTTCTTCCTCGTGTCTCCTTCATGCCAAATCTAGCTCTTACTATTTCATCGTCTATGAAACTGCTCTCATAATAGCCCCCCATAATCTTAATTTCATGGAGTTTTATGGCTTTATTTTAGTCCTAATCTTACTTGTAGTCTCAGTCTTAATATTGTCCATCATATCACTCTTGTGAAATCAATTTTGTTCCTTGGAATCCAAGACAGCTCACCTCTTAACTGTCTACTACACCACTGCATGTACATCCATATCTTCTATGGGTTCCCCATTCTTATTGTCTACTGATTCTGTATTGGTAGTGTTTCCCAGATTGTCCTAGATTCCCTTTTCTTCTCACTCATACTCCATCAGCATCTACATTAACTCCCATGGTTTCCACCACCATCTAAATTTTGATGCCTCACAAGTCAAAATCACAAGTGCTGAACCCTTTCCTGGGCCTCAAGCCCTGTCATGTTTTACCTCTATAGAAGGGATATTTCTGTTTAAGTATCACAGAAGCACATGAAACTCAACATGAGCAATACTCAAACTCCTTCTCTGCCAAATCTAGTAGATTTTATTTATTTTGCCTGTTATATAGCTACCAAATCCCCAATTACCAGTACTCTGGTGCAGGGTCTCATTATCACTCTCACCTGTATTTATCACTGTTTCAATTTAAATGGTCCTTGTGGTTCTTACCTTCCCACTTCCCATCTTCACCCCTTTAGTGAACTCTCAGTAAGAAAACCTCTCATTGGCTTCTGTTACCTTTAAGGAAGCCAATATAAAGCCATTATAAAATGTTTTATATCTCTTCATGTGACATGAAAGGCCTCTTATGATCTCATGCTTACTTATTATTTAATCTTATTTTCTATCAGTGCTCATCCACTAACACACACCATCAGGGTATCTTTGGTTGCTCAAATAAACCTCATTTTCCCCTCTCCACAGGCCTTTGCATGTGCTGTCCCTCAGCCTGGAACACTCTATTCAGCTCCAAACTCCACTGCTAACAGAGTCCACCCTCCTTTTATCTTATTTCACCCCCCACTCCAAGTAGTGACAAGGTTGTAGAACAAATGACACTGTTATATATTGCTGGAAAGAGTGTAATTTGGGACAAACGTGTTTAGATCTGTTAGGTAGTATCTACTAAAGTTGAACATATGTGTACTGCAACTGGGTCATAGGTATATATATATATGTTCAGTTTTATAAAAACCCAGCGTCAGTATTTATGTCTGTCACCTAAAGGTAGTAATAAGATTGTTCATAGTATTAAGTTGATGCGAATGTGGTTGTGGTTTTTGCCATTACTTTTAATGCAAAAAATGCAATTACTTTTGCACCAACATAATGGTATGGTTTATTCACTCCTCTATTATCCACTGGACAGCAATTCCTCCAGGATAGCTTTTCTGACATGCCACCCATTCTCACATCCTGGCTCACTTTATTATCCTGCCGTGTCCTTTCATAATTAACGTGCTTTCCTGAAATTGCTTGTTAAATTGTATGCCTGTTTATACTGTCTGTTCTTTGAAGGTGAGGAGTGTATTAGTATTATTTGTGGTTTTATTCTCACTTTTCACCTTTGCTCTTGGTGCTAAAAAGGAGGGTTGAAAAAAATACCAAGTTTTAGATGGTTTAAATTCCTGGTTTTAGCAACCAGGAATAGAATATATTCCTGCAGATCATGGGGAGTTTGTTTCTAGACAATTTAACCTTAACATGATGATGGCCTGTCCTGTTCTAATTGCTCTTTCCTGGACATGACATTCAAACTTGCCATTAAATATTTCTTGAGCTTTTGGAAATATCATTTGATTTCCATGTTCTTAATGACCTGTGTTTCAAGATTTTTTTTTATTTTCAACTTTATCTTTTCCGAAACCTAATTAAATCACATAATAAAAACATGTACTTATCACTATCACCACACCATAAAACCCTGAATTAAACTTTTTAAAATGTCTTGCCAACAGAAAAAAAAATTGAAAATTATGTTATTTAAATATCTATGAAGGATTTTTAATAATAACCTGTTCACATGCTTTCCTTATATTAAAATACATAGTTACATTTAAAGAAATATGTAGTACATACTTGCAAAATCCTTAGAAAAGTGTCAATAAAAGAACCATACAAGAAGTTCCTTTTTACTGTGTTTATTGCTTTCATTTTAGAGAGAATATAAGAGGTGAAATGCAAGATACTATGGGTTGTAACGTAGCAACAATAAAGATAAAATCATAAAAGAGAATGTTTGGCTTGGCTTTTGAAGAAAGAATTAGTAGGCCCCTGGGGTGGTTTTCAATATACTCTTCACCTTAAATATTTTGTATCTCTTGGTATTTTTCTCTTTTACACATTCAGTTCAGTTCATTTATACATTACGGAATATACATTGAAATGTTATAGTTAAAATGTAGACATAAAGGGACATGCAAATAACTTAGAATACTTTGATTTTATTAGGATGCACAATATTGTTGGAAAACTAACACTCAGGGATCCAAAATTGAACTAATATATGAAGGAATATATAACAAGAGGCTAGTTAGTGGGTTGACAAACTGACTTCCCCAAAGGGACTTCAGTATATGTACTGCTTTTTCACTGTGGTCAAAATCACAGGTTAAAATAAGAAGTAGTTTGAAATTCCTACCCACACAATGTGTTACTAAGGGCAGTGGATAAATCTTGAAAATATGGGGTCTACCCCTCTCCCCATTCATCCAGCATGTCCTTAGGGCCCTCAGTCGTATAACTAGTCAGCAAAGCACTATGTGCTCTGGGAGAATTTGGGAAACCCAAACTATTCTATTACTGAAGTGACTTCAGTACTTCCATTAAAAAAAAAAATATATATATATATATATATATATATATATAATTTCAAAGTTTATTTTAGATTCAGGGCGTCTATGTGCAGGTTTGTTACATGGGTATATTGCATGATGCTGAGGTTTGAAATACAAATGATCCCGTCACCCAGGTAGCGAACATAGTCCTCAATAATTAGTTTTTCAACCCTTGCTCCCTCGGTCCCCAGTATCTATTTTCGCCATCTTTATGTCCACTAGTACTCAATGTTTAGCTCCCACTTATAAGTGAGAAGGTACGGCATTTGGTTTTCTGTTCCTGCATTAATTCACTTAGGATAATGGCCTCCAGCTGCATTCATGTTGCTGCAAAGGACACGATTTCTATCTTTTTTGTGGCTGCATAGTATTTCATGGTGTGTACGTACCACTTTATTAAATCTACTGCTGATGGACATCTAGGTTCCCTCCATGTCTTTGTTACTGTGAATAGTAATGCAATGAACATAGGGTGCAGGTAGAACAATTTATTTTCTTTTGCGTATGTACCCAGTAATGAGATTGCTTGGTTGAATGGCAGTTCTGTTTTAAGCTCTTTGAGGAATCTCCAAACTGTTTTCCACAGTGGCTGAACTAATTTACATTCCTATAAACAATGTATAAACCTTCCCTTTTATCTGCAGCCTCACCAGCATATGTTGTTTTTTTACTTTTTAACAGTAGCCATTCTGACAGGTGTGAGACCAGTAGAAAAAGGCATTATGAGAAGTACTATTTTAAACTACCTGAAAGAGCAACTTACACACCAATGCATATAAACTATGATTTGTGGAAGTAAGTGGAGATGGGGAAGAGGAGTTCATTGAATTCATCCCTCCCCACCAACCAGCTTCTAAGACAATATAACCTGTTATTCCCATTTACACACACCGAGAATGAGTTTATTGAAATAACTTATAGAAATGACTTAAGTAATATAAAACACATCACACATTTTATCTGTATGTTGAATATCAAAATTGAGATTCCTAGAAAATTCTTATTTTCAAAAGTATATACCCAGATTACTTGTAAGCATTGGAAAGACAATGGCTAATCACTCACATTTTGGAAATGAAAGAAATTACCTCAATCAGGACAAGTTCTTAGTGTCACTCATTTAGTGGTAGAGATCCATGATAGAGAATGCAATTCTCAGACCAAAGATTATGGTTGGTTCCTTAACTATGCCTTGAATATACTAAACAACTTCCCATTTATCAGCTGGAGAACTTACAATGTTATAGAGTGGTCATGGGCTTAAGAAAATGTTTACAGAGAGGTTATATATTGTATTAGAAAGCTGTTTATCAGGCCATGAATGTGCTATCCACAGAGAAACTATGTTTTGTGGATATGGGAAGGAAAGGAGTAAATAAGGCAAATGCATTGCAAGAAAGAATTTGGAGAATAAATGTAGCAAGCACTTACCATGTAGGCCCAGCCTTGGATATGGTGAAATGAATATTATTTTGAATTAATTAAATTTATTTGCTACATACCATATTTAATCAGCTTCATAGCTTCATACCATCTTATATATTTTTCTGGAAATTTTATATCCTGTGGGGAAACATGAAAGATCAATTTACCAAACAGAAAGAAATTATCAAGTCACTATGTCTAGAAACATTTTATTTGAATTTTATCTTCCCATGATTTGCACATAAAAAAGGAAGGAAGAAGATTGATTTTGCAAGTTTTCCAAAAAACTAAACTTGGCTCTAAGTAATGTTGGATTTGACAGAAATGAAAGTATTTTAATCAAAATGTCATATATTAAAAGAATAAACCATGTGTGTAAATTCAAAACTTTGATTCTTACTCCTTTCCCCCTTTCAATTAAATTGAACCTGTAGAGCACATAAAGGACAAACTAAGCAAAGTTGCTCCTGAACTGATGATATTACCATATCTACCATTAGTAATATTTCTTTAACATTTATATTCTGCCTCTTCACTTTCCAGACTGAATCACTGTAAAAATAGGTGTGAACTGCATGGACATGAGCAGTGCTTTTCTTGAAAGCAATGATTAGTTAAAGAAATCCAGAAATCAATATCTTTCTCAAAAGCAACTGGTAGAAGACAAATCCCAAACAATTACTGGAATCCAAGAAGAAAATGAATTAATTTAGGTTTTTTTTCTACAAGTACTAGAAACTGTAAGGTCCTATTATCAAAATTAGATTAGGATGGAACTAGAGAGCCACAACTTTAGCCACAAACTTTCAAAATATCCTGCCTCTGGACCATGGAGCGCTTGATAAAATGGTGCATTTGGATACTTTACTTGCTTACAGCGTGGGAAAGACTCACGTAAACTGCAATAAGAACCATGAGAGATAGTTTTGTTCTGTGGAGTCGCAAAAGCTGAACATCCTCCCCACAAGGTTATTTAGAAGACGTCTTGCACTGTTCAAATGCAGAGGAAGGCGAATGACTCGAGTCTATGGTATGTAATCAATATTTTGATTTCAACAATGATTTTGGGAGTGGGGTTAATTTTTAATTGCAGAGATCTTTCTAGTATGAAGACAACTGGATTCATCCCTCTGTGATTGAAAGTTACCTTAAATAATACTGAGCGGAAATAGTCTTGTTTCTTAATTTTACAGAAAATTTTACAGTTGCCTGGGGCACAATATGAGAAATCTTACTTGTTTTTCTCTTTTTAAACACAATGCTGCACTTCTAGTAAAGTATATTCTCACCAGAACTTTCTAATACATTGATATGAAAATATTCCTACACTATCTCAAATATTAAGACGGAATAGAGATAATTCATCTTATAATGTTAGACCTACATAGCACCATAATAAATTCATATTTTTAAAATTGAAATGGGGTCTTGCTTTGTTGCCCAGGCTAGTCTCGAACTCCTGGCCTCAAGCTATCCTCCCACCTCAGCCTTCCAAAGAGCTGGGATTACAGGTATGAGCCACCACACTTTGCCAGCACCATAACACATTTATGTTAAATGTTTATAAAAGCCTTTACATTTTATATATATATATATATATATATAAATAAATAATTTGATAGGTTACATTACATTTTATAAAATACTTTATCATATAAGCATACCAGTAGGACTATATTTGGTATATCATAAATGCTGGGGGTTTTTCTTCATCCTGAATTTGAAAATACATGTACTGGTGTGTGATTCAACTTATTTAATTCAAATAGGAAAAGAAAAGTTTTTCAAAAAATGTTTGCTAGGCTTAGCTATTTGCCAATAACATTTGGGTGGGGTAATTTGTGTGTGTGTTAGTATCCAGCAGGCTACAGAAAGTTTAGCATAGCAGCTACCCAATCCCATAAATGCAATAACACTTTCCAGATACTATGATAACCAAAACCTCCCACATTTTCAATTCCCTGATCATCCTCTTTTACCCCATTGAGGAGACTGGCTTAGAACAGTGGTTTACAGAATTATGATGCTCTCTACATTTATAAAAATAAGGCAGTAAGTTGTTGCTTCTCCCCCTTCCCTCTACCTCTCTCTCCCTCTTCCCTTCTCTCTCCCCACTCTCCTTTTCATCTTGTTAGAAACTGCTATTGAAAGCGTAGTAATAAACAAACATCTTTCTTTCATGGTATCTTATAGGTAGCAAAGTTCTTTTATATGTATTATTTTATTTTATCATTATAATATCTATATCTGGAAAGCAGAGCATACATTATATTTCTCTGCATACAGGTAAAAAACAATAAACGAAGGCTCAGGGAAGTTAAGAAACTGTATCATACCGTAGTGATGCTGGAAAGTGTCTTGTTCTTGTTTAGATTAGTCTTTTTAACTATGTCTGACTGAAATGTTAACATGTTCCCTGTCTTTAAGAAGACAATAGTTTAAGTGGGAAGAAAATTTCAATCAACATAGCTTAAATCCTAACTTTCAGTATGCAGACACACTAATATTAACTACAGGAAAATGCTCCCAAATGTACAGCACAGCCTGGTTGTCGTCCATCCTGCCATCGCTGCTTTTGTCCCATTTGAAGTGAACGCAGTGCTGCCCTCCTGGCAGGTCCTGGCACAGCAGCTTCACCACCCACCGGGTCCCCTCACACCAGTGGCTGCTGACCACCGTGGTGAGAGAGAAGGCGAGGGCGATGCAGATGGGTAGGAGGAGTAGCGCCTGCTGCTGCCTGGCCCCGTCCAGGGCTGAGTGAGGTGCGTGGGGCAGGATGAGCTGTGGGGCCCCCTCCTCCTGCCTCGTCATAGTACCTGGGCCTCAGCTCTGCCATCTGGCATCCTCACACAGCCTCCTTTCACGTCCCCCTGGGGAACTGCATGTGCTGCCGCACCACATCCAGAGGCATGGAGCCGGGGCACGTTCCTGTCAAGGGTGCTGGCCCTGCCATTCTCCCCAGGAGGTAGGTGTGCAGGAGAGCATTGTTTTTTTTTGTTTGTTTTTGTTTTTTTTTTTTTTGGTTTATTTATTTATTTATTTTGAGACAGAGTTTCGCTCTTGTTGCCCAGGCTGGAGTGCAATGGCATGATCTTGGCTCACCGCAACCTCCGCCTCCTGGGTTCAAGCGATTCCCCTGCCTCAGCCTCCTGAGTAGCTGGGACTACAGGGGCATGTCACCATGACAGGATAATTTTTTTGTATTTTAGTAGAGATGGAGTTTCAACCTTGTTGGCCAGTATGGTCTCGATCTCCTGACCTCGTGATCTGCCCGCCTCAGCCTCCCAAAGTGCTGGGATTACAGGTGTGAGCCACCACCGCATCTGGCCAGTGGGCATTGTTTTTTAATTGTGGTAAAACACACACATAACATGAAATTAACCATCTCAACCTTTTTTTTTTTTTTGAGACAGAGTTTCACTCTGTTGCCCAGGCTGGGGTGCAGTGGCACAGTCTTGGCTCACTGCAACCTCCACTTCCCAGGTTCAAGCGATTCTCCCACCTCAGCCTCTCAAGTAGCTGGGATTACAGGTGCCCGCCACCACACCCAGCTAATTTTTGTATTTTTAGTAGAGACGGGGTTTCACCATATTGGCCAGGCTGGTCTCAAACTCCTGACCTCAGGTGATCCACCTGCCTCGGCCTCCCAGAGTGCTGGAATGACAGGCATGAGCCACCGTGCCCAGCCATCTCAACCATTTTTAAGCGCATAGTTCAGTGGCATTAACTACGCTCACAGTGTTGTGCAACCATCACCACCATCCACCTCCAGAACTCTTTTCATCTTTCATCATCTGTACCCGTCACACAACTCCCTTTGCCCTTCCTCCCACCCTTGGCAACCACCATTCTTCTCTCTGACTTTATGAATTTGACTATTCTAGGTGCTTCCTATAAGTGGACTCATACAGTGTCTGTCCCTTTGTGACTTGCTTACTTCACTTAGCATAATGTCCTCAAGCTTCATGCATGTCATAGCATGTGTCAGGATGTCCTTCCTTTTTCAAGGCAGAATAATATTCCCTGTGTTTACTGGATCACATTTTGTTTATCTATTCAGACATCTGGGTTGCTTCCACCTTTTGGTTGTTGTGGAGTGTGCTGGTTTTGATGGAAGACCAGGGGCTGTTAGGGTGGCTGTCTTGGTGAGGCAGCCTCACACTTGCCTTTTGCATGGAGCAGGGTCCTCAGTGTTGGATTCCAGAATCAGGGAATCCCGAGGACTTCATAGGCCTATTGCTTGTCCAGGCCTATGTAGAGAAGGACTACAGAAAACAGATGCTTGCTCCAGGGACCCTGGGCGATGCGAGGTACAGGCAGGCTGCCTCAGGGCCAAGGTGCTGTGCAGAATGGAGAGAGCGGCATGTATCCCACTTGGGTGCAGAGTTCTGAGGCAAGGGACCTCAGATGCTAGAAGACAGAACCCTGGGCTCCATCACTCATGTTAATGGTTTAATACTGACTAATTGCTAAAGGTAACAAAATGTGTAAAATGGTGCTACCATTTATTCATTAAAAAAGCTTGAAAGCCTGTTATTTGTTGGGTGCTTAGCTAGACGCAGACATTACTGCACATAAGAAATACCTTAAATTTTTTTATAATAAAGTCACTTGAAATGTCAAAATATAAGTGCATAGATTTGTCAAAGGTCAGAAGGGAAGTAGAAAGAAAAGAAAGTAGTTTCAAACTTATTGTAATGAAACCTCATGTGTATCCACCATGTTTAAAACTGATATATTTTTAGTATTAATGTATAAGTACACATCTATAACTTTTTTTACAAAGTCAGGCAATAAAATATAGGGTTATTCTGATAAAAATAACTTACAAAATTGGCATAAAGGATAACAATTGCAGTCAGTTTATCATTCTAGCTCCATAATTCAGCATTTTTCTGAGTTTTATTTTGGCTAAATGATTTTAAGAAAATAAAATTCATATAGATAAGACATGACAAATGGTATCAGTCATTTTGTAGCTTATTTTTAAATTTTAATATGTTCTTTACTCAGAATCTTGAAAGAATACTGAGAATATATATATATACGTACAGACTCTCACACCTAATTAGATTAAAATGGCTAACAATTTAGCATATTCTTCAGTGCATACTATCAGTAAATACCTTTCTAAATCAAATAAAATTATTTTTGGTAGAAAATTATCAAATGTATACGTTAACTCTTTGAGATATTCAAAAATTTCCTTAAGAGAAAATGAGGATAATCTAAGTACCAGTTACTGTTAATATTTGCTAAAAAATTTCTAAATAGTCATATTTACTTTGTCTTGCTTATAAAACCTATAATTTAATTGTAGTTTCATTTGGTCACGTTCTCCAAAGTTGTAATATGGTAACATCAATAACAGGGCAAGCATTTTAAATTTAAATATTTAGGTCAATTTCAAAGTAAAATACAAAGCAACCTATACTTACAATTATGACTAAAATGATGTACCATGCAATATTATTATAATTTACTTTTTTATATGTACTTAAAATACATATAGTTTACTATGTATTTATTTGACAGTTAACAGCATATGATGCAATTTTTCACTCTCTCTTAGTTTAAAATTTTTCTTCACTTGGCTTCCAGGACAACACTTTCTCTTGGTTTTCCTCTGATCACATGAATGCTCTTTCTTAGGCTCTATTTCTCTATTCTCCTCCTATTCTTGATTCCAACAATCAGAAAGCTCCAGGACTCAGTCTTCAGGCCTCTTTTCTCCATATTTACTCAGTCCCTCACTGATCACATCAAGCTTCCTGGCCTCAAATACCATCTACATGTTGATGACTGGCAAAGTTACAATGCAATATAGGTCGCTCATTAGAATGCTAGATTCTTTCTGTCTATTTTTTATTTCCTTTTGGAAGTCTAATAGACACTTTAAAAAAAGCAGCATGGCCAACTCCAAACTCGATTTTTGCCAATCCTCTTCTCTAGTCATTCTCATCTCAGTTAATGGTAATTCCATCATTTTAGTCAGACTCTAAATTTTGGAATTAGCCCTGACCATCTCGAATGTTCTCCCCAGAGATATCTATGTTTCACTGCATTGCTACAGATTTCTGCTCAACTTTCATGTAAGAGCAACCCTTTCTGATTTCCTTAGATTTGCTCCTCATTCATTTCCTGTCATAACTCCATTTCATTTTCTTTATTATATATAAATTCATGTGTTTCATAATTTATTATGCTTCCCTCTCTTAGCATGTAAGATGTAATCAGACAAAAACAGGAGCTTTGTCTTTTTAGTTCAGGGTTGTAGCCTCAAGTTTAGAACACTGCTTTAAAAATGTTCCTTGAGGCCGAGTGCGGTGGCTCATGCCTGTAATCCCAGCATGTTGGGAGGCTGAGGCGGGTGGATCACCTGAGGTAAGGAGTTTGAGAACAGCCTGGCCAACATGGTGAAACACCATCTCTACTGAAACAAACAAACAAACAAACAAACAAAACAAAAATTAGCTGGGCATGGTGGTGCGTGCCTGTAGTCCCAGCTACTCGGGAGGCTGAGGCAGGAGGATCATTGAACCCAGGAAGCAGAGGTTGCAGGGAGGTGAGATTGTGCCATGGCACCCCAGCCTGTGCAACAGCGAGACTCCATCTCCAAAAAAACAAAACAAAACAAAAACAAACAAAAAAAGGTTCTTGAACACAGAAATCATTTGAATGAAGACATAATATTGTGGGGTTTTTTGAAATTTGTAAAAAAGTTAATTTGTAAACTAATTTTTCTTCCATTATACTTTGAAGATTTTAAGTTTTAATAATGTTTATTTTGTTGAGAGCAGGATTTATTTTCCTACTGATTTTACTCTCCAGAATTAGGATTCCGTATTTTCATTATGAATACAGGAAGGCAGATGTATGGTTAAGACAGGTAAGAGAGCAATATTCTAGAGAAATTCGTATCCCTTAACTCTTTCAAAATGAAAGACTACATTAATTTACATATCGTCTGAATATGAAAAGGCCTAGAGGTGGTGAGAAGATAATTAAAACCTAGATCTGACAGGCTTGTAGAAGAACAAAGCAATTCTTGTTAAATTACTATATCATTGTAGTCTGGAGGGGTTAGAGATCTTGATATGATTATTAATATACACACATTTGATCTGTTTTAGCAATTACATTGTATAACGGGTGAAAAACAATATATTTGCTATGAAAAAGTTCACCTAGCAGCCTTCCAAATTTAGCAGTCATAGAATTATCTCTGATAACAAAGATTAAATTAAGAAGGTCTGAACTAATACATGAGAAGAATCCCATAAAAACAATTATATTCATTAGTAATGAACTGTCATTACCATCTAAACTTGTGTACAAAAATTAAATATTCAAGTTAATTTTTTGAGTATCAATATTATTATGGACATTATTTATCAATTGGGATATGTCTCTTATTTTTAATCCTTTTTAAACATTGTTTTCAGTGACATTATATATAGGAAATATTTTAAGATTTTCTTATACCATTGGTTCTAAAATCAATGCACAAATAATCTTATCAACAACAATTTTTTTGGCAGCTAAAATAATTGTATTTGTTTTCTGTTGTTATTAGAAAAGTGCTCTTGGAACATTTTTGTGAGCATAAGTGCTAAGTCTAAATGTCTTTGCAAAGAATACTCACTGAAGGCCATTTGGATTTGGAGTTAACATGAAATATTTTTACTGACTTTCACATATGTAAAATAAATATTATCTAAGAGCTTATTACAATGATGATTATATATAAATATTTGTTTAAAATCATATACATTTTACAATGTATTTAAACTGGTGGAAGAAATTCCTTCTAACTTTTTAGCAGATATAGGAAGGGAAAAATAACATGGAGCATTCACATGAACAGAACTTAAAAATTCTGAATTTTCAATTCTGATTTATTCCTAACTGTATATTGCTGATGACTTTTCCTTGTGGTGCTTGTAGATTTCTTTTGAGCATCGGTTTCACTGTTTCACTCAGTAGTCAATTTATAAGGAATATTATGTAAAATGTGACAGATTAAAATCAGGCCAAATGTTAAAGCTGGGTAAAAAGGCCAAAATAAATATAAAAATTATGTCTGGGAGGCATTATAGTGTGATTTACTTAGTAATGGAGAGAAGTAAACTATGAAAAGGAAAACAGCTATAAAAGTAATGAATGTTTTACTGAAAACATAAGGTGTTTTCTCCTCCCATTTTCATACCATGGAAACAAACTGACTCTCAATGAGAATGAATCGCATTCCATTTTAGACTGATGAACAATACAATTCTTTATGCAGTACACCATCAAGCTGTGGAATTCAATTCTGCAATATATCACTGTGGTAAATAGTTTAGCAAAACCCAGGAAAGCATTAAATGTTGCTATGAATAAGAATGACATTTACAGCCACGCTACTTAGGTCAGAAAGTTTGAAGGGCTCTCAGCCCTCTAGCAATGGTGCATAAGGAGAATTTGTGTGAAGGTCAGAAAGTAGTATTCTCTCCTCTGACATTATTTTATATTGCTCATGCATTATGGCAAGTTTATGTGACTCTTTCTCAAAGCTGGGATTTAAGGGTATGTACTTGATTCTAAAAACAAACCTTCAAATATTCAAATTATAAATCTTATTTTCATATAAATTATTAATTATACTATCAATGACTGCAAAAATTGTACAAGGTATACTCAAAGAAAAATAAAATATTCTCCCTATGGAGGAGTAAATGAATTGGAAAATTTGAAGGATGTAGGAATTAGAGAAGGTGGAAATGGCTGAAAAGAACAATATACTTTGGCTGAAAAAATATTTCCTTCTAAAACAACAAACTTCAATCATAAAAAAGTCAGTGTGACACTGTTACATTGAAGGGGGAATTATGAATTTTATAAGTATAATGGTCGAAAAATTTATTCTTTTTCTTGAAGGTAGAATGTAATATAACCCCCCCCACCCAACCCCCCCGAGGGGATGGGGCGGGTTAAGAGAGAACATTAGCTGCTTATCCCTCCTCTACGCCCAGAGAGGCTTATCTATGTTCCATTGTTCTACATTCCTTGAGGCACAGTGAGTTCTTGCTTCCCCCGCTAGCCGGGCTGTAAAGTCACAAGGTTGATAAGCAATTGCTACAAAAGCATGTATTCCCAAGGTTGTAAGACATATGGTGTAACAAATGTAAAAGAGTAAATAACTGCCTTTGTTCTCGCTTCTGCAAGTACGCTTCCTGCATGCAGCACGTAACCCTTGCCA
Source organism: Homo sapiens (assembly GCF_000001405.40). Lineage (NCBI taxonomy): Eukaryota > Metazoa > Chordata > Mammalia > Primates > Hominidae > Homo > Homo sapiens. The sequence continues at coordinate 27,598,652 of NC_000023.11, forward strand.
CAAACTGCTTAAAAGGTGACTGATCCCTTTGTTCGGGGCTCAGACTTTCTGGACCCTAGTCCAACTGAGCCAGTGATCACCTTAATAATTAAAGGTTCTCCTTAACTCTGCTCGGTATCTCCCATCTCTGATTTATCCTGCAACAACATAACTACCTTGGTAATTATTAATAATTCCTGATTTGCTGATGATTATCAGAAAAATGAAAGATAAGTGTTGGTAAGGATGTGGAGAAAGGAAACACTTGTCTACTGTTGGAAGGAATGTAAAACGGTGCAGCCACTATGGAAAACGATAGGAAAGTTTCTCAAAAAAAAAAAAAAATATATATATATATATATGATCCAGCAATTTCACTTCTGGGTGTTTATCCAAAAGAATTGAGGTTAAGATCTCAAAGAGATATTTGCATTCCCATGTACATCACAGAACTATTCACAATACCCAAGATGCGGAAACAACAGAAATTTCTGTCAATGGATGAATGGATAAAAAAAAATGTGGTATATATACAGAATAAAATATTATTCGTCCTTTAAAAAGAAGGAAATCCTGTCATTTGTGACAATATTGATGAACCTGGAGGATACTATGTTAAGCGAAATAAGACAGACACAGAAAGACAAATACTATGTGATTCCACCTATATGAGGTATCTATCTGGAGGAGTCAAACTCATAGAAACAGAGAGTAGAATGGTGGTTGCCAGTGGTTGGGAGGAGGGAGAAATGAGGAGCTGTTCAAATGGTGTAAGGTTTAAGTTATGAAAGATGAATAAATTCTAGAGATCTGCTGCACAATCTAGTGCTTAGAGTTAAAAATACTTTATTGTGCCCCTAAAAATTTGTTAAGAGGGTAGATCTCCTGTTAGGTATTTTTACATCATGAAAAAAATTGAATTAGTAGTATAACTATAAAGTAATAGCATGAGAGAATTTTGGGAGGTGATGGAGATGTTCTGCATCCAGATGGTGGTGGTGGTTACATTATAAACAGGTTTTAAATTTCATAGAATAGTACACACAATTAATTGGACAGCTCAATACTTGAATTTGCCCCCGCCCCGTGCACTGAGACATGTAAAAGAATGGTCTTAACATTATTTATAAAATCCAAACCATAGTTAATCCAAATTTCAAATCAAGAATTATATGAAACAATTCATTATTATACAAATTGCTACAATGAAACTATAAACAATGAAAATTGATAAAACATGTTGTGTGCAATAACATAGATACTTCTCAGGAATATAATGTCAAACTAAAGATCCCTTATAATAACATCTTTACGAAAAGAAAAATCCAAGTTTAAACCTAAGTATTTAAGATTGGTCGTTTATTCGGTACAATTATGCAAGAAAGCAAATGAATGATTATTCTAAATGACATGAGAGTGGTTATTTTTATAAGGAAGGATGGTTGTAACCAGAAGGTGGCACAAGAGAAACTTTTATGGTGCTGCAGTGTTATATTTTTTTATCTAGGTCAGTGGTTACAGACTGTTGACTTTATGATGAATCATTGATTTGTACATCATTGTGTCGATGTGTGTGTGTATCAGAATAAAACAGTTAAATACAGTAAAACAAAATAAATTGACAAGAAGACACTGAATGAAGGCTGAAGAATGTGTTGGATTAAAATGTTAAAATGTACAATATTAGATAAAATGATCTGTATATCCTTCTTTTTAGAAAATGACTTTTACTCATTTGTCAAGGGTATAGTGACCAAAAGAAAGACGTCTCAAACTTTGTTTGAGTTTTATAATAAAAATATGGCCATCTCAGTATTTCATAAATTGTAGCATGAGAGATTTATTTAATTTGCATGAAACAAAAATGTCACACTGTAGATATCAGATCAAGGCATTGAAAATAAATTTAAAGCATCTCAGGAGCATGTTCCGAAAATTTTATCTTCAAAGAAAGAGTTTATGACATAAAGAAACTTTCTAGAAAGTATAAGACAAAAATGAATGGTCACTAAAGGAAAAGAGTGCAGAGTTGTATTTGTTCAGACTGTCCTGTATAACAACCAACAAGTTGATTTAGCTTTGTGAGAATTATACGAAGCAATCTGTCATTAGCTAAAGCTCTAAGCTAATGGTGCTCTAAGAATTGCTTCTAGGGTGCATGGAAATCAAAAGCTCTGATTATATTAACTAGGTGGTTAACCAAATAGTGAAGGAATATGTCATCTCATGGGAGAATATTAATCATGGAAAGTTCATTGTTCTTTATGAAATATAATGAGTCAGCCATCCCATGTTACAGTGCTCTGGATTTTTTTTTTTTTCTTTGAGACAAGGTCTCCATCTGTCACCCAGGCCAGAATGCAGTGACGTGATCATAGCTCACTGCAGCCTGGACTTCCTGGGCTCAAGCAATCCTCCCACCTCAGCCTCCCAGGTAGCTGGGACTACAAGTGTGCACCACAACACCTGGCTAATTTTTGTATTTTTTGTAGGGTCGGGGTTTCACCACGTTGCCCAGGCTGGGCTCTGGAAATTTTAACGTGGTACTTGCTTATATTTTTCCAAGAGTCTTTGGCAAAAATGGATTGAACACAGTGAAATCATCTTTCTTTCTCCAGTTCCCCTTACTATCAAATTCACACCCTCACTCATATAGGCCAGTAATCTTTGAAAAAAGGGAAATATTATGTGAACCACATATGTAGGAACGATATTATTTAAATATTACCCAGGTAAATATGCCCTCTCTAATTTTGCATTGATGCAGAATTAAGAATTGAGTTATTAGGCTGGGCGTGGTGGCTCATGCCTGTAATCCCAGCACTTTGGGAGGCCGAGGCGGGTGGATTGCTTGGGGTTAGGAGTTTAAGACTAGCCTGGCCAACATGGCAAAACCCTGTCTCTAGTAAAAATACAGAAGTTAGCCGAACATGGTGACACATGCCTGTAATCCCAGCTACTCGGGAGGCTGAGGCAGGAGAATCACTTGTACATGGGAGGCAGAGGTTGTAGTGAGCAGAGACCGTGCCACTGCACTCCAGCCTGGGCGACAGAGTGAGACTCAGTCTCAAAAAAAAAAAAAAACAATTTGAGTCATTGTAAGACCCAGGACCCAGTTTAACATATTCAATTTGTGATGGTTATTTGCTCTTCCCCCTCTACACTTGCAACAAATCCCCATCCTTCTCTGCCAAGGGGATGCCTGTAGACTTCATCTCCTGGGGTACCAAGTCCTGTGTATTCTGGTAGGGTTTAGCTAAAGGAAGGCACCAGCAAAGAAACTGCAGTTCAGGAAGGGAGAAATTTATTTTTTCTAATGTTTCTTCCTGCTGTTTTGCTACCTCACTTTCAAATAACACTTACGGATTCCTGGGGAGTTGCTTATGACCAGATACCAGAAGAGAAAAAGATATGTAGGCCTGCTTTCTTTTTTCTTTCTTTCTGAGACAGAGTTTTGCTCTTGTTGCCCAGGCTTGAGTGCAGTAGCGCAAGTCTCCCGGGTTCAAGCAATTCTCCTGCCTCAGCCTCCCGAGTAGCTGGGATTACAGGCATGCACCACCAGGCCCAGCTAATTTTGTATTTTTAGTAGAGACGGGGTTTCTCCATATTGGTCAGGCTGGTCTTGAACTCCCGACCTCAGGAGATCCACCCGCCTCAGCCTCTCAAAGTGCTGGGATTATAGGAGTGAGCCACCGCGCCTGGCTGAACTTTTGTTTTTAGTAGTGTTGAAAGCTCTTTGGTTAAGAATGAAAGCTTCTGAAAAACTTGTTCTTTAAATTTTCTAATCTTAAAATTAAAGAAACAGCTTTGAAAATATATTTGTAACACCTAATATGATTCTAAGTCTCATAGAAATTTCTGGCATCAAAATTCATCATCTTATTTCTCTATGTACCTTTATTTTATCAGACCCTTATTGTCAGCAAGACAAGACATGTTTTATTGTCCTAAGAAAGTCTCAACAAATTGATCACAACTCCTAAAAAAAGAGTTGTATGAAATAATCATAATTTATGTAATAGATATACAATTTATAAATTATGTCTTTATTACTCATCTAATTTTGTCCTTTTTATGTTAGAAAAATTGCTAGTTGTGTTGTTATGACTGAAATTCACATGATTTGTGTTACACTAAGTGATCTAAAAGATTAAAAAATATAATTGCGTTCAAAGTGCAAATAATTTGAACTCTTCACTAAAAAAACATGAGTATAAGGAAATGTAAAAGTAAAAATTAAAATTATTTTCTTATGATTTGAAAAATGCTTTTCTACCAATAAATTCAGTATTGTCTATTAAAATAAAAGACAACACAATCCTTTCATTTGCTAATGTGCAAAATAATTTAAAACAGCTATATTTTTGAAAACAATTACATTTTATAAAGTATTCTTTATAATGACAAAATTACAAGTGACAGAGACAATTACATGTCCTCTAAGAAACGTTTGTTTTGCTTTGTGATATTTGGAACTCTCTGTAGGTCCCTGGACAGCAGCCTTCCTACTGTCTTTAAGGGAAATGCAGTCTTTTTGTTTTAACTTTTTATGTTATCATCAGCATATTTGGACATTTTTATTACCGTACATGTATTATTTCATATATTTTCTATTGGAGTGATTGCTTTCTGTTTAACTGTTCTACTTTAAGCTTCTGTGCTCATTTTTGAGATCTTTATCACAATCATTTAAACCTTAGAGTACCCTTTTTACACTATATTTTTGGCCTACAAAACGGCTTAAGAATTTTAAGTGCCCGGGGACCCTATTTTAAAAGCATCATTTTAGTTATTCACTTATTCACCTTTATTCTCCACTTATTCAACCAAAGTGAATTATTCATGGCCTGCATTATAAAGTTCAAAATATAAAATCGCACTAAATACATTTGACACTTTAATTCAAGCAAAGGGACTACGGTTGTATATCACTTAGTGGAGATTTAGCTAAGAAGTTTTCATAGAGCTAGAAGCAAAAATAATAAAACAAGAACTGATATAACAAACCTACAACATATATAAAGCATATTTCTGAAGCATGGTGTGCTGGAACAGAAGTATTTCAACTATATTTCAGTCAACACTGATAGCCATAGGTGCACATTTTTATTTTGTTTCAACTGAATATGAAATGTGTGTTATCAGTTGGGGACTTGGAAGGTTAGATAGCTTTAAAAGCTATAGCAATTTAAAGGCACTCTGTAACCATTTGTAATGTATTTTTATACTCATTGACATGTTGAGAGATTTATCTTGAAAATTTTTTCACACAGTAGCACTTAAAACAACTGAGTAGCTATTGGCACTCATATCTTTTCACAAGGCTATAGAATAATACTCTTCCTCAATTTTCCACTGATTGATTAAAATAATTTTAATAACTACACAATGATGTTTTATGACACTCTCTGATATCTCATATTTGACAGCAGCAGTACACTTTTACTGAATCCTTCCACCAGAGAAACAAGCAACATAACAGCCTTTTGCATTCACATACAAGCAACAGGTTTTTTTCTCCCTTCAGCTTTTCACACTCTCTAATAACATCAGCTATGAAGATATGGGACTTTGGGGGCCTGATCTTTCTTAAGGTAGCTAAAGCATTACCTTATATCTTTACTTGCCATGAACAGTGAACTGTTCCTTTTTACTACATTTGGAGATGAAATTCAATGCACAATAATAAATTACATACTTTAGGGCATTAAAGTGCCAGCCAAGGAGAAGATTTTCTAGGTGTAAACTATGGTAGCAGGCCATTTCCAGATCTCATATCATATCACTCTTACCTAAGAAAGCTGTTACTGTCTCTTCATACTCAGCCATACATTCATGAAGGATGCAGACCACACATTACATCTTCCACCTTATTATATTCACTTTCTCTAGTGACTAGTATGGAGGTATGGACGTTGCAGAAACTCTGTAAATATCTTATGAATGAATGAATGAAGAATGTTATATATATGATATAATTTGGAAAACACAAGAAAAATCACTTAACAAAAATCTTTGTCTCTAACTGGTGTGACAAAGTGTAGAATTCCATTCACCAACTTTTCCATGAATATTATGGGAAACTGTTGAAGTGAAAGTAGAGACCTCCCTTTGCTTCCCTCTACAAGTATTCATTCCAGCATATTACATGGCTGGTAAGCAGACATAAAAATTCAAGACATGCTTCTGTAAGACAGTGGATAATGGAGGAAGAAATAATAGGCAGTCTGATGGTGAACAAATTCAGTGGAGAATGTTGAGTAGCTACAAAGGTAAAGATATATTTTTCTTAGCAACTAAATGAGTGTAAAATTTTAGGAAGAAGGAATGATGTCAAATCAGTATTTCTAGGGTATTTTATTTGTGAAATATTTTTTGAAACTCCTACATAGCTTCCTTTCAGAAATTTTAGAGTAGAGATACACATTGGTTCAAGTGTCTAGAGTCAGATGGCTATGAGGTTGGACCTGTGTTATATATCTGGGATATATTTGGGAAGCTGTCATCTGGAAGTTGGATGTAATATGCAAAACCTCACTGCACATAAAGATATATAATCACCAAAATGAGCCAAGATTTCGTTAGTCACTCTTACCATCCTACTCTTTCAAAGAACTTTGAACTATTATGTTTTGAATGATACAATCAATATGCAATAATATTGTATAACTGATAGAGAAGAATGTTTGGGCTTAAATGAAAATTTTCAGCTCTAACTATGTGAAGGCACTAAATTGAAGAAACTTTTGTGAATGTCTTTGTGAACTTGAAAATTATTTTTCTTAAGTCATATATACATATAATATTATATATTGTATTAATATTTGGGGATTTGGAGATTTGGAGTCCTGCAGACTTTGGCAACACTGAAGCACGTCCCTTTTTATGGGAAGATGTGCTTCACTGAAGATAAAATATGTGGGTTAAATTCATCTTTGTGCATCTACCAAAATAGTGAAAGTGCTGCTCTCATCTATTCAGATAATAGTAAGTACTGCATTAAGATGTTTGCCACAGGCATTAGAAAAGGGTTCTAGTGGACTAGGTTTTTGCAGGTGCTTTTTACAATGAAGACTTACTGAATAATCTTGTACTTCATTTCAAAAAAGAGCGACATACCTGACTTCTTGCTGTCAGTGGAGCTAATCAGAAATGAAGAATAAAATAGTGTGTAGTGCTCTGAGAAAAACAAGTAGTGAAATAAATGCAAGAGGAGACTGAAGTACAGGGAATGAGACTTTTCTATCTTAACCTCTTGAAACTGGACAGTCCCAGGGGTCTGAGGTTAGGTGCATTTTCCAATCCTTTTCCTGATTTGGTAGAATTAACACTGATTAGCACAGACTGACTTAATTTGGTACCACTTCCTTGAGGGAAAGAGTCTGTTGAATAGATGAAGAAGAGTGGGTGTGGGCTTGATATAAACAAAGTCACAAAGAGACAGTGCACTTTTTTTTTTTTGGGAAGAGCCACGGAAGTACTGATTGTCTTAAAAACTTAATGAAGTCATGTGTATTACAGGCATTACTATGGTGTGGAAGGCGGACCTTGAGAAGTTCACAGATAAGAACTGTACATTGTTTTTAATTCCTAGATACAAATATATATATATATAGGAATTATATATATATATATATAGGAATTATATATATATAGGAATTATATATATATGAATTATATATATATAGGAATTATATATATATATAGGAATTATATATATATCTAGGAATATATATATATATATATATATATTCTTTTGAGACAGAGTCTCACTCTGTCGCCCAGGCTGGAGTACAGTGGTGCAATCTTGGCTCACTGCAATCTCCATCTCCCAGGTTGAAGCGATTCTCCTGCCACAGCCTCCCGAGTAGCTGGGATTACAGGTGCCTGCCACCACGCCCAGCTAATGTTTGTATTTTTAGTAGAGACGGGGTTTCACCATGTTGGTCAGGCTGGTCTCGAACTCCTGACCTCAGGCGATCTGCCTGCCTTGGCCTCCCAAAGTGCTGGGATTACAGGCGTGAGCCACCGTGCCTGGCCAATTCCTAGTAGTATATTTTTCTGAGTTCAAATATTTGGTGTCACTTTCTTCCTTAAATTTTGGTTAATTATTTCCTACATGAGTACATCACACTTCTAGTGACTGATTTTTTTGGTAAACTTTTCCTAGTCAATCTGTGATAGAGAAATTAAATTTAAAAATTTCCTCTGAACAGTCAAAATACAGCCCGTTTGCTTGTTTTAATGCACTTTAACTCTAGAAAACTTCTTGGGTGCTAAAAGAAGTTACCTGTATTCATATCCTACCCAAAATCCAGTTACAATAGTTTGGTTTTCTGATTCCCCGAACTATAAATATATTAGAAACATCAAATTAGAGTAAAGAAAATTTCAGCAGCAGGAATACTTGTACAAAAAAATGTGACAGTTGACAATGTTAAATCTAGGAAGGAGGCTAGAAATATAGTAAAAACAAGATTAGGAACTTAAAAAACATAGCCATGTAAAATCAATACAACTGATAATGTTTATAAATTATAACAAAATACTATTTTGCTTACTATGCTGTTTATGAAGGTACAGAGGAAGAATTAAACATTTCAGAACACCATACAGCAGAATGGAAAATAAATAATGTGGGTTTGGTTCTTATGTCTTGGATAAAAGCAAACTTCAGTAATTCTGTTTTGTGGAGCCTGCATTACCAAATGGTACCAGAAATAATGAAATATGACTTATTTTCAAGTAGCTATTTCTTGAATCATTTCCTGTATAGGATATCCAATTTCCTCTGAGATTTGCTCTTACATTTTCGAGAACAGAGCTTCAGTAGTCTCAGTGGTTGTCATTATTTTTCATAGAGTCTTCTAAGACGGGCTGAGTCTCTTAAACAAGATCTATGACTATTTAACAGAGAATTATTTAATCTCCAACTGTGTTTCATGGCATTTTCACTTTGAATACTAACCTACCATGACACAGATGCAAGATTCAGCACTCTTGCTGCACGCAAACCATGGTTTTTAACTCAGTGGACGTTATCTTCTGCACATATTTTCACAAATAACCATGATTTTCTTTGTTACACTGAATTTAATTTTCTTCTGAAATTCTTTCCAGTACTTCTTTCACTGTATTATTTTTGGTGATTTTTCCAAGACCTATTTCTTTATTTCTTTAACTTCATTAGTTTTAGTTTCTGTTTCCCTCTTCTCTTTGTTTTGTGTTAACCAACATTTAAATACTCCAGTAGCTATATCAAGATAATGGATTATGAAATTGACTACAACTTGGAAAAAAGTGTTAGAAATTGAAGAATAATTTAGCTTTCTAAATTGACTAAGAAGTTATGACATAGTTAATATGTAATAATATGACTAAGAAGTTATGACATAGTTCTTTGCTTCTAAAGGAAAAGATGACAGTGTTTATATGATATATGTTAGAGATAACGATTTAATTTAAATCTTTGTTATGTTTCTCTGTTAGGTAAATATATAAAGTTATATTTCTCTTGTTCTATAGTAACAAGAGTGCTAACATATTTTCGAAGCAATTCTAATTTACTTTTATTTAGATTTCAAGTAAAAGACTTTATTTTGGACTCAAAATTAAACAGTTTTCACTGCTGAAAATGTTTTAAAAATTGTCATTTACTTAGATATAAAAATAACCAATTAAATAGGGAATGTTACTAAAATGTTTTATTTAAGTCCTTTACATACTGATCATGTAGACTTTGATGTCGTATTGTAATAAAATAAAATAAAAGAAGTAATTTAAAATATTTATACTGGTAAATAATATAATCTGGTGAGCATCATTTTACTTTTTGCTTTAGTTAAATTTCTTTTGAATACACATGATGGAGGATAACTCCAGCTAACTTAAGCAACAATGCATATTTACAGAATGGATACTGCAGTTTCTCCTAAAATTCAAAGGGAGTCTGCACGTAAGGGAAGACCAGAACCAATAATTAGGAAAGTTATAGGCATGTAGTTGATCCTCTTCCATTCCATTTTTTTCTGCGTCTCTATCTTCTTCAGTCTTATTATCCTGAACATCTTTTTTTTTTTCTCTGTGATGTTTTGCAAATAAGACAGAAGAAGGTTCCTTCTCTGGCTAAGATTTATAAGTCCCTCTATTCCAGCCTTTCACAGAGCCAAACTGCATGGCAATTTCACTTTCCTAGGAGAGAGAATCTGATTAATTCAGCTCAGGCCTGGTGTCCAACACTGGTCCCATCAATAGTACATAGAATGACATTGCGTACTATTACCATGGTTTCAGCCGCACACACAACTAGATAGAGGGGTTGAGGCAATACTTCGTGGAGAAAAGGGACTCTCTTAAACTTAGCTGACATCCCAAAAGTTATAATTATGCCTCTATTTGGTTGTTTATCCGAAGAACAAGTGATACTGGAGACTTAACATGTATTATGCTTCTACCATGTATCACGAACTATGGGCAAAGCCTCCCATCCATTATCTTGTATCTTTTTCACAAGGGCCTTATCTCTATTTTACAGATGAAGAAACTAAAAATTAACAGAAGTTAAATATTGCACTGAAGCTGTCAGGATGGTGTGAAAAAATGTTATGGGGTATAAATTTCTTTAATCGAGAAAAGATACAAGCTTACCAAAAGTACAGAATAGTAAACAATCCTGGGAAAAGATTTGACTTTCCAGGTCTCCCGAAGTCCCTGATAGGAGGTAAAGCTGTGGAAGGCACCACTGGAATTAACATTATTATTCTCACAGCACTTACATCCTCCAGGTCCCTGATGATAATGGTCTATTCTGAAAATTCTGGCTACATTTCAACCTATTAGCTAGATATAAAACAGCTAGTATAAAACAAACCACAATAATTCCTGTGTGTCCAGGGCACGTTTAGGTGAAGCAAAAGCCAGTTTTCCAGAAGCGTCTCTTGGCAGGCCCCTCAAATTCTTTACAGGTCATCATCAGTGTTCCCATTCTCAGGTCACTGGATTCCCTGCCAAACGCCTCTTGGTTTTAGTGCTAAAGTTTATTACATATGTCTGATGCTCTTATAGAAAATGTATATAGTTATTATTTTATAATAAGAAACCAAAATACTGTTTTCCAGTAGAGAACAACTGTTTCTAGCTTACACACTCACACACCCAAATCATCTTAAAATAATAGAATTCTGGCACCCCACAGCTAAACTTTAATTATGTTGTCTGATAGTAGATTGCTGTATTTTGTCACCATTTCAATTCTGCCTCTATCAACATAATGCTTTATTTTCTCTATTACAAACCTCTTCGTTATTTATTGTTAAAGACTCAATAGTTGAATTTACACTCTGTTACAATAAATCACAATCACCCAGATAATGCACCATTAAAATGAAATCAGGCTTGCTATATTGTTAAGCCATATATATTAAAGTGTTTGGGTGGATAGCATAGACCAGATATTCAACTGTTTCAAATAATGCCTACCATCAAAAACTATTCATTGAATGCCTTTAGGCTTCATGACGTTATTCCAGGTGTTCTGGAATGATCAAATAAGAGAAAAATCATACCTACAATAAGTATGTACTCTTAAGACGAAATACTTGAACAAAACACCTAAGAACCTACACCCATATGCCTAAATGTGGGATTCGAAACTACATTAATAAGTGCCCAATATCCTTTGGGTAAGTTTGGTGTCATAGCAAGTGTTATAATGGGCCTATTCTCCAGTTCAGGACTGGATGTGTGTATATGTGTGCCTGTGTGTGCATGTGTGTGTGTGTGTGCGTGATGTTTTTCAAATTATATATATAATAAATACTTATTTTAACGAAGGAAACATCATGATGTTAGAGTGTTTGACAAAAATCCACAATGTACAGTGCTGCAATTAATTCATTGGCAATGATATTTTTTATTTAATGGAATTTGTCCATATTTTGATAGTTTGAATTTAGAACATTTTTGAGGAAAGTGCTATCAGAGTAAGGAAAACCAAACAGAAGCTTCTGAAACTGCCTCCTCTCTGGCCAAGAGAGTACATCAAAAGCACTAACGCATCTGGAAAGAATGCTAGAAAGTAAGGCTACTCCTAAGGATCTAAAGCTACAAGGATTGTGGTCCCCACTGTACTTCTAATTCACCAACCTGGCTGCTGCAGAAATTGGATGGATCCAAGAGAATAACTGTAGACTATGGCACACTTCAACAAGTACTAACCGTGATTGCAGGTGCTGTGCTGGACATGGTATCATTGTTAGAGCAGATTAATACGGCCTCTAGTACATGGTGTGAGACCACTGATTTGGAAAAGGTGTTCTTTCTTTTTTAATCGGAAAAAAAACATCAGTAACGATTTGAATTCCTGTGGAACAGACAAATGAATTCATTAACACTTTAGCCTCAGGGCTATGTTAACTGTACTGTTCTCTATTATAATGTGTCTGAAGAGCTTTGGACTGTCTGAACATTGATTCAATGATATTGTGTTGATCAGGTGGGATGATCAAGAGGTATCTATCACAACGGAGACAATAGTACCGATAGTACAGGTACACTACGGGGATGGGATATAAATCTAAGGAATATTCACAGGACTGCCATATCTAAGCGATTTTTATGGATCTGAGCTTTAGAATATACCTTTCAAAATAAAAGAAGAAACATTACATCATGGGTCTCTTATCATGAAGAAGAAAGTGCGAAGCCTGGCAAACTTCTTCAGATTCTTTTTATTCATATATATATATATATATGCCGTCATAGTGAACAGGCAACCTACAGAACGGGAGAACATTTTTGCAATCTACCCATCTGACCCATATATATATATGTACTTTAAGTTCTGGGGTACATGTCCACAGCGTGCAAGTTTGTGACATATGTTTACATGTGCCATTTTGGTTTGCTGCGCCCATTAACTCGTCATTTACATTAGGTATTTCTCCTCATGCTATCCTTCCCCCGTCCCCCCACCCCACGACAGGCCCCGGTGTGTGATGTTCCCTGCCCTGTGTCCAAGTGTTCTCATTGTTCAATTCTCACCTGTGAGTGAGAACATGCGATGTTTGGTTTTCTGTCCTTGCGATAGCTTGCTCAGAATGATGGTTTCCAGCTTCATCCATGTCCCTACAAAGGACATGAAGTCATCCTTTTTTATGGCTGCATAGTATTCCATGGTGTATATGTGCCACATTTTCTTAATCCAGTCTATCATTGTTGGACATTTGGGTTGGTTCCAAGTCTTTGCTATTGTGAATAGTGCTGCAATAAACATACGTGTGCATGTTCTTTACAGTAGCATGATTTATAAGCCTTTGGGTATATAGCCAGTAATGGGATCCCTGGGTCAAATGGTATTTCTAGTTCTAGATCCTTGAGGAATCGCCACACTGTCTTCCACAATGGTTGAACTAGTTTACACCCCCATCAACAGTGTAAAAGCGTTCCTATTTCTCCACATCCTCTCCAGCATCTCTTGTTTCCTGACTTTTTAATGATCACCATTCTAACTGGCGTGAGATGGTATCTCATTGTGGTTTTGATTTGCATTTCTCTCATGACCAGGGATGATGAGCATGTTTTCATGTGTCTGTTGGCTGCATGTGTCTGTCTTCTTTTGAGATGTGTCTGTTCTTATCCTTTGCCCACTTTTTGATGGGGTTATTTGATTTTTTCTTGTAAATTTGTTTAAGTTCTTTGTAGATTCTGGATATTAGCCCTTTGTCAGATGGGTAGATTGCAAAAATGTTCTCCCGTTCTGTAGGTTGCCTGTTCACTATGACGGTAGTTTCTTTTGCTGTGCAGAAGCTCTTTAGTTTAATTAGATCCCATTTGCCTATTTTGGCATTTGTTGCCATTGTTTTTTGTGTTTTAGTCATGAAGTCCTTGCCCATGCCTATGTCCTGAAAGGTATTGCCTAGGTTTTCTTCTAGGGTTTCTATGGTTTTAGGTCTAACATTTAAGTCTTTATTCCATCTTGAATTAATTTTTGTACAAGGTGTAAGGAAGGGATCCAGTTTCAGCTTTCTACATGTGGCTAGCCAGTTTCCCCAGCAGCATTTATTAAATAGGAAATCCTTTCCCCATTTCTTGTTTTTGTCAGGTTTGTCAAAGATCAGATGGTTGTAGATATGTGTGGTGTTATTTCTGAGGCCTCTGTTGTGTTCCATTGGTCTATATCTCTGTTTTGGTTGCCAGTACCATGCTGTTTTGGTTACTGTAGCCTTGTGGTATAGTTTGAAGTCAGGTAGCGTGATACCTCCACCTTTGTTGTTTTTGCTGAGGATTGTCTTGGCAATGTGGGCTCTTTTTTGATTCCATATGAACTTTAAAGTAGTTTTTTTCCAATTTGGTCAAGAAAGTCATTGGTAGCTTGATGAGGATGGCATTGAATCTATAAATTACTTTGGGCAGTATGGCCATTTTCACAATATTGATTCTTCCTATCCATGAGCATGGAATGTGTTTCCGTTTGTTTGTGTCCTCTTTTATTTCATTGAGCAGTGGTTTGTAGTTCTCCTTGAAGAGGTCCTTCACATCCCTTGTAAGTTGGATTCCTAGGTATTTTATTCTCTTTGTAGCAATTGTGAATGGGAGTTCACTCATGATTTGGCTCTCTGTTTGTCTGTTATTGGTGTATAGGAATGCTTGTAATTTTTGCACATTGATTTTGTATCCTGAGACTTTGCTGAAGTTGCTTATCAGCTTAAGGAGATTTTGGGCTGAGATGATGGAGTTTTTCTAAATATGCAATCATGTCATCTGCAAACAGGGACAATTTGACTTCCTCTTTTCCTAATTGAATACCCTTTATTTCTTTCTGCTGCCTGATTGCCCTGGCCAGAACTTCCAACACTATGTTGAATAGGAGTGGTGAGAGAGGGCATCCCTGTCTTGTGCCAGTTTTCAAAGGGAATGCTTCCAGTTTTTGCCCATTCAGTATGATATTGGCTGTGGGTTTGTCATAAATAGCTCTTATTATTTTGAGATATGGCCCATCAATACCTAGTTTATTGAGAGTTTTTAGCATGAAGGGCTGTTGAATTTTCTCAAAGGCCTTTTCTCCATCTATTGAGATAATCATGTGGTTTTTGTCTTTGGTTCTGTTTATGTGATGGATTACATTTATTGATTTGCATATGTTGAACCAGCCTTGCATCCCAGGGACGAAGCCAACTTGATCTTGGTGGATAAGCTTTTTGATGTGTTGCTGGATTCGGTTTGCCAGTATTTTATTGAGGATGTTTGCATCGATGTTCATCACGGATATTGGGCTAAAATTCTCTTTTTTTGTTGTGTCTCTGCCAGGCTTTGGTATCAGGATGATGCTGGCCTCATTAAATGAGTTAGGGAGAATTACCTCTTTTTCTATTGTTTGGAAAAGTTTCAGAAGGAATGGTACCAGTTCCTCTTTCTACCTCTGGTAGAATTCGGCTGTGAATCCATCTGGTCCTGGACTTTTTTTGGTTGGTAGATTCTTAATTATTGCCTCAATTTCAGAGCCTGTTATTGGTCTATTCAGGGATTCAACTTCTTCCTGGTTTAGTCTTGGGAGGGTGTATGTGTCCAGGAATTTATCCATTTCTTCTAGATTTTCTAGTTTATTTGCATAGAGGTGTTTATAGTATTTTCTGATGGTAGTTTGTATTTCTGTGGTATCGGTGGTGATATCCCCTTTATCATTTTTTATTGTGTCTATTTGATTTTTCTCTCTTTTCTTCTTTATTAGTCTTACTAGCGGTCTATCAATTTTGTTGATCTTTTCAAAATACCAGCTTCTGGATTCATTGATTTTTTGAAGGGTTTTTTGTGTCTCTATCTCCTTCAGTTCTGCTCTGATCTTAGTTATTTCTAGCCTTTTGCTAGCTTTTGAATGTGTTTGCTCTTGCTTCTCTAGTTCTTTTAATTGTGATGTTAGGGTGTTGATTTTAGATCTTTCCTGCTTTCTCTTTTGGGCATTTAGTGCTATAAATTTCCCTCTACACACTGCTTTAAATGTGTCCCAGAGATTCTGATATGTTGTGTCTTTGTTCTCATTGGTTTCAGAGAACATCTTTATTTCTGCCTTCATTTCGTTATGTACCCAGTAGTCATTCAGGAGCAGGTTGTTCAGTTTCCATGTAGTTGAGCGGTTTTGAGTGAGTTTCTTAATCCTGAGTTCTAATTTGATTGCACTGTGGTCTGAGAGACAGTTTGTTGTGATTTCCATTCTTTTACATTTGCTAAGGAGTGCTTTATTTCCAACTATGTGGTCAATTTTGGAATAAGTTCAGATTCTATAGGAAACGTTCCATACCCCGAGACACTGCTTTAGCCCATATACACAATGATACAAAAGGCTGCTAGCTTTGAGTTAGTCCCAGAGCAAAGAAGTGCTCTGTAGCAAGTCTAAGTTATAATGTAAGCATCTCTGCATTTTTGGGTCATGTTGTTTGCTAGATCCAATGATGCTAGAGGTTTCAGTGGTGGGGAAAGATGTGTGAGAGAAAAGGAAGACGTGCCCCTTGCCCAAAGGGAATTGTAGTGCTGTTACTCTAAAAAGGAATTAATGAATGCTGGACATGAGAGGCCAAACAGATATCCAACTCATCCCTATTGTAGTCATTGCAGTTTTTTTGAAAAAGACTTCTGATTCTTGTTTGCCTTAGAACTAAAAAGTCACACTTCTTTTGAATGAACACGTTTAAAGTTTAGAACACATTTGAACATAATGAATCAATGTAATTTTATAAACATTTATAATTATAATCAATAAATTTTAAAACATGAAATACTAAAGAAGAAATGACTATATTCTTGAATACCTTCAAATTTTTGCTTTGTCAGAAGCCATAAATATTTTTGAATTTTTTTGCATTATGATTAAACGCACAAAAAATAATAGTAGATTCTATCAATCTATCTATCTATCTATCTATCTATCTAATCTATCTATCTATATTTTCTGACTTGAAAAAGTGACCTGGAAATAGATTCACTGTTCACCAAGACTTTGCAATTCAAGAAGTCTGCATTATATGCTAACTCTTCAGCATAATTCTAATAAAAATAAAACTTTGTTCATTATCAATTTTAAGCTTTTTCTAATTAACTCTGAACAGAATCAGTGAAACATAGATCAGAGGAGAATATTAAAATACTAAGTTCCTAATCACTTAAATCCTCAATATTCAAAGATCTACAATGTCATTAAAACCTCTTAAAGTTTATGAACTTCAGAAATAAATAATAAAATAAATGGCACTAGAAACCTTTCTTTTTCCTTCATATTTCACATGTATGGCAGTGTTTTTTAATATTTTTATTTAAAAAATAGAGAAGATAATAAGATAGATAGATGGAAGATATATTAGATTTATGGAGTAAAGAATAGCAATATAACTAAGACATTTAAATTTTTTTCAGCCAGAATATTTTGTGAAACTAAACTGAATACCTTGTCAATACTCTTTTTTCCCCTCTTAGGGACATAAATGGTTGAATCCTTGCTTTATATCATATTCTTCAAATAAAAAAATAGATATGAAATTTCTAGATTATTTTGTGGCTAAAGATACTATTGCTGTTATTTCTAGTATCATTGTATTATGGTATTCTCTCAGTTTGTTTTTTTATGCTCTCCTCAGGTGTTGTGATACAGTGCTCTTTTTGGCCTTTCCAATAGTGAATAATCCTCTCTTAGAAAGTACATTAAGTTTTTTGACTTCCAAAATATCGACCATCAGTCATAATGTTATTATAATAAAAAAATCAATTACCTGAAAATTGGAAATATAAGTCTCATAGTCTCTATGAGAATTGGAATAATTAATTCTGATAGCAAAAATGGTAGTAGCAGATTTTAAAAAATTATTACTCCAGTTATATTCAAAAAAGAGCAATTCAATTGAAATTAATTTAAGCTGATAGGGGAATTTATTTATATATACAAAAGAATGTGGAC
This sequence comes from Homo sapiens, assembly GCF_000001405.40. Classification (NCBI taxonomy): domain Eukaryota; kingdom Metazoa; phylum Chordata; class Mammalia; order Primates; family Hominidae; genus Homo; species Homo sapiens. The sequence continues at coordinate 27,616,572 of NC_000023.11, forward strand.
TTGGGTTCAGTCGTAACTAAACATAAAGCTTAAACAATGTCATTAGTTTTTCTTTCTCCCTCCAACTCTTGCCACTACTTATCGTATTACGTTGATTCTCTCTTAAGGCGGAAGGAATTGCTGCCCTAGACCCATAGTCTACAGATTAACATCCCCATCAGAGAGAGGCTCTTTGTCCATGATATCTCTGGGGGTAATTGTCCTAGGGAAAACGGATTGAACACAGGATCTTGCAGCAATCACTGGCTCAATTCTTGTTGCCCAGAAAGTAGAGGAAGAAAATATTGGGGGCAAGATTAGCCGTATCAAAACCATACAAAATGGATTTTCCCAAGAGGGAAAATACATTCTCTTTGTGGAAAAAGTTATACATTGCATTTTGAATACACCATTCTATTTGTAAGCCATGGAACTACCCTACTGAGGTTTCAAGCTAGACTGATTAAATACATAAAAAGCAACAAATCTGGAGGGTTCTTGGGTTAATATCACTCCCTCCTTTAATAGATTAGAAGAATGGTCCAAGTAGTCTGATTTAACTCATCAAAATAACAAGCTGCTACCAGTTATGGGGCTTCATGAACTCCTCATTTCTAAGAAGCCCATTTCCCTGACGAAGGAGTTCCTCTGTTACTTAGTTACATAGATTTGCCCTGACCTTCATTATAAATATATAGATATTTAGAGGTTTGGGAGGAAGATTCCTCCTATCTAGTACATTGTGTTGTGTGCAGAGCTGTGCTCAGCTTTCACTGTGGGATAGGTAGAGCTGAGGGAAATGTATGTGCTCTATCACTTCTCTGCTTGTAAGTTTTCTCCCAATAGATCCTGTTTTAAATCTATACCACTTGGTGTTCTGCCTAACATGTCTTAAACATTATCCTTCATGGAGTCTTAAAAGCTATGAAATGAATCATATGATTCAAGGATTTTTACATAGTAATCAACCTGGTTCCCTAATTTGCTTATTTAGGATCACAACATATTTAAGAAAATGAAAACATGTTGAAAAAGAATCTTCCATTATCTTACCTCTTTAATTATTATTATCCCTTTTTATAAGTTTCTGTTTTTTATTACAAATGATCCACTGATATTTACATATTCCCAAAATATCCAGTTGTCAGCTACCTAGTGATTAGTCAGTGCATCTGTTAACTGCTCACTTATTAGATATTTTTTATTTAGGGAATTTTTAAAAAATCACTGCCTTTTATGATTTAGACAATAAATAAAGTGATTGCCACCCTTTATGGGACAGAGGAACTAGATAATTATGTCTAGAGATGTTTATTGAAAGTATAATGTTACTTCAATAATGTGGAATATAAATGGGCACTATTTCAAAAGTAAAACAATTTTTAGTGTGCAACTTCTGTTATTATGGTTCTAACATATGGAAGCATTCTATGTTATCATATCATATGGCTTTGAAACTTCTTAGAGGATGCTTAGGTATATTTTTTTATTCCATGACTGGTTGTAGAGAGTTATAAAGCTGCTAGAAAAACACAGGAGCTTAGAGAAAACTCAATAAAATATGCAAAATGAATTTGCAAAATAAAATTACAGAATTAACTTCAAAATGACATACACATAGAAAACATTTGAACAATATACAGTAGGATGAAAAACATTCATTTCCCATTTGTCACAGTGGAATCATAATCTAGATTTTTAAGAGAATGCACAAGAAAGCAGGCAGTTAGAAATAATTAGACAACATAACACAGGAAGAAATGCTGCATGGGGGTAACACACGGGTAAAAAGATAGTCTATTACAGTGGAAAAGAAAAAAATGGGGATTGGACTCAGCTTACTAGCTTGGGATTATAAATAGATTACTTATCCTCTTCAAAACACAATTTTCTTTTTGGCAAAATGAAAATGAGAAAACGTTCATAGACTTTTTAGGTGCATTAGACACAAGTAGCTATGGCACCTTTGTTCAGATTAGACATAGACGCTTCTCCAGGTATGCACATCCCCATTGTCATTCATCTTGGAGTGCAGATGGAGCCTTTGTACTAATTACAAAAGATGTTCCTTACTCCAGGCAGATGTAGCTCTGCCCCGTGAAGCAAAAAACATTTAGAAGAGCTTGAAATTGATTTGAACCCCCATGCGCCCTCTTGGCTGGTTGTGTATGTGAAGTGATCAACTTGAATACGTGTTCAAAACTCAGTCCTCCTATTTATTGTAAGTTCTGTTAATACTAGTGGAAAAGTGAGAGGCAAATTAATAATGATTGGATTTTAAGCTTTATTGATCATAGACCAAAAGTAGTAAAGCTTTGGGAAAAGGTTTAGTTTTTTTTTAAATAACAAAGACTATGCAAAATGTATGGCCTTTATGTTTCAATTTTTTTATAATTAAGCCGATCTCTTCTGGATTAAGATATAGCTTCAGGATATTATCTATATCTATATCTAATCTATCTATCTATCTATCTATCTATCTATCTATCTATCTATCTTATATCTATCTATCTATTTACTTACCTACCTATCCATCTACCTATATTCCACAAAAATTTTATTTGGAAAACTAGCTCTATGAGATATGAAACAATTTTAGGTGTGGTTTTGGTAATAAGTCAAGAAAGTATGACAATGTTTTGATGAATATAGCATAAGATTTATTTATTCCAGGTTATCTTAGAGATTTTAATACAATAGCTACTGTAAATCTCCAAACAGGGATAAGCCTTTCAGCTTTTCCACAAAATAATTTACCAATAGAAACCGTTTCTCTATAAGTGAGGCCTCATCCAGAAAAGCACAGAAATAGATCAGACAAATAATAGATAGATAGATAGGAGAGAGAGAAAGAGAGAGAGAGAGAGACAGACAGACAGAGACAGAGAGATTTGTTACAGGGATCTGGGTTTCCCAATTGTGGGAACTGGGTAAACAGTCTTTTAAAGGTTCTCCCTCCACATCTGATGCTGGAGCATAAGCAGACCTGACACTCCAGCACAAGTTGGCACAGAAGTCAGGAAAAGTAAAGGGAAATTCAAAGAAGCTAGTGTAATTCAGGTCTAGACGCTGCTTCATGCTAATGAGATCTGTCAGCTGATCACTACATGTTATCTACAAAATGGCAGCTGCTTCCTTTCCACCTTCCAATAAAAATGTTTGAGGAAATAATTCACTAGTAGCCTATTCAAATTCCTGAAAAACCAACTATCTTAACTATGACTCAAAGTCCAGGTGCAGTAAAAGAAAGGATAACTTCTACTGCTTAAAATTTTAAAAACTGCATGATAAAAAAAAGAAAAAGAAATATAGGTAAAGTAAAAAAAAGACTAAAATATTTGCAATACATGCTACAATTAAAGGATTAATGTCTTAATAAATAATCTAAAAGATGAAGTTTAACAACCTAAATAAATAAACTTATGGAAAAATTGGCAAAAAGACATGAAAAATTTCGAATTTTAAAACAATTTTAAAGTTACAAAAATTATTAAACTTATTAAAAGATGCTAAATTTCACTTATAATGAGGAGAATGTAAATTCAAGCTAATTGACAAAATTTCTCATATATACATTGACAAAAATTTGAGAGCTCAATATCACCCTCTGTTGGCAAGACTGTAGAGAACAGACACTCTCATATCTTGCTAATGGGACTACAGAATAGTACAATAGTGTAATTATGTTGAAAAATTTGACAAAATCTAAAAAATGCCTTTGAACTTTGATTCGGTAGTACCACTTTCAAAAATATAGCCAGAGGATACACTCCAAAAATATAATATCAAAAGGACAGGTAACAAAAGAATAAATAGACAAATTAAACTTTGTGGAAATTTAAAAATTTAGTATATCAACAAACAACATCAACAGAGTAAAAAGGCACCCCAAAGAATGGGAGAAAATATTTTCAAACCATATATCTGATGAAAGATAATGTGAAGAAAATGTGCAAAGGGATGAACAAATATTTCTCCAAAGAAAATATACAAATGGCCGGAAGCATACAAAACAATGCTCAACATCACAAATCATTAGGAAAATGCAAATTAAAACTACAATGATGTAATACTTCATACTCATCAGGGTAGCTACTATAAAACAACAACAAGAAGAAATATCAAGTATTGGCAAGGCTGTGGAGAAATTGTAACACTTGTACATTTTTGGTGATAATGTAAAATGGTATAATTGCTGTGGAAAACTGGTGTTCCTTCAAAAGTCAAAAATAAAATTGATGTATGGTCCAGCAATTCCATTTCTAGATATGTACCCCAAATAATTAAAAACAGGGCTTCAAAGAGCTATTTATGTACTCATGCTCATAGCAGCATTATTAACAGCAGCTAAAATATGGAAGCATATAAAGTGTCTGTGGATAAATGAATAGATAAGCAATATGTGATATATACATACAATAGTATATTCAACCTTACAACGGAAGGAAATTTTGTCGTATGCTACAACATGGATGAATCTTGAAGACATAATACTAAGTGGAAGAAACCAGTCACAAAAATACTTATACTGTACCATTCTACTTATATGAGATATTTAAAGTAATCACAGTCATAGAGACAAAAAGTAGAATGGTGGTTGCCAGAGGCTGGGGAGAGGGGAGAATGGGGAGATATTTTTTAATGTGTGGAGAGTAGAATGCTATAGAGTTTCACTTTTACAAGATGAAAAGAGTTGTGGAGATCGATGGTGATGATGGTTGCACAATGTTATTAAGGTATTTAAGATTACTTAGCTCTGTGCTTAAAATGGTTACTTTGTCTATACCAATAAATTGGAGAAGGAAAATAATTTTTTGTTAAGATAACAAATTTTATATTATGTGTATTTTAACATAACAAAAATAGGAAAAAATAATAAGCAAGCAAAATCCTGATAACCTAATAGAAAACAGGAAAAAAAATTGAACCAACACTTTAAACTCCTCCTGCCCACCCACCACAGTAAAGGAAAAAAGTGGCCTATAGCCATATATAAAATAGGCTCAAATCATTAGTAATCAACAAAATGCAGATTAAAATTATAGTAAGATGTCACTAAAATTTAAGAAACGCAAACGTACACCCCCACACCCATACAGCGTGTATAAGATACCAGGTGTAGGCTAGGATGTGTGCAATAGGAGTTCTATTAAGATGCTGGGGCAGGCACTGTGGCTCACATCTGTAATCCCAACACTTTGGGAGGCTGAGGCAGGAGGATAGCTTCCATCCAGAAGTTCGAGACAAGCCTGGGCAACACAGTGAGATCCTGTTTCTACAAAAAATAAACAAAATTAGCCAGATGCGGTGTCAGATGCCTGTAGTCCCAGCTACTCAGGAGGCTGAGGTGGGAGGATTGCTGAGACTGAGAGGTCAAGGCTGCAGTGAGCTGAGGTTGCACCATGCAATCCAGCCTGGGTGATAGAGTAAGACCTTATCTCAACAACAACAACAACAAAAAAAAAAGATGTTAGTAAGAATATATGTTTAAAGTATTTTGAAATAAAATTTGGTATTATCTACCAAATTTGAAGACGTACATCACCTGTTACTCAGAAATTCTACTTTTACATCTCTATTCAACAGAGTGTAGGCATTTGTGCACCAAGCAGTATGTATAAGAACATCATTTGGGAGGCCGAGACGGGCGGATCACGAGGTCAGGAGATCGAGACCATCCTGGCTAACACGGTGAAACCCCGTCTCTACTAAAAATACAAAAAAATTAGCCGGGCGTAGTGGCGGACACCTGTATTCCTAGCTACTAGGGAGGCTGAGGCAGGAGAATGGCGTGAACCCAGGAGGCGGAGCTTGCAGTGAGCCGAGATCGCGCCACTGCACTCCAGCCTGGGCGACTGAGCGAGACTCCATCTACAAAAAAAAAGATAAAAAATAAAAATATATAAAAAGAACATCATTAGCATCATTACATGTAATATCTCAAATTGGCAATAATCTCAAACTCATTTAAAAGTAAAATTGATAAATAAATTGTAGAAAGTCAAACAATGAAATGCTAGGAAACATTAACATAAGTGAATTAGTGCTACGTTCATATTTCCCACTAACATAATGCTGACTAGAGCAACCTAGATACTTCTGGATTATTCCATTCAGGTAACATTTAAAAATCAGGTACACTTAAATAACGTTTAATGATATGTACTGAGGAAATAAAATCACAAAGAAAAGAAGGAAATAACTACCATACAATTCTGGTTATCTTTGGCAGAGAGAAATAGTGATTTTGACAGGGTGTATGGGAGTTATTTGGGTTGATGACTTTATTTCTTAAGCTTGAGGGTCATCAAGCAGAAGTTCACTGTATGAGAAAGGGCTGTACTGTATATTTCTACTTTGTGCATTTCCCCCATGTATATTGTAGTCCACCATAAAATTTAATTAAAATGCAAAGTAGTTGGTTAAAACATAATTCTGTAATACTTGGAATTGCTCCAATTATAAGGAAACACTTTTGCTTAGAACAAGGAAGTTATAAATGTATTTGCTGGTGACAAGAGATAGACTTCAATGACTGGTGGCTGTAAACTGAGCTCACTGCTGGAAACTTTTTGATCATAATACAGTCTACATTTCACACCACTTACTTTTGGGCTACCAGAAAGGGCTGGTTTGGTCACAGTAAGAAGAGAGAGTTTAATAGAACTGAGGATAGAGTTCTCTCACTGCCCTTCAGGGGAAAAAAAACTGAAAAATCCTAGAATATATAGTTTATTGTAAAAGATTGCTTGTTGTTAGGAAACATGATCCATACTGGAGAGGAAATATGAATGCAGAGAAGATGGAAAAGGCTGTATTAATTTACTGTAAACCTAAAAAGTCATACTGGAAATACTGCATAAATGGAAAAAAAACTGGAATGCTTTTAGTAAATATACCTGTTTTATTTTTAATATATATTACAAATCAAAGTCCTAAAAGAGAAGTTTTTGAGGGTTTTTCAATGAAAAACATTTATAACAACAAGGTTTTAAATATAAATGAAAAGGGTAAAAAAAATTTGGGAAAGTTTTGTGTTACAACTTTCTACTTACTGCCTACAAAAAAAAATCAATACTGGCAAAGAAAACCAAATAAATTTATATTTAAAAGAAAAAAGATTGCATAGCAGCCCGAGTATGATTTATTTCATGATTAATTAGACACCATTTTTTAAAACAGCAAGATACACCTCACACAACCTCCAAGAAAATAGCAATGCAGATTTAAACACGTGTGAATGGAAAGAATTAGATTTCCTTTCACACCAATTTTGTTTGAGGTCTGCCAATTAGATAAAGGTCCAAGTACTAAAGCTACAACATTGAAATTGCTTCCTAAAATGAAGGAAGAAAATACTTTCACAAACTTCTTAATGTTCATCAAGTACCTCCTACTAGGTAGTTTCTATGTGCATTTACTTATGTTATCTCATTTAATATGCATGATCAACCAATGGAATTGGAATTATTTTCTAAGATTTACAGGTGAAGATATTGAAGCTCAGAGTACATGTATTTTCTCTAGTTACATACTAAGGAATTAGAATTGTCAGAGTTTAGACATAGTTCTTCTGACTCTAAGACCAATTATTATTGTGCCTACCTGCAACTTTTAGATACCATACTAATATCAGGGATTATCAGTCACAGTAGAGTCAGGAAAAGATAACTCATGTCAAGTACTTCAACAAAGGGAGTTTCATATGGGAAGGTAGTACCAAATTGTTAGAAGACCTCACAGAATAACAGGGTGAGGGGAGATAGCCCAGAGGTTATCAAATGCAAGAAGTTGCTTCCATTACTAGGGCTGGAGAGTCAATAGAAGGAACATTCCATGCTCATGGATAGGAAGGATGAATGTTTTAAAATGGCCATACCGCCCAAAGCAATTTACCGAGTAAATGCTATTGCTATCACTACTAAGAACATTCCTCTCAGAATTAGAAAAAAAAAACTATTCTAAAACTCATATGGAATCAAAAAAGAGCCTTAATAGCAGTCCTAAGAAAAATGAAGAAAACCAGAGGCATCACATTACCCAACTTCAAACTATACTACAAGGGTGCAATAACCAAAACAACATGCTACTGGTACAAAAACAGACACACAGACCAGTAGAATAGAATAGAGAACCCAGAAATAAATCTGGACACCTACAACCATCTGATCTTTGACAAACTTGACAAAAACAAGCAACGGGGAAAGAGTTCCCTACTCAGTAAATGGTGTTGGGATAACTGGCTAGTTATATGCAGAAAATTGAAATTGATCCCTTCCTTGCACCACATACAAAAAACTCAAGATGGATTAAAGGCTTAAATGTAAAACCTAAAATTAAAAAACCCTGGAATATAACCTAGGAAATACCATTCTGGATATAGGCCCTGGCAAAGATTTCTGATAAAGATGCCAAAAGCAATTGTGACAAAAAGAAAAATTGGCAAATGGAATCTAATTAAACTAAAGGGCTTCTGCACAGTAAAAGAAACTATCAACAGAGCAGACAACCTACAGAATGAGAGAAAAAATTTGCAAACTATGCGTCAAACAAAGGTCTAATATCCAGAATCTCTAAAGAATTTAAACAAACTAACAAGCCAAAAACAGAAAACCCCATTAAAAAGTGGGCAAATGACATGAACAGATAGTTTTCAAAAGAAGGCATTCAGGTGGCCAACAAGCATATGAAAAAGTGCTCAACATCATTAATCATTAGAGAAATGCAAATCAAAACCACAGTGAGATACCATCTCACACCAGTCAGAATGGCTATTACTAAAAAGTCAAAAAATAACAGATGCTGGTGAGGTTATAGAGAAAATGGAACACTTATTCCATTATTCACACCACTGCTGGTGGGAATGTAAATAAATTCAGCCGCTGTGGAAAGCAGTTTGGGAATTTATCAAAGAACTTAAAACAGAACTACCATTTGACCCAGCTATCTGATTATTGAGTATGTACCCAAAGGAATATAAATTGTTCTATCATAAAGACACACACACATGTTAGTTCATTGCAGCACTGTTTACAATAGCAAAAACACAGAATCAACCTAAATGCCCATTAACAGTAGACTGGATAAAGAAAATGTGGTACGTATACACCGTGGAATACTATGCAGCCATAAAAAGAATGAGATCATGTTTTTTGCAGCAACGTGGGTGCAGCTGGAGGCTATTATCCTAAGTAAACCAACCCAGGAACAGAAAACCAAATACCACATGTTCGTACTTTCAAGTGGGAGCCAAGCACTGAGTACACATGAACACAAAAAAAGGAACAATAGACATCTGAGCCTATTTGTGAGTGGAGGGTGGGAGGAGGGTGAGGACCAAAAAACTGCCTATCAGGTGCTATGCTTATTACCAGGGTGGCAAAATAATCTGTATGCCAAACACCTGTGATACACAATTTGCCTATGTAACAATCGTGTGCATATACCCCTGAACCTAAAATAAAAGTTAAAAAAAAATAACTTGAAAAATAAATAAGTAAATAAATAAAAGAGAAGTAGCTGATGTTACCAGAGCCCAAGATCTGAGTTCCCTTCACAGGAGCTGAAAACTTAAAAGAAGGGCTTTTTGAGGGAGCAGCAGGAGTAGCTACCAAGGGGAATTTGGAGACATGAAGAAGTGCTCATCTGACGGGAGCTAGAATCATAGAAGGAGCTGCAAGACGGGAGCTGGGACCTCAGAGGAAGGCGCTGCCTTGTGGGCTCTGCAACCACAGAATTGCTATACACACTGACAGAGATACCTCCAGAAGCCAAGAAGAAGGCTTACCCTGGCTTCTCACCTCCAATCTCTAGCCAGTGCTTCCCTGTTAGGTGAGCCCAAAAGAAGCAATTTGAGAGGAATCTGGGAATGTAGTTTGCAGGAGTCATCCTTCTGTGATCTGTAGTTTAGGGCATAGCACGTGAAAGGAAGAGGAGGTGGATCTCAGAGTAAAGAGGAAAATGATCAAACCACAAAGCTAGTTTTCTAGGCCACATCAAATTATCCCAGCCCCAAAAGATGATGTTGAGTAAAAATTACCTAAAGTATCTAAACAGACTCATGTTAAAATAATTAATTTGATATGTAATATTTTTATTTGTTTCTTATGAAGATAAGTCACCATGTAACATGAATAAATACATACTTGTTTCAGTTATCAAGAAGTCTAAGTAACACTGCACACAAAGGATGAGAAAGCAAGCTGAAATATAGGAGGCAAAGAAAGATTCCTGCTATCATATAGGATTGATTTAAAGGCAAAAAGTAGATAAATGTGAATAAGAGTCTAAAATTAAGTCTATATCTTAGTCTTGGCCATTAAAGCTTATAAGGGACATAAATTTGAATGTTAATTCCAATTGTTAGTTTTGCTAATGTCTGATTAGAGCTTTCAGAAATCAATTCTTTTGTTACATGAAGTAGCAGCTTATAATTAGGGGAGGGGGAATTCACATTTGAAACAAAAGAATTGATTTCTAATTCTAGGTGGTGGAAAAAAATAGCACCAAGAAATGTTAAGACCAAAAAAAAAAAAAAAAAAGCTGTGAAAGACAAATGCAAAAGAAATGGGAAAAATGCAGGCTGGTATTTCATTAGAATACATAAGTAGTACGAAGCTTGTGTTTTCTCTCTTATTATTTTTCTACAATTATCCAAGCCTATAAAATCTAGAAAGAGGAATATTAGGCACATCCGGCAAATGTTTAATATATTATGTTCATTAAAAGTACCTAGCCAGTGCTATCCAATAGAATTTTCTGGCATGGTGAAATATTCCTTTTTTTTTTCTTTTTAAAACAGCTTTACTGAAGTATAATTGATATGCAAATGATGGCACATATATAATGTGTAAAATTTGATGAGTTTGGACATATGCAAACACCCATGATCCCATCACCACACTCAAGGTAATAGACATATTCAACACCTCCCAAAGTTTTGTTGCATCCCTTTGTGTGTGTTTCATTGGTTGATTGTTGTTTTTGTTGTGTGTGTGTGTGTGTGTGTGTGTGTGTGTGTGTGTGTGTGTATGCATGTGTGTGTGTTAAGAATACATAATATGGGCCGGGCACAGTGTCTCATGCCTGTAATCTCAGCACTTTGGGAAGCTGAGCCAGGTGGATCACGAGGTCAGGAGATCGAGACCCTCCTGGACAACATGGTGAAACCCTGTCTCTACCAAAAATACAAAAATTAGCTGGGCGTGGTGGTGCGTGCCTGTAATCTCAGCTACTCGGGAGGCTGAGGCAGGAGAATCACCTGAACCAGGGAATTGGAGGTTTCAGTGAGCTGAGATCGTGCCACTGCACTCTAGTCTGGTGACAGAGCAAGACTCCATCTAAAACTAGTCTGGTGACAGAGCAAGACTCCATCTAAAAAAAAAAAAAACAATGAATACATAACATCATGAGATCTACTCTCTTCAATTTTGAAGTATAAAATACCATATTGTTAACTATAGGCACCATGTTGTACAGCAGATCTCTAGAACTTATTCATCTAGCATAACGTACTTTATACCCATTGAACAACTCTCAATTTCCCCCACTTTCCAACCCTGCCAATCACTTTGTATACTTTTCCTTCCATGAATTTGACTATTATAGATACCTCATATAAGTGAAATCATGCAGTATTTGTCCTATGGCTGGCTTACTTCACTTAGCATATTGTCCTTTCATTTCCTACATGATCTAGCAAATGAAAGGATTTTCTTTTTTTTAAAGCTGAATAATATTCCACTAGATATGTAAACCACATTATCTTTATCCATTCATGAGTTGATGCCCACTTGGGTTTTTTCCATATATGGGCTATTTGAAATAATGCTGCAATGAACATGGGAATGCAGATATCTCTTGGAGATACTGATTTTATTTCCTTTGTGTATATGCACATAAGTGAGATTGCTGGATCATGTGATAGTTCTATTTTTTAATTTTGAGGAACCTCCATACTTTTCTCCATTATGACTGTACCAATATACACTCCCACCAACAGTGTGTAATGGTTCTGTTTTCTCCTCACCCTTGCCAACACTTGTTGGCTCTTGTCTTTTTTTTTTTTTTTTGAGACGGAGTCTCGCCCTGTCGCCCAGGCTGGAGTGCAGTGGCGCGATCTCGGCTCACTGCAAGCTCCGCCTCCCGGGTTCACGCCATTCTCCTGCCTCAGCCTCCAGAGTAGCTGGGACTACAGGCGCCCGCCACCACGCCCGGCTAATTTTTTGTATTTTTAGTAGAGACGGGGTTTCACCATGTTAGCCAGGACGGTCTCGATCTCCTGACCTCTTGATCTACCCGCCTCAGCCTCCCAAAGTGCTGGGATTACAGGTGTGAGTCTTTTTGATAGTAGCTATCCTATTATGTGTGAAGTGATAGATCTCATTGTAGCTTTGATTTGCATTTCCCTAATGATTAATGATGTTGATTACCTTCTCATATGCCTGTTGGCCATCTGTATGTCTTTTTTGGAGAAATATATTTTCAAGACTTTAGCCCATTTTTTAAACTGGGTTGTTTGTTGTTGTTGCAGTTGAATTGTATGAGTTTCTTATATATTTTGGATATTAATCCCTTGTCAGATATACAGTTGACAAATTTTTTCCCATTCTGTAGACTTTTCATTCTGTTGATTGTTTCTGTGCAGAAGCTTTTTAGATTGATGTGGGCCCACTTGTCTATTTTTCCTTTTGTTGCCTGTGCTTTTGGTGTCATAGCCAATAACTTACTGCCATGACAAATGTGTAGCAACTCTTCTCCTGTTTTCTTCTAGGAGTTCTGCATTTTCAGCCCTTACATTTCAGTATTTCTTTTTAAGCTGATTTTAGTGTATGGTTTAAAGTAGAGGTTAAATTTCTTTCTCTCTCTCTTTTTCTTTCTCTCTCTCTTTCCCTTTCTTTCTTTCTCTCTCTTTTTTCTTTCTTTCTTTCTCCCTTCCTTCCTTTTCTCTCTCTCTCTCTTTCTTTTCTTTTCTTTTTCACATCAATATCCAGTTTCCACAACACCATTTGTTGAAAAGACTATCCTTTCCCCATTGTGCATTATTGGCACCCTTGTCAAAGATCATTTGACTATATGCATTGGATTATTTCTGGGCTTTTTATTCTGTTCCATTGGTCTGTATGTCTGTTTTTATGACAGTACAAAACTGTTTTGATTACTCTAGCTTTATAATATATTTTGAAATCAGGACGTATTATGCTTCCTGCTTTGTTCTTTCTCAAGATTATTTTAGCTATTCTGTGTCTTTTATCACTCCATATGAATTTTAGGATTGTTTTCCTATGTCTGTAAAAAAATGCCATTGGAATTTTGACAGGAATAGCAATGACTCTGTAGGCCACTGGGTAGTATGGACATTTTAACATCAATTATTCCAATCTATTAAAATAGGATATATTCCCATTTACTTGTTTCCTGTAAATTTTTTTTATCAATCTTTTGTAGTTTTCAGTGCAAAAGTCTTTCACCTCCTCGGTTAAGTTTACTCCTAAGTATTTTATTTTCTTTTATGCTATTGTAAAAGGGACTGTTTTCTTAATATCCTTTTTGGACAGTTCATTGTTAGTGTGTAAAAAGCTGATTTTTCTCTGTTGATTTTGTAGTCTGCAAATTTACTGAATTTAAAAACTAGTTCTAATATTCTTCTGTGGAGTCTAGGTTTTCTGTATATAGGATCATAACATCTGAAAAGAGAAATAATTTTACTTCTTTATTATTAGGATTATGGGTAAATTTCTATATACATACAACCTGCCATGACTGAATTATGAAGACGTAAAAATCTTTACAGAATAATAATGAGTAAGGAGGTTGAATCAACAATCAAAAGCCTCTGAAAAAGAAAAGCCCCTGACCAGATGGCTTTACTGGTGAATTATACCAAACATTTCAAGAAGAATGAATGCCAGTTCTTGTCAAACACTTCAAAAATGCTGAAGAGAGGGGGAGACTGCCAAACTTATTTTATGATACCATCATTACATAATACCAAAGCCAGACAAAGATATTACAAGAAGAGAAAATTAAAGGCTAATATCGTTGATGAATATAGATTCAAAAATCCTCAAAAAATACTAGCAAACAAAATTCAATAGTACATTAAAAATATTATGCACCATGATCAAGTGGGGTTTATTCATCATAGTCTATTCAAATTGCTATAACAAAATACCATAGGTTGAGTGGCTTATAAAAAAATAGAAATTAATTTCTTACAGTTCTGGAAGCTAGGAAGTCCAAGCTCAAGGCACCAGCAGATTCTATGTCTGGTGAGGCCCCGTTTCCCAATTTAGAGATGGCCGTCTTATTGCTGCCTCGCCACTTGGCAGAAGGAGCAAGAGAGGTCTCTGGTGTCTCTTTTATAAGGGCACTAATCACATTCATAAGAGCTCCATTCTCATAACCTAATCACATCCCAAACACCACTCTTTCAAATACCATGAAATTGGGGATTAGGTTCCAACATATGAAATTTGGGGAGTGGAGGACACAAACATTCGTCTATTGCATCATCCTTGGGGTTACAAGGATGGTTCAATATATGCAGATCAATGAATGTAATACCCAACGTTAACGAAATTAATACTAAAAATCACATGATCTTTTTAATAGGAGTAGAAAAAGCATTGGAAATAATTTAACATTATTTCATGATAAAACTGATCAACAAACTAGGTATAGAAGGAATGTACTTCAACATAATAAAGGTCATAGATGACAAGCTGAAATCTAACATTATACTTAATGGTGGAAAGTTGTAAGCTTTTCCTCTAAAATCAGGAAGAAGACAAGGATGCCAACTTTCACCATTTCTATTCAACATAGTACTGGAAGTCCCAACCAGAGCAATTTAGGAAAGAGAAAGAAATAAAATGAATTAAAATGTTATTATTCTCTATCTGCTCCATCTAATGCATAGTCATTAGCCACGTGTGGCTATAAAGCAAGTGAAATATGGCTATTTTGACTGCGGAACTAAATTTTTATTTTTATTTGGTTTTACTTAATTTTCATTTAAATTTAAATAGCCAAATGTGGCCAGTAGACACATTTTTAGGCAGCACAGACTATATGTATTATTCAACCTTGGAAGAAAGGTATCTTCCTCCCACAGTGAATAACTTAAAGTAGGACAATTTTGTAGCACTGAGAATGTGACTCCTTCCTACTAATCAGAATAGCTGACTTATCCCTACAGTGGTTATAGTCAAATTTCCCAAATATTCATGTACCCTTTAAATTCGTAGTAAACTATTTCTTCATTTTTAATGTAAGCAATTATTGGTATACACTTCCCTCTCAGAACTACTTTTTCTCTGTCCCACAGGTTTTGGTATACTGAGCCTGGGGCTACTGGTGTCAGCCTGGTGGTAGTGCAGCTCATCTGATGCCTGGGGCTGCAGGATCCTAGTTGGTTCCTGTGACAGACCTTGGGAAGCTCAATCTCAGGTAAAGCCTGGAGTCTGGGGTCATAGGGGCCTGCCCAGTACTGGGTTTTAATGGGGCACGTCCAGTGTTGGACCTCACAGCAAAGTGCTCACTTCCCTCTTCTTCCCTCAAGCAGAAAGTTTCTCCCTCCATGTTGCGCTGCCGGAGGTTGAGGGAAGCTTTTCTTAATTGTGTCTTTTAAAAATGTATGTGCTATACCCAGGTGCTGTAATCTCTTCCTTGGTTTCCCAATCTCTTGTAAAGGTATTTTTGTGCATGAATAATTGTTCAAATGGAAGTTTTTTTGCAGAAACAAGTGCAGGAAAGTCCTATTTTGCCATTTTGCTGATGTCTCTCCCCAGTATGGTCCATTTAAAACAGAAATCACGTCATGTCTCTGCTCAAAACCCTCCAGCAGCTCCATTTTATTCAGAACAGGTCAAGGTTTACCATGGCCTGCAAGACCCTACATGGTTTTCATCCCCTAATTCTCTGATTTCATCTTTTGTGTACTCCTTGTTCACTCTGTCCCAGGCACATTGGCTGTTGCTCACAAACACGAGGCATTTTAGGGTCTTTGCACTTGTGTCTTGCCTGAGGGTCTTTGCACTAGCTGTTTCCTCTGCCTAGAACATCCTTACACAAGAGTATTGTGTACTTCCCTTGTGTCTGTCTTTCTCCTATCCTTTGTGTCTTTGCTCAAGTCCCACCTCCCCAAAGATGCCTACTCCTGACCACTGTATTTAATACTGTACCTTGTTCTCAGCATAGCCAGCTCTCCTGATTTCCCTAACTCTGCTCTATTTGGTTTCTTTTTTTTACTACAGCAATCATCAGTTGTAACATGCTAGATCATTTATTTATTTACTGTATGTATTTTTCAGTGTCTACCTTATCTTAGTAGAATGTCAACTCCAGGAAGGCAGTAAATTTTGCCTAGTTTTTTCACTGATATATCCCAAACACCTTGAAGGTGTCCTAACATACAATAAACACTTTATAAAAGTATATTGAAAACATTAGCCAATGTTTGTTAATGAAGTCCGTATATCTATGATGTAAAAGTGTATATGTATGCATATGCATATGTATGTATAGAATGGTTTTAATGAGTTAAACTTCTGTGAGTAAACATACTTGATTGTTAGTGTAACATGAAAATTGCAAAGTCA
Source organism: Homo sapiens (assembly GCF_000001405.40). Lineage (NCBI taxonomy): Eukaryota > Metazoa > Chordata > Mammalia > Primates > Hominidae > Homo > Homo sapiens. The sequence continues at coordinate 27,633,152 of NC_000023.11, forward strand.
GAATTTTCTAAATGAAAGGTCATAAAGCTTCTTTAGTAAATGTTAATTTGTTTCAAAGTATTTTAATAGTGATATAAAATCCTAGATGTGTTCAATTGGGTTGAGATAATGATATTGGAGAAAAATTATAATTTTCTTGATGCCCAAGCCCTTCCATCTTTAATTTTAATACTTACGGCACTTCATTAAAATGCATGCTGTATTTAATTTTCCAGGAAATTGTACAGCATAAAAGAAGAATGTATATTCAAAGCAATTTCCAGTCAAACTAGTTGAAACTTTTAGAATATAAGCCAATAGAGCCTGTGTCTTTTCTAGATGTGAGGCTGTTCTTGGCACATTTGCAGGGGTCAGTGTAGCTTCTGAGCTACCTTTAACCCTTGCTCGGTGCACCTATTTCCTAAGACCTTTATCACATTCTGTACCCTTTCCAAATTGCCGATACCAATTTCAAATCCCCAGGGCAGACATAATATTCTCATAATATCTGACCACTGCTAACAGCTGTGGGAAGAAAACTTGCTGTTTTTAGAGCCTCTGCTTCAGTGTACATATCCCATTTTCATCCCTCGTTTCTTAAAAGAATTATATTGCTGACAAATTTAACTTTGAGTCCATAATAAATCTTGGAAATTTTTTCTGGCAACCGCTTCAAAGCTGGTTATTTCTGATTGTGTAGTCATGGAAATCATGTTTTATCCTTAAAATGATCCTACACTTATCAATGTTAAAATTAGCATATTTTTCTCTCTTTCTGCTGGTGAAGGTCAATTTTCCCTCTTGTTTTATTGGAGAGGCTGTTTGACAACCTTGTCAGAGCTAGTATTTCCATGAAAATTTGATGAATCGACTATATCCCATCTCTATATCCAAATGAATATAAACTGTTCGAGGACAAGTTTATGTCCCATTCAGTTTTGTATTTTCTACAGAATTTAGCACATAATATGTGTTCCATTCCACATATTATATGCTAGCACTAACATAGTCTGGTCCTTCATTATCTCTTAACTGGATTAGAGTTATAACGTCCTAACTTGTCTCCCCACCTCTGGTTTCTTCAAACGTTACTTGGGCTACAGACATAATAAATTACTTGTAAGTAGTCTGGATATAACCTGTTCTATTTACCCATATGCATGCTACTCTCTCTCCCTGAAATGTCTTTCACCTGCATCTGCCTGGTTCAATCCTAAATATCCTTCCAGATTCAGTTCATATGTTACCTCCTTTGCAAAGGCATCTCTGATGCCTCAGAGTGGCAATATAGCCTTGTGGTTATGGGCTCAGACTCTGAAACGAGGTTGTTGGAGTTGGTTTATTTTGCCTCTTACTAGTTGCATAACCTCAGGAAAGTTACTTAACCTCTCGGTGCCTTGGTTTCCTAACTGTAAAGAAAATAGGAACATCTTCATAGGATTGTTGTGATAATTAAATAAACTGATAGACACTGAGCACCCTCAATCCAAAAATCTGAAACCTGAAATGTTTCAAAATCCGAAACCTTTTGAGTGCTAACATGACATCACAAGTGGAAAATTCTACACCTGACCTCAGGTGATGGATCACAGTGAAAATGCAATGAAAACTTTGTTTCATGCACGAAATTATTTCAAAATATTGCATAAAATTACCTTCAGGCTATGTGTATAAAGTGTATATTAAACATAAATGAATTTTATGTTTGGAATACGGTCCCATCCCCAAGATATCTCATCATGTATACCTAAATATTCCAAAAATCTGAAATTTGAAACACTTCTGGTCTCAAGCATTTCAGATAAGGGATACACAAACCATGTATATACACACACACACACACACACACACACATATATAGAGAGAGAGAGAGAAAGAGAGAGAGAGCTCTTAGAATAGTACCTGTTTCATGGTAAGCATGCAGTAAATGTTAGCTCTTATGCGTAGTGTAATAGATATATTGACATTGTTATTTTTATTATCACTCTAGTCCCTTAAGCTGAGTTATTACATAATTTTTATCATTGCTGTTTAACATTGATTTTTAATTATTTTTACCTTGTGACCATACCATGAGTTGACTGAGTGGAGATACTTTTACTTAGTCAACTGCTGGACCTAGTACAGTGTTTAATAGTCAATAGGGCAAAATAAATATTATTTGGAGTGAGTGACTAAGCTGAAATATCTTCTCAATGAAACTATCAACATTTATAATGAGTAGTTCTTAATACCCGCCCAAGGAATTTCATGATGATTTTAAAGTATCATACCTAAATATAGCTGTGTTGATAGTAATCATGCATCAGTCCCAGGAGCAGTAGCATTCACTGTACTCAATTTAATGTTTTCCTCAAAACCAACCTTACTAAATAAAATGCTATTAAGATTTGAGGAGGCCCAGACACAAAAGAGTCAAGTAATTCTTTTCATTGCCATAAAAGTATTCAAGAATATGGCAAACAGCTTTCTTCCGGCCAATTCAACATTTGCTCCCACTAGCCATTCTACTTCCAGGTTTAACACTTACAAGAAAAAGAAAATGCTTCAATTATCAATAATTCAAATTGAAAGTGACACTTTTTTTGAAGTAGTATTATTTTAATATTTTTGGGCAATAGTCAACACCTAACGTATGAAAGCAATTTCCTTTTACGTGTGTGTGTGTGTGTGTGTGTGTGTGTGTGTGTGTGTGTGTGTGATGGAGTTTTGCTCTTGTTACCCAGGCTGGAGTGCACTGGCGCCATCTTGGCTCGCTGCAACCTCCGCCTCCCGGGTTCAAGCGATTCTCCTGCCTCAGCCTCCCAAGTAGCTGGGATTACAGGCGCCTGCCACCACGCCCAGCTAATTTTTTGTATTTTTAGTAGAGACAGGGTTTCACCATGTTAGCCAGGCTGGTCTTGAAGTCCTGACCTCAGATGATCTGCCCGCCAACCGTGGCCTCCGAAAGTGCTGGGATTACAGGTGTGAGCCACCGTGCCCGGCCAGAAATTTCTATTAATGTCAATAAAAGCTCATAGTGTTTGACATATTTTATTTTCTTAAGAGCTATGTTGCATGAAAAGCCTAGTGCTGAAATAAATTCCTTTAGGCACCTGGACCTTACATTTTATCTGTGTTCATGGTCCAATCTTCATGTTTAGAATCAACATATTCCTCTGAGTTCTAAAGCATTTATTTTATAATAACAATTTATTATTAAACCCATTTCATTATAAGCTAAAATCTACTACAATTGCATTTTAAATCAATTGCTAACATTGAGCTATCAGTACATTACTTCAAATTGATCCAAAGATATAAAGAATTAAAAACTGTGTTTATTCATTCATTTATGTAACTCCCTAGAAAATCAGACATGTTTTGTGCTAAACCTGAACAAGGAAGTGTGTATCCCCAGGATGTAATGGCTGTTGCATTGGTTCTAATATTGAGGAAAAGAGACTGAAAACTAGATATAGAGAGCCAGGTATATCAGGTGGTCTGAATGCATCTCAAACCTGAACACATCTCTATTTAATTCTGGAAAATTAAATAGAGAAGAATTTTACTGGAAGAATATTACTAGTAGCTCAAAGAGTTGAGGGGAGAACCAGAGAATCAGGCCCAGGAAATGAGAAGGAACTAAAGAGTTGAGTAATGTTGCAGAAAAAAAATCTTATTTACAAATGTATCTGCTGCCACTGTCCACAATCTCCTCCATGACACACAGGCACCATAGCTAGATGCAGAAAAGCAAATCATAAAATCATTTTCCTTTAGGTCACTAGGCTAAAAAAGAGAATCCTTGATGATAATATCTGAGTATTGATTTCCATGCTCTGGCCACTAGGAGACGAGAAGAGGACAGATTTTACCTTTAAGCACCTGTCATTGGGAGATGCACTATCACCTACTGAGAATCTCAGTTTAAAGGTTCTCCGAAATTAGAAAGCCATTTCACTTTCTGAGCAGCAAAAAATGACATCTGTACATTCTCAAAGTCCCAATAACATTGTTTGAGTCATATGCAGAGCTTAATCTAAAGCCTGTCTCCTCCTGAACAATCTGATTACATGGCTTATTAAATTAACATTTTGGTTTAAGCCAGTTTGTTTCAGGTTTATCTGTTATGTCCTATGGAGTTCCTACCACCAGTACTCAGGGCTTCTGAAATTTTCTCCATTGTGGCATCCCTATTTCAGGGATCTCCAGATCACACTAGCTTAACTTTGAGAAGTGGGTTTCTAACTTTTAATTTTCTAGTATGGTGACCACTACCCAAATATATGCTCTTACCCAATCAGATTGTCTGCTTGACTGAATTTCCACATGTCACTATGTGGGTTTTCCATTAGGATGTTCTTTCCACCTTTGGGCATGTGCCAACCAGGACCAGCACACAACTTCAGATGGCATCATTCGATTTGAGCATCCAGCTCAAGCCATGGAGTACATAGCCCATAAAACTGGATGAACATGGCAGCTTCTTCAAATTTGAGTATTGATTGGATTATCTTTACTCGGGCTTCATTCAGAAATTATTTAATGCAGCTTACAAAAATCTGTAAAATTAAATTAAAAATGAAATAAAATCATTTATGAATAAAAGGGGGCTCAAAATTTAATGAAAAGCAATAACTGGCTCATAACACAGAGTCATACTTTTGTTCTCAACTTTCTAGCAGCCAACCTGCAAAGAGGAAGTAGTCGTTTCTCCAGGTAATATTCCCCATACATTAAAAACAATACAATTGCTTAGGGAAGCACAACTATTAATGGAATTCAAACCAGACACGATCCTCTCAAAGTTAGCTCACATTCTCAGAGAAGTAGACACTAAGACAGGATTAAACAAAGCAAGATTTATTGGGAAAAAAATGGATATGAAGGAAAGGAGGAGGGAGCTATCAGACCACAATACAATTTCAACACCATGAAGGAGAGATGGAAGGAAGGAAGGTTAGGTAGGAAAAGTCTTAGATTGTATGGTAATTTAAGGAAAGTATTAGCAAGGCTGATGAGAAATCCTTGAGCCAAAGTTGCTCACTAGAGAAGTCTTGTATCTTGCTGGAATATCCCTGCTTTAGTACTCTGGTACATACCATCATTGGCTAGGAAGAGCCTGTGAAAAGTATGGTAATGGACTCAGATCTCAACAGCTGGAGTCATTGATCAGTTATGCTCCCCACAGCAGAAGATCTGAGAGCAACATTTTCATTGCTGCCACACTCCCACACTCATTTTGGTGATTGTGGAAAGATGATGGCTACTAAATGTAATTGATTTACTTGAATCAAGCCTGGAACTTTATGTACCTTGGAAACCGACACTTCCCAATTATTTTAACCTTCATGGCCAGCTGGATTTGCCCTTACTCAGATTATGCTGGCTATGAGCTTTATAAATCTTGAAATATGAGAATCCATGCCCCATGGAGCTGGTGTTTTAGTGAAGGTTATAGACATGTCAGGAATGAAATATAATACAAGGTGGAGGAAATGTGTGTTTAATAAAGGTATAAACAATGTATTGTGGAGGGGCAGGGAGAAATGAGAGGTTTCAGTTTTCAATTCACAAGTGGCTTTACAGATGAACAGTCAAGAACAGCCCAATCATTTGCATTTATTGTTTTAAATAATGAGGACTAATGCATTAATGTAGATCTGTAGGTCTCAAACTTTAGTGCACATCAGAATCATCTGGAGGACTCGCTAAAACACAGATTATTGAATCCACCCCCACCCAAAGAGTTTCTGATTCAATAGATCTGGGGATGGAGCCTGAGAATGCACAACTTTAACAAGTTCCCAGGTGCTGCTAATGGTGGTCTGAGTAGCACTATAGGAGAACCAAGTAAGTAAAACAAAAACTCTGTTGTTAGAATATGAGTTACCCAAATAATTACTCTCATACTTCCCTCTCCTTAATTAGTCTTGAACTTATATCATCACGGGATCTCTGTTAATTACATATGTACAATGGGGTACTATTCAGCCATAAAAATAATGACATCCAGTCATTTCAACAACATGGATGGAACTGAAGATCATGTTAAGTGAAATAAGCCAGGCACAGAAAGACAAACATTGCATGTTGTCACTTATTTGTGGGATGTAAACATCAAAACAACTGAACTCATGGACATAGAGAGTAGAAGGATGATTACCAGAGGCTGGGAAGAGTAGTGAGGGGCTGGTAGGGAGGTAGGGATTGTTAATGGGTCCAAAAAGTAGAAAGAATGAATGAGACCTATTTGATAGCACAACAGGGCGACTATAGTTAATAATAACTTAATTGTACATTTTAAAACACTTAATGGGTGTAATTGGATTGTTTGTAACTCAAAGGAGAAATGCTTGAGGGAATGAATACCCCATTCTCCATGATGTGCTTATTTCACATTGCATCACTGCATACCTGTACCAAAATATCTCATGTACTCCATAAATATATACACCTACTAAGTATCTACAACTATATATATAATTACAGGTTACATAGTAGCTTTGGTATCAAGCAAGTGTGGGTTCAAAATTGGGACTCTTGGGCTTGTTTTCTTGTTTTTATTAATTTTTTTTCAATTTACATTTTTTAAATTATGAAATTAACTCTAAGCCTAAAAGTAAGAGAAAAGTAACATCCACAGGCTCTGTTATAGCTGCCACTTGGATGTCAACTGTACTGGCATTTTTCATAGAACTTTTCTCATTTTTAATCGTAATACATATTATTTTACATCTGGCTTTCATTGAACACTGTATCAACTGATTTTTTCAGATGTTTCAGGCGTTGTACTATTTATCACTTTTTAAAATTTTATTTATTTAATTTTATTTTTTATTAGACTTCAAGTTCTAGGGTACATATGCACAACGTGCAGGTTTGTTACATATGTACACGTGTCATGTTGGTGTGCTGCACCCATTAACTGGTCATTTACATTAGGTATATCTCCTAATGCTATCCCTCCCCCCTCCTCCCACCAATGAGTTCATGTCCTTTGTAGGGACATGGATGAAGCTGGAAACCATCATTCTCAGCAAACTATCGCAAGGACAAAAAACCAAACACTGCATGTTCTCACACATAGGTAGGAATTGAACAATGAGAACACTTGTTGTTATTAAAGTTTTTTTGATTCATTACCTCTCCCATCCCCAGCACTTGGCAACCACGCATCAATTTTCTGTCACTGTACTTTTACCTCTTCCAGAGTGTTATATAAATGAATCCATACAGTGTGTAGATTTGGGAGTCTGGCTTCTTTCACTTACTAACATACATTTGCATTTATCCATGTTTATGTGTATAAATAAGTATTTTATTCATTTGTATTGCTGAGCAGCATTTCACTGTATGGATATACTACACTAGTTTAGCCATTCATCAGTTGAAGGATATTGTCATCATTTCCCAATTTTGGCACTTATGAATACAGCTGCTATAAATATTCAAGAATATCATCATTTCACTTAGGTAAATCCTAATAGTGGGATTTCTGGGTCATGTGGCAAGTGTATGTTTAACTTCATAAAAAACTACTAAAGTATTTTCCAAATTGGTTCTATCATTTCACATTTTCACGGCAATGTATGAGAGATCCAGTTACTCTAAATCTTTGTCTGCCCTTCATATTTTCAGTTAATTTGTTTTTATTTTAGCCTTTTTAATATGTAGTGGTATTTTACAAGAAAAAATAAAAAGTGTAGGAGTATTTTATTATCATTTTAATTTGAATTTCTCTAATGACTAATGATGTTCATATACATTTATGTACATCTTGTTTGGTGAAATTTTACTTTAGGGTTTCTAGTAGAGATGACTTATAACAGTCTGCCTTCAATTAATATTATATTACTTCATTTATAGAAGGGCTTGAAAATAGTACAATTTATTTCCATTTTCCCTGCCTTTGTGCTATTGTCATATAGTTTATTTCCATAGCTGTTATAGATAACACAATCTTTTTATTATTTTTATTTGAAGATTTGATTATCTTTTAAAGTACTTCAGAATATAAGGAAACATCATTTTATATTTACTCACATACTTACCATTTCTGGTTTCTTCACTCCTTTGTGTAGATGCAGATTTTTATCTGTTAACATTTCCTTCTACCTAAAGGATTTCATTTAAAATTGCACATCTACTGGTGATGAATTCTTTCACTTCTTGTATATTGAAATAAGCTTTTATTTCACTTTTATTTTTGAAATTTTTGCTGATTATAAACTAAGTCTGATAGCTATTTTTTTCAGTAATTTAAAGATATTGCTCCACTGTCTTCTTATTTGAACTGTTCCCAACATAAAGCCTGCTATATTTCTTTTCTTTTCTTTTCTTTCCTTTTCTTTACTTTTCTTTTTTTTTTTTTTTTGAGATGGAATTTTGCTCTTGTAGCCCAGGCTGGAGTGCAATGGTTGATCTCAGCTCACTGCAACCTCCACCTCCTGGGTTCAAGCAGTTTTCCTGCCTCAGCCTCCCGAATAGCTGGGATTCCAGGTGTGTGCCAACATGCCCAGCTAACTTTTGTATTTTTAGTAGAGACGGGGTTTCACCATGTTGGCCAGGCTGGTCTCAAACTCCTGACCTCAGGTGATCCACCCACCTCGGCCTCCCAAAGCGCTGGGACTACAGGCGTGAGCCACCACGCCCGGCCAAGTATGCTGTATTTCTATCTTTGTTTTACTCTGCATAACGTGTGTTTGCCCTTCCTCTGGCCACTTTTAAATTTTTCTCTTTATCACTAGTTTCAAGCAGTTTGATAAGGGTACTTTTTTTAAATTTTTTTTTTGAGATGGAGTCTCGCTCTGTCGCCCGTGCTGGAGTGCAGTAGGACAATCTCGGCTCACTGCAAGCTCTGCCTCCCGGATTCACGCCATTCTCCTGCCTCAGCCTCCAGAGTAGCTGGGACTACAGGTGCCTGCCACCATGCCGGGATAATTTTTTGTATTTTTTTTTTAGTAGAGAAGGGGTTTCACCATGTTAGCCAGGATGGTCTCAATCTCCTGACCTCGTGATCCGCCCACCTCGGCCTCCCAAAGTGTTGGGATAACAAGCGTGAGCCACCGTGCCTGGCCTGATAAGGGTACATCTTAACAAAGTTTTCTCCAGTTTTTCCTCCGAGGTTTGATCCTTTTAAACTTGTTTTTGACTTTCTTATGCAGGACCACATAAGCCTTTAGTCTAGATCTAATTTTGCCTCTCAACTGAGTCAACATCCTTCTGACAAGTGCACCCTATATCTCATGTATTATAGTGTATTTCTAATCTGGCTTGTGAAAACAGCAATTTTTTTTTTCTGGCTCCGATTGAGCCCTGGAGATTTTTCCACTTGCTTCTTTCAGATAATTCTTTCCTAGGCTTCAGGCAGCTTTCTCACATGTATGTTCTGATAAGAACACAGATGAAGACTCAGGGAGATGGGACTCTGCAGATCCTCAGAGCTTTCTTTCACTGCAATTCTCTCTTTTCTACTCTCCCATCAAAACGCCAGATACCTTCATCTTCCCATATTTCCATGTCTATCTCTTCAACTCAAGGACACTGCTGGGCTTTCCCCAGGTTTCCTCACCCTTTGGTAAAATGTACATTTATATCCCCTAAAATTAGTATAACTTTTTATTTTTAATAATAAGATATGCAGAATAAGCTTTCAGTTATTTTCCAAATATAATTGATACACTATCAGAACCATGTAATCATTTTGAAAAGAACATATATTCTCAATAATAGTGATGTACAACTTGGACGTTGCAGGTGATATGACAAGCATCATAGCGTTACTAAAACCATGCCATCATTTATTAACTCTACCATATTGTTGGTTTTTAAGTCAAGAGATGTCTTCACCATTTTACCTTTTAATATGATATTTTGCTATGTATATGCAGACACCTTTACTGTGCTTCTGTTACATTTTAACAGAATGGTGTCGATATCTCTTCAAGATAATCATTTTATTCCTTACAGACATACAACTAGTAGTGAGATTGCTGGATCATATGGTAGTTTGATTTTTAATTTTTTGAAGAATCTCCACACTGTTTTCCCAAATGCTGTACCAATTTGCATTCCACTAACAATTCACAAGGGTTTCCTTCTCTCAACACCCTAGCCAACAGTTGTTATCTTTTGACTTTTTGATAATAGCTATCCTAACATGTGTAAGGTGATAACCCATTGCAGCTTTGATTTGCATTTCCCTGATGATTAGTGAAGGTGAGCACCTTCTTATATACCTGTTGGCCATTTGTATGTCTTCTTTTGCAAAATGTCTATGTATGTTTGTTGTAAAAGAGCTATTCTTTTTTTGTACTCTTGTTTTGAGAAAAAAGTTAATCTGTGTTGATGTCGTAGTGGTCAGAAACCAATAGAGACAGATAAAAGAATCCCAGTAATTTTTGGTAAATTCCAGCAGTTTGATAAAAATACATCCAATTAATGCTTACATACACATATAATATAGCTACAATTTTAAAGCTCTTAAAATTATTAATAAATTCAAAAGAGTAAAACATAATGTCCAACGTTATTTTCCTGAAAATTATAGGATAATAGTAATTAAAGTATCTCTTGAGATTACGTTGTGACTTTCCACACGGTTATCCTTTGCCTTCTTCCCAATTAAACTATGAACACATCGTGTTCCTGATGTTTAGCTTTCATTTCTCATACAATACCTAATATGTGTTTGATTTTTTTGGCTGAAGAATTGATTGGACTATGAGTGAAATAACCAGGACATCTCTACCTACTTGGTGACTAACATGCTAATATAGTGTTCCAAAACTATATTTCCTATAAAAGGATCTATATTCTCCAGAGTTTTTCTTGAACCTCATAAAAACGTCCCAATCCCTATCATGAAGTCTTTGCACTTAACATTGCTTCTGCCAGAAGCATTCATTTTACCCATCTCCATCTACTTAGCTCACTCACTATTTTTCTATCTGATCAATGTCTCCTCCTCTGAGGAGACTACCATGTCTAAAATATCACCTGCCACATTCTAACCCATGACCCTGATTTCCTTTTCTTCTGAGAACTGACAGTTACTTGAAAATATTGTATGTTCATGTATATGTGTGTATAGTGTATAGCATGCATTTGTGTACCACACATATACACATATACACACATACACGTTTAATTTGTTGTTTGTCTCTTTCACTAGAATATAAGCTCCTTGACAGTAGCAACAGTTTTCAATGATCACTTTATCCCCAGGGTACACAGGAAAGACACAGAGGAGATATTCAATTACTGTATGTCAAGTGAATGAATAGATGAAAAGGTGGATGATACACTTAATTACCAGAAGCTTCATCATCAAGACCCTCAGTAATATAGGTCACATCTGTTTACATTGATAAATCAGGCTAACTCCTCTGAAAAAACCTCTTGTTACAAATCACCGAGATATGCTGGATAAATATGACCAACAGGTATTTAATTACATAGCTCAGCTTTCAGGAAGCTAAGGGGAAGCCACAGGAGCCATAGATCTATGAAGAGGAGGCTGGAAACCAACTGATAAAATAAAACTGAAAGTACTGCTATTTAGGGCAGCTGATTCTACCAGAGGTACAAAGAGGAACTGGTCCAAACAATTGAAAAGGAGGGACTCATCCCTAACTCTTTTTTGTTGTTGTTGTTTTTGAGATGGAGTCTTGCTCTGTCGCCAGGCTGGAGTGCAGTGGCGCAATCTCGGCTCACTGCAACCTCCACCTCCCAGGTTCAAGCGATTCTCCTGCCTCAGCCTCCCAAGTAGCTGAGATTACATGCACGTGCCACCACGCCCAACTAATTTTTGTATTGTTTTTAGTAGAGATGGGGCTTCACCATGTTGGCCAGGATGGCCATGATCTCCTGACCTCGTGATCTGCCCGCCTCAGCCTCCTAAAGTGCTGGGATTACAGGCATGAGCTACCGCACCCGCCCCCTAACTCATTTTATGAGGCCAGTGTCATCCTGATACCAAAACCTGGCACAGATATAACAGAAAAAGAAAACTTCAGGCCAATATCTCTGATGAACATTGATGGAAAAATCCTCAATAAAATATTGGTGATCTGAATCCAGCAGCACATCAAAAACCTTATCCACCACTATCAAGTCAGCTTTATTCCCAATATGCAAGGCTGGTGCAACATATGGAAATCAGTAAACATAATTCATCACATAAACAGAACTAAAGACAAAAACCACATGATTATCTCAATAGACGCAGAAAAGGCCTTCAATAAAATCCAACATCCTCATGATAAAAACTCTCAATACACCAGGTATTGAAGGACCATACCTCAAAATAATAAAAGCCATTTATAACAAACCCACAGCCAATATACTGAATGGACAAAAGCTGGAAGCATTCCCCTTGAAAACTGGCACAAGACAAAGATGCCCTCTCTCACCACTCTTATTCAACATAGTGTTGGAAGTTCTGGCCAAGGCAATCACTCAAAAGAAATAAATAAAGGGTATTCAAATAAAGGAAGAGAGGAAATCAAATTGTCTTTGTTTGCAGATGACATGATCCTATATCTACAAAACCCCTGATTCAGCCCAAAAGCTTCTTAGGCTGATGGGCAACTTCAGCAAAATCTCAGGATACAAAATCAATGTGCAGAAATCACAAGCATTCCTACACACCAACAACAGACAAGCAGAGAGCCAAATCATCAATGAACTCCCATCACAATTGCCACAAAGAGAATAAAACACCTAGGAACGCAGCTAACAAAGGAAGTGAAGGACCTCTTCAAGGCGAACTACAAACCATCCCTCAGGGAAATCAGAGAGGACACAAGCAGATGGAAAAACATTCCATGCTGATGCATAGGAAGAATCAATATCATGAAAATCACCATACTGCCCAAAGCAATTTATAGACTCAATGCTATTCCCATTAAGCTACCATTGATATTCTTCACAGAATTAGAAAAAAAAGTTTTAATTCATATGGAACCAAAAAAGAGCTCATATAGCCATGACAATCCTAAGCAAAAAGAACAAAGCTGGAGGCATGATGCCACCCAACTTCAAACTATATTACAAAGCTACAGTAACCAAATCAGGATGGTACTGGTACAAAAACAGACATATAGATCAATAGAACAGAATAGAGAATCCAGAAATAAGCCCACACACTTACAACTATCTGATCTTTGACAAACTTGACAAAAACAAGCAATGGGGGAATGATTCCCTATTCAATAAATAGTGCTGGGAGAACTGGCTAGACATATGCAGAAAATTGAAACTGGATGCCTTCTTTACACTTTATGCCAAAATTAACTAAAGATGGATTAAAGACTTAAATGTAAAACCCAAAATTATAAAAACCCTAGAAGAAAATCTAGGCAATACCATGCAAAACATAGGCATGGGCAAAGATTTTATGATGAAATCACCAAAAGTAATTGCAACAAAAGCAAAAATTGACAAATGGGACCTAATTAAAGAGCTTCTGTACAGTAAAGGAAAGTATCGTCAGAGTGAACAGACAACTTACAGATAGGAGAAAATTTTTGCAATCTATCCATCTGAAAAATGTTTAATATCCAGGATCTATAAGGAACTTAAGCATATTTACAAGAAAAAAACCAACAACCGCATTAAAAAGTGGGAAAAGAATATGAACAGGCTACTTCTCAAAAAAAAGACATACATGCGGCCAACAAACATGAAAAAAAGCTCAACATAACTGATCATTAGAGAAATGCAAATCAAAACCACAATGAGATACCATCTCATGCCACTCAGAATGGCAATTATTAAAAAGTCAAGAAACAACAAATGCTGGCGAGGTTGTGGAGAAATAGGAATGCTTTTATGCTATTGGTGGGAATGTAAATTAGTTCAACAATTGTGGAAGACAGTGTGGTGACTCTTCAAAGACTTAGAACCAGAAGTACCATTTTACCCAGCAATTCTATTACTGGTTATATACCCAAAGGAATATAAATCTTTCTATTACAAAGATACATGCAAATGTATGTTCATTGCAGCAGCATTCACAATAGCAAACACATGGAATCAACCTAAATGCCCATCAGTGAAAGACTGGATAAAGAAAATGTGCTACATATACACCATGGAGTACTATGCAGCCATAAAAGGAATGAAATCATGTTCTTTGCAGGGACATGGATGAAGCTGGAAGCCATTATCTTCAGCAAACTAACGCAGGAACAGAAAACCAAACATCGCATGTTCTCACTTATAAGTGGGAGCTGAACAATGAGAACACATGGACACAGGGTGGGGAACAACACACACTGGCACTTGTCGGGGAAGAGTGGAGGTGGGGAGAGCATTAGAGAAAAGAACTAATGCATGCTGGGCTTAATACCTAGGTGATGGGTTGATAGGTGCAGCAAACCACCATGGCACACATTTACCTATGTAACAAACCTGCACATCCTCCACATGTACCACAGAACCTAAAAACATAAAATAATAAAAAATTAAAAAATTAGAAAAATTCTTTTTCTTTCTTAGTATCCAAGAGACTGGCACCTTTACAGCTGGGAATGGAGAAGGAGATAAGTCCTTAGCTCTCAGAAAGGAGTGGAACAGGGAACAGGCAAAGATGGAACAGGAAAGACCCCATACAAAGGCAAAATCTACACTTTCTATAAAAAAGATGAATTGGACAAAAACAAACCTCCTGTCAGAGGCCAATGACAAGGAAAATTGTCTTTCTAGACTTGGGTTCAGGGAAGAATTTTTTTCTAAAGTTAACAATGAGATCTCATAACTTCATTCCTGCCCTTGCTTATGATATGAGTTCCTATTTTTTGCTACCCACATAGTCCATAAAATTCTATACCACAAAACTCACTTGAAGACATTCTGAATTGGTTGTAACTTGGGCCACATGACAGAGGTAAATACACTGCCTTTCTAGAAGAAGGTAATGGCAAAAAAGAATTCACAGGCTGACTTCATATCAAGATTCCCTGAATTAAAGTTCAGGATCCAAAGTTACACAGCAGCAGAAGAAAAAAAGTACCATAAGCAAAAATGAGGGAGGAAAAAAGGATACTTTTTAATGACCAAGAAACTTAGATATTGAAATTAGCAGATAAAGATTATAAAATAAGTATGTATAAGATGTTTAAAGAAATAAAAATGAGAACATTCCAAACATTATTATCACATTTGGGAATTACAACATAAAAATATACAAAATAATATTCTATGTTGTTTAGGGATATGTGAATATGGGAAAAAGAAAATGAAAAAATATTATTATAAGCACTAAATTCAGGATTATGATACCTCTGTGAAAGAATAGAGGCAGGGAGAAAAGAGAATAGAGGCATGATTTTTATTTTAGAACTGATTTCAAAGGTCAGTAGTAACATTTCCTAGTTAAGCAAACATATATATATATGTATTATTTATATATATATATATATGTATATATCTGCTTTACTTTTTGGAATTGCATACAGTTATCAGGAAATGTATATCATGAACAAAAATATGCAAACATTTTAAAAGAGGAATTTAGAATTGCACAATGAATATAGTTTTCTTACAATTTTCACAATCTGTCTTTTTCAGTTGATTGGACACAGTACTGATGTTACAAGTCTCAGGTGTTCGAGGCAGTTACTGATACACAGGTAGAACAAGGTGGACAAAGCACAACTGTTAGTATAATAAGCCGAAGTAGGATTTATGTAAAATGGAATTGTTCAGAACTTTCAAATCAAATGATTTTATTATTTCATACATCTTTGTCCTAGAAGATAAAATGAAAGTTATATTTACTGGCTGGCAAGTGGGTTAGTACTGTATATTGGCTCATATTGGAACCAAGTTTCTTGAACCTAGCTGTGTATTAATATTAACATCACCCGGAAATGTTTAAAACATACTGATGTCTGGGCCCCAGCCCAGACACTTATAAGTGAGAATATGTGATATTTGGTTTTTGGTTCCTGTGTTAATTTGCTAAAGATTACAGCCTCCAGCTGCATCCATGTTGCTGCAAAGGGCATGATTTTATTCTTTTTTTGTGGCTGCATAGTGTTCCATAGTGTATATGTACCACATTTTCTTTATCCAATCCAATCCACCAGTGTTGGGCACCTAAGTTGATTCCATGTCTTTGTTATTGTGAATAGTGCTGCAATGAACATACGAGTGCATGTGTCTTTTTGGAGGAATGATTTAGTTTCTTCTGGATACATACCCTGTAATGAGATTGATGAGTCAAATGGTAGTTCTGTTTTAAGTTCTTTGAGAAATCTCCAAACTACTTTCCACAGTGGCTGAACTAATTTGCATTCCCATCAACAGTATGTAAATGTTTCCTTTTCTCTGCAGCCTCACCAGAATCTGTTGTTTTTTGACGTTTTACTAATAGCCATTCTGACTGGTGTGAGATAATATCTTACTATGGTTTTGATTTGCACTTCTCTGGTGATTAGTGGTGTTGAGCATTTTTTCATATGCTTGTTGGCCACATGTATGTTTTCTTTTGAGAAGCGTCTGTCCTTTGCCCATGTTTTAATGGGGTTGTTTGGTTTTTGTTTGTTATATTAAGTTCCTAATGGATTCTTAATATTAGACATTTGTCAGATGCACAGTATGTAAATATCTTCTCTCATTGCGTAGGTTTTCTGTTTACTCTGTTGATAATTTATTTTGCTGTGCAGAAGCTCCTTAGTTAAATTAGGTCCTATTTGTCAATTTTTGTTTTTGTTTGCAATTGCTTTTGAGGACTTAGTCATATATTCTTTCCCAAGGCTGATGCATAGAATGGTGCTTCTCAATTTTTCTTCCAGGATTCTTATAGTTTGAGGTCTTATATTTAAATCTTTAATCCATCTTGAGTTAATTGTTTCATATGGCAAAAGGTAGGGGTCCAGTTTCATTCTTCTGCATATGCCAGCTATCTCAGCACCATTTATGGAATAGAGAGCACTTCCCTCATAGGCTTGTTACTCACTTTGTTGAAGATCGAATGGCTGTAGGGGTGCAGCTTTATTTCTGGGTTCTCCATTCTGTTCCATTGGTCTATGTGTCTGTTTTTGTACCAGGACAACGCTGTTTTGATTACTGTTGTTCTGTAGTATAGTTTGAAGTCAGATAATGTGATGCCTCCAGCTCTGTTCATTTTCCTTAGGATTGTTTTGGCTATTAGGGCTCTTTTAGGGTTCCATATGAATTTTAGAATAGTTTTTATTCTAGTTCTGTGAAAAATGATGTTGGCAGTTTAATAGGAACAATGTTGAATCTGTAAATTGCTTTGAGCCTTATGGCCATTTAAATGATATTGATTCTTCTAATTCATGAGCATGGAATGTTTTTCCATTTGACTGTGTCATCTATGACTAATTTTAGCAGTGTTTTGCAGTTCTCCTTGTAGAGATCCTTTACCTCCTTGGTTAGATGTATTGCTAGGTATTTTATTTTATCTTTTGCATCTATCGTAAATTGGTTGCATTATTGATTTAGCTTTCAGCTTGAATGTTATTGATGTATAGAAGTGCTACTGATTTTCATGCATTCATTTTGTATCCTGAAATTTTACTTGTTTGTCAGTTCCAAGCACCTTTTGGTGAAGTCTTTACTATTTTCCAGGTATAGAATCATATTTTCCATGAAGAGATATAGTTTAACTTCTTCTTTTTCTATCTTGATGCCTTTTATTTATTTCTCTTGACTGATTGTTCTGTCAAGGATTTCCAGTATTATGTTGAATATGAGTGGTGAGAAGTGGGCATCCTTGTCTTATTCCAGTTCTCAAGGGGGATGCTTCCAGTTTTTCCCATGCAGTATGATGTTGGCTGTGGGTTTGACATAAATGACTCATATTATTTTGAGGTATGTTCCTTCAGTGCCTAATTTATTGATGGTGTTTATTGTGAAGGGATGTTGGAGTTTATCAAAAGCTTTTACCACATCTATTGAGATGATCATATGATTTTTGTTTTTAATCCTGTGTATGTGGTAAATTACATTTACTAATTTGCATATGTCGAACCAAACTTGCATATCAGAAATGAAGCCTACTTCATCATGGTGAATTAACCTTTTGATGTGTTGCTGGATTAATTTTCCTAGTATTTCACTGAGAATTTTTGTTTCTATGTTCATCAGGGCTATTGGCCTGTAGTTTTCCTTTTTCACTGTGTCTTCTCCAGGTTTTGGTATCAGGGTGATGTTGGCTTCATAGAATGAGTTATGGAAGTGGTCCTTATTTTATACAGGTATCTAAGAATTTGTGATTTTTCATTATTTTTACAAACTTTATTCATTTTTATGTGTATGTCCTTCATTAAAACCCTAATTCAATGGCTTCTTGCATGTAAAATGATCTTTCAGATGATACATTTGTTTTAAATAATAAAAATGAAAAAGTAGATAACCTTTTTTTTTTTTTTTTTTTTTTGAGACGGAGTCTTGCTCTGTCGCCCAGGCTGGAGTGCAGTGGCACGATCTCGGCTCACTGCAAGCTGCACCTCCCAGGTTCTCACCATTCTCCTGCCTCAGCCTCCAGAGTAGCTTGGGACTAAAGGAGCCTACCACCACACCCAGCTAATTTTTTGTATTTTTAGTAGAGACGGGGTTTCACCGTGTTAGCCAAGATGGTCTCAATCTCCTGACTTCATGATCCACCCGCCTCCGCCTCCCAAAATGCTGGGATTACAGGCGTGAGCCACCACGCCTGGCAGATAATCTTATGATCTATATTAATACGATCTTCTAGTATAACTTGCTCATTTCCTTTTTTTCATGGAAGCTCATGTTCTGAGATGAAGATAATGATTAGCCATTGGAGTTATTTAGTCAATGTAAACTACTACAACAACATATTTTTTAAAGACCACTCTAATAAGTGAAGTCAACTTTTACTACTCTATGTCAAGTAGTAAATATGGAGATACTATTAATTAATATTGATATTAATATTAATATTAATTTATATTTAAGTATGCTGGGCATGAACCTAAGAAAAATTGAACATGCAGAATTCTTAGGAGTTTCATTTTGTTCATTTACTTTTAACAAATAACAGTAGCCAACTGAATCTTCTATATGAATAAAAGCTAGCTACTTCCCTCAAACATTGCAACCAGGTTTGTATGAAGTCAAGTCCTAGAACAAGCTTTATTATCATAGAGGTGTTTATTAGCAAAGAGGAAAACATGGTTCATACAGCTTGTTCTATAAGCTTGATGAAGTCCCAGCTGTCTGTTATTTCAGGAGCTTTGACCCTCTCAGCTTACAAGAAAGATTGACTAAACACCGAACAGCGTCCCAGAAGTAGGACTCAGTTACTCTTAACAGCATCAAGCAACAAAAATCCTCTAAAGCAGAGACCTGATACAGAGAAGTTTACAGACCAAATCTTTGGCACAAACTCTAAGGGTAGAAGCTGCTAACTTTGCCGGATTTTTATGTCCTGTTTATATGAGATTGAGGAGTGTCTTTACACTAATTTAGACAATTCATACAAGATGAAAGCTTTTAATTTTACCAAAGAAAAACCATTACTAACATGTCATGCTAATTAATAAGGTAGCCACTAATTCAATCAATGAAAACCCACTTCTGATATGAAATATGGTAATTGCTAAAACCTCTGGATATGACCAAAGACAAAGAGAGCTAATGTGTTTGTGATCATTGCCTCTGGAGTGGAGGAGGGTATCCTCAATGAAAAAGTGATATGTGACTGTCCCTGGAATGGGAATTCCTGGTTAAAATACACAAACTATCTATACTGAATTATTTTTTAGGCAAATTACAACCATCATAAAAATGTTTAATTATGATTACTAGGAATTCAGTCCCTATAAAATGGAAAATAAGAGAGGGATAAATGGCTAGAGAGTAAGACCATTTATATTCACTGCATTTTTCTTTTTATGTAGCTATATTTTCTTATATAGACCTAATGCATTAATTCACAGTATAATTGACTTAACAATGTTGTTCTTTTGTCTGAGACCAGCTGTATGATATTTGATGGGATGCACTGCGTGGAATGGTGAGGAAGGAGGTAGTTGCTATTTAGAGAGTCAAATCAGCAAAGTCATATTCTGGAGATTAATGGGCAATATAATACCTCAGCCACAGGATGAACAATTTGACTGATACAAACCACTACTCTTTTAATATTTGTTCAGTTTTTATTTGTAGGGCAAGTTGACTGTTATGTGGGCATAGGTCAGAAGAAAGGCAAATCTGCTTGTCAAAAATCCCTGGCTCTAAATTACCATGCCCCACTGGCTGATAGCAGCTAGATCTAGTTCATTGGTTCCACATTCTTAGTAAATTATGTAGTGATCACCTATGGTTATTTTTTAAAAATTCATTACAGTAGTCACCCCCCAAGTAGCTTCCTAAAACAAAATAAGCCCTGTAATTGTATTTAACATTCTTCTAAAAAGCGGTTCTGGAAAATATGTTTTTCTCCAATACTTTATATTTTCATTAAATTTTAAGGTCCTCTTTTAATAAACTATCCTACTGAGTACACGTATATCTAGCCTCAACTCAATCCAGCTCCAAATAAATAATATATACATATATAGAACTTTTAGTCAATCATGGGGCATGCAGTGATAACACACAGATATGTATACACACACACACACACACACACACACACACACACACAACATATATTTCCAGGAAGATTTTAATGTCTCATTTTCTGCCAGTTAGTGAATATTCCTGAGAGGATTATGTTTTTTCTTCCTTTAATTAGAAATATGACATTAGCAAATCATTTGGTCAATGTCCAAATGACTTGGACATTGCAAATTATGGGACAAATATACAAATGCAGTGTCATGGGACTGAAATTATTAACGTGCATAAATATTCCGTTTCCCCTCTCCTTCCAGGCACTTGGGAATATATTTTCTTCTCCATCCCTTAAAGCTTGGTGTGACCATGTGACCATTTCAATCAATTAATTGTAGTCAGAAATGATATGTGTCACTTTAGGGTTTGGGCATTGAATTGCTGGTTCAAGAACCTCCAGAGCTGCTCCTCTCTGGCATGATTAAGTAGGGGAGTATGTGCCAATTGGGAACCTCTGTCAGCCTAGGGCCCTCAACATTATAATGAATAGAGCTCCTCTACCAACCTGTGATACACGTAGCATGTGCAATAATTAAACCTTTGTTGTTTCAAACAGAGATTAAAAAACAAAAAACAGCAGAAACAACAACAAAAACCAGAACATAACCTAACATGAACTACCTGGTATTTGCCTTTTAATATAAAACATGTAACTCATTTTTATAGATAGAGAGGAATCAAATAACTATATAATCTTATTTTCAAAAGTATTTCCTATATCTGAAATAATTTCTTCATTAAATGAAAATGACTACATGTTAGCAGAATGCAGGTTGTTTCACACAGTCATAAATAAGTTCTCTATAGACAATCAACAAGCTGTGGCAACTAGAAGGTTATTTCTTCGTGGAAACAAGACAGTGCTAGAACATCAAAAGAAAATAATCACAAATGTTTTAGTCACTTGCAGGGCACAATAATAGAAATATTCTATATTGTATTGTGACTTTTTTCAGTGTGTCACACTGCTACAGAAAAAAATTTAAAATTGTTAAACTGCATGACAAATCTCTATCAAGATATAATATGTTAACAAGATTTATATTAAAATTCACCTAGTTCATTTACTTATACTTTGATTTTTCTTCATAAATGTTATTATTTTTCTATCTAAAATGAATTATACATCTTGTTAACGTTTATTTTTTCTTATTAATATATGTCATTAACGTAACATTAATGTGATTTTAAAATCAAGCATTAATTATTGATGAATACGAGAAACTAGGCAGGTAGATAAGGTCCAGCCTACATACTATTTTTTCTCTCTCCTATCTATCTATTCTATCTCCACATTTCGGAAGCTCTAGAGTTCATCTACCTAGTATACTCCACAAACTCCTCTGGTTTTTAAATACTCAAGGAAAATAGATAAAGATGTAGGGAAAAATTAAAAGTACAAGTAAAAAAGTATGCATATTAAACTCTTTGTACAGTGCTCACTCCAAAATACTGTCACTATAATCCAGAAAGTTAAAATAATATGACACTTTAACCTCTCAGTCAGTTTAAGAGATACTAGGAGTACTGTTTCAAGAGATTGATTAAAATCAAACCTTTGGGCTGGAATAAGACAAATTATTAAATGGTTTTAGCTTCCAAAGCAATAGTCATCTATATGCAAGTTATCAGTAGCTGATTGGTTCCAATTATTTCTTCAAACATGTAAGAAAGACAAACCATCGACATAAAAAGCTCTTGCTCATTTGCATATTCATAATACCTCAGTGAATCACCAAGACTGGCACTGATGCTGCCTGAATATTAATGCAGGGCCAACAGCTGAGCTGAAGGGCAAAGCAATATATAGAAACAAACTGCAATTTCCTCTGGAATACACAATTCAACTTAAAGGTGGACTGATTGTTAAACTATTATTATTATTATTTTATCTCTTATGATAAGATTGTTCCACATTTCTTGGAGAATTTAGTCACAATGGCTCAGGATTATAGTAAATATTTTATCTGTATTTTAAGCCAGTTTTATCATGTAGTCGTTGATACCAAAACTCACTAACTATTCCAGCTTACATGCTAACTAAATACTTAAGCAGTACCCACCCTAGAAGGAGAAACCCAAGTTGGGCACCGCATTCAGCTGAAGGGCATCTATTTTTATATGCTTTTAAAACTTCAAATTTGTGAGTTCAAATAGTTAAGTACCTCTGCCTTCATTTTTCTTCTCCCTTTGCCCTTTAATTTTTTATAAAAAACCTCTGTCTCCTGACCCTACCCTTTGTTACAGCTCTAATGGGTTTTTTTGCCTTGGTTTCACTGGGGAGAGCTACACACTGAGGCTTCCAGATGAAATGCTTGCAATTCCTTCTGAGAGATGCAGCAGAATATTTGTGGAAGAATATGTAGGAGGGAGATATGTATTTGAAGTTTGCATGTGTGATGTATTTGTAGCATCGCCATTACATTTATACATCTGTGATCACAAGATTGTTTATTATAGGATTCTATTTTCCTTGGAGAAGTAGCAGATTGGACAAAACTCTCCCAAGCATTTACATTTCCTTTTCCTGAAGAAGGTGCTGTCTGCCAACAGCGGTATCCGAAAACAAACGAGAGTAGATAAAACATTATTTCTTTAAAAACCTCATGTTTAGAAAACAGAGTTCTGTACCTTACTAATGATCATACTGCTTTGCTTTATTTGTTTTTATTGGGCTTCCCTTTCAAACAATAGTAAATGATAACCACAACAATAGCTAATCTAATTGATTGTATACTGTATCTGTCAATTTTTGCTGCATAAAAAAACTACCTCCATGTGGCTTAAAACAATAAACTATTATTATTCATGTGTTTTGGGCTTCATGGGTGCTGCCTAATCTGGAGGTAGGTTCAATTTATTTCTTTTTCAGTCTGTGGGAGCTAGGGTGGCCCTATTTCTCACTGCAGGTAATGGGTTGGCTGGAGTAACTCTTTTCCATTAGCTGTATTAACAAAATAATATTCTTTTCTTAGGATTAGCAGAGGCATAAATGTGTAAGTGAAACATACGAAACTTCAAGGCTTAGGCTAAGATCCAGAACACTAACTTTCTGTTTATTCTATGGGTCAAAGCCAAGGGGAAGGAAGATATACATTATCCCTTTAGTGGGAGGAACTGAAAAGTTACATGATGTGATGGTTAATACTGAGTGCCAACTTGATTGGATTGAAGGATACAAAGTATTGACCCTGGGTGTGTCTGTGAGGGTGTTGCCAAAGGAGACTAACATTTGAGTCAGTGGGCTGGGAAAGGCAGACCCACCCTTAATTTGGGTGGGCACCATCTAATCAACTACTTGCCTGGGTAGAATACAAGCAGACAGAAAAATGTGAAAAGAGAGAGTTCTTCAGTTTTGGGACTCAGACTGGCTCTCCTTGCTCCTCAGCTTGCAGAGAGCCTATTGTGGGACCATATGATCATGTGAGTTAATACTTAATAACCTCCCCTTTATTAACTTAATAAACCAATATATCCTATTAGTTTTGTCCCTCTAGAGAACCCTAACGCATATACACGCCGAAAGGAGGGGTGAAAAATTGAAACCAATAACGTAAACTACTATCCACACTATGGCCTATGCTCCTTTGTTAGCGTGTTACAGTCATCATTTCATTTGATCTTTGGAGCATCCCCATGTATTATTGTTATCATTATTTTACAATCAAGAAATTGAGGCACAGAGAGGTTAAGTAACTTGTCTAGTATCACCCTACCAGCAAGGGATAAAACAATGATTGACACCTAAAGAGATTTTAAGTACTATGCAATTTTTCTCAAATACTCTAGTCTACCTGGTTTAAAAGAATACTTCTATATTTAGTAAAGAGATTATAAAGATATGGGATATAATTTTCAGTCATAATGATAATGAGTAAGGATAGAGCATAACAAAAGTTCTGCTGAAATAATACTATTCATTTCTAAGCCATCTCATCCTTAAAATTCATTTATACATGAGACAGAATAAGGATAATGTCCTCAGCAGGGAAGAACCATAGGCCAATTAATGAATTAAATTTCCATTTATAGTTCTTTTGTGATCAATAATTATTCCTCGGAACAAGGAAGACCCTCTTCTTTGACAACAAACATTACATATAAAAATTATAACTGATTCTATTTTATTAAATATATATACCCCCGGATGTAGTTTTGTAACATCAAATACCATTAATCAAAAGCCACAAATAGCTGTAATAATGACAGAGAACTTTAATGAACAAAGTTAATTGTTCCAGTGGCAGTAGAAATATAAGCAGACCCCTAATCCGTGCATTTTTTGTTGCCTTCTTGGCAATCACAGCAATGTGGTCTTAGAATATGTGTATGTTTGTGTTGGCTTCATAGTTTTGCATATTTTCTTTTTTCTGAAACATTTGTTTTCAGAAACCTGAAGAGGTTTACTTGAATCCGAAAAGTAAGTGTGTACCACAGGATTAGTGCTAATTTTAAATTATTTTCATATTGTTCCTCATTGTTTAAAGTGTGCCTTAGTAAATAGCACAAATTGTTAAAAGAGCATAATATTCTATACTACACATGAAAACAACAGGGCAAAATTAAATATGATAGGTACTGATATCAATTTAATCTCCATGTCACAAGTTTCTTCCCCAGGGTTAAGCCATACACAGAGAACAGACATGTTTAATTTGGGGGTAAGATTAGTAGCCATAGAAATTGAAATACTAAAATTTCAAAATGAATGTCTATTTGTAGCTTATCTGAAAAAATGTATAAGCCTTTTCTTAGATAGACACTGTTATGTTTTTTAAGATTAAAAATTGTATTGAATCTCACACTTGGTCCACTTCCCCTATCTCACACCAAAAGCATTTCAGAATCTTGCTAAATGCAAACCTGAATGCAAACGGGATGCTAGGAAACTGAGAGCATGGCTGAGTGTGTTTGTTCTGTTGAGGAAAGAGCATCATATGTAATAAATGCTCAATAATTATTTTTAAGGAATGCAGTATTATGAGCTTTTACACCACTGTATTCAAACAGCACAACAGCACTGGGTTTGTAACAGTCAGAATGACCTTGGTCAAGTTATTTTATGCTACAGAGGCCAGTTTTATTTGGTTTTTACCTGTAAAAATGGGGATAAAATCTACCTATATTACAAAAGTATTTAGAAAAAGAAATGAAAACATTTAATTCTAACCGTTTCCTCAACCGTCATTAACTGATGGATTAAAATGTAATCCTATTATTAACACAGTTTTTAATAATTCTCGCCCCCACCTGCTGAGGCTGAACTTCCAACTCCTTTCCCCTAGATCTCTCTGATATATGTTTGAATACCCCCAGTGGGAGTCTCAAATGTACCCCTGAGAGGCCCTCTTCCATTTCTCCACCTGAAATCCTTTCACTAATGCTTATGGCCTGCAACAGTGCAAGAGAATGAACTTTCTCCCACATGGCTGTGCTAATACTGAACCCTATGTTGTTACCTCCTGTTCCTGATGTTGGAGCTTCTCAGAGTACCTAAAGGGCACTGCTTTAGCTGAAGACCTCAATTACATGAAACTCATGTATTCAATGTGCAAATCAAAGGATGATCCTTGTCTTTTAGCCTAAAGCCCCTCTAACTCTAAAGCTCAGTTACAAATCAACTTGCTGAGCTAGGGGTAGGGGTCATTATCTGAGACAAAAACTATGCTTTTACCTACATCTTGTCAGGAGAATTCACACACATGTTCATGTACATGCACATATTACCTCCTATCTCCATCCTCCTATAGAATGGATTTTCACATATATGAGAGAGGGAAACTCGCTTATGTCTTGCTGCCAATCACAACCCTTTGAAATGTGATATTTGGTGGGGAAAGACCCTCTGTTTTTTCACTTAATTATATCCTATATGTCACGTGAGCTCTCTTCATTTTTTTTTCCTATTTTGTCTAACTGGGTTATTTCAAAAAACCTTTCTTCAAGGTCAGAACATTTACTGCTTGATCTAGTCTGTTGTTAAAATTCTCCATTTTTTTTTAAATTTCATTCACTGAATTCTTCAGTTTCAAGATTTCTATTTGGTTCTTTTTAGTATCTATCTCTTTGTTGAATTTCTCATTTAGATCATGAATTGTTTTTCTGATTTCTTTGTATTATCTCTCTGTGTTCTCTTGTATCTCACTGAGTTTTAAAAAATCATAACGTTGGATTTCTTTTCAGTCATTTAATATATTTCCTTTTCTTTAAGATCTGTTGCTGGAGAATTATTGTCCTTCTTTGGAGTTGGCATGTTTCCTTACTTTTTTATGTTTCTTGTGTCCCTATGTTATTTGTTTGTTTGTTTTGATACAGAGTTTCGCTCTTGTTGCTCAGGCTGAAGTGCAACGGCGCGATCTCAGCTCACTGCAACCTCCGCCTCCTGGGTTCAAGTGATTCTCCTGCCTCAGCCTCCCAAGTAGCTGGGATTACAGGCACCCACCATCACGCCCGGCTAACTTTTTGTATTTTTAGTAGAAATGTGGTTTCACCATGTTGGCCAGACTGGTCATGAACTCCTGACCTCAGGTGATCCACCTGTCTCGGTCTCCCAAAGTGCTGAGATTACAGGTGTGAGCCACCATGCCCAGCTTATCCCTATGTTGCTATCTGTGTATCTGGTTTAACAGTTGCTTCTTCTAATTTTATTGAGTAGCTTATAGAGAAGGAGGTTTTTGTGTTTTTTTTTGTAGATTTGTCTGTAGCTTCAGTTGGGTAGGGTGCTTTGGCTCTGGGTTCTAGTGCCTGAAGTAGTGTAGTCTCTGTATGATTTCTTCAGTTGTAATTAACATTGGTTACTGTGAATTCCTCAGTGGCTCAAGGTGTGGTTTTCCTGTGGAGGCTGTGGAGTGATTTTTCTGGGGATGGGCATGTCGCATGTGCAGTCCTCAGGCCACTGGTTAGTGCACGTGGGCACTGGTGATGGAGGGATTGGGCCTTGGATGGGCCAGTCCTTGGCCTTCTGGGCAGTGCACAGATGTAGGGTGGTTCTACTGCTGGACTGGGCCGGGTCAATGTCAGTGGCTGCTGCCCCAGGCAGGCAAGTCTCAGGTGCCGGGGAGCATGTACTTTAGTTCCCTGTATCCTGAGGGCAGCCTCCCTGATGTGCCAAACATTCTCCTTCCTGGGGTGTAGTAAACAGCATGGGTTCAGATGCTGGGGAGACAGCAGTATTATTGATTCCAGCTGGTTTTCCTATACTGTAGCCCTCTGAGTGGATGTAGGAAGATGTCAGTGTGGACCTAGGCATGTGGAAATGCAGGGGCTATTTGGCCCAGAGCATGATGTCACCTGGTGGTGGCTTTGCTCTCAAAATGGCACTGTGCTGCTGCAGCCTGGGTGCTGGGGTGTGAGTCAGACCCAGTGTGAATTCCCTGTCTGGGATAATGCAGTCATGTGGACTCCAGGCAGCTCTCTGTAATAGGCTTAGGGCTTGTGACTGCTGAGGGGCTCTCCTCTAGTTAGGATTGCAGGCATCTGTGGTAGAAATGTGGATTGCTGGAGATCTACAGTTTAAGTTTTCCCCAAAATGAGGAGTTTGTTGGCTTTGAGCTAATCCTGGTTGGCTGCTTCCCTTCTCTATGCTGCCATCTTGCATTTCTGTGCCTCAGAGGGTCTCTATCACTTTATTGGTGAATTCCAGTGTTCTCTGCTAGAACTTCCATTTGACTTGTGGTTATCGATCTGTCGTTTTGGTACTTCTTTGTAGAGGAGATGAGTGTTGGTTGCTTCTAGTCAGTCAGCCACCTTGAAGACCTCTCAGAGCTCTAATCCAGTGTTTTCTTTTTTTCATATTTATTTGTTTTCCCAATGTTCCTGATATTATGCTATCTTGTAGTAGGGGATTAATATATGCTTGTTAACTTAATGTTATCTAAGTCTATATTATTACTGGAATTAAAAAGAATATTTAGATACAGTAAATCATAATGAGAATCATGAAAAATATTTATAAGTGCTTAGCTTTTAGGAAAATGGAATGAACAAGTTTCATTAACCACCCAACTTGACACTGAAAAATGTATGTCCTGCATACAGAGAAACAGTAATACGCCTTTCTCACATGATAGAGGAAAATATCAGTGAGAAATATTTCACTCATGCTGTGGCAAGAGAGTCACAAAAATACTGTGAAGATTTTGAGTAAATAACCACTTCCTGGGATGTCTGGAAACTTATATGAGACTCAGTTTTTCTTACACTGAAATAAACTTAGTGTTTTTTTAGCTAAGACAATTTGGGAAAATAGAATGCAATGAGAACAGATATGGAAATGTTTTAAATATACTAGAAATAGAATCAATAAATATTTTCAAATTTCGGCAATTTCAAAATACTTTAATGAAATATTTAGGACACTTAGGGATAAATATTATAATCCATTCTTGGGATGATAAGATCAGGGGAGAGGTGTAGCAAGTGAAGAAAGAAGAGCAAGAGATAGAGAAATATAGATATTATGTCTGTAAAGATTTGCGTCTGTGCAGGAGATGATCTATAAATAATTTTAGAAGTTATCCATAGGGATAAATATGAAACAAAATGTCCTCTGTGAAGCATCAAATCATAAAAATTAGTCTATTTATTCTTAGGAAGAATATATATGCACACATATAAAAGAAAATAGGGATATTTTTTCCATTTTTTCTAAATATTACCATCTAGAGGTATTTTGATACATATGTTGTTTGAAGTTTTCTAGACACATCCATACACACATATTTTCTTTCAAAAGAGAGATAACATTATCCACTTTCTTTTGTAAATTTATCATTTAATATATTATTTATACCTTTCAATGCCATTAAATATGTTCTACAACATCATCTTAATGGTAGCATAGCATTATGTAGCTGTGGCATTTTCTCTTTATCACAAACAATACTGGAGTGAATATTCTTTTACATATCTCTTCGTGCACATGTCTAATTGTTACCTCTAGAAATTCCTAGGTGTGGAACTATTGTTTCAAAATAAATGATTTAACACTCATTTCAAAACACTTGTGAAGTGGCCAAATATCTTACAAAATAGCCATGTAAATTTATAATCCAGATGACCCATATAAGAGTGTTAGGAGATTATTCCTAACATTGTGTTGCAGAAAATAGGGCAATAAAAAATTGATCTGATGCACAGAAGTTCAGTGTACCTTTCATATTTGCCTATGATGATTCAAGGTTTATAATATATAAAAATAATTATATTTTTACTTGACCTTCATCTCCAATTAGAATATGAGTTGTGGGTAGAGATATTTTATTTCCTATTGCATTCCTATTATCAAACTTACATTCTTCATATAATAGGTATTGCAATATTTGTTAAAGTAATATTAGCAAATGGCACATGAAAATAATCTTGGTCACCTGAGCTTCAAGACATAGCATAAAATAAATTATAGCAGACAGTGGCAATCTACCAGCAGTTCACAATGGTATCCCATAGAGTGAAAGTAATGCAATTAAAGAAAATATAACAACAACCAAAACTCATTAAAGGGAAGGATTCTCTGTATATAGACATAACTCATTTTATAGTGCTTTGCTTTATTGCACTTGGCAGATATTGTGAGAGTTTTTGTTTTGTTTTATATTTTTTAC
Organism: Homo sapiens; assembly: GCF_000001405.40. Lineage (NCBI taxonomy): Eukaryota > Metazoa > Chordata > Mammalia > Primates > Hominidae > Homo > Homo sapiens. Next base: position 27,663,334 of record NC_000023.11, read on the forward strand.
AAATTGAAGAATGATGGCAATTCTGCATTGAGCAAGTAAGTAGGTGCCATTTTCCAACAGCATGGACTCAATTTGTGTCTCTGTGTCACATTTTGGCAATTCTCACAATACTTGAAACTTTTTCATTTTTATTGTATCTGTTGTGGTGATCTGCTATCAGTGATATTAGATGTTACTATTGTAATTGCTTTGGAGTGCCACACACAACAATATAAGACACCAAACTTAATAGATAAATGTTGTGTGTGTTCTGACTGCTCTACCCTATAGCTATCCACTGATAGCTTTTCCCCCTATCTCCCTCTCTCCTTGGGCCTTCCTACTCCCTGAGACACAACAATGTTGAAATTAGGCTAATTATATTTTATTTATTTTATTTTTTGAGATGAAGTCTTGCTCTGTCACCCAGGCTGGAGTGCAGTGGCTTGATCTTGGCTCACTGCAATCTCCACCTCCCAGATTCAAGCAATTCTCTTGTCTCAGCCTCCCGAGTAGCTGTCACTACAGGTGTGTGCCACCACACCTGGCTAATTTTTTTTTTTTTTTTTTTTTTTTAAGTAGAGATGGGGTTTCACCATATTGGTCAGACTGGTCTCAAACCCCTGACCTCAGGTGATCCACTCACCTCGGCCTCCCAAAGTGCTGGGATTACAGGAGTCAGCCACCATGCCTGGGTGAAATTAGGCTAATTGATAACCCTACAATGGCCTCTAAGTGTTCAAGTGAAAGGAAGAATCACATGTCTCTCATTTTAAGTCATAAGCTAGAAATGATCAAACTTAGTGAGGAAGGCATTTCAAAAGCTGAGATAGGCCAAAACCTAGGCCTCTTTTGCCAAATAGTTAGACAAGTTGTAAATGCAAGGGAACAGGTATTGAAGGAAATTAAAACTGCTACTCTAGTCAACGTATCAATGATAAGAAAGGGGAAAAAACCTCAGTGCTGATATGGAGATAGTTTGAGTGGTCTGGAAAGATCAAACCAGCCGCAACATTCCTTTAAGCCAAAGCCTAATACAGACCAAGGCTTTAACGCTCTTCAATTCTGTGAAGGTTGAGAGAGGTGATCAACTTGAAGAAGAAAAGCTGGAAGCTAACAGAGGTTATTTCATGAGGTTCAAGGAAAGAAGCCATCTCCATAACATAAAAGGTGCAACATGAAGTAGCAAGTGTTGATGGAGAAGCTGCAGCAAGTTATCCAGAAGATCTAGCTAAAATAATTGATGAAGGTGGCTACAGTCAACAAAAAATTTTTAATGTAAATTAAACAGCCTTCTATTGGAAGAAGAGGCCGTCTAGGACATTGATAGCCAGAGAGAATAAGTCAATGCTTGGCTTCAAAGCTTCAAAGAACATACTGATTCTCTTGTTAGGGGCTAAGGCAGTTGGTGACTTTAAGTTAAAGCCAGAATTCATTTACCATTCCTAAGATCTTAGAGCCTATAAGTATTTTGCTAAATTTACTCTGCCTGTGCCCTATAAATAGAAAAAAAAGCCTGCATGGTAGAACACCTATTTACAGAATGGTTTACTAAATATTTTAAGCCCACCATTGAGACTGCTACTCAGAAAACAAGATTTCTTTCAAAACATTACTGCTCATTGACAATGCACCTAGTTACCCAAGAGCTCTGATGGAAATATACAAAAAGATTAATATTGTTCTCATACCTGCTAACAACACCCATTCTGCAGCCTATAGATCAAGGGGTAATTTTGACTTTCAATTCTTATTACTTTTATATTTTATAATGCTGTAGCTTCCATAGATAATTATTCCTCTGATAAATCTGGGCAAAGCAAATTGAAATCATTCTGGAAAGGATTCGCCATTCTAGATGTCATTAAAAGTATTCATAAGTCATGGGAGGATTTAAAAATATCAATATTACCAAAAAATTTAAAAGAAATTGATTCTAAACTTGATAGATGACTTTGTGGGGTTTAAGATTTCATTGGAGGAAGTCACTACAGATGTGGTGAAAATAGAAAGAACAAGAATTAGAAGTGGAGCCTGAAGATGTGACTGAATTGCTGCAATTTCATCATAAAAGTTTAATGGATGAAGAATTACTTATTATGGATGAGCAAAGAAAGTGATTTCTTGAGATGGAATCTATTCCTGGAAGATGGCTAAACATTGTTGAAATGATAGCAAAGACTTTAGAATATTACATAAATTTAGATGTTAAAGTAGTGCCAAGGATTGAGAGTATTGGCTCCAATTTTGAAAGAAGTTCTACAGTGGATAAAATGCTATCAAACAGCATCACATGCTACAGAGAAATCTTTTGTAAAATGAAGAGTCAATCAACATGGCAAACTTCTTTCTTGTATTATTTTAAGAAATTACCATAGCCACCCCAACCTTCAGGAACTACTACCCTAATTAGTCAGTAGTCATCAGTATCAAGGCAAGACCCTCCACCAGCAAAAAGATCATGACTCGCTGAGGGCTCAGATGATCATTAGCAATTATTTAGCAATACATTATTTTTAATTAAGGTATGTACATTTTTTAGACATAATGCTACTGCACACTTAATAGCCTACAGTGTAGTGTAAACATAACTTTTATATGCACTGGAAAGCCAAAAAATCTATGTGACTTGCTTTATTGTGATATTTGCTTTATTGTAGTCGTCTGGATCCTAACCTGCAATATATCTGACATATACCTGTATATGTACTATTAAGAAATAAAAGCTCATGTGTCATGTTTTCCAAATAATTAAATAGTAATAAAAATGAGTGATAGCTTCTTTCATCAATAATTATATTTTTTGTGTTCTGACGTTAATTTCCTCTTAAAACAAATATTAAAATTGTGTATGTTTACAATATTACTTACTTATGCAAGTTTGCAGTAAAAATAAGAAACCAGTCTTTTCTTAAATTGTGTGCAACCTCTGCAAAGCCTCTAACATTTTAGACAATAAAGCAAATACAGTTTTTATTTAATAAGGAACCTCAGAGAAAATTGGGAGGTTTATTTCACAAATGTTTCTTCTGGAAAGGCCAATATTATATTTGAATACATGTAGTTGCTATAAGAGACACTTACTACTTTATATTATAGTATAAGAAAGAGCCATTTAACCTTCCAAGTAAACAGCTTACATGATTTTAAGTCAGATCTATCCAAGTAACAGATACCATATTTTAACCTGGATGGAAAATATTCTATGGTGTAAAAGTGTCAAGATAGGCTGAATAATTTAGATCTTTCTAACTCAGAAAAACCTGCCTGTAACACAGCATATTTGTTTTTCAATATTATTTTGTAGAATGTGCTATATAAGCAATTGAAAGATTATAATTTTTTTGAATTCTGGTTTGAAAGATAATTTTGTTTTCTATGCTTCTGTGATGTAAGGCAAAAACCCTGGACAATTTGTAACAGAATTGTTTTCATCATGTGCCATCTTTTATCTCTATGGCATATTTACACATTAATGTCATTTTAAAATGAATACAAGTCCAATGCTATTTCCTTTCATTGTAACATATTATCCACACAAGAGATTAAAGGGGCTCATTTGTTTCCACAATGAAGACTAGACCCTGTCCTTTAGACTAGTGCTTTTCAAACTTTAATGTACATATGAATCAATGGAAGAAACTTGTTGAAATGCAGATTCTGATTTAGTATATCTAGGTAGGGACCAAAGATTTTGAACTTTGAACCAGCTTCCTAATGATACTTTCAGATACTGCTGGTTCAAGAACCACACTTGGAATAGTGAGCCTTTACAATTAAAAAGTTCATGATGTGTGTGGGGAGGGAGAGTAGAGAAAGGGGTGGGGTGGGGGGCGGTGTTAAAGGAACGATACAAGGTAACCCATAAAAAATGTTGCAGGTTTCACCTGACAGATACAGATGTTGACCTACTGATTTTCATTCTGTGAGTGACTGGTTGGTTCTTTATTTTGTTGTTAATCCTTTGATTATTAAGAATAAGTAGAAACACACCTTTTCTTGTCTGTTAAGCTACAACTAGGTTAGGTTGTACAGGAAGTTCAATGAGTAAATATGCAAACCATCTTTTTAATAACCCCCAAATAAATAAAGAAATGTACTAAGCAAAAATAAAGCTAAAAGTAAGATTTATTTTGGGAAAAATAAGTCAAACTGTGGTTTTAGAGGTCTGTTTTATAATATCAAGGAGATTCAGGCAGAGAAGGACACAGTACTAGATAGCTTATATGTAACTGTGAGAGAACAAAGACAAACTAGAAGCCACAAAAGTCAAGGTCAGCTTGAGCAAATCAAATTCTGGCTGACTCAAATATGTTGTTAGTAAGCAGTTATTAGGAGTTATGGCTTTGTTTAAAAATACTAAATAATAAGGAAGATTGAAAAAGAGAATAACTGCTTATCAGGATACTTAAAAATAGAAAGCAAATCATCTTTATTCTTCTGTGAGCATTTTATGTTATGAAAGATAATGCCCAGTAATTCTTTTCTTGAATAATCATTACCATACTGATTAATTTATCACATTTCACTTCAAATATTGCTATTTTGTTATTTTACATATAAAAGGTACAGACTTCTATAGCATGAATTTGATCTCAAGTATACAAACTGAATTGATAGAAACCATGATGTCCTTTCACTAATAAAGAATAGATTTGCAAGGCATATGTTATCAGTCTAGAGTGCTCCTTCTTAATGTGATGGCTATGGTTCTGAAGGCTTTCAAGATAAAGATGTAGTTCCAGTCAGTAAGGCTTCTTCCCAAGCAAGGAAAGTCCCTTTCCACGTAAGCCATCACTACATTTTTACCAACATGCAAATCACAAGATTGCTGGGCATGGGGAAAAAGTATCTCTACCAGGGACAAATAGCCTATAGAAATGAGAAAAAAATGAAATAAGACTTAATCCTACATACATCCTGCCAGCTAACATGTTTGTCAGCATATAAGATGCATCCTGTACTCAGTGTGGTTTTTCAAAAACAGACTCGAAGATGAGGATTCGTATGAAAGTGGCTTATCAGGCAGTCTTTGTAAGGGAAATCAAACAAGCAAACGAACAATGAAAAAAGATGGTAGGTGAATGGGAAAGAAATAGGAAAGAGGAAAACAAAATGCCAGAAAGAAGCATGTCAAGCAAAGTCCTACAGAGGGTAACACTGAGTTAGTCTTAAAGTTACCATTTTCTGGACACAGTGTGGCTCACACCTAGAGTTGTCTCAACCAGAGGAAAAAGGGACTGGAATATTTATAACCCTGCAAACAGCTGACCAGCTGTCAGTTAGTTAAGAACTACGCCTTGGAGATCATAAATTACCAGACATTTCTGGTTTCCTCTACTCAGAAAAAGCAATTCTGGCCAGGCGCGGTGGCTCACGCCCATAATCCCAGCACTTTGGGAGGCCGAGGCAGGCGGATTACCTGAGGTCGGGAGTTCGAGACCAGCCTGGCCAACATGGCGAAACCCCGTCTCTACTGAAAATACAAAAATTAGCCAGGCGTGGTGGTGGGCGCCTGTAATCCCAGCAGGAGAATCGCTTGAATCCGGGAGGTGGAGGTTGCAGTGAGCCGGGATCGTGCCACTGCACTCCAGCCTGGTTGACACAGAGTGAGACTCTGTCTCAAAAAAAAAAAAAAGAATTCTACAGCCAGAGGGGATTTTTCAGACAGACATAGGTACTGGCTGATAAGAGTGAAGAGCTCACTGGAAAGACATGTGCACACAGATAGTAAAGAGGGCCCAATAGGATGTGAGCATAACACAGAATAGTCTATATTTCCCAATTTTACAAAACAAGATCGTAGGAGAAATGCCTATCTTTTAAAATAATAATATTCATGTTGCCTCACTCCATCATAAAAAGTGGGTATTGTCAAACAGTAAAGGGAAAATGATCACATGCTTAACAAATTAATAATATAAAACATTTATTGCTTTTTAATATTATGGAGCTTTCTGTTGAAAAGTATCCCTGGTCTCGGCCTTTCCAATCCCCAAAACTATCACTGACTGTTAGAATCTCTTTCTAAGACAAGCTTCATTCACAGAGCTCTACCATTATATTTTTTCCTCAGAGAATGATTATTTACTTACCCAGTTTTGGTTAGTCTAAATAACTTACCCAATATTTCTTATTTATTCATTTATTTATTTATTTATTTATTTTTTATTTTTATTATACTTTAAGTTCTAGGGTACATGTGCACAATGTGCAGGTTAGTTACATATGTATACATGCGCCATGTTAGTGTGCTGCACCCATTAACTCATCATTTACATTAGGTATATCTCCTAATGCTATCCCTCCCCCGCCCCCGCTCCATGACAGACCCTGGTGTGTGATGTTCCCCTTCCTGTGTCCAAGTGTTCTCATTGTTCAATCCCCACCTATGAGTGAGAATATGCAGTGTTTGGTTTTCTGTCCTTGCGATAGTTTGCTGAGAATGATGGTTTCCAGCTTCATCCATGTCCCTACAAAGGACATGAACTCATCCTTTTTTATGGCTGCATAGTATTCCATGGTGTATACATGCCACATTTTCTTAATCCAGTCTATCATTGCTGGACATTTGGGTTGGTTCCAAGTCTTTGCCATTGTGAATAGTGCTGCAATAAACATACGTGTGCATGTGTCTTTATAGCAGCATGATTTATAATCCTTTGGGTATATACCCAGTAATGGGATGGCTGGGTCAAATGGTATTTCTAGTTCTATAACCTACCCAATATTTCTAAAAAGAAAGCAAGAAACAAATTTCTCTAGTCTCAATTACATAATCTTTGTTTTATAGTGTTTTTTTTGTTTGTTTTTTTTTTTAGTTTGTGACTACCATACTTCCTGAGTTTTGTTTGGTTTTATTTTTGTTTGTTTGTTTGTTTGTTTAGTGCTTCTTAAAATATTCCCTGATGTTTTCATTTATTTCTAAGAGATTGGTTCAGTCAGGGCCCCGATTTCAAGTAACAAACTTACAGCTGAACTCAATTATGCTAAAGTCCTGCTTATTGACTGGACTATCTGGAGAGGGTGAGTTGGAGCTGGCCTGAAAGAGCACCGGAATTAGTAAGCAAAATGCTATGGGGCATTCCCCTCTATCTCTCATCTCTGCTTGTCTTCAAGTGCCAAATTATGCTCTCAAAACAATATCTTCCCATGAAGTGGGTTGTTGCTGCAGGCTCTTTTGAGCTTACATCCTTTTAGTGTTGTGACGGGTGCTGATAGAATTGGTTTAGCTCTTTCATCACCGTTTAAAGAATATCAAGGAAAGAATCTACATAACCCAGCTTGGGTCTTGCTATGGTTCAGACATAGTTTGTTTGGCCCCAACAAGTCTTATGTTGAAATCTGATCCCCCAGTGTTGGAGGGGGACCTGGTGGGAGGTGTTTGGGTTATGAGAAGGGATCTTTCATGAATGGGTTGGTGTTGTCCTCCTAGGAGTGAGTGAGTTCTCACTCAATTCCCACAGGAACTGGTTATTGGAAAGAGCCTGACCTCCTCCTGTCTCCTCCTTCCTCTCTCATCGCTCTGACATCACTTCCCTTCCCTTTCTGCCATAAGTGGAAGCAGTCTTAGGCCTTCATCAGAAACAGATGCTGGTGCCATGCTTCTTGTATAGTCTGCAGAACTGTGAGCCAAGTAAATCTCTTTTCTTTATTAATTACTCAACATTAGGCATTCCTTTATGGCAACACAAATGGACTAAAACAGGTTCTGTGTCCATTCTTTAGGTCAAACACACTGGGGAGGGGGTGGTATGAGGTTCTGAGATTACCCAATGTGGGTTATGTTTTGTCCAAAATACAGAGGATTCTGTTATGTTAACATAATCACAGGCATGGCCGCTTAACAATCTGTAATCCAGGTGGTCATACTAATTTGTGCCTACCACAATAACAGGGTAAATTCTACCAGTAGTTGGTTGCTACTGAGTACCTTTCTACATACAGTCTGGTAACTGTTAAAAAATAAACCTTCTGATTTTTCTGATAACTTTTATTTTTTCACCAAATTCATCTTTATTCTGCCTCAAATAACTGCTATATACTTCTCATTTAATTTACTAAATCCTTAAGTACTATTAAGTAATATTTCCTGTGACATTAGTAAGAATGCTTTATCAGCAATTTCTAATGTGCTTTAAAGCTTAGGACTCTCTTCTCTGCCATATTCCAAATTCACATCCTTAAAGGGGAAGCGCTCTTGAATACACAAAAAGAATCAATTTCTAAATATTATAGTGAACATTTTTATCTGTCCAGCATCGATTCCACTCTCTTTTGATAATAGTTTTCCATCCTCAGTCAGATAAAAACCTACTTTCAATGATGTCAATCCAGAGGAAGGAGAACCAAGAGACAGAAGAAATCCAAGACCCAGAGATATTTTCGAGATCTTGAAAAGCCATACCTGGTCTTCACAGCTTCTCGGACTGTGCATTCCCATTTGCTAAATATAATTTTGTCTGTGTTTTCTGTCACTTTCAACTAAAATAATTCTAACTGAAATACACAATTACTCAGTAGTATTAATATAATTAGGGAGCATCATTTTCAAAATAAGTCATGAATTGAGTTCACTGAAATCTCAAGGCATGTCAATTTTTAAAACAGTGAACCCAGTATGAAGTATTGAAATGTACAGGCTATACTAAAAGTGGTTTTAATTAAGCTCATAAACAGCCTATCTTAATATAGGATGAAAATCTTCAGAATGAAAATACCTTCCTAAGGGAAAACAAAATTCTGTATACAATGTTAGAAACTGACAAACTAGAGAGAAGCATGCTGAAATATATCAAAGCAATTTTCACATATATAAAGATTCCATATCAAACAGTGTTTGCTTCTAAGCAAATATATTTACTGTAAAATAATCTGTCAATATTATTAGGATGGAAATGTTCCATGAGGGCAACAGTTTGTACAGATCAGCTTATCTAAAGGTAGTCAAAGGACTGAGGTAATGCCAAGCACAGGGCCCGGGCCATTTGGGTAATCGTTTTTAAACATTCCTTTGGCTATACTAATTAATTATTCAGTGATATTCGCATGATTTTCCCTGGCTTGCCATCAGTTAAAATACAACATTTGCCAAGCATACCACTCAAGAAGATGAAGAACACTACGTTTTCCTACACACTCCCAACATAATGTTGGAACAATTTCATTAGGTCTTCGACTTTCATTTTAAGAAACTCCACCTTCAAGTTTTCACAGCCACTGCCTCTTTGTAGCTTCACAGAGAGAGGCGAGTATTGCAATGCATTACAATAGGAAAGCCTAAGAAGGATAAATGGATTGAGTACTACTGCCAGTTAATCACTTTGAGAAAATGGCCTTCACCTATAGCAGGAATAAAAGAGGTTGGCAAAAAGTTATTTCTGACTAATGCAGTCTGAAGACTTGTGGCCAAGACAACTACAGGGCGAAACTTTATATTTGATAAATAAAATCCCTCAATTTCAGATAAAGTGTAATTCACAGTTATTTGCTCAAAATCTCTCACATTGCCTTTTCTCGTGTCAAATTTGAATTTCCAGTTGGAGTGATAAGAAAAAAATGTCTGCACATTATTTGAATTAGTTACGAAGCCAGCAACTGCTGCTATACTACTTTACATTGAAGAAAGATGAAATTTCTCCTTAGGACATCTTCACTTAAATGCACAGTTGAGGCCTATCAGAGTCCCCACAAGCCCTGAAGAAGTTTTGGGTAACTTTATCATCCCAACCCCACCACACACATACACACACACAAACACACACTCACACAGTAATATGCACACACTACTCCTAAAGCAAGCTGGCTAGGAAGTATTTTTAAATACTTATGTTAAATTTATATTATTATACTTTATTTTCTGAAAACTTCTAATGAATCCAAATATCAACCCGAATTTTAGACAAGATTTGGGGACCAAGCACAGTGGCTAACCCCTATAATCCCAGCACTTTGGGAAGCTGAGGCAGGCAGATCACTTGAGGTCAGGAGTTCAAGACCAGCTTGGCCAACACGGCGAAACCCCATCTCTACTAAAAATACAAAAATTAGCCGGGCGTGGTGGCAGTTGCCTGTAGTCCCAGCTACTCAGGAGGCTGAGGCACAAGAATCGTTTGAACCCGGGAGGCGGAGGTTACAGTGAGCCGAGATAGTGCCACTGCACTCCAGCCTGGGTGACAGAGTGAGATTCCATCTCAAAAAAAAAAAAAAAAAAGATTTGGGGTTAGGTATAATATTAGTAAGGATAATAATAATAATTTTTAACCTCTACTGAATCCTTCTATATGTAGAACACTTTTTGAGCTACCTTATATATACATATATATGTATACATGCACATATATGCATATATAATATACATATGTGTGTGTATATATACGTGGTTGTGTGTATATATATATATACACACACACATATACTACATGTATATGTCAAGCACTTTTCTGAGTACTTCACATGTATTAATTCATTTATTTTTCATAACAACCCTTCATAAAATACAATAGTGTATATGTGTCAGTGTTTTATGGATAAGGTAGCTGCGGCACAGAGTTTAAGCATCTTGTCCAAGTTTGCACAGCTAGAAAGTAGAAGATTTGAAATACCAGACCAGGCAGCTTGCACCTTTTATTTTTTATTTTATGCGTATATAGTACATGTATATATTAATGGGGTTAATCACCCTTAAATCACCCATCACAACTCACAAATTTCCAAACTTTTCCAAATGTGGATCATTATCAGAATCAAATTAATTATTGGCTTAGTGAATTAGAATAACATAGTAGTTAAAAGCATGGATGTTTATGTCAGACATACTTTCCACTTATTATGTTGAGTGACATTTGGCAAGTTAACTTTCTTATGCCTCAGTTTAACAGTTTAATTGTCTGTAAAACTGGAATACAGACCTGTCATTATTAAGAGATTAAAGAAAGTGTGAAAGTGTGTATGAGTGTAACTTATTACATTTCCAAAATAAATACTGATGGTATTATTTTACTTATTGTGCCCCCCTTCCTATTTCTAGTAAAAATAAAATTCATATTAGTCAATAATATTAATTATGTGGGCTTTTTCTGCTTAGACAAAATTAGAAAAAGCAAAATACTAGAAAACTAGGGCCTAAAGGTTGAATAGAAGCTGGAGAAATAGAATGCATCACCTCTGCCAAGGAGAGATAGAGAGCCCAGCAGTAGTTAGTACCTCTGAAAAACCTATAAAGATGTGCACACTGACTTTCTCATGTTCATGTTCAGAGAGCATGAAGCCGTTGTACAATAATGTCAGTCAAGAGAGAACTTTCCTATTTCCCTTACTGTTCATCTCTCCCAATGCTTTGACATTGGCAGGGGTTCAGGAATCTGAAGGTGGAGTAGAAATGTTAGGCAGGGAGAGAAAATGATGCCACCCATACTCCCTTTTTCAAATTACAGGTTTCCACTTGCAGCAGGCCGCGGTTGTAGAAAGGTCAAAGAAGATTTATCTACAAATTGAGATGAAAGGATTGAACAGTATTTTGGACCGGGTGCTCTCAATTCAGAATTGAGGCTTTATTTGTGACTTAGTGTGAACATAGGACTTTCTGCTTTTTAAGAGTAAGCTGAGAAATCAAGGGACCTGCCCTTTTTAACACCCAATGGAAAGTGAACTACACTCACTCATAGGTACTGAAGAGAATGAAATTGGAATTGCTTTTATGAATATTCCATGTGATTCTTTCTTGTTCCAAGTAATTTTTTTTATCATTTAAAGTCAAACTCTAAAAATGTGAAATTTGGAATCTTGATCTGAAAAGGAGTAATATTTTAGTAAATGTAATGGTTAGATTTAGAAGACACAGAAGAATTGAAATATCCAAAACACTCTCTAAAATTCCATTATATCACCTTTGCCTCCATAAACTGTCCCCCATCTCTTGGTTGAGGAAGATAACATGTCCCTTTTTGTCACAATGGTTGCTTGACTGGGAATCAGCATCCAAATTCAACATGACCTGGTGGGGAGAGATACTGAAGTACGGAGCAAAAATAGTTAAAAGAAGCATTCAAGCAAAGCTATTTGAGGGATTTTGCTAAAAAACATTGTAAAATTTTGGCAAATAATCATGAAAACAGATTGTGAAAATGCCGGACAAAGGAAGGTGTAATGTATTTCTAAACCAGACTGATTATTTTACATGTATTAATTTAGTAGAAGCTATGTATTCAGTGTGCTAGTTGGTTAGCCGGTTGAAATTTTAATGGTTTTCTAGTTGACTAGTGCAAACTTGAATGTCATTATGTTAAGCACTTTAAATCATATTGACATGGTATAGAAGGTAGTTAAATTCTTTAAGAATAAGAATGCTGTGTGACTCACATAGCCACTCTCACACCCAAAGAGTCTTGCTTCACCAAAGCCTTGAGAAAGACATAGGTGATGACAACACATAAAGATTTAAAGAGTGCTTTATTGGCTTTAGGCCAGGAATGCTGGTAGGATGAAATGCAATTTGACTGTCTTCCTGAGCTTCATGGGATCATAAGTTTGTAGAGCACAGTAAACCACTAGAAACAAAGTGGACATAGTTATCACAGCAGGTAGCACAGAAAGCAGAGTAATCCGCTGTCAAGGGATGCTGTGACTTGCAAAGATCTCTGGCTATGCTTAATTAATCATAAAGTACCTTAAGTTTTGGTTTAATTTGCATAACTAAATGTAGACCAAAAGAAAACAAAATTTTAGTCCTGCCTTAAGCCAACATGAAAGAGAGTCACAGTTTATCACCCCATTTCTAATCTTGAGTCAGTTCCCAAGCCCAGAGCAATCAGTCCTCAATTCCACTGAAGTCTCCCCTGTAATACCACAATTGAGTACTCTGTATCTCTTTGTAGGCGTCTCATAGTAACTTATGCTTACTCACCTGAGTTACTAGGTGCTGAGGCAGGGAAATCCAAATATTTCAGGTACAATTATAAAAGGCATTGATTAACATTAATTTTTGAAGACACATATGTCACTATAGTCTTGAATAGCAATTTAAAGTGCTGAAATTTCAAAGGAAGTTTCAACATGAATTTACATGGTCTGATATGCAAGTATATGTAAGTATTTGTGTACATATATATGTATATATGAATAAATGTATGTCTACTTATACAATATTAGAATCTTAACAATGGAACTATGTTACCTTAGGAAATTTCAAATAGGCTTTGAACCTCATGTTTTCTGCCAAAACAGTGAATAAGACATCCCTGGAGGAATAGCAGAGGTTGGAACCACCAAGAAAGAGTCCAAATAAGTAGGAGTGGTCATTGTCAGCAGTTTGGTCAGCACAGAATGTTTATGGGACTTGAAGAAGAGCAGTAGATTACCATAACCTTAATGAGGCAAGGACTCTAACTGTTGCTGCTGTTGCAGATGTGTTTTCTTAACTGGAGAAAATTATTGTAGCTCTTGGCATTCGGTATTCATGTATCGATTTCGTGCATGCATTTTTCTCTATTTCAACAAATTGAGACAACTAGAAGTAGTTTGCATCCCCCGGGGACAAGTTTGCCTAGACTGGCTCTCTTTACCAGCTCTCTCCAGACTTTTCTTTGCTAATCTTACTTTTTTGCCTAAACAAAATGCTGTCTTCTTCCTCTAGGAAAAAGAAGAGAGAGCCAACTACTCTACAAAGGAAAAGGGATGTAGTTTGTAGGATTTTCCTTGTTATGAGAGGAGCAGAAACCTAACTGTTGACAAGGGTATGTCATGGCTAATTCGAAAAACCCTGTTGAAATTGAAATTATGGTGTTCAGTTCAACGCTAAATATGCCAGATGTTGGAGATAACAAGGTGAATAAATCAATGGCTTGCTCTTCTCTGATAAAGGCGGTTGAGTTCTGGTGAGCAACACAGAGACATAAACAGATTCATTCCTTCATCCCACAAACACTGTGTGTTCTCTCTGTGCCAGGAACTATTCTACTGCTAGACATATAAAGGTTTGAAAAAGTACACATGGTTGATGCACTCCTGAGAATTATTTTCTAATAGGAAAAATATATTTTAATCAAAACCCCAAACAAATAAAATGTAGAAATGTCTCTATGATAAGCTAAGAAAAAGAGAAATGTATTGAGAGCCTGTGAGAGGAGTTTCACCTGATCTTAGAAGTAAAGGATAGCTTCCATGTGGTGATGAAGAATGGAGGATAGTTTCCCAGTTGAAGAGAATATTGTTCACTATGGCCCTGTTCCAAGTAGGAAACAATTAATTAAAAACCTAAGGAAGCTTAGTATGATGGGAGATCAGAAAATCAGGCAGGGGTTTGTGAGAAATAAAGCTTAGGAAAAGTAGGAAAAGTGGAAAAAGTGGAGGCCAGGTCATGCAGGACCTTGCAGGCCAGATTAAGAATCGTGCTCTTTATCCTAACATTATTAAACTACTGAACATTTTTAGCAGGTGGGTAACAGAATATTTATTGGACTTGAAGAACAGTAGATTATCATAACCTTAATGAGACACTGACTCTAACTGTTGCTGCTTTTGCAGATGTGTTTTCTTAATTGAAGAAAATCATATCACATGTGAACTTTCTGACCATACTGTGGAGCGGTGCTAATAAGGAGGTAAGAGTGGATGTAGATAAATCTGTTAGGAGGTTGTTAAAATAATCAGATGAACCATAATGAGATTTATTTCTAGACATATGATTATAGAGATAGAAATAAATACATTCAAAAATATTTCAGAGTTAAAACTGACAAGATGATGATATGAAAGGTGAGAAGGAGGGTTATATCAAGGGTGACTTCTTATTTTCTGGTTTGCTTCTGTGCCTGGTTGGCAGTGCCATTCTCCAAGAGAACACTAATGAAAGACTATGTTTTGGAGGAAAGACAAAACGTTTTATTTTATTTTATTTTGAAGTGTCTATGTCACATTCAAATATAAAGGGAATGTAAATATATCAAAAGTATATGATATGGAAGTTCCTCAAAAACTTAAACATAGAATTACCATATGATCCAGAAATTTCACTTCTGAGTATATACCCAAAGGAATTGAAAGCAGGGACTCAAGCATATAATTGTATACTAATGCTCACAGCAGCATTATTCACAGTAGCCAAAAGGTGGAAACAACAAAAATGTCTATCAACAGATAAATGGATAAACAAAATGTGGTATATATAGAATCGAATATTATCCATCCTTAAAAAGGAATAAGATTCTGATACTTGCTACAACATGGAAACAACATGAAAGAACCTTAAAAACATTGTGCTTTGAGAAATAAGCTAGACACTAAAGAGAAAATATTGTATTATTCCACTTATCTGAAGAAGCTACAACAGGCAAATTTGTAGAGGCAGAAAGTAGGATGGTGGTTGTCAGGGGCTGGAAGGGCGTTACTTCATGGGTATGGAGTTTCAGTTCTGGAAGATTTTTTTAAAGTGCTGGAGATGGATGTTGCTGATGGTTGCACAACAATGTAAATGTGCTTAATGCCACTGAACTATATGCTTCAAAGTGGTTAAAATGGTAAATTTTATATTATATGTATTTTTCCATAATGAAAAATGTATGTAGATCTGGAGCTCAGAGTCCTAGGCTAAAGATGTAAATGAAAGTGTCATCATTGTGTTTATGACAAGTGAAGTCATGTAAAATTGCCTAGTTTGAATGTATGTGGACGGAAATGTGTGATGAAAGGAAAAGAGAGTTTAGAACTAAAGATGATGAACTCAATAATGGCTATGCAGAGGAGGACTGGTCTTCAGAAAGGACAGGGATGGGATGGCTAGAAATGTGAGAGGAAGACAAAAAGAGAAAAGAGAATAATGTCAGATAAGTTAAAGGGAGCAAATATTTATAGGAGCCAAAGATCAATAGTGTTTCATTGCTATTTGAATCCCTCTTGGTGGAAGGATTCTATTTCTCATTTATCTTGAGGGGTCCTCCTTGGTACTGTAATGCTGTGGTAGTTCATTTTTGCTGTAAAGCAAAGCTCTCTGTAATTCCAGTTTGAGCTTTTTTTTTTCCTATTTAATTTGTCATAGGAAATTACCCATCAAGCCACAGATGTGGTTTGAAGAAGGGGAAGTAATTTGGCAGGAGTAAGGCACTCTGGATGTATGAGCTATCTGCCTGTGCAAATTACTAATGCCTTTAGAACCTGCTTGGGCTCAGTGCTGTTTTCACTTGATATTTAAGAGCTTCTGAGTATACCAGATTTTATGGCTAGGAGTAATAGATTGCATCCAGTTCATGACAAGCAGCTGGGGTCAGATATCCCCATTGTTCCCCGGGCCAAATATTCAGCCTTTGTGAGCTGATCCAGAGCTCCTTCTCAAGAAGAAAATAAACTTGGTAAAGCAGGCCTGACTTTGCTACAGAAGTCTTGGGTCCTCATCCACTATTCTTCTTTCAAGGTTTATAGTAGGCTTGATTGCACATTGCCACCTGCCTCTGACACTTCAAGCACCACAGCATATGCTGTTTTATAAGGATCAGTTGGCAAAGTTATTTGTCCTGTACCTTAGACCAGCTAGAGTGGCTTTCTTTGCTCTGAGCCCCACTAAAATGGACAGGCTTTTGCTTTATCCAGCAAATAGATCTAGCTAGAACAACATTAAATGGTACATTTCTCAAATATCTCAAGGGGTCCCCCAAGAATGTTAAGTGGGTAAGGAAATCAAGATGTGTAAATATATCCTTTATTTTGTATCAGATCAACAAGACTCCAGAAAAAAATTCCTGGGGTAGTAAAAAAACTATCTCTCTATCCATCCCTGGCACCACAGTCAAACATTTAGGGTGCCATTTACTTCTTTCTTCCTAGATCCTACTGCAAAAAGTCATCACTTTAGAGGTTCATCAGAATGACCTATAAGAATGTGAGTTTGTCAGGGTCCCTATGGACTGAATAGTAGCACAGAGCCTAAGAGTCGTCATATCTCTATGGCAGGATTGTGAAAGTTTGCTCCTGCCCTGCAAGTCCCAAGGTAATAAAACCGTTCTACAATGTAGCTGAGTTAGAAAAAAAAGACTTCATAAAGCATGTCAACCACTGTTGGCAGTCACGCAGGATCACAATAGCATTGTTAAAGTAAGCGTGAGTATGAATGTGTATGAGAAAAACCAATAAAAACACTCTGTAAATCACTTCTCTCCTTTTGCACAAAGTTAGAAGTAAAGAATAATAATTTTAAAAAATATCTTAAGTACTGAAAATTGTATTCACTGAGGCTTGGCCTTCCCTTTCTACATTTTTTTCTATACTTCACAGGTTATCTGTCCCTTTCTCTATTTTTTTTTGTTTGCCCATCCAATGCCAGTGTCCAGTTTTTCTCTGAAACTGGAAAGTATCAAAACTCAAGCCTTTACAATAGTTGAACAACTGACTAATTGACCTTCTTGCATTACCTCAGCCAAGAACTGGCACTTTAATACTTTCAATTGTTAAGTGAAAAGCTGTGTCCTATAGTTAAAGGAATTCAAGCATTGCCAAGCAAGTGGAGATACATTTGAGATCTTGATATGTTTGAAAACTCTTTGTCTATGAAAAGAAACTTGATTTAGTCAGTTTTAGGTGATTGGATAGCTGGATTCAGAAGGTTAAATCTGCATTCTTGTTCACTTAGTAGCACACTCTGGGGAGATGAAGTCATTCAGGGATAACTTTGCTGAAGCTTGGACTGAAGATAATGCTAGAGAAAAATCAAGAGGTTCTCTAGCCAACGATTACTGAACAAAGGTGGAGTACTGTTTTAGAGGTAGATATCTATAGGTTGGCTCATGCCTTTGAGCTGGGCTAATGGAGAAGCCTTTTACTCAGCAGTGAATAAAAGAAGCAATCAAGTCTTCTGTGTAAGTTTGGGCTTGACACAGCAGTTTATAGCAAAGGCAGAAATTAAATACACACACACACACACACACAAACACACACCCCACATGTTAAGTAAGCAGAGTCATTATAGACTGTACAATAAAGGTAAGTGTAGAAAGAGGGTAAAGTGGTGGCAAAAGTAGAAACAATAAGTAGAAGTAGAGACAGGGAATAGGTCTGACGTAATATTTTATCTCTAGACTGTGAGATATTAGGTCTCTTCTCTTGAATGGGTGACAAAGTAACCAGGTCATTAGAGCTGCACCGCCCTAAATGTAATTCAAGTCCTTTGGGAAGTCCACTCTAAAATGATATCTCACTAACTAAAACACACTAAAGCAACAAAAATATACAGTACATCTATTTCAATCAGGTCAATTATTTATTGTACAATATTTTGTTACATAAAATATATCAGTCAGTAGTAATACATTTTGCTTAAGAGCTCTATATTTACCTTATGTGATTGGATTAAAATTATATTGTCGTAGCTGAAGTAATATATCGATTCTATGAACAATTTGCTATTAAAATAACTTTCAGAAATAGTCAACATTTTAAGCATTTACTCTCTGAATCTTTCTGGACCCCAGATTTCTTATTATAAGTGGTCTAAACTATATGATTGCTCAGATACTACATATTTTCTAATTCAAAATTCCCAGAGCCTATTTTTATGCTACAAAAATTAATTTTATTATATTACTAACATATTGCAGAAATTCAGAGAATTATTTGTGGTCATAGAATATCAAAATAAAACGGAGTCGCGTTTCTTGGTTTTCATTTTTTTTGTTGTTGTTTTTTGAGACAAGGTCTCGCTCTGTCACCCAGTCTAGAGTGCAGTAGTGTGATCATAGCTCACTGCAGCCTTGTAGCCCTGGGCTTGAACAATCCTCCCACCTCAGCCTCCCAGGTAGCCGGGACTACTGGCATGCACCACCGTGCCAAACTAATTTATTTCGTTTTTTGTAGAGACAGGGGCTTGCTATATTGCTCAGGCTGGTCTCAAATTTCTGACATCCAGTGATCCTCCTGCCTCGTCCTCCCAAAGTGTTGTGATTACAGGCATGAACTACTGTGCCCAGCTGGTTTTAATTTTACAATGAGACTCTCCAGACATTTAAAATAGTTTTTTTAAGGTCAAATTGATGATATATTTAGTAAATGAATTTTAAGAATGGTCTCTGAATGTAGGAATTTCTTATGAAATTAGGGAAGGACAACACAAATATTGTAAAGGATATATGAGAAAGCAAAATACAATAATTTGTTTTAAAGAGTATCCAATAATGACAGATTATTCCCTTTTACTTTAGAGTAATTTATTTTATCTGGTTTAGACCTTCTTGATAAAACTCTTCTATTTAATGAGTAAACACCTTACATTTGTCAATAAAATTCATTTATATAATGGAATTATATTGTTTATAGTTGTAGATTAATAGAGATTAAATTTCCATATGACAAAAGATTATGGGTCATTGTGATTCAAGTCAATGCAAGTTCACGATGTTGGCAAAATGAGTATTTTTATATGTTGTTTAAGCTGCCAAGAGTCTTCCTAGAGTCCTTTATTTAAAGGAAGAAGACTGTATTTCTCAAGAAAAAAAAAATCCTGTAAAGTTTTATGTGCTTTATATTGACTCTTTGTCTTTCTGACATATTTAATAGTTCCTGTTAGAGCCACAAGATATTGAATAGGAGGTTCTGAGTTGGGTCACTGCTCCATTTGAATAATCCTTTAAAACTTTAGTCCTCACAAACAAGCAGTAGCTGGCAACTATTACAATGATACCCAGCCACACTTCACATAAACATGTAACAGTTTGTCCAGAGATCATTATAAACACATACTAGGCTTCTTTGAAACTAATATCTTCAAAAAGGACTAATTAGTAGCTGAACATTGAGTACTTCTATAAAGTTTTGTCCTCCTAGCTTTGAGCATTCCTAATCTAAATTTCAATTTCATACTGGCAAATCTTTCTTTTTATGACATGAAACAAAAGGAAAAATAATTGGCTTTATCTGTGCTAATTTGCCGGTGGTCACTGTTGAGAGCTTCAAATGCCCTTCCCACTGTCAATCTCTGCTCTTCACCATTCTGCTCCATATTATTCATTCAAGTGGCATGAAGAGGGGTATGGTGGCTGTGGGATTCGAACCATCATTTAACAAGATATGGGAAGTGAATAGTATTTGCTCACCATAACTTTAGTTTTAGTTTCGCCTTCCAAATTAGGCTTCTATACACTTCTTAAAGCTTTATTTAAGTTGTTCTTTCATCAGCATACACAGTAGTAACGAAGCCCTTTCTGATAGTCGCTGTATTAGCTACCTTGTGGCTGTTAATGTTCATGCTCCTGCAAGATCCTTTCAAATCCCTTTTTGTACCATTTACTTCCCTTTCCCTTCCAAGCATCAGTACTAATGCACAGCTCTTTAGTCCTCAAGCTGCTGAAGGGGCTTTTGCCCACAGGTGAAGAGATTTTAAAGCATCTGGGACATCTGGGAGTTGATATGCTCATCCCTCCCAGGGTGGCCTTTAATCAAGGGCTGAACAGTGTAGGAGTATGAAAGTTCACTCCCTTGCCTGGTGTAAGGATAACTCAGACGTAACTTACTCTCCAGAGTTCCCCAGGAGGATCGTGCTGAAGCTATCCTCTGAGGGGTGTTCACCTGAGATTGCACTGTTCCTTGGCTTCCACTACCTCCCCTTGGATCATTTTCTTAAATTAATCAAACATACATCCTCATCTCAGAGCCTATGTCTAACTTAGGATACACCTATAGTGGAGACCTCACTGTCATGTCAAAATACCGCCGCCTAGTGGCAAGACTAAGAATATCAGAGTTCTTTGCATTAACTGCATGACCTTTCATTGAATACCTTTTTTCATTGAATACCTTTTTTCATTGAATACTTTGCACTGAATACCAAGTGAAGTAGTGAGAGGTATCCAAAGAAGACAGTGCCATTATCTCTACCCTCAAAGAGCTAACGATGTCTGGAACCAAAGGAGAAGAAGTGACAGCAAACATGACCACAGGTAGGATTTGCACAGCTGTCATTAGGAAACAAAGGGGAAGCAGTATGGGAAGGAGGGCCATTTTCTGAGCATCAGAGTCACAGGATCTCATCATCTGAGATACATTAGACACTTATAGGTCCTATCCCAGCATCTATTTTCATCAAAAAAGACTAAAGCAGAATTTTACATGTATTAAAACTCAATAAATTGTTGCAGGCTTAAATTGCAGAAACTGGCTTATGCCCAGCAAAAGTAGGCTTCGTAGTGGCACAAATAGGTAAAATATACAGGTGGATGATAAAAAAGAGGTTGAGACTAGTCCAGAGACTGATAGCATATACAACTTCCCTAATGAATATCAGAACCATAAATATGCTATATTTAGGGCATTCAGAATGTGTGGTGAATCCTATTACAGTAGATGGAACCATGTATCATGAATGTATGTCAAAAGTGGCTAAAAGTCAATTTCATATGACTCCGCTTAATATAATGTTCTACATGGTAGGACATCTTTGATGTGAACTAAATATATACAATTGTATAGGCCATCAAGTCCAAGCTATCCATCTACATAGATATGAGCTCTTACATATGATCCTGCAGACTTGTTTTTAGCATTTTAGTGACCCAATGCTCACTCACTCATGATATTACTGATCTTTTGTAGGCCAGCTCAGTTACAAACATTGTGACTTTCCTCCATTAATCTCTTATATCTATCTTTACATTTTTCCTTCTTAGAATGTCAACTCATGTTTACTTTCACATTCTGTTTATGATGAGACCCTTTTGGTCAATATTCCTGGGAATCACTGTAACCAATCAGTTTAAGAACAGGATGTGATATCCTCTCATCAGCATTGTGCACTAAACTTAGACTCCATGGTATATCCCCTCCAATTTAGAGTATTATAAAGAAACTTCTTGCTTTGACATTGATACCTCATGAATAAATCAAGACGAGTTTTTGTTTTCCAATTCTATCTGAAAGAAATATGTAAAAAATAATCGAGGTGGGAAAAATTTAAGTGACAAAGAAGTTTGATATTGCCTCTATCATTCTTAAGAAAGGAGAACACTATGGGCAGGCCCTTACAGAATATCTGTCAGTAGTTTAATAATAATTTGGGGTAAAGAAATAATTTGTGGGTGACAAGACTTTCTACCATAAGACAATTTCATTCAATTACTGTATCAATAACTGCATAAATTCATGCATTTACAACCAACTTATTTTTGATAAAGATACCAAGAGCATACATTGGGGAAAGATAGCCTCTTTCATAGATGGTTCTGGGAAAACTAGATATTCGTAGTCAGAGGAATAAAACTAGATCCCTATCGCTCACTACACACCAAAAATAAACTCTAAATGGTTTAAAAACTTAAATGTAAGACCTGAAACTTTGAAAGTATTAGAAGAAAACATTGGTGCAACACTTCAGGACATTAGTCTGGGCAAATATATTTTTGTGTAAGACCTCAAAAGCATAGGCAACAAAAGCAAACATAGACAAATCAGATTACAGCAAGCTAAAAACCTTCTGCAGAGCAAAGGAAACAATCAGCAGAGTGAAAAGACAACCTACAGGATGGGAGAAAATATTTTCAAACTATCCATCTGACAATGGATTAATACCAAGAATATATAAGGAACTCAAATAACTCAATAGCAAAAAATATCAAATAATAGGATTTCAAAATGGGCAGAAGATCTGAATAGACAGTTTTCAAAAGAAGACATATAAATGTCCAACAAACATATAAAAATGCTCAACACTAGTAATCATCGGGGAAATGCAAATCAAAACCACAATGAGATATAATCTCACCTCAGTTAGAATGGCTAGTATCAAAAAGACAAAAACAAAATAGATGCTGGTGAGGATGCAGACAAAGGGAAACTTTAGTACACTGCGGGTGGGAGCGCAGTGTAGTAAAGCCATCATGAAAAACAGCATGGTGGTTCCTCAAAAAATTAAAATAGATGTATCATATGATCCAGAAATTCCACTACTAGTTATATATCCAAAAGAAAGGAAATCAGTACATCAAAGAGATATTTGCATACCCATGTTTATTGCAGCACTATTCACAATAGACAAGATATGAAATCAACCTGTGTCCATAAATAGATGAATGGATGAAGAAAATGTGATATATATAGACAACAGAATCCTATTTGACTATAAAAAAAATAAAATCCTTTCATTTGCAGCAACATGGAACTGGGGGTCATTATATTAAGTAAAATAATCCAGGCAAAAAAGACAAATATTGCACATTCTCACTCATATGTAGGAGCTAAAAAAAAAGGTGTATCTCATGAAGATAGAGAATAGAATGGTGGTTACCAGAGGCTGGGAAGGGGTAGGGGATGAAGATAGGTTAGTTAATGGCCATAAATGTACACTTAAATAAAAGGAATATATTCTAGTGTTCAAAAGCAGAGTAGGGGTCCTATAGTTAATGACAATGTATTGTATTTTTCCACATATCTAGAAGAAAAGTCTTCAAATGTTCCCAACAGATAGAAATGATAAATGCTCTGAGTCAGTGGTCCCCAACGTTTTTGGCACCAGAGAACGGTTTTGTAGAAGACAATTTTTCTACGGACTGGGTAGAGGGGTGGTTTCAAGATGAAACTCTTCCATCTCTGATCATCAAGCATTAAATTCTCATAAGGAGCACACAACCTACATCCTTTGCGTGTGCAGTTCACAATAGGGTTCACGCTTCTATGAGAATCTAATGCTGCCACTGATCTGACAGAAGGCGGAGCTCAGGCAGTAATGCTCCCTGGCCACTCACCTCCTGCTGTGTGGCCTGGTTCCTAACAGGCCACAGACAGGTACCAGTACATGACCCAGAGATTGAGGACTCCTGTTGTAGGTGATGGACACCCCCAAATACCCTGACTTGATCATTACACAGTCTATGCATATAACAAAATATCTTGTGTAGCCTATACATATGTATCAATTATTATGTGTCCACGAAAATAAAATAAAATCTTTGCACAGAGGGAAAATGACTGTATAAATGAAGTAAAATATATTTATCAAAGTTCTGGATCACATTGTTATTTTTAGAATAAAATGTACTTAAGCAATTAGGGGGGAAAACCTGTTCAGTGAATAAAGTTGAATGAGGAAAAATACAAACAGATATTCAAAACTTCAAAATAAGGTAGCAAGAGAAACTAATATCAACAACTAGTTGCAAGTACTGAAATTCTTTTTAAATAGCAAAAGGCAACTAAGAGTCATCCTTAAACTATATCAGCACTATAATAATAAAATCCACACGAATCTGGGAAGTGTTAAAAATACAACAATACTAAGGCATTAAGAAATCAGGGCTGGGCACAGTGGCTCACGCCTGTAAACTCGACACTTTGGGAGGCTAAGGTGGGAGGATCACTTGAAGCCAGGAGTTCAAGACCAGCCTGGGAAACATAGGAAGATCCCGTCTACAAAAAAAGTTTAAAAAATAGTTGGTCCTGGTCGTGCATGTGTGTAGTCACAGCTACTTGGGAGGCTGAGGCAGGAGGATTGCTTGAACCCAGGAGGTGCTACACTCTAGCCTGGGTGACAGACTGAGACCCTGTCTCTGAAAAGAATAAGAGATCCTTCTGTCTTTATAAAGGTATCTGTCTTTAGTTCTCTAGCTGAAACTGTTATTAGAGTTTTAGATTTAATTTGAGTCTATATTTTAATTAAAAATATGAAGAAATTTAATTGTATGCCAAAGAATTTTTTTAAATACTGAAAGGGAGAAATCTGGTTGTATTAAATGGCTAAATAAAGTTTTTGCCTCTTCAAAAAATAGAATAAAAAGAGTGAATTAATTATTGTTTTTGAGTGGAAAACTGTTCTGTATGTAGAGTATCAGATAAAAAGAAATGGGCTTAGATAAAATAGAGAAAGATTTCAGTCACATGAAAAACTGGTTAATTATCTAATTGATAAAAAATAGAATGGGCTCATGATGATGAAGTTTAGCATCTTTTTTTTACAGCAATCACATTTATAAATATTAGAATTGCAAAGGAACATATATGACCATCCAATCTCTCCTCTTCATTTTTGAGACCACAAAATATGAACACAGAAATTAAATTGCTTAATTCACCTAAGCAAGTCAAGGGAAATGTAGGACTTGAGCTCACAGTTCTTAACTTGAAGGCTAGGTCTGTGGCCTTGGATAAGCTATTTAAAGCTTTTGTGCATTGCTTTGTTTTATTTTGTATTCATACAATGGAAATAATAATGTACAACCCAAAAGGACAACTATGAGTATCAAATAAATATTTGCAAAACATTTAATATGATGACCATCTATGATAATTATTCAAAAAATAGTAGCTTTTTTGTTGTATTATTATTATTGCCTAGTGCTTTTTCTTCTAAAATATGTTGTCTAACAATAACAAAAAAAGGATATTCTATAACTATCTCTTGTGAGCCATATTTATTGTAAAAGTCCAGTTAGAAAACTTTAAAATGTTCAAAGTATATTTTCCCCATAAGAGAAAATGTACAGTCTCTAATGATGACAATGAGAAAATTGTGACTAAATTATTAATATCTAAGTATATTTGATAAGTAACTACATGGAGGTCTTTTTTGTTTGTTTGTTTTCATTTGCTATTTTTTTAATCCAAAAATAAGTTCCTCTTTTTGAAATCACACTCAAGGTAGGTTTTATTATCACCCCACTTTCTAGATAAGAAACTCAAATCTCCAAAAGATGAAATATCTTGTTAATGTTTTCCCTAATGTGTTCAGTTTATTCCTGGCATCAGAGGCCCCAGACTGATGATTCAAAAGTATATGGGAAAAGTGTTTTGCTATGATTCTAAATCATTCCCCCTTTTATCAGTACAATTTGGCCATATCTGCAAAATTTGAAAGCACATGTACCTTGATTTATCAATTTTCCTTTAGGGTTTTATTGAATGAATGTACACAAAATACATATATAACAAATGTACTCACATATACACCACAAGATTGATTGACTGATTGATTGATTGATTGATTTTTTGCGATGGAGTCTCGCTCAGTCACTCAGGCTGGAGTGCAGTGGCATGATCTTGGCTCACTGCCAACCTCCGCCTCCCAGGTTCAAGTGATTCTCCTGCCACAGCCTCCCAAGTAGCTGGGACTACAGGTGCACACCACCACACCCAGCTAATTTTTTGTATTTTTAGTAGAGACGGGTTTCATCATGTTGGTCAGGCTGGTCTCGAACTCCTGACCTCAGGTGATCCACCCGCCTCAGCCTCCCAATGTGCTGGGATTACAGGCGTGAGCCACCGCACCCAGCCCACCATAAGATATACGTACAAGAATACATTGCCACATTATAGCCTTTATAACTAGCAATTGAAAGATGGTTGTATAAATTACTGTTACTTGTCCAATGGAATGCCATGTAGCCATTAGGAAGAATAGGATACAGGCTGACAGCAGACAATATAAATGATTCATTCATTCATACATTCAGCAAATATATGAGTTCATACTACTTTCCAAGCATTATTGATGCAGCCATGAACAAGACAATGTTCCTGTCTTTATGGATTTCAAAATGTAGTGAGAGAAGCAGACATTAACCAGAAAAACAAACACATAATGAATGTCATATAATGCAACGTAGTGATTAAGTGCCATAAAGAAAAATAAGAAAATAGGAACAAAAGTATATATTGCTCAGTAAAAATAAAGAAATAGAATTAGGCTATTATAGTCCTATTCATGTTAAAAGTAAAGAAAACATATATATTCCATATAATTATATATGCATATATTCAAGAGACTTTTTTGGAGGATACATAAGACACTGTTTGTCAGTAGGGGATACTTCTGAAGAGAGACGGAGGGACTAAATCATGACAGAAAATAATGTTAAGATATTAATATTGTTAAATTATGACTTTCTGTGGTGTAAATTTTGTACATTTTTACTTTTTTACCACATACATTATTTTTTAAATAATAAAAGAAGATAAACTAGAGGAGGTCAAGAGCTTGGATGCATGCAATTAATGAGCAATAGTATAGTCTTTGCTAGTTTGAATATTTATTTGGGTTGCAACTTCAAATGCCATCCTTAGTCATTTCAATAACAAAAATGTGTAAATTAGGCTGGCTAAAAAAAGTACGGGGAATTAAAGAGCATGTGATGATCTACAGAATGCATGTCTTGACTGTGGCTCTTAATTTTTTCTCAGACAAATACATTTCAAAGTGTAGAAAGAGATACAATTTTTCATTTCTCTGGCCTTATCTTACCAGAGTTCGGCACTCTTGCCCACCAAGGTCTGACCACCAGATCTTTTTAAGGTGATCTTGCTGACATATGAATTACATCAAATTGCTCACCACTAAAAGGAGAAAAAAAAAACAGCCTTTTACTATAAGCACAATAAAATGCCAGATCGTTATAATGGCTTACAAATCCTCTAATCTGGCCTTTACCTCCTCTCTTTTCTCATTGTTTCTACCGTGCCCTTCACTGGCTATGGCATACCAAACTGAGTTTTGCTCTTTTTCTCTTTTGTACCTACACATTTAGTAGTCACTCTGGTATAAACTATTTACAACTCAATTGAATCGACACAAAAAGTCATTTTTTAGAACAACTAATATCCCTAAATTAGAAATAATTTGAAGCTTCTCTTGACTGAGATGAGAACTACAAATTGAGAGCATAAAGGCTCATGTCTATTAATATTCCCATGTGTCATCAAATACCACTGAAATAAGCATTTTTTAAAATGAGGGATGAAAACACATTTCCCTGTGCCAAGCAATTTTTCTGTATTTCTCTGCACATTTACCTGAAACTTCTTTAGATATATGCACATTTATCGTTCTATCAGAATGACATTTAATATATTGAGGAAAAAAGCTAACAAAATATCAAACATTTAAGATCTAAATCAAATTGCAGCAATTCATTAACATGTGAATCTAACAAGGTTATAATTCTTCATAAAATAGCTGATTTTATACTATAAATTATTTTTTATGTTAAATAGATGTGGGTTTTTTGTCTCACTTATTTCTGAAAAGTTGTTTTAAGAGAAATATAGATGAGAGATAATGCTGTTTCCTAAACACTTATATGGCAAATTTAAATCCATGTCAAGATGATAAAAAATAGACATAATTGCAATTCATTAAGAAATAAAACACAGTTTTAAAATTCCACCTAAATCATTTTATATGTGCCACTGCTAGACTATTGGTTATTTGATGGAAAGATGTGGTTGTATGTAAGAGAGGTACCAAAAAATTAATGATGATAGCTAATTTTCATTGAAACATCTATTTCTGTTTCTCTGTCCTATTTTCCTTAAAAGTGTGGATGTTATTATGAAGATATTGAGTGATGGAATATCCAAAGATTTGCATGTAATGAAAATAATCAGAATTAGCTTATGATATATGTACTATTATTTCTATTTTATAAACAAGGGATGCCTCAGAATGCTGTGTCCATAATTGGCCAAAAATTGCATACCAGCAAGTGGCAGAGATTGAATTCACACTAAGATTGTCAAAATTTAAAACCCATTTTATTATGTGGACAGCCTGAAGGAGGATAGGTGGTGCTTAGTGAGAAAGAGTGAATGGAATTCTCTTCACATTTGAAGCCTAGGAGATTAAAAATGTGAAGATGTCATTAGTAGAAATAAGGACAAGGATTTAGATTCGAGTTTTGAAAAATGCTAGTTCCATTTTGAAGAGGTTGATCATAACGTGCTTCTGTTGAACATACAGTCAATATATTTGATGTGGTTGAATATATTTTTAAGCAGCTAGGAACATAAGAGTAGTGATGTAGAATATTATTCTGGGTGGAAAGAGGTATAGTTTATTTCAAAAAGTGACTGGCATCTTCCAAATATCTTCCAGATAACATAGCTCTCCTTTTCACTTTATGTGTATGAACCTACCTACGTTTACTACAAAATTGCTTGTCATTGAAGATGTTACATTCAGATTTCTGGCTTCTTGGAGATATGTACTTACAGTTAAATATTAACTTAATGTGAATGTCAAGGGAAAAATAATAGCCTGACATGGACTTTTCATAGTATCATGAGACAGACAGGATTTACTCACTTACAGACATGCAGGATATGATAAGATTGGCAGTTGAAATGAATTTTTGGTGTCCCAATGGGTTTTGTAAAAGAATTTAATGTATTAAGTGCCTAAACAATGTGTTTTCTCTAATCTTCACAATTTATTCTTTATTTTCATTCAAATCTATTCATAAATATTATCTAGAGAAGACTTTTAAACAAAAGAGCATGGATGGGTTTAAAAGGTCCTTATCACCAAGATGTAATAAGCACAATGTTGCTTCTCTGTGAAATTTTTCTGAAAGAGTTAGTTTGATTCTCAAAGGTTTCATGACTCTAAGCAGTGAAGAATCAGAGACTTAGAGAAAGTTGTTTATCTACTTTGGTGAGATATTTTATATCCTTAACCTAGTAGTTTTCAACTGTGGTGACTATGTCACCCAGGGGACAACTGGAAAGTTTCTGGAGACACTCTTGATTATCATAATATAGGGAGAAGGAGTTCTACTACCATTTAGTGGGTAGAGGCCAGGAAGTCTGCTAAACATCCTACAGTGCACTGGATAGTCCCCCATCAGCAGAGCTATATGGCCCCAAATGTTAATAGTGCTGAAACTGAGAAAGCTTGCCTGAATCCCTGCAGAGTTCTAGGATAATATAAAAGAAAGAGACTTCGATATTTTGTTATGCAATATATGTGCCAGTGTATAAAACAATTATTTTAACCACATTACTGATTAATTCGCGTGTGAATTATATTATGAGCCAAGAAAAGCCTGTATCATTTTAGTAGAATATTCTAACAGTAAGTGACTCTATCTCTTAAAAATACTGAGCACACATGGATATTTGAAAGGATATTTTTGAAGCTGCTTAAAATTAATGGACATTAAACTCCCTCATGCTTTGTTTCATCAATAAAACTGTGGAGCTCATTAACAAAAACCAGAAACTTAGCTCTCTGAATCAGGAAATTTATAAAGTGTAGCCACTAGTGCATATCTATGAGTTTCTGAGTTAACTAAAAATTAAATATTATTGAAAAAAAGAAAAGCAAGCTCTTCATAAATTATTAATTTATACTTTTACTAGTCTTCATATTAGAATGATTCAGGTTTTCTCACCTGATATATAACTTCTATCCCCTCCTATTTTACCTTAGTTAAATGGTTTAATTTTAAAATAAGCATTTTCCTTCATTTATTATGTTCCTGTCCATATAGAAACCTGTTCTATAATTTTATCATATTTTTAATAATTTCCTTTTTCAGATGTGTTTATGCCCTTTGCTCATTTTTTAATGGGGTCATTAATAATCTGAGAAGTGCAAATCAAAACCACAATGACATATTATCTCACATCTGTCAGAATAGCTATTATTAAAAAGTTAAAAAATAACAGATACTGGCAAGACTGTAGAGAAAAAGGAACGTTTATACACTGATGATGAGAATGTAAATTAGTTCAACCACTGTGGAAAGCAGTTTGGATATTTCTCAAATAACTCAAAACATAACTACCATTCAACCCAGAAATCCCATTACTGGGTATATAGCCAAAGGAGGATAAATCAAACTACCAAAAATACATACACTCATATGTTCATCACAGCACTATTCACAATAGCAAAGACATGGAATCAACCTAGATGCCCATCAATGGTGGATTGGATAAAGAAAATGTGGTACATATACACCATGGAATACTATGTAGCCACAAAAAAGAATGAAATCATGTCCTTAGCAGCAAAATGGGTGCAGCTGGAGGCCATTATCCCAAACTAATTAATGTAGGAACAGAAAACCAAATACTGCATGTTCTCAACTATAAGTGGAAGCTAAACACTGAGCACACGTGGACATAAAGATGGGAGCAATAGACACTGGAGACCACTAGATGGGGGAAGGCAGGGAGGAGGAAAGGGCTGAAAAACCACTTACTGCTCACTACCTGGGTGATAGTATCATCCATACCTCAAACCTCAGCATCACGCAATATTCACTTGTAACAAACCTGCACATGTACTCTTTGAATCTAACATAAAAATGGAAATTATTTTTTAAAATAATAATTTCCTCTATTTTTATCTTTATCTCCATTTAACCATGCTTATATTTATTTGAAAACTTTAAAAATATTAACATTTCTATCAAACTGATCTTGTTGGTAGGTAATTAAATCTTAGATGAGCAATGTTTCTTATCAAGTATGCAGTTCAGTATTGATGCATATGTGAAAGATGATGTTACTGTTGCTTCTTTAAAACATATCAAGTAATAACTACTGCCAAGTTAACATTGAAAGTTCAATTATTTGAAAAGATTCTTTTTGTCTACCTAATTAAAGACTTAAGATCATATTTTTCTTTTTTGTGCATTGGTAATTCTATTAATAAGGGAAAACAAACTTGAATTTTAAAATAATATTCATAGAAAACTTTCAGGTATCCAAGGATATGAATTAGATTGGAGATAGTCATATACATTATTCTTGTCACACATCTATGAGGTTTTAAGCATTGCATGCCAGTCTTGTCTCTCATTATAATGACAACAGAAACATGACTGCACTTGAAACGTAAACATGCCTTGTATAATAACACTCCAACTACACTGTAGGATATTTTTATTCAAGAAGGACCACCTCATAGAGTTGAATTCTGTTTACATAATGGGTTTTAAATTGCTCTTTTCTTTCTTCTTTTCTACCTCAACCACATCAGTTTGTGCAGCACACAGAGCAGACAGAACAGTTTGGAGATTTGGTTTTCAGATCTGGCCCTCTGTGTGAGCTTGCACCCTCCTAAAACTTAATTAACCTCATGGTCCTTCACAGTAATAGGCCTCAGTTTCCACTTATGAAAATTACTGGATGTTTACTTCATAAAGTATAAGATTCTTCCTTGCTATACCATTCTGTGTTCTGTTAAGAGAAGGCTAAGGGTGACCTTTTATGAAGGTTACTATTATTTTTGCAGGTTGCATTTATGGTAATATATAAGAATTTATGCAGAGCAACTTTACTTGCCAATAGAAAACAAAAGTATATGAACAAGTTTAAAATTAAACCAGGAACAAAATAAGTTCTTATTCACTATTGGAATGGGCTGCAGAATGGTATTTTGGAGTTATCAAAATGGATAAGAGCTTGGAATCTGAAATCAGGCAGATTTGAAATGGAATCAGTCCTCTGTCACTCATTACATGGGTATCTTTGACAAGCCCTTTACCTTTTTGATTCTCAATGTCCTCATCTAAAATATGTGTATAACAATACCTACTTCTCAAAATAAAACGTTTACAGGCTAGCATAGTGCCTGGCATAAAATAGTATCATAGTGAATAACCATTATAAATATAATAACCTTCTCTATAATTAAATTAACCAACACGTGTGTCCTGATTAATATAGGTATTTTAATGCCTATAGATATGAATTTATAATAGAATCTCTCCAGTTTATCTTCAGCAGTGTACTAGGAACTATTTTTCAAATTTCAAATATTACATTTTAACATTTACATTTGAATTCACATGTAAATGTAAATTTTTATACTTCAATATAAGTAGGTTAATATTACTATCAAAAATTTAAATGGGGCTAGGCGTGGTGGCTCACATCTGTAATCCCAGCACTTTTGGGAGGCCAAGGCAGACAGATCACTTGAAATCAGGAGTTTGAGACCAGCCTGGCCAACATAGCGAAACCCCATCTGCACTTAAAGAAAATACAAAAATTAGCCAGGTGTGGTGGCACGCACCTGTAATACCAGCTATTCGGGAGGCTGAGGCAGGATAATCGCTTGAACCTGGGAGGCAGAGGTTGCACTGAGCTGAGATCATGCCACTGCACTGCAGCCTGAGGGACAGAGTTAGACTCCGTCAGAAGAAAAAAAAAAGAAGAAAAAGAAAGAAAGAATGAAAGAAAGAAAGAAGGAAGGAAGGAAGAGAGAGAGAGAAAGAAAGAAAGAAAGAAAGAAAGAAAGAAAGAAAGAAAGAAAGAAAGAAAGAAAGAAAGAAAAAGAAAGAAAGAGAAAGAAAATTGAAATGGAAGGCATTGGATGGCATGCTAGAAAGAATACAGCCAAGCCTGACTCTAACTGTGGTTTCTTGAACAATATGATACACCTGTTCAGCTATGTTTTTAATAAAATGAAATAAATGAGCATTTAGATTTGATACCTGCACAATTCACTTTGTTTTAATTCCATAATTTTATGATACCTAGTCCTCATATTTGCTATTTAATAAATACTCATAGTTTTCCAAAGTCTGTATACAGATACTCCTTTAGCAGGAGGAATAATTTAAGGCATATAAACGTGAAGAAGTTGTGAGTAAATGGCCCTCAAGATTTGCTTTACTTTTCCTCCAAAATATTAGTTTTTCAAGCAAAAGGTCTTCAAATGATTGACAAGCCTCTTCCTGTCAAGTGCAATAGCAAATCCTTCTGAAAGACTGTCAGTGGGTTTGATTCTTGAATCTCTCTTTAAATAGACTCCATAGGGCAGCCTAGACAAAAAACACAATGGCAGTGAAGACACTTAGAGGGAAGTTGGAAAACCGTGTGTCCTTTAAAGCAGCAGATTTTTTTTATTGTAGAATAATATCCCCAAAAGGTTATTTATACAACTAAATTGGGAAGATCAATCTGGCATTATCATTTTATCAGGTCAGAAGGGGCTGAAGAGGGCACTACTGCATGTGCCATGAAGAGTTTTAACATATTTTCTTTTAAATGTATACAATATTCTTTTAACCTGACCTAACCCCTGGTACTTGGGTAAAAGCAGAAGGGTACTTCTTTTCAGGCAAAAATTTTCCGCAAAGTAAACAGAGGTCATAGATTTTCACCAGTATGATTGACAGGGAAAGGCTTAGAAAGAACTTTATAGAGGTGATAAAAATGTGCTACAGTTAAGTTATTAAATCTTAAAGCAAATCTACTTATGTCAATTCAATATTTCTATTTTATAGTATTTTTCAATATTCATATAATCCTCTCACTCAAACCAGATGCCTGGATATGTATAGCCTTTACATAAAGTTGTTTATGTTTCCTAATAGCTTTGGGGATTGGGGAAATGAGAATGATGTCCAATAATGTGTGATAAAATTAGAAACACACATATTCTGTACACCTTCAGTAAGTGTTCTTTGTGTTCCGTTAAATTTATATATTAAAATGTGCAGAGTTGGAGGATTGTAACATTTTTCAGGAACTCTACAAAGCAATTCAACAGAAACCCAACAAAATAGATAAATTTTACCTAGTTTGTCAATTATTCTACTCTTTTTATTTTTTTACTAACACAATTAAATATTAGCTATTTCCCTTAATGTTTAATGTCTAAAAAAGAGACTCTTCAAATTTTGAAAATAGACTGTCTCTAGGTAAGCTAGCTACTTTGTAGACTAGAATGAATCATTGTCTAATTAGTCAGTCAATGAATAACTCTTTATAATCAGGCTATCTACTAGGCAATGAGGGAGAATATTGTTTTTAATACAATTAAGGAAACAAAGTAAATGAAGGAAAGGGAAGAAGAAAGAGAGAAAGAAAAAGAATGAAAGAACAATGATATTCGCATAAATATATAAGAATCATACAATTGTCATAAGTATACGTGTATATAAGAACTCTTGGCATTCAGGAGCAAAAGAGCTAAAAAACCTTATAGTTGAATTTTTATGAATTTAAAATTTTTTTTATTAACTATTTGATTTTATCCTTACAGTTTCCTTGTCATTTATGCAGGATACATTTTTCCCAGTGTGTATGGTGGGAAAAAAGGAATTCTATTCATAATGATTTAAATTCAAGAAAATGTTTATATGATGCTTATCTTGATTTTTTTCCTTATTTGATAAACTTTCTTTAATATTGAGGCATGAAATGCAAAGAAAAGTTTTGTTTTATTTATATATGTTATTAATTTGGAAGGCACTATTGTTTGTTGATGCAACAACTGTTGCATCCCTTTTCTGTCTTGATTTGTCTCCCAGCATAGAGGCCAAAAATATCAGATAGTCACTTCCTGAGCCTACTGGGCCAAGTTACCAATGTCTCTTGCCTTTGGCATATGGGGGTTTGGCTACCAGAGAACTTGTAGGACTGAATCTCCTCCATACAAATGGAGAGGACACATGAGAGGATCTTCATTTTTTAACAACTGCTTTCTTTCCAGTTTGAGACATTTCAGTGTGAAGATGTTATATTTGCTACAGTCATGTTGCTACCATTTCACCAAGAGATTTACAGAGATAATGACTTGGGCCCTTGAGCCTTGGACTAATCATAGACTATCTACTTTAAACTTTTTCTTAAAAAATATGTTTGTAGTAGTTAAGCCACTATTATTTGCATATTTGGTCACTTGCTGTTGAATGAATCTTAACTGTACACCGTCTGACTTTTAAAAAAAATGACTTCTTTCTGCTTTATGTCTAGGAAAACTCAAACTCTCAAATGTATGAAACAATTGAATTGATGCAGAGAAAGCTGGAACTAACACTTTCTGAGAACCTGCTACTACTGTGGGGCAGACACTGTGCAAAATATTCTACATTTATTCTTTTGACTATTTTAAATGTCCCTTTTCTAATTAAAACCTTTTTCTCAGCACAGTATCTATCAAAAGGGTTTTCATTGTCCAAATATTTGTTGAGGAGTTATGGAATCTCAGGCTCTGGTCTGGGGACTAGGCCAAAAGTACCAAACAAAAAAGCCATGGTGATTATATTATAACAAAAATTGGCAGAAAACTAATAAATAAATAGCTAATAAGCAAAGCAAGAAATGTTTTGAAAAAAATGTGATTCAGTGTAAAGATAGTGCTGGGGGTGGAAAAAGATGTTATACTCCATAGTGTCTTTATAAAAGCCTCCCATGTTAAGGGGATAATTTAGAAAAGAATTCATGGATGTGAGGGACCACGTGGATATTTGCAGAAAAGTAATGTTCCAGGAAGACAGCACAAAAAGGGCAAATGCCTTAGACAGAAATGTTGTTGTCTCATTCGAAGTATAACAGTGATATTAAAGTGGGCATAATACAGTCAGCAAGGGAGGGAAAAGTAAGAGATGACTCAGGAGAGAGGAAAGGCCTTATAGGCATTTTTAAGGAATATGACTATCACTCTAAGAAAAATAAATCTCTGTAAAGTTTTGAGCACTGACAGAATGATATGACTTGGTTTCCATGGCAAAAAGTGGGTCTATAGAGGAGCAAATGTGGATAGAGAACAACTGATTGTGAGGTTATTGCAATTACCCAGGCCAGAGACGATGATGTCTCAAGCGAAGTGGTAGCATCAAAGTAGTGAGTTTCTGAAGTGTTAAGGTAATCCATTAAATAGCACCTGCTTCCATGCTCAGGTTCTGAGACCACTGGGAAATAAATGAAAAGGTTAAGCAGATAAGGGCCAAAATATAGGCAGGGTGTATGATTCACAACTGTAATCCCACTGTTTGGGAGGCCAAAGTAGAAGGATTGCTTGAGGCCAGGAGATGGAGACCAGCCTGGGCAACATAGGGATATTCCATCTCTACAAAAATAAAAATAAAACAAAAAATAGCTGGGCATGGTGGTGTGCACCTGTAGTCCTAGCTACTTGGGAGGCTGAGGGAGAAGGATGGCTTGAGCCTAGGAGTTCAACATCGAGATGAGCTATGATTGCATCACTGCACTCCAGCCTGGGTGACAGACTGTCCAAAAAAGAAAAGAAAAGAAAAGGGAACATGGGGCCAAAATATTACCTATATTTATTTTATACTGATAAAATCTAGGCTGGAGCATGTAGCCTACCATAAGAGTCAAAATGGACTGATAGTTTCCTGGCCCCTAGTCTAAACCTTGGATCAACCCATCCAATGAAAGATTGTGCCTTCAGACCAATGTATCTAAATCTTTGCCTTTCACTCCCAAGTTGGAGAACGGACCAGTTCTCCTGAGTGCTGTAACTTTGACAGGATAGATGAAACTAACTGAAAAAGGAGGAATGAAAATTAAAGCATTTTAT
Source organism: Homo sapiens (assembly GCF_000001405.40). Classification (NCBI taxonomy): domain Eukaryota; kingdom Metazoa; phylum Chordata; class Mammalia; order Primates; family Hominidae; genus Homo; species Homo sapiens. The sequence goes on from NC_000023.11 coordinate 27,700,334, forward strand.
GTGTTGAGGAGTATTAACACATCTGGAAATGGGTCATAAGTGTTAAGGAAAAAAAAAAATCCATCCTCATAGGAGGGGAAAGGATATATAAGGAGTAGGGAAGAACCTTTGCCCTTAATATTTTTTTTCTCTTTGCTTTATTTACCATTGGGGAAAACCATTGACTTATAGTCAAGCAACAGTTTTGCATTCTCCTGTTAGAATTGATTGATTCTTTTGATTCAAACAAAAGTGAAAATTGATTCTCACTTTTATGAGACTATTTCTTGCATAGCGATCACTGCTTCTTTGGTTATCCTTCCAGGGGAATTACTGGGAAATACGAATTTTGCCACCTGAAACCCCTGAAGTGGAACTGAATATTACGTTTATTATGTTCTAAGTCTACTTTGTAGCCAAGACCAACATTCACTCACTATTTTTCTTTTTTCACTGCACATTATTTCTAGCCACATTGCCAAACGTTCTGCAACAGAATAAAATGACAATATTAAAATACTCTAATAATAAAATGTCAATATAAAGCCACCCTAAACTTAAATAAAAATCACATCACTCCCATATAAAATTCTTGGGAAGAAATTAGAGTCCACAGATTAAAATTCCTTGTAAGTTAAAGTCCTGAATAAACCCCACAAATAAAATCACCTTCCTCTCATGAGGAAGAATTTAAAAGAAATTAAAATCCATAATTTATATTCTCAATTTCTCATCCTGCAAAAATCTCATTCAGGAGGCTTCTTCATGATAGTTCCAAACTAAAATTCATTTGGAAGCTTCATTATGGGATGTTTCTTACTGAGATGAGTATAATTCAGGGCAGAGTTTTTATTAATTCAACACCAAGATCCTAACATGCTTTAATTTTTAAAGAGTCCAAAGAAACAATGAATTAAAGTAAAGGAACAGGGAAGATTATCATGGCATTGTATCCAGTGCTACAAATTTTAGAGAGAAAAGTAATCCAAACAGTTTGATAGTGGATAGAACAAGTTAAAAGAACAGGAATATGTAAGACTTTAGCAATACTGTAAAGTGACTAGACCTAACAGACATCTGGAGAACACTCCACCCAACAAAAGCAGAATACATTCTTCTCAAGCATACACTGAAGGATAAAACATATGCCAATCTATAAAACAAGCCTCAATAAACGTGAAAGGACTGAAATTAATAAAATATATGATCTCTTACTAAAAAAGAATTAAATTAGATATAAATTACAGAAGGAAATATGAGAAATCAATAAACATGTGGAAATTAAGCAGTATACTTCTAAATAACCAATAAGTTAAAGGACAAATTACAAGGGAAATTAGAAAATACTTTTAGGTAAAAAAAGGAAAAACATACCAAAACTTGTGTCCAAAGAAAAGCTATAAGTAGTGCTTAATTTATAGCTGCAATGCCTTTATTAAATAAGAAGAAACTCTCAAATCGGTAACATAAACTTCCACATTGAGAAACTAGAAAAATAAGAGCAAACTAAATCCAGATAAAGCAAGAGACTCAAAATAATAAAGATTGGAGTGAACATAAATGAAGCAGAGATTAGAGAAAAAAAAGCAAAGAAAATCAATGAAACCAAAAGTTGGTGCTTTGAAATGAGAAAAAGAAACTGACAAACTTTTAGCTACATTTATCAAGAAAAGAGAAGACTTGTCTTCTATTAATATCTGGAATGAAAGAGAATATACCACTACCGACCTTAGATACGAGAAAATAATTTTAAGAAAATAATGTGAATAACTGCATGCCACAAATTAGATGACTTTGATGAAATAGACAGCTTTCAATAAATGACTGAAACTGACTCAAGTAGAAATAGAAAATCTGAGTAGACATAAAAAGTAAAGAGATTGAATTAGTAATTAACTCCTCTGCCACTAATACACAAAACATTCCCAGGTCCAGTGGCTCCACTGTAAATTCTACCAAACAATGAAAGAAGATTAATACCAATTCCCTCACAAATTCTTTGAAAAAAAAAATAGAAGATGGAGCAGGTCCCAAATCATTCTTTGAGTCCAGTATTACCCCGATACAAATACCAGACAAAGATACCAACAAAAAAAACCTACAAACCATATTCCTTATGAATATAGATCCAAAATCCTCAAAAAAAAAAACTAGACAACTGAATATAGAGCATAAAAAAATAACTTCACATCATCACTGAAAAAGTTTTGCCCCAAGAATGCAAGTTTGGTTTATCATCTAAGAAGCAATTGATTTAATATATCATATTAATAGGTAAAAATAGCAAAAAACACATAATCATCTTAATAGATACAGAATAAACATTTCACAAAATTCAACAACATTTCATGATAAAGCATCTTAACAAGCTAGTAATAAAAGATAACTGCTTCAAATTAATAAAAAGCATCTAATAAAAATCCATAACTAACATCACATTTAATAGTCAAAAATTAAATGTTCTCTCCCTAAGATAAGGAACAAGACAAGAATGTCTGCTCTTGCCACTTAAACGCTGTATTGGAAGTTCTAGCCAGGGAAATTAGGTAAGAAAAATAGATAAAAATATTTCATATTAAAAAGGAAGTAAAACTCTTTCTATTTTCAGATGACCTGACCTTGTGTACAGGAAACCTAAGGAATCCACTCGAAAACTATAGGAACTAATAGACAAGTTCAGCAAGGCTGAAGGATACAAAACCAATACACAAATATCAATTGTATTCTTATATAATAACAATGAACAATCTGAAAATGTAATTAAGAAAACAATTACATTTACAATAAATCAAAATCATATAATTCTTAGGAATAAATTTAACAAAAGAAGTACAAGAATTGTACACAGAATATTGCAAAACAGTTCGACAGAAATGAAAGATTTAAATAAATGAAAACACATCCCATGTTGACAGAACGAAAGATTTAATATTCTTAAGATAGCAATGTTTCCCAATTAATCTACAATCTCTATCAAAATCGCAGCTGGCATTTTTGCAGATATTGGCAAACCGATCCTAAATTTATATGGAAATATAAGGGACTCAGAATACCCCAAACAATCTTGATAAAGATGAACAAAGACAAAGGACACTATTTCCCAATTTCAAAACTTACTACAATGCTAAAGTACCCAAGACAGTAAAGTTCTGGCATAAGGTTAGACATGATAATTAATTGAATAGAACTGAGAGCTCAGAAATAAACCCTTACTTTATGGTCAATTTATTTTTGGTCAATTGATTTTTGAAAATCAATCACGGTCAGTTGATTTTTGAAAAGAGCGCCATGACAATTCAATAGACAAATAATGTTATTTTCAACAAATGGTGCTGGGAGAACTGGATATCCACATGCAAAAGAATGAAGTTGGACCCTGAACTCACACCATGCACACACATGAAAATAATTCAAAATGCATCATACACATAAATTTAACAGTTAAAACAATAACAGCCTTAAAATAAAACATAGGAATAAATCTTTATATTTATTTGTATTGTATTTAGAAAAATAGGCAATGTTTTCTTAGATATGACACCAAAAGTACATATCTAAGCAATAAAGGAAAAATAAATTGAACTTCATCAAAATTAAAAATATTTGCACCCAAAGATCACCATAAAGGAAGTGAAAAGAAAATTCGCACAATGAGAAAAAATATTAGCAAATCATATAGTGATAAGGGACTTGGATCAGCATAAAGAACTCTTATGACTCCATAATGTAAAGATAACACATTGTGTGTGTATATATATATATGTATAAATCAAGATACACATCATCAATTGATGGACACTTAGGCTATTACCATATCTTGGTTATTGTGAATAGTGCTGCAGTATATATATATATATATATACATATACACACACACATATGTATATACACATGTACACACGCGCGCACATGTGCGTGTACACACGTGCGCACATACGTATGTACGTATATATACGTATATATGTACATATATATATACATATATATGTGTGTGTATATATATACACAATGGAATATTATCCAGCCTCATAAAGGAGATACTACCATTTGTGACAATATGTGTGAGCCTGGAGAATATTATTCTAAATAAAATATGCCATACACAGAAAGAAACATAGTGTATTATCTCACCTAAATGTGGAATTTTGTTGAACGGTCAAATAAATAGAATTAGAGTAGAATTGTGATTGCCAGGTATGAAGAGGGGGAGGAAATGGGAAGAAGCATGTCTAAGCGTACACTCCTTTATGTAAGATAAATAAGTCTGGAGATTTAATGTACAGCATAAGGATTATAGTTGAGTATTTTATTGTATACTGAAAATTTTCCAAGAAAGTAGATTTTAGGTGCTCTTACCTAAAAAAGTGACTATAGAAGATGATGAATGTGTTAATTTGTTAGTTTGTAGTAATGATTTCATTATGTATGTGTGTAGCAACACATCATGTTAAACACCTTAAATATATGCAATAAAATAAATTTCAAAAATTAAGACATGAAATTTTTTAATTTTTTTATTTCAGGTTCAGGGGTAGATATGCATGTTTGTTATATAGGGAAACTGCATGTCACAAAGATTTGGTGTACAGATTGTCACCCAGGTAATAAGCATGGTACCCAATAAGAATTCTTTCTGATCCTCTCCCTCTTCCCCTCCATCCTCAAATAGGCCCTAGTGTCTCTTCTTTCCCTCCTAGTGTTCATGTGTTCTCATCATTTTGGCTTCCATTTATAAATGCAATATTTGTTTTTTGGTTCTTGTGTTAGTTTTCAAAAGAAAATGGCCTCCAGCTCCCTCCACGTTCCTGCAAAGGAGATGATCTCATTCTTTTTCAAGGCTGCATACTATTCCATGGTGTATATATACCAATTCTCTTTATCCAATCTACCATTTATGGGCATTTAGGTTGATACCATGTCTTTGATATTGTGACTAGTGCTGCAATAAACATTTCTATACAAGTTTTTGTATAGAAATATGTTTCATTTCTTAGGTATATAACTAGGAGTAAAATTACAGGATCATATGGTAACTCCATGACTAGCTTTTTGAAGAACTGTTTTCCAAAGTGACTGGACCATTTTACATTTCCACAAGCAAAATATGAAGGTTTCAGTTTTTGCACATCCCTGTAAACACTTACTATTCTCATTCTTTTTCATTATAGCCATCCTACTGAATGCAAACTTGTATCTTATTGTGGTTTTGATTTGCATTGCTTTAATGATCAGTGATGCTGAGCTTTTTTTCATATGCTTGTTGGCTGCATGAATGTCTTCTTTTGAAAAGTGTGTTTATGTCCTTTGCCCACTTTTTAATGGGGTTGTTTTTTCTTGTAAATTTACTTAAGTCCCTTATAGATGCTGGATAGTTGACTTTTATCAAATGCATAGTTTGCAAATATTTTCTCCCATTCTGTAGGTTGCCTGTTTACTCTGTTGCTAGTTTATTTTGCTGTGCAGAAGCCCTTTAGTTTAATTAGATTCTATTTGTCAATTGTTGTTTTTGTTGCGATTGTTTTTGCCATCTTTGTCATGAAATATTTGCTAGTTTCTATGTCCAGAATGCCTAGGTTGCCTAGGCATTTTCCAGAGTTTTCACAGATTTAGGTTTTACATTTAAGTCTCTAGTCCTTCTTGAGTTGATTTTTTGTATGTGGTATAAGGAAGGGGTTCAGATTCAGTCTTCTGTATATGGCTAGCCAGCTATCCCAGCACCATTTATTGAATAGGTGACCCTCGTTTCCCTATTGCTTGTTTTTGTCAGCTTTGTCAAAGACCAGATGCTTGTAGGTGTGCAGCCTTATTTCTTGGCTCTCTATTCTGTTCCATTGGTCTATTTGCCTGTTTTTTGTACCAGTGCCGCGCTGTTTTGGTTACTGTATCCCAGTAGTATAGTTTGAAGTTGGATAACGTGATGCCTCCAGTTTCTTTATGATTATTATTATTATTTTTGGCATAGTATTGCCTGGGCTATTTGGGCTCCTTTTTTCATTCCATAGGAATTTTAAAATACTTTTTTTTTCTAATTTTGTGAAGAATTTCTTTGGTAGTTTGAAAGGAATAGCATTGAATCTGTAAATTGTTTGGGGCAGTATGGCTATTTTAACATTATTGATTCTTCCTCTAAAGAAAGACCAACTAAAAACTGGGAAAGGGAATTAAATAGACATTTCTCAATAGAAGATATATAAATAGGCAATAGACACATGAAAAGATGCTCAACATCATTAGTCATTAAGGAAATGCAAATCAAACTACAATGAGATGCTACTTCACACCCACTAGGATGGCTATAAATTTAAAAAGGCACAATGAAAAGTGTTGGCAAGGACGTGGAGAAATTGGAAACCTCATACATTGCTGATGGGTTTGTGAAGTGGTACAGCTGCTTTGGAAAACAGTTTGGCAGTTCCTCAAAAAGTTAAACATAGAGTTCCATATGACCCAGCAATTCCACCCTTATTTATGTATCCAAGAAAAATGGAAACATATGCCAACACAAAAACCTGTACATGAATGTTTATAGCAACATTACTCATAATATCCAAAATGTGGAAACAACCCAAATATCCATCAACTGATGAATGGATAAATAAGATGTGGTATATCATAAAATGGAATGCTTTTCAGCAAAAATAGGGAATGAAGTACTGATACATGCTACAATATGAATGGACCTTGAAAACATTATGCTAATGAAATAAGCCAGTCACGGAAGAACACATATTGTATGGTTTCATTTACATAAAATGTTTAGAATAGGCAAGTGAGTAGAGCCAGAAAGTGGTTGCCTAAGGCTAGGTGAATGGGGGGAAATGGGAAGTGACTACCAATGAGCATGGGGTTTCTTTCTCGGGTGGCAAAATGTCCTAAAATTAGATTGTGGTGATGGCTGCACAACTCTGTGAATATACTAAAAACTATTGATTTGTATAATTTCAATGGATGATTTTTATTGAATGTTAATATCTCAATCATCCTGTTTAAAAATAAATAATGTGCATATTGTAGTTTTTAGGGATGAAGTTTCCTGATATCTGAAACTGACTTTGAAATTGATCAAAGATATTGTGGATTGATAATTGGATAAATGGGTAGATGGCTAGAGACACAGATATATGATGAAGCAAACAGCAAAATCTTAACAATCATAACATTTAGGTGGTGATTATATGGATATGGCATTTCTATATGTTTGAAAAATTTCAAATATAATGATGGAAAAATACCAAAAAAGTAATTTGAAGCTAAATTATAGTTCTGTAAACTAGAATCGAGTGTTGCAACCCAGAATGAAGACTCGGTAATATCTAGGGAAAGGAGCATATATGGAAATCATCTTGGCTTTCATTTCACTAGGATGCTAATCAGCCTATTACTGTTGCTTGGAATCCGTGGTCTATGAGTTTAGGATTAAATTGGGCTTTGTGTTCCCATAATATGTTAATATTTGCACTAGGGGGTTATAATATCTGGAGGGAAAATAAAACTATAGATACATTAGTTACTGAGAGTGTTATTTGAAACACTGTGGCTTTTTTGACAAAGTAGAATTTTGTGATTATGGAAGTTAGGGTAAATAAAAATGGCATCTTATTAGAGGTGCTTTTCTTTCCTATCCACCAATTTCAAAATCTTTTAGTATGTGTTTTCTCTGTTTCACATTTCTTATTTTATTTTACTTTATTTAAAATATTCTACTTTTATTTTAGTTTTGTGATGTACATGTGAAAGTTTTTTACCTGGATATATTGAGTGATGCTGAGGTTTAGGGTACAATTGATTCCCCTCACTCATGCACTGAGCATAGTACCCAATAGTTAGTTTTTCAACCCTTGCCTCCCTTCCCTCTCTAATAGTTACCAGTGTCTATTGTTCCCATCTTTATGTCCATATGTGCTCAGTATTTAGCTCTCACTTACAAATGAGAACATGCGCTATTGTTTCCTGCATTAATTTGCTTAGGATAATGGCCTCCAGCTGCATCTATGTTGCTGCAAAGGACATGATTTCATTCTTCTTAATGGCTGCATAGTATTCTATGGTGTATATATACCACGTTGTCTTTATCCAGTCCACCATTGACATCTATACCCATACCACTCTGAATGTGTCTGATATCAGAAGCTAAGCAGAGTCATGCCTGGTTAGTTCTTGGATGGGAGTTTCGCCTTTCTGTCACATAGTGCTACACTCAACTCTCATAAGATGTATTTTCAATCTTGTATTATCTTAGCTATATCTACTGTCTCTGGTTTTATAATGGTTTATATATATGCAATCTTCTTTCAAGGATGTTTCAAGGAATATTTGTACTATTGTCTACCCATTTGTTTCAGTCTACATAGACTGATATTTAGTAGATGCCAAAGGCATTGCTACAGAAGAATTTTCAGGTTAAACCCCTACCGATCTATTGAGGACCAGTATCTTCCCCTTCTCCTCAAAACACTGCTATCTCTGCTATTTAATATTCCCAATCTCAAGTAGCATTTCTTTCTACTACCCATTTACTCTTCCATTACTGGAAAATGCCTCTAGTGTTTCATTTTCTTTTCTTCACTAGCTCAGTTGAGTTTCTCATAGTTCTAGTTCCACCTGCTTTTCTTTTTTCTTTTTTTACAGAGTTTCACTCTTGTTGCACAGGCTGGAGTAGTGCAATGGCGTGATCTCGGCTCACCACAACCTCGGCCTCCCAGGTTCAAGCAATTCTCCTGCCTCAGCCTCCCGAATAGCTGGGATTACAGGCATGTGCCACCACGCCCGGCTAATTTGGTATTTTTTTAGTAGAGACAGGGTTTCTCCATGTTGGTCAGGCTGGTCTTGAACTCCTGACCTCAGGTGATCCACCTGCCTCAGCCTCCCAAGTGCTGGGATTACAGGCGTGAGCCACCGCGCCCGACCAGTTCCACCTGCTTCTTAAGTTGGTACCTTTCCACTCTATTAGATTCTGGGCTAGTTCTCTTCACTGGACCTTAAAGACTTTCATTTGTGTTTGTATTTTCCGTACATTTTGTTGTAACACTTTTTTTATAACATTATATTAACTTATTTTGTTGATTAGTGCATAGTGAGAGATAAAAAATTGAACTTCTTTACAGTTGATTCAAGGTCTATCTGAAAAATAAGGCAAGGAACCAGTTGATTTTAAACTACACCACAAACAATAAAATATTAGCAACCGTGATGGGGTTCTTCTCACACTGTATCTCTCTGACTGACTTTTCTTCCTTCCCTTTCCACTCTTAAATGCTTATGTGATTACGTTAGGCCTACTTGGATAATCTAGAATAACCACTCAATTCTATTGTCAGCTGATTAGCAAATCTTAATTCCATCTACAAAGTCTCTTTTGCCATGTAACATAAAAATCACAGAAGTAACACCATGGGCTAAAGGGGTTAAAGATCATGGGGGCCAAAATCTTGTCTCTTCACCAGTCCTTGTCTGTGGACTGTTTCTGTGGCTGGCATGTTCATGGACTGTTTCTGTGGCTGGCATGTTCATTTTTTTTTTTAACAATGTCTTTCAAAAAGCAAAAGATTAAATGTGGGAAATGCCCAATTATTTTTTTTTGCTTTATGATTATGCTTTTTGTGTGTCCTATCTAATAAATCGTTGCAAATAATATGCCCTACTTTTTCTAGGTTTTTTTTATTTTTAGCTTTCACATTTCTATGAAATGTATTTTGAGTTAATTTTTGTATATGGTTTGCATTAAGGGCCTATGCTCAATTATTTTCCACATAGATGTTCAGTTGTTCAAACGTAGTTGAAGATTCTTTTCCCAGTGATTTTCTATCCATTTTCTGTACATTGTACTGTTTCATTGACTATGTGCCTATCCTGCAGCCCAATGTCATATTGCACCATTAGAGTAACTCTTCAAATCAAGTAGTGTAAGTCCTTTGACTTTGTTCCTCAGTTTAAAAGTGCTTTGGGCAGGCATTCTTGGTCTTTTCAATTCCCATATACATCCTAAAATCAATTTTCCAATTTCTATAAATTTTTAAAACTTCTGAAATTTTGGTTGGTTTTGTGTTGAATATATAGATAAATTTGGGTGTAACTTGTATATTATCTATTTTAGTCATCCAATCCAGAATTAGAGTATTTTTCTTAATTTATTTAAATATTCTCTAATCTGTTTGTCAGTGTTCTCTAGTCTCAATTCTTCTGTCTTTCGTGTCTTTTGTTAAATTTAATCATAAGTACTTGATGATTTGAGGTACTATTGTAAATACAAACTAATATTTTATTCATTTTTGTATATTAATCTAGTCTCTGACCATGATAAAGTCACTTATTTTTTCTAGAAGTTATATGCAGATTCCTCAGCATTCTCCTATTTTAACAATTATTTCACCTGCATGTGTATATAGTTTTACTTCTTCCTTTAACATTTTATCACTTTCATTTTTTTCCTTCCTTCATTGCTATGGCTAGGGCCTCCAACACAAAGTTTAAGAGAAGTGTTGAAAGGGGACATTGTCTTGTTTCTGACATTAGAAGAAAAGATTTACTCTTTCACCATTAAGTATGATGTTAGCTGTAGGATTTTCATTGTTTGTAGATGCCCGTTATCTAATTGAGGAAGTTGTCTTCTATTACTAGTTTGATGAATATTTTTATCATGAATGGCTATTTGATTTTGTAAAACGATTTTTCTGCATCTCGTAAAATGACAAAATATACACCTACTATGTACCCACAAAAATTAAAAATATAAAAATTGAAAATAATTTGAAAAGACAAAATTATTTTTCCTTTTGTTCTCTTAATATGGTTTGCTAATTACATTAACTGATTACTTCAGTATTAAACAAAACTGGAATTCTGTAGATAAATTACCCTCCTTAGTCAGGTTGTATTATTATTTTATATATGGTGGACTTAGATTCAGTAACATTTGGACCATGCAACATATAAGAGACCATGCAATATTTTTCTTTCTGTGTCTGGCGCATTTCACTTAATATAATGTCTTTCAGGTCTTTCTCTGTTGTGGCAAAGAGCAGAATTTTCTTCTTTTTTATGGGTGAATAATTTTCCTACATCTATATGTGTGTGTGTGTGTGTGTACGTGTGTGTGTGTGTGTGTGTGTGTGTATTATATATATATATATTTGACTTTGTTCTTTAGAAGTGCTTATATGTGTATATATATACATTCCTCTTGTCACACAAAAGTAACTATGTGAGATGATGGATATGCTAATTTGCTTCACTATAGCAACCACTTTACTATTTATATCCCATAACATCATGTTCTAAGCCTCAAATATACACAATAAAATTGATTTCAATGAATAAAAATTAAAGAAAATAATTAAAAAGGAATATTGATCTGCAGTTTTTTATAATATCATTTTGTGATTTTAGTATTAGAGTAATGCTGGCCTCATAAAATGAGGTGAAAAGTGTTCCCTCCATTGAATTTTCTTAAGGAGTCTGAGGTTGGTATAATTTCTCAAATGTTCACTAGATTTCAACAAAGAAGCCACCAGAAACATGGAGGGTTTTGGGGGGAAGTTAGCTAACTATGAATTCAATTTATTTAATATATCTAGCACTATTCAGGTTATTTATTTCTTCTTGAGTGAGTTTTGGTAGCTTGAATCTTTCAAGGGACTTCTCTGTTCATCTAGGTTTTAGAATTTGTTTGCATAAAGTTGTACATGATGTTCCTTTATTATCCTTTTAATAGATATAGGATCTGCAGTAATATTCATTATTTCCTTCAAGATATTGGGATTTTCTTTCTATCATTTTTTATTATTAATATAGCTAGGGGTTGTGAATTTTGTTGATATTTTCCAAGAACCGGATTTTGGCATTATTTTATTTTGGAGTATTTAATCCAATTAACATATTTCTGTCATTTGAGTCATCTCAGAATTGGCATCTGTTGACTGTCTTTTCCTTTGAAGTGGGGTCTAAGTTTCCTGGTTCTTTGTATGTCACATAATTTCAAATCGTGTCATGGCCACTAGGAATTTCATGTTGTAGACACTCTGAATTATGTTATATTGCTCTGAACAGTACCAATTTGTTTCTCTTCCAGTAAGTAGTTAAAATAGTTAGACCCAAACTGCAAAATATCCTAACTGAAGGGGTCAGTGGCTCAAATTTCAGTTGTTGAAAGCTGTTTCCAGTTTTCCCTACATATGCATGTTTCACAGGTTGAAGTGAGTTTAAACACAAAATTTAGGGTTTCTCTTCTTTGATTATTTTCCTTCCAGGGTTCTGTGTTCACTTGACTACCAGAAACATTTCTAGTTTACCATCAGAGTTTTAGCCGCTTCCATGCTTCTGTGACTGCAGCTACTCTCAGGTAAAACTGTAAAAATACAGGGTATTCGCACAGTGCTGGTCACTTGGTCCCTTCTAAAAATGTTTGTATTTGTACAGTTTCTAGAGCCCCAGGTATTTGGGTTTATTTGTTTATTTTTGTCTAATGTTTATAGCTCATATTTGTGGGAGGATCAATATGTTAGGCGCTTGCTTCTCCAAAATGGAAGCAGAAACCACTAGTGGAAGCTTTAAAATAGATAATTGTCTGTTTCTATAGAGATAGACTGTATTCACTTGGGATTGAGCAAAGGCATGAGCCTCAGTAAAGTGGACCCATCAGAAAATATGTGTAAGGAGTCTGTCTTGAATTAATTAACAGTGAAATCCCTATTTATGATCCAAGTAGATATGCTGAGGCAGACCAGTGTACAGAATTTGAGGAAGAGGTCTGAGTTGGAAAGAGAATTTTGGCAATCACCAGTGTATAGAATGTATGGCATCTAAGTGAATTATACTGGATTAAACTATGAAGGGAATAATTTTATGTAAAGAAGAACAAAGTCTGAGGACTGAAAGGAGACATTTCACAGCTTTAGGAGCCAGGAAAATAAGAAGAAACAAGGAAAAAAGACTGAGAATAAAATAATGGACTTGGAAGGTATGAGGAGAATCAAATAAATGCTTCAAGAAAATTGGATTAGAATAATGCCAAATGTTGCTAATGAATGAAATAAGATGAGGACTGAAAATTGGCTGGTAAAATTGGATTAATGTACATTATTGATTACCTTAAAAGAGCAGTGTGTATGAAGTAGTTGAAAGAAACTCTTCAGGAGATTCAAGAAAAAAATAGGTAATAAGAGGCAGAAATACCTAGGACATACACAAACCTTTTGAGGAGATTTTCTGTAAAGGGGAACAGAGTAATGGGGCAGTAATTGAAGGAGAAAATTGGAGTAAAAAAGGTATTAATGTTAGAAGTAACATTATACATTGTTTATTTGCTGGCAGAAATTATCTAACCAAGGGAAAAGAAAATTGAAGATGTAGGACATCAGTTGGCAAACGTTTTCTCTAAAGGGACAGATATTAAATATTATAAACTTTGTCAGCCATATGATCTCTGTCATAACTGCAACCATAGGTAACATGTAAATTAATGGGCATGGCTGTGTTCCAATGAAACTTGATTTACTAACAGATGAAAGGCAGGGTTGGGTTGTGGGCCTTAGTTTGCTGGCCACTGATATTAAGAGAAAAGAGGGTAATATCAGAAATTAAATTCTTGAGTAGGCAAGCCTTGAGAGGATCCAATATACAAGTATAGAGATTATCAGTTGATCAAAAAAGAAAGTTCATCCATTTTAATAGAATTTAGGGTGAAGTATGACCCTTATATAGGTAGAATGGTAGATGGTGGTGTAGAAGCATATACAACTCTCCTTTAGATTTCTTCTATTTTTCCATGTTAGGAAATGTTAAATCATCCACTTGATCTTAATTATCCTACCCATCCCTGATAAACATCTTCAGCTTTGCCTACCCCTATTCCATGCTCTGCTTACAGTAACAGAATCATTTTATAATAGAAAAAAAGAGAGGAAAATGCAAAATGATTTTTAATGGTTTCTCAAATAACACTAATTCTGCTTCTCATTCATTAAACACCTAAAACGATAGAGCAGTCTAAGAAATCAAGGGGTTAGAATTATTGTTAACCTTTAATTTTACCAAACCAGATTCTAAATGTATGGTAATTCATTGTGAGTTTTTTTTTTTACTTGAGACTGTTCTAAAAGTGCACCTAAAACATCTTTTTCCTGTTTGTCATAATAAGGCAAAGAAATGTTCTTAGCAATTTCTTTCCCAGCCATTTTTTAACTTCAAAAACTTTTCTCTAAATATGCTTAGTTTAGTAGAGAAATGTTTATTCCCATTGTATAAAATGACTACATTTTAACACCACTAAGATTTAGAAGGTATTCTATTTTGGTGGATTACTTCTATGGCAGCCAACATTACATTACAGAAGGTGCTGTAAACTACAGTGATTGCAAAAGTAATAGCAACAAGCATACAGATATTTGAGAAAATCATGTTTTCTGAGATTGAATATATTGACAGGTCTTTCTAGCCTCCCCATTTTCCCTACTCTTCCAAAATTTGAAGTAATTGCAAATGTCAGTGCCCTGGATTCTATCAGGTTTGAGGCCATATTGCCTCAGTCTTTTGAGTAAGAACCCTGCAGCCACCTTATAAAACATGTTTAAAGTAGAAACCACATGGATTTTTTTATTTTTTATTTTTATTTTTTTAGTTAAAGACAAGTAGTTCTGGGTTCAGACATAATTTTCAGAAAATAGCTTCTCACCTGTGTGTTGAGGACTTAAAATGGTTTTACTATGACACTAATATTTTTCCCTTCACAAGATACAGTGTACAATAATTTGTAGGGAAAATAATATTTGAGTGGAAATGGGAGTCAAAGGTAACTGAGAGTAGGCCGGGCACGGTGGCTCATGCCTGTAATCCCAGCACTTTGGGAGGCCAAGGTGGACAGATCACGAGGTCAGGAGATCGAGACCATCCTGGCTAACACAGTGAAACCCCGTCTCTACTAAAAATACAAAAAATTAGCTGGGTTGGTGGCAGGAGGCTGAGGCAGGAGAATGGCGTGAACCCGGGAGGCGGAGCTTGCAGTGAGCCAAGATCGCGCCACTGCACTCCAACCTGGGCGACAGAGCGAGACTCCGTCTCAAAAAAAAAAAAAAAAAAAGGAACTGAGACTAGATCTATTCTTGAAATCTGTGGTGGAATTTGGAAAAACTAATAAACGTCATGACACTTTAACTCAATGGTTAAGAGCACAGATTTAGGATCCAGGCTTACAAGTTGGAGAAAGTTACTTATACCTCAGGATCTCTGCCTTCTCATCTGTAAAATAGAAATCAGTAATACCCACTTCATAGGGTTATTATAAGAAGTAATGTTTTAATATTTGTCAAAAACGTAGAACAGTACCTAGCACAATAAGTGTCAGTTAAATAAAAACTAAATAAATAATGCATGAGGGGAAGTTATTGATGCAAAATAAAGTGGCCCAGGAAAAGAGCTTGGGGGCATCACTGCGTCAAGCTATGTCATAATAAAAACTAAGTATTCATGCTCCCAGGTCATTTCTGCCTCAATAACTTTAACTACAAGTACATAAGACTTTCAGAGATGACTAATGCTAAATTAATGATAGTCCTTTCTTCAGAATGGATATAAATATTTTTGCTTTTCTATCTCAGAGCTTTTAACATTATTATTGTCAAATATGTTTGAACTACACATTGCATAACCTTAAACTTAAATTTGTTATGTTCTCCCTTCATCAGTATTGGACAAACTAAAATCCAATGACTTGGTTTGTTTATTATCCTTATTAAGAAATCTGATTAGACTTGCACTAAAACAATTTATTTTATCCTGTTAGGAAGCTGCACTGTTGCAGAGGTCCATTAACTCTTTCAGGACGGTGTGGAATCAGTGGGGAAATCTCTAATTGCTACTGACACAGGTGAGTGGCATGGGTAGCAAATTATGCATGGCAGCAGCAATTTCCTAGAAGACCTGTGATTGCTTAGTGGTTAAAAAGCTTTAATGTGCCTCCAGTGCCTAAGTCATTAACAGAGAATGATTTAGGCACAGGAAGAATCTAACTAAAATGTAAAACTGTGAAGGCATTACAAATAATAGTGTACCTAATAAAAGTACTTGAATATTAGTTTGTGTCAGATACATTTTCCCATTAACTATAATAGGTCATGAAAAATACAAAGCAATTGAAAAGCACAAAAAGAAATCTTGTCATAAAATGACACAACAATAATCAGAAATAAAGCAAACAACCTTTTCTTTATGTTTACAACTTGCTCATATTTATAAAATCTTCACTTTTGTAAGAGTTTAATGTGCCACTGTCACTATATCACTGGCTTTCCAAGCCTTCTCATCAGCTCCCATAGGAAATGTGTCATTCAATTTTAAAAACAGGGGAAACTGAGACTGTATGTATTTCTGAGCTGTAAAACTTGTGATATCCAAGTATTTTATTTTGCTTTAGGATTACAGTTATTCTTTTTTTATTTTTAGTTCTGGGGGACATGTGCAGGATGTGAATGTTTGTTACATAGGTAAAGGTATGTCATAGTGGTTTACTGCATCTATCAACCCATCACCTAGGTATTAAGCCCAGCATGCATTAGCCATCCTTTCTAATACTCTCTCCCCGCACCCCACCCCCGACAGGCTGCAGTGTGTGTTGTTCTCCTCCCTGTGTCCACGTGTTCTCATTGTTCAGCTCACACTTACAAGTGAGAACATGTGGTGCTTGGTTTTCTGTTCCTGCATTAGTTTGCTGAGGATAATGGCTTCCAGCTTCATCCATGTCCCTGCAAAGGACATGATCTCGTTCCTTTTTATGCCTGCATAATATTCCGTAGTGTATATGTACAACATTTTCTTTATCCAGTCTTTCATTGATGGGCATTTGGGTTGATTCCGTGTCCTTGCTATTGTGAATAGTTCTGTAGTTAACATATGTGTGCATGTATCTCTTTAATAGAATGATTTACATTCCTTTGGGTATATACCCAGTAATGGGATAGCTGGGTCAAATTGTATTTCTGGTTTTAGCTCTTTGAGGAATCACCACACTGTCTTCCACAATGGCAGAACTAATTTACATTCCCACCAACAGTGTTAAAGTTTCCTTCTGCTCCACAACCTCACCAGCATCTGTTGTTTCTTGACTTTTTAATAATGGCCATTCCAACTGACATGAGATGGTATCTCATTGTGGTTTTGATTTACATTTCTCTAATGATCAGTGATGATGAGCTTTTTTTCATATGTTTGTTGGCTGCATGAATGTCTTCTTTTGAGAAGTGTCTGTTCATGTCCTTTGCCCACTTTTTAATGGGGTTGTTTTTTTCTTGTAAATGTGTTTGAGTTTCTTGCAGATTCTGGATATTAGACCTTTGTCAGGTGGACAGATTGCAAAGATTTTCTCCCACTCTGTAGGTTGCCTGTTCATTCTGATGATAGTTTCTTTTGCTGTGCAGAAGCTCTTTAATTAGATATCATTTGTCAATTTTTGCTTTTGTTAAGATATATAATGTTTTATTTCCCTAGAACAACTATTTAAAAATACCCATGTTCTCCTTTCAGTCTCTAGAGAAATGTGAAATTTTTAAAGTACATACAAGCATAGTCTACCAACCATGTACAGTTCTGATTGCATTTTCAATCCTATAATTTTCATGAGAGCATAATTTTTTATTCCGTTGAATTGCCATAACTTAGTCATTTCTCTATTATAAAATATTCTATTTTACTATTGTTAACAATGTTATAATTAACATCATTTTTCCTAACTTTTGAGAAATAATTTACATAAAATAAAACCAACACATATTAAGTGTATAGTTTTATGAGTTTTGGTGATTGTATGTATTTGTGTAGCCATTCCCACAAACATGATATAGATCCAAAAATTCCATAGTGACTCTTTGAATTAGATTTCCTCCTTTCATCCTCCATCCCAGGTAACCACTGATCAGCTTTTTGTCACTATAGTTTTGCCTTTTCTAGAATTTCATACAAATGGAATCATGTACTATGCAGTCTTTCATGTTTCATTTTCTAACATAGCATCATGTTTTTGAGATTCATTCATGTTTTTGTGTATATCAATATTTTGGTCGTTTTGTTCCATAGTATAAATATAGCACAATTTGTTTATTCAATCACCACTTTTAGGATACTTCCCCTACTTCTAGTTTGTGTATAAGCCTATTATGGTTAATTTTATGTGTCAACTTGACTTGGCCACAGGCTGCCCAGTTACTTGGTCAAACATTATTCTGAGTGTGCCTGTGAGAGTGTTTCTGGATGAGATTAACATTTCAATCGGTAGACTGAGTAAAGCAGACTGCCTTCCCTAATGTTGGGGGAGCCCTGATCCAATCAACTGAAGGCCTAAGTAGAAAAAAAAACAGCCAGCCTTTCTGAGAACAAGAGGGAACACTGCCTGCTTAACTGCTTGAGCTGCAACATTACTCTTTTCTGGCTTTCAAACCATGACTGAAACATTGGTTATTCTTGGGTCTCAAGCCTGCTGGCTTTCCAAATGGAATTTAAAATCTTGGTTCTCCTGGTTCTTCGGACTTCAGACTCAATCTAATACAACACCATTGGCTCTTCTGGGCCTCTATCTTGCTAACTGCAGGTCTTGGTGCTTCTCAGACAATTCCTTATTACATATGTATGTGTGTGTATGTATGTATATTATATATGTATACATAAAACAGGCACGCATATACACCCACATATATCCTATTGCTTCTGTTTTTCTGAAGAATTTTGACTAGTACAAAGTCTTTCTGTAGACCTATTTTTTAATTTATCTTGGGCAAACATCTAGGAGTGGAACTTCTGGGTCATGAAAAGTGCATATAACAGTGATATTTAATTGGCAAATTTTTTTCAAAATGGCTGCAACATTTTGCATCCCCACCAGCAATGTATGAGAAATGCAGTTGCTTCATATCTTTGTCCAAACCTAGTGTTTTCCATTTCTTAGATTTTAGCAATTCTAGTGAATATATCATTGTGGCTTTAATTTTAATTTCCTCATGGTTAATGACATAGAACACTTTTTCTTATGATAATTGGCCATAGATCTATTTCGTTTTGTTAAAGAAAATATGTTAAAATATAAAACATATATAAAGAAAGTGTATTTTAAGAGGTACTTTTGTTAAGTACCTCTTAAAATCATTTACCCATTTAATTTTTTTTTTTTTTTTTTTTGAGACGGAGTCTTGCTGTCACCCAGGCTGGAGTGCAGTGCGATCTTGGCTCACTGAAACCTCCGCCTCCTGGGTTCAAGCGATTCTCCTGCCTCAGCCTCCTGAGTAGCTGGGACTACAGGTGCATGTCGCCATGCCTGGCTAAGTTTTGCATTTTTAGTAGAGGTGGGATTTTGACATGTTGCTCAGGCTGGTCTCAAACTTCTGACCTCAAGTGATCCGCACACCTCAGCCTCCCAAAGTGCTGGGATAACAGGCGTGAGCCACTGTGCCAGGTCAAAAATTTTATTTTCTTGATAGTGAATTAAATTTGTTCTTTATATTTTTTGGATACATGGCCTTTGTTAAATTTATGATTTACAAATATTTTCTTCCATTCGGTGTATGGCAATCAATTTTGTTTCCTAAACCATGTCTGTAAAAGAACAAAAGTCTATTTGTGTTTTTTTTTCTTTTATGGATTATGCTTTTTTTATATCCTGCTTAAGAAACTTTGTCAAAGTCAATATGACAAAGATTTTTTTCCTGTGTTTTCTTCAAGTGGTTTTGTATCTTTATCTTACATATAGGTCTATAATTCATTTAAGCTAAATTTTATATATGATTTTGAGTCAAGGGTTTTTTTTTAACCATACAGATATCCAATTGTTCCAATAATATTTATTTAAAAATGTATATTTCCCCTATTGGAATACCTTAATACCTATGTCAAAAACCACTTCACCATATATATGTGGGTCTATTTCTGGAATCTTGACTTTGTTTCGTTTAGATAATGTCTATTACACCTATACTACACTGCATTAATTATTTTATCGTTATAGTGAGTCTTGAATCAGACAGTAAAAGTTCCCCAAAGTTATTCTTTTTCAAAGCTATTTCAGCTATTGTAGATTATTATTATTATTATTTTTTTTTGAGACGGAGTCTCGCTCTGTCGCCTAGGCCGGACTGCGGACTGCAGTGGCGCAATCTCGGCTCACTGCAAGCTCTGCCTCCTGGGTTCACGCCTTTCTCCTGCCTCAGCCTCCCGAGTAGCTGGGACTACAGGCGCCCGCCACCGCGCCTGGCTAATTTTTTGTATTTTTAGTAGAGACGGGGTTTCACCTTGTTAGCCAGGATGGTCTCGATCTCCTGACCTCATGACCCACCCGCCTCGGCCTCCCAAAGTGCTGGGATTTCAGGCGTGAGCCACCGCGCCCTGCCGATTATTTTTATTTTCATATATTTATTATAATCAACCTATCAATTTGACTAAGACTCCATTAAATCTATAGATCAATTTGAGAAGAACTGACATTTCAAAAAAATTTAGTCTTCTAATTTATGAAAACTATATGTATTTATGTGTGTGTTCTTTAAGTTAATGTTACCCATGTTTTGTAATTTGGTGTTCAGACCTTACATATATTTTATTAAATGCATTTATAAATAGTTTATTTTTTACTTTATTAAAATTTGAGTTTTAAAATTTATTTCTTAAATATTTTTATTTTATAGAAATACGATTAATTTGTTTATATTGTATTGGTCTTTGTATTTGTATTGTATTGGTCTTATAAATTGTAAGCTTGAAAAGTGTGATTGTTAATTGTAATAACTATCTTACAGATTTTAAAGGGTTTTCCACATACATAATTAGATTATCTGCAAATCAAGATGGCTTTGCTTTTTTATTTTTCAATCAAATTGTAGGCCTTTCATTTATTTATCCATTCATTCCATTTATCCTTTTGCACTGTCTGATACTTCCAGTATAATGTTGAATATAATGGCAGCAAATACTTTAAAGCTAATCCAATTTAAGAAAATGGTGCATGAGAACAAAAAGAAGGAAAAGTTAAAAGCTAATTAATTTCACTGTTGCTCATAATAAGGTACTGATACATAATGTTTAAACAAAGAAAAGACTAAGGATGTCATATAAATATAT
Source organism: Homo sapiens (assembly GCF_000001405.40). NCBI lineage: Eukaryota > Metazoa > Chordata > Mammalia > Primates > Hominidae > Homo > Homo sapiens. Next base: position 27,721,400 of record NC_000023.11, read on the forward strand.
ATAGAACAAGGATTTTTAAAGTCCTGAATATCGTAGAACTACAAAATACTAAACGTATTTAAATAAATACAAATGGACATAATTCACCTAATAATTTTTTAGTTTAGGATTGAAACACAAAGCAAACCTAATTCTAATCTATGGAATAAAACAAAGATTGAAAATGAATTGATGGACAAGAGAAATTAGTTAGAAAACAAAATCTGCAAAATAAGAAAACATAAGATTGTTTAAAATAATAAAGTAGATTAGCTCACAGAGGAAAGAAAAAAGAAAGCATTAAAACACAAAATAAGAAATAATAGGAGGCAATCAAGTAACTCATAATTTTAAAAAATCACTCACAAACTATTTTATGCAGCCCTATGTAAAAAATCTAAATTAAATGGATAATTTTCTAGAAAAATACAACAGAAGAATAATTACCAGAAGAGAAATTTGAAACAGATAATTTCCCTAGATAATTGGAGAAATTTGTAAATAAAATAATGCCCTCCTCCCTGTGAATAACACCAAGCTCAGATGGTTTCACATGAAATCCTACCAAATCCATAAAGAACAGATCATTCTGATGGTAATTCACCTATTCATGAGTACATAGAAAGCTGAAATATATTAAAATTATTTTCATCAAGTATGAATGACATTTTATCCATAACCTGAAAAATGCACAAAAAGGAAAACCACAGAACATTTTCATTTATCTCTCATTGAGGCATCTCATTTATGCAATTTAATGCAAATTATTATGATTGATCTCTAACAATGTTGAAAAGACATTTTTACTGGATTCAAATCTGTCCTTTTTTAAAAGAAAACAAAATAAAAATACCTTGATAAAATAGAATTCAACAGATACTTCACTAAAATGATTTATGTACAGATGAATCTCGACTTACAATGTGGTTACGTTCTGATAAGCCCATCATAAGTTGAAAATATTGTAGGTTGAAAATGCATTTAATAAACCGAACCTATTGAAGATCATAGGTTAGCCCAGTCTATATTAAATGTGCTCGAAGCTCTTACATTAGTCTAAAATTGGGCAAAACCCTCTAATGCAAATATTATTCTATAATTAAGAATGTATAATTCACATTCAGTAGAAAGCATACTTCAAATTTTGAATTTTTAATTAGTCAAAATTCAAAATTGGATGTGTGGTTTCTACTGAATGTGTATCACTTTCACAACATCATGAAGTCAAAAATTCACAAGTTGAACCATTGTAAGTTGAGGATTGTCTGTGTGTGTGTGTATGTGTGCATGTGTATAATCTTAAAGCACATGTTTATTATAATATACTGCTTGTGTTCCAGATAAAAGCAGGAGGATAACAAAATGCTCACTATCACAACTGCTACTTAACATTTTATAAGGTGCATTAGCTAATGAGATTAATATGGGAAAGAAATTAGAGATATAACAATGTAAAACAAGGAGGTAAAAGTATTTCATGTAACAGATAATAAGAAAGCGTAACTGTAATCCCAGGAGAATGATCTGAAAAGCTACTAGAAAAAAAATAAGTTATTGGGTTATAAAATTAGTATTCAAAAATCAATAGACATCTGCACAAACAAAATCCATTAAAAATCATTAAAAGGATTTTATTCATTTACAATGGCAACAGAACAGGAAAATATATAGAGAAACAAATCTGAAATAAAACTATAGGTTTTCTGAAGGATGCAAGAATTATACTTGTATGGAAAACTATACCATGTTTTATCTAGGAAGACTGAACAATATAAAGATGTCCATTCCCCCAAAGTTAATTTATAAATTATAAAATTTATAAATAACCAAAAATCAAAATCCAGAAGGCCTAAATGAAAAGAGTAATAAATGTTTCTAAATTATTTTTTAAATCAAAAGCAAAGTCAAAAGACAAATGAAGAGCTGTGAAATATCTTTACGATTTGTACCACAGACAAAAGACTAACCTGCTTAATGAATAGAAAAAAAACTCCTAGAAATCAAGAATAGTAAGACCAACAACACAACAGAAAAATGGGCAAAGAAATGAACCAATAATTCTTAGAAAAACAAATACAAACTGAATTTTAAAATAGAAAATGATTCTGAGTTTTTTATAAATTAAAAAATGCAAACACACTCTATAGAGAAGCTTTTCCTTACCTATCATATTCCAAATTTTTAACAAAGCATGGCTGTTGAGACTATGGGAAAACAGCATTCTCATACATTAGTGCTAAGAGTGGAAAATGGTGCAAATCCTATCCAGGACAATCTGCCATTATTTACCAAAATACAAATGCAATTCCCCTTTGACCACAGATCTTCTCTTCCAGGTATTTGTCCTGCAAAAATGCTCATGCATTCTAAATGATATATGAACAGGATTACTCATTGAGACACTGTAATAGTAAACAACTGTAAATAAACCATGTGTATATCAATGGGAAATTTATGAAATAACTGGAGCTATATCTACATAATAGAATATTATGCATCAATAAGAAGAATGAGTATAGCGTTTATGTACCAAGATAGAGTGATCTCCAATAACATTTTAGAGTAAAAAAAACAAGATAAAATATTGTTTGGTGTGCTACCTTTTTTTTCCTAAGAAATGAAGCTAGTGAATATATTTTCATATTTGCATATATTTGTATTAAACACTAGGAGGATAAGAAAAAATGCAATAAAAATATTTATCAGTACACAGTGCAGTAGAATGGGTTAAGAGGGTGGATAGCAACAAGACTTCCAAACATGCATCTTGTATGATTTTGAATAAATATATTATCTACTCAAAAAATTAACTCTTAAAAAATAATCATAGGAATATGGCCCTGCTCTCTATTTTGAAGAATTATTTTAAATAGTAGATTAAATTTATGTTTCTACTTGGTTTTAGATGATACGATTACATATGAAGAAAAATAAGATTTACTGGATACATTTGATGTAAGAGGCTTTATATATTTCTCAACTATAAGACAAAAAACAGTAATTAATAAACGTTAATTATTGTCTCCACCTCTTCGTGGGGGAACAGTATCCCTTGTTTACTTCATATATCATTGAAGACTGGGATAAACTACTGGAAAACTGAGTTTGTAACTGTTTGGAATATAAAAATTCTTTAATTTTCTGCTAGGAAGAACAAGGGGAAAAAAACCTTTTTACTCCAGAAGTCATTACTGTACTGGGTTACCTGTATACTAACTTTAGTGGAATATATTAAATTTATCAGGCAACAGAAAAGAAATGTTATAAAAATCTATTTTGTCAATTCTTTTTTTAAAATACAAAAGATGTAAGCACATTCAATTCTTCACAGCTACAGAATCAATTCTCCAAGTAACAGATTTATATTCACATTTATTAACAATTTGATAGATTGTTGCCAGGTTTTTAACTAAATACAGCCTGTTTGTATATTCTAGGTATATTTTTATTTCAAATTCAGCCATCTCACATATACTTTAAAGTGAGAGGGAAAAAAGTCATATTTTAGCCAAGAAGAACTACCTATATGACATTACTATAAGTAAGTGTATATATTCCGTTTCTGAGAAAACGGACTAACAGCTTGAATATTTAAACATATTTGACTCTAAATAATTATTACAGAAAACAAATAAAATATAATATTGTTATGAGACTCATATCAAGTATTGCATCCAGATTTCATGTTGGCAATTCCATATTTATAAATTCTTTTTTTAAAAATAAGAGACATGATAGTAAGTTGTGGTACATTCTAATTGCAAGACAGAAAGACTCCATCCACAAGAGAAAACTATATAAGCCAAGTCAGAATTTTTAGCTGAATCTTTCAGCATGCAGCTCTGTAAGATTCATCCCCAGTGATGGTTACATTGGTCATATTTAGGAAAACAAAAATCAAATACTAATCTCATTTCCAAGGACATGCAAAATGCCCAAGGAATGCATTTCCCTTCAAAAATACTGCAAATACTATTTAAGTATTAAGATAGACTCTTAGCTCAGCAATCCCCAAATGGAGGCTGCATTGAGAGTTAATAATAGCTAGAATTGGAGAATTTTGTTTTTATCTGCCCCAAAAAGATTTATTTGTGATAATGACAGATAATAAATTTGACCTGCTGAATATAGATGATGGCATTTTAACAACATAATATATTTATATTTTAAGTCTTTATTTTCAGAGTTAAAATATAAATATATTATGTTTTATAAAGATCTAGATGGGTCCAATAATATACATGGTTAAAAATTGTAAAGATAAATATTATAAATTGCATTTTAAATGTAATTGAACACATATAAGAGGATAGTGTTACAAGTAGAATAATATAACTTGCAAATTAAATTATAAATAAATAATATTTGAAGCTAAAACATAAGTTTATCAGAATAATTCAAAGTATGTTATGAAAATACTCAGAACAAGAAATCGGTTGCTCATCTTTTAAGTGTAAATATATAAGATAAATATATGAAATAAATATATCTATAAATATAAATCAGAACCGCTGTTAAAAAATAAAACACTGCAAATACAAATGTTCTTTCAATTTATTTTCTGACAATAATGTAGCTATCTTTGAAAAGAACAAGAGAAATGAGTTAGCAACCTATCTTAATGGTTTGGTATTATCTAAATCTATATAGCTATACTCTCTTGCTTGCGTACCCTACTTGGTCTAACACAAGCTTGATAACTTATATCACAACATAGACCAAAAACTGCCACTTATTATTCAGGTTTCCGTGCCCTTCAGGGCATTTCTCTCTAGTCCTTTTCCCCATAATAAATATTCTCAGTGGCAAAGTGATTATTTTCCCCCCTCTCAGTTCTCATAACCTCGTAATCTGAATGGGATTTGGGAGATCAGTTCTTAACAACTCTTTCTTTCTCTAGACTAATTTACAGTTCTACTTAAAACCAAAGATTATGTAGTTCCTTTCTTTATGCCATTAGCTAACATCAATTATGCACCTACTATGTGCCAGTCATGAGACATGTATTGTCTCATTTATTTTTAGGAACACATTAAGGTAGGTACAACAATTTTATAAGCTTTTAAATATTATGTATTATATATACATAGCTAAGCAAATCATATGTGTAGAGCATTAGTTATTACAGAGTAAACCCACCCACATAAAGCACTCAGACTAAGAAATAATATATTACTGTTGCTCCAGAGGCCCCATCATACTCCCTCCCCTCTCTGAAAAGGTAATGACTGTCCTGCCTTCCAACAACAGATTATTTTCCTGTTTTGGAACACTTTACAAATGCAGTCACATAATTGAGTTCTTTTTTATCTGGCTTCTTTTGCTCTATGTGTTTGTGAGATTTATCCATAATGTTTTGTGCAGTAGCAGTCCTTGTTTCATTGCTGTATAGCGTGTCCTTGTATGTACAGACAACTCACTTATCCATTTCATTCTTGCATGACATTTTGGTTGTTTCCAAGTTGAGGATATCATGAATAATGATTGTATGAACATTCTTTCCTATGTTTTTTCATGCGCATATGTGTGCTTTCTGTTGGGTATATACTGAATAGTGGTATTGTTGGATCAGGGGATCTGCATATCTGCAAGTTTAATAGATACTGCCAAGCAATATTCCAAAATAGTTCTTTTCACCACACACCCTAATAAGAAGTAAATGAAAGCTCTTTACCAACAATATTGGATGTTTTCAGTCTTTTAAATTGTAGTATTCTAGTGGACATCTCATTGTGGTTTTAGTTTGAATTTCCCTGGTTAATAAACAGGTTGAGCATCTTTCCATAGGATCATAAACTATTTTTATATTTTTATAGAGGATACTGAAAATTTATTGTCCCTTTTCTCACTTGGGTCTTCCAACTTTTTTCATTAATCTATATGTCTCATTTGTGTATATGGGTTGCAAATATACTGGTTTTAAAAATCTTAAATGGTATCATTTGATGAACAGAAGTTCCTCCTTTTAAAATAATCCGATATGTCAATCTTTCCCGTTATCTTTTGGGAAATATTTCCTCTTCCCAAAGCTCATAAAGATATTCTTCTATGACTCATTTATGCCCATTTTTTAATCATTTGAATGTCCTTATGTGTGTGGGCATGCTTCTGGATTCTGTTTTATTTCGTTGATCTATTTGTTTGTCTCTGTATCAACAGCACACTATCTTAATCATAATTTTGATGCCTACAAATTCTTCAACTTTTTTTCTTCAAATATATTTTATCTGTACTTGTATTCTTTTAAAATTTTAGAATCACTTACAATTTTTCAAATTTCCTTTCCTAGCCCCAAAACACACATATAAACACCGTGCTAAAATTTTTATTTAGATTGTATTGAATTTACTAATCAATTTTGGGAAAATTGGCATCTTTTCAATAATGAGTCTTCCAATCTAAGAACATGTATATAAATTCATTTACTTTTGTATTTTTAATCTCTTTTTGCACTGTTTCCTTCAGTTATAGTTTTCTGTGACGAGATTTTGGATATGTTTAATTATATTTATTTCTAGGCATTTGGCATCTTTTGATGCTATTGTAAATGCACCATTATTATAAATTTCACATTCCAATTGTATCTTGTCTATAGAAATACAATTGCAATGACTAGTTCTACCTGGGTTCTGACCAACTTCATGGGGTAATATCCTGAGAACATTACATTTCAACCTTACTTTGCATGTCTCACACCTCCTGCTTTGGGCTTGCCTACTAAATTCGGGTGTGAAGTGCTACAATAAATATGCAACACAGAACTGCCGATGAGTTAATGCACCTTAGGGAGGTTCAACAAAATTATGGAATCTCAAGGATAAAAACTCCTCCCTTTTACCCCCTGCGTGAATGTTCCTGGGGCACATTTAACACAATTTTTTTACATGATCCCATGGATAGAACCACTAGTCACTTGTAGCAACGGCCAATTCAATGTCTTGTTGTTGTTGTTGTTGTTGTTGTTTTGCTTTCCTCTTTTCCCTGCTTGGAATCTCCTTTGGACCTCACTGCTGCTTTCTGAGCACATTTCCTCCAATAAGTGACTCACACACAAACCTTTGTTCCAAAGTCAGTTTTCTTGGCAAGACATCTCACCATCCTATTTAAGGGAAAGCCTTAACCCTTTCAAGTGAGTCATATGGCTGTAAATAATATGGCCTCCTGCTACCTGTCAGGCCTCATGTCTTCTACACTTCCCTTTTTGGAGTCTGCTCCAGCCATTCCGGCCCCTGTGCTAGTTTTCAATCACTCCAGACATCCTCTCTTCTCAGAAAAGTCATGTTTGCTACTTTCTCTGCGTGGACTATTAGATATAGATATAGATACATAGGTATATCTCCATGTGCCTTCCTTTTTCTTCTTAAAGTCTGTTCAGTCAGTACATTCTCTGTGATGTCTTTTTTGTCCAGACTTTAAAAAATTGCAACAAACATAACCCCATCCAGTCATTCCTATCCTTATCTTCTGCTTTACTTTTCTACTTAGCATATCATCTAATATTAATATATCAGGACATGGGTTTTTATTTGTCTTCCTCACTCTTGTATCCATAGTGCCTATAAAACTGCCTGACATTTAGTAAGGATTCATTAAATATCTTCTCAAGTGAATTTTTTTAAGAGGAAAGGACATCCCTCCACATATGTAAAAAGAAAGTAAAACAAGAAAATGTTTGAAATAACCATTGAAAGAATAATTTATTAAATTAAACTTAAAACATAAGGTTAAAAAATAGGTGGAATATAAAGCTCCCTGGAGAGAGAGAGAGGGAGTACTATAAGACACTTCATGTTTAGCAAGACGAAAGTGGGGAGTCTTCAGTTCTTTAGGATGTGGGCATGAAGAAGACATGGGGGAAGTAGCTCTAGTGAGGTATAATTTGTATTCAATACAATCCACTCATTTTAATTGTATGGTTTGATGAATTTTAAGAAATGTATTCAGTCATATACCTATCAAGGCAATTATGATATAAATAGAATATTTCCATCATGTGCACAGAAGTTCCTTCATGCTCCTTTGCACTCAGTCCTCTCTGCTGACCACAGCCATATGGCAGCAAATAACTGATCTTTAATTTTTTTTTCCTATTGCCATCCCATCTTAGTCCATTTGGCCTGCTGTAGCAGAATACCATAAAATTGGTAGTTTATAAACAACAGAAATTTATTTCTCACTGTTTGGAGGCTGGGAAGCCCAAGGTCAAGGTGCAGGTAGATTCAGTGTCTGGTAAGGCCTGCTTTTGGTTCATAGATGGTATTTTCTATCTCAGTTCTCACATCGTGGAAGGGAAAAGTTAGCTTTCTGGAGTTTCTTTTAAAAGGGCACTAGTCCCATTCATGAGGGCTCTACTCTTACAATCTAATCACCACCTAAAGCTGCTACCTCCTAATACCATCACCTTGGAGGTTAGAATTTCAACATATTAATTTAGGGAAAGACAAGCATTCAGTCCACTGCAGTCCTAAACCAATTTTGATGCTGTACTCCTAGCTGAACATGAGATGAAAAATACTGAGTCCTAAGAAATGTATCCATGGGTACTCAAAGTAAGAGGCTTCATGGTTGAGATAAGCATTGCAGGAATGGATCAGTCTCCCTCAGAGGTTCTTACTGGTGGAATTCATAATGTTATAGGACTGGTTGTCAAAAATGTCTTTATGTAGCAATGATAAGACAAAACATTAAGGCACTTACTACATAATCCTCGTGTGGGTGTAGAAGTTGGAATGACCCACCCTTCCCATGACACCTGCAGATATTTAGTTCTCTATAAGTCCTAAGTTTTCAACAAGTTGGAGGTGAAGGTGGTGAGAGGAGAAAAGATATTGGATTTTCTGCTAGTTTGGTCCTATGATATTTGAAATCACATATATTATTTATTTGTTTGTTTGCTTGCTTATTTATATATTGTAGTAAAAACATTTAACATGAGATCTACCCTTAACAAATTTTAAGTACACAATACAGTATTGTTAACCACAGATAATGTTGTACAGCAGACCTCTAGAACTTATTCATCTTATATCACTGAATCACATATTTATTTTGCTTTTTGAGACAGAATTTCACTCTTTTGCCCAGGCTGGAGTGCAGTGGTGCAATCTCAGCTCACTGCAACCTCTGCCCCCCGGTTTAAAGCGATTCTCCTGCCTCAGCCTCCGGAGTAGCTGGGATTACAGGTGCCCGCCACCACACCTGGCTAATTTTTGTATTTTTAGTAGAGACGGAGTTTCTCCATGTTGGCCAGGCTGGTCTCCAACTCCTGACCTCAGGTGATCCATCCGCCAGGGCCTCCCAAAGTGCTAGGATTACAGCTGCGCACAGCCACATATTTTATTTTTGAAAAAAAAAAAAACTACTAAAGTTTGTTTAGCTGTATTTGCAATGCAAGCTGTGAAACAGATCACAACATGGCACTCATATATTTAAAATAAATATATCACAATGCTGGCAAATATTTGGCATGTAAACCTTTGTTTTGGGGGACCTAAACATATTTCATTTCATTGACTTTAGCCTAGCGTCAGAGATAGAGCTCCCAATTTCGTATCACAGGCCTTTAATATCACTGTTCAAGCCTTTGACACAAATGTTAAAATATTTAGAATCAAGTACGGTATCTTGAACTTTGTGACCACAGAACTTGCTCTGGCTGTGTCTTAGCCAGTTTGCGCTGCTGTAATAAAAATACTGTGGGCTGGGTGACTTAAACAACAGACATTTAGGCTGGGCATGGCACACCTGTAGGCCCAGCACATTGGGAGACCGAGGCGGGTGGATCACTTGAGGTCAAGACTCCTGAGGTGTAACTCCTGAGTTCGAGAACAGCCTGGCCAACATGGTGAAACCCTGTCTCTACTTAAAAAAAAAAATACAAAAATTAGCTGGGCGTGGTGGCACGTGCCAGCAATCCCAGCTATTCGGGTGGCTGAGGCACGAACCTGGAGACGCGGAGGTTGCAGTGAGCCGAGATTGCACCACTGCATTCCAACCTGGGCGACAGAGAAAGACTCTGTCTCAAAAACAAAAACAAAAAACAAACAAACACAAAACCCAGACATTTACTTCTCACAGATCTAGAGGTTAGGAAGTCTGAAATCAAGGTGCCAGCTGATTAGATTCCTGGCAAAGACCCTCTTCCTGAATATATCCTCATATGGCAGAAAGAGAGAAATATCCTTGGTCTCCTTCTTTTTTAATAAATGCATTACCAAATAAGGGCTCCATCCTCATGACCTCATCTGACTCGAATCACCTCCCAAAAGCTCCAGCATCCCATTAGGGCATAGGGATTCAACATATGAATTTTAGGAAGACACAAATACACAGTACATAACAGGCTGACACTAATAATGGCAGCTAACCTTTACATAGTGCTCACTATGTACCATGAAATGTTTTAAGCATTTCAAAACTATTAATTTATTTAATGTTAATTAAATAATTTAATCAGTTTATATTAATTTATGTATCCCACAATTCTCTCTGAAGTAATTGGTATAACTGATATCACTTTACATACAGTGAGACAGAAACATAGAAATGTTATACAGCTTGCCCAAGATGATACAACTGGAAACGGGCAAGACCATGATTCAAACCCCGGTCCTGGGTCCTGTGTTGTTGTTGTTGTTTTTATTGTATATATTTCAGCTGTATAACATGACGTTTTGATCTACATACACATAGTGAAATTGCTACTACAATTAAGAAAATTAACGTATGTGTCTCCTTACATAGTTACCCTTATTTGTGATAAGAGCACCAGAAATCTGCTGACTTAGCAAATTTCCAGTAAACAATGCAATGTTACCAACTATAGTCTTCATGCTGTACATAAGATCTCTGGAATTCTTACATAACTGCAATTTTGTACCCTTTGACCTACATTTCCCCACTTCCTTCTCCCACCTACCCTGGTAGCTACCATCCTACTCTGTTTCTATGTATTCCGCTTTTTTTAGATTCTGCATATCCACGAGATCATGCAATATTCTTCTTTCTGTCCTTGGCTTATTTCACTTAGCATAATGTCCTGCAGGTTCATCCATGTTGCTGCAAATGGCAGGATCTCCTTTTCTAAGGCTTAATAATTTTCCTGTGTGTGTGCGCGTGTGTGTGTGTGTGTGTGTGTGTCAAGGTGCCAGCTGATTAGCTTCCTCTTTATGTCCTCACATAGCAGAAAATATGTGTATATGTATATATATAAACACATATATACACTCTATCAAAATTTCTTTAAGCATTCATCCATCAACAGACACTTAGATTGTTTCCATATCTTGGATACTATGAAAAATGCTGCAATAATATCTCCATAAGTTGCTGATTTCACTTCCTTTAGGTATATAACCAGAAAAGGGATTGCTGGGTCATATGATAGTTTTAGTTTTAATCTTTTGAGGAATCTCCATACTATTTGCCATAATGACTATACCAAATTACTTTCCTACCAACAGTGTGCAAGGTTCCCTTTTTTTAAAAAAAATTTTTTTGAGAAGGAGTCTCGCTCTGTTGCCCAGGCTGGAGTGTAGTGTGCAACCTCGGCTCACTGCAACCTCCACCTCCCGGGTTCAAGCGATTCTCCTGCCTCAGCCTCCTGAGTAGCTGGGACTACAGGTGTGTGCCACCATGCCCGGCTAATTTTTTATATTTTTAGTAGAGACTGGGTTTCACCGTGTTAGCCAGGATGGTCTCGATCTCCTGATCTCATGATCCACCCGCCTCGGCCTCCCAAAGTGCTGGGATTACAGGTATGAGCCACCGTGCCCGGCCATGGTTTCCCTTTTATCCATACCCTCAACAACACTTGTTATCTCTTGTCTTTTTGATAATATCCATCCTAACAGGTGTGAGGTGATATCTCACTGTGGTTTTGATTTGCATTTCTGTGGTGATTAATGATATTGAGCACTTTTGATATATTTGTTGACCATATTTAGTTACGTCTGGAAAAAATGTATATTCATGTCCTTTGGCCATATTTTAATTCGGTATTATTTTTATTATCGCCATTGATTAGAGTGAGTTCCTTATATATTTTGGATATTAGCTTTTATCAAATATATGGTTTGCAAATATTTTCTCTTAATCCATAAGATGTGTTTCCATTTTGTTGTTTCCTTTACTATACAGATGCTTTTTAGTTTGATATATCCCACTTTTTATGTTTGCTTTTGTTGCTTGAGCTTGTAGTATGATATGCCACAAAAAATCATTGCCAAGGCCAATGTCAAGGAGTTTTCCCCCATGTATTTTTTTCTAGAAATTTCAATTTCATTTCTTATATTTAGGCCTTTAATCCATTTCCATTTGATTTTTGTGTATAGTATAAGATAAGGGTTCAATTTCATTATTTTGCATGTGGATATCCAGCTTTCCCAACACCATGAATTGAAGAAAATATCCTTTCCCCATTGTGCGGTCTTGGTGCCCTTATCAAAAATTAGTTGATCATGTGTGGTTGGATTTACTTCTAAGCTTTCTATTCTGTTCCATTTGTCTATGTCAGTCAATGTGATATACAACATTAACAGAATAAAAGATAAATACCACATGATCATCTCAATAGATGCAGATAAAGCATTTGACAAAGTTAAGCATCTTTTTTTGATAAAAAAAATCCCAACAAAATAGGTATAGAAGGAGATTTTCTCAACACAATAAAACTCATTTATGAAGAGCCCACAGTTAACATAATAATCAAGGGGGAAAACTGAAAGCTTTCTCTCTAAGATCCCATACGAGGAAAAGATGGCCACCCTTGGCATTTCTATTCAACATAGTACTGAAAGCACGAGCAAGGGCAATCAGGCAAGAAAAAGAAATTAAACCCCATCTAAACCAGAAAGAAAGAAGTAAAAATATCGCTGTTTGCAGATGCCTGGTCCAACTAACACACAGAATCAGTGGTGAAAGAGAGTACCTGTAAGAAGGAGAGCCAGCATTCCTACTAGATCCTGGGCACTGTCCAAGCACGTTAACAAAAAACCCAAGAGTGCTCTTCATGCCTGAGCATTGAGGCAAATGAGAGAGCAACAGGGTCTGTACCATGTGAACCATGACTCTGTCCAAGAGTAAAATGTCGCCCACCATATTTCAAAGTCTGAAGTATCACATTAGGAATAAAGACAGAATTTCCAAAACAGAGAAGAGCAGAAATTCCTTTCAGCGTGTAAATGAGAGGAGAAAGAAATTGTGGCACCACTCTCAATAATAATAACATGTTTGATAAATATACCTTTGGTTACTTTTTAAACTAATCTGCCTAATTTTCTACTGGGGAGCATAAAAATTCTGTTAGGTGACACCAGAAACTTTTGTGTGTTTTAGTTTTATATCTGTATTTCATATATTACCATGAGTATCCTTATACAGTCTTAGAAATAATGTCCTGTATTCCATTTAAATTATATTAATATCTCTAATGAAATTCACGAGTGTCCAGTTTTATGTGTTCAATATGTGCTTTATGAAACACACAATAACTGGCGAAAAGCAAACACAATATACTTTTCAAAGTATATCTTATTTTTCTTAAATGGTACAATTTCTGTAACGCACTAAATTATGCAACCAATAGAAATATCAAGAGTTCAAACTTTCATAAACACTATAGTTTTAATTTGAAGTGATGAAAGTGATTAGAGTTGGGGGCTGCCTTCCACATTTATGACAGGTGGTAATCACTCATTCTTTGGAGATATTGATACATGTTCAGCATAATTAAGAGAAAAACAAATAGAGTAATTATAATGAAATTACAATTATTTTCTATCTATGTAGATGCTTCTCTTTCTAACTTTAAAATGATTCACATTCTCCTGGGACAGGGCAACAATTAGGCTTGCAGAGTAGATTGGAATCAAAATATAAAGACAGGATGGTGCTAAATAGTGAAGTACTAGATAAAACAGCAACTCCAACCAGATGAAAAGATAAGCAGCAATAAAGGATATGAGAACTAAATTCTTTTACTGTTTAAAGGCTTCCTTTCTGTCTGTTGGGGCTACTCTCTTGGAAACATAAAGCCAGTTTGTTTTGCTACCTTCTGAACTCATTTTAAGTTGTTCAAAACATACTCTTTGCATAATGCTTCTTTATTTTCAATCACATGTTGTCTATCTAATGAATTGTGAACTACTAAAATCCATACTTGCTGATATTTGTACTTTTAAATGTGTCATCAACTTTAACTAGGACTTGCAAAGTGGGAGGATGGTGACAGGAGACTCGATCAGTTTCTGTAAATAAGTCAAATGCTGTGTCTTCTACTTTCTACCATACATGCATATTAAGAATGGGGTCTGCAGATTCCTTCACACAGTTGTAGGAAGAATTCAGCTTCCCAAACTCTGGATGGAATCTAGAAGCACATTACAGTGAATCAGAAAGCAAAATAGCATCCACTGTGTAGCAGCCAAATTAATCCCAGGTGTTTGACAGTAAATCGGCACCCACTAATAGAATCGGAAATTTAGGCCAGCAAAAATCCAAGAATTCTGATTAAATATTTAAAATATTAAGACATTAAAAATAAACACTAAAACATCAAAAGTACTAAAAACAAATACTAAAATATTAAAGTATTGAAAACAAATATTAGAATATACTATGATCTTGGCTTAATTAGATAAGGCACTTATGTAACTTTAAAACAGCTTCAGGTGATACGGGTGGCTCAAGTCCTATAGGCATCTGGAATTCATATTCAAAATGAAACCAAAAGTCACCCCTTCATACTCCACCCCATTCTGTCCCTTCAATATTTCCTGAATCAGGGCCACATGAAGCAGACAGATGGCCGACATGATGGTGTACCTTCTCTTTCCTTCATAGCCCTTATCTATCAAGCAGGTCAATGACATTTCCCGGCAGTCAACAATGAATTCAGTACATCTCTTGAATTTACTCCTCTGTTTTGCCACTGCCCTTAAGGTCAGGACTATATCATCTTTTATCTGCACTATTCTGATAGCCACTTAGTTGGTTCTTTCATTTATTTTCAACAAATCTTTACTTGGTGCCTACTCTGTACACATTACCAAAAGCGATAGTCATATGGATGAATCAAAAGCAATACCTGCTTTCAAGTAACTTTCTCTTGAGCAAAGCAAACTAGACACATACAAAGTATTACCGGCATTTTATAAAAGTTTGTAAAAATACTTACTTCAGATAGAATGTGAGAAATTGTTCAAATTTAATTAATTTCCAATCATCTTGCCTTGCCTGTCTCCAATTTATTTCCCACCCTGAAAGCAATAATTATAAAATGCAAATCCTATCAGGTAATCCCTTGCCTAAATTATCTGTGCATTAGTTAAAATTCAACTTATCAATATGCCTTTATAAGAAAGCAGCAGTTCTCAAAGTGTGATTGGGGAACTTGAGGGTGGTCTCTGAGACCTTTTTAGTGGCTCTGCAGGGTCAAAATTATTTTATGGTAAGCCTAAAATATTTTTTTTTCCAGTCTCATTCTCTCACAAATGTACAGTCGAATTTTCCAGACACTGCATAAAGTGTGATATTGCAACAGATTGCATGAAGAAGCAGATATGAAAATCCAGATGTCTTCTATTAAACCAGACAATAAAAATAGGCAAAATTGTAAAACAATGCCAATCTCCTTATTAAATTTGGTTCATTGGGAAAAAATCTTTCATAAAATATATTATTTATGTTAACATGTATTGGGTTGATTATTGTTTTAAATAAATTGATAAATATTTAAAAGTTTCTCAGCTTTAACTTCTAGTACGGCAAATATAAATGGATATAATTCATATACACGCAAACCCTTTGGGATTCTCAATAACTTTTAAGAGTGTAAAGGCACTCTGAGACCAAAAGGTTTGAGAAATGCTGCATTAAAACACGCCAAGTTGTGAGCTGGCCTTGTCTTGTATTGCTGCTTACACTTACTCTGTGTTCCAACCATACTAAGACTTCCCATTTTCCAAAATATGTCATGCTCTCTCCTCCCTCCTGTCACAGACCATGTGTCAACCTCCACCTGCTTCCCACCTTGTTGTATACCAGACAGAAAAGGGACTGAAACAAAGTGAGTCTGAGCCAGAGGAGCACGGGAATGCATACACAAGGGCCCAGAAGAAAATTCACATTAGGTGGCTATGTGCTGCTCTGTTGTTCTTGCTTTCAGTGTTATGCTCAAATATCTTTCCTGGAAGCCAATCTAAACACTATGTCTACCCCAAAACAGTATCCCCTGTCACTGCACTTTCACAGGACCCTCTGTTAATAATTCAATTAGCATACATTTGGCTATTTTAATTGTTTTTAATAGAAATTGTTCTAGAATATAGAGAATCTTTTTTTTTTTTTTTGCCCTCTTTTGTTTCCAAATGACAATCTGAAGTTAATGGGCTTCCCAGAAATTTGAATAAGTGTTTCTAAAATCTAGGAAGCACATTTAAATGTAAGTTTTGCCAACACCTTATGAAATCTTCACACAAAAAAATTCTACTAATCTTAGTATGCATTGCACTTCAAAATCATTACTGGTTTGCAAATGTATCTTTCCCACTAGGATGTTACTTCCGTGAGGGCAGAAAACACGACAAGCCCACTGCATAAGGAAGGCGATACAGCATTTTAGAAATGATTGTCTTTTAAATCCTTAAACCCACCAAGGCAATCAGATTAATAACCCATCTTTTTCTTTGATTGATATTTTCAGAATCAGGCTGCCATACTACTGGTCTCCAAGAGTAGTTACGGTAATGTCCTGGGATATTCAAGTGGCACTGGAAGGTTTTGTCTAAAAAACATCTTCCCCAGAATAGGAAGTTCCCCTTAGATTAAGGAAATAGCTTGTAAGAAAATTGAGTCACATCTTAAAGTGAACTACTTTACTCTTTTAATCAAATTGTTTTGCCTTAATAGCTTGAGTACACATGATAGTGCTCTGAATCATCCTATCCTCCTAAGCTTCATATGTACTTGCAGGCCTAGTTGAACACATTTGCTGATCAGAGCAAACTTTGACTTTTCTAGGACCTCCAATCTGCTGACCCTATTATATTTGCCATTTCCATCTTCTTCCTCATGTCCTTAATTCCCTTTTAAATATAGTTAAATTTCATGGTTTGTTATTATAAAATTTCACTATGTAAAATCTAAGCTCCTTTGTCCCCCATCCCCAACTCTCTGTCATCCTCAACTAGCAAAAGAATTTGGAATTTACTTCAATCCAGGTATCTGCCTACACCATTCCTGTCCTCAAGTATCTGAAATGTTTAGAGAAAAACAAATAGCAATGCTGTCTCACTTTATGTTTGTGTCATGAAACTACAAGTGGCCTGATCTGCTTCCAGGCAACAAATCTCCATTTCTCTATTGGACTAATTCTCTCATTCTCTGAGTTGGCACTTCCAAACCTTCTTCTGTCTCAAAGCTCCAGCATAGATTTATTCCTCCTCATTCATAGTTGATTTCCTTGCTTCTTTATTCACTTCAGGAACAGAAACAGTTAGAAGATAATGTGCATATTCTTTCACCACCAGATCTAATAACCTGCCTGCCTCCATGCCAAATATTTCATCTCCTCTCCTGCTACAACCCCTCCACCTGTGCGTTGAATCCTGTTTTCTCTCCCCTATTTAAGACTTTCAGAAATTTCTCCTGTCCTCCCTGCATTACAGCTTCCCCCTCACTACTGAATCATTATCATTAGTATATGACATCGTGTGATAAATCTGATTTAAAAAAAAATCTATTGACCCCATTTCCCTTTGTTGTCACTCTAATTCTCTTCTCTTTGCAGCAAAACCCTTTATAAGAGTTGTCTCTCCTCGCTCACCATCATCACTTCTTCCCTCTCCTTTCTCTCCCCAAACATTCCTGGCCAAGCTTTTTTCTCATAAGTCTTATAAAAGAGTTACAATAAGTCACTGGTTACCTCCCTGTTACCAAATTCAGTGGTCACTTCCAAGGCTTTATTTTAACCTCTTGGCAATATTTGGCACAGTCAATCACACTCAACTTTGTAAAATAATTTCTACACTTTCTTCATATTCTCATATTGTTCTCCTACATAACTGGCTGCTCCTTCTGCTCCATATGGTTGTTTTCTCCTTTCTTCCTAAAATAAATGTTGGAGTTTTCCAATGCCTAGTTCTCAGACCTTTGCTTTCTCACTATATTCACTCCCTAGGTGATCTCCTTTACTCCCAGTGGCTAATGACTTCTAAATTTATATCTATATTTATAATCTTTCCTGTAAACTCCAGACATGTGTATCCAATTGCCAACTCAGTGCTTCTGTTTTCTCAATGTTTCGTGGACATTTTTACACTTGATGTAAATAAAACAGAACTCTTGATTCCCCATCCTCATCCCTAATCCTCACTGTAGTAAATGTCACCACCATTAACCCATTATTCCTGTCAAATACTTAGGAGTTACCATTGATTCCTATCTGCCCACCAGAGGCTGGATAGCTTACATTTACACATCCGGATTCCTTCTCCTCCCTTCTTAATGTGATTGAGTGGGAAGCACCAGCAGGAGAGCAGAGAAAGGAGAATAAATCTGGGGAATTTATTTCCCTGGCTGCCTCTCTGTGGGTTCACAGACGGATGGCTAATGTCACGCCAGACTCTCCACACTCCCCTTTTCGTCTCAGGTTTTTGATAACTTCTCTCTGCCTTCTATACCTTTTGGCTTAGGGGTATAATGTCTTCCTGTTCGTAATAGCAATGATGTCCGTATGCTTACCTTGTGATTTAGCCTGCTCTCACCTTTGTAAGGAGCCCACTTGCTGAACTGCTTGCAATTACCCAACTGGTATGTGTTTCTTGCCAATAGCCTAATTCACCTCACACCCATATTGAACTCATCAGCAAATGCTGCCTTTTCCACTTCAAAATATATTCCAGACTTAACTAATTTTCTCCACCTCCACCATTCCAACACCAGTTTAAGCCAGTTTAATTTCTCACCTGGATTAGAGCGACAGTTTAGTACATCTGCTCTCTCTTCTCCTCCCATGCTATTCTCCACACAATAGCTGGTGTCATCCTTTTAAAAAGTAACTCATACAATGCATTCCCCTACTGGCAAGCTCCCAAAGGTTTTCCAGCACACTTAGAATAAAATAAAGCACTATAATTCCTTATAATGGTCAACAAGGTTCTGTTTAGTTAGCCATGGCTTCTTCCAATCTCATTGCCTGTCACTCTCCCTAAAGCTTGCTTGTACTGCTTCAATCACAGCCTCCTTGAAGTTCCACAAACACTCACATTGTGATCCTACTTCAGATAATTTGCACTCAATATCACTTTATAAGGAATGTTCTTACCCTAGGTACTTAAGGATCTATTTCTCTTTTCATTTGCCCTCTACTTAAATTACTTAAATGTCACCCCAATAAGAAGTCCTTCCTGAATGTACTATCTAAAATAACAACCCATATTCTATATGCACTTACACAGCTTTAATTCTCTCCATAATATTCATTACTGCTTCATCTGGTCTATCTATATATTAATTTGTCTGTTTTCTCTTTCATCCACTATACTACATACTCCATGAGTGAAGGGAATGCCACTTTTATTCACCACCGTATTATCAGTACCTAGACTAGTACATGGCACATAGAAGTCCTAAATAAATGCACGGTGGATTAATGAATGAGAATGGAAATATATAAAGTGAATCGATGATATGTAAAGCCAAACTTAAACAAAAACTTAAATGAAAAGCCAATTTATAGTCCAAATTTGCCTAATAAGCAAATATGAAAAGCAGATTGATAAAATAGCATCAGGTTAAAGTAACCTGATTCATCCTCTAACACTGGAACTGTTCTTTGCAATGGGTCAAGATATATCCAAAGCCGATTAAGATTTCCTGATATAATTTGGATATTTGTCCCCTCAAATCTTCTGTTAAAATTTGATCCCCAACAGAGTCAGAGCCACTGCCGCTCTCCCTCTCCTCCCCTCCCCAGAGCCACCAGACCCTCAGGGTCTCTGCAGCCTGCCTCCTTAGCCTAGCCCGCCCCTGCCCCCACCCCCATGCCCCAGCACCATGGCTTAGGAGACCTTCAAGCAGCCTGCACCTTAAGACAAAGAGTAGATGTCTCACTTATCGGAGAGCAGCATCCAACCAGAATCCCAGTGATAATAGGATACAAGAGTGAGGAGCAGCTGCCTGTTCTGGATAAAACAAAGTTCCTTGTGCTAGCTAATCAAGCCTTCTTCCTGTTGGTGACTGGGCACAGAATGATGAGCGCCACCTCGCTGATTTCAGAGGTGTATGAGGAGTGAGAAGGATGAAGATGGCTTCCTATATACGGTATATGCCTCCCAATAGATTTTGGAAATTGTCACTGTAAAACTAGATAAAAATGCATTTATTCTAGAAGTTTACACCATTACCAAAGAAAAAAAGGAGTGTTACCAACTGAGATGGATCAGTTTATCTAATCACAGATCATCAAAACATAGTGTTCCCACCTAGGAAGTTAGGAAGTTGTTCTTGTATTTAAACAGAAAAACTGAGCTCCAGATGAGCACACTCAGGTCTAGAAACTATATTATTTAACCTAGGCTAGCTTGCTTTCAAATTTTAGAATTTTTAAAATAAAATATTTTGTATTCTAAGTTACCAATAAAATAGATCTTCGTTATTTTAATATTGTTTTCCCCCAAATAGGAACTTCCAATTCTAGCAGTAATTTAAAGGTATTCAGAGAGACACTGAGTCTTCTCTTTAGGTTCACAGAACTTGCCACCTTTTTTAGAGGGGTTTTTACTCAACTAGAGAAATCTCTCTAAGAGGATCTTTAGGCACACATTGTGAAGCATAATCCGTCAAAATGCATATGCCATAGTAGTTGGCACAAGCGCAGGGTAAATGGGGTGTGTAGGAAAACAACTCTAGCCAGGCATGGTGGCTCACACCTATAATCCCAGCACTTTGGGAGGCCGAGGTGGACGGATCACCTGAGGTCAGGAGTTTGAGACCAGCCTGGCCAATATGGTGGAACCCCGTCTCCACTGAAAATAGAAAAATTAGCCAGGTGGGGTGGCACACACCTCTAATCCCAGCTACTCGGGAGACTGAGGCAGGAGAATCGCTTGAACCCGGGAGGCAGAGGTTGCAGTGAGCCCAGATCACGCCACTGCACTCCAGCCTGGGCCACAAAGCAAGACTCCATCTCAAAAACAAAAACAAAAACAAAAACAAACAAAAAAAAAAAACCAAGAGAAAGAAAAAGAAAACAACTCTGACTGTGAACTGCTGCTCAAGGTTCCTGATTCCTATCAGAAGTATACTAAAAGTCTATGCTCTTGCAAGTGTTAGACAGCTATTTGATTTGTTCTCTGGATAGTTACATACATAAAAACACCACCACTCAACAGGAAACTTTAATAATTCATAATTTTAGTCTAGTTTCTTAGAAGATCCCAGAGAAAAAGAGTGGCATTTCTTCTATTTCGGGTTTTGTCTGATCTAAGTGCTCAAACTAGTGTCTGCATTGGTAAACAAACCAGCAGTGTACCAGTGTCATTCTTTAGGACAGCCATAGAAACCATAAAACAGTAAAACTAAAAGCATAAAAATTAAGATGCACTCCCTTCTACCTTTTGGCTTATAGCTATGGATGATACCCATTTTTTAAAGTGTGTAACTAAATAGTATTAAAAGGTTCTCACACTTTTATTTTTTATTTCATTTTATTTTATTTTTTGAGATAGGGTCTTACTCCGTGACCCAGGCTGGAGTGCAGTGGCATAAATACGGCTCACTGCAGCCTCGATCTCCCAGGCCCAAGGGATGGGATTCGCTTGTCTCAGCCTCCCGGGTAGCTGGGACTACAAGGCACATGCTATCACACCTGACTAATTCTTTTGAAAGGTTCTCACATTTTAAACAGTATTTCAGTAGTTCACTGTTAGGTCAAATGACCATCAGAATTCTCCCACCCTAAGTCCATGCCAGTTTTGGAGAAAACATAGCAAAAGGGGACATGTGCTGTTTACAAATATTTTATTTGTTTGTTCTTTGAGACAGAGTCTCACTCCGTCACCCAGTCTGGAGTGCAGTGGCGCGACCTCAGCTCACTGCAACCTCTGCCTCCCGGGTTCAAGCGATTTTTGTGCCTCAGCCTCCCGAGTAGCTGGGACCACATTCACGCCACCACGACCGGCTAATTTTTGTATTTTTAGTAGAGAGGGGGTTTTGCCATGTTGGCCAGGCTGGTCTCAAACTCCGACTGCAAGTAATCCACCTACCTCAGCCTCCCAAAGTCCTGGGATTACAGGCATGAGCCACCATGCCTGGCTTTTATTATTTATTTATTTATTTATTTATTTATTTATTTATTTATTTATTTATTTTTGAGACAGGGTCTCACTGTGTCGCCCAGGCTGGAGTGCAGTGGTGTGATCTCAGCTCACTGCAACCTCCACCTCCCGGGCTCAAGCGATCTTCCCACCTCAGCCTCCCAAGTAGCTGGAATGACAGATGTGTGCCACCATATCCGGCTAATTTTTTGTATTTTAGTAGAGATGGGGTTTCACCATGTTGGCCAGGCTGGTCTCAAATTCCTGACCTCAAATGATATGCCCACCTCAGCCTCCCAAAGTGCTGGGATTATAGACGTGAGCCACCAGGCCTGGCCTGTTTACAAATATTAATGTCAGGAGTTAAACATCTTCAAGTCCAACCTATGATAAAAGACCAATGCTTCCTACTACTTGCATGGGGTTCACTATTTACTTTTTCTCGGGAGTATCACAGGAAGATCACAATTACACCACTTTAGACTGTACACGCAGCAATTCACAACTTACTCCTGTGTGTTTAGGTGTATCTGGAAGACCTGTATCTGTTAATGAACATTGTTTACTGTCATAGAGGGGAAAATAAGATTCCTGCATCTGGGCCCTTGACTGATAATTAAAGGGGTTCCTGTTACCTGCTCTCCCTGTTACATGCATCTGTCCACTTGGCTAACTTTTAATATGTATATTTTTATATTATGTAAATTCTTAACAGGCCTATCTCATTTAAATTGTATACACCATTATATCTGACATTATTGTAACTACTGTACAATCAATAAAATTCCTATAAGAAACACTGCTTAAAACAAATATCATGCTGAGGGGTGACCTATATCCCACATTAGTTGGTGGTCACTTTATTTATAGGATGCTTAAAATAAATATATTTTAATGAACTAAGTTGAAGAAAAGCACAATTAAAAGCTATCAAAAAAACTGATGCCCAGTGTTGAAAGTGGGGCCAGGTGGGAGGTGTTTGGATCATGGGGATAGATCCTTCATGAATGGCTTGGTGCCTTCTCTCCAGGTAATGAGTAATTTCTCACTCTATTAGTTCTCACAAGATGTGATTGTTATAAAGAGTTTTGCACCTCCTCTTTTCCTGCTCCCTCTCTTACCACGTGACACTCCCGCTCCCCTTCTCCTTCTGCCATGATTAAAGCTTCCTGAGTTCCTCACTAAAAGCAGAACTTGGTGCCTGCCTCTTGTACAGCCTGCTGACCTTTTAACCAAGTAAACCATTTTTCTTTTTAACTTACCCAGCCTCAGCTATTCCTTTAGAGCAAAGCGAAATGGACTAAGACACTTCCTTTCCTGGACAATTCCTTTATGGGTATGTTAGGGTTTGATGCTCTAGGTTTCCTGTTTTTGTGTTCCATGGCTGAGCAAGACCCCTTGTTTATGAACATGAATTCTTTTAAAGAATTACTATGCAATATATCATACACATAAAATGTATATGCCTAGCAATAAATAATAAAAAGAATAACTGGACACCTATACTCAGGATAAGATATAAATATTGCCAAGAATTTTTGAAGTTACATCTTTCTCAGATTTCAACCTTCTTCTCTTTTTGAAATTTAATCATTATCCTGAGTTGTGAATCAATTACTTCCTTGCCTTTTTAAATGATGTTATTTTATATGAAAACAATATAGACTTGCAAAAAATTGAAATTATTGACTATCCTTGTTAATTGTGTTTTCACTCATCATTGTGTTAAAGATTCATCCGTGCTCATGTATTTAATTCTAGTCTAGTCATTCTCACTTCCATACATTATTCCATTATTTATCCATGTTATTCTTGATGGGCTTTTCAGTGGTTTTCAGTTTGCTGCGCTAGACTTTACAAGTTGCTATGAATACTGTTTACATATCTTTCTGTTACTATTGGCCTTGGAACCATCCATTTTCTTTAGAAGACTGTATACTTCTATTTTTAATCAATTTTGCATTTATCTTGCAATTATTCTGAGGGAAACTTTGTTTTCCTCATTCTGGCCTTCTTAGTTAGCAGTTTACTGTAGCCCTTTGAAAATATGCTGATATCACCTTAGATAATTCATTCAGAGAAACTATTAAATTAACACAGTAATGCCAATTAACTGTCTCTGTAGAGCTGTTTTCTGTTCCTTAGAGGCCCCACAGAAGCCTCGGACATGTTCTGGGTGATATGTAAAAGACTTTATAGTTCTATGACATCACATAATTTCCTTTTTTCACAAAATTGTGTTGGTGTTCCCTAAGTATCTTAAATTGAATTAACTCTAAATAAATATATAGGAACTCTGGTGGAATAAGAAAAAAGGAAGTACTACTTCTATCTCAAATAGGTGAAGCAATTACTCATTTCAGTGTCCACTTTCAATTGATCAGTTGATTTCAGCCTTCATTACACTGAGGGTCTAAATTCTTCTCACTAAAGGAGCCTGCCAGATTTAACAAATAAAAATAGAGGACACCATGTTAAATTTGAATTTCAGATAAATAATAAATAAAATTTTAGTGGCAATATATCTAATGTAACATTTGAGATCTACTCATACTAAAAAAAGTATTCATCCTTTATCTGAAATGCAATTAACTATGCATACCGTATTTTATCTGGCAACCCTATATCGATTCTACTAGTTAGAGCACTCAAGGTTTCCCTTAAGCTGTTCGATTTAAGATATTTCTTGTATGTCAAAAAGTCACTAGCTATGGGACACTTAGCTGACTTTTCACTGTTCTTGCCTACATCTTCATTTTATAGAGTACATTACCTTCAAGCAAAACACTGAGAGGCTTCTAAAAACTATTTTGCTTAAGGAGGATCACTTTTGCTCATGGTTCTCTAATAAGAACATTTTCCAAGGTGCAGCAAGTTTCGATCTTCAAAAACCCGCAGCTACTCACAGTGTAAGATGCCTGTCGGGGTGGGGCTCTGGGCCTGGAAAAACTAGAGCAGTCTGGATGCTGCGAGGCGGCGAGCAGGTAAGAAGCTTTTTGAACCTCATGGGATCCCATACTGGCAACTGCCTTGGCAGAATAGTTTATTTAGTCTCCTTTAGCCAATCAGATTGCTGTTTGATTGCCACGCGCTTACTTCCTTCACTACCATCAGTCCTAACCGCAGGCCAACTTTCTTCCCAGAGCTTTTAGGGGCCTGGCCTTTGCAGTTCCAGATCTACTACAGCAAACATCGTTCAAGATGTCCCACCAAGAAGGCAGCACAGACGGCTTACCAGACTTAGGGACTGAAAGCCTGTTCAGCAGCCCAGAGGAGCAGTCTGGAGCCGTGGCGGCGACAGAGGCCTCCTCAGACATTGACATAGCGACCTCAGAGCTGAGTGTGACAGTGACCGGAGATGGCAGTGATAGCAGGGATGGTGGATTCCCCAACGATGCCAGCACAGAAAATCGAAGCTCAGACCAAGAAAGCGCAAGTGAAGACATCGAACTTGAGAGCTTGGAGGACTTTGAGCATTTCCTCATGAGTGGTGAAAGTTTATTCCATTACCCTTTAGTGGGAGAGGAGGAGACAGAAAGGGAGGAGGAAGACGAAGAGATACAAGAGGAGGGAGGGGAGGAGGAGGAAGAGGAGGAGGAGGAGGAGGAGGAGGAGGAGGAGGAGGAGGAGGAGGAAGAAGAACAGCCTCGGGCGGGTCCACAAGGCAGTGGCGGCAACCATGAGCAGTATTCGTTAGAGGAGGATCAGGCGCTGGAGGAGTGGGTTTCCTCAGAGACATCTGCCCTGCCCCGACCTCGCTGGCAGGTCGTTACTGCTCTTCACCAGCGGCAGCTGGGTTCACGTCCCCGCTTTGTATATGAGGCCTGTGGGGCAAGAGCCTTTGTGCAGCGTTTCCGCCTGCAATATCGTCTTGCAGACCATGTCGGCTGTGTCAATACTGTACACTTTAACCAGCGTGGCACCCGGCTGGCCAGTAGCGGTGATGACCTAAAGGTGATAGTGTGGGACTGGGTGCGGCAGAGGCCAGTACTGAACTTTGAAAGTGGTCACACAAATAATGTCTTCCAGGCCAAGTTCCTTCCTAACTGTGGTGATTCCACTCTGGCCATGTGTGCCCGTGATGGGCAGGTACGGGTAGCAGAGTTAATTAATGCATCATATTTCAACAATACTAAGTGTGTGGCCCAGCACAGGGGACCTGCCCACAAGTTGGCTCTGGAGCCTGACTCTCCTTATAAGTTCCTCACTTCAGGTGAAGATGCTGTTGTCTTCACCATTGACCTCAGACAAGACCGGCCAGCTTCAAAAGTTGTGGTAACAAGAGAAAATGATAAGAAAGTGGGACTGTATACAATTACTGTGAATCCCGCCAATACCTACCAATTTGCAGTGGGTGGACAAGATCAGTTTGTAAGGATTTATGACCAGAGGAAAATTGATAAGAAAGAAAACAATGGCGTGCTCAAGAAATTCACTCCTCATCATCTGGTTAATTGTGATTTCCCAACAAACATCACCTGCGTTGTGTACAGCCACGATGGCACAGAGCTGCTAGCCAGCTACAATGATGACGATATTTACCTCTTCAACTCCTCTCACAGTGATGGTGCTCAATACAGTAAGAGATTTAAGGGACACAGAAATAATACCACAGTCAAAGGTGTTAATTTCTATGGCCCCAGGAGTGAGTTTGTAGTGAGCGGTAGTGATTGCGGGCACATCTTCTTCTGGGAGAAATCATCCTGCCAAATCATCCAGTTCCTAAAGGGGAGCAGAGAAGGTACAATAAACTGTCTTGAACCCCACCCTTACCTACCTGTGTTGGCGTGCAGTGGCCTAGATCATGATGTCAAGATCTGGACACCCACAGCTAAAGCTGCCACTGAGCTTACTGGGTTAAAGAAGGTGATTAAGAAGAACAAGTGGGAACGAGATGAAGACAGCTTGCACCATGGCAGCCTGTTTGACCAGTACATGCTTTGGTTCCTCCTGCGTCACGTGACGCAGAGAGGTCGTCACCAGGACTGGAGAAGTGGTGAAGCTGAATTTCCAGATGAAGAATCGGATGAGTCTTCCAGCACTTCAGAGACATCTGAGGAGGAGGTCCAAGACCGAGTGCAGTGCATGCCATCCTGAAGGCCTCATATCCAGTCCAGCTACATGCCACCTAAGTACACTGGACTTTAAAATTCAGTTTGACTAATTTAGAATTGTCAATAGATTAATAGATTTGCTTTTTGTCTTCTATTTTCCATAATATATGCTGAAAACCGTCTCTTCCATTCCTTCCTCTCTACTTTCCTTTCTTTCTTCCACACATTCTTTCTCTCATTCCTTTCCTCTTGGTTTCTTTACGCCTCTTTTGTTACCCCTTATTCTTACATGAGTGCATACACAACTTATTTATGCCTCTTTTCCTTTGTTCCCTTATAGTTGACCTCTAAATTTTCTGAATTTTGCTGAAAGAATTAATACCCTTATTAGATGCATCTACTCAAATCTGACAGTCTGAAAACGGTTACCTTTTTACTTTTTTTCATCTTTAACAATTTTTTCTGAAGATCGAGTTCCTCAGTTGACCTGAAAATTTCAGAAATGTGTTTCTTCTTTAGAAAATAAGACAAACTACAGTTTTGTTCTGTCGATACTGACACTTGGCCGCACACACACAGTCTCAGAAAAGGAAAAGAGAAGTAGTGTGTAGATTAATTCTTAACACTTGGCCATACGCAGACACAGTCTCAGAAAAGGAAAAGAGGAGAGGTACTATGTAGATTAATTCCTAACCAGATAATTCATCTCCTTAGAATAAATAACGTGGGATTGCCTACATTTTCTGAATCCATATATTAATAATTTTGAAAAATTTGAGTACACTGTAGCTGGTAAGAACTAAATTAAATTTGATCACATGACATTGTTTACTCTGTGCATTAAGTTTTCTTGAAGTTTTAAGGTTGGGAACTCCCACAGGGTTACCTTCCAGGAAGTCCTCCTGGGACAAGCATGTCCTATAAATGCCAGCTTACTGATATAAAAATCTCTCATATTTGAAAACGCATTCTAATTAACTTTTAAGAACAAGTTGCAATAAAGATTGTTTATACTTACACATAACCATTTGGTGTAATTGGTAGAAAAATCCTATTTGACATCCTCACATTGCTTAAAATTCTCTCTGCTGTTTAAATTGCTTTAAAAATTGTTTTATGCCTCATTTAATATAAATTAAATAAGGGTACTGGATGTCCAATTACTGCTCAATAAAAATATTTGTTTTTATTTTATATGTGTTATTTGTGTGAATGAATTCAGAAGATCACCTTGCCCCCAACACCCATGAACTATACCACACCATTCTTTGCAGACTTTTGGGAAAGAAGGATGTAATGAAACATCCTGTGTCCTGACAATGGCTTTTCTTTGATAATACTTCTCAAAATGAGTATTATCTCTGTGTTTTGGGGAAAATGTAGAGTAATTTGCATAATGAGATTAGAATTTAGAAAGGAACGTAATGACTGAAGTTCCTGCTCACTGAGATCCAAAGTTATGGACAACTGCCCGGGGGTCTGGGAGCCTCAAGAAGCCCCTACCAAGGTCTGCTGTCAGGAAAGGATCTTAAGAGTCCCAAAAGAGAATTTATGGGCAGTAAGAAGAGTGTTATAAACTAGAATTCCAAGTTTGGGACACCCCGTATAACTTCATGGGATACATACCAGCAATAATATTAACAAAACATTTTTAAAAAATCATTTGGGATTTCAAGTGACAGTGTGAGCAAAAGTGAAAGCAGATAAATTACGCAGTTCTTTTTCCACCTGCTGTTTAGAAGGTCTGCCTCTGGGGGATTTATATCCTGCTCACTTAACTAAACTAAAACTTTACTCAGAGTTCCCTGAATGGTTCTGAGATTGCTTGTGCTACCAGAGGCATTTGGTAAAAGATTTGGGAGGCAAAGGTAAAGTAGTAGCCACATTTGTTTTATGCTCAGAAAGGTGCTGCCTCAGCTCATGAATATTTTTGCTTATATCCTGACTTACCTTGGTGTGGGGCAGCAGCTGGGCCCACAATTGCTCCAGTTCTCCCTCATATCTTCCTCCTTCTTCACCAGCTCCATAAAAAAGAACGCCCACTTTTTTTTTGGCAGGACATTCATGTCATTGAAATTGGAGGTTTGGAGGCAGTGAAAGATCAACATGGGTCCCAGTCAGTCCTTGTGAGCCCCAGATATTCCTCATGGATTCCATTTATCCTTGCTTCCTCTACTGTGCATCATCTCCTCTTCCTGACTTCCCTGCTGTCTTCAGGTTCCAGCATATGATGCAAAGACAAAAGCCTCGCTGAGACTGATTAAGCGGTTTCCACAATTCAATAAGGCCTGGACCCTATTATAAGTCCCTTCTTATGTGTGTATCACCCCTATGTGTGTATCATCTTATATTTGTTCAATCAGAGTGTTTGTTTCTCTGATTGAACCCTGACTGATGCAACCTCCCCCACATACTTTGGACTGAATAAATCCCCTGGTTACTTAAACTTGGATATTTGCCATCTGGAGGAATTATGGGTCCTAAAGGGAGAAGTTGAAGTTGATACACACACACACACACACACACACACACGCGCACACACACACACACACACACACACTCTTATATTCTCAGTGTGAGCTGAGCTGAGACCCGCTGAATCACTCAGAAGTGGCCCAGTCCTGGGAGCAGGAGAGAAAGGGAAGGATGACATGGTAAGAATCCCATTCTTCCTCAGTGCTGGGGAGCTGGAGAACACCACCTCCTTCTCCTGGCCTGCTCCAGGTTCTAGGAAGGAGAGCAGATGGAGTCTCAGGCCTGTGGCTTCCTGTCTACACTGCTGCTCCCTGGGTTGGAGGGTAGCTAAGAGATCTGGGTAGAGAAGGGGAGAGAATCGGGAAAAGATGTTGATCAAGAAAGATGACAACCAGGGGTGAGGGCTAAAAGTGAATCAAAGATAAAACATCACTGGCCGGGCGCAGTGGCTCATGCCTGTAATCCCATCACTTTGGGAGGCCAAGACAGGTGGATCACGAGGTCAGGAGTTCAAGACCAGCCTGGCCAAGATGCTGGAAACGCCGTCTCTACTAAAAACACACAAAAAATTAGCTGGGCGTGGTGGCACGTGCCTGTAATCCCAGCTACTTGGGAGGCTTAGGCAGGAGAATCGCTTGAACCTGGGTGGCAGAGGTTGCAGTGAGCCGAGATCGCCACACTGCGCTCCAGCCTGGGCGACTCCAGAGCAAGACTCCGTCTCAAAAAATAAAATAAAAATAACAAAGATAAAACATCACTAAAAAAGAAGAGAGGAGAGAAACAAAACTAAAATCCACCCCAAATCCAAACCTGCCTGGAAGAAAAGAAAGTCCTCTGGTCTCATAGAGACATTATTTGGCAAGGCTGGCTTTGCTGCAGGAGCGCCCAGTCCTCAGCCCAGCCCTGGAGATGGGGGACACAGCCTCTACACCTCATCCTAGTCCTGGCCGGGGGGCAACTTCCTCTTAGTCATCCTCCTTGGCTTCCTCTCTCCCTCACTCTCTCTCTCTCCCTGTCTCTGTCTCTCTCAATGAATCTGATGTAGTATAGGCATACTTTGTTTTATTGCACTTCACTTTATTGTGCTTTGCAGATATTGCTTTTGTTTTGTTTACAAATTGAAGTTTTTTGGCAACTCTGCAATAAGCAAGTCTATCAGCATCATTTTTCCAACAGCATGTGGTTACTTCATGCCTCTGCCACATTTTGGTAATTCTTGCCATACTTCAAATGTTCCTTATAATTTTATCTGTTATGGTGATTTGTAATTGATGATCTTTTCTTTTTTTTCTTAGACAGTCTGGTTCTGTTACCCAGGCTGGAGCGCAATCGTGCAATCATAGCTCACTGCAGCCTCCTGGGTTCAAGGGATCCTCCCACCCCAGCCTCCCAGGTAGGAGGGACTATAGGCCTGAACCACTACACCTGGCTAGCCTATTTTTTACACAATTTTGTTAGAGGTGGGGTCTCGCTGTGTTGCCCAGGCTGTTCTGGAACTCCTGGCCTCAAGTGATCCTCCTGAGCAACTGGGATTACAGGCAAGATGTGATTGGTGATATTTGATGTCACCATAGTAATTGTTTTGGCACACCATGAACTGTGCCCATTATAACATGATGAACTTAATCAATGTTGTGTGTGTTCTCAGTGCCCCACCGATCAGCCATTCCTGTGTCCGTCTCCCTCTATTATGGCCTCCCTTTTCCCTAAGACACAAGACTATGGAAATTAGGCCAGTCAATAACCCAACAATGGCCTCTAAGTGTTCAAGTGAAAGGAAGAGTCATACGTTTCTCGCTTTAAATCAAAAGCTAGAAATGATTTAAGCTTAGTGAGGAAAGCATCAAAAAACCTGAGATAGGCCAAAAGCTAGGCATCTTGTGCCAAATAGTTGGCTAAGTTGTAAATGAAAAGGAAAAGTTTCTGAAGGAAATTAAAAGTACTACTCCAGTGAGCACATAAATGATAAGAAACTGAAACAGCCTTATTGCTGATATGCAGAAGGTTTGAGTGATTTGCATAGAAGATCAAACCGACCACAACATTCCCTTAAGCCAAAACCTAATCCAGAGTCAGGCAGGCCTTAACTTTCTTCAGTTCTATGAAGGCTGAGAGAGGTAAGCAAGCTGCAGAAGAAAATTATGAAGCTAGCAGAGGTTGGTTCATTATGTGTAAGGAAAGAAGGCATCTCCATAACATAAAAGTTCAAAGTAAAGCAACAAGTGCTGCAGCAAGTTATCCAGAAAATATAGCTAAAACCATTGTGTTTGTATGTTGCATTGCTATAAAGAAGTATGTGAGGATGGGTAATTTGTAAAGAAAGGTTTTATTAGCTCATGGCTCTTCAGGCTGTAAGAGCATGGCACTGTCTCATCTGCTCAGCTCCTGGTGAGGTCTCATGGAGCTTTTACTAGCGTCAGAAGGTGAAGCCAGAGAAGGCACATCACATGGCGAAAAGGGGAACAAGGTGGCAGGGGGTGGGGGGAACATACTTTTAAACAACCAGAACAACCAGATCTCATGTGAACTCAGAGTGAAAACTCACTCATCACCAAGGGGATGGCGCTAAACCATTCATGAGTGATCTTCCCCCATGATCCAAACACCACCCACCAGGCCCCACCTCCAACACTGAGGATTGCATTTCAAAATAAGAGTTAGAGGAGATAAATCTTCAAATCATGTAATTCCACTTCTTGTCCCCCAAGTCTCATGTTCTTCTCACATTGAAAAACACCATTACGCCCTGCCAATAGTCTCCAAAAGTCTTAACTCATTCCAGCATCAAGGTCAAAGTCTTAAGTTTCATCTGAGACTCATCTTCCACCTATGAGCCTATAAAATCAAAACAAGTTATTTATTCACAAGATACAATGGTGGTACAGGCATTGGATAAACACTACCATTCTGAAAGTAAGAAACTGGCCAAAAGAAAAAGGCTATAGGCCCCATGCAAGTCTGAAACCCAGCAGGATCGGCATTAAATCTTAAAGCTCCAAAATAATCTCCTTGACTCCATGTCCCATATCCAGGGCATACTGGGGCAAGGGTTGGATTCCTAAGGCCTTGGGCAGCCCTATCCCTGTGGCTTTGCAGGTTGCAGCCCCTGTGACTGCTATCACGGGTTGGAGTTGAGTACCTGTAACTTTTCCAGGCTCAGGATGCAAGCTGCCCATGGCTATGCCATTCTGGAGTCTGGAGGGCAGCAGCCCCCTTTTCACAGCTTCACTAGGCAGTGCACTGGTGGGGAGAACTCTTTGTGGGGACTCCAACTCCACATTTCCTTTCTGCACTTTCCTAGTAGAGTCTCCCTGTGAGGGTTCTGCCTCTGTGGAAGGCTTCTTCCTGGGCACCTAGGCTTCCTCATACATCCTCTGAAATCTAGGGGAAAGATTCCAAACCTCCTTCACTCTTGCATTCCATGCACCGACTTGACACCACGTAGACACTGCCAAGGCTTATGGCTTGCACCATCCAGAGTTGTGGCCTGAGCTGTGCCTGAGCCCCTTTGAGCCAAGACTGGAGCCAGAGCAGCCAAGATGTGAGGAGCAGTTTCCTGAGGCTGAGTAGGGCAGTAACACACTGGGACTGGTACCTGAAACAATTCTTTCCTCCTAGGACTCTGGGCCTGTGATGAGAGAGGCTGTCTTAAAAACTTCTGAAATGCCTTCAAGGCCTTTTTCCCATTGTCTTGGATATTAGTACTTGGCTGCCTTTTAGTCATGCTACTGTGTCTAGGAAGTGGTTGCTCTGCAGCCTGCCTGGATTCTTTCTCTACCACAGGGCCAGGCTGTGAGTTTTCCTAACTTTTATGCTCTGCTTCCCTTTTAAATACAAGTTCTAGTGTTAAGTCATTCCTTTGCTCCTACATCTGATTTAGCTTTTTAAAAGCATCCAGTCTTCTAACAGGCTTCTTGAACACTTTGCTGCTTAGAAACTTCTTCTGCCAGATATGGTAAGTCATCGCTTTTAAGTTCAAACTTCCACAGATCTCTAGGACATGAACATAATGCAGCCAAGTTCTCTGCTAGGGTGTAACAGGATTTACCTTTTACTGCAGTTCTCAATAACTTCCACATTCCCAAACGAGACCTCATCAGCATGGCCTTCACTGTCCATAATTCTATCAGCATTACAACCACAGTCTTTAACAAGTTCCAAACTTTCTCTCATCTTCCTGCCTTCTTCTGAGCCCTCCAAACTCTTCCAACCTCTTCCCATTACCCAGTTCCAAAACCACTTCTGCATTTTCAGGTATCTTTGTAGCAATGTCCCATTTCTCAGTACAATTTTCTCTTTTCCTTCCTTCCTTCCTTCCTTCCCTCCTTCCTTCTTTCTTTCTTCTCTCACTGTTGCCCAGGCTGGAGTGCAGTGGCGCAATCTCGGCTCACTGCAACCTCCACCTCCCACGTTCAAGCGATTCTCCTGCTTCAGTCTCCCAAGTAGCTGGGATTATGGGCATGTGCCACATGTCCAGCTAATTTTTGTATTTTTAGTAGAGATGCGTTTCACCATGTTGCCCAGGCTGGTCTCGAACTCTTGATCTGCCCCCCTCAGCTTCCCAAAGTGCTGGGATTACAGGCATGAGCCACCACGCCCTCAGTACAATTTTCTGTGTTAGTCCATTATGTCACTATAAAGAAATACCTGAGGCTGGATTATTTATAAAGAAATGACATTTAATTGGCTCATTAGTCTACAGGCTGTACAAGCATGATGCCAGCATCTGCTGGGCTTATGGTGAGGCCTCAGGAAACTTTTACTCATGGAAGAAGGTAAAGTGGGAGCAGGCATGTCACATGACAAGAGCAGGAGCAAGAGACAGAGGGGAGAGGTGCCACACATGTTTAAACAACCAGATATCATGTGAACTCACAGGGAAAACTCGCTCATCTCCAGTGGGATGTCACTAAGCCATCATTCATGAAGGATCTTCCTTCATGACCCGAATACCTCGCCGCAGGCCTCACCTCCAACACTGAGGATTACATTTCAACATCAGATTTGTAGGGGAGAAACATCCAAACCATATCAACCCTTGATGGAAGTGACTATCCTAAACAGATTTCAGTGTAAACAAAATAGCCTTGTATTGTTAAAAGATGCCATCTAGGACTTCCATAGATAGATAATAGAAGACAATGCCTGGCCTCAAAGCTTCAAAGGACAGGCTGTATCTGTTATTAAAGGCTGAGGCAACTAGTGACTTTAAGTTAAAGCTAATGCTCATTTACTATTCCAAAATTCCTAGGCCCCTTAATAATTATGATAAATCTACTCTGCCTGTGGTCTGTTAATGGAATGACAAAGCCTGGATGACAGTACACCTGTTTACAGCATGGTTTATTCACTGTTGAGAATTTTATCTCACTTTTGAGACCTACTGTTCAGGAAAAAAAGATTCCTTTCAAAATAAAACTGATAATTGACAATGTACCTGGTCACTCAAGAGCTCTGATAGGGATGTGCAAGGAGATTAATGTTTTCATGCTTACTAACACAACATCCATTCTGCAGCCCCTATGTCAAGGAGCCATTTCAACTTTCAAGTCTTGTTATTTAAGACATAAGCCTCATAAGGCTATAGGTGCCATAGACAGAGATTTCTCTGATGGATCTGAGCAAAGTAAATTGAAGTTATTCTGGAAAGGATTTGCCACTCCAGATGCCATTAAGAACATTCATGATTCATGGAAGGTGGTCAAAATAGCAACATTAACAGGAGTTTAGAAGAAGATGATTCCAGCCTTCATGGATGACTATGAGGAGTTCAACACTTCAGTAGAGGAAGTCACTGCAGATGTAGTGGAAACAGCAAGATAACTAGAATTAATTGTGGGGCCTGTGTATGTGACTATATTGTTGCAGTCTCTTGATAAAACTTGAATAGATGGGGAATTATTTCTTAAGGATGAGCAAAGAAAATGGTTTCTTGAGGCAGAATATACTCCTGGCGAAGACGTTGTGAACATTGTTGTAATGAACATGAAGGATCTAGAATATTCCATAAACTTAGCAGATAAAGCAGTGCCAGGGTTTAAGATTGATGCCTATTTTGAAAGAAGTTCTACTGTGGGTAAAATACTATCAAACAGCATCACATTTTTTGAAAGCACTATATTCTGGGAAAGGAAGATTCAATTCATGTGGCAAAGTTCATTGTTGTCTTATTTTAAGAAATTGCCACAGCCACTCCCATCTTCAGCAACCACCATCCTGATCAGTCAGCAGTCATCAACAACAAAGCAAGACCATCCACCACCAAAAAGATTATGACTTTCTGAGGGCTCAGATGATCTTTAGCATTTTTATTAATAAATACTGTTAATTAAGGTATGTACATTATTTTTAAGACATAATGCTATTGCCCAGTTCATAGACTACAGTATAGTATAAACATAACATGCATATGAACTGGGAAGCAAAAAAATGGTGTGACTCACTTAATTGTGATATTCACTTTACTGCAGTGGTGTGGAACTGAACGTGCAATATCTCTGAGATATGCATTTTAGGTTCTAGAAAACGAAGTAATTGTTATGGTTTTAATTTATGCATGTATGTTTCCTATTAGCACACAGAAGAAAGCAATAGAATACAACCACCAGACAGCTATGAGATACTGGGCAAAACTAACAATTCCATCAGTTCAATAAGCAGGCGAAGCTGCCCCTTTAGCTTTAATTTTTCAACACCAATTATTTTCATCCAATGTGGGTTGTCTACAGGACAGTGCTGTGTAGGTCTTCATGACCTTTATGAAATATTATAATTGTCTCCTAATTATGCACAGTATTTATCTGCATAAAGTTGTGAGAGATGCCAAACTATACTTTTAAAAAGAAATCTTCAGGCAGCCATTTCTTAAGGGGACAGGTGTGGAAAAGAATAGAGATGAAAAAAAATATATAATGGAGCATAATTGCTAAACGGTAGGCCAAAAAACTTTTGAATATTTGTCAAAGTCCAACAGTGACTGTCAGCAGTGCTTATTTTACCATGTTGTGAGCCAAAAGCATAATGCAATAAATTCACAATAGACTG
The DNA here is from genome assembly GCF_000001405.40 of Homo sapiens. Lineage (NCBI taxonomy): Eukaryota > Metazoa > Chordata > Mammalia > Primates > Hominidae > Homo > Homo sapiens. Next base: position 27,758,268 of record NC_000023.11, read on the forward strand.
AATCTTAGCCATCCTCTGATTGACTTCTAGGAACTTCACTATCTTAAATTTTCTCAATCTTAATCTCAACAGTAAAATGAGAGGGTTGAATTTTCAAAATTAGATCTCACGTCTTAATGGAACGCTGAATATATATTTCTTTGCTAGATAGTGGTATAACAAACACTGTGAGGGACTGAGATTCATGATAGGTAACCATTAAGAGCTTGCATCCTGTAGACAAGCTCCTCTTTTTTGTAGTGAGAGTTACCAAGTTAAGACACAGTATTTGGGCCTTCAGTGTTACTCTGTTAAGACTTATAATTGGAAATAGGGTTTCAAGATGGCCGAATAGGAACAGCTCCAGTCTACAGCTCCCAGCATGAGTGACACAGAAGACGGGTGATTTCTGCATTTCCAACTGAGGTACTGGGTTCATCTCACTGGGGCTTGTCAGACAGTGGGTGCATGACAGTGGGTGCAGCCCACTGAGCGTAAGCCAAAGCAGGGCAAGGCATCACCTCACCAGGGAAGTGCAAGGGGTCAGGGAATTCCCTTTCCTAGCCAAGGGAAGCTGTGACAGATGGCACCTGGAAAATTTGGTCACTCCCACCCTAATACTGTGCTTTTCCAGTGGTCTTAGCAAACGGCACACCAGGAGATTACATCCCGTGCGTGGCTAGGAGGGTCCCACACCCACAGAGCCTCGCTCGGTGCTAGCACAGCAGTGTGAGATCGAACTGCAAGTCAGCAGCGAGGCTAGGGGAGGGGCGCCTGCCACTGCTGAGGCTTGAGTAGATAAACAAAGCAGCCAGGACGCTTGAACTGGGTGGAGCCCACCACAGCTCAAGGAGGCCTGCCTGCCTTGGTAGACCCCACTTCGGGGGCAGGGCATAGCCGAACAAAAGACAGCAGAAACCTCTGCAGACTTAAATGTCCCTGTCTGACAGCTTTGAAGAGTGTAGTGGTTTTCACAGCATGGAGTTTCAGATCTGAGAAAGGACAGACTGCCTCCTCAAGTGGGTCCCTGACCTCCGAATAGCCTAACTGGGAGGCAACCACAGCAGGGACAGACTGACACCTCACACAGCTGAGTACCCCTTTGAGATGAAGCTTCCAGAGGAGCGATCAGGCAGCAACATTTGCTGTTCCGCAGCCTCCACTGCTGATACCCAGGCAAACAGTGTCTGGGGTGGACCTCCAGCAAACTCCAACAGACCTGCAGCTGAGGGTCCTGACTGTTAGCAGGAAAACTAACAAACAGAAAGGACATCCACACCAAAACCCCATCTGTACGTCACCATCATCAAAGACCCAAAGGTAGATAAAACTACAAAGATGGTGAAAAACCAGAGCAGAAAAGCTGAAAATTCTAAAAATCAGAGCGCCTCTCCCCCTCCAAAGGAATGCAGCTCCTCGCCAGCAACAGAACAAAGCTGGATGGAGAATGACTTTGACGAGTTGAGAGAAGAAGGCTTCAGATGATCAAACCTCTCCGAGCTAAAGGAGGAAGTTCGAACCCATCGCAAAGAAGTTAAAAACCTTGAAAAAAGATTAGACGAATGGCTAACTAGAATAACCAGTGTAGAGAAGTCCTTAAATGACCTGATGGAGCTAAAAACCATGGCACGAGAACTATGTGATGAATGCAAAAGCTTCAGTAGCCAATTCGATCAACTGGAAGAAAGGGTATCAGGACTGAAGATCAAATGAATGAAATGAAGCAAGAAGAGAAGTTCAGAGAAAAAAGAGTAAAAAGAAATGAACAAAGCCTCCAAGAAATATGGGACTATGTGAAAACACCAAATCTACATCTGATTGGTGTACCTGAAAGTGACGGGGAGAATGGAACCAAGTTGGAAAACACTCTGCAGGGTATTATCAAGGAGAACTTCCCAAACCTAGCAAGGCAGGCCAACACTCAAAATTCGGGAAATACAGAGAAGGCCACAAAGATACTCCTTGAGAAGAGCAACTCCAAGACACATAATTGTCAGATTCACCAAAGCTGAAATGAAGGAAAAAATGTTAAGGGTAGCCAGAGAGAAAGGTTGGGTTACCCACAAAGGGAAGCCCATCAGACTAACAGCGGATCTCTCGGCAGAAACTCTGCAAGCCAGAAGAGAGTGGGGACCAATATTCAACATTCTTAAAGAAAAGAATTTTCAACCCAGAATTTCATATCCAGACAAACTAAGCTTCATAAGCGAAGGAGAAATAAAATCCTTTACAAACAAGCAAATGTGGAGAGATTTTGTCACCACCAGGCCTGCCCTACAAGAGCTCCTGAAGGAAGCACTAAACATGGAAAGGAACAACTGGTACAAGTCACTGCAAAAGCATGACAAATTGTAAAGACCATCGACGCTAGGAAGAAACTGCATCAACTAACGAGCAAAATAACCAGCTAACATCATAATGACAAGATCAAATTCACACATATCAATATTAACCTTAAATGTAAATAGGCTAAATGCTCCAATTAAAAGATACAGACTGGCAAATTGGATAAAGATTCAAGACCCATCAGTGTGCTGCATTCAGGAGACCCATCTCATGTGCAGAGACACACATAGGCTCAAAATAAATGGATGGAGGAAGATCTATCAAGCAAATGGAAAACAAAACAAAACAAAAAGGCAGGGGTTGCAATCCTAGTCTCTGATAAAACAGACTTTAAACCAACAAAGATCAAAAGAGACAAAGAAAGCCATTACATAATGGTAAAGGGATCAATTCAACAAGAAGAGCTAACTATCATAAATATATATGCACCCAATACAGGAGGACCCAGATTCATAAAGCAAGTCCTTAGAGACCTTCAAAGAGACCTAGACTCCCACACAATAATAATGGGAGACTTTGACACCCCACTGCCAACATTAGACACATCAATGAGACAAACAGTTAACAAGGATATCCAGGAATTGAATTCAGCTCTGCACCAAGCCAACTTAATAGACGTCTACAGAACTCTCCACACCAAATCAATGGAATAGACATTCTTCTCAGCACCACATTGCACTTATTCCAAAACTGACCACATAGTTGGAAGTAAAGCTCTCCTCAGTAAATGTAAAAGAACAGAAATTATAACAAACTGTCTCTCAGACCACAGTGCAATCAAACTAGAACTCAGGATTAAGAAACTCACTCAAAATCACTCAACTACATGGAAACTGAACAACCTGCTCCTGAATGACTACTGGGTACATAACAAAATGACGGCAGAAATAAAGATGTTCTTTGAAACCAATGAGAAAAAAGACACGACATACCAGAATCTCTGGGACACATTTAAAGCAGTGTGTAGAGGGAAATTTATAGCACTAAATGCCCACAAGAGAAAGCAGGAAAGATCTAAAATTGACACCCTAATATCACAATTAAAATAACTAGAGAAGCAAGAGCAAACACATTCAAAAGCTAGCAGAAGGCAAGAAATAACTAAGATCAGAGCAGAACTGAAGGAAATAGAGACACAAAAAACCCTTCAAAAAATCAATGAATCCAGGAGCTGGTTTTTTGAAAAGATCAACAAAATTGATAGACCACTAGCAAGACTAATAAAGAAGAAAAGAGAGAAGAATCAAATAGATGCAATAAAAAATGATAAAGGGGATATCACCACCAATCCCACAGAAATACAAACTACCATCAGAGAATACTATAAACACCTCTATGCAAATAAACTAGAAAATCTAGAAGAAATGGATAAATTCCTGGACATATACACCCTCCCAAGACTAAACCAGGAAGAAGTTGAATCTCTGAATATACCAATAACAGGATCTGAAATTGAGGCAATAATTAATAGCCTACCAACCAAAGAAAGTCCAGGACCAGATGGATTCACAGCCGAATTCTACCAGAGGTACAAAGAGGAGCTGGTACCATTCCTTCTGAAACTATTCCAATCAATAGAAAAAGAGGGAATCCTCCCTAACTCATTTTATGAGGCCAGCATCATCCTGATACCAAAGCCTGGCAGAGTCACAACAAAAAAAGAGAATTTTAGACCAATATCTCTGATGAACATCAATGCAAAAATCCATAATAAAATACTGGCAAACCAAATCCAGCAGCACATCAAAAAGCTTATCCACCATGATCAAGTGGGCTTCATCCCTGGGATGCAAGGCTGGTTCAATATATGCAAATCAATAAACGTAATCCAGCATATAAACAGAACCAAAGAAAAAAACCACATGGTTATCTCAATAGATGGAGAAAAAGCCTTTGACAATATTCGACAGCCTTTCATGCTAAAAACTCTCAATAAATTAGGTATTGATGGGATGTATCTCAAAATAATAAGAGCTATTTATGACATACCCACAGCCAATATCATTCTGAATGGGCAAAAACTGGAAACATTCCCTTTGAAAACTGGCACAAGACAGGGATGCCCTCTCTTACCACTCCTATTCAACATACTGTTGGAAGTTCTGGCCAGGGCAATCAGGCAGCAGAAAGAAATAAAGGGTATTCAATTAGGAAAAGAGGAAGTCAAATTGTCCCTGTTTGCAGATGACATGATTGTATATTTAGAAAACCCCATTGTCTCAGCCCAAAATCTCCTTAAGCTGATAAGCAACTTCAGCAAAGTCTCAGGATACAAAATCAATGTACAAAAATCACAAGCATTCTTATACACCAATAACAGACAAACAGAGAGCCAAACCATGAGTTAACTCCCATTCACAATTGCTTCAAAGAGAATAAAATACCTAGGAATCCAACTTACAAGGGATGTGAAGGACCTCTTCAAGGAGAACTACAAACCACTGCTCAATGAAATAAAAGAGGACACAAACAAATGGAAGAACATTCTATGCTCATGGATAGGAAGAATCAATATTGTGAAAATGGCCATACTGCCCAAGGTAATGTATAGATTCAATGCCATCCCCTCAAGCTACCAATGACTTTCTTCACAGAATTGGAAAAAACTACTTTAAAGTTCATATGGAACTGAAAAAGAGCCCGCATTGCCAAGACAATCCTAAGCCAAAAGAACAAAGCTGGAGGCATCACGCTACCTGACTTCAAACTATAGTACAAGGCTACAGTAACCAAAACAGCATGGTACTGGTAACAAAACAGAAATATAGACCAATGGAACAGAACAGAGCCCTCAGAAATAATACCACACATCTACAACCATCTGATCTCTGACAAACCTGACAAAAACAAGAAATGGGGAAAGGATTCCCTATTTAATAAATGGTGCTGGGAAAACTGGCTAGCCATAGGTAGAAAGCTGAAACTGGATCCCTTCCTTACACCTTATACAAAAATTAATTCAAGATGGATTAACGACTTAAATGTTAGACCTAAAACCATAAAAACCCTAGAAGAAAACCTAGGCAATACCATTCAGGACATAGGCATGGGCAAGGACTTCATGTCTAAAACACCAAAAGCAATGGCAACAAAAGCCAAAATTGACAAATGGGATCTAATTAAACTAAAGAGCTTCTGCACAGCAAAAGAAACTACCATCAGAGTGAACAGGCAACCTACAGAATTGGAGAAATTTTTTGCAATCTACTCATCTGAAAAATGGCTAATATCCAGAATCTACAAAGAACTCAAACAAATTTACAAGAAAAAAACAAACAACCCCATCACAAAGTGGGCAAAGAATATGAACAGACACTTCTCAAAAGAAGACATTTATATGCAGCCAACAGACACATGAAAAAATGCTCATCATCACTGGCCGTCAGAGAAATGCAAATCAAATATAGACTATGACAACTAAATCTGCCTTTATCACAATGAGATACCATCTCACACCAGTTAGAATGGCGATCATTAAAAAGTCAGGAAACAACAGGTGCTGGAGAGGATGTGGAGAAATAGGAACACTTTTACACTGTTGGTGGCACTGTAAACTAGTTCAACCATTGTGGAAGACAGTGTGGCGATCCATCAAGGATCTAGAACTAAAATTACCATTTGACCCAGCCATCCCATTACTGGGTATATACCCAAAGGATTATAAATCATGCTGCTATAAAGACACATGCACATGTATGTTTATTGTGGTACTATTCACAATAGCAAAGAGTTGAAACCAACCCAAATGTCCATCAATGATAGACTGGATTAAGAAAATGTGGCACATTTACACCATGGAATACTATGCAGCCCTAAAAAAGGATGAGTTCATGTCCTTTGTAGGGACATGGATAAAGCTGGAAACCATCATTCTCAGCAAACTATCACAAGGACAAAAAACCAAACACCACATGTTCTCACTCATATATGGGAATTGAACAATGAGAACACTTGGACACAGGAAGGGGAACATCACACACCGGGCCCTGTTGTGGGGTGGGGGGAGGGGGCAGAGATAGCATTAGGAGATATACCTAATGCAAATGACGAGTTAATGGGTGCAGCACACCAACATGGCACATGTATACGTATGTAACAATCCTGCACGTTGTGCACATGTACCCTAGAACTTAAGTATAATAATAAAAAATAAAAAATAAATAAAAATAAATAAATATATAAATAAATAAATAACTCACAGAGGTGACTCACACAAGGGACAATGCCAAGTACATATTCCCACTCCAGAATCTGAGCTTTCGGCCCCCACCCTATACTTGCATAGAAAAGACACCACACACACACACACAAAAGCAAAATCAGCTATAATCTCATCACTCAAAGGTAACCCTTATTAACACTTTACAGTAGATTTTTTTACATATGTAAAACTAGATTATCTTTGAATAAAAATGAAATAACACAATTTTAAAAAAGACATAATTGATAATTAATAGTCACACTTAAATATTTTTTAAAAGTTTGCAATTAGGAACTATTGGTGAGTAAGGATATTTGTAAAAGTTTTAAACATGTTTTTGGAAATATGGAAATAAACTGACCTTAACATCATCACATAAAACCAAGCATTTAAAGGAAAACAGATTTTGTTCCAAGTGTTTTCTCATAGTAGCCCCCCCTCAACAAAAATCTGTAGAATTTTAGGATGGTGGAACTGATCTGTATGTTACTGAAAACACTGAGTGGATATATGACTCAACGCACTTGTCAAAACTCATAGAACTGTACGTCAAAAAAAGAGTACACTTTAATGTATGCATAGTAAAAAAATTCAGCAGGATATCAGGGGATCTCAAGATGGAATATAGACTATGACAACTAAATCTGCCTTTATTACAGTGTTTGACATAACCTCACCGAAGCAGGTGGGGGAAAAGAAGCTGGCATAAATAACTTTGCCGAATGCTGTTTTGAAGGAAACTGAAAGCTGAAGACAAAAGTAATGGTACATAGAAACTGAAGTCTAGTTGCTGAATTTATTTTTCATTGGGGTTGTGGTCACTAATTCTCAACCTGCATGTATGTCTGGGGTTGAATAAATAAGTAAATTGATGATGCATGTTGAGAACGAGGATTCTCACTGTCAGAGAGGGAAATTCCAGATGAGCAAGGAATAAAGGTGAAATGAACTCTGTAGTACCAGATTAGAGTTAGAGATATCACTATGAACTCACAATTAGCTTTATATATGAAATGGGAGGAGATTTTCCTTATCCCGTCGCTGGGTATGTGACACGGGTGTGGCTTGCTTCTTTGGCGTCTCACCGCTCAACCCCCTAGGCGGAGCATGCAGAAGGGCAGGTCGCGGGGAGTGTTTTTGGGCTCTCACCCCACAACGGCGTCTAAGGTTGAGGTTTTACATTTTACAGCTCCCGAAGCACCAGTGGGTGTGTGTTACAGTGTGCTCTTTCAGTTTTGCTATCTGCAGGTGGCTTGTATTAATCAGCTCAATTAGACCCTCTGCCTTATCACAAGGACAGAGGGCTTTCTGTATCCCGAGGTTCTTGCCCTAGTATATATATATAGATAGATGGTATATTTATATATATAATATATATAAATATATTATATATGTAAATATATTATATATATTATATATTATATAGAAGATATATATCTATCTATATAATATATATCTCCTCTCATTTCATATATATATCTGGCATATATATATTATATATTATATATATAGAGATGGACAGATGCAGAAATAATTATAGAAATGTGTATATACGTGGGTTAGAGTACATATATATATTTTCTTGTTCTCTCTACTGAGAGGCTCTGGGAGCAGTGACACTTCAGCAGCAATGATCACACCCAGCACCCAGATCTTGATTTCTAACTCCATTCTTCGATAAAAAGAACCAGGAATCCTCAGAGAAATGGCTGATTTTAAAGCTGGGGCAGTGAATATACAAGAGGAACTTGGAGCGTCTTGTAGTGCTAGAGAGCCAGAAAATTCTCATAAAACAAAAGGATGAGAGTATATCAAAAGGACACATAAACCAACTGAAAGGGTTCTCGATGGCCAAAGCTGTAATAAATTGACAAAAAAATCCCAAATAATGTGGCATTAGACTACAACCCGAAGTATAAAATATTCATGAGTCCACACTGGTACTAAATAAATAAATAAATAAGGGAGAAGGGACAAATCTACCTACAGAATAATTTGAAATAACAGTAGATAATCCCTTCTTCAGGAGACGGAGTTTGATTCCCCTCCCCGTTTGAATGTGGGCTGAATTTAGTGTGTTGCGTCTAAAGCACTGAGTATAAAAAGAGGAAATAGTAGTCATTTTATGTAAAGAAATGGGATGAACACCACTTAACCAAGTGATAGAGGTTCACATCACCAGTGATAAGTCACGTTGATATCATATGCCTCCAATATGATATAATGATAAGGACATTAACCTCTATGATTATTCTTCTGCAAAAACCATAACATTAGTCTAGCCGTGAGGAAAGTACAAAACAACTCCAAATTGAAGAACATTCTACAAATACCTGGCTAGTAATCCTTAAGGCTTTTAAGGTTACGAGAAACAAGGAAAGGCTGAAAAATTATCACAGATCAGAGGAGTCTAAAGAGTCATGATGGCTAAATGCAACGTGGTAGCCTGGATGGGATCCTGGAATACAGAAAGGGCATTAGTAGACAAAGTGGTAAACTCTGAATAAAGTCTGTAGTTTAGTTAATGGTAATGAACTGGTGGTGGTTTCTTAGTTTTAACAAACATACAATGGTAATGTAAGGCATAAATATTAGAGGAAACTGGGTGAGGGATATGTGGGAACAATCTTTGGAAATCTAAAACTATTTCAAAGCAGTAAGAAATTATTACATGCAAAAAATATCCATGGAAAAACTCCCTAACTATAGTAGCTATCATGATTCTAGTAATGTTTATCTTATGAGTAGAAATAATTCAGTTCCTTTGGTTCTTGAAATCTCTACTTATTTTGTGATTCATGCTGAGTAATTTTCATTATTTGTGACCTTTTGAAAATGTTCTTTCTTTTATCACTCTGACTGTTTTGTTCAATGATGTGCTTCTGGTAAGCTGCTTCTAATAAAAGTCAAATAAAAGCTGTAAATTGAAATAAAGATGAAATTTTTAAAGGACAATGTTTAGTAAATTCCTAAAAGAAATTTCTTTAAAGGGAGACTTATCACCAAAGAAAATTGTAAAGTACTTATTAAATAAGGACTTAGAAAATATTCACACATCACTGCTTTTTTTAAAAACACTGATCATTTACCACAAAACATATGTATTTTTGCAGTTTGTAAAATGTTGTCAATATCTTCAGCATAGAAGTGGAGTGAAAGTCAGATTTGAGTTGGTTGAAGGGTATATAGGAGAGGAAGTAAAAATGGTGAGTGTAGGCAAATCTTTCAAGAAGTTTAGCTATGTAGAAGAAAAGAAAAATGGAGTTACAGCTGGAACAACATGTAGAATTAGGGAAGTTTTAAGATGAAATATATTAGCAAAAAAAGTTGTTGATAGTAGATATCTAAATGTGAGAGAGATATCATTGATGTAGGAAGGAGTGGAAAACTCCAGGATTCCAGCTCTTGAGAAGATATATGATCTAGAAACTAGTGGAATAATGGCCTTTCCTAGGATCAAGCCAGACAAAGTAAATTCAGTCAAGTGAGTCGACAGGTTTGGTGGTGGGAAGATGGGTGTTAGGAGACTGATGTTATTGCTTTATGTCCAGTAAAATATGAGGTAGGACCATTGGCTTAGACTTCTGTGGGGGAGAGAATTTTCTTGAAAAAAAGTTTTGAAAAGAGGATAAAATTTGGACATAATTTTCTTAGAAAGTGGGAAAACGGACTTCCTAGGAAAATATATTTTCAAGGAATTCATAATTTTCAAAATAAAATTGTAACTAAAAGAATTTGCCAGGCCGGGCATGGTGGCTCTCATCTGTAATCCCAGCACTTTGGGAGGCCAAGGCAGGTGGGTCGCTTGAGCTCAGGAGTTCAAGACCAGCCTGGGCAACATAGCACGACCCCCATCTCTACAAAAAAAAAAAAATACAAAAATTAACCAGGAGTGGTGGTGTGTGCCTGTGGTCCCAGCTACTCGGGAGCCGGAGATGGGAGGATTGCTTGAGCCCAGGAGGTCAAGGCTGCAGTGAGCCAAGGTTGCACCACTGCACTCCAGCCTGGGCGACAGCATAAGACCCTGTCTCTAAAAACAAAACAAAACAAATAATTTGCCTTGGCCATCACCTTAAGGACATTTTATTTGAAATACAGATGTAGCTTAGAAATTGATTTTAAGTGCATTAAAACTTCGCTTCACTAGAGACAGGGGAGGGGTGTCTGTCTGATGTAGGAAACAGACATTATATGGTATCCATGTGCATATCAAATCAGCTTCGTTTAGAATTCAATATGGAATTGGAACTTCCCACCAAAATGCTTAAAGAGCTCTGTTAATTATGCATACACATGTACACTGACAGAGTGCTCACAACTCCAGCGATATACAAATCCAGGCCCTTCCCAGGGTCATCAGGAAAGAAGCCTTCTGCAGAGTACCATAGTAGATAGCAGTGCTCTAGTACTCTTAGAAACACGGTAAGATTAACACTGGCTCTCAAACACAGTGGAGTACAACCTAAGAAATCTCTGTAATGAGTATTACATGCCCTGACATAAGAAAATGACCATTCCAATATAGTGCAGAGTGATATATAAAGAAAAAGTTCAGCAAAATAGTTCCCTCGATGTCTAAGTGAGTACAGATATCTGTTAAAGGACAGAATGGGTCTAATAGGATCATTATTAAAGGCTGGAATTGTCCACTGGAATCAGAAACCACATCAGGGTAATTGCTATTTTAGAGACAGTTAAAGAGCAAAAACAATAAGGAATTGTTCTTAAGTGTAGGAATCACATGTGAGCTTTCTGTAAATGGTCATTGTTAAACTCTCATATTAGTTCTAATCATTTATTAACTGTGTGATCTCAAACTGTCTATATGTGCTATCATATCATCTCTAATCAGTTACGCTTTTATTTATTCTCTTGCAATATTTATACTATTATTTCTCCTTTATTGCTTCCTATTTTTACTGGGATTTCCTAAGCAGTGTCAAATGGTAGCAGTGTTAGCACACATCCTTGTTGGTTCTTAATGTTAATGGGAATACTTCTAATCTGCAATCATTGGAGTTTTTTCATTCTTGGTGTAAATTTGTTGTGCCTTATCTCTTTTTTCTTGTTTGTGTGTGTCAATATTTTATATATCTTATCAGTATTTTCTCAGCAGCAGATTTTGGTTTTACTGGTCAAGATTACTGGTTTGTGTGTTTTTTTTTCAGACAGTTTCTTTTCTACCACATTAATTTCTCCAGTTATATTTATTAATGCTTTATTTCAAATCATCCAAGTTTTATTTCTTTTGTTTCTTCTTAAACAGAAAACTGTGTTCTTTATATTTAATTTTTCTTTTTTATTTCAAATCCGTTCAGCTCTATAAAATTTCCTCTGAGTGTGATTTAGAGCACACTCCATAGGTTTTAATATATAGTGTCCTAATTTTTTTCTAAAAAGCATGTGATGTAGTTATTATTTCCTCATTAAAACAAAGGTTACTTTTAACTAGTTATTTTATATGATGATTAAAAAGTAATCCACTTTCATGGTAAAATATCCAAAAAGTGGAGAACAATATAAAGTGTAAAGTAAAATTAATTCCCCAGTTATCCATTCTCTGTTGTTGAAGATAAGCAGTGTTGACAACTTCTTGAACCTTTTCATGAAACATAATTTAAGGATATAAGAGCACATCTATTTTATAAAATTTTACTCAAAGAGGGTCTGAGTTAGTTATCAATAGCTGCATAACACATTAACCCAAAACTTAGTTGCCTAAAACAACAAACATTTGAATCTTAATTTTACATTTTCTATGAGTCGAGAATCTTCATATGGCTTAACTGAGTTATCTAACTCAGAGTATCTCATGAGGCTGCCATTAAAGTGTCAGCCAGGGCTGCAGTCATCTCAAGGCTCAAGTGGGGAAGGAACTGCTTCCAAGGTCACTCATGTGGGTGTTGGCAGGCCTTTGGTCCTTACTAGCTGACAGCTAAAGACAATAGTTCCTTGTTAAGTAGGCCACCCCATAGGGCAGCTCATAACATGACAGCTGACTTCCCTCAGAGCAAACAGGTGAGTGGAAGAGGGCAAAATATGGATGCTGCAGTCTTTTTGTAACCTAGTCTCTCAAGTCATCACCTCTGCCACGTTCTATTCACTAGAAGTGAGTCACTAAACCTTACTCACATTCAAAGGCATGAATGCCAAGAGGAGGATATCATTTAGGGCTGTCTCAGAGGCTGCCTACCACAGGTTCATATTAGGCATTTATCCACCGCAAAGATATTCTGAATATCCTTTTATATCATTATCTAATATTTTTCAATCACTGATGGGATGGTGGTAAAGAAACTGTAAACAAGCAAGCAAAAAATATGTAAATAAAGCGACTGAGTAAGGACTTGGTATGGTAAATATTTTAAGTATAATTATTTAGCATATGTGTAAGGTGTATGGTTATTGGTGTAATCCCCAGTGCCCCAACATCCATTTCAGATTTGGCCAAGTAGGATAATGGACTTGCAAGATCTTCCTGAAGTTAGAGCCAAGGGACACAGAGACAAATGGGCAAAAGTATTCCTCCTATTAAAACAGAAGAGTCCAAATGGATATTTAGTAGTCTGAAGTATAGAATATGGGAGGAACTGCCAATGGTTTACCAAAACTAAATTTTCTCTTTTTTTTCTGAACACAGAGCTCATCTTTATTTCATAGCCTCCCTTTCAGTGATGTATGACCATGTGACAGTAGAGATGTAAGTGGAAATATATATTCCATTCCCAGACCTAGGGCATAAGAACTTCCCAGGTGTACTTTTCCACATTATTTCATAGTTCTCATTGATAGGATGGAGGTAAACAGGGCTCATATATAGAATGAGCCCTTTCCAACTAAGGACTCATGACTTTCTTCACTTTGATCAGATGCTATTTTATTATTGCTGACTTATTCCTCTTTCTGAAATTTCTGTTGGATGTATTTTTGAAACATCTAATTATCTCCTCTTACTTTTCTTACTGTTTCTACTATCCTTCTCAATATTTTGTAATTTTAGGATCTTGAATTAATCTTCTGTCTCTCTGTAAGATACCTGGTTATCATTCCCTGCTTCTAGAGCAGTGATAGGTTATGGAACAGGGTGGAGTATGAAGGTAATTATTCTTATGGGAAGGCGCTGTTCTTTTTAAAAACAACAACAACAAAACACTTGAAATCATAAGGGAGCACATACTTCTGTTTCCTCATTCCCTAGCTCAAGTTGGAGAATGAGGTCTCAACAAGGAAGAACATGTATTCAATACTCAGCTTCTACTACACTATGCCAAATAATCACCTTACTGTTTTATGCAAGGCTTTCTACTCTTCCCTGTCAATCCTCTCTAATCAAGGAACATCCTTGGATTAATTTCCACCCTTTGTAGCAGTCTTCCTTGCACATATGATGCAGTTTGTCTTATGTATTTCAGTATTCCTTTACTGACTCTGTTTCACCAGTCATTCCACATATTTTCCAGGAGAAATGTCGTTTTCTTTTGTAATTTTATACATATTTTCTTATTCATAGCATTTTATTAGTAACCTTTAGACCCATATTATAAAACTTCAATAGTTTGCTGTACCATCTTTGCAAGTCTTTTCTTCTATTAAATAGACTAATTCGCACGAGAGGCAGAAGACTTTTTATCTTTTATGCCATAACCATTCACATTCCTTTCTCCTTTTGGGATTTTTAGAAGTTTCATATTAGCAACGTTACCACATTAAATTGTGAAATTTTGCATAAGTCTTAACACTGCCCTCCCCAGGTGCATATTAGGATACTTTGAAATTCCATTATCCTTTCATCAAAACACACTGAGATATGCAAATGATTTTTGAGCACTTGATTTATTATTTTTAAAATTTTACAGAAAACATATTTATAACTGTTTTCCTATTCCGGTCATTTTTAAAAAGAGGAAGAACATATTTACAAATCTAAGGGATGTGATGGTCATGGCCAATAAAAGATAGGCATAAACTTTCCCTATTACTGTTGAGTGGGGAAGCACGGTGGAAGGTGGGCAGAGAAAAATGGGTTAACCTTCACTGTGCAAATCATCTGGCTTCAGTGTGCTCAAGAACAAATTAGATTTAGGCTGGGCATCCCAGGCTGAGGAAGTTCTAGGGGATTTTGATCTCCTAGATTAAATAGCCAAAATGAAAGAGTGAGGTGCTGAGCTTCTGGCAATTCACCCTGAGGTATCACCTTTATATAAAGACCCCAATAAGATATTTGAATAGAGAAAAGGCAATGAAAAAGAATTGAAAATCCCAGAGGGTCATACAGTTCAGTAGTTCTAAAACCTGCTGAGTCCTATAGCTTTGGGAAGGCTACATCCTCTGTTTTTGTGGCTGATAAGACTTCCCCGAAGAATCTCACATCAGGTGGAAGGAAGCTGATTGGTGTTTATAAGTAATGGTTTTCTGGAATAAATGTCCATACATACTTTCATTACACGGGGCAAAAAGAAAGTCCCCGATCATGCTGCATTGAAAGATTTTCTTACTTGGCTTCTTGGTAAAAAAAAAAAAAGTGAAGATAGTAAAATGAATCACTTTCAGAGGTCTCGTTCACAAAACACGAATATTTTAAATACCTGAAAAAATGTTTATAAGTTATATAAGTACTTAAGTATTTCCTTGAGTGATTTTATGATCAATAAAAATATATAATTTTCAATTCAAATATTCCCTCTGGCTTTAATTATAGGTAGTGGATTTTCCCATATCGTTAATAAAAACAGGATTTCAGATTTATTAAATTTGACATCTTAAACATTTTCCTAGGAAAATTAGTATGGCATGCCATTCTGATAATGACTGTACAGAATATAGGAAGCAATTTGTCCCTGACCTTAATTATCAAACTAGGTCACAAACAAACCACTTTGCAGTAGGTATAGAGAAAAATACAGGATGTAGCTAAGGGCTTTCATCAAAATAAAAAGTTTCATAAAAACTTTTAATTGTGGAAAACAGAGATCTGCTATGTTTTAAGGAAAGAGAGTGCTCTTCCCCCATCCTGCTTCATTCACTGCCTGGCTGGTGCATAAGAATGATAGCTAAGCAAGATCTTAACTTTAATACCAAGTTCTGCTCCAAATAGGCTTCTGCAGAATTATTTTAGGATAAATACACAGAAATAGCATTGCTGGGCTAAATGATATATAAAAGATTAAGGGTTTTTTTTTTCCTGTATAAGATGTCCTCATATGCATTTGTTTCAGTTTTAACTCCCATCGACAACTTAAGGCATGCTGGTTTCCTCACACAGTATATACTACATAAACATGAAAATCCTATTTTGAAATTTTCTTATGATACTCTCTTTAGCCTTTTGTTTCTGTCTGTATGTTTATAATAGCCAAAATATATTGTTTCATTGGATTTAAAACAGTGAAAAGAATCCATATCGCAAAGTGGGAAAAATGAGTATTGGTCGTCTTTTAGTCATCCCCATATATCCTCTTTTGGGCTTATTAATGGGGGAGGGAAGAGAGAGAAAGAGAGAGAGAGAGAATCGTTCTAAAAAGAACTTCATCCTGGTATCTTGGATAGCCAAACGATATTTCCCCCCAGGGCTATAATGCTAATGTGCAAATGGTACCTTTGATTTTCTAAACAAAGTTGTTTACTGACTTAGCACACCAGTCTGTTCTTATGTACAAAATTGTAGTTCTTAAAATCCATGGTCTCACATATATTTAGCTACTAGACATGGACAACCAAATGTTGAAACTGCATTCTTTCAGTAGAAGAGGATTCACATGACAGGATATTCTCAGAAATAGTCATCAGATAACATCCCTGGTTTTTCTCTATAAAGACTCTTCCAGGTGGCACTATTACCCATAGGTTCAAAATGAAAAAAGCCATCTAAGCTATTTTAGTTAGTGAATGCAATCAGATGTTAGTAAGATAATTTTGAAATATCAGGGGATTCACACGATGCAAGTTTATTTTCTCTCATTTCAACAAGTCTATAGATAAGCAGTTCAGGACTGTTATAAAGGCTACGTGATGACCTCAATATGCCAAGGAGCTTCTAGTTTTATGCTCAGCCATTCTTATGATGGTGGTGGGAGATGATCTATAAAACTTCGATAAGCTATTTTGTTCCAGAAAAGAAGAAGAAAGTGAGGGAAGCAAGAAGAGGTGGCATCTATATCAGGAAATCATAATCTTTCCCAGAAATGGTTAGTCAATTTCTTACATCACCCCGCCAAATGCAAGGGTTCTTTGTAATTTATATACTTGAGCTCCACACTGGGTAACATCTAACCTACGGTTTCTATTAGCAAGGAGAAAGGAAAGAAACAATAGATATTGGATGACTTACTGCCACAAAATCTAAGAGTATTTTATAAAGCAAAGAATTCCCAACAATACAAGAATAACTGAAAGATCAAGTAAGATAAAAGCTGAAAAACATCCACTAATTTTAACAATAACAATAGAAGTTATTACTGATCATGGCAAGGAACGCTTCAATGAGAGAAGCAGCAGAAGTCAAAAGGAGTTAAATAAGGAGAAGTGAAGACAATAGCTCTTAAATAAAAACAAATTTTTAAAAATAGTAATTTATGGAGTGCACACTGGCTCAAGGAAATTTTGGGGGGATGATAAGAGTGTTTCTGGATTGTGATACTGATTGCATGAGTCTATACATTCACTTAAAAGCCCATTGAATTGACATAATTCATAAAATTTTGTGAATAATAAACATAATTTATATATAAATTATACAATAATAAAGCTAAAAATAATAGCAACCTTTATAAAAATTTGGCTCTAGATAAAATGAGGAAGTTGTGGCATCAGTTTCTCTCATTTACGTATTCAAATACTTTATTTCATTTGTTTTGGTTTGTTTTGGCAGTTTTTATTGGAAGCTAAGTTATTTTGAAGAAATGAGAATCTTGTTTCTCTTTATCAGAGAATTTAAAAGGAGAGATATAAAACACGATGCAGTCAAAAATTGTGAAAGCATATGAGGTAAAATTTGAAAAACCTGTCCCTCCTTGGTCTGTCACAATTACTTCTCCAAAGTCAATACACTTATCAACCTGGTGGCTATCCTTCAAAAGTTCTATGTATATACAAGGGTGGGTCCAGGTTAGGTGGAATCTAAAACTTATACAATTTTAGGACCTTACTAAAAAATAAGAAATTAAAAAATTATACATTTATAATTAGGTTAGGAAGTGTGTGTGTGTGTGTGTGTGTGTGTGTGTGTTAATAAGGAAAGAAATTAAAAAATGGCTGGAGACTTAATTCAGATTCATTTCATCTGAGGTCTGAAATGCTTGTAGAGAAATGCTTTTCGTGCAAACTGGTTCCCACACACACTACAATTCAGAGAATTACTAGAAACAGGTGCAAAGGAGAGGCCTTGAAGCTTAAGCTTCATTACTCTTGCGGCAGATCTGCCACTGGGTATATGTAATGTGCATAGCCAGTGTATAGAGTATAGCTGAGCACAAAATACAATTATTTAATTTTTTTCTTTTACCAGTTTATTTTATATTTAAGATCCCCATTCTCCTGGAGCAGTGGAAACTTGTTCTCAGTCAACTGGGGCTTTATCCTCTTTCCTGGAGGTTTGGTCAAAGTTCCTGGGTACTTAAAGTTGCTAAAAAGTTACAACAGACAGTTATTGGTTAGGTTACTGAAGATTCAGGGTGTCTAGGCCCTTTCTGGAGCCATTCTTTTCCCTGCGGACTTTCTCCTTTCCCAGTGATTGCCCTTTTCTCAGAGACACTCTAACATGTAGACTCTTGTCTAGCAGGTTACCTTCAAAATAGCTAACACAGATTGTATACAACCAACAGATGTGCCTGGTAGGTCAACAGCAGACCAACATCAGTTATTCTATATTTTGAATATCACTCTACTTACTGTCTTCTTCCTACCCTAAAAATTGGAACATATTTTTGTGTAAAGAAAATTAAGAAAATGAAGAAACGCTGCTCATTGTGATTTTTCTTCCATTTTGTCAATGTTCAACACATTCTCTATGTAAGAACTTTATCTTTTATGTGTCTAAATCTAGAAGAGACTTAAAGTCTCTTTTCTGCTTTCTGAGCCCTCTCCTGAAACAATGAATTGAGGCATTTTAATGGAATGTCTATAGGGAGAGAATGGTGAGGAAAGTAGTAGATACTTATCAGGAAAATAGTTAAAATTTAACAAATAACCCAACAATGTGCTCAACATATAAAAGATGTCATAATTATAATGCCATGACATTGATTTAATAATAGCTTTTCATGAAATAATTACTATACAAAACACACAATTCATTTTTAAAATTTTATCACTTGATTATATACATTAATTTATGCAATAATTTGCTGACTTCTTTCTCCACTTCACAAAGCTGAGTTCACATGGAAAACATAAATATTTTACCTAGTCTCTCTTGACTCCCAGTAGATCATATGTTATATTACTCCTTGGATATATATTCACTGAGAACCTACTTTGTGACAAACAATGTTCAATGTAATAGAAGCGAGTGGTTAAGAAAACAGCCTCTGTCCTAATGAAGCTTAGATTTCATTGGAAGAAGAAAATGACAAAGAAGCATACACATAACATAATGCCAGGTACAGGTAAATGCTGTAAAACTAAAACAAGGCAGTTGAAGGCTTATGGAATGATGGAGATAGTTAGGGAAGCCCTTTATCAAGAGCTCTGAAAAATTTAAGAGGTTGAACCATAAGAAAATCTACAAGAAGGTTCCTGATAGAGGGAACAACAAGTGAAAGAGGGATGGTGATAAAGGTAGTGGTACTGGGAAGAGTGACAGGAGATGAGCTTGGAAAGGAGTCCAGGAGCCAGAGCATGAGGCCTTGTATAGTGTTGTAGGCCTGGGTATGAGCTTTGGATTTTATTCTCAGTAAGTGTGCTGGGCCATTGAGAATTGTTCTTTGTTTTTGTTGCTTAGCTTTGTTTCTTTTAATCAGTATGTCATATTTTAGTAAACAGTGCACAGAGTAACTACTTTTAGGACTGACAGCTTACTTTTAAGGCATACATACTGATGTATAACCAGGTCATATTTGCATCCTAAATTTAAGCAAAACAGAAGGAAATATAAATAAAATATATAATATTATTCTTAGGATTAGCAGTTTATATTACATACATTTGGCCACAAACATGTTTTTAGCTTGCACTGTCCCATGATCTATATATCAATCAAGCAAACAGGCAATTTTTCCTGACTTTCATCTCATTCTTGACAAGTCATGTCCTGTAAAAAATGTAATAAAAAACTTTTTTAAAACATATTTTAAAAAATCACTTTTTGAGTTAGTGAAGTCAGTGTTGGTGTCATACAGAAATGTTTGTGAATATGTTTCAAATGGAAATTGCAAATCCAACTGTGTAAGGGTTTCCAAGTTACATAACTCAAGTGGAGTGATAACCAAAATACTAGATAACACTTCTTTTCATGGCTGAGTTGTGTTCAAAAAATGATAACTTATGTCACAACTTATTCCTCTAACAGGTCAATGGAAATTACTTTTACATCACCTATAAAAATTATCCCAGTAAACCTCTTGTGCTGTATTCTGAATAAATCATCAGAACTATGGGATGTTTAAAGATATTTATCCTATCTCAATAAAAGAAAAATTGGCAAAAATCTAAATATCCAACAATAAGGCAATAATTAATGTATTGTACTTTTTATCATGAAATAGTACCACAATAATGGATGTTCAATAATATTCAATATTCTTAATTATAGAATGAAAGAATGAAATATTCTCTAGCTGTAGTATTTTTTTCCCGTTGTGGTACACCAAGATGCCATGTTTGATTCTTCAGGAAGTTCATCTTTTAATTTGACAAGTCCAATGTTTGCCTTTGCCAGTGTTATCATTATTAATCTTAATTTAAGGAGTACAAACACCATTCACTGATTTACTTTACTTTGAGTCCTTTGAGATAGATCTTGGGTTATTTTTATCTACATGTATTTCATTTCATTTTAAAAGTTAGAAAGCTGAGTAAGCAATGACAAGACTTCCTATACCTCTTAAAGGAAAATATATTATTAGTCCTGTCCTTCCTTCTACATTCATTTATATATGTAACCAAAGAGCATGTCAAGGCCACATATTTTTTGAGTCTACTTCCTTCTGTTTAAACGATAGAATTTTTCTTTCAAGAGCTCATTATTGGATCTTCCCTAATTTTTAGATGTTTTTTCGGGTGTACAGTCAGCCTTATACTGAAGATGTGAGTGCCATACCAGTCTGGAAGTACTGTTTTACTTCTATCAATTCATTTGAATTTTATTATATTTTCCTCTCCCCATATTTAAATTAAAAGGAATAACCAAACATTCATTTCTGAAGCTTAACCATTGATAAAGTTATAATTTAGTAACTTATAATTATAATTATAAATTTATTTGTTGCAAAAATGAAAGTTACATACTTTCTTAATGGTTTACATGTTATTGGTAGTAAAATATATGACTAAGAAAACAAATTATAATTTTTCTTTCTCTGAAATTAATAATAAATTGAAAATTCAAGATTTGTATAAACTATAAATATGCTGTTGCTAAATTTGCCTACTTCAATGTCATACTTCCTGGAATTAAACCTTGGAATGGTAAAATCAATAGACTAAAGGATTATAATATTTAGTAGTCATTACTCATGGGAAGTGTACTAAGAAATAAAACAGAGCAATTAGACAAATCAGCATGATTACTTTACTTCTGTTTCATGGGTTGGCAAGTGCTTTAGAGAAAGAAGGACCAGGAAAGCAGATGTAAGATCTCAGCTCTGTAGATATCTGTACCATAAACATATTCTTGGTCAGCTATAATTAGGCATCTGCACCAAAGAGAAGCCAAAGAGATTCTTTGTGGCAGATTATCTTCTATGTAATGCATAATTTGTTTTTTTCAGCAAGTACCTAAGTGACCATGAGAGGTAGCATGTTCTATAATGGTTAACAGCACAGCCTCCGGAGCCAGTCTTCTTTAGTTCAAATCCTGGATCTGCCTGTTTGACCTCTGCCTGTTTCCCATCTGTAAAGTGGGAATGACAATAATAATATTCACCTCATATACCTCATAGGTTTTGTCAATATTAAATGAGTTAATAATGTGTGTGAAGCACTGAGAATTATAGCTGGCAATTATAAGATGTTCATTAAATATCTGCTATTATGATTATGATCCCTCTTTTTTTACCCATTCGTTTTTCTTCTTTTGCTACAGGAGCATTACTTAGGGCTCACAGCGTGCTGGTGAACATTTCAGAAAACAAACAAACAAAGTAATAGAAAGGAAAGCACAACTAAAACAATATCTATAATTGGGCTTTAGAAGATTTTATTGACATTTGTAAGATTTTCTCACCATCTAATTCCAAAAGTATTTAGACAGAAGGCTGGCTTTTGTTTTGTTTGAAAACATTCATTTTGGTGGTTTTGTGTAAATCTGATCAAAAAAGATGGAAGAATATAGATTTGGTTAAACTACAGAAAGGCTAAAATGCTTACGTCTCCTTTTCCATCCATCATCCAAAAGTAAATTGTTATCATGATACCCCCTTTATTAAATGCCTTTGAATTTTCTCCAATCTCCTTACATATTCTAGATTCAAAGTACCAGAGATTAGTTTAATAAAGGCTGAACTACAACTGATAATTTTATTTTATGTCTCTAAGGGTTCTTGGGACCATAAATGTGAATCTTTTTTTATTTTTTTCTATTAGTATGCCAAATCAATGTAGCTTATTTGTTTAGTGAACTTTACTAAAAAAATTATTTCTAAAAATGGTATAATGGTACTTTTATCTGACAGGATGGAAAAGGAACATCTGTCACATCAACTAGTTTTTTAAACTCCATATTTTATGCATCCCCATGGAGTTTATATTCATGTGTCTGAAGTTTCCTGAAGTTTTATATGTATATTGAAGAATAGCTTATTAAAATTTAGTAAAACTAGATCCCATTGTAACAACTTCAGCTGTATTTTTTTTCATGTGTGCTAATGGTTATTGTTTACTAGAATTATAAAATTAATACAAAATCATGGTGAAATTTTAGAATATCACAGTCACTATTTGGAAAAAATGAACCTAAAGTAAAAATACCTTACACAGAAAGCAACACACTGGTAATAAACTTATTTCTAGATTATCAATTTAACCATCAGCCTATCTATCTACCCACATATCTATCTCACGATCTTGGGTTCATAGCTAACATTCCTGCTTTTTTAAAATTTGACATAATTTCATAAAGATTTCTGTGCCATTCTTCATTTTTAGAAAAGTTGATTATAAAGGTTCTATGATAATTATTCAACTATATTTTATTGGTATGCCAATCTTGTAAGCCTTTTCATATTTCCTTGACTATTTTAATTTTTCACTTTTTTGGCTGGTGGCCAAGCCATTCCAGATCATGTCATCCCTGTTTGGACTCGGATGGAACAGTACAGTTTGTTGTTAAGGGCAGAATCTGGCTTCCAGAGTGACCACCAAATCGGTATTGGGGGATTAGCTATCCCAAGATAGCCTTTGGCCAATAGAAAATAAGAAACAATAGAGAGAAGGGCCGACAAGTACCCCTGTTTTCTCTCTCCTGTGGACTACTCTCAGGACTGGCTACCCTTCCAGAGAAGTCTCAGATGCTAAGTGAATATGCTTCCTGAGTGATCTGTTCTGTCACAGTGAACTCTCTTAGTGGCTTGTCTGAAGCAGTAGCAAATATAGCGATACATTGTTTGACACTGCTTTGGATCTTAACTCATTTCCCTCTTGTCCTCATCATCACAGCACTGAGCTGGCACATCCTAATTGAAATGCAAGCAACTTAGTCCTTGCTTCAGATTTTTTTTTTTTTTTTTTTTAGAAAATAGTGTTTTTCTTAATGTATTTATACATTTCTTTTTCACTACTTGGAGAAGTTTATTTTGCCATTGTTTTGCTATTATATAAAGCATAATATAATGGCCATTTTGCACATGTCTTTGACTGTATTTCTTTGTATTTCACAGGACTGATGATAAATGCTTGCTATACTGATGAGCAATAGCCCTATTAATGCTATTAAACATTTATTGCAAATGGGTTTTCAGAAAGGTTATGATTATACATACCCCTACAAGAAATGAAAAAAATGCTCATTTCCAAAAATGTGTTTATAACTTTAACATTTGCTAATCTGATTATCCTAGATGGTATTTTAAAACTATGTGGGCACTACCGAGACTTAATTTTTTTATATATTTACTGACCATCCATATTCTTTTACAAATGTAAACTCATAAATTATTTATATGAAAGTCAGTTTCCATTGCTTTATAAAGTGTTCCTTAATGACAGCATCCTTTAGTAACTTTGATCAAATATATTTTACTTAATTTGCTCTCTATTTTAGTATTTGCTGTATATTTTTGTTTGTGGTATTTAAAAAAAATGAAATTTGACAATATATACCTTCTGTCACCTAACATTGTCTTCATGCACAGAAAATTTGTATTTGTCCATCATACTTCAATGAAGCTGAAAAAACAACTAAACAAACAAAAAAGAAGGTTCTACTTTATTTGAATATTTTAAGAAATACCTACAGGAGTGTTTCCTATCTCCACAGCTGTTCTTTTATTTTATTTTATTTTTCCATAAGTTATTGGGGTATTGGGGGGATGCCTTCTCTCCTATGTATGGCCTACACATTCTGACTTTGTTTTAGATTGAATAAAATTTATAAATCATTATTTTCATTAAAAAAGGGTAATCACAAGATAAGAATTACAGATGACCAAAATCTTTAAATAATTTTCATCTGCCCTTATAATTATGCTAATGCATGATAAAGCAAAATATACCACAGAAAAATAAAAATATTTCCGCACATAAAAATATAAATATGCACATATGATTCATGAGAAATGGCTCTGTATTTATTACTTTTCTAAATAGTCTAGCAATGTTTACTTAACAAATACTTCCTTTCCTTACAGAAATTTTAGATTTTATATCAGGCCCTTTTCCTTTTTTTTTTTTTTTAACAGTTTCTTTTTTCATCCTCAGACTGGTAACACTTTCAATTAAAATAATTTGTTGATACATTATTAGAAAGTTCAAACCTTATGAAATGATGTTTCATTATGAAGATAATGCATGTAAATTTTAAGAAAAATAAAATATTATAGAAGAAACTAAAGCAAAAAAGTCACAGCCTCTTCTTTCCTGCATCACTCACATTCTCACACACACAATTTAGAGTCACTCACAGATATGGTTTTTGAGTTTAATTCTTATGATAATTATATCTTTGTAAATAGTTTTACTTGCCAAAGATAAAACAGTTTTTATTGTCTCTTCTTTGGGTAAAGAGAGGAATGTATTGCATTTATTCTTTTCAGTTTTTCTGACGATTGGTTTGTAAAATTTAAACAATGTACTTAAACTTGCATTTCTTGATCTCACTTCTAGAACATAACTCTGCTATTCAAAGAAGAAATCAGAATTAACATGCTTCTGTATACCATCCTTTCCCATACTTTCCGTTTCTGTTCATCATATATGTATGGTGTGACATTTGTAATATTTATACTCTTTTCTCTATCTGCAATTTTTAAAGATTTCCTCTATATGCTGACATTAAACCGTGAAAAGCAACAAACAGCACTTTCTATTCAATTAGCCAAATCATGTCTGTCATAGAATTAAGTAGTACAATTCACTAGACCTTGAATCATTATTTCCTGCTGAAAGTGAAAAAATACTCTAAACATATAATAGATTTTCTTTGAAGTGAACTTCAGCATTTTTTAGTTTTTAGACCATACTATGATACCAATTATTCTTATAATACATGTCGCCACCTTTTTTGTTGTGTTGGAATATGTTTTGGGCAACTTTTCATAGGCATTAGGTTTCTCTGCTCTTAAGTGTCTGAAAGCATATTTATTTGACACTCTTGACTTATTAATGATATAACTGAGTATATACTTGTAGTTTTAAAATGTTATTTTTCATAGAAATACAAAGCTATTGTATCATTTTCTTTGAAGAGTTTGTATTTTTATGAGAATGCTAGTTACCTCCCTGAAATTTTCCTTTCTTTGTAAACAAACTTTTTTTCCCTCTATGAAATGTTTTGGATTTTTATTTTGACCTTGGTGATGAAATTTGCTAAGCGTGGACTTATTTTATTTATCCTGATAGGCAGTAAATGAATCCTTTAAATCTGAAAGTTTACATGTTTCTATAGTTCAGAGACATTTTTAGTTCATTAGTTCCTCTTCCTTCTGGAATTACCTGAATCTGTACACCAGTCTCATATTTTGCCTTGATTTTGTATTGATTATTCTGGGATATTGTCTAGATCTGCAATTCAGCCATAACTTACATACATTTGTAATTTAGTCAGTTTATTGAATTTTACATTTCAAAAAACGTATTCTAATTGTTGTATCTTCTTCTGTTTGCATGGACAATCACTCTTGTTTCATGGAAACAATATTCGTCATAATTTTCTCTCATGATCTCATTCGGGTTTAATTTATTTTCTCCTTGAATTATTTTTCTTCTGAATGTTTTCATCTGTTAATTATATTATTCTGTTTGTTCTTTTTTGTCCCCCTTCTTCACACTCGGTGTTTTCCTCAAATGTCTTATCCTATGTGTTGGTCTATTAATATTTACAAATGAAGTACAGCATAGCATGCTGGATTCCACAATGGTCATGGGTGTGTTTCTCCAACAAGACTTTTCTGTAATTAAGCCTGACCACAGATTCTACGTAAGTAAACAAGTTACACTCTGGGACAGGTATTGACCTTTGTGTGAATGGTGAGAAGGCAAGAAGGTAGGCTCAAAGTCTTAATAATTGCCAAACCAAAGAGTTTTACTTTGGAAAGAAACATATCCAATATATTTCTCTTTATTTTTGTTCAACATTGTTTGCTTTTTAATCTCTTGAGGATTGTCCCAACTCAAGCTTGGCTTCCTTCTCAAGCTACAATCCCCTTACTACCCGCCCTAGAACAGACTATTTTATCCAGAGGAATTTCTTGGGCTTTATTTTGAGTACAAAATTCACTACAACCAGCTGTTCTGTTGATGAGCGGGAGACACGGGGGCACAAACATCCAGTTATTCTCAATAAAATTTCTTACAACAATTATCTTGAAGATTGACCTACTGCTTAGTCTGGCTTTGATATTTGTGCACTCTCAGCTTTGTTTTCCCCAGGGTTTCCTTGAGAAAATCTGCTAACCTCCGGTATTTGCTTCACTTTTGGCACTTCTAAATTTCCTTTCAATCCGAACCCATCAACTTTCTATCTACCAATAACTCTCTTATTTACATATATAAAATGTTCTTAATTGACAATTTTATTATGTTCTTTTGTTTGCATATGCACACACACGCACCAATATGCTGTCTGCAATTTTAAGTGGATATGGGAAGCCAGGGGTGATAGTCACAGTTGCTCAGCCTGTCATGTGGAATTGAAAATAGATATTACATTTTAAAATTTCATACTTCTCCTTCTCAAAATATTTTTGGCTTCAATCATTAACTTATTTTCTAAATACGAGTTGGCATCATTTTCAATACTATCCCTCCAAAATATCCCAGTGAGAATGTGAATAAACTTGTAATAAACCAACCCATTAACTTAAGAGGAAATCTGATATTTAAAATAAGATTTCTAATCCAAAAACCTGACATAAGTCTCTATTTACTTAACATTTTAGGTCTCATCTAAAGTTATGTAAAATTTTCCATGAAATTTATATTCTTTTTTTATGACTATTCCAACGTATTATAGGTAGTTAGGTACTTACTTTTTGTTATTGTTATGAATGGAGGTTTTTTTTTTCATTATATTACCACATTAATTTTTTTTTTTTTTTTTTTTGAGACAGAGTCTCACTCTGTCGCCCAGGCTGGAGTGCAGTGGTGCAAACTCAGCTCAATGTAACCTCCGCCTCCCGGGTTCGAGAGATTCTCCTGCCTCAGCCTCCCTGGTAGCTGGGTTACAGACACGCCTGGCTGATTTTTGTATTTTTTTTTTTTTAGTAGAGACGGGGTTTCACCATGTTGGCCAGGCTGGTCTCAAACTCCTGACCTCAAGTGATCCGCCAGCCTCGGCCTCCCAAAATGCTGGGATTACAGGCATAAGCCACCGCTCCCAGCCACCACATTAATTGTGATAATACATAAAAGTTTTATTAGCAACTGTTATTTATTTTTTGTTCTCAGTAATCAAATGCGCTTTAAGTTGAAATATTTTTTCATATAAGCTTCTGAGTTTTTATGTAGATAACATTATTTGGAAATAATGGTAATTTTCTTCACTACCTTCACATAACTATATCTCATTTTGTTTTGCCACACTGTTCCATAGGCCAGGACTAGCAGAGCAATACCAAGAAATACAGTAGCAATATCAGCATTGTCTAATTTCAGAATTAAATGTAAATTCAGTGCTTCACAATGTAGCTGTTACAAAGGTATTCTTTATCACATATAAGCAAGAATCCTTATATTTATATTTATTAATTTTTCAGAAGAGGTTAACATTTCTTTTTATCAAGTGCCTTTTGGTACACTGTTTAAATTTTTTATTTAAAAATCTTTTCCTACTACCTCAAAGCCATGCAATTATTTAAAGTTTGTCATTTTTTAGTCTGATTTCTTCCAATCTTCTCTAAATTTGAGATTATGTTATGTTATAAATAACGTTATATAAATAATATTATATAATGCTATTTTTTTCTTTTCTACTGACTATTTTGAATATACTGTTCTGTTTGTCGGCCAACATGCACTTAGAGCCATGTCCTTCTTTCCTCCTGCTCTACTGTGTGTATTGGGTGACCGAGCCCCACAAGTACATATCCCTTACTGATTAGTTTACCAATTACTTACCAATTAGCTTCTGACTGAATTCTGCCACTGAAAGCTACTGGCAGGATATTTGAGGATGAATGGGGAGGAGAATCTAAGGTATTTCTCCCACCTCTCACTGCTTCAGATGGCCTTCTTGGCTATGGCTGCTTCTCCCATGTGGTTCTAGCTTCCAGAGGCCCTCCCCCTTCTTAAGTTCTGGCTCCTACCAGAAGGCCCTTACTTCTGTTCGCTACCTGGTAACATCACCTGGTAACAGCACCTCACATCTTTGCCTCTCTAGCACTAGGGCCTGTTTCCTTCAGTGCTGACAGCCAGATTGCCTCATGGTCCTCTTTTTGCCCTTTCAGTTCTTCTAACACTTTTTGACATTAATATTCCCAATTTAAATTCCCTCTATTGAACTCCATAGCTTAAATTACCTTTATGCCTGGCCCCTGACTGATACATATATTTTTAATTAAAATTGTTACTTAATAATCAGACACGTAGGTGACAAGGCACATATCATCCAAAAGTCATAATTATAAGACAAAAATTAAAATGTAGGTTGAAACAAAGATATTAACATTTCTTTCTGCTCCTCCCTTTACCTAATAACTCCATCGTCCAATTTAAAAAGGACTTTAATATCTACTAAATGAAATAACATTATCAAAAGAGAGATGCAACAGTTTGTATATATTGATTTGTATATGTTAATTCTCAGCATAGATGTACAAAGTGAATTTCCTCACATGCTCATGAAATCAATGAGCTTAATTCTATCTACATTTGATAAATATTATATAATCAGTGGTACCAAAAGGAAATTTTATGAGGCCATGAGCATGAGTATTAGAAAAGCTTTCCTACTTTAAAACTATATTTTCATCAAAAGTCATCAGGGTATATAAGTAAACACAGAAGTGTTATATGATGAAAAAGAAGTAATCCTCAACCATATTGTCTTTGTACTATTTAATATATGAACCTACATTTTTAACATACTTTTCTTAGATTAGTCATGTTAATTTTTAAAGGCAAATTTTCATATTTTTGGAAGACAGACTGAAATTAACATATGCAAGTATATTTTAAAATGAGATTCATTTGCTAACACTTTTGGAATAATGGAAAGAAATTAATATGTAAGAATACATGGCTAACTGGAGTATCAGCATTGATCTAAGTTAATTCATTTTATTACTTTTCTTTGTTTTCTATTGCAGTGTAGAGTCCAAATAATTTGGTTTCATATCCCTTTATTTACTGAAGAAGATTTGTTTTGAATCTGTACTTTCCTCCAAATGGTGGCCCTTTATCTTTTTTAAAATAATCAAATCCTTTTGTTAATATATCTAACTTGCATAGGCCCAAAGTTAATTAAAAGTAATCAAAATAATTCTTACCACAGACTTTATAAGTCTCTGAGTTGAAGTGATGCCATGAGTTAGTTTATTTCAAAAAACTCACTTTTATTTGAAGGTTCATTTTTGAAGGAATTTGAAATTCATGATATTATGTATGGTAATAAACTCAATATCTACAATTACAATTGCCAGTAAATTAATGCATAAAAGGAAATAAGATCTGAAATATTTCAGAAAAGTATTTAAAATTTACCTTAAAGATTGTAAAGTCATCAAAGAAAAAAATTGCTTTATATCTTTAATGCGTTGTTTTTTCTTTGATAATTTTTCAAAAACAATGTGTTTGATTACTTTTACTTCTGTCCCCTTTTTCCACATTTTATATGCCATTTTTGCTCATGATTTTTATTTAAATATTTTTAGTATTCTACTTGTGAATGTGGCATGCAGTAGTAAAGAAAGCCTAGAAATGATGCCATTCTCCCTTGGAAAGCAGAAGAGAGGGGATAAAGAGGGATTGGCTTTGGAATAAGCTTTTAGGCACATCCTTAGCTAGGATAAGCGGAAAGATACATCAGTTTCTCAAAGCTGTGCTGTTGTCAATTGACTCTTTTATCATCAGGACTCTGAGAACTGATTGTCAATGCCCCTACCAGGTAACTCACTACACTCTTTTACACGTATCTCTTTACTGAACAATTCTACCACGAGACTCTGGCATCTTTGAAAACAGGAACTGCATGTTCTATACCCTCACATGATAGCTACTATTAAAAGTTGTTAAATAAAGTGATTAAATGCCCAGATGAGAAATGCAGCATGGTTCAAGATGCCAAGTATATCAGTATTTTTTTTATTGCAGTTTGTTCCAGTATGATTTTCTAGAGGCAAACAAGGAGAATCATCCATCCTGCCAGCAGCCAAATGTGTTTAAGCTTTGTGCTTAATTTTTTGTTACATATTTCAAGATTTACATTAAAGAGAATTAGTGTGATAATAATGTATCTTTTCAAGCCTAAAAACAGAAAACAGAATTTAAAGGCTAACAGAAAGTGACAAAAAGTTTTCTTGCACATTCTATATATAACCGTTGCTAAATATGTACCAATTTTTGTATTTTCTAGAGAAAGTTTCATACATAGTCTTTGCCCTAACAAATTTAGAGGCAGAGGAAACCTTACTGGAGGTGGAACATACACTCATTTCCAACCCTTGTGTATCAATAGTATAAAATGATGACTGAGAAAAGCCCAATAAAGTTTACTGAAATGATGGATTACATAGCTGAGAACCTCCACCCCAATTACATAACTAAAAGTATGGACAAGAAAAATATATAATAAGAAAGTAGCAAAATGATGAGGAAGTGAAGAGACAATATCTTGGGGAAGACAGAAACCCACAGAAGTGAAGCAGTACTTGCAGTATTTGATGCCAGTTTTCACAGGTTATTGAGGGGCCAAGTAATGCCTGTGATAGGTTCAAAGGGCAGGTGATCAAAAGATGAATTCCAGGTCCTGCCAAGATGGAGAGCAGTCTTGTAAGGTATACTTTATTTAGAATAGTTCCTGCAAACCTGCATACAGGAATAAGTGTGAAACAGAAGGAAATAAGCCCTCGCATGAGCTGAAGCTCAGTTTCAGGTCATTTGGTCTCTAGAAAATCTCAAACCCTGAAGTTGGATTATGGTGATAATACATTGCTAGTGCCTCCAAACACTAGGCAGAAAAAAAATCCTCCCTAGAGGCTTTAGGACGAATACCTGAATCTAGGCATCAAATTCATATTCAGAACACAATAAAATATCTAAAAATGTGTACAGAAATGATCAATACATAATCATAACCTAGCACATGAGGGGACAAGATAATTGAAACAGACTCACAATGAACATAGATATTATAATTAACAGACATAGTTATGCTAACTATGATCATGGAGGTAAGTATTGAACTTAAAATATTTACCAAGAAATAAGAAAGTGTAAAAACTGACAAAACAATTTTTAAAAGAACCAACCAGAAATCATAGAACTGAAAGATACAATGACGAAAATTAAGAACATGGAAGGTGGATTTTACAGCATATTTAATATAGCTGAAACATTTATGATTTGGAAAGATGGGTCAGAAGAAACTACCCAGAATGAATCATGAAGATAAAAGAGTGGAGAAAATACAGAAAAAAAGACAGAAACAGAGAATAAAATGAAAAGTTCTAAAACACATTTAATTGAAGTTTATAAGGAAAGAAAAAAATTGAAACAAAAAAGGGCTACAAATTTTCCAAAACTAACAGAAAATATCAATCCACACATTCAAGAATCACAACAAATTGCATGAAAGATAAACAAAAGAAAATCAGACATAGGCATATTATAATATACCTGCAAAAAACCAACACAAAATACAAAGGACATCTTAAAAATAGCTAATGAAGGGATCACATTTAAAGCATCAACAGTCAAAAGGACAGCTGCCTTTGCAACAACAACAACAATAAAATCCAGAAGCTGAAGGACTATAACTTCAATGTGTTAAAATGACTACCAACATAAATTATTTCTCACAAAAGTATCCTTCAATGATGGATGTGAAATAAAGACATAGACTGACCAAAAAAAAAAAATCCATTACTAACCAATTAAAATCCACAAAAATAATAGTATGTAAATCAACAAAGGAAGTAATTGTAATGAAGAGTCTACATTTCCAGTGTTTTCTAAGAGAACAGTGAAATAATCAACAAATAAAAGATTTTGGTAATTTTATCACGCATGTTGTAGTTTCTAGAGAAAAATGAATAGAGGAATCAAAGAATATAAAACTAAAAGCATCATAGAGGGATAAGGAATAATAAAAATGTGCAATTCAAAATAATGCAAGGAAGCAGAAAAAGGGACTCCTAAAACAAGTGGGACAATAAGAATGCAAATAATAACTAGTATTTGTAAAGTGAACACATTAGCTAATGAAGGAAATAGAATGACTCTGCCAAAATAAAGAAAACAATTCAGACTTGATTTTTAAAATCAACTATGTGCTATTTACAAGAGAATTATGTGAAATAAAAAGATATAAAAAGGTTGACAAAGTATAGGAAAAGTTTTATCATGTAATCACTAATCAAAACAAATCTAGTATAGTTATCTTAATAACAGATAAAATACATATTAAAGCCAAAAAGCAATAATAGATATATAGAAATTACTTCCGAATGATCAAAAATGTAATTCTCTGGAAGGCCATAACTATTCTAAATTACTGCACCTCAAATGAAATGGACTCTACATACACAGGCAAAAATGGACAAAATTACAAGTAGACAAAGAAAAATTTTAAATAATGATGATGCAGGGCACGGTGGCTCACGCCTGTAATCCTAGCACTTTGGGAGGCCGAGGAGGGTGGATCACCAGAGGTTAGGAGTATGAGACCAGCCTGGCAACATGGTAAAACCTCATCTCTACTAAAAAAACAAAAATTAGCTGGGCATGGTGGCGGGCACCTGTAATCCCAACTACTCAGGAGGCTGAGGCAGGAGAATCACTTGAACGCAGGAGGTGGAGGCTGCAGTGAGCCAAGATCACTCCACTGCACTCCAGCCTGGGTGATAGAGCGAGACTCCGTCTCAGAAAATAATAATAATAATAATAATAATAATAATAGATTTTAATATACCTACCTGAATTGGTAGATCAAGCAGATCAAATAAAACACAAAATAGAGAATATTTTAATAGTTTTAACAAATTTGATGTAAACTATATATACAAAACACTTTCTCCAAAACATGCACAACACACATTTTTTTTTTCAGACAGACAGGAAACACTTTAAATAATCGAGTATATTCTGGGCCATAAAATAACGTTAAGATAATTTGAAAGAATTGAAAATTACAAATTACAGTCACTAATCACAATGTAATTAAATGTAAATATCAATAATAAATACCTAAAAATCTCCCTAACTTAGGAACTTAGGAGATTGATAAATGCACTTTAAATAAACCACAGAGAAAAGAAGAAAAAAAAACAGAAAGTAGAATGTATTTTGAAATGACTGAAAAATAAAATACACCATAACATTTAGAGTATAATGTTCAACATATACTTAGAGGAAAGTTTACAGTTTAAAAGCCATATGTTAGAGAGTAAGAAAGGGTAAAAATTGATGAACTAACAATAAAATAATACCCATATTAAGAAAATAGCAGGCCAGGCGCAGTGGCTCATGCCTGTAATCCCAGCACTTTGGGAGGTCGAGGCAGACTGATCACGAGGTCAGGAGTTTGAGACCAGCCTGATCAACATGGTGAAACCCCGTCTCTACTAAAAATACAAAAGTTAGCCAGGCGTGGTGGCACACCCCTGTAATCCCAGCTATTCAGGATGCTGAGGCAGGAGAAACACTTGAAACCGGGAGGCTAAGGTTGCAGTGAGCTGAGATCACAGCCACTGCACTCCAGCCTGGGCAACAGAGCGAGACTCTATCTCAAAAAAAAAAAAAAAAGAAAAAAGAAAAAGAAAAAGACAAAAAAGACAAAAAAGAAAAGAAAAGAAAAGAAAATAGCAAAAGAAAAATAAAATAAACCCAAAGAAAATAAAGCAAAATGTTATAATAAGAACAAAAATTGATGAAATAGAGTTCAAATCCATAACTTAGTATCACCAAACTAAAAGTTAATTCTCTAAAAGGATAAATTCAATAAATAAACTCTTTGCAAGAATGATCAAGAAAAATAAACGCTGAAAAAGCCACTGTCAGAATGAAAAAGAAATATCACTACAGATCCAACACACATAGAAAATACTATATGATAGCATCAACAACAATATCATGGAAAACTTGAAAAATTAAACCAAATTCTAGAAAAGCACACCTAACTAAAATTGACCAAAAAAAAAGAAATAGAAAAGATGTGTAATAATGAATTTACAACTTCATTGTTTAAAATTCTGAAACAGAATCCATAACTTAAATTCCCTCAAAGCACACTCCAGAATTAGATGGCTTCGGAACAACAAAACCAACATTACACAAAAGTACTTCTAAAGAGCAGAAAAAGAGGAAACATATCCCATCTCATTTTATAATAGCAGTATAACTATAACATCAAACCCTGAAAAAGACATTATGAAAAAGTATTAAAATTAATTCCTTTCATAAGCACAGATACAAGTCTAAACAAATTATCAGCAAATTAAAATCTAGTGATAAATAAAAAATTAAATAATAAAAAAGAAAGGAAAATAGATAATACATCATGACCAAGCGGATGTAAATAAAGATAAATAAAATTTAAATATAGATTAAAAGATAAATAAAAAGATAATACATCCTGACCAGAGGGTTTTATTGCAGGAATACAAGATTTATTTAACGTTAAAAATATCAAACATTTTAATTCATAAACTGAACTGGAACAAAAGAAGAAAATCATATATATCAATGATGAAAATGTATTTACAAAATTTAGTACTCATTACTGATAAAAGCTATTGATATAGAAAAGGAATAAAATGCCTTGAATTTAATGAAGAACATCTAAATTACCACAGCAAACATCATTGAAAGTTTTCTTTCTTACATCAGAAACAAGACAAATATGCATGTTAATAATACTGTTATCGCTTCTATTTATCATTTTAAAAGCTGTTCCAGCCAGTTCAATGAGGCAAAAAATACTTATATACTGTAAGTGGAGACATAAGGTTTCAAAAGAAAAAAAATAAATGGCTATGAATTGTCACTAATTATCAGATACTATTTTACATACCAAACTACAGTAATTAAGACAATACAATATTTGCGGAAAAATAGACAAGTAGGCCAATGGAAAAGGCTAGAGAGTTTTGAAATATACCTACATATATAGTCACTTGATTTATGAAAATTGGAATGCAGTAGGGAAAGAACTGTCTTTTTTGTAAATAGTCCTGGATCAACTAGATATTTATGAGGAAAAAATTAACCTTGACTTCTAATTAGCATAATAAAAAAGACTTCCAGATGAGTTCTCTATCTAGCTGTGAAAGGTAAAACAATATAGTGTCTAGAAGAAAATGTGGTAGAACATCTTCATAACCATGGAATTGGCAACAATTTTTTAACTAGGACAAAAAATAATCAAAAATGGTAAAAACTGATCAATTAGAATATATTAAGATTGGCATAAGTGGAGATAGATTGACTATAAACTTCCAACAAAGTTCTTATTTCCAAAATACATAGATAACTTTTATAAAGCAATAAGTAAAAGGGAGACTACCCTATAGAAACAATGAACAAAAGACTTGATTAACAACTCCACAAAAGAGGATATCAAAATGGCCAATAATCATATTAAACACAGTAACTTCCATCGTTTCAAATTACATAAGGTTTTACAACTGGCATATTTATCTTTTAGAACTTTAAGAAGTTGGATAGTAGTTATCTTTGGGAAGGAGTTGCAACTGGAAGGAGGTGTGTGGAGGGTCCTGAGTTTTAGAAGTAGATGGCATGTCTGCACAATTTCTTTTTTTTTTTTTTTACAGTACTGTGATGTGGTTCTTTTTCCTGATCTGGATGATGGTTACATGAGCGTGTTCAGTTTATGAAAATTCATCAAGCTGTATATTTGTGATTTATTCACATTTCTGTTCCTATGTACATTATACTTGAGTAATAAGTGTATAAGCACACACATTAAAAAACTAAGGCAAACTAATGACAACAACCACAAAAACTTCACTGTGTGAATAAAAAAAAAAATTCCAGGCCAAATCCAGCCTGCAGACCACCAGTTTACGATGTTTTCCTGGTAAATGTATTATAAATTTAAAGGTTAAAAAAGTCTTAAAATAATAGTAAAGAACATTTGGAAGAAAGAACAACCTTTATGACCTCAAATACAGAAATCATATAAAATGGAAGCAGAGTGCAGTGGTGCACCTGTAGTCCCAGCTACGCAGGAGGCTGAGGCAGGAAGATTGCTTGGGCCCAGTAGTTCCAGGCCAGCCGTGGCAACAATGCAACACCCCATCTCTAAAAAGAAAAAAAAAAAATCTACTAAAAATACAAAAATTAGCCAGGCGTGGTGGCAGGCACCTGTAATCCCAGCTACTCGGGAAGCTGAGGTAGGAGAATTGCTTGAACCCGGGAGGCAGAGGTTGCATTGAGCGGAGATTGCACCATTGCACTACAGCCTGGGTGACAGAGTGAGACTCCATCTCAAATAATAATAATAATAAATATAAATATAAATAAAAATTCCATATATAAAAATATATATGGGAAAGTATCTGCAACTAATATGACAGAAAATTTAAAATATTGTTAATAAATTTTAAAATACATATATTGGCTATCTCTTGTTGGGAAATTATGATAATTTTTATTTCTTCTTTGAACAATTCCTTACTTTTAAAAATAAACATCTAAGTATAAATATCTGAATAGCATATAATGAATATTTAAAAATATATATTCATAAATCAAGAAATCTCAACCACTACCTCAAATGTATTTTTATTTCTTAATACCAGATGACTTTTATTTCACTAATTAGAATTGTACTTCACCATATAATATCACCCATTACCTCACACTACCCATATTGTTCCATTCTGGGTGAGTATATATTTTAACATTCAAACTGTTGCCTTCTCAACTTTTCTGTGTACCCTTGAAATCTTAAATATATATCTAACATTTTACTAAAGATATTATTTCTCATAGTCAACAAATAAACAGCAGGCTTTCTTGTTTTATAAAAACATATTGTAAAGTGATAAAAATCACTCTAGTCACATACCATAGTAAAAATCAATAAAAAGATGTGCACTCCAGGAAAACTGTCTTTTTGATAGGGTTTTTGTAATATATAAAACAAACTAAACTAAAAAACTTTAATCTTCCTTAAACATTAATATCATAGATAATAATTTTATATCTTACAGTCTCTTCTAATCTTGTGAGCTTTGCTCCATTGCTACTGTCATTTACTAAAGTACTGATACTTCTGTGATTCCAGTATTTGACTCATCATTCAAATATTAAGCCTTGAGAGCTCCCTATCTGTGTCTCTATCAACTTAATTATTTTGTTCCCTAAAATGTTCTTTCAAGTGATTTTCCTAATACATCCTTATTATGACTGTTATATTCCATGAACTAATACTAGGTAGGTATCCATACCAGAGTTTGTAGCATTCTTATCATAAATCTTGAGTCATAATCACCTACACACTAGTTTTGTTTGCCACTTGTAAACAAGGATATTACTACCAATCTGAAATTCTTTAATGTGGCATTCCAATTCTCTGAAATTAAAAATTAATACATTTGGCTTGGAATTGGTGTAAGTGAAAAAATCACATCGATCATGAGTTTAAACTAGATATTCATGTATCAAATGAACCATGAAAACCATAGAGAATAAGCATTTTAGAAATAGATGGCACATCTGCAACATCTTTCTTACAGAACTATCTCTGCTGTGGTTTCTTTCTCAGTTATTAATGTCACCATGACACTCAACTGACATTTTGAAATTATTAATGACAGTGCCACATGTCAACGAACTTTTTGTCAGGGTATTGACCAAAGCATACAAATGTAAGTGACTGGATTCTAGCCTCACTTTTTCCTTTTCCATTTTGGTTTCCATCCTCTTTTAAAGGATCTTAAGTCAAGTACGCTGATTTGCTGAATGAGAGCTGGGCTCTTCAGTTTTTTTTCTTTTTCAGTTGACTCTGGCTCTCAATATGTAAACAACTCAAGAAGGAAATATTGATATGAGAGTTAAATACTGGGATTTCATAACCTAATAAATACTCACGTGCGCAGTGTAAGTAATGGATAAGAGTTGTTCTCGGATGTATTCCAGAATTTCAAAATAAACTTATGAGGCTCAAGGGTCTGCCGGTGGCATTTATATCTCATTATTTCTAAAAGGATTCTATTTAGCAAATATTTACTTCATGTTTACTATGTGCAAGACACAGCAATAGATATATACAGGTGAGTAAGGTACAATTCTTAACACTCTAGGGTGTATGTTAATTTGGCTCTTACATGAAGTACCTCTTCTAACTAGGTTTTTTTTTTTTTTTCTAAATCAGCGTAGTACCTTCATACTTTTGGAACTTCTCATTAGAAATGAGAACCAGCTGCCCTTATCACATTCATATCATTCAGTTAATATATGATTTAAACAATATATTTAACAAATGAATACTATGTATGTCGACATTACATCAAATATTTTGTCATTTCCAAAATTTTATTTTATTTTTAATTTTATTTTTACTGGGTTTTTTTTGAGACGGAGTCTTGCTCCGTCACCCAGGCTGGAGTGCAATGGCTCAATCTCAGCTCACTGCAACCTCAGCCTCCCGGGTTCAAGCGATTCTCCTGTTTCAGCCTCCTAAGTAGCTGGGATTATAGGCATGCGCCAAAACGCCCGGCTAATTTTTGTATTTTTAGTAGAGACGGGGTTTCACCAAATTGGTCGGGCTGGTCATGAACTCCAAAATTTTAATTCTTAATCAGTGAGTTGTTAACTTGTTTCCAAACTACAAGCTATTAAGAAACGTAAGTACTTAGAGGATAAAAGGACAGATTAACTATTAATGTAATGTGCCTGCAATAGTTGACACCCTACTTAGCATGACCATTATGTACTACAGCCTACAAAATTATTCTTCATGCTCCCACAGCAGAGCTAGTGCACCATATGGCCATGCTTGTTTTTCATCAAATAATTTTTACATAAACAGCTGGTGAACTGCTTTTATTGTAACAGTGCACATATTTTTTCAGACAGTTGGGAAGGATTGATGCAACTCTAGTCACTGCCTGTTTTTATGTCAATGCTAAAAAGAAATTTGATTTGATATTTTAAAAATGTAGACTTTTGTATTTGTTTGATCATGGTCAGTTCATAAGAGATTTTTTTTCACTTAGTGCTGTAATTACTGGCATGTTTACAAACTTGTAGCAAGAAATAAAAAGTAATCATAAGGGATCTTCAACCTAACATGGTATACTCAGTGTTTATTTTTATACTCTTTTGGATTTTTAGCAGCAGAGCTGATATGTTGTGGACAATTTTATAGGCAGTTTTAATGTTACTATATTTGGTTTTGAAACATAGCTTCAACACATTCTGATAAGTGACATAATAACCAGAAGATTTTTAGCAGTTTTGTGTGTACCTGTGATTTGAGTTGATCTGATGACTATTTGCTCCAGAAGCATCCCCTCAACCTCCATAATAAGAAATTTTATCTGTTAAAGTCACTAGTGGGTTCAAAAATACAAATAGAGAAATTTTCTTTTGAATTCTAAGTAATGACGACCACTCAGATTTTTTTTGTAAGGAGGTTATCACAATGCTTATTAGAATGTTAAATTGTAAATCTTTAAATCTTTACATCAAATTTTATATTTAATGCCTCATCTCCCTGTAACCAGAAGTTACTCCCATTAGAAAACTGGTAAGGAGTCACGTATCATGATACCTCATTGATTACTTTTTCATAGAATATTAGAGACCATGCAATATATTTCATTATGGAGGAGAATGAATGCTTACTATTGTGCCATTGAAAATTTTAGAACCTTGAGGTAAGAAGAATTAAGAACATCTATCTGTCACACACTAATGATAATTATATGTAAAATGTAAGATGAAGGAAGTTTTCCCAACCCTACTGCTTCCATTATATTCACCTATCTGTCCTTTATAGCTTCATTTCATTTAGTGACCCATATTTTCACAAAATATTTTATTTTATATATAAAATGGAAAAAGAAGGGACCTTATTACAATTTGCTTAAGCTATAACTTTCTGTTGAAGAAACTCATCTGAAATAAGCTTTACAATAATAAATGCATTTGGCAACTTGTCACTTAAACATATAACAATTCAAACCAATTTCTTTATGTGAATTTTAACTGATGTCCTGCTGTTTCTTTTCTCCCAAACCTATGATATTCATATGGATGTTTAGAAAATGAATTAGGTGAGACAATCTAATTCCCTTTGTAGAGACATGGATGAAGCTGGAAACCATCATTCTCAGCAAACTATCACAAGGATGAAAAACAAAACACCGCATGTTCTCACTCATAGGTGGGAACTGAAGAATGAGAACACATGGACACAGGAAGGGGAACATCACACACCGGGGACTGTTGTGGGGTGGGGGAAGGGGGGAGGGATAGCATTAGGTGATATACCTAATGCTAAATGACGAGTTAATGGGTGCAGCACACCAACATGGCACATGCATACATATGTAACAAACCTGCACGTTGTGCACATGTACCCTAAAACTTAAAGTATAATAAAAAAAGAATGCAAATTAAATATGTTTTTGGATGAAGTAAATGATCAATTTTGGATAACTACTGATTTACATGTGTTTATCATATAATTAAAAGTAACATGTTGTACTGTGAAAAAAAAAAGAAAGAAAAAGAAAATACATATAACATCTCCAGATCACAGGGAAACTACATTTGCTGCCCATTATACAAAATCAGGTTTCCTAGGCTCAGGATTCCTCTCCTGTAACGCAATCTACCGCATGTGCCTGTGTCACCCAGACCTTTTCACGTCACCCTGTGGGAACTGTGGATTGAGGAATCAGTGGAAGAAAATGCTGATACTCTGAAAAATGCTGATACCCTGAAAAATGCTGATACCCTATGGGAACTGTGGCTTAAGGGATAGGTGGAAGAAAATGCTAGTACTACTGCTATGGTTAATACAGTTTTTTTGTCTCTTACCCAAGAGCTTTGTGTCTTCTGCCAGCATAAATGAAACAGTGACAGGCTAACTTGTTAGGTGGCAAGAAGGGCAAAGTCTCAGACTCTTTACAGCTCTTGACAGCAAGTACATATCTCTGTTTTTCCTGTTTGTAAACGAAAATCTATTAATAGACTTTAGAAGATGTAAACATAGATAACATTTAATTTTTTTTTCATTTTTCTCCTGTTTTGCTTTATGATAAACTTAATGTGTATTACCAGTTCAAACTTCAAGCCAATTAACTGGCTTAAAATAGCCCATTAAAATTTGATATATGTAATACAGTGAGGAGTAGAAGTAAAACAAGGAATACGGTTTTGACATCAGTTATCAAACTGAATTTACAACTATTTTAACATGTCTGCTTATAGTACTGCATTTTAACAGAACACCAAGCTCACTGAGGTTAAGAAATCATGATAAAAGTAAATTCTAGACCCAGTATACTGGCTCATGCTTGTAATCCTACCACTTTAGGAGGCTGAGGCAGGAGAATCCCTTGAGACCAGGCATTCCAGAAAAGCCTGGGCAACATAGCAACACCTCATCGCTACAAAAACTTTTTTTAAAAAAAATTAGCTGGGTGTGGTGGCACTCACCTGTCATCCTAGCTACTCAGGAGGCTGAGGCAGGATGATCACTTGAACCCAGCAGTTGAAGATTCCAGTGAGCTATGATTTTCCTACCCACCCGCCACCACGCCCCGCTAATTTTTGTATTTTCAGTAGAGACAGGGTTTCACTATCTTGGCCAGGCTAGTCTTGAACTCCTGACCTCATGATCCACCTGCCTCAGCCTCCCAAAGTGCTGGGATTACAGGCGTGAGCCACCGCTCCTGGCCCCATTATGGTATTAATGGATGTTTATTAGTAACATTACATGGTTACGCCACCTATATGATTGTCTTATAATAGTTCTGGCTTCAAAAAGTTACTCACCTAGAACTTATTTAGCATTAATTACAAAGCACCTTCACCCTGTTATTTTTGTTATTGTGAAATTTGGAATTTGGTTAATTATGACCAAAAATATTAGGAATCAATTATAGACTAAGCAATAAAGTGAGTCTTAAAATGTCTGAGATTTCAAAAATCAGTTGAGTAATATACAATACTATCACGGTTATATGAAATTGAAAATCTAATGAAATTACTCAAATTTTGGGCATCTACAAAGCTAAAAATAAGAGGGGTGGAGCCAAGATGGCCGAATAGGAACAGCTCCGGTCTACAGCTCCCAGCGTGAGCGACGCAGAAGACGGGTGATTTCTGCATTTCCATCTGAGGTACCGGGTTCATCTCACTAGGGAGTGTCAGACAGTGGGCGCAGGACAGTGGGTGCAGCGCACCATGCACGAGCAGAAGCAGGGCGAGGCATTGCCTCACTCGGGAAGCGCAAGGGGTCAGGGAGTTCCCTTTGCTAGTCAAAGAAAGGGGTGACAGAGGGCACCTGGAAAATCGGGTCACTCCCACCCTAATACTGCGCTTTTCCAACGGGCACATGGCTCAGAGGGTCCTATGCCCACGGAGTCTCGCTGATTGCTAGCACAGCAGTCTGAGTCAGTGTGGCGATTCCTCAGGGATCTAGAACTAGAAATACCATTTGACCCAGCCATCCCATTACTGGGTATATATCCCAAGGACTATAAATCATGCTGCTATAAAGACACATGCACACATATGTTTATTGTGGCACTATTCACAATAGCAAAGACTTGGAACCAACCCAAATGTCCAACAGCGATAGACTGGATTAAGAAAATGTGGCACATACACACCATGGAATACTATGCAGCCATAAAAAATGATGAGTTCATGTCCTTTGTAGGGACATGGATGAAACTGGAAATCATCATTCTCAG
The DNA here is from genome assembly GCF_000001405.40 of Homo sapiens. Classification (NCBI taxonomy): domain Eukaryota; kingdom Metazoa; phylum Chordata; class Mammalia; order Primates; family Hominidae; genus Homo; species Homo sapiens. The sequence goes on from NC_000023.11 coordinate 27,801,714, forward strand.
CAAACTATCACAAGGACAAAAAACCAAACACCGCACGTTCTCACTCATAGGTGGGAATTGAACAATGAGAACACATGGACACAGGAAGGGGAACATCACACTCCGGGGACTGTTGTGGGGTGGGGGGATGGGGGAGGGATAGCATTAGGAGATATACCTAATGTTAAATGACAAGTTAATGGGTGCAGTACACCAACATGGCACATGTATACATATGTAACAAACCTGCACATTGTGCACATGTACCCTAAAACTTAAAGTATAATAATAATAAAAAGAAAAAAAAGCTAAAAATAAGTAATATTTGACCTGTGCTTATTAACAAATTAAATAAAGTGCCTAATTAAGCATAACGCATATACAGCTTATTGGATATTTGTTTTCCTCAAAGATCCTTGTGATTCTATTCTGATACAATATGTGTATTATTATTATTATGAAATAGTATTAATAGGACATATGCCAGAACCTAAATGTACGTATGCATACATGTGTGTAAACCATCCCCAATCAAAATATAGAGTAAAATGTTAGTGCATCATAAAGATCAATCACGTCTTTCCAAGCTAATCACAATAGAACACCTCCACATGACCCCTCTTCTACAGTTTTGATTTCAACTGTACATTAGATTTGCTTGTTCCAGAATTTGTAATGGCTTTTCAAAGATGCAATTGGAATACAATAAAGCGCATACAATTTGATAAGTTTTGACTTATCTATGCATCCATTTAACCACCATCACATTCAAGACAATGAATATGTCAATCACCATCACCCCCAAAACTTTTTTCATGTTCCTTTGTAAGCTCTTTTGCACTCCTCTCTGTCCACAGGCAATCATCTTTCTGTCACTATGCATTAGTTTTCATCTTCCGTTTATAAAAACGGAATAACATAGTATGTACTATTTTATCTGGCTAACAGAATAATTATTGAGAAATATATCCATGTTATAGCGTGTATCAATAGTTCATTCAATTTATTGCTGAATAATATTTTATTGTATATAATACAGTTTATCTAGTGACCTATTGATGGACATCTGGGTTATTCCCAGTTTTTCACTATTACAAATAAAGCTGCCATGAACTTTTGTATACACATCTTTTCACAGACATATGCCCTTATTTCCTGGGAGTATAACAATTAGGTCATATTGCATGTGTATGTCTAAATTCTTGAGTAACTGCCAAACTGTTTTCCAAAGTGGATGTCCAATCTACATTCCCACCAGCAAGGTGTGAGAGTTCCTTCACATCTTTGGCAATACTTAGTACAGTCAGTCATTTTAATTGTACATATTCTAATAGGTGTGTAATAGTATCTTACTGGGGTTTTAATTTTTATTTCCCTAATGCCTAATGATGTTGAGCATTTTATGTGCTTCTTTGACATTTATAACTGTCCTTTCTTGAACTGTCTGTTCAAGCCTTTTGCCCATTTATATCGGGTTGTTTATTTTCTTATTGAGTTTTGAGAATTATTTTAAGTGCTGGATTACAACTCCTTTCTCACATATATGCTTTACAAAAATTTTATCCCATTCTATAGATTGTCTTTTCATTCTCTTAGCAGTGCCTTTTGAAGAAAATATGTTTTCAATTTTGGTAAAGGCAAATTAATCAATTTGTTATTTTATGGATTGTATTTTTGGAGTTGTGCCTAAGAAATGTTTGCCCAGCCAAAGATCACAAAGGTTTTATCTTATGTTTCCTTCCTAGTAGTTTTATAGCTCTGGATTTTACATTTAAGTTGGTGGTCCATTTTTAGCTAATTTTCTATATGGTGAAAGGAGTGGACTGAAAGTTTTTGTTTTGTTTGCTTTGTTTTGTGTTGTGTTGTGTGTGTGTGTATTTCCAACTGTTCCATCATCCTATGTTGAAAGGATTATCCCTTCTTCACTGAATTGCCTTTGCACCATGGCTGACAATCAGCTGCTTCTATATGCTGAAGTCTATTGTTGGTATTTCTATTCTGTTTCGCTGATCTATTTGCCTGTCTTTACAAAAATGCCACACTGTCATGATTACTTGAATTTTATAATAAGTCTTGAGATTGGGTAGTATTAGTCCTCTTATTTTGTTCTTGTTTTGCAAAGTCGTTTTGGCTATTCTTGGTCGATCACATGTCCATATTAATTTTACAGTCAGTGTATTCACTTCTACAAAAATCCTTCTGGGATTTTGATTAAAGATAATTTGAGAACTGACATCTAAATCATCTTATTTTCCAATCCTTTTATTTCATCTGTTTCCCATTACTGCATTGGCAGGAACCCCTATTATAATGTGGAATAAAAATAGTGATAGCAGCTATTCTTATCTATTTTCCAATAGCCAATGTTTTTCTACTGAGTAGAATATTTGCTATAGATTTTGGTAGATATCCTTTATCTACTTTGATAACATCTCTTTTTATCATGAATTAATGCTGATTTTTACAAAATACTTTTCTGTATCAATTTAGATATGATTTTTCTCACAATATGTCAAGGCAATATGCCAGTCCTTGACCTGATTGGCCTCAGATCCCTTTCTCTCTCTTTCCTTGCTCTGTTCTCCAGTGTTCAGGAGATGATTGTAGGCTGCACTTCCTATGTTCTCCAACATTTGGCTGCCATCATGGTTCAAGCAACAGAAGGCACCAGCAGGTTAGTACAGTACAGGAGGACAGAAGCAGCTAGAGTTTATATTTTATTTTCTCTCTCTGCATCAGGTGCCTTCAACTGCTTTCAAGGTTTACATCTTCTCCATGGCTCTCACCCTCATCATACTTATCCACCTTAGTTCCAGATCCTATTGACCCCAACTCCAAGGCTCCATTAACATTATCTCCTTTATTTGTTTCTATCCTAGAGACTGAAGAAAATTTCTTAAGCTGCCAAATATTGGCTTGCCCGCCTCTCCCGTTTGGCTTCTCCATCACTTGAGTAACCAATTTTGTGCATCATATTCAACCTGACTTATGTATTTAAAGTAATTTCTGTTTTCCTGGATAATCTTTAACAGTTATACTTGGCTAATTATATTGATTGTTCTAATGTGAGACCATTTCATTCACAGGAAAGCCTCAACTGAGTCACTAGCAGTAAAATGTGTTCAAGTCTTTTATATTATATGTAACCAAAACAAAACACCCCTGGGAGACTGAAACCTCCTCTAAATAACTATGTCTCTCTTCTTCACATCCTTCCCCAAAATAATTTTTGCACTCACTAGCATTTGCGCACACATATTCAAAAAATTCTAAGAGCATAAGGAATACAGAGATATATTCAGCTTGTAAAATAATCAAGCACTGCACATAAAACTCTATAGCATTACCTGTGGGAAACAAATCAGGTGGTACACAAAGGAATATTTACAGCCTTAAATAAACTGATTAGAAAAAAACAGAAATATTTTAAACATGCAAAACTTCAAGAAGCTAGAGAAATAAAACCATATTTAACCCAAAGAAATAAAGCATAGGAAATAACTAAGATAAATGCAGAAATGATTAATTAAGACAGTGGAGCCAACTAACAAAAGCCTATTCTTTTAAAAGATTTATATAGGAGACAATTTTATAGTCATCTTCAATTACAAAAGAAAACTGATAGTAGCTTTAAAATACTGTACAAAAATAGGTGCAGAAGGAACTTGAATACCATAAGAGAACACTGTAAATATCATTAACAAATGATAGACAAGGGATGATTTCTACAGAAAGATATATTTCATCTAATGAAATCAGAAGGAATGGTAGAATTAGAAAAATTAACATTTTGCAAACCCTAATTAATTAATGGATAAATATACTAATCTTCAAAGACTGCCAACATCAACAAAAAGGGAGACAAATATTCGGTCCCCCTCATAATGGAAGTTACTTCCTCGTAATGAAAGTTCACATCACCTGTAAAGTGATCTTTCCAAATAAAACGAGAGAGAATAAAAATTAAATTTTAATATGATAAAACCTCTACCAATTGAAAGAAATACAGAGAAGAATGACATTAATGTTGCACAAAGCAAAAGCCAGACCATGTGAAACTGAACAGAGCATAAGATCTGTTTTTTTGTAAAAACAAAGATTGCAGGGATAAAGAAGTAATGTATGTGTGTTGGGGGGAAGAATGTATAAATTAATGGTCATAAAATGCAGTGATAATGATTAGATTTATTTGGACCCGGGTTCAAGAAAAAACACACTTAAATGATGTCAGTGGGTAAATGTGAAAATAACTGAACAGTTAATTACATGAAGGAGTTAATTTTATAAGGTGGGGTAGTGTTATCAGTTAATATTTCTGTCTTTAAAAACACATACTGAAATATTTAAAGATGAAATGATGTGATGCCTAGGATTTGTTTCACATTATTCCACTGGCAGACATGGTGTTATGTGTGAGTATAGACGAAGCCAGGTTGGCCATGTGTTGATGATTCTGAGTTCCAGGTATATTCTCTCTACAGTAGAATATATTTGAGAATTTCTACAATAAAAAGAATATATATAATCATTAAATTTGAAACCCCAAATGAAAACAGACCATTATTTAGGAAAATATGAATGGCCCAATTAATCCAAATAGAAATAAAAATCTGTAATTGCGAAACGCAAAATGAAACTGATCAAAGCTCCAGCCACCCTCAAATGTTTTGGGACCAGGCATTTTGGGACCAGTTCTACCAAATAAGCAGTGAAAAGCTGACCATCTTATGTAAACACAAAAATAACCACCATCTTATGATGTTCAACTCACTTTCCCAGGCTAGCTTTCTTTGATTAAAAAAACAAAAAACAAAAAAACAAAACAAAACAAAAAGAACAGCTGAGGATAACCTAGGTGCGGGGAGGGGAACAACTGAGCCAAGTTCACCCACACAGAGGCAAAGATCCTCAATAAACACATAGCAGGTCCAATATTGCAGTTAATTCAATGGAAAAAAAGTCTGTATCCATGAAATGTAAAGATAATACAACATTAGAAAAAAATTGCCTAAAATATTCTCACACTAACAGATTAGATTATTATTATTATTATTATTTGAGATGGGTCTTGCTCTGGCGCCCAGACTGGAGCAACCTCGACCTGCTTGGACTCAAAAGATCCTTGGGCCTCAGCCTCCAGAGTGGCTCAGACTACAGGCGTGCGCCACCGTGCCCGTCTAATTTTTTTTTTAATTTTTTATAGCGACCGACTCCCACTATGTTGCGGACTGGTGTCGATCTCTTGGGCTCCAGCAATCGTCATGTGTCAGCCTCCCGAGTAGCTGCGCTCGGCCATTACATTTTTTTAAATGGGCATTCGATCATGTACTGAGGTACAGAAAAATTTTTCAACAAAAAATTCAACACAAATGCTTGATAACATTCCACAAACTAACATCAGAAGATAACTTTCATTTCCTAAAACCTATGGCAAACAAACTTAAATGTGAAATGCTGAACGCTCGACGCATTCTCATTAAAGCAAGGAACCAGACATAAATGTATGCTGAATACATGGCCAGAGGATAAGACTATAAAAACAAATGTAACTTGGAAATATTTAATAGAAATAGAAATTATTTGGTGAAAATGTGATCATCATTTTAGAAAATCCAAAGGAAAAGACCACACCCAATCCAAATCAATAAATGACTTCTGAAAAGCGGTGTATAAATCACTGTAGCAAAATCAAAAGCCTTGCCACACAAAGCAGTAGTAATAGAACATGCATATAATATATTTGGTGGAACAAATAAGACCATAATTAAAATGAATTTCACTGCACAATACAATGCAATGTTAGATAAAGTCAAGAGATCTGGGTCTCACAAAATTGTGTACATCTATGGCTTCTCTATAGAAAGTAGATCTTTTAGAACAGAAAGTTCGCAATGTCTACATTTCGCCAGTGAAGAGACCCCATAGTTATAATGCACTTACTCCAACATCTCAGAATCTGTCTTGGGCACCCTACCTTTGTGCTGCGGCCTCTCTTCTCCCATCAAGCCTGGAACGCAAACCCATTATCCGTAACGGTTTATGTTGCAAAACTGTCCAGAGCTTATTGTTTGGTGATTATTTCTCTAAGGAGCCTGTAATCAATGAATTAGGAGCCAAAATATGGATCTACTTCCGAGAGGACTTAATATTACTATTACTCCATAACAAAGAGGGCGCCACAGAAAGTCACGCCACGCCGCCCTTGCTGGCAGCCCTTCGGGCCGTGGGCAGGATGCCCGGATGTCACGTACACTTCCGCTTCTGCCGTCCGTGGGAGGTGAGGCCTTGCAGTGAGGCGATTGGTATCTGGTCAGCAGAGAAAGGCATCCAGGCCCCGCCAGGAGGTAAGGCAAAGACACTGAATAGCATTTGAGGGGACCCACTACCACAAAAGAAAGAACGCCATGCCGTCCGGCCTCGGCCTTAAGCCGCAAAAGCCCCGGGCAGGGATCCTCTTAGGTATCGCACTCTGCATTATTCTTCTGGAGAGTCAGGGAAGTGATAGCATTGGGCTAAGGTGCTGGCATCAAGCCACCAGAGATTGGGGTCTTAGAACCCTCCAGTAGTCAATAAAGGGTTATTATTTCCCTAAGGGGCCTTTAATCAATGAATTAGGAGCGAAAACATGGATATACTTCCTAGAGGAGGACTTAATATTACTACTACTCCATAACAAAGGGGGCGCCACAGAAAGTCACGCCACACCGCCCTTGCTGGCAGCCCTTCGGTCCGTGGGCAGGATGCCCGGATGTCACACACACTTCCGCTTCTGCCGTCCGTGGGAGGTGAGGCCTTGCAGTGAGGCGGTTGGTATCTGGTCAGCAGAGGAAGGCATCCAGGCCCTGCCAGGAGGTAAGGCAAAGACACTGAATAATGTTTGAGGGGAACCCCTACCGCAAAAGAAAGAACGCCATGCCGTCCAGCCTCTGCCTTAAGCCGAAAAAACCCCGGGCAGGGATCCTCTTGGGTATCGCACTCTGCATTATTCTTCTGGAGAGTCAGGGAAGTGATAGCATTGGACTAAGGTGTTGGCATCAAGCCACCTGAGATAAGGGTCTTAGAACCCTCCAGGAGTCAATAAAGGGTGAGTTCCATAAAACTCCCTTTCTGCCATAGCGGACCGGTCCCCACAGAGCCCAGCCTCTGCTCTCAAGCCTGGGTGATCCTAAGTAGGGGTAGCTGGAATTTCCACCTTTAACCTCTCAAGGAGATGAGGGTATTGGACCACGGTGTCTGCCTCGGGCAGCAGGGGAAGGAGTCCTATTGAGAGGTGACAGCATGCTGGCAGCCCTCACAGCCCTCGCTGGCTCTTGGTGCCTCCTCTGCCTGGGCTCCCACTTTGGTGGCACTTGAGGAGCCCTTCAGCCCACCGCTGCACTGTGGGAGCCCCTTTCTGGGCTGGCCAAGGCCGGAGCCGGCTCTCTCAGCTTGCAGGGAGGTGTGGAGGGAGAGGCCTGGGCGGGAACCAGGGCTGCACGTGGTGCTTGCGGGACAGCGCAAGTTCCCGGTGGGCATGAGCTTGGCGGGCCCGGCACTCAGAGCAGCTGGCAGGCCCCCCGGCCCAGGCAGTGAGGGGCTTAGCACCTGGGCCAGTAGTTGCTGTGCTCAATTTCTCGCCAGGCCTTAGCTTCCTTCCCGTGGGGCAGGGCTCAGGACCTGCAGCCCGCCATTCCTGAGCCTCTCCCACCCCCCCAACCCCGCCAGCCCCCTCCAACCCCGCCAGCCCCCCCCAACCCCGCCAGCCCCCCCCAACCCCGCCCGCCCCCGCCCCAACCACCACCCCCCCGCCGGCCCCCCCCCCGCCCCGCCCGCCCCCCCCCCCGCCCGCCCCCCCCCCGCCGCCGGCCCCCGCCCCGCCCCGCCCCGCCCACCGCCCCCACCCCACCCACCCCCCCTCCTGTCCTACCGGAGCCTCCCTGACGAGCGCCGCCCCCCGCTCTGCGGTGCCCAGTCCCATCGACCACCCAAGGGCTGAGGACTGCGGGCGCATGGCGCGGGACTGGCAGGCAGCTCCACCTGCGGCCCCAGTGCGGGATCCACTGGGTGAAGCCAGCTGGGCTCCTGACTGGTGGGGACTTGGAGAACCTTTATGTCTAGCTAGGGGATTGTAAATACACCAATCGGCACTCTGTATCTAGCTCAAGGTTTGTAAACACACCAATCAGCACCCTGTGTCTAGCTCAAGGTTTGTGAATACACCAATGGACACTCTGTATCCAGCTACTCTGGTGGGGATTTGGAGAACCCTTGTGTCAACACTCTGTATCTAGCTAATCTAGTGGGGAGGTGAAGAACCTTTGTGTCTAGCTCAGGGATTGTAAATGCACCAATCAGCACCCTGTCAGATCAGACCACTCAGCTCTCTGTAAAATGGACAAATCAGCAGGATGTGGGTGGGGCCAGATAACAGAATAAAAGTAGGCTGCCCGAGCCAGCCTTGGCAACCCGCTGGGGTCCCCTTCCAAACTGTGGAAGCTTTGTTCTTTCACTCTTTACAATAAATCTTGCTGCTGCTCCCTCTTTGGGTCCACACTGCCTTTATGAGCTGTAACACCACGAGCGAAGGTCTGCAGCTTCACTCCTGAGCCAGTGAGACCACGAACCCACCAGAAGGAAGAAGCTCCGAACACATCCGAACATTAGAAGGAACAAACTCCGGACACGCCACCTTTAAGAACTGTAACACTCACCACGAGGGTCCGCAGCTTTTGAGACCAAGAACCCACCAATTCCGGACACACTATGCTCTGCCACGTGTTAATGAAATGCCCCAGTGTGGGCTGTGGGGGAAACTAGCTTCCCATAAAGATGGCGGCCTTAGAGAATCCTGCCCTTCCTGTAAGTTCTGGGAGGTCCCTAGCGTGGCTGTAAGGCCCAGGTGACCCCTCGCTTCATATTCTGGTGGTGGTCGTGGGGAAGGGTACAAACTAAGGCTAGCGCATTGAGGTCAGCAGTGGAAGGAGTCTTTGGGGGTAACCAGGAGTTTAGTTTAGAACCCAGAGCAAAGACTGAAGGGATTTTCTTCCCAGAACAAAGGGGACCCAACAGAGTACCACTACTATGAGCCTTGGTAGCCTTTCAGCATGACTCTCGGCTAAGGTATCCCTCAATTTATCCTTAGTGGTCACAGGGTGATGAGGACATAGATTTGATAGGGCAGTCAGTGGCAGGTCATTAGAGGGAGGTGACTCAGGCCCTTATGGAAGTCAAAGTGAGGACTGATGGGGCTAGGCACTGCCTCTGTGGTCAGCCTTGGGAAGCCCTGGGCAGATTTGTCATTCTGAACGCACCCCACCCCCTCCCTCCAACTGCATACTCTGGGATATCAAGTGGAAGAGGGCCTTTCTCTGATTGGTATAGGCCTCAAGTCCTCAGAGGGGAAGGTATGAGGCTGTCAAGGTGAGGAGTCATTAGGAGGAACCTGAATTTCCAGAAGTAAAAGAGGATTCATAGAGCCCTAAGAGTGCTGTCTTTCCTGATAGGGGTCCCTGGGGAAGATACATCTGAGGCCTCCCTAATATCTTTATCAGGAATGTCAGGGATGTGAAGGCCTTGCTTGGAGGGGATAGGTTTCAGGTAAGCAAAAGGAGGGCAATCAGACCCTCCAAGAAGCAAAAGTAAAGACTGAGGACTGAAAACTAATTACCTCAAGATAAAGAGGGTCTCACCGATCTCTGCATTGCTGCCATTCCACAATGTCCCCCTGCAAATGTGGTCACATGAGATTCCCCCTCAATTTCTTGTCTGGGGAGTCAAGGATATGAGCGCTTTGGAATGAGGGAGTCAGCATCAAAACAGTTCAGCAGTGAGATAACAGGTCCTGCCAGAAGTCAAGGTGATGGCCCTGAATGTGAATTGAAAGAAACATCGTCTACCCCAGAAAAAAAGGAAGCTCCATAGAGTCTGGACCTGCCAGTCACTGTATCAGTCCCAGTAAGATGCAGGTAATACTGGCAGGCTTCAGCAAAGGTACAGTCTAGTTACTTCCACTGATTCCTCAGGGGAAAGGCCCTTCAGAGAAGAGTAGCCTCATAGGATCCTTGAACAGTGTTCTCAAAGAAACCTACAGAAGCAACTTCCATAAAGTCAAGGTGATATCTTCCTGCTGGAGGATCACACCTTCTTTCCTTGAGGTCACTTCATCACCTGCCATCTGTCTCACACTACTACTTACCTCTGAGCAGAGTCATAATGCCTCGGGGTCAGAAAAGTAAGCCCCGTGCCCGTGAGAAACGCCGCCAGGCTCGAGAAGAGCCCAAGGACGTGGAAGGTGCTCAAGTCACTGTAGCAGAGGAAGGAGAGTCCCTCACTTCATCTCCTCATTTCAAAGATAGTCCTGAGAGGTCATCTGCTGTCGAAACACCCAGCAATGAGCAAGAGCCTGGGATAGCTCTAGCCATCACCACTGCTGCAGCTGTTTCATGCACAGCATCTAATGAAGGCATCGACAGCCAAGTTGAGGAAAGGTCAAATGCCTCACAGGCCCAGGCTACCACTGGGCAGTGGCCCAGAGGCCCTATAGATAAGAAGATTGCTATGTTGGTGCATTACCTGCTGTACAAATGTCAAATGCAAGAGCCCATTACAAAGGCAGATATGCTGAAAAATGTAATCCAGACGTAAAAGAGCCTCTTCCCTGAGATCCTGAGGAGAGCTTCTGATCACCTGGAGTTGGTCTTTGGCCTTGACGTGAGAGAAGTGGATCCCAACAAGAGCATCTATGTCCTTGTCAACAAACTAGAATTAGGCCATGACACAAGAGTGAATCCTAACAGAAGTTTGCCCAAGAATGGCCTGCTGATGACCATCCTGAGTGCGATCTTCAGCCAGGGGAATTGTGCCCCTGAGGAGGAAGTCTGGAAGGTGCTAAATATGATGGGGGTATACGAGGGACAGGAGCACGTCATCTATGGAGAGCCCAGGAACCTCCTCACCAAAGATTTAGTGCAAGAGCAGTACCTGGAGTATTGGGAAGTGCCCAACAGCAGTCCTCCAAGCTATGAATTCCTGTGGCGTCCACGAGCCTATGCTGAAACCAGCAAGATGAAAGTCCTAGAGTTTTTGGCCAAGATCCATGGTACAGTCCCCAGTGCCTTCCCATCCCATTATGAAGAGGCTTTGAAAGATGTGGAAGAGAGATCCCAAGCCAGAATTGCAGCCAGGGCCCGTACTGCCACCATGGCCAGTGCACGTTCCAAGGCCACGTCCAGCAGCCTTGCCTGCTCCAAGTGAAGGCTGAGGAAAATGCTTTACTGTGTTTTTGAAGAGGACAGTCAGTGTTTCACTAGTGGAGGGTTGGCTGTGTCTCGTTATAACATAGTACATAACATGTTCTGGGTAACTTGGATATTTAAACGTTGTTCCTTTTAATAGAAGGTTAAAGTAGCTTAAGAATCCAAGATTATAAGTGATAGTAAGTCATACATTTATTGATGTTTGTGAGGTTTTAGAGTAGAGTTTTACTATTTTATAGAAAAAAATGGGAAAATTTCCATCTTATTTAGTGATCTCCAATGAGATAACATAGTAGTGGATTAGCCATTTCCTTGGAAATATTTTTTTAAAAAAGCAGTAAAATAGTTGGGATGAAGAAATAGAGGTAAAATGTAAAAGATGATAAATGCTTTCATTCCGTTATGTTTAGTCTGTTCTGTAAAATTAAGAGATAGATACTTAGATATGATTAGTTTATTCAACAATGTAGGAGAAGGAACATCATAATAAAACTGACTTCTTGCACACTGGCTCACTTATTTCTCAAACATTACTTGGGCATCTGTTCTTTGGAGGGAAGGCGCCATGCTGGTACTGGGAATGTCAGGATAAACAAGACCCAAGGGCACGCACTGAATTGTAGAGTCTAAGAGCAGCTGTCATGTAAGGAAGATGGTGAGATATACCCTAAGAAGTAAAGGATGAGTAAGAGAAGGTGGGAAGATCCAGATCAGAGCAGTCAAGTGAAAATGTCCTGAGGCAAGTGGGTTTGGGGCCTTAGGAAACTGCAAACCCTTCAGTGTCAGTCAATTTTGTTAGTCTGGATAGTGGGTTGGTTGAGGCTGTGGGAGTACAGAGCAGGGGCCAGATCCTCAAAAAGACTAATGCCTAGAATGAAGAAGTGCTTTTAGCAGTTATTTTGAGGTAATAGATAAACCAGAAATAATTGTAAGATGGGAATGGAAGGTGTCTTGCATCCTTTTCCAGTGTCATTTTTCCAGTGCAGTTGGGCACAGTCCACAAACTATGTTTTATGCACATCAGCTCCAGGGACCTTCTGAGAATCAAGGGTGACCTGACATGAATGTGCTCAAAAGCCATTGTGCTGGCATTATTTGCTCTGGCCTGGGAGAAACAAGAGCCCACTAAACCCACTTAATTAAAAGGGCTTTTAAAAAAACTTGTACTTTAAGTTCCTGGATACATGTGCAGAATGTGCAGGTTTGTTATATAGGTATGCATGGGCCATGGTGGTTTGCTGCACCTATTGACCCATCATCTAGGCTCCCTCCCCCTGCCCCTCACACCCCAACAGGACCCGGTGTGTGTTGTTCCTAAAAGGGCATTTTTATTAGGTTGTCTTTAGTATCATTTGGCAAACTCAAGTGAGGGCTAGATTTTTGATGCGAGTGAAAGAAATGAAAATAGGGGTGGTTTGGATGGAAGGATAGTTGAAGGGATGGAAGGAATTAGTCTTTGACATAAATTATAGGAGTCTTGAATCCAACTGGGGAAGACTACCCCACACCCGCAATAAATAAGAAATCCTCAAATTTGCAAAGTAAATAACTGAGTTTTACTTGCTAAGCGGCATTTTTGGTTGATTTGTGTGCTGTATCATAGAGTGCTGCATATTTTCGGACATCTCTTGCTTTAAAAACAATCACAGAGATTTCAATAGGGCCTGGGGTCAAACTAATAATAGTAACAAACGCTAGTTATTAAATATGCAATAAATAATAGGCACTTTTCCCAGAGTTTTCATACATTACATACAACCCAGAAATCCTACAAGGCAAGGCTTATCAAGGTCACTTCACAAAAAGCCTGAGCCTCATAGAGCTTTGCAATTTTCCTGACTTCACGTGGTTCATTAAGTGTCAAAATTAGAACCATAGTCTGAATTTGTTTAGAACCCACACTGTTGCACTCCTTCCTGCATGAAGCACATGTCTGTCTTTTAATTCATTTCTCTTCTCACTACTGCACTGTGTCTCTAGGCAATAAAAAGAAGGAACCTGGGGCCAGTGTACTAAATCCAGATGTAATAAATAATGGAGAAAATGAGAATTGAACACCATTTGGGGACTGCCCGTGGGCCTCATTTTCGTAGGGTCCATCCACCCCTAGCTCCAGGGTTCTTTGGGAGCTGATTTTGCCCAGGTGCTGGCACCTGGGACCAGATCCAGCACTTCCCAAATTACACTGTTCTTTCCTTGAGTCAGCCCCTGTGAGTCCTTGTGCCCAAATCTGGATCCTTACCTGCTGTCCAGCTCTTCCCTGCTTCCTTCCATGAAGGCTGCACCCTGCTCCCTATGGGAAAGAAAGCCCAGAATAACTTTCCTTCCTTTCTCCTGACTTAGAGCTTTCCAACTCCCTGCAGATGTCCTCTGTTTTGTCACATCACTCACTTGGAACTTCTCTGATAACAGCCCCTTCCATGTAATTGTTTACTTTGGCAGTGAACACTACATACCTGCTCATCTGCTCTGAGTAATTCCACCACACTCAAGATTTTTTCCAAGTCTGCCTGTGAGTCAGGTCAGACTTGGAACAGAATCTAACCTTGAAAGATAACTCTGAAGTTAGAGAGGAGGTGTAGAAAGCAGATGAAGTTAGAAAGAGAGGAGAATGTAATCTGGTGACTTATTTGAGACTAGCACTGAATCCATACACTAGTGAGCTTAAGTGAATGGTGAAAATATCGAAGCCTCTGTCTCAAGTGGTGGATAAGGAAGGACCTAGGAAATAACTGTGTATCAACCATGTCCAGAAATTGGATTCCTATAAATCCTGGTGTACTAGGAGCATGTAGTAGATTTCTATGCTGACATAACAAATGCCATACAGTAAGACACTTAAAATAACATATTGATTAGATCACCCTTCTGTAGGTGAGAAGTATGGGTTGGTTCTGCTGGTTTCTTTGCTTAGGGTTACACAGGCCCAAATCAAGCTGTCAAAGCCTGGCTTCTTATTGGGACACACTGTGAAGAATCCCATTTCAGGCTTATTCAGGTCATTATATGAGGAACCCAGTTCTTTGTGGTTGTAAGAAGAGTGAGGAGTAAGTCTCCTTTCAGGCTATCAGTTGGAGCTGCCATATTTTCTCCAGGCCTGTGTCCAGTCTTTGCATGTGGGCCTCTACTTTTGAGTCAGACTTGGGACATTGAACCTGTCTCACGCTTGGAATTTCTCTAACTTCTGTCTCTGCTGCATATCTCTTCTGCCTCCAGGTGGAGAAACTTCTCTGCTTGTAAGGGCTCATCTAATTAGATTTGGCCCATGTAGGCAATCCAGTGTAATCTCTCTATTTTCAGGTCGGTTTCATAATTTTAATTATATTTGCAAAGTGCCTTTGGCCATGTAACATAACATATTCATGGGTTTCAGGAATGAGGATATGTGAATCTTCGTGGAGCAATTATTCAGTCTACCACAGAGGTAGAATATGTCTCTCTGGCAGACATGCCAGCTTTGATAAGAAAAGAAAAACCATAATTCGCCATCATTCTCCTGATTCTTGTCTGTATCTGCGCCAAGGGAAAATCCTGGTTTTTCATTGCGCCTAAGGGCACCTGTACATGTGCTCAGGTGTACATGTTCATCAGGTGGTGGGTAGCAGGACTCACAAGTTACGTTTTTAACAATACATCAAAAGAAGGAAGAAATTTTTCAGTCTCTTGAGATTATAGAGGTCATTGAAAAGGTCAGTGCAGAAAGGTGTTATTGAGTGCAGCGGGGTGAACCCTCCTTGCTGAGATTTACAGGATCGTTTTGAAAATTAGTGTGATTCTGGATTTGAAATTACCTGTCACATATAGACACTAGAAAATGTTGTTGTTTAGCAAAGATATTTGATATTCTCAGAAACTCCTCCAAGACTTAAGAAGGGTGTTTTCATAACAAATTTATAGTAGTAGCTTTTATTGAGCTTTTACTATTATAATAGTTAATTGGACAGACTGCAAGTGCTCATCCACTTTGTGTCTTGCTTTCTATCCTTGGTTCATATGGAGACTACATTGCCAGTCCACTTGTAGTTTGGAAAGGTCATGTGACTACCCCCCTTGACACTGAAATATGAACAGTAGCATGCTTTTCCCTTTCAGATCAAAGTGTTTGAGAGCCAGTCTGCCACCTCCATGCCTTCTCTTCCATGCTGAGATATGGAGCCACAGTATAGAAGCAGCATGGATCCCTGGGACACCTGACAGCAAAAAATCCCTATTAATTAATATCAAAGTTTATTTGCATAAGAGATAAACCTTTAGTGTGTTAAGCCATTGAGATTTCAGCCTTTTGCCATTACATCTCATACATACTTTATCTGTACAATACACAACTACTAATTCCATTGTTATTATTATTTAAATATTTTAATTACCAAGAAAATAGTGTATGTATTCTTGTTGCCAAAAATTCTAATACAGATAAATCAAAATTTCGCTTCCTTACTATGTCCCTCCAAAATTCAATACCTCCTCATATGTAACCACATTTTTTAAATCCTGCATGTAGTATTTTTAAATGTATTATAGGCTTTCTCTTATATACATGTGCAACAAAAATACACTGTGAGGGTTTTTTTGCTTTTGTTTGCTCCTTTTTCTTCTTAATTTTTATTTACTTATTTATTTCTTTTAGAGACGGTGCCTCGCTCTGTTGCCCAGACTGGAGTGCAGTGGTGTGATCATAACTCAGTATAGCCTAGAACTCCTGAGCTCAAGCAATCCTCCCACCTCAGCCTTTCAAGCAGCTAGGAGTACAGTTGGGAGCCACTGTACCTGGTTACTGTGAGTTTTAAATATACATTGATAACTGTTTACATATTGCTCCACAATATGCCTTAGAATTTTGATATTTCAATAACACATTTCTCTTTACTTTGAGAAGAAAGGATTTACTCAGAATGACAAGGTTCCAGGAAATGTGCCTTAACAAGAAAACCTCAATTAGTGAAGGACATCAGGAAAACTGGGCACTGGAACAATTTCCAGAATCCACGAGAGAGATCATAAGCTAAACAAAGTCCAGAGAACTCAGGGCACGGGGTAGTCAGGGATCTGTATCCAGAGTTCAGCGTGGGGTAGCAATGGGACAAGAAGGAGTAAAGATGAGGAAACTGGTGGTGTCTTGGACAACTTTTCTGAATAGCCTTGGCAATCTCTGAATCATCATTACCAGCATGAAGTTGTAGGCTGAGCTGTCCAGAGGCGTGCTCTGCTAGAGTCTTCCCTTCCCACTTCTCAGGCAGAGTGTGGCTTGCTACCCTGCGTCAATTAATACCAGTTATGATATTAATTGATCCTGGGAGAGCTACATCTCTTCACTACTCTGGTCGTTCAGGGCACCCTTTCCAGTGTAGCAGGGTTGAGAGCTGTCTTGATGCCTATAAGAAAGAATGTATGTGGCCCTTGTATATGTGGCCCCCCTTGAGTATGTGGCCCTCCTACCACTGAGGTTGAAGCTGTGCAAATAGACATGATTGGTGATTAATGACAGTTAAAACAGGGCAAATAGTACCAATGAGTAGTGGCATAGTGTAGATTCAAGGAGGGGGGAATTGGAAAAGGGATTTCCTGAGACGAACTACCTCACTGACTCTGTAACTAAAAGGCTGAGCGTGCATATGCCTTTAAACAAGGATCCAGATGTTATCCCCAACTCCGAATACTTCCTAACATCACTGACTTCTTTGCAGAACAGAGGGCTGATTTTTTGTTGCTGTGTCTGGTGGCCTTTGTTGCCACCAAACACTGTAGTAGGGTGCTGGTTTTCAAGGCAAGTATTTCCAGGGTAGATGGAGAACCATTGCAGATGCTGCAGCTCCTTATTGAATGGACTGCAGGTAACAAGTATAGGTGGAGTCCAAATCTCTATCTTCTTTACTGTTATAATCCTGACTTGATTCGAATCAACTGAAAATTTTTATAAAGGGGGATTCTGCACTAGCCATTTGCAAAGTTATTACATGATCTGTAGTAAAATTTACATCATTTCTCACTGTGAGGTAGGGGCATTGGACCGGGTGTCATTCTCAGATCCACAGAGGGAGGAGTCCCAGTCTCTAAAAGGAATAAAAATGAAGACCCTGATGAAGTTTTGAAAGAGTCACCCACTCCATAACAGACTGCTCAGCACAGAGACCACCCCTGCTGTTAACATTTCTAAGCCAATGCCTCGATGTTAGGCCCAGAAGCCTCCTCACTTCACCCTCTGTAGTCCAGGGATATGGGACTGTGGGGTGAAGTGGTTGGGGACGAAGGCTTTGTTTTAAAGCTGAATGACTCAGATCAGGAGGAGGAGTCGTCCCAGGCCCCCCAGAGTCAATGAAAGACCCCTATGCAACTTCTGTCAGAATTCCCTACTCCCACAAAACACAAGCCACCCCCTTACTTCTAAGAGCTGCACCCCTGCTCTCAGCACTGGGTCCCATATGGGGGTGGCTAGAATTGGCTTCCCCAACTTCTGACTCTAACTTCTCAGAAGAATGAAGGCATTAGTCTGAGCAGGGTAGCCTCAAATCAGCAGAAAAGAGAGTTCCAGAGATTTCCAGGTCCTGTCAGGAGTTAAGTTAAAGACCTTAACTGAGATCTGAGGACTCTTTATACCAGAAGAGAGAAGGACCAACAGAATCCCAGCCCTGTGTAAGCCCTGGGAGACCCTGGACAGGGATCCTCTGATGTAGTGCCCTTTGAATTCCCAGGATCCTGGGAGGTGACAGCATTGAACCATGCTTTGGCATCAGACCAGTAGAGAGCAGGGTTCCAGACCTTCCAGCAGTGATGGTGAAGACCCTAATATTTGAGGCAACTATCCACACCAGATCAGAAGGGCTCCACAGCATCCAGGCTTCTGCTTTCAGGCCTGAGAAGCCCATGAATGGAGTGGCCAGATATAAAAGTCTCTGAGTTCCACCTCTGGATTTTTAGGGAAGTTAAAAAACTGGTGCCAGAGGGAGGTGTTAAATCAGCAGAGGGAGGAGTTCCAGGCCCTGCTAGGAGGTAAGATAAAGACCCTTTGTGAGGTGTAAGGGTAATAGCCATGCCCTTGCTGTTAGTGGTAGCCAACCTTGGGCAAAAAAAAACCTCTTATATAGCACCCTCTGAATTCCCTCTTTGGAAATTCAAGGAGAGGACAGCATTGGACCAAGGTTACAGCCTCAGGCCAGCAGATAAGAGTCCCAGGCCCTAACAGAAGTAAAGGTGAGGAAACTGAGTGAGATCAGAAGGAACCACCCACCACAAAAGAGAGGGGTTCATAACAGAGTCTGCCCCTGCTCTCAGCCCAGGGAGGTCCCAGGTTGGAGTGGCTATTGTGACACTTTCTGAATTCCATTACTGCTTTCTCAAAGAAGTGAAGAGGTTTAGGTTGTCAGAGGAGCTATTTTGAGGCCTTGCCAAAAGGGAATACAAAGATCTTGAGTGAAGTTTGAGGGGGACTTCCACTCCAAAAGACGGGCCCCATGGATTCATGACAGGTCCAGGACAGGGCCTGATGAAGCACCCTCTGAATTCTGGTGAGAACTCAGGGAGGGGAGGGCGTTGGACCAGAGTGTCAGCCTCTGGTCAGCAGAGAAGGAGTCCCAAGCCCTAAGAAGAGTAAAAAGAATCCTGAGTTCTGAGGGAGCCATCCACCCCAGATCAAAAGGGGACAGCACAGAGTCCCATCTATGCTGTCAACCCTGAGGGACTGTGGGGTAGATATGTTAGGCTGAGGTCTCTCTCACTTTCTCCTTTTGTAACTCAGAGATGTGAGGGCCTTGCTCTGAGGGGATAGGTCTCAGGCCATCACAGGGTGAAGTCCCAGGGCCTAGCAGAAGCCAAGGTGAAAACCCTGAGTGAAGAATGAGAACACTAAGGATCCCAGAATATAGAAGGTCCCTCAGAGCTTTTCTATTGTAGTCATCCTGGATGTCCTCAGGCAGGTGTGGTCAGATGAGTTTCCCTTTCAGTTTCTCTACCAGGGTAGCAGGGAAATGAGGGGACTGAAATGAGGGGTCAGTAGAGTAGAGGGATCCCAGAACCTGCCAGAAATCAAGAGGACAGTTCTGAATGTGAACTAAGAAAAGAGTCCCTACCCAAGAACAAAGGGGCCTCCACAAAGCCTGGACCTGCCAGGCCTGGCTGTCATCACCCAGTAAGCCCCAGGCAGATCTGGCAAGTGGCAACCTAAAACACATCCTAGTTATTTCACAGAGTACTCAGGGGGCAGGCAAATCAAAGAATAGGGGCCTTGTTTTTCCTTGAGTAATGCACCAAGAAAACTTTCAGAGGTGGCCGTCAATAAAGCTAAAGTTGTATCTCTCTGCTGAATGGGCACACCCCATTTCATCTTCTCTTCTCCAGGTCACGGGATCACCTGCCTTTTTGGCTGCTGCACCTGAACAGAGTCATCATGCCTCGAGGTCAGAAGAGTAAACTCCGTGCCAGGGAAAAACGCCGTCAGGCCCGAGGAGGGCTGGAAGATTTGATAGATGCTCTGGACATTTTAGAAGAGGAGGAAGAATCTCCCCCCTCTGCCTCTGCTTGTTTGAAGGATGTTTTCCAGAGTTCACTTGATGGGGCATCCAACAATCCCCATGGACTTCGGGAAGCCCAATCCACCAGCACATCTGCTACAGCTGCTTCACACACAAGACATCCCGAAGGAGTCAACGACCAAATGGAAGAAAGGCCAATATGCACACAAGATCTAGAAGCCACTGATAGCTTTCCCAGAGGCCCTGTAGATGAGAAAGTAATTATATTGGTGCATTACTTGCTGTACAAGTACCAAATGAAAGAGCCCATTACAAAGGCAGATATGCTGAGAAATGTAACCCAAATGTCCAAGAGCCAGTTCCCTGTAATCCTGAGCAGAGCTTCTGAGCACCTGGAGCTGATCTTTGGTCTTGACCTGAAGGAAGTGGAGCCTAATAAGCACATCTATGTCCTTGTCAACAAACTAGATCTAGGCTGTGATGCAAAGCTGAGTGATGAAACAGGCGTGCCCAAGACTGGCCTGCTGATGACTGTCCTGGGTATTATCTTCACAAATGGCAATTGTGTCGCTGAGGAGGAAGTCTGGAAAGTGTTTAACACGATGGGGTTATATGACGGAATTGAGCACTTCATGTTTGGGGAGCCCAGGAAGCTCCTTACCAAAGATTTGGTGAAAGAAAATTACCTGGAGTACCAGCAAGTGCCCAACAGTGATCCTCCACGCTATCAATTCCTATGGGGCCCAAGAGCCCATGCTGAAACCAGCAAGATGAAAGTTCTTGAGTTTTTGGCCAAGGTAAATGATACAGCTCCCAGTGAATTCTCAAACTGGTATACAGAGGCTTTACAAGATGAGGAAGAGAGAGCCAGAGCCAGAGTTGCAGCCAAGGCTCGCGTTAGTGCCACAGCCGGTGCACGTTCCAAGGTTAAGTCCAGCAAGTCCTCCCAACTGCAGTAAAGTCTGAGGGAGATTCTTCATTTGTGTTTGAAAAGAAATGCACATTCTGAGCTGTGGGAGGTCAGGGTGGGACTGGAGACAACACAGTGAATAATATGTTTGTGTTAATGTTCTATGTGATGGCTTGGAATTTTTGAAGATGTTGTTCCTTTAATAGATGGTTAAAGTAGCTTCACTATCTAAGTTTATGAATGACATTGCTCAAATTTTTCTGTATGTGAGATTAAGAGTAAGCGATTTATTGCTTTATAAGTCTAATTGGGAAACTCTCCATTTATTTAGTGATCGAAACACGATAGCATGGTAGTAAATTAGGCATTTCCTAATTCAATGTGAAATAATTTAGGAGTGTAATAAATGGGATCAAGAAATAGAGCAAAGAGGGTCGGGTGCGGTGGCTCACACCTGTAATCCTAGCACTTTGGGAGGCCGAGGCAGGCGGATCATGAGGTCAGGAGATCAAGACCATCTTGGCTAACACAGTGAAACCCCGTCTCTACTAAAAATACAAAAAATTAGCCAGGCGTGGTGGCGGGTTCCTGTAGTCCTAGCTGCTCAGGAGGCTGAGGCAGGAGAATGGCGTAAACCCGGGAGGCGGAGCTTGCAGTGAGCCAAGATCACACGACTGCATTCTAGCCTGGGTGACAGAGCGAGACTCTGTCTCAAAAAAGAAAAAAAAAATAGAGAAAACAGTAAAAGATGGCTAATTATTACATTCCCTATTGACTTTTATTCTGTTGTTATGTAAAATTAAAAGATATATGCCAGGATATGCTTACATTATTCAAGAATATATAATTAATTACATTGTAATAAATTAGACCTTTTGCACATTGGTTCATCTGTTCCTTAAACATTAATTGAGCATCTGCTCTTTGGATGGCCTTGTGCTAGGATGTCAGGATAAGGAAGATCTACCTGTGCTCATTGGGTTTTAGAATCTAGGAGAAGATGTTACATAAGGAATATGGTGAGATACCCACTAAGTCCTAGAGGACAAGTCAAACAAAGTGAGAATGTAGGAAGAGGGTTATCTAGATGAGAGCATCAAATGTAAATGCCTTAAGGCAAATGGGATTGGAGGTTTGGGAAATTGAAAGTCTTTCAGTGTGAATCAGTTGTGTGGTTTTTTTGGTTTTTGGTTTTTTTTTCCTCACTCTTGTCACCCAGGCTGAAATGCAGTGGTGGGAATCACAACTCACTGCAGCCTCAACATCCTGGGCTCAGGTGATTCTCCTACCTCAGCCTCCTGAGTAGCTGAGACTACAGGTGCACGCCATCGTGCCTGGTTAATTTTTTATACTTTTAGTAGAGACAGGGTTTCGCCTTGTGGCCCAGGCTGTTCTCCAACTCCTGGACTCAAGCAATCTGCCTGCCTCAGCCTCCCTAAGTGCTGGAATTACAGGTGTGAGCCACTGTGCTTGCTTGGTCAGATGAGGCTCTGAGAGTGGTGAGCAGTGGCCATCCTGTCTGAAGACATGTCCAGGGTTGAAACACTAAGGTCTGGAATGGACAGGTAGTTACAGCAGTTGCTTGGGCTCATGGATAAAACAGAAAGAAATCTTCACCTGGGGCAGGAATGAAAGGTTTCCTGTGCTCTCCTAACTCCAGTGCAGTTGATCACAGACCACAAACCACGTGTTCTATACACATCATCTCCAGCAAGTTTCTGAGAAATAAGGGTAATACTATCTTAACATGGGATGCTCAGAAGCCACTTTACTGACACTCTTTGCTCTGGCCTGGGAAAGACAGAGCCTGTGTTATTTTATTTTGTGTTGCTATAATAGAATGCCAGAGACTGGGTTACTTTTAAGGAAAAGAATTTTTTTCACAGTAGTGGAGGCTGGGAAGTCCAAGATCAAGGTGTTTGGTGGCATCAAGGGAGGGATGTCTTGCTGGGCCTTCCCATGGCAGAAAGTGAGGCAGTGAGAGAGGGAAAGCAAGAGAAAAGGGGACCAAACATACTTTTTGAAGCAAACCCACTCCTGTGATAAAGGTATTAATCCATTTATAAGGGCATATCTCTCACGGCCTAATTACTTCTCATCAGGTCCTACCTCACAATACTGTTGGAGTGCCTTTTGGGAGACACATTCCTGTTCACAGCAGAGTCCATTCCATTAATAGGGTATTTAAACTAGATTATCTTGAGTGTAATTTGGCAAACTTAAAGCAAGGGATAGGTGTTTTGATGGGAGTGAAGGAGGAAGTCCTTGACACATTTTCTAGGAGCATCCAGCTGAGCTGCATCTAGCTGGGGTAGATTCTCCCAACACACAATGTAAAAAATGTATATCCTCAAAAAGATTCTTATCAAGTAAGTAACTTCCTCTTGGTAAGAAGCATTTTGATTGATTTGGTTTTCCATGTCTTAGAGGGCTGCATATTCTCTTAATATCTCCAGGATGAAAAATAAATTAAAAATTTCCAAGAGGGGAAGGTTGGTAGTGTTAGCAATCTAAAATATAATAGAATAAACTGTTAGTTATCAAAAACCCAGTACACACTAACACTGTGCCAGCTGCCCTACACAAATAACTTACATTGTAAAAGTCAGACTTCACAAGGTATACACTAGCCAAAGAACAAAATGACTTCTTCAAGCCCACTTCACAAAGAACTTGAGGCTCACAGAATTTTCGAGTTCAAGTGACAAGGCTGAGATGAGACCTCCTGGTCTGAATTCCTCTACAGCCCACATTGTTCCAGTCCTCTCAGCCTGAGGCAGATCTTAGGTCTATTAATTCATTTCGCTTCTCGCTACTCCACAATGTCTCTCAGACAAAGAAAAGAAAGACCCTGTGGCCAAAGCACTAAAAGCAGGCTCTAAAAAGGAAGGTGGAATGAGAATGAGACACAATCTGGGACTGTCTGTGGGGTTCATTGGCCTGGAGTCCTCCCACCTTTAGCCTGGATTCTTCCGGAGCTGACTCTGCCCTGGTCCCTTCAAATGGGTTCAGTCCAGCACTTTCCCACATTACCGTGCCCTTCCCCTGGGTCTTCCCACTGTGCCCTCCTGCCCAAACTGGAACTGACCTGCTGGCCAGCTTTACTGTGTCCTTCTCTGGAGCCTGCATTTGCTCCCAGAGGAATAGACAGCCCAGACTTGCCTGCCTTCTCCTGGACATAGAAGCTTCCAACTGCCTAGAAGCCCCACCCCTCACCTTGGATTCCCTCTGACAGCAACAGCCCATTCTGTGTAATTGTTCACTTCAAATAGTGAAGCTTAGATACCTCTTCATCTCTGGGTGCCTCCACCACACTCAAAGTGTTTTCAAATCTGCTGGTGAGGAGAGTCTGGTTTGGGATAGAATCAACTGATATTTTATCCTGAAGCAGAGATATAATCCTGAAGTAGAGAAGAGGTTTTAGAAAGCAGGTGAGATTAGAAAAAGAAGAGGTTTTAAACTGGTGACTTTTTGAATGTTGCCACCGAATCTATACACTGATGAATGAGCTCAACTAAGCGCCAAAACTCAGAGCTTCCCTCCTAGGTGTTAAATGAGGAAAGACCAAGGAAATAACTGTGTAGCAACCATCTGAAGAGAGTGAATTCTTACAAATTCTGTAGTCTTTCCAGAAAGTTGTAGTAGTTCTATGGTAGCTGTAACACATTACCACAAATGTAGTAGTTTACAACAGCACACATTTATTACCTTTGTAGGGTTTATTGTCTACATTTCTGTACGTGTGAAGGATGGAATGGTTCTGCTAGATTCTGTACTCAGATTTTCACAAGGCTCAAATCAAGCTTTCAGCTGGCAGTCTTCTTATGAGACTCTGAGAAGATTCTCCTTCTGAACTCATTCAGGTTGTTGACAGAATCCAGTTATTTGTGGTAATAAGATTGAGGTCCTATTTCCTAGCTGACCATCAGCTGGAGTTGGCAGGCGTCTCTCCAGTCCTTGAATGTGGGCTCATACATTTTGAGTCAACACTTGTAGGTTGAATTCTTCTCACACTTGTAATCTCTCTAACTTCCCGTCTGCTGCATCTCTCTTCTGCCTCCAACTAGAGAAAGTTCTCTGCCTGTAAATTCTCGTGTCATGATATCGGACTTTCCTGAATAACCTAGTGTAATATTTTTATTTTAAGTTCAGTTACATAACCTTAATGCTTCTGCAAAGTGCCTTTGGTCATATAACAAAGCATATTCATTTTTCAAGGATAATTGTATAAGCATCTTTTTGGAGCAATTAATTATTCAGCCTACTATTGATGTAGACAATGTGTCTTTGGCAGTGCTTTGATAAGAAAAGAATAAAATAATTCACCATAATTCTCCTGACTTTTGTTTCTATCTGCCCCAAGGGAAAATCCTACTTTTCAGTGTGTGTAAAGACACACTGCACACGTGTTTAGGTGTGTTAATCAGGTGGTAGTAGAGACTCCCAAGGTATTATTTAGACCATGCACTAAAAGGAAGAATAACATCCTCCATATTTTGAGATTATTGCAAAGGTCAGTAGAGAAAGGTACTATTTTGTGATGAGAGACAAAAGATCATCCTTGCTGAGATTTTCATGGCTCTTTAGAAAATTGGTGTGATCCTATATTTGAAAACAACTGTCACATGATACACACTAGAAAAATTTCCCAAATTGCAAGGCAATTTTGGCCTTCTCAGAAACTTTTCCAAGAATAGAGATTGTTGTCAAAACAAAGTTTCATATTTGCTTTTTATTGAGCACCTAATAGGTAATAGATTGTGGGAGAGACAAGTTTCCATCCACTTGTTTTGCTGTCCTTCCTGGGCATATGGGGAGACTATATTCCCCAGTCCATTTGTTGTTAGAAAGGGCCACTGAAATATAAACAGAAGCTATGCTTGTCATTTTCAGGCCAAGGCATTTGAGAGTCAGTATGTCAGTTCTATGCTTTCTGGTCTATTCAGCAGCAAATATGGAGCTCTCATGATGAGATGTGGTGCCACATGATGGAAGTAGCCTGGATCCCTGGGTCCTCTGACAGTGAAGACCCCCTGTTAACTCACATCAGATTTTATGTGCGTGAAAAATAAACTTGTTGTGCTAAGACTTTAGGATTTCAGGCTTCTTCCATTACATCCATTAGCAGTGACTATCAGAATATTGCACAGTTACTATTTCTGTTGTTAGTTTTACTCAAATATATTAATTACTCAAATATTCTTGATGCTTAAGAAAATTCTAACACTATGGATAAATCACAATTCTGCTCCCTTACTCTGTTCCTCCAAAATTTATTCCCTACCAGAAGTAACCACCATTAAAAACCTTGAGTCTTTTATTTTTATGTATATTCTAGGCTTTTTTCTTATATACATGTGGTAGGAAAATATATTGTGAACTTTTAACATATATATATATATACTGATGTACATTTTGTTGTACCTGTTGCATTTGTCACTAAATAAAATGGATGCAGGAACTTTCCATGAGAGCACATATAGATCCACCTCACTGTTTAAACTACTACCAAGAATTTCAAGGGACATATGTATCATAATTAATTAAACAATTCTTCTACTGATGGATGTATAAAGTGTTTTCCATTTATTGCTATGACTAATAAGATTGAAATAAACATTACTGAACATGACTTCTTGGGTAAATGTAGATGTTTTATTACAGGAAAGATGTAGAAAAGTATAAATTCAGTTAAAATGGTAAGAATGTGGTGATTGTCAATTTTTTGAATATTACTGAACTTTCATTCCAAAAATGTTGTATACTCTCACTGGTGTTTTCTTTGATAAATTTTAAATTTGGGAGAAATGTTTAGCCAAGTTGTATTGTTTCACTGCTATTTCTATTTTAATTTCCATTTTCTAAGTAGGTTGAACAGAAAATGAACTTAATCCCTCATCCATACGAAGTGAGACATCGGTAGTGATGTCTTGAGCACTAACATTTCTCTGGGCATTTGCTTTAAAATTCTCATATGTCAAGAAAACATTTCTCTTCACTTTGAGAAGAAAGAACTTGGTCAGTATGACCAGGGTCCAGAAAAATGTGCCCTGACAAAAAAACCTCAGTTAGTGAAGAACATCAAGAGAACCGGGGACTAGAACAATTTCCAGAACCCATGAGAGAGATCACAAGCTAAACCAAGTCCAGAGAACTCAGGGTAGGGAGTGGTCAGGGATCTGCATCCAGAGTTCAGCATGGGATAGTAATGGGACCAGAAGGAGTGAAGGTGAGGAAACCGGTGGTGTCTCGGACAACTTTTATGAATAGGCTTGGCAATCTGAATCATTACCCGCATGAAATTGTAGGGTGATCTGAGTACGCAGATCTATTGGATGAAAGGCCCAAAGGCATGCTCTATTAGACTTTCCCCTTCCCACTTCTCAGGCAGGGTATGACTTACTCCCCTGCATCACCCAGTGACGATATTAATTGATTCTGGGAAAGCTCTCTTCACTACTCTGGTGGTTCAGTGCACCCTTTCCAGTGAGAATAAGAAAGATTGTATCTTGTAAGGGAAGATACAATCTTTCTTTTCAGTCATCAAGACAGCTCTCAACCCTGCTACAAGTGGGTGGGAAGCTGTACAAGTGGGTGGGATTGGCGATTAGACAGTTAAAACAGGGCAAGTACTACCAATAAGTAGTGGCACAGAGTGTGTCACTGCAAGGAAAAAGAAACTGGAGGGGGAGTTCTCTGAGACTAACTACCTCACTGACTCTATAAGTAAAAGGTTGAATGTGGACATGTCTTGAAAAAGGATCCACATGTTATCCCTAGCTCAGATTGCCTCTCACTTTTCCTGCCTTCTTTTTACACCAGAATAAATATATCCTTCAGCTGTGTTTGGTGGCCTTTTCCCACCAGATACCAAGTGGTGTAGGGGGCTGATTTGCTATGCAAACATTTCGAGGGTGAATGGAGAAGCAGTGTAAATGGTGTTAAATTGACTGGGGGTGACAGGTATATGTGAGACACAAAGAGATCTCTTTATTATTGTAATTACCCCAACCTGAACAAATTGAAAACAAACAAACAAAAAATAGTTTCTGTACTAGCCACTCTCAAAATGTCATCACCTGGGCCAAGCACAGTGGCTCACACCTGTAATCCCAGCACCTTGGGAAGCCGCGGTGGGCAGATCACCTGAGGTCAGGAGTTCGAAATTGGCCAGGCCAACATGGTGAAATTCCATATCTACAAAAATTAGCCGGGCATGGTGGCGAGTGCCTGTAATCCCAGCTACTCGGGAGGCTGAGGTGGGAGAATCGCTTGAACCCTGGAGGAGGAGGTTGCAGTGAGCCGAGATCACGCCACTGCACCCAGCCTGGGCGACAGAGCGAGACTCCGTCTCAAAACAAAACAAAACAAAGAAAAAAGTCCCTGATGTGCAGCAAATGTAATAAAATCTAAAACTATGACGTGAAAACTGTGGACCACTGTGTCAGACTCAGGCCAGCAGAAGGAGGAATCCTAGACCTAATAGAAGTAAAGGTGAGGATTCTGTGTATATTTCTGAGGAAACCGCCCACTGAAAACAGACTGGCAGCACAGTGGCTGGCTTCTGCTGTCAGTTCTGGGAGGCACTGGCATGGCTGTGAGGCTCAGGAACCCCTTCACTTCGCCTTCTGGAAACGAGGGTGATGTGAGTAGGTTGCTGGTTTAAGGCTGGTTAACTTGGTAACCAGAAGGCGACCTGGCCGGGAGTCACTAAAAAGCCCCTATGTGAGTTCTAAGGGAATCGCGCAACCCAGAACAGTTAACCCCACAGCGCCTCGCCCCAGTGCCAGCCCCACAAACCCCCAATCTTTCCCGGAAGGGTTTGCACCCCGATATCCAGCCGTGGGGTCGCAGGAAGTGAAAGTGTCTGAGAGCGCTGGCGTCCAGTCGCCTGAGGGAGGAGTTCCAGATCCTGCCTGAAATTAAGTAAGGACCCTGAGTTAGGTGTGGGGGACCACCCACTCCAGACTAAAGGGGCTCTGAGAGAATTCCGTCCCTGCTTTCAGCTTCCATAGAACCCAGACAGGACTCTCTGATGTAGCGACCCCTGAATACCTTTTAAATAGTCCCTGAGGAGACTGGGCGAGTGAGGGTATTGGACTAGCGTGTGGGCTTCAGACCAGCAGAGGGAGAGTTCCCAGGCCCTAACAGGAGTAAAGGCAAAGACCCTGAAAGAACAGGAGTAAAGGGAGTCCCCCTCGTCCGCCCCGTTTTCAGAACAGAGGGGCCTCGCAAAGTCCCGCCCTTGCGGTCAACCTTGGGGAGGCCCCAGATGGGGGCGGAAGGACCTGAGGCACACGGGCTTTCGCCTGTTGTGTTTGAGGGAAGTGTTGGGGTGAGGCCGGGTAGCATCACTCACTTAAGTCGAGGGAGGAGCTTTGAGCCCTGCCTAGAATTAAGGTAAAGACCCGGAGTTAGGTGTGAGGGGACCACCCACCCCAGACTAGAGGGGCTCCCAGAGAGTTATTCTCCTGCTTTCAGCTCCGATAGAACAAAGACAGGAATCGTGGGAGGTAGCGACCTCTGAGTACCTTCTAAATGCCCCCCAAGGAGACTGAGCCGGTAAGGGTATTGGACCTGGGTGCGGGCTTCAGACCAGCAGAGGGAGAGTACCCAGCCTCTAATAAGAGTGAAAGGGAAGACCCTGAGTGAGATCTGAGCGGACCCCCGAACCCCCGAGCAGAGGGGCCTCACAGAGCCCTCGCCATACACTCAGTCCTGAAAAGCTAAGGTGAATGAAGGTGCATTGATGCAAGGAACCCTGACTTCTGCCTCTGGTGTCTCAGGGAAGTGAATGCCTTGGAATGGGAGCAGAGTGATGTCAAGTCAGTAGTAGCAGGATGATTTCCAGACCCTGTTAGGGGTTAAAGTGAGAATATTGAGTGAGGTCTCAGGGAACAACCCACCCCTAACAAAGGGAGCTTCACAAAGCCGCACCCCTGCTGTCAGCCCTGGGAGGCTTTGGGCAAGGCACTCCCTCATGTTGTACTTATCGGGGGCTGGGTGGGAGGGTGATCGGGGAGATGAGGTCTTTAGTCTGAGAGGGGCAGCTTTGTGGCATTAGAGGGAGGAGGCCCATAGTCTTCTGGAAGTCTGTGTGTGGACACTGAGTAAGGACTGAGAGGACTACCCACCCCGGAACAGCAGGGAGTCACAGAGCCCTATCCAGACCTTCAAACCTGAGTGAACCTGAAGGAGATATATTAGGCTGTGGTCTGCCAAATATTCTCATTAGGGCTTTCAAGGATGTGAAGGCTTTGCCCAGAGGAGATCGCTCTAAAGTCAGCAGACAGAGGAGTCCCACGCCTTAGCAAAAGCAAAGGTGAGATCACTAAGTGAGGACTGAGAACCCTAATTACCCCAGGATAGAGAGTCCCACAGAGCTTGGCCTGTGCTTTCATCTGTCTCTGTGTCTCCGGCAGGTGTGGTCAGATGAGGTTTCCCTGAATTCACCTTCTGGGATCACAGAGAGATGAGGGCTTTGAAGTGAGGGGTCAGCATCAAAGTAGTAGATCAGAGGGACCCCAGGTCATAACAGAAGTGAGATAATGATCCTTAATGTGAACTGAGAGAATGAACTCCTGCCCCAGAACAGAGCCACTTCTCTAAATCCCAGTAAGTCCTAGGCATATCTGGCAAGTAGTGACAACCTAAGTCTTAGTTAATTCCACATGTTCTTAGGGAACAAGCAGATCAGGGAATAGGAGCATTATGGGATTCCTAGAGCAGTGACTTCAAGGAAAACTGCTGAGGTGGCCTTCAATAAAGTCACGGAGGTGTCTCCCAGTTGAAGTGACCCAACCATCTCATCCTCTTTCCTCTAGGTCACAGAGCTCACGTGTCTAACTGTCTACTACCCTGTCTTAAGTCATCATGCCTCGGGGTCAAAGAGTAAGCTTCGTGCCCGTGAGAAACGCCGTCAGGCTCGAGAAGAGCCAGAGCCTCTGATGGGTGCTCAAGCCACTGCAAGAGTGGGAAGAGAATGTTCCTCCTCTTCCTCTGCTCATTTCAGGAGTACCATCCAGAGCTCAATTGCTGCCAAGACAACCAGCAATCCCCACGGGCCTCAGAGAGCCACATGCACCACCACTACTGCCGCAGCTGTTTCGTATGTAAGATCTAATGAAAGCACCAACAACCAAACGGAGGAAAGACCAAGATCCTCACAGGCCCTGGCTGCCAATGAGCACATGACCAGAAGCCCTCTAGATGAGAAGGTGTTTATTTTGGTGCATTACCTTCTGTACAAGTATCAAATGAAAGAGCTTATTATAAAGGCAGCTATGCTGAAAGATATAGTCCAAATTCCCAGGAGATACTTCAGTGAGATCTGGGGAAAGTTTCATATCACCTGGAGATGGTCTTTGGACTTGACCTGAAGGAAATGGATCCAGATAGGCACATCTATTTCCTTATCAACACACTGGTACCAACCTATGATGCAAAGTTGAGTGATGACAGACGTGTGCCCAGGACTGGCCTGCTGATGACTATCCTGGGTGTGATCTTCACAAATGGTAATTGTGCCACTGAGGAACAAATCTGGCAGGTATTGAATGTGATGGGGTTATATGAGGGGAGGAGGCACTTCATTTTTGGGGAACCCAAGAAGATCATCACCCAAGATTTTGTGAGAGAAAATTACCTGCAGTATCAGCAAGTGCCCGACAGTGATCCTCCGCGCCATCAATTTCTATGGGGTCCACGAGCTCATGTAGAAACCACCAAGATGAAAGTCCTAGAGTTTTTAGCGAAGATCCACAATACTGTCCCCAGTGCCTTCCCAACCTGGTATAAAGAGGCTTTGAGAGATGAGGAAGAAAGAGCTCAAGTCAGACTTGCAGCAAGGGCTCACATTAGGGCTGTGGCCAATGCACGTTCCAAGGCCATATTTAGCAGATTCTCCCACCCCTAGTAGAACTCAAGACATTTTTCGCCTTGTGGTTGAAAGGAAAAGTCCACATTCTAAGCTGTGGAAGGTCAGGGTGGGACTGGAGGCAACACAGTGTATAACATGTTTGTTTTCTTGTTCTGTAATAAGTTCCTGGATAGTTTTTTCAAAATATTGTTCCTTTTATCAGAAGGTTTGAGTAACTTTAGAAACTAAGTTTATGAATGACATTACTTAAACATTGCTGTGAATGTAAGAGTAAGAGTTTTATTATTTTGTGAAACAAATAAGGAACATTCCATTTTAGTTGTTTGAAACAAGATATGGCAGTAAATTTGGTATTTTTTTTTCGGAAATGTGAAAGGACGCAGAATTGTAATAGTTGGGATCAAAAGTGGGGAAAAAATAAAAGACTGTAAATTCTTGGTTTCATTTATCACCTTTAGTCTTTTTTTTTTGGTAAAATCCATTTGTATATACATACCTGGATATACTTAGTTTATTCAACAATGTAGGAGAAATTAAATCATAATAAATCAGACCTCCTTCTCAGGGGTTTATTTTTTTCCCCAAATAATAATTGAGCATCTGCTCTGGATGGCTTGTGTTAGTACTTGCAGTGCTAAGATAAACAAGAATCATCTATACCCATAGAAATGAACAGCCTTGGAGTAGCTAACATGAAAGGAAGATGGTGAACGGCTTAGTTCAGATTGCTATCACAAATTATAGATTGGGTGGCTTAAAGATCAAACATTTATTACTCATAGTTCTGGTAGTTGGAAGTCTGAGATCGAGTTTCCAGGTCAGGTTCTCAGTAAAGGCTCTCTCAATGCTTAACAATCTTCTCCTTGTATCCTCACATGGTAGAGAAAGCTGTGGTCTCTTCATCCCTTTATAAGAGCACTCATTCATGAAGGCTCTACCCTCATAACCTAATTACCTCCCCAAGGCCCCACCTCCAAATACCATCACATTGGGGATTCAGGGTTCAACATGTGAATTTTTGGGGGACACAATCATTCCATCCATAGCAGTGAGACAATCTAACCAAAAGGACAAGTCAAAAGAAGGTGTGAGGACTTTGGGGTTTCAGATGAGCAGCTGAGTGTAAATGCCCTGTGGCAAAGGGTTGGGGTTGGGAAACTGCAAGTCCTTCAATGTGACATAATCTTAAATTAAGCTGAGTTGTGGGTCAGATGAGCCTCTGAGAGCGGTGGGCAGAGGCCAGCACCTCAGATGGTGTGTCTCAGACTTGAGAAGGCTGGAATGGAAAATTGCTTTTAGTAGTCACCTTTAGGTCACAAATAAACCAGAGAGAAATCTCCACCTAGTGCACAAATGGAAGACGTCCTGTGCTCTTATCTCAGTGTGGGTGAACGCAATGCACAAAAAGATGATTTAACAAGGTGCACGAAAATGTGATTTACACCTATTACCACAAGGGAGGGTCTCAGGAATAATGGTGATACTCATATAAGAAGCTCAGAAGCCACTGTGCTGGCAATCTGCAGTGATTTGGGAGAGGCACAGCCCATCCATTAAATGGGCATTTCAACTAGGTTATCTAGTATATAATTTGGCAAACTATAAACTAAAACTGGATTTTTATGGGGTGAAATAATTGCAAATACATGTGGTTTGGAGCGAAGGGCAGTTGGAAGGGAGGGACTGAGGTAGACCTTGACACAATTTCTAGGAGCTCTGAGTTGCATGAAACTGGATAAGACTCCCCCATACCAACAACAAATAACATAACCTCAAAAAAGTTGTATAGCGTGTAACTTAGTTTAACCTGCTAAGCAACATTTTGGCTGATTTGTTGTGCTATATGCTAGTGGGCTGCAAATTATCTGACAATTCCTGGATAAAACAAAGCAAACAAAAAGAGGGAAAATTGGTAGGTTTTGGGGTCAATATAAACATAATAATAACCGTAATTTATTAAAATCCAATATAAGGTAGTGTGCCAGATGCCTTGCATAAGTTAGATACATTCCAACATTCGTACTTTACAGTACGGTATACTGAGAAGCCAAATACATGAGCCAGGGAGCAAGAGGACTGTTTATCAAACCAACTTCACAGATGAAGAATTTGAGGCTCATAGAACTGCAGTTTTCCCGAGTTTCCCTGACTTGCAAGTGATAATACTGGGACCAGACCCCTATTCTGAATTCGTCTAGAGTCCACATTGTTCCCTCTCCTTGACTAAGCTGACTTGTGTCTCTGAATTCATTTCTCTTCTCACTACCACACTATGTCTCTGGGCAATGAAAAGAAGGAACCTGGGGCCAATGTACTAAATCCAGATGTAATAAATAATGGAGAAAATGAGAATTGAACACCATTTGGAGACTGCCTGTGGGCCTCATTTCATAGGGCCCATCCACCCCTAGCTCCAGGGTTCTTTGGGAGCTGATTTTGCCCAGGTGCTGGCAGATGGGACCAGATCCAGCACTTCCCAAATTACACTGTTCTTTCCTTGAGTCAGCCCCTGTGAGTCCTTGTGCCCAAATCTGGATCCTTACCTGCTGTCCAGCTCTTCCCTGCTTCCTTCCACGAAGGCTGCACCCTGCTCGCTATGGGAAAGAAAGCCCAGAATAACTTTCCTTCCTTTCTCCTGACTTAGAGCTTTCCAACTCCCTGCAGATGTCCTCTGTTTGCCACATCACTCAGCTTGCAACTTCTGATAACAACAGCCCCTTCCATGTAATTGTTTACTTAAGCAGTGAACGTTACGTACCTGCTTATCTGTTCTGGGTGCTTCCACTCCAACCAAATTTTTTTCCAAATTTGCTTGTGAGTTGAGTCAGATTTGAAACAAAATCTGCTGGTTCTTGGCATATAACTCTGAAGCTAAAGATTTTAGACAGAAAATTGGATGACAAAGACAGGAGAGTTTAATCTGGTGACCTATTTGAGACTAGGCACTGATGAATGAGCTTAACCAAGTGGCCAAAAACCAAAACCTCCCATATAAGTGGTAAATGAGGAAGGATCAAGGAAGTCACTGTCTAGCAACCATCTAAAAAGACTGGACTGTAATGAACCCTGTAGTCCTTCCAGGAAGTTGTGGTAGATTTCTCTCAATGCAGTAACAAATTACTGCAAATTTAGCATTTTACAACAACACACCTTTATTATGTCACATCTCTGGGTGAGAAATCTAGGTTGGCTCTGCTGATTTCTCTGCTCTGGGTTTCACAAGGCCCATACCGAACTCTCAGAGCCTGTACTCTTATTGCAAGGTTCTGGGATGAATCCCCTTTATAACTCATTCAGGTTGTTGGCAGATTTCAATTTCCTGCACTTCTAAGACAAAGGCCCTACTTTCTGACTGCATTCGTCTATGGCAACCATAATTTCTTGAGACCTTTCTCTATTCTTTGCATTTATCTTGTGTCAGCAATTGCAGGTTGAATCCTTATTACACTTGCAATCTTTCTAACTTCCTCCTCTGCTGTATCTCTTTTCTACTTCTATCCGGAGAACATCCTCTGTGTGTAAGAGCCCATATCATTAGATTGAGCCCTCCTTGATAATTCAACATAATGTACCTAATTTAATAGTGGTTTCCCAAAGGAATATAAATCATTCTATTATAAAGACACATGCACGTGTATGTTCATTGTGGCACTATTCACAATAATAAAGACATGGAATCAACTTAAATGCCCATCAATGATAGACTGGATAAAGAAAATGTGGTACATATACACCATGATATTCTATGCACCATGTATACCATAGTATTCTACGCAGCCATGAAAAAGAATGAGTTCATGTCCTTTGCAGGGACATGGGTGGAGTTGGAGGTCATTATCCTTAGCAAAGTAACACAGGAACAAAACCAAATGCCACGTGTTCTCACTTACAAGTGGGAGCTAAATGATGAGAACACATGGACACACAGAGGAGAACAATACACACTGGGGCCTTTGGAGAGTGGAGGGTGGGAGGCGGGAGAGGATCAGGAAAAATAATTAGTGGGTACTAGACTTAATACCTGGGTGATGAGATAATCTGTACAACAAACCCCCATGACACAAGTTTACCTATGTAACAAATCTGCACTTGTATCCCCGAACTTAAAATAAAAGTTAAAAAAATAAAATAAAAAGTAGTTTAATAATCTTAATAAGATCTGCAAAATGCCTTTGTCACGTAGCATAACATACACATGGTTTTCAGGGATAAGTGCATATATATACTTTTGTAGCAATTATTCAGTCTACCAACACTGTAGAAAATGTTTCCCTAGCCTTCTAGAGTTTATGAGAAATGTAAAAATAATCTCCATGTTTCAGCTAACTCTTGTCTGCATCTGCCCCAAGGGAAAATCCTGGTTTTTCACTATGTGTAAAGACACCTGTATAAGTGTTCAGGCATATTCATCAAGTGATAGATAGAAGACACTCCGAAATTATGATCTTGATCATGTAGTGAAAGGAAGAAAGAAATGCTCAGTATACTGAGACTATTGTAAAGGTAAGTGGAGAACGGTGCTACTGAGTAAAGAAGGGTAAACCATAGTTGTTGGTAATTCTTAAAGAGTCCTTTAGAAAGTTAGCATAATTGTGGCAGGGCACGGTGGCTCATGCCTGTAATCCCAGCACTTCGGGAAGCCAAGGCGGGCGGATCACCTGAGGTCAGGAGTTCGAGACCAACCTGGCCAACATGGAGAAACCCTGCCTCTACTAAAAATACAAAAATTAGCTGGGTGTGGTGCTGCATGCCTGTAATCCCAGCTACTTGGGAGGCTGAGGCAAGAGAATCGCTCGAATCTGGGAGGCAGAGGTTGCAGTGAGCCGAGATCATGCCACTGAACTCCAGCCTGGGCAACAGAGAAAGACTGTCTCAAAAAAAAAAAAAAAGAAAGAAAGAAAGAAAAGAAAAGAAAAAAGAAAGTTAGCATAATAGCATAAAACATGAAAAGATCTATTACATAGTAGGCACTAGAAAAACTTAGCCAGTTGCAACGCAATTTTGGCCTTCTCAGAAACTTCTCCATGAATGAAGAAGACTTTTATACAAATTGTGAAAGTTACACCTCGCTGATCACCCACTATGTAACTGTTTATGGAAAGTTTGCAAGTGTTGTCCTTCCTGGGAGGAGGAGACTACATTCCCAGTTCACTTATAGTCAGGAAGAGTTATTTGACTACCCTTGCAACTGACATATAAAAAGAAACAGTGCTGCTACATTGTAGTGCATTGGCGAAACTACAATAAAAACAGCCTGGATCCCTGGGTTGCCTAACAGTGGAATCCCTCTGTTAACCCACATCAGATTTTAAGTGCATGAGACAAAAGCTTTTCTTGTGCTAAGGCTTTCAGATTTTAGGCTTCTTCCATTAAATCCTCTTGCAGTTATCGTATATGAACAATACACAGGTACTATTTCTGTCTTATTGAAACATTTTAATTACAAAAATAATAGTGCATACATTCATGATACAAAAAAAAATCTGACAATATGGCTAAATCACAACCCCTTTCCTTACTGCATTCCTCCAAAATTCAGTTCCCCTCAGAAATAACCACAATTCAAATTCTTGTACATATTATTTTAAAATATATTTTAGGCTTTTCCTTAAATCGATATACTAGACAAAATACATTGTATGTTTTTAATGTACCTGGACAAAGATGTACATATTCTTTTGCCTCTTGCACTTGTCACTTAATGAAATAAATGCTGAATCATTCTGTGAGAGCACCTATAGATATGTCTCATTCTTTTAACTACTTCCTACAATTCTAAAATGTGTATGTGTCATAATTGATTTAAAAATTCTCCTCCTGATGGACATGTAAGTTGTTTTCCATTTTTTGCTATGACTAATAAAATTGATATCAACATCACTGAACATAAATTATTGGGCAAATGTGGGTGTTTTCTTGTAGGAAAGACATGGAAAACTGAGAATTGAATTAAAGTGGAAATAGTGTGATGATTGTAAGCTTTTATGAATATTGCTGAAATTCCATTCTGATAATGCTATACCAATTTATATTCTCGTGTATTAATGTATGTGAATATCTTATACTCTCACAGGAATTTGACTTGATCAATTTTAAATTTATTCATTCTTTTGGGTGAAAATACATTCTTACTGTTATTTTGTATTTCCATGTTTTCTAATTATGGTAATCCAAAATTAATTCAACCCCCTATCTTTACAAAGCAGGGTTTCTGCAGTGATGTCTTCTGTACTAGGATACCTCTGGGCAAGCTTTAAAATTCTGAAATGTCAATGAAAATTTCTTTTTACTTTGAGAAGCACGGCTTTGGTCAGAATGACTAAGTCCCAGGAAATGTCCAGAGAGGGCACTTTCAGTTAGTGAGAAACATCAGGAGGGAGACAGAATAATTTCCAGAGTCCATGAGAAAGACCACATGCTAAACCAAGCTCAGGGAGCCTAGGGCAGACTGACAGTCAAGGATCTGTATGCAGAGTTCCGCATTTCGTTGAGAATGAATCAGAAAATGAAAAGGTGTGGAATCTTGGAGGGTCCTGAACAACTCACGTGAGCAGCTTGACAAATTTCTGAATCATTTTTACCCATCTGAAGTTGTAGAGTGATCTGAGTGGGAAGATCTATTGTAGAAAATCACCACAGGCATGCCTGATACCTTACCCTAACTTACAATCTGCCCTACTCACTGTCAGGCAAAGTATAGCTAGCTCCCCTGTGTCACTGAATAACGTTCTTGATGGAAACTGGGAGAGCTTTTCACTATTCTGGTGGGCTGTACTTCTTTGCCACTGTACTGCAGCTGTGAGCTGCCTTGATTCCTGCTGGAGAAGGGCATTTCTTCTCTTGTACACAGTACCCTTCCACCATTGAGGTTGGTGCTATGTGTATGGGAAAGACGGCAAATGATGACAGTTGAAATAGGCCAGGGAGTACCAGAATAATGGGAGAGGGTGTGTAGCTGCAAGCAGTGGAAAATTGGAGGGGGAATTCCCTGAGGCTAAGTACCTCAGTGACTCTGCAAATAAAGGTTTCAATGTGGATATGTCTTGAGAAAAAGATCTCGATGCTCTCCCTACCTCTGACTGTCTCCCTTGGTTCTCAAGTTATTTGCTGCCACAGGGCATATGTCCTGTGGCTCTGTTAAGTGGTCTGTGTTGCCACCAGATACTGCCTAGGGTAGGAGGCTGGCCCCAGGCATAAACATCTTGCAGGATGGGTGGAGAATTACTGCAGATGATGCAGTTCATTGTCAAACTGACTGGGGGTGATGGTGATATGTGTGTTCACCAGAGCCCAGTTCTCCCACTCAGCCCCCTCTGCTTGAGGGCCTCCCATGGCTGACAGAGGGCAGAGTTCTGTGGAGTTGATTGAATTAAAATGTAAAAAACATCTGTACCAGGCATTCTCAACATTTTCAAAAGATCTGTAATAAATTTTATTACCTTTTACTGAGAAGTGAAAGCACTGGGCCAGGGTATCAGCTTCAGGTCAGCAAAGGGAAGAATTCCAAGCCTCAGCAGAAATAAACATGAGGACCTTGAGGAAGGTCTGAGGGAACCACTTAACACTGGAACATACTGCCCCGCCCACAGGCCCCCCCAACCCCCCCATCCCTGCACCCCTGGGGTCAGCCTCAGGAGCTCCAGGCATGATTGTTAAGTACAGGGGCCCCTTAACTAAACTAAGTACAGGGGGTTGGGAAATGACAATGATTAGAAAGACGGGGAGTTAGCCTTTGTCTAAGGCTGGCTCATTCAATTCAACAGAGAGAGCACAGTACTGTCCAGTAGTTCTTTCAAAACATGAGTACTGCAGGTACTTCCTTGTCTAGAACAGAGGAGGTCAGCTTGGAGCACCACCCCTTCCATCAGCCCTGGGAGGCACTAAGCAGGGGACACAGGAAGTAGTTTCTCTTTTCTTCCACCTTGCCTCTGACACCTCAGGGCAGTGAAGGCTTTGATATGCGTGAGGAGGCATCGGGTCAGCAGATGGAGGAGTCCAGGCCCTGTTCTAGGCAAGATAAGTACTCTGAGTGAAGTTTGAGGGAACCACCCACCACAGATTGGAGGGACTCCCACAGAGTCCAACCCCTGATTTCAGCCCTGTTAGATCCCAGACAGGGATCATTTGATTTAGTACCTTCTGAATTCCCTCAGTGAGGACTCTGGGAGCTGAGAGTCAGCAGATGGAGGCGTCCAGGCTCTGCCACACGTTAAGGTAAGGATTCTGAGTAAGGTCCGAAGGAACTTCCCACATCAGAACAGCAAACTCCACAGAACTCTGCCCCTGCTGTCAGCCGTGGGAGGCCCCCAAGCAGAGGGGGCTGAGTGGGAGAACTGGGCACTGGTGAACAGTAGTTAAATGTGCCACAAGTTGCAATATTCATGCAATGCTTAAACCCTTTCTTTAAAATAAAATTAAAATTGTTTTATATTTAGAGAAAAGTTGCAAAGATAAGACAGAGTTCTCTTACACTCAATATTCACTTTCCCCTATTGTCATTGAGGGTGGACTATCCACACAAATTATTTGGAATTCTTCTTTAGAAAAGATTTACCAGACTCGGTGGCTCACACCTGTAATCCCAGCACTTTGGGATGCTGAGGGGGGTGGATCACGAGGTAAAGAGATCAAGACCATCCTGGCCAACATGGTGAAACCCTGTCTCTACTAAAAATACAAAAATCAGTTGGGCATGGTGGCGCACACCTGTAGTCCCAGCTACTCGGGAGGCTGAGACAGGAGAATCACTTGAACCCAGGAGGTGGAGGTTGCAGTGAGCCGAGATAGCACCACTGCACTCCAGCCTGACAACAGAGCAAGACTCCGTCTCAAAAAAAAAAATTGCATATTCTCCTTGATTTACTTATTCAATCATTTATTTATATCAGTATGAACTTGTGGATATTTATCTTATACCCCAGGTTATAATCCAGTATTAGGTTACTTTATTAGATCAAAATGTTTCATTGGTGCTGCAGTCTTACTTCTAAGCCTTCTTAGCAGCTAGATATTGGAAAACTTCTGTATACTAAATGTATATGAACATAGATCTATAATTATTTCAATATTTATCCATCTGTACCTATATTAAGCTGAACATTACTCTTACTGATGTTTCTAGCTCTATTCTAGTATCACATAATTCATTTTAGCCATCTCCTCTACTTACCTCCATAACAAAATTGGCCCCAACTGTCTAGCATCTGTATACATAATTATTTATATAGTCCTAGAATATTGATTTCAGATTGTTGGCCTTGTGAGAAACAAGTATAATGTCTTTGTACAGTTCCTTTTTTTTCTTTAGTCTTACAGTCTCCACTCATTTCCTAAGTTACTTAGGTCAGCACTTCTTTTTCCCTATTACTTTCAGTGACATCATTTTATACACTTTTAATACAGCTAGATTCTTTTGTTGCAGTCTGCATTCCATGCTCCGATACCCAGATTTTTAAATTGATTTTTATTTGTATACATTAATGTTCACTCTTTGTATTATAATGTTCCATGGGCTTTGAAAAATGCAATCCGTCTCATATCCATCATTACAGTATCATACAGAATAGTTTCACTATCATAAAAAATTCCCTGTACTTCATCTATTCAACCACTCCCCACAATCCCCTGAAAGCTACTGAATCTGTTATTGTCTCTGTAGTTGTGCCTTTCCTAGAGTGTCACATAAAGTTTACAACATGTAATATTTTCAGATTGGCTCATTTCACTTACCAATATACATTTAAGATTCATCTATGTTATTGTATGGATTTATAGTTGATTGCTATTTATTGCTGAATGGTATTCCGTTGTATGCATGCACCACAATTTATTCATTCACGTATTAAGGACATCTTGGGTTCTGGTAATTATGAATAATGCTGATATAAGCATTTTTGTGCAATTATTTGTGTTGACGTTAAGTTTTCACGTGTTTGGTCAGCTGGACCATGTAAGACTAGGTTTAACTTTATAAGAAGTTGCCAAACTGTTTCCAAAGTGGCTGTACCATTTTGCATCCCTACCATCAATGTGTGAAAGATCTAGTTGCATCCTCACCAGTAATTGATATTTTAGCCCTACTAATATGTGTGTACTAGTAAATAATTGTCTTAGTTTGTATTTCCTTAATGAAAAACTATGTTGTGCATCCTTTCATATGCCTGTTTGCCATAGAAAAATCTTCTTTTGTGAAATATGTTTTCATATATTTTACCTATTTAAAAAATAACGTTGTGTATCAGTATCCTAGGACAACTATAACAAACTGAGTGACTTACAACAAAATAAATATATTCTCCCGCAGATACGGAGGCCAGAAGTCTGAAATCAAGGTGTCAGAAATGTTGATTCTTTCTGGAGGCTCTCAGAAAGAATCCATTTAATGCCTTTCTCCTACCTTCTGATGGCTACCCAGCAATTCTTCACATTCCTGACTTATAAACCCATCACTTGCATCTGTCTTTACCTTCATATAGCCTTCCCTTCTGTGTGTCTGTGTTTCAAATCTCCCTTGATCTTTCTTCTATGACACTTGTCATTGGACTTATGGTTCAACCTAAATCAAAAACAATGTCTTCTTGAGATCCTTAACCTAATTACAGTTGCAAACTTTCCAAAGAAGGTCACATTCACAAGTTCCAGGAGTTAGGAGATAGACATATCTATTTGAAGTCACCATTCAACCCACTACTGGTTGCTTGTTTTATTATTTTTGAAGTTGTAGAGTTCTTTATGCATTCTGGATACCAATCATTTATCGGTGATATGATTTGCAAATATTTTCTCCCAGTATTGTCTTTTTATTCCCTTAACGGTGTCTCTCACGGAGCAAAACTTTTTAACGTTAATAAAGTCCAACTTATCAGTGTTTTTTCTTTTATTAACTATGCTTTTGGTATTGTATATATTAATAAAACTCATTCCAAAACCCAAACTCATAGATTTTCTCTTATGTTTTCTTCTAGAAGTTTTATAGTTTTGCATTTTGTTTTAGGACTATAATCCATTTTGAGTTAATTTTTTGTGTAAGGTCTCAGTTTAGTGTCTAAGTTAATTTTTTTCCATATGAATATCCAACTGTTCTAGCACTATTTGCTGAGAAAAAAATGATCATTTTCCATTTATTTGCCTTCGCACCTTTGTGACAAATCAGTTTGCTGTATTTGTGTGAGCCTATTTCTGGGCATCTTATTCGCCATTCTATTTGTTCTTTCTTTCACTAACACTATAATGTCTTGATTACTATAGCTTTATATTAAGCCTTTAAATCACATAGTATGAGTCTTCAAACTTTGTTCTTAGTCAGTATTGCATTGGCTATTCTAAGATCTTTGTTATACCATATCAGAGTCAGTATGTTGCTGTCTACAAAAAACTTGCTGGGATTTTTAGTGGAATTGCATTGAGTCTATAAATCAAGTTAGAAAGAATTGACATCTTAACAATAGTGAGTCTTCCATTCCAGGAACAGAAAATACTGCTCCATTTATTTAAATTTCCCTTGATCAGCGTTTTGTAGTTTTCTGCATATGGATTCCATACATATCTTATTAGACTTATACCTAAGTATTTCTGTGTGATTGTAAATATTTTTGCTTTTTAATTTCTGATTCCAATTCTCTATTGTTGGTAAATGGCAAAGTGATTATAATTACTTGTTTCAGAAAGGGTTTTTTTTTAGATTCTTTGGGTTTTCTACATAGACAATCATTTCCTCTGCAAAAAAGACAATTTTTATTTATCCTTCTCCTATATATATAATTTTTATTTACTTATTTTTCTTGTCTTGTACTAAATAGGGCTTCTATTATTATATCGAATAGGAATAATGAAAAATCAACCTCGTCTCATTCCCAATCTTAGGTGGAAAATATTCATTTTCTCATCATTAGGTATGGTGTTAGTGATAAGTTCTCTTATATACCCTTTATCAAATTAAGGGAATTCCCTTGTATTATTAATTTTTAGATGTGGTAAGTATAAATTGGTATTAAATTTTTCAAATTATTGTTTTGCATGTATTGATATAATTACATTTATTTTATATTCAATCTGTTAATATGAATTGCACTGATTGATTTACAAATATGGACTCAGTCTTGCATTCTGGGACTGAGCCCTTCTTGGTCATGATGTGTTTCATTCTTTTTACATATTTCTGTATTCTATTTGCTAATATTTTATGAAAGATATTTTTTATATTCGTGAGTGATATTGGGCCGTTGTTATTTTTCTAGTAATGTATTTATTTGGCTTTGGTATTAGAGTGATGATAGCCTCATAAAAAGAATTGAGAATTTTGTCTCTTCTATTTACTGGAAGATATTGTGGATTATTGGTATTTTCTCTTCCTTAAATGTTTGGTAGAATTCATCCAAGAAAACCATCTGCACCTGGTGATTATTTTTAAAGAAAGTTTTAAACTACTGATTAAATATCTTTAATAGATACAATACTGTTCAGGTTATTTATTTCAACTCATGTGAATTTGGGTAGTTTGTGTCTTTCAAGGGATTAACCCATTTTGTCTAAGTTATCAAATCTGTAAGCAGAGTTGTTTGTAGTATTCCATTAATATTTTTTCAATGTTTATAAGATCAGTTGTGAGTTGTGATGACCCCCTTTTATTCCTGATATTGGTAGTTTATTTCTTCTCTATCTTTCTTGATCATCCTGGCTAGAGGCCAATAATTTATTAGGTTATTTTGATGATGTTATCGCTTTTCTCTATTGTTTTCTTGTTTTATTTCTGCTCTGTATTTTTATTTGTTTTACTTCTGCTTCTTTTAACAAATATCCACTTTCTTCTATTTATTTTTCATTTGCTCCTCTTTTTATGGTTTCCTATGGTAGAAGCTTAGGTTATTTACTTTAGATATCTCTTATTTTCTGATACATGAATTTGATCTTCTAAATTTCTCTAGAAAAACTACTTTAGCAGCAATCCACAAGACTTGGTTATTTGGATTTTCATTTTTATTTAGTTCAAAATATTTTTAGATTTCTCTTGAAACTTCTTTGACCTTTGGGTTGTAGAGAAGTGCGTTGTTTAATTTACAAATATTTGGGAACTTTCCAGCTATCTTTCTGTTATTGATCTCTGATATAATTATACTGTTATCTGAGAACACACTTTGTGCAATTTGTATTTTTTTAAAAAAAATTGTTACTGTGTGTTTTATGGCCTAGAATGTGGTCTACTTGGTGGATGTCACAGGTGAGCTTAAGAATAATGTGTATTCTGCTGCTGTTGGTTGGAATACTCTATCATGTCAGTTAAGTCACGTTGGTCATCTATATCCTTGCTGATTTTCTGTCTGCCGTCTATAAATTACTGAAAATGTATTAAATATACTATAATACTATATCTTTTTACTTCAATCAATTTTTGCTCCATGTATTTTGATGCTCTGTTAGATGCATACACATTTAGAGTTGGTGTGTCCTTTTGGGGAATAGACCCCTTTATCATTACATAATTTCCCTCTTTGTCCCT
The DNA here is from genome assembly GCF_000001405.40 of Homo sapiens. Taxonomy (NCBI): domain Eukaryota; kingdom Metazoa; phylum Chordata; class Mammalia; order Primates; family Hominidae; genus Homo; species Homo sapiens. The sequence goes on from NC_000023.11 coordinate 27,846,676, forward strand.
GATAATTTCCCTTGTTTTGAAATCTGTTTTGTCTAAAATTTCTGTAGCTATTTTAGGTTTTATTTGATTAGTGTTGTTATGGTATATCTGTCTCCATCCCTTTACTTTTTTTAAACTGACTTACTGTGAAATATATTTTATTGAATTTCAAAGTAGCATTCCTACATGAGAATTTTTTTTAAAAGCTAAAATCAAGTTTTACAAGCATGCATTACAAGACAAACCATGAACAACGCTGGAACAGACATCAATTCATACCACAGCCTATATGAATGTTTTTCTGTTTTTTGTTTGTTTGTTTGTTTGTTTTTTTTGAGATGGAGTCTCGCTCTGTCCCCCAGGCTGAAGTGCAGTGGCGCAATCTTGGCTCACTGCAAGCTCCGCCTCCTGGGTTCACGCCATTCTCCTGCTTTAGCCTCCTGAGTAGCTGGGACTACAGGCACCCACCACCACGCCAGGCTAATTTTTTTTTTTGGATTTTTAGTAGAGACGGGGTTTCACCGTGTTAGTCAGAATGGTCTCGATCTCCTGACCTCGTGATCCACCCGCCTTGGCCTCCCAAAGTGCTGGGATTACAGGCGTGAGCCACTGCGCCCAGCCATGTTTTTCTATTTATTACAGTCATACACTAACAGTAGCAACACAATGATCACAGAATAAAATCATAAATGTCATAAGTGAGTTCTGACTAGGCTCTGACAAGTCTGTCATTCTTTTCTTGACAGCCGGATAAGCAACAGAACTTAATTGCTTAATCAAAAAACGTTAAAGATCTTTATGTAGCTGGAAATGACTACAATTGAAGACCCATTTCTAGCTACCTATCATATTTGCCTAGCAGGTTAATTTCAACATCAAAGAAAGTCATCTGGCTGGCTGTACCATGCATTGGCTAACGGGACAAGTTTGCTGTGTTTTATGTTCAGCTTGATATATTTCCTGGCTTGTCCTTTTCTTCCCTGCACCTTGGTCTTGAGCATTCTGAGACTCAGTCAGCTGAGAATAAAGGGAACCTACCAGCCAGTTGAGAGGTATGTTGTTAACAACATAATCTATCACATCATCTCAAAACTCCTTCCTTTTCTGCAGGTGACCCTTTTTTGAAGTGAGGAGGTCATTGGACACTTTCTTGAAGGAGACAGCATTGTGGAACATTAAATAGATGTCACTAGTCATCACCTCTAAATTGTTGGCCTGATCTTGGGTGTTCTAAGGTAACCCTTGAATGTTGGACAAGGAAGGTGTGGCAGATGATCTGGAGCTGTTAGTTTGTGGGCAATAACCATTGTACAGGGACTCTGCTAAAAATAAGACAAGAAATTTGTGAATCCAATGTGTTTTAGTTCAATTATAGTACAAATTTAGTTCAAATACTGTAAGCTGGCTATTTGCCCACCATATATGTGGATTTTCTTTGCTTTTTAAAAACTGATACATTTTATATTTAGCGCAGTTTTAGGTTTATGGAAAAACTGAGCCAGAAATATCATTTCCATTTATTTACCCCTTCCCCTGTCACACGCAGTTTTTCCTACTATTGACATCTTGCATTAGTGTGGCACATTTGATACAATTAATTAATGAATATTGATAGATTATTAACTAAAGTCCATAATTTACATTAGGATCCGTTATTTGTGTTGTACAGTCCTACAGGTTTTGACAAATGCATAATGTCATGTATCCACCATTAAAGTATCATACAGAATAGTTTCACTCCCCTAAAAATCCCTTACCCCTTTTCTTTTAACCTGAGTGTTAATATACAAAGTAGATTTATCAACAGCATGTGGTTGAATCTTTTATATTTTTGTATCCAATCTGACAAATTTTTCCTTTTAGCTATTGTGTTTAGAGCATTCACATTTAAAGTGATTATTAATATAGTTGTATTAAAAGGGTCTCACTCTGTCGCCCAGGCTGGAGTGCAGTGACGTGATCTTGGCCCACTGCAACCTCTGCTTCCTGGACTCAAGCGATTCTCCTGCCTCAGCCCCCCAAGTAGCTGGGACTACAGGTGCAAACTACCACTCCCGGCTAATTTTTCTATTTTTTGTAGAGATGGGGTTTCACCATGTTGCCCAGGCTGGTCTCAAACTCCTGAGGTCAAGTGATCTGCCTGCCTCAGCCTTCCAAAGTGTTAAGATTACAGGCGTGAGCCACCACACCCAGCCTTAAAATCTGTTCTTTTATGTCTGTTTTCTATCTGCTGCATTTTTTTTCTATCTGCTTTTTTTTTTTTTTTTGCATTGTCTGGTTATACTTGAGCATTTTATATGATTTTATTTAATCTCTTCTCCTGATAAATACTTCATACTTAAAATTTTTCAGTGGTTTTCCTAAGGTTTACAATATATGTTTTTAAATAATTTAAGCCCACATTCAAATAACACTACACTGTTTAACATGTAGTATACCTTCCTTATAACAGTATGTTTCCAGTTTCTCCCTCCATCCCTTGTAACACTGTTGTCATTCATTTTACTTATCCATATGCTATAATCAACCCATACATTGTTACTATTAATGCTTTAAAGAAATAATTTTTAAAGACTGACAAAAAAATAAATATTTCGGTTTACCCGCATTTATTCCTTCTCTGATGCTCATTTATGTTCATCCACATTTATGACCTATATCAGTTTCCTTCTGCATGATGAAGTTAACATCTTGCAGAGCAGGTATGCTGGCAATGAATTGCTCCAGTTTTTGTCTGTCTGAGAAAGTCTTTACTTTTTCTTCTCCTTTGAAAGATAGTTATGTTAGTTATAGAATTCTTGGTTTGAACTTTTATTTCTTTTAACACTTTAAGGATTTCACGTTATTCTGTTCTTGCTTGCCTGGTTTCCGATGAGAATTTTGCTATAATTTTAATCTTTCTTTTCTGTAGGAAAGTAATTCCAGTCCACTTTCTTCATAATTTTTGTCTTTTTTTTCTGCAGTTAAAATATGATATCCTAGGTATAATCTGTTACAGTTGCTCTTTATCTTGCTTGGTGTTCTCTGAGCTGACTGGGTCGTCTATGCTTTGTTGTCTGTCACTGATGATAGAAAATCCTTTGACACTATCATGACAAGTATTTTTTTCTGCCCCATTCTTTCTTTATTTTCCTTCTGACATTCTAATTACTTGTATTTATACCTTTTTATATTATCCCATGGTTCTTGGATATCCTGTTAATTTTTAATTCTTTTTATTCCCCTTTCTGTTTCATTTGGTGAGGTTTTTACTAACCTATTTTCAAGTTTAGTAATTATTTCTTCAGCTGTGTCGTGTTAACTAATAAGCCTGTCAATAGCACTCTGCATTTCTCTTATTGTATTTTTGATTGCTAGCATTTAGTTTTTATTCTTTCCTATAGTCTTCATCTCTCTGCCAACATAATCCCCGTTTGGTCTTGCATGTTATCTGTTTTTTCAATTAGAGCCCTTAAAATTCTAATCATACCTATTTAAGTTTTCTTGTTTGATAATTTAAACGTCTGTATCATGTTTAAGTCTGGTTCTGATACCTGCTTTGTCTCTTTAGATTGTTTTCTTTCTTGCTTTTTGGTATGCTTTATAATTTTTTGTTGAAAGCCAGACATATGTCAGTGTTAGGTACCAGGGAACATATGCTTTTAGTGTGATGATTGATATTAACATGGTTAGGAGTTGGCTTGTGTTTAATGTTTGTTATAGTATAGGTACTAGAGGCCTCACATTCCTCTAGTGTCTTTGATTTTTTTATCCTCTCTTTGCTTTAGGGTTTCTCTTTGTATTGGTCCTCAGAGAGCAGCTGTGTTTTGCAGATCTTTCAGCTGTAATCCACTGTTAGTATACTAGAGGTTTGTTTCTGTGGTGGTAGGATGTGGGAAAAAGAAAGTGTTCTATAATTTTTTAAAAAATTAAATCTTAGTATTTTAGTAATCCTGCTTTTAGGGGGAATGATCACAAATATTTCCGTCCCTCCTCCAAGAGTATTAACACCCCACCCACCCACTCCAGCCCTTTGCTTCCTTACCTGGTTGCATCATTACCAATCTATTTTTTTTTATCCTCGTCACATGTTGACTATGTTATTTTTTTTTTATTACATAAGACAGGAAGGCTGAAAGGAGCTATAGTGGGGTGGAAATTAATTCCCTTAAGTGGGATAAGGTTTCTGTGTTAGTCTGGAGAATAGACCTCTGTAATATGGAAGGATCTGGAAAGATTATATAATGGTTATTCTTCTCCTTCCCCCTGCCAGAACCACCAGGGGATTTCTCTCAGGTCCTCATTGTGAGAACCTGGTGGAGTTCCTGGAGGGAAAGGCTGCATTAGTGTGGTCCCTTCTGTGATAGCAACCCCTAGGTGTTTTTTTGCAATCTCACACTAGTCTGCATTCAGCCTATAGCAATTTGTCAATATTACTAATGAACTAATTGGTTCCACTGTTATGGCTTTCAGTAGCTTCTGCTCCAGGTAAGCAAATAACTGTAATTATCTGAATGTGCCTGTCTCTTCAGATTTCAGCGTAGCAAGTTGCTTTGTGACTTCTTTGACCTCACTTCTCTGTTAGGTCCAAGGAAAGTCATTGGTTTTCCATTTTTCCAGCTATTTCTTGTTGTAAAGATAAAAAAGATAACTCCTAAGCCCTTTGTATGTTGGTGCTAAAACCAGAAATCCTTAAATCCTTTATTTTGATATTATTTTACACTAGTGGAAATTGCAACCATAGTACAGAGAGTTACTACGCGCCTTTCTCCCACCTTCCTCTGACGATACCAACTTACATAATAATAGTCCGATTATGAAAACGCAGAAAATGACATTGGTATAATATGATTAACTAATCTAAAGTCTAACTTGGATTTAAACACTTTTAGCATGTAATCATTGCTTTTGTTGTTTTATGTTCTTTTGTTTGGTGTATAGTTTTATTGAATAGAAAGACTAAATAAGGACACCCCAAGAATAGATCACATGAGCCAGTTTCACTCACACAGAGGCATCTATCCTAAATAAATTCATAACATATTTAATGTAAGAGTGAATAAGTAGGCTGTATCCAAGAAATGCAAAAATGATATAACATTAGGAAAAAATGGTTGATTGGGATTTATCTACAATGATAGATTAGAGGAGAATGGCATTTGATCATTTCCTGGGGTACAGAAAAAGCCTTTGGAAAAAAATATTTAACACTGATTCATGGTACAAAAAAAAAAACAAAATAACATTGGAATAGGATTTCCATTTCCTAAAATCTACAGAAAACTTACAGAAAGGTGAAATGTTAAAAGCATCCCCATTAAAATGAGGACCAAGACACAAATGTATGGTAGCGTCTCTACTGTTTTAAAGTGAACTGAAATACATAACCAGAGCAATAAAAATATTAAAATAAAAGGTGCGAATATTGAAAGGACAGAGATAATAAATGGTGACAATATGCTCTTCTAATTAGAAAATCCAGATGAACCAGTGCACAAAATACTCAACAAATAACAGACTTCAGAAAGCTGTTGTATATATCACTATGGCAAACTCAGGAGCCTTGACATACAAAATCACTAAGTAATAAGAACAAATAATTGAAAATATCTCAACCATAATAGCAGCAAATATCCAAATTTGCCTAAAAAGAAACCTAACAAAAATGCACACAGTCTTTTTGCAGGCCACTATAAAAATCCCAAATAAATAGATCAGTGTCCTGTGTTTACTTATGGGGAAAAGAATATTACAAAGAAGCCAATCCTCCTTAAATTATGTACAGATTTACTGCCAGCTGTGGACTGAATTGTATCCTCCTCAAAATTCATATGTTGAAGCCCTAATGCCCAATGTGACATTATTTGGAAATAGGACCTTTAGGGAGATAATTAAGTTTAAATGAGGTCATAAGGGTGGGGCCCTAATCCAAAAAGACTGGTTTTTAAGAAAAGGCAGAGAAACCAAAGTTCTCTTTTTGCAAGGACATAGAGAAGAATCCATGTGAGGACACAGCAAGAAGACAGCTGTCTGCTATCCAAGAAGAGAATCCATAGCAGAAACCAACCCTGAGGACACCTTAATCGTGGACTTCTAACCTCCAGAACCTGGAGGTAAATAAATTTCTAGGTTAAAAAAAAATTACGTTGTTTAAGCCACACAGTCTATGTTATTTTGTCATGGCAACCTGAGCAGACCAATGCACTACCTTACATGTAGCATTCAAGATGGCAACCAGAATTTGGCTAGTATTTTCCAAAATCAACCCTGGAGAAACTATAGAAAGAATGAGATAACAGTATCAACAACAGGAAAGAAGCAAAAATGAGAAATTCCTGAGGGACAAGAAGTCTGGGTTGAACCATTACTTATGTGTGGGAAACAGGTGGGGGCATACCCTCAAGTGGAAACAGGGTCCGTAGCCGGAAATAGAAGCAGATGACAGAATTAGTTGGAGGAAAGATTTTGAAGTTTGGCCCTTGCTTCTTCCCAGTGTGTGCCTTGAGACAATGAATTTATACTGCTTCACTGAATAATACAATCTGAGATGGCGCCTCAGACCCTGTGTGTCAGTACCATATGGTAATATCACGACAGCACAAAAGTTTGGGTTGGCTGAACAGCATGATTCTAGAAGCTGTGCTTAATAACCACCCAAAACTGGGATGCTGTTTTGTGGTGCAGCTTCCCCATATGTATCTAGCCTGAGACTTTGACCCATTCTCAAGGTTTTCAGTATGGAAACGACCCAGAGCTTTCAGGGAGTAGGTATTTCCCACAAAGCCTTTAATGAAAAAGCCAGGAGAACTCCCTACTCCTCCCCTCCCCCAACACCCAGGGTGGAAATCTGATAGGACAACCTACCCCAGAGGCAAGGAGCCCAGCTAGTGCTGAGCCCCAGCCCTGCTTTCACTCCTGGGAGGCCCAGGGCAGAGCTATCAGCATGAGATACCCTCTGACTTCCACCTCAAGGGTCTCAGGAAGATGAGACCCGTAGTCTGAGGAAGCCAGCCTAGGCTCTTCAGAGGAGAGAGGTGATTTGGAGAAACAAAGGCCCTCCACTTCCTCCCCTCCTCTTTATAGTGTTAATCTCCAGAGCTCTCCTAGTACTGGGCCAAGTTGCAAATCTCCCCTGGGCCTGAGGAAGGACTCAGAACCGGAATCCACTCCGCCCTGACCCCACCCCTCCAAGCTAAGTAGCTCCAGGCATGGCTGTTAGGGCCACCACACTCTCATTTCTGCTTTGGGGTCTCAGGAAGTGAAGACTTTGATCTGAAGCTGGTGGATTCCGGTAAGCAAAGGGAGAAATCCCAGTCCAGTAAATCTCAACCTCACAACAGAGGGTGGTCACACAGATGTCAGACCCCTGCAGTCTACCCTGGGAGGCCCCAGGCAGGGCTTTCAAGCTGAAGAGCCACTTCTTTGCCACCGGGGATCTTAGGGAGGTGGGAGCCTTAGTCTAATGGGGGTGGGGCTGAAAATCCTAATAATCTAGGATAGAGGCGCAGTCCCATAGAATCCTTTTCTTGTTATTGGCTCTGGCAGGCCCTAGTAGGAGCCTGTAGAGGTGGTTTTGGTTAAAACCCACCTGGTCTCTCCCTGCTGAAGGTGTACACACCATCTCATTCTCCCTCTTCAAGGTGTGTGAATTACTTGCTCTCTTGCCTATACTTCCTGCCCAGAGTAATCATGCCTCGGGGTCAGAAAAGTAAGCTGTGTACCCGTGACAAACGCGGCCAGGCTCGAAGTGAGACCCAGGATATCTGTGGTGCTTAGGCCACTGCAGCCGGGGAAGAAAGGCCCTCTACTTCCTCCTGTCCTCTTTATGGTGTTAATCTCCAGAGCTCCCCTGGTGCTGGGCCAAGTAGGAAATCTCCGGGCCCTCAGAGAGCCCCATCCACTACTAGTACTTCTGCAAGTGTTTCATGCACAAAATTTGATGAAGGTGCCAAGAGCCAAGAAGAGGAAAAACCAAGCACCTCCCAGGCACCACCCACCACTGATCTTTTGAGCACAACCCCTCTAGACCAGAAGGCAATGTTGTTGGTGCAGTTCCTGCTGCGCAAGTACAACATGAAGGAGCCCATAACAAAGCATAACATGCTAAAGTATGTCATCAAAAAGGACAAGGCACACTTCCATGAGATCCTCAAGAAAACCTCTGAGGTCATGGTGCTGGCCTTTGGCATTGATGTGAAGGAAGTCCATCCAACCAGGCACTACTATACCCTTATCAGCAAATTGAATCGCACCTGTGAGGCAAGGCTGAGTGGTGAGGAGATCATGCCCAAGACTGGCCTCCTGATGACTATCCTGTGTGTGATCTTTATGAAGGGCAACTGTGCCACTGAGGAAGATATCTTGCAGGTGCTTAATGTAATGGGAATAGATGCCAGAAAGAACCACTATTTCTATGGGGAGCCCAAGAAGCTCATCACCCAAAATTTCGTGTAAAGGAAAGACACCTGGAGCACCGGCAGGTACTCAACAGTGATCCTGTGCGGTATGAATTTCTGCGGGGTCCCAGAGCCCATGCAGAAACCAGTAAGATGAGAATCCTTGAGTTTTTGGCCAAGATCCATGATACTGTCCCCAGTTCCTTTCCATCTTTGTATGAAGAAGCTTTGCGAGATGAAGAAGAGAGAGTCCGAGGCAGATTTGCAGCTATGCTTCCTACTAGTGCCAGGGCCAGTGCACGTTCCAGGGTCAATTCCAGCAGCTTCACCCCTAGAGAAGTCTGAAGCACTTTCCTCACTTTGAAGAGAACACTCAATCTTTTAATTAGTGGGGGACCCTGGCGGTGTTAGAGGGAACATAGTACGTATTATATCTGTATTCCTGTTCTACGTGAGTAACTTGTACACTTATCTTTTGTTTTCGTTGAAAGTTTTCAAATGTTATTTATTTTATAAAAAGGTTAATTAGCTTTAGAATCTAGCTGTATGAATAATATTGGTTACATATTTAATGTTGTTTATGACACTTTAGAGTTAAGAGGCTTTTTTTAAGTCCCTCAAGGGGAAATAATTTTAAGTTAAGCTGGGTGGCGGATCAGAGGAGGGTATGGGAGTGGTGAGAGGGGCAGGATCCTTGGTGGTGTGTCTCAGAGTTAAGAGACAGTCTGGAATGGAGAACTGCCTTTAGCTTTTGGCTTTTGGCAGTTCTCCACCTAGTGCAGGGATGGAAAACGCCCTGTGCTATTGTCCCAGTGCAAAAACTAGGTGTTCTACGTGTTTCATCTCCATCCAGTTTCTGAGAAATAAGGGTGATGCCCTCAAGGGAGGTGGGATGCCCAGAGGCCATTGTGTTGGCACTTTTTGCCTTGGGTTGGGGAGTGCATTTGAAGAGCATTTTAACTAGGTTAATTTCAGTATAATTTGGAAAATTAAGGGAGGGCTGTATTTTGATAGGGGTTAAATGAATGAAAATAGGGGTGGTTTGGATCAAAGAGCAAGTGGGAGGGAGGGTAACAGTTGGATTTTGACACACATTCCAGAAACATTGAGTTGCATCCAGATGGGGAGGATTCCCCAACATCCAAATTAAATATACCCTGCAAGGAGGAAGACTTACTGAAGTTTTTTTTTTCTTTCTTTCTTGCTAGGGAGAATTTTTGGCTAATTTGGTGTTCTGTGTCCTACAGCACTGCATATTCATGGACATTTATTTCTCGTGGATTAAAAAACAAAACCAAAACCAAAAATATCCCATTTGAAGGGGTGGTATCACCTAGGGTAAAAACAAAATCATAGTAATAAATGTCACTTTTTAATGTCTCAATGCACACCAGTCACTGTACCAGGTACTTTACATGCATCACACACAGTCCAACAGTCCTAGGGGACTGGGCTTATCAAATCCACTGCACCAATGAAGAACTCAATGCTCACAGAATTGGGTAATGCGTCTACTTCACACAGCTAGTAAGTGACAGGATGGGACTAGACTCCTGGTCTGAATTCCTCTAGAGCTCACACTGTTCCACTCCTCCCAGCCTGAGGCAGATCTTGGGTCTACTAATTCATTTCTCTTCTCAGTACTCCAAGATGTCTCTCAGACAATCAAAACAAAGATCCTATGGCGGAAGCACTAAAAGCAGGCCTGAAAAAAAAGTAAGATGAGAGTGAGACTCAGACACAATCTGGGACTGTCTGTGAGGTTCATTGGCCTGGAGTCCTCCCTCCCTTGGCCCCAGATTCTTCCAGAGCTGACTCTGCCCTGGTCCCTTCACATGGGTTCAGTCCAGCACTTTCTCACATTACTGTGCCCTTCCCCTGGGTCTTCCCCAGTGTGCCCACCTGTCCAAAATGGAACTGACCTGCTGGTCAGCTGCACTGCATCCTTCTCTGGAGCCTGCACCTGCTCCTAGAGGAACACACAGCCCAGACTCACCTGCCTTCTCCAAGACTTAATTGACATTCCAACTGCCTATAAGTCCTGCCCCTTACTCTGTCTGGAATGTATTCCTTCCGGTGGGTTCTTGGTCTTGCTGACTTCAAGAATGAAGCCGCGGACCCTCGCTGTGAGTGTTACAGTTCTTAAAGACGATGTGTCCAGAGTTTGTTCCTTCAGATGTGTCCAGAGTTTCTTCCTTCTGGTGGGTTCGTGGTCTCGCTGACTTCTGGAGTGAAGCCGCAGGCCTTCACAGTGAGTGTTACATCTCTTAAAGGTGGTGCCCCTGGAGTTGTTTATCCTCCCGGTGGGTTCGTGGTCTTGCTGACTTCAGGAGTGAAGCCACAGACATCCGCAGTGAGTGTTACAGCTCATAAAGGTAGTGTGGACCCAAAGAGTAAGCAGCCACAACATTTATTGTGAAGAGCAAAGAACAAAGCTTCCACAGCATGGAAGGGGACCCAAATGAGGTGCTGCTGCTGGCCAGGGTGGCCAGCTTTTATTCCCTTATTTGGCTCCTCCCACATCCTGCTGATTGGTCCATTTTACAGAGTGCTGATTGGCCCGTTTTTACAGAGTGCTGATTGGTGCATTTACAAACCTTTTGCTAGACACAGAGTGCTGATTGGTGTCTTTACAGTCCTTTAGCTAGACAGAGAACTTCTCCAAGTCCCCACCGGACCCAGAAACCCAGCCGGCTTCACCTCTCATAAGTGTGGACCCCCTTGACAGAAGCAGCCCCTTTCTTGTATTGTAACTGTTCACTTAAAGCAGTGAAGCTTGGACACCTCTTCATCTCGCTACACGCATCCACCACACTCAAAGCGTTTTCAAATCTGCTAGATGGGAGAGTCTGATTTGGCACAGAATCTACTGGTTCTTGCTTTATAAGCCGGAGACTAGAGAGAAGATTTTGGAAACCATCCTGAGGTTTGAGGTCGAATTTTAATGGGGTTAATTATTTGAGACTGGCCTCTGAACACATACACCAGTTAGTAAACTTACCTAGGTAGTCTAAAATCAAAGCCTCCTCTATAGGCAGTCAGTGAGGAAAGACCACTGGAATCAGTGTGTAAGCAAACATCTACTGTGGCTAAATCCCTAAAAACCCAGGAGTCTTTCTAGGTGATTAGAAAATGGTTCCATGGCAGATGTGGTGGCTTTGATAAGAAAAGAAGAAATAATTCAGCATTCTTCCACTGCCCCTTGTCTTTCTGTTTACTCCTAAGGAAAATTTTGGTTTTAAGTAATAGTGCAGATATTCTCACTGTCCCAAAATTCTAACAATATGCATAAATCACAATTCCCCTTAGTTAGTACATTTCATCAAAATTCATACCTCTCCTAAGAAGTAATCACAATTAATAATGTTTGTTGTTTTAAAATGTATTCTAGGCTTTTCCTTCCATAATGTGCTGTAAAAAGTACATTGTGAGTTTTTAACATACAACATACATGGATAACAGTGTACATATTGTTTTTCCCTCTTGCCATTGTCACTGAATGAAATGAATGCAAAAATCTTTCTGTGAGAGTACATATAGATCCACTTCACTCTTTTAACTACCCCTAGAATTCTAAAGTGTGTATGTGCTATAATTAATTTAACCAATCTCCTCCTGATGGACACATTAGTTGTTTCTCATTTGCTGCTATCATTTGTAGAAGTGATATCAACATCATTGACCATGAATTCTGGGGCAAATATGCGTGTTTTCTTACAGGAAAGACATAGCAAAGTGTAAATTGGATTAAAGTGGAAAAAATGTGATGATTGTAAATGTTTATTAATATTTCTGAAATTCTGTTCTAATAAAGCTGTACCAATTCATATTCTTGCATATTAATGTATGTTGATAATCTACATTCTCATAGGCATTTTATTTTATCAACCTTTTAAATTTTGGTCAAACCTTGGGGTGATAATATATGATCTCACTGTTATTTTAATTTCCCTGTTTTCTAAGAAGGTTGAGCAGAAAATTAACTTAATCTCTCATCTATAGAAAGTGGGATTCCTTTAGTGATGTCTTGGGTACCAGGATTTTCCTGGGCATGCTTCAAAATTCTGAAATGTCAGTAAGATAGTTCCCTTTACTTTGAGGAAGAAAGATTTGATCAGAATCACCAGGTGCTAGGGAATGGGTCTATACAGGATATTCTCAGCTAGTGAGGAAAATCAGGAAGACCTGGGGAGAGAGATCATCAAGTTTATAGAGCACAGGTCCCCCAAAGGCCAGGATTCCATGATATATTCTGTATATAACTGTTATAACATGGTTGTCAATATTTTAGATGTGGGACCTCTTATTCCAACTTAAGCCTTCCCCATAAATCAAATATCTGACTTGAAGGCAGAGAAGTCTGGGTGGGGGAACTGCAAGCCAATTGTCCTGTCTATTCAGTGCCCCTTCATCCCACTCAGGCCTGAGGCCACTTAAACCCACACATCACTGGGGTTCCCTAAGCACTACTGGGAAATCTTGGTGCTAGAAGACTCTTCCTCAGACATGGACTTGACATTCCTGCACAAGCATCTATCTGTGTGGATTCCATCTGCCCAATACACTGTATCCCAATTTTGTCGCTTAGCTCTCCAGCACTGCAGAAATGTGGTCACATACCTCTGCATGCCTAGCCTACCTTGCCATCCCTTCTCTTGTTTTCAAACCCCTCATTACCCACCCCACTCCCACCTGGACACATACAGGCACATTCTGTCCTCCTATCCACTCATCTCTTTTCCATTTTCAGCACAGGACTGGCTGCCCTCTCTTCAACCCACTGTCCTCATTAGTAACTTGCACAGGCCTTGCCTTCATGCTGACTCCAATCCCTGTCTCCACTCCCTTCGTAGCCCTGTTTCAAACTCTCCTATGGGAAAGAGACCTCTCCTACTCCCTTTACCTAGTATCCATTTAACATTTAAGAGGACGGTGGGATTCCTTGTCACCTATGTCTCTTTCTTTTGAAAGTCAACTTCCCATTTTCCAAAGTTATTTAGGTTAGTTCTTTTCCCTCCTGCATTCAGTATGGTTATGTTTTTCACTTTTATTACAGGTATTTTCATTTGTTAGTGTTTGGATGCCATATTGGATTTCCCCCACATTCTAATTGGTTTTAACTCTTTGCTTATTAATGGCAGTATTTTTTAAGAAAGTATTTCTTTTTATTTATTAATTCCTTAACAACAGGCATTATCATAATACAGTATATTGCTTCATAATATTAGCTGGCCATGATTGTAAGAATGTGCCTGAAATATGTATCTTGGTATTTAAATTGGAAAAAATCTATGTCTGTCTTGTACATTGTGGGGTGCTTTGCTTATTCAGATAAGTGCCTCATACTTATTCACTTTTTTCTATATACTAGTTCAAATACAACAGCTGAAATGTTTCAAATGTCTGCACATACCAGGGCTTAATCTGATCATATGCAATGGATTTAATACTTGAAAACAAGAAATTTAATGCCTCCATATGGCCATTAAAACCAGCTGAGGCACTACTATTTGTCATGATGTTGATGATGAGCCCTTTACTGCTTGTGTCTTTTTTGTTATTGTTGCCAAGTAACTGAACAACTCATGCAGCATTGCTAAGGATAAGGCCTTTCCCTATTAAGAAGAAAAAGATGACAACCTGCTGTGTGAACAATAGGGAAACTACCCTTATCATTCTTGGCACAAACACTTCATCACTAGGGGTGCATCTTTACAAAAAAACTCTGAAATTTTTCTGTAAATATTCTGTTCCTGTTCACTGACATGAAATTTTTCAAAAAAAAAAATATGATAACTCAGAAAAAAAAATGGAGATAAAATCCAGAAAATGTATTATACACCTGTCTTTATCAAATAGTTGGTATCTAAAGACTCCACATTAGGAGAGATGGAAGCAGTTATTACTGCCACATGGCATCTTGCCCTACTTAATTCCAACAGAAGAAGCCTCCTCCCACTGTGTTGTAGAGAAGATGAAGAATCTCAAGTCAGATCAAAGGCCAAGTTGTGATTACTGTGAAAAGAAGAGAGGAGGATATCTCATATTCCTTTTTAGCTATCTATCCTTTTAAGACATAATGTCCCATTTGAAATATTTGCCACATGAATGTCAAAAAAGTATCAGATGGTAAAATAATAGCGGTAGCTCAAATCTATGAAAAATGGAGGTTCATGGAAGCACAGATACTAAGCTCTTTCAAAACACGTCTTCTTAGTATTCCACAGTGATTTCCCCAAGAATAAAATCACTGACTTAAACTCTCATCTAATATTTAACCCCTTTTTACAAGTAAGAATTTTTTTCATATAACATGGAAATTTAGAAATTGATGCTTTTAGATTTATCATCATGTCTCAGATTTTGTTAATAGTCAGACATAACTTGCTCTATTATTTAATAGACCATTTATGTATATGTTTTTCTGTACAGTTGACCCTTAGACAACTTGGGTTTGAACTGCATGGATCTACTTATACATGGATTTTCTTCTGCCTCTGCCACCCATGAAACAGCAAGACCAACCGTTCCTTTTCCATTTTTCTCCTCAGCCTACTCAACACAAAGAAGATGAATATGAAGACCTTTGTGATGATCCACTTCACTTAATGAATAGTAAATATATTTCTTTTCCTTACAATTTTCTTAATAACATTTTATTTTCTCTAGCTTATTTCATTGTAAGAATATGGTATATTATACATATAACATATAAAATATGTGTTAGTTGACTGCATTACCAGTAAGGCTTCTGGTCAACAGTAGGCTATTAGCAGTTAAGTTTTGGGGGAATCAAAAGTTATGCTCAGATTTTTTTACTGCATGGGGTTTGGTGCCCCTAGCCCCCATATTTTTCAAGGGTTAACTGTATAATAAACAAGCAAAGCATACTACAGGAATTTAAGATGTACAGCAAAACTTGATGTGTCCCTCTTTAAAGCACATGTTCACCCTTAAATGTATCTACGTGCTAAAAAATACTGACACCTTGCTATTGAGGTGTTTCAGTTCCCTACGTGTTCCAGATATTAACCTCTTTAAGATGTATGGTTCATAAACATTTTCTCCCATTTTATAAGTTGTCTATTCACTCTGTTGATTATTTCCTTTGCTGTGCATAAGCTTTCTAGTTTGATGCAGTCCGATTTGTCTAATTATGCTTTTGTTGACTGTGCTCTTGGGGTTGTATCCAAAATAATCTTTGCCAAGACCAATGTCAAAAAGCTTTTTCTCTACATTCTATTTTCTGGTAGTTTTTCTGCTTTCCTGTTTCAGGTCTTATGTTTAAGTTTTTATCCATTTTTAGTTGACTATGGTGTATGAGGTTCGAGATATGGGTATACATTCATTCTTCTGCATATAGTTATCCAGTTTTCCCAAAATCATTTATTGAAGAGACTGCCTTTTCCCAGTTGTGTGTTCTTGACATTTTTCCTGAAGATCAATTCCCTGTAAATTCATGAATTTATTTCTGGGCTCTCTATTACATTGGTCTATATGTCTGTTTTTGTGCCAGTATTGTGCTCTTTTGATCATTATAACTTTGCAGTAGATTGTGAAGTCTTTGATTAGATTGCAGTAATCTGATGCCTTCAGCTTTATTCTTTTTGTTCAAGATTGCGTTGGTTATTTGGGATCTTTTTAAAACCCACTTAAAAATGAGCAAATAACCTGGAAAAACATTTCTTAAAAGAATACATGAGAATGACCAACAGTTATGTGAAAAAACGTTCAACATTACTAATCATCAGAGAAATGCAAATTAAAACTACAGTGAGATATCACCTCACATCTGTTAGAATAGTTATTATTTTAAAAAAGACAAGAGGTAACAAGTATTGGTGAGGATGTCAAGAAAAGGAACCCTTTACACTGTTGGTGTGGAGGTAAATTAGCACAGCCATTATGGAAAACAGTATGAAGGTTCCTCAAAAAACTAAACACCTACCATATGACTAGTAATTCCAATTCTGGGTATATATCCAAAGTAACTGAAATCTGTATGTTGAAGGGAGATCTGCACTTCCATGTTCATTGCAGCAGTATTCACAATAACCAAGACACAGATTCAACCTAAGTGTTCATCAAAACGAATGGATTTAGAAAATGTGGTACATATACACAATGGGATGCTATTCATCCTTAACAAATAAGGAATTCCTGTCATTTGTGACAATGTGGATGAACCTGGAGGACTTTATGCTAAGCGAAATAAGGCAGGCACAGAACGACAAATACCACATAATCTCATTTATATGTGGAATCTAAAAAGGTTAAACTCAGCTGTAGCAAGTAGAATGGTGGTTACCCAAGGCTAAGAATGAGGTGAGTATTGAGGAGAGGTTGGTCAAAGGGTACAAAATTTCAGTTAGATGGGAGGAATAAATTCAGGAGATCTATTATACAACACGGTGATTATAATTAATGACAATGTATTATATACTTAAAAATCGCTACCACAGTAGATTTCAAATGTTCTAACCACAATAAATGATAAATATGTGAGTAATGATTATGTTAATTAGTTTAGTCACTTTACAATGTATACATATATCCAAACATTATTTTATATATCATAAATATTTACAATTTTAATTTGTCGATTAAAAAATACTGACAGCCTTTCCCAGGAATAGCTAAAATTATTCCTTCTCCATTTAAAAATTCCCTATAAGTAGGCGGTCTAATACCAAAAACCTAAACTTCAGCATTGAATGAGAATACTTTAGAGCTCTAAACATTTTAACTATTCTTCTCATTCATGTACAAATTTGTTAATCATAAGAAAAGGAATGCTAGGCCCCACCCCGCCCCTGCTCCGCGGCTGGTTTTCTCCGCGGGCACCTCGGGCGGGACCTTTAGATATGGAGAGTACTTGGGGGAACCCTGGCTGGGTGGGTGCGGCTCGCGCTCTGCCTGGCTTAGTGCTGTCGCTCTATGCGCGCTGCACGTGAAGGCGGCGCGCGCCCGGGACCGGGATTACCGCGCTCTCTGCGACGTGGGCACCGCCATTAGCTGTCCGCGCGTCTTCTCCTCCAGGTAGGGCAGGGGCTTCGGGCTGGTGGAGCACGTGCTGGGACAGGACAGCATCCTCAATCAATCCGATAACATATTCCCTTGCGTCTTATACACAGTACAGTTGTTAGGTTGCCTGCGGACGCGCTGGGCCTCTGTCCTGCGGCTGCTGAGCTCCCTGCTGTCTCTCGCTGGTTCTGTCTACTTGGCCTGAATTCTGTTCTTCGTGCTCTATGATTGCTGCATCGTTTGCATCACCACCTATGCCATCAACGTGGGCCTGATGTGGCTCAGTTTCCGGAAGCTCCAAGAACCCCAGGGCAAGGCTAAGAGGTACTGAGCCCTCACCTCAAGCCAGGCTGGCCTCGTCTGCTTTGCTTTGGCATGTGAGCCTTGCCCAAGGAGGTATATCTGGGTCCCTAGAAGGCCCTAGATGCAGGGCCATCTAGAGTCCTCCCTCCCTCTGCCATACCCACACACGACAATGGACCAAATGTGCCACACGCTTGCTCTTTTTTCCACCCAGTGCCTCTGACTCTGTCCCCAAGGGCTGGTCTCCGAAGCTCTTGCCATTGCCCAGGGAGTGAAGGTTCTGAGCAATAAAATTTCTTAGATAAAAAAAAAAAAAAAAAAAAAAAAAAAAGGAATGCTAGTCTATAGAGAAAATAGCTAGAGGACACTTTTCCTGATTTATGTGTTTCCCTCCAATTGTCCAGTTGTTAATGCGCTATAAATAAGTTAGTCAGATTTATTAATGTTTTTATTATTCGTGTTCTTGTTACATAACAACACCAGAGAAGCAGCAGACAATTCTTTATCACAAGAAAAGCTTTTGTTTCCTTAATACATTTTAACTCCTTATTACAGATTACAAAGCCAAAAGGTTTGGTTTTCTTCCTCAAAATAGTATAACACCGTGCTGGTATAAAATTATATATGAAAACATTATGGGGGATTCAAAGACTTAGAAGAAGAGTTTGGGCAATAAAAAATGTCCAATGTGGTCTGAATATATATGCTAATTTTCATTGCTGGTCACCTTACAAAAGGAGTTCTGTCTATAACATTCAGTGCATTCACCTATAAAACAAACATTTGTTGGATATCAAAGACAAAATTTATCAAATTCTCCTAATTTTTATTGTAGATGTAAAACTGTAAGTTTGCAACATGCTCACAATTCAATTATGTGTCTTTCATTTTGTTAATCTGGCCTTAGTATCTGTATCCATGTGCAGTTTTATTATCAGAAACTTGAACAAATGTATGATACAGTATTTCCAAAAGTAACTGAAAACTATTTGTCTTAGGTGTGATGAATGCAAATTAATTCTCCCCTCCCTCAGGGTATTTAAGTATAGACTCTTTTACATAAATCATATATTAATATATACAATGTGAGTATCTTTGAAAAGTTCTAACATTGAGTATGCAAAATTAAAACAAATTCAGCATTAAAATCAGTTACAAAACTTATACGAGTCACATGTTCAGGGATACTGGAATGAATGAGCTTATAGTCATCATCTCTGAACTAACATTTCATCTCTCCAAGCCAGTGTCTCAGACCAAGAACTTGATGATATATTTTCCCTCACTGAAGAATAGGGATATCTGTTTCACCTATTTCAAAATTTTTTAATGATGTTCATTAACTCTAGTGATTTTTCTCTTAAACTGTATCTTGGTATTGAATAAATGATACCCTATTGACATTACTCAGTCTGAGAATCTAATATTGCATACAAGTTGTTGTGTGTATTGATGTATTATATATTTTTCCTACTTAGAAAAGGGCCAGCACCTTTCATTATATTTACAAAAAGAGTTTAGTGATATATTGCACAGCATGGTGACTATAGTTAATAATAATGTATCGTATAATTCAAAATTGCTAAAAGAGTAGATTTTAATTGTTCTCACCACAAAAAATGAGAAATAGGTGAGGTGATAGATATATTATCTTGATTTAATTTTTCCACAATATATACATACATCAAAACATCAGAGTGTACCCATAAATATGTATATTATTCATCAATTAAAAATAAAATAGGCTGGGCACAGTGGCTCATGCCTGTATTCCCAGCACTTTGGGAGGCTGAGGTGGGTAGATCACTTGAGGTCAGGAGTTCGTGACCAGCCTGGCCAACATGGTGAAACCCTGTCTCTACTAAAAATACAAAAAAAAATTAGCCAGGAGTATTGGCACACACCTGTAATCCCAGCTACTTGGGAGGCTGAGACAGAAGACTCGCTTGAACCCAGGAGGCGGAGTTTACAGTGAGCCGAGATTGTGCCACTGCACTCTAGCCTAGGTGACAGAGCGAGAGTCCTTCTCAAAAAAAAAAAAAAATGAAATGTAGATGTAAGTTTAGGAACTAATACACACACACACACACACACATACACTTTATACATTGATTTAAGGTGTCTTCCACAGCCAGTGAAAGAAAACACAACTCAAACTGAACTGACCTAAATATTAAATCACTTTTTTTTCCACATAACCGACAATAAAATTATACGTCAGGCTTCAGATTTGGTTTAAGCGAATAACTTATGCTTCATTTACTTGAAATTATCTTGACTTTACCCATGCTCTTTCTCCATGTTTAGTCTGGTAGCAAGATGGCTGAGGCAGTTCTGGCCCCCACAAAAGCATGTAACAATTTGCAAAGGACGAGAGACAACCCTTGCATTCCAGTACTCCAAAAGACCATTTCCTCTCCTGATTATCCATTTATGTCACTTGTCCACTTTTGTACAGTATCCCCTGTGTACTAATTAGCGTAAGCCAGTCAGGCTCATGTCACTGAGTCTTATGAGATCAGATTCTCCTGAAGTACATGAGATTATTAAATGTTTGATCTAAATCAAGATTCTGTCAGGATTTAGGTAGAGGAGAATGCATGTTATGAGACCTTCAACAATGACCACTACAATTGTACACTGCTGTATATTTTACTAGATTGATAATATTTAAGATGTTGATGGATGATTATCTACAGCAGGTTATGTGATAAAATTGTATTTTACAAGCTGTTCTGTTTTATGGCTATGAATGTGTATATATATCTCATTTTATTACAGTTCTATATCTTTAAAAAATGAAAAATTCACTGAATCAAAAAGAAAGGCAATATTTAATTAGAAATAAAATGAGTTCTAAATCTTTCATGAATGTATTCTGTGCAGGGAATTCTTAATGCTTTCCATTATTATGAGAGATAATATCAAGCCCAATTATTTCAAGTTAGGCTAAATCTTTCTACATTGAATGTGCTGAGATAAAAACTCTTCAATTTATAGGTATTTTACCTAGAGCATAGGCCTTGGTCTTTGAAATATTTTCAGTGAAATTTATTTTTCATTATGCATTAAAGTTCTACTAAGTTTCTCACATGGGGCTTCCAATTTGGTTTGTCTTTACAAGGTTGGCTAGTTAAAAACAAAGTTTTGTTAGTTGCTCCTCTGTTTGTTCTCATATATATTTCTCTCCTCTTCCCATTTTGTATCACATGGGGGCTGACCCCAGGAGAAATACTTCTCCCAGATTCCTGAGTCAGCTGGTTTTAACTATAGTTTGCCAATTGGAGACACTATCAGAAGAAAGGAGAATTAAGGGAGAAGAAAGGGTATTTTTCACAATCTGCCAATGAGGCATGTTCAACACTAGCTGCTTCTCTATGGCTCCAGTTCCTACAGGAAATGATTCAAAATTCCTCCAGGAGATCCTGGTTACTGGGCTTTAGTAACCCCAGCCTCTTTATCTCTTCAGCAAAGGTGTTGTAGTAGCTTTTGAGATGGCTAATCTTTGATTTCCCTCATCATTTCCTGTTTGGTTTTTCAGCAATTCCTTCTCCTACATAATCAATTTCCAGTATTAAATTTCTTCTGTCTTAAGTATTCTGAAGGATCTCTGATTCCAGACTGGAACATAACTGATACATAATTATGCACAGTTTTATTTAATTTACCTGTACCTAACGCTCGATTATCTGTTTTCTGTCCCCACATTCCCAAATCTGAAATTGCTCTGACAACATTATTAATAGCATATGTATTGCCAAATCCAATGGGTATATTTTAGTTCACTGGATACTTCTGCTTTCTTTGACACTGCTGACTACTCTTTTTCATAAATTATTTATTTCATTTATTTCTACAGTGTTCTTTTTTGTTTCTACCCCCTAATCATTTTGCTTAATTCCTTTCATGCTCAATTTTTAAAAACAATGTTGTTTTCTCACATCTTATTTTTATGCTCTACTTGGATGTATTTAGCTAAACTTAAGATTTTATGTTCCATTTAAATGCTGATGGTACCCAAATTAATTTTCCATCACTAAATGTATTCTTACATTTCCTAAGCATATAACTAGGCATTTGCTGTATAATTTCAAAAATCTAACTTATTACCTTATACTTTCCAGAAACACACACACAGAGACACTAAACCAAGCAACCAACCACAATATCCCTGCCCCTCTTCTGTTGATTATCTTGTTGATGTCACCATAATCCACCTAAACACCCAAGAAAAAAATGTGGGGTTCATTACTGACCATTGTGTCTGCAGAGTCTTGCCTCATGGTATTCATGCTGTGTGTAGTCACCTCCCACCTGTATAACCAGCGAGATATTGCACAAATGATTTCGAGGCTAGATTGTAAAAAGGTTTCCAGCTTATACCGTTTCCTTCTTGAATCACAGGTTGTAGGCAAAGCCAGCTGCCATTTCATAAGAACACTCAGGCAACACTATGGAGCTGTTCATTGGCAAGGAAATTAGTTCTCCTGCCGTAACCAGCAAGGAACTGAAGCTCTTGCTAACAGCTATGTGAATTAGTTATTTTGGAAGCAGATCCTCCAACTCCAGTCAAGCCAGCTGACATACAGCACTAGCTGACATCATGATTGCAACCATGTGAGAAGATTCGGGTCAGAGCCACCCAGGTAAGCTGCTCTAGAATCCAGACCTACAGAAACTGTATGGGATAATAAATGTTTATTGTTGTTTCATAGCTGCTAAGTTTTGGGTAATTTACTAGGATAGCCAATAGAACTATTCTGTTTCTCTTATTCTTTACTAATCACCAATTTCTGTCAATATTATTACCCAAATATTTCTGGAAACTACTCTTTCATTTTTAAACACTACTGTTCTGGTCATTATCACCTCCAGCTTGAATTACTTCAGTGGCCCTCAAAATGATCTCTTGTTCCAGTGTGGTGTTTTGCAAATCCATCCTGCTATTCCACTCTCAAAGTGATTTATGTGGAATTCAAATTAACCAAGCTTCTTTTATACTTAAAAACCTTCAGTGGTTCTTTTTTCTTCAAAAGATAAAAGCAAAGTACTTGCCATGATGTAAAAAGTCTTAGGTAATCAGAAACCTTTTTTATTTTTTTCACTCCAGCTTTATTTCTTGCAACTTTTCAGCACTCACTTTTGTGCAATAGAAATACTGAACGCTTTAGACCTTGATAACCAGCAGCTTCATATCTATGTGTCATTTCTCCTGAGTTTGCTTTTTTTAGAACCCCCCCTGTCTTTTTCCTGACTAATTCATTATCAACTTTTGAGACCTAACTCAAAAATTATTTCCTCCAAGTAGACTTCCATAACTCCTGGAAGGCAGATTAACTATTCTCCTTTTGTTGACCTAAAGTACTATTCACATTCCTCTATCATAACACGTACTTTATCATAATAAAATTCCTTAAGCAGTGTTTTTTTCTGCTACTATGTGTGAAAGAACAAAGCTTCATATAGTTTTTGAATAGAAATCTACTGGTTGCATGCTTTATTTAGTTGTAGTCTGCAAGTCTCCAAATGGAACAGACAGACCTAGGAGACTGAGGTTTTCTGAACAACAGAAGTTTTATATATATATATATATATATATATATATATATATATATATATGAGAGAGATGAGATGACAGACAGACTTATATAGAAATAGAGATAAAGATAGTGTGGATCAAATTAATACAAGGCCAGTGGGTTATTTTATATACTAAGTGAGCAATTTACATTTCTGAAAGAAACATTTAATAAGTAAATAAAAAATATTTCTTGTAACAACCATGATTTGCCAGATTGCATTAATAAACTGTTGCATTTATAAATCTTCTTTTCTTTTACTACTTATTAAACATAGGGAGATTCTTTTTTTTTTTTTTCTTCCGAGATGGAATTTCACTCTTGTTGCCCAGGCTGTGGTGCAATGGCACGATCTCGACTCACTGCAACCTCCGCCTCCCGGGTTCAAGTGATTCTCCTGCCTCAGCGTCCGGAGTAGCTGGGATTACAGGCATGTGCCACCAAGCCTGGCTAATTTTTTGTATTTTTAGTATAGACAGGGGTTTCTCCATGTTGATCAGGCTGGTCTCGAACTCCCGACCTCAGATGATCTGCCCGCCTCGGCCTCCCAAACTGCTGGGATTACAGGTGTGAGCCACCATGCCCGGCAACATAGGGAGATTCTTATAACTAATGCAATAGATTATGCATGGTTTGATCTTAAATACATTTATTTCTATGGTCTTTTCTTTTTAAACTTTTACTGTACATATTTAAGGTGTGCCACATGATGTTTTGATATACATGTAGATAGTGAAATGCTTACTATAGTGAAGCAAATTAACATATACATCACCTCACATAGTTTCCCATTTTTTTTGTGTGGCAAGAGCACCTAAAATGTACTCTTTTTGCAAAAATCCCAAATACAATATAATATTATTAACTATAGTCTATGGTCCTCATATTATACATTAGATCTCTAGATGTGTTCATCCTATGTATCTACTACTTTGTGTCCTCCAACCTACATCTCCCCATTCTCTCCCCTTATGATTGCCCCCAGTAACCACTATTTTATTCTCTACCTCTTTGTACTTGCCTTTTTTGACAGCACTCTTGACATAATCAGAATATATTATCTAAAATTTATGTTATTTTTGAATGAGATATGTAATAATAATTTTAGCATTTTAAGTTCAACAATAAATATAATTGTACTTTCCCATTTGTTTATCAGTTTAAAATAAACAATGCTTATGAGACTTGATGTCCAAAATGGTAACCACCTGAATTTCAGGGATCATGTGAATTATTTCTGTGCATTTAGTGCCTATAAAAATGCCTGGTCTTAACTAGACACCCTATACATATTGTTAGAACAGGAAAGAATTGGATCAAAAAGGACAATGATATTACTAATACATTAACACATTATATGTGGGCTAGCATGAGTAGATTATCATTCATTTAAGGTTTACTTGTGTTGTTATACAATTATTGAAAAAATACACATTAAGTAACTAAAATATCATATTTTAATAAATGTTACTCTGAATTTGACTTAGGTCTGCAAAAAATGTTAATGATATTGACCATGGTTGACAAAGACAGTTATTGATTTCACTTAAATGGCAGTTAGTGACATCAGTGTATAGAAGGCGAGAGAATAAGCATAACTGTCTTAGTCCACTCCTGCTAGTATAACAAAATACCTGGGACTGGGTAATTTATAAAGAACAGAAATTTATTTCTCACAGTTCTGGAGGCTGTAAGTACAAGAACAAGGGTGCCCACAGATTTGGTGTCTGGTAAGGGCTGCTCTCTGCTTCTGAGATAACACCTTGTTGCTGTGCCCTCCAGAGGGGACAAATGCTGTGTACTTACATGGCAGAAAGAACATAAAAGTCAGGCAGCTCTCTGAAGACTGTTTTATAAGAGCACTAATTCATTCATGAGGGCGGAGCCATCATCACTTAATCATCTCCCAAAGGCATCTTTTAATACTATAATGTAAGTGATTCAATTTTAACATATGAATTTTGGGGGACATATTCAGAGACCATAGCAATAACTAATCCTATGAAACATTTTTCTAGAAGAAAAAAAGATATATGCAAGTGCAGTCAGGCCATTAATTCAGAAAAATGTCTAAAATATTAAATAGGGTTGTTGGTTTATTTTCTTATTATTTTCAACCTTAAGATCTTGGTACTATAAGGGAAATATCATAGGTGTAGATGAAAGAAAAAACTGAGAGATACCTTCAGTTGAGGGTGACAACTGACAAAGAGGGATAAATCAGATTTCAACAACTATGTCAAAAATTATTACAATTCGGATAATTCAGAAAGTAATTTAAGCTCAGAAAAATTTAATAATTCAGGTCAGGGAATACTATTAATTTATAGCCATAAAATAAATCTATTTAGTAATGTTTCTTCAGTCATTAATAAAAAGTAAAATTAGATGTAATATACTCTGTGTTATAAAGTAACTGAAAATCAAGAGAATGCAATGAAAAGAGTTTATTTCTGGAAAATGTTTAAGACTTAATCATGCAATGAGCTTATAAAAAATGTGTTTTTTATGCATTACATGATGTCCTAAGACATATAAAATATAAAATAAATTAAAATACATACATAATATACAATATTTATGTCAAAGATAAGATATATTTACCTGTTTTTCAAGAGCAAAACTTAAATTTGTAAATTATATAATCATATAAAAAAGATAAAGAATAACTAAAACGTATTTTTTACTGAATACTTTGCCATATTTGCTTTATATGTGTAATTTTTTATATAAAATATGCACAAATAAAGTTTTATCTTTCATGTCAGTCCAGTTTCTACCACAAAAAGTAACTCATATTATAGTTGGTATGCACCCATCCCATAAAAGCTTTTCAAAAATTTTTAATATCCATTCATTCATATGCATAAACATGTATAACCATAATAATCATGGTAAATATAGCTGACACTTATTGAGTATAAATCTGTAAGAAGCACTGTTCTATGTACTTTACAAACATTAATTTATTTAAGCTGTGGTAAGTAAGTCCTTATGAGGTTAATTCTAGTATTCTTATTTTAAAGACGAGGAAATTAAGGTACAGAAAGACTAAATAAATTTGCCTATGATAACACTACTAGGAATTTGAATTTGTAGAGTCAAAATTTGAACCCAGGTAGTCTGTCTCGAGATCCTGGAATTTTAACCATGAATTATACTGGTTTTTAAATTAAAATTTTTATTTTAAGGTAATTATAGGTTCGCAAGCAACCATGAGAAACAATACAGGGAGATTTTGTGTATCCTTTACCCAGTTTCCCCCAATGGAAACATCTTGAAAACCATTAATGCTACCTATCAACCAGGATATTGACATTAATACAGTCAAGATATAGAACAACTTTGGGAGGCCGAGGTGGGCAAATCACCAGGTCAGGAGTTCGAAACCAGCCTGGCCAACATGGTGAAACCCTGTCTCTACCAAAGATACAAAAAATAGCTGGGCGTGGTGGCGGGTGCCTGTAATCCCAGCTACTCAGGAGGCTGAGGCAGGAGAATCGTTTGAACCCGGGAGGCGGAGGTTGCAGTGAGCCGAGATCGTGCCACTGCACTCCAGACTGGGCAACAGGGCAAGACTTCATCTCAAAAAAAAAAAAAAAAAAAAGATGTGGAACAATTCCATCACCATAAGAATCCTTCATGTTCATGCTGTCTTTATAACAACCATGCTCCTTTCCCTGTTTCCTGCAAACTATTTGTCTCATCTCCCTTTCTATAATTTTGTCATTTCAAAAATGTTATATAAATAGATTCATATAGTTTTTAACCTTTTGGATATTGGCTTTTGTCAATCAGCATAACTATCTGAAGATTCATTTACGTTGTTTTGTATATCAATACTTCATTCTTTTTTATTGCTGAATAGTAATTTCATGGTATGAATATAGCACACTTTGTTTAACCATTCACCCATTGAGGTATGTCTGGGTTGATCCTATTGGGGCTATTACAAATAAAGCTGCTATAAGCAACATATCAGTCTACAGGTTTGAGTGTGAACATGTTTTTATTTCTCTGGGATATATTTCTAAAAACGTAATTGCTGGGTTGTATAGTAATTGCTAATTTGGTTTTATTTAGAAAAAATACTCTCAAACTGTTTCCAGAATGACTGTGCCATTTTACATCTCCACCAGCAATGTATGAGTGATCTAGTTTCTCCACATCCTCACCAGCATTTGGTATTATCAAGACTTTTTATTTTAGTCATTCTAGTGGGTCTGTAGCATTGTGGTTTTAATTTGTATTTCCCTAATGTCTAAAATTTCTCTTCATGTCTTTTGTCCATTTTTCTGATCAGATCATTTTTTATTTTTTTGCTGTTGAGTTTTGAGAGTTCTTTACATATTCCAGATACTAGTTCTTTGTTGGATAGCTTGTCTCTTTATCCTCTTAACAGGATCTTTCACAGAGCAAAGTTTTAAATTTTTGTTAAGTCAAATTTATCACTCATATCCCTTTACTACCCTCACTTTTAAGGTATAATTTCTTTTTTTTTTTTTTGAGATGGAGTCTCGCTCTGTTGCCCAGGCTGGAGTGCAGTGGCATTATCTTGGCTCACTGCAAGCTCCGCCTCCTGGGTTCATGCCATTCTCCTGCCTCAGCCTCCCGAGCTGTATATTTTACTAGATTGATAATATTTAAGATGTTGATGCATCATTATCTACAGCAGGTTTTGTGATAAAATTGTATTTTACAAGCTGTTCTGTTTTATGGCTATGAATGGGTATATATATATCTCATTTTATTACAGTTCTATATCTTTCAGATATAGAAAGAGTAGCTGGGACTACAGGCGCCTGCCACCACGCCCAGCTAATTTTTTGTATTTTTAGTACAGATGGGGTTTCACCGTGTTAGCCAGGATGGTCTCGATCTCTTGACCTCATGATCCACCCGCATCGGCCTCCCAAAGTGCTGGGATTACAGGCGTGAGCCGCTGCTAAGTCTTTCCACTATAAACCTTAAAGATCATACAGAATGGTGTTAGAATTTTTGCTTCAACAATCCAAGATTATTTAGGAAATGATTTAAAAAGTTAGTTTCATCTATGCCTTTTTAACTCATTCTGTTGTTTTTTTCTTTCTGAAATTCAAAGCCTTTTTCTGTTATCATTTTTTTTCTGCTTTTAGAATTTTCCTTTTTTTTTTTTTCTTGAGACAGAGTCACACTATTGTCGACCCAGGCTGGAGTGCAATGGCATGATCTTGGCTCACTGCAACCTCCGCCTCTCGGGTTCCGGCAATTCTCCTGCCTCAGCCTCTCGAGTAGCTGGGATTATAGGTGCTTGCCACCACGCGTGGCTAATTTTTGTATTTTTTAGTAGAGATGGAGACTTCACCATGTTGGCTAGGCTGGTCTTGAACTTCTGATCTCAGGTGATCCACCCACCTCGGCCTCCCAGAGTGCTGGGATTACAAGCGTGAGCCACCGTGCCCAGCCTAGAATTTTCTTTAGACATTTTTTAAGGGTAGTTTTGCTGGCAACAAATTCTCTTAGTCTTCTTTCATCTAATAATATCTTTATTTTCCCTTTTACTTATTGAAAGACACTTTTTCTGGTTGTAGAATTCATGGTTGAAAGCTGTTTCGGTGTTTGAAAAATATTGTGCCGTTTCCTTCTGGTCCCCATGATTTCAGATGAGAAATCCACTGTAATTCAAAGTAGTATTCCCCTATAAGTAATATGTCATTTCTTTTTGTCTGCTTTGAAGATTTTCAAATTAAACTTTTATTAAAACGCATTAAGAAAAGGTTTCAGAAGCTTAGTTTTGATATGTCTTGGCATGGATTTCTTTGGGTTTATATTGAGAATTACTGAGCTTTTGAGTCTGTAAGTTCGTATCTTTTGCCAAATATGAAAAATTTTCAGCCATTTATTTCTTTGAAAGCTTTTTTGTCACAGTCTTTCTTCTCCTTCTTGAATTTTGGTGATATGAATGTTTGCTCATTTGTTATTGTCCCACGTGTCCCTGAGACTTGGTTCACTTTTTAAAAGTCAGTTTTGCCTTTGTTCTTTAAATTTGGTAAATTCTATTGAGCTGTTTTCATACAGAATGTTTACTAACAACTTTTTCAGATGAGTGGAGCGAAAATTCAACTCTCATTTTGGCGCTTCCAACACCTGCCTTATGAAACGGGAGCACTGATTTGCGCACCCTTGTTGCCTTTGAGTGGAGATGTAAGCTCATCTCTCAACTGGGCTTTACATCACCAAGAGAGGAGCTAAGCAGAGGGCTGAGTAACACCATTTCATTGCTGTGGGGTGGAAATTCAGCTCCCTGATGGTTCCAGCTGATACCAGGAAAGGGGATAATGGAGAGCAGAGTGTCAAGTGATCCTGCTTCCCACTGCCTCATTATGCCTCACTGATACTGGGTGGACGTGGAGGTAAATATCCTCACTAAGCCCCCATGATACCATGAATGGAGAGAAAGTAGAGTGCTCACTAGTCCTGTCTTGTACTGCTCTGTTCAGTCTTCATGTTAAATAGGGGTGGAGGTTCATCTTGCCACTGGCCCCTGCTAACACTATCCTGGCAGGGGAATAAAACTCCCATCTGTTTCCACCAAATGGGGATTATAGGAATAACCCCTTGCTTGGTCCCACTCTTAATACATCAGCACAGGGAAATTGGAGATTTGTTTTCTTCCATTAGTGGGCAAAGGAAGATCAGTTCTACCAACACTACCCTGACAGGTAAATCACAGCAGTTCTACCCACTTCCACTAGGCATGGGTATAATTTTAACTCTGCTTAGTCTCACCAACACCTCTGAGTGAGGGAATCAGAGCACAACCACTTGTTTCTGCAGGATGCGGGTAGAAGATCTCTTCCATGTTGGCTTCCCTGAAATCCCTAAAAGGAGATGTACAGTTTTCTCTTTGGTGTTCAGATGGAGTAGGGCTGGTATTGCCAAAAATGTTTTCTATCATTAGGTCTCACATTTCCAGTCCTTTGGCTAAGCAGTGCAGGTTTTTCTTGAAGATTTTTCTGTCTGTGCCTATTGGTGGTTCTGGGTTGGAGGCTCCTAGAAAGCCCATCTTGGATATATGGGAGGCAATAAGGAAACCCAGGGAACTTACCACAGTGTCGGTCCTCAAGTCCCAAGTTTCCTAAAAAGTCCACCTTCTTTTTTCCACCATTCAGAGTTGTCCTATGCTTCCTTGTTGTATGTTTACAGTTTGTTTTAGTTTTAAGAGGGGGGACCCAGAAGGAATGGGGCTACTCCATCTACGCTGGTGCTGTAAGACTCATCATATTGATTTTATATGTGATATTGTTTCGACATGTATCAATGGGTAGTATGTTGTATATATTATTTTGCCTTTTAAATTTTTCAGTCACATTTTAATAATTTATCGATGCTGATATTCATTTCCAGTAGCTGTATTCAGTGTATGAATTCACTACCATTTATTAATTTCTTCTATTATTATGGACATTTAGATTGTTTCAAAGTTTTTACTCTTGAAATAAATTGGCAATGAACATCTTTATACATATGTCCTTTAAATATGAGAAAGAGTTTCTCTGTAAGTGGAATTGCTGTAGCCAGGTTAAGACATTTTCAATAGCCAGCCATTGCCAAAAAGTATTTTGATGATTAAAGTAATTGCATTGATGTGTGTATTCATTAACAATCTATAAATCTTCTTAACCAATACTAGGCCTTTCACACTCTCTAGTTTTTTTCCAAAACTTCAGAAAGGAATAAAGTGGTATCTAGTTGTGTTAATTTACATTTTCCAATTTTCCATTGTGGTCTCTGTAATTTCTACACCTGAGATAATAATTGTAAATTTTTTGCCTCCTTACCTTTGTATCAGCCATTCTAACTTTTGTGTAAATGTGTAATTTCTCTATAATAGAAATGCATAGGGTGGATTTTTTTCTGGTTGTTACTGATATATTTGTCTTTTGTTTTCTAAATTTTCATATAGTGCCTCATTCTTGCTCTACATATGTGATGTGGCTCTGTGTTTTTCCATTATTACAGAAAAAATATTTCATTTCTTTTGTTTTTCTCTGGTACATCATATGCCATCTATTTTTTTTTTTTTAGACGGAGTCTCGCTCTGTTGCCCAGACTGGAGTGCAGTGGCGTGATTTCGGCTCAATGCAACCTCCGCCTCCCGGGTTCAAGCGATTCTCCTGCCTCAGCCGCCCGAGTAGCTGGGACTACAGGCACGAGCCACCATGCCCCACTAATTTTTGTATTTTTTAGTAGAGGCAGAGTTTCACCTTGTTGGCCATGCTGGTCTCAAACTCCTGACCCCAAATGATCCACCCACCTCGGCCTCCCAAAGTGCTGGGATTACAGGCATGAGACCGCGCCCAGCCATGCCATCTATTTTTAAATCAATAGCACACAAACAAAAAATAGCAAATTTTTAGGGATATACGAATAAAATTATTTTGAGAAGAATTTACTAGATATCATTCCTATTGTCACTAAAATGATGTATGGCTAATATGTGTCATAACACTGTATTTCACTGTATAGCCTTATGCATAGCCTTAAGAATATTGGAAACTGAGAAGACTCGATCCACCTTGCATGGATCTACTAAGTTTAAAGCATATTAGATTTTTTATTTAAGAAAAATCTGCCAAATACTTCTATAAAGCAATTCATCTTTGAAATCTACCTTCTCCTTATTTCTCTTCTCTTTGTTTATTTTTATGTCTTCTTTTTCTTCACCTTCACCTTCTCCTCCTTCTTCTTACATGTTCCTTATCAATTATGCCTATACGAAAAGGGAGGCACCTGTAACCTTGGGAGATATACATATCTGTAATTTTTGAGGATATTAGCCTAGCAAGAAAGGCTCCTCTCAATATTACTTGGTTACAGAGCTTGTTTACTAGGGAGCGGACAAATAAATGTGCTTAAGAGCCAATGTACAACCTAAGAGGAAAAGGCAACATCCCATTGGAAGTCAAATATTATTAGAAACCCAGTGATATTCTGCGATGTTTATGGAGAATATCTATTGGCACAAAAGGCCACCAAGCACAAGGTTATATGTGCCATGAACAAACAAGTAAAAAAGTTGCAGACCTAGACTCTATATTGGGAGAAGGGCTATTCAACTCAAGAAGCAAGAGTTAGGTTCTTGCTGACATCAGCATTTGAGGACATAAAGTTTTATGTAATTCCAAGTGCCAGAAGCAGGTCACCTTTGCTTCATAAACTTTAAGTAAAGCAATGCATATGATGTATCTGTATTGTCTCTGACATAAAGTGGATATTCAGTAAAAGTTAGATATTTATCCTATAATTACTCCTCCACCCACACCAGGAAAAAAAAGATTTTCTGTCATTTGTTTGGTTAGAATGTGCAGATTTTAGATTTCTATTTGTTGCAAAGTTCAAACTCCCAGTTGATTGACTTCTTCCCCATCTTTAAGAAGTCTTCTAGCCATTATAATAAAAGCTTTTCTATAAAACTGCATTAATTCAAGTAACTTCATACCTTACAGTTATTTTCTGTCTTCCCAACATATGAAATTACTTTCCAAGGCTGGCCAGCATTTATTAATGCAAATATTTGGTGTCTTCCAATAACAATGAAGTAAAAGTTTTCGTAATTATATCAATCCTAGAATTTGGGTATTGTATTCCATTGTAGATGTACTTCATTTAATTTAAATTATCGCATTATCAAAATATTTATGTTAATATTTTTAAATTCACGTAACAGTAAATAAATGTTAAACTCTGTGGGAAATCCTTTGTTTTTTTATTTTGTTTATTAACAGACTCAATCTACGTGTGCATCATAGTAGTACACTTAATCAAGGCAGTCAAACTTTTTAAATCCAAATAAATGGAGAAGATAACTAAGTCAACTCTTTTGCTCACTTATTCTCCAGTCATTTCAAAAAATATCCATAGAAACCAAATGCCACAGACTAGGCAGTTTATAAATGACAGAAATTTATTTCTCACAGCTCTGAAAGCTGGGAAGTTCAAGATCAAGGTGCTAGTAGATTTGATGTCTGGTGAAGGCTTACTTTCTGCTTCCAATGTAGCTCCTTGTTGCTGCATCCTCTGGAGTGGATGAATGCTGTCTTCACATAGCAGAAGGGACAGAAGGGCAAAAAAGGACAAACTTTCTCTCTCAATCCCGATTATACAGACGCTACTCACTTCCATGATGGTGGAGCCCTCATGGCCTAATCACCTCCTAAAGGCTCCATCTCTTAATGCTGTTGCATTGGGGATTAAGTTTCAACATGAATTTTGGAGGAACAGAAACATTCATACCATAGGCCCTGCTTTATATATGATACCAATTTTATAAATGAAAAATATAGTGCTATTTTTGAAATGATAGCTATAAACTTATTTTCCACATTTTCTTAAAAGTAGCCCACTTTTTCAAGGTTCAAAACACGTATTTTATTTCAAATATCATGTTTTACCACTGTGTAACAATTTCATCTATAATGCACAATTCCTAGCCTACTGCCCCAAAACTTGAGTTCTTGATTTTATTTAAACTAATCACATTTTTTCACAAACCCTTTTCCATCTCCAAAAATATGCATTCTTGTTTTTAATTTCAAAGCATCACAATTTTCAAAATGACATTCTTCAACTCAAGTCAAAACCTTCTTTTAGCTTAAGTTATGTGTATTTTCCTTTCTCATATTTTGTTTTGGATATAGGGGAACAACTAACTTCAAATCTGAAATGTATTTATGAATATCTGCAGAATTAAATATCTTTTGAATATAATTGTGGCCTGTTTTATACTGCTTTCTTAACAATCACCTGCAAATGAAGGGCATTTGATAATTGTTTAATTGAATTATATTCTCCTTATTATCATATGTAGCCCTATATCTAAGGTGAGTCCCAACAAACCATAGAAGCATTTGCTACGCTCTGTGGGAATTAGTACAGTGAGATGTGTGCTTAAGTCATTAGTAAACACATGCTGATTTGTTTCCAAAAAAAAAAGTTTAAAATGTTGTGTTAAAAACTACCAAAGGTATCATATATTTCAGATGAAAAATAAAAATAAGACACTAGCACACTGATAAATGGTAGTTCGTGCAATCAATTCCGATTTAGTAGACTGTAGTTGAAATTTTCAGATAAGTGAGAAATATCTTACTGAAAATGAAAATGTACTATGTACTACAAGAAAGCATGGGTAGTTATTATACTGTCGTAGGCCTTCATTACGAATATAACTATAAGTTATTGCAGCCCAGACTACATTGGTGAGCTTGTAAAGAAATAATTATCTAGTTGTATTCACAATGCTACAAACACTCACAACATTTCATTTTATTCTCAATGCTAAATCAAAGATGAAGGACCTGCATAGGGTTTGCTTTATGCAATTAGATAAGAAAATTCATGCTAAGGGAGCATAATTGCCAAAGATTACACAGCTTGAGCATGCCAGATCAGACTAGAACACACATATTCTGGGTTGAGAGCCTCTTCTTTTTAAGGCTGCATATGATTGTTCTAGAATTTTTATATCCAGGTCTATGCCCATAGATGATATCTTCCTCACCCTCCTAGCTGCTGCCATACACATGGACTCTTCACTTGTACTGAGCTAATTTGCTTTCATTTCAGGTTGTAAATGTGACGCTGACCCTAGACAGATTTAGAAGAGATTTTTATTTCTATTCTTGTCTCACAGGGGTGAGATTTAAGAAGGCTGTTTAAATACTTGTTAAATTAAATGTGCCAAAGTAATATGAAATTAGAAACTCTATAAATGGATGGTAATTCCAAGTAATCAAACACATTAGGAAATTCAGACCAGGTCATTTTGCAAAGTCAAAAGTGTAAAAAAAGTATCTAAATTTAAAATTTAGTGTTTTCTTATGTCTGTAATGGAATTAGTTCTCCACTTCCCTTTTTCCTGCAGTATTTTCTTTCCAACTGTGACTACACCATCATATATTCAGATATCTGGCCCAGGGGACATGTCAACAAGCTTCCTTAACTGAGCCAGGTAATTTTGGAGAAAGAGTCCCTGAAGAAGGGCCAGAATTCTACCAAGAATAATCAGACTTAAAGGTAGTGGTCCAGTGGAAGCTCCTTAAAGCCCCATGGGACATTTGGTAATATCTGAAGACATTTTTGGTTACCATAACTGAATGATAGGTGCTTCTGTCATCTCAGTGGTAGAATCCAGGGATGCTGCTAGGCTAGGCATTTTTTAATGCACAGGCTCCCTCCATACACACCCTGAAGAATTATCCTACCCCAAAAGTCAATAGTGCTAATATTGGGAAACACTGATCTATATGGGTATGTATCTCATTTTCTACTATGATAGTGTTGTAGAGAGCTTTGCATAGTTAACATTCTAGCAAGTTCTAACTTACTGACAAAGAGAAAGATCTATGATATATATCTAGTGCATTGTCTAGTATAGTAGTCACTAGCCCACTTGTGGTTGTATTTATTTATTTATTTATTTATTTATTTATTTTTGAGATGGAGTTTCACTCTTGTTGCCCAGGCTGGAGTGCAATGGCGCGATCTCGGTTAACTGCAACCTCCGCCTCCCGGGCTCAAGCGATTCTCCTGCCTCAGCCTCCCGAGTAGCTGGGATTACAGGCATGTGCCACCACGCCTGGCTGATTTTGTTTTTTTCAGTAGAGACGGGGTTTCTCCGTGTTGGTCAGACTGGTTTCGAACTCCTGATCTCAGGTGATCTGCCCACCTCGGCCTCCCAAAGTGCTGGGATTACAGGCATAAGCCACTGCACCTGGCCTGCGGTTATTACATTTAAATTAAAATTATTCCTGAATAAAGTTGAAAATTTAGTTCCCTAGTAACACTAGCCAGATTTTGAGTGCTCAATAGCTACATGTGGCTAGGGATTACTGTATTTCAATATTTCCATCATTAGAAAAAGTCCTGTTGCACAGTGCTAATCCAGAGACTCCACACATTAACAAAATGAAAGTGAAATATTGTTGACACAGTGATATCTCATATGTGTGGGGGAGATGATGTAAGAAAGCTTATCTACTTTTATAATGATCACTCATGCACCCACAAAAAAATATCTAGAGTAGAGAAATTGAGCAAGATAACAGAAAATAAAATTAAAATTTCTTGAGAATGACAGAGGCCAAACTAGAATTTAAACTGTATACAATTTAATATGCATGCATAATGTTCTATTTCCCTCTTAATCAATGAATTAGAATAATAGTTAAGCAGTTGGCTTTCTCTTCTGAGTGTCAAAAGCTGCTATGGTTCCACTCCACAAAATCTTCGTTGGGATATATATCTTTTTTCAAAGCTCTGATTGTGTAGACCTTGCTGGGTTTTCCAAGAATGGACTTTAATAATAAAGTCTATGTTGTAATTTCTCTGTACAAAAAGCATAGCACCTCTTTTGATATGTTTAGTGTAATGTCGATTATGGTCCCTGGTATAGGTGCAATAACTGATCTTATTTTACATAACATTAAAGAGGAACAGCTTTTCTTTTATACTGTAAAAGAAAAATTAGACCAGACCAATTAAACGGGGAAGGAAAAATTTATTCAAGACTATTGCAATAGGAAAGGGAGATTGAACTCAACAAAAGGCAAGAGGATTTTAAATGCTAAAGAGAGCTAATAGAAAAGTAAGATAGAATGGGGGAGGTGTGTCTGTATGATTAGGCTATCTGTGTTTGCTAATTGGCACTTATCTAAGTTAGGTTCTTACTCTCCCACAGAGTCTGGGAGACCAAGGCTCTGTCTTTCTGGATGATTACATTTCAAAGGGATGGCTCACAGGTTCTTGAGGAAGATATCCCTAGTTTGTAAAAGATTTACATCTCAAAGAGCCAGAGAAAGGAATTTACAATTGAAAGTTTTCTAAAGAAAATTATCTAAGAAAATAAGGACGGGGCCTGTAGTCAGGAAGAAACCTGTCTCATATTTAATCAAGCTGAAGGGAACATTAGGGCCGTCTTGGTTAATGCACAGTGAACTATGTCATTTTGAAACTTAACTGCTGAGAATAGTAATTTCTGATTTGAATTTCAGTCAGAAAAATAAATATTCCATTCAGCAATATCTTGTACTCCCCTTTTGTAACCAAATTACACAATTACACATTTTATCACCCTAACTGAGGCTTAAATTAGTGCTTTTTTTTTTCGGTTATCAACTTCAAGAAACTCAATAGTGATGAATGGAAAAAAGAAGGAGTGGAAAGTAGTAAGGACAATTGCACCTAATTACCAACTCCAAATTGTTACAAGAAGATTCATTCATTTTCAGATTTTCTAACAGTAACTTCTCAGTGCATAGCAATGGTATAGTGAATCATATTTGAAGACAAAGTCTCAATTTCAGGAGTTCACAGGGTGGAAGAGGTGAGTTCATAGGCAATTTGGTCATCTCAAAGACAATTTGCATGGGGCATACATGCAGGATCTCCTTGTCTCTAAATAATATTTTCATTTCAACCTCATATGCTACTCTTCCCTTACACCCAACAGTGTGAGTTCTAACTTCTCTTCAGAATAAGGCAAATCTCCCAGTTTCATTTGTTCATAACACTCTGTATTTTAAAGCATCGCTCACAACTGCAACTATTTAAATATTTGCATAACTGTTTATTTTTAAATGACCTGTCCTAGTTGTTTGTGAACTCCACAGTGCATAAATGCTCATAGCTGACTTCTCCATTGCTGTGTCTCTATGACACAGGAGTTAAGAAGAAATTACTTAGGCAGATAGTGAGGGTATGGAAGTCCTCAGTAAAGTTTTTATTTTAATGAAAAGCAGCCCGAAATCATTTTCCTTTCTAACAAAGAGCAGCCTGTAAAACAAGCTGCTGACATAGATGCTGACAGTTATGCTAATCATGATCAAGATGGCGGCTCTAACGTCCCTTCTCTTTGTCAGTCAGGTATACAGTAAGGAGCAGACAAGACGGCGCTGGCCAAGGGGAAAGTTCATTTGCATATTAAGATTAGGGTGGGGCAGCCAGCCTTCCCAGAGCACTATGTAAACTTCATACCTGATGCCCTATGTAAATTAAACACCCCCTTCTCAAACCTGACTATAAAATAGGGCCCATCTGCCACAGGCCATCTCAGAAGTCCCCTCTCTCTCACTAGAGAGGGCTGTTTTCCTTTCTCTTTCTTTCTCTTTCTTTTGCCTATTAAACCTCCACTCCTAAACTCATGTGTGTCCATCTCGTACATTTTCTTGGTGCAAGATGAGGAACCCCAGGTATCCAGACAAGGGTAGCCACTTCATTTAGTCTAGCACCTGACCAAGAGTAAATATTAAATAATTATTTAAAACATATTGACACTGTGTAATAAACTTTTTGGTTTTGAGAAACTGACAGGTAAATTCCTTTTACTCCTCATGATGTTTCTTTAAAAAATTTTCCAAAATGCAATCTGTTTACTAAAAACAATATAAGTATTCAAAACAATCCACAATTGAGCATTTTGTAAGCTATGACCATGGATTTTTATCCATATGTTTTATGTCATAACATATATGTAATTAAATTTCAAGATGAAGATAAACTCAATCCCCCATTTACTTCGAAATGAAACATTTTATAGATAAAAGTAACATAATCTAAATGTACCACATCCGTTTTAAAGAACATTTAAAAATATTTGGCCAGTAGGGTTGGTGTGTATTTCCATTGATAATGGGAAGAAACAACTTCTGGATTTTTAAAAAAAAGGTATAATAATGAAAACAAGAGCTAGAAATGAGACATAAGAAAAAATGAGACTGTGTAACTAAAATGTATTGTATGACTAATATACTTAGACACTCTATATAATGTATTTAATAAAGTAAAAAAAAATTGATTAAGATTTACCCTGAGAAGCGTAGCTAGCAAATATTAATGAAAACCAAGAGAATGGAAAATGACAGTTTGAACCTTATCCGTAAAACCTTACCCTACCCTTTAAGTTTGAATTGGATGATTTTCGTAGCTGAGGTTCTTCAGGTATTTAGTAAACTTAAACTGACTGCTTCTTATTTATTTTCACACTCATAGAAGCTGCTCTTTGGAACTTCAACACTATGTAATGTTTATCATCATCATGGTTACATTTTCAAATAGTTTACTACCAGCCAACATTTGTTTATAATAAGGATTCAAAAAAATAATGATGATATACAGAATAAATAATATTTTACATTTACTCTTTTGTCTCACCAGTTGGCATAATGTAGTAATATAATGTTCAAATCTGCATCAGATCTTATAATCCCATGTAATTTGGCTGTAAATATTTTGGAGTTACTCAAACTTTTTTGAAAACGGGATTTCAAGTTTAATTTTGTGTATTTAATTTTAATATAAAATGAGAAGATTTTGACCAAAATTTTTTTCCTGAAAAGTCTTTTATGAAAATTGTTTAGGAACAATCTATTTGTCATACAGAAAATATTGGCCTCCCAAGCTATTTTAGATGATCAAATACTCTTTCATTTTTTTATTTTTCGAAAAAACTCTATTTCAAAAATGAAACATCATGAAAATGTTTATTAAAATTTCTGTTAGCATTGTAGATATTAAAAATCTGAAGGTTATTCAAGATAAGCAAAAAGAGAGTTAATTCATTAGTAAGTTCAAAACATTAGGCCAGGCACAGTGGCTCACGCCTGTAATCCCATCACTTTGAGAGGCCAAGGCGGTCGGATCACTTGAGGTCAGGAGTTCGAGACCAGCCTGGCCAACACGGTGAAACCCTGTCTCTACTAAAAATACAAAAATTATCAGGGCGTGATGGTGCATGCCTGTAATCCCAGCTACTGCAGAGGCTGAGGCAGGAGAATCACTTGAGCTGGGGAGGTGGAGGTTGCAGTGCACGAAGGTCGTTCCACTGCACTCCAGCCTGGGCGACAGAGCGAGACTCCGTCTCAAAACAAAACAAAACAAGAAACATTATTGAGTGACTACTATATGTTGGGTACATCATTTGCATTCAAGAAATCAGAGGTTTGATAAAATAATTGTAAGGCAATTTAAATTATACAGGATTTATTGTTGTATTTCTTTCTTTTTAAAAAATATAGTTTCAGTGAGTACATGTG
This sequence comes from Homo sapiens, assembly GCF_000001405.40. Classification (NCBI taxonomy): domain Eukaryota; kingdom Metazoa; phylum Chordata; class Mammalia; order Primates; family Hominidae; genus Homo; species Homo sapiens. The sequence goes on from NC_000023.11 coordinate 27,887,008, forward strand.
CAAGTTTGTTACATGAGTATATTGCATAATGATGGGGTTTGGGCTTCTAGTGAACCTTTCACTCAAAAGGTAAACGCAGTGCCCAATAGGCAGTTTTTCAACCCTTGCCTCCTTCTCACCTTCCCCACTTTTAGAGTCCCCAGTGTCTATTGTTTCCATCTTTATGTCCATGTGTACCCACTGATTAGCTCCCATTTATAATTGAGTACTTGACACATTTGGTTTTCTGTTCCTGAGTTACTTCTCTTAGGATAATGGCCTCCTGTTCCATCCATGTTGCTGCAAAACATATTATTTTGTTCTTTTTAATGTCTGCATAGTATTCCATGGTGTATATATGCCACATTTTCTTTATCCAACCTACCATTGATGGACACTTAGGTTGATTCCATGGCTTTGCTATTGTAAATAGTCCTTTGATTAATATATGCATGCAGGTGTCTTTTTGATAAAATGATTTGTTTTCCTTTGAGTAGATACCACCCAGTATCTACTGGGTGCATCATATGGTAGTCTTATTTTTAATTCTTTGAGAAATCTGCATATGTTTTCCACAGAGGTTGAACTAATTTACATTACCGCCCACAGTGTATTAGCTTTCCCTTTTCTTTGCATCCATGTAAATATTTGTTATTTTTTGACTTTTTAGTAATAGCTATTCTGACTGGTGTGAAATAGTGTCTTATTGTGGTTTTGATTTATTTCTCTAATTATCAGTGATGTTGAGCATTTTTTCATGTTTGTTGGCCACTTGTATGTTTTCTTCTTTCCAGAAGCATCTGTTCAAGTCCTCTGCCCAATTTTTTTTTTTTTTTTTTTTTTGCCCAGGCTGAAATGCAGTGGCATGATCTCCGCCCACTGCAAGCTCCGCCTCCCGAGTTCACGCCATTCTTCTGCCTCAGCCTCCCGAGTAGCTGGGACTACAGGCACCCGCCACCACGCCCGGCTAATTTTTTGCATTTTTTAGTAGAGACGGGGTTTCACCGTGTTAGCCAGGATGGTCTCAATCTCCTGACCTCGTGATCTGCCCACTTCGGTCTCCCAACTCTGCCCAATTTTTAATGGGGTTGTTTTTTGCTTATTGGTTTAAGTTCTTTATTCTTTCTGAAAAGTCCTACTTTTGCTTAAATAATGTTTCCATTATTATAGGATACTGTAGTATATGTTGAGGTTATTGTTTCTAAAACAAAAACTGAATGCTTAATGTTCTGTTCTTAATAAATTATATAATATATTTTAACTTTTAGAGAAAACCACAATATTATTGTATTAACCAACCCCTCTCCCAAGTACATGAGTGCCATCTCACTCTCTTGCTTTCACTCTTGCTCTCATTCTCTCTTACTCTGTAATTCTGGATGAAATATGAATATACTACCTTAACAGCCCATATCCAAATGGCTAGGATATTTAACCAACTTCCAAAAGCTTTGCTTTTGTATTTTCTTACCTTTTCCTATTATCACTTACATCCCTATGATTATATTTGCTTACAATACACAATGTAGTGTCTGTCTTGTTATGCAGGGCCCAACAAAGTACCTCTTAAGGGCCAAATCCAGCCCACCACCTGTTTTTCTAAATAAAGTTTTATTGGAACATAGCCATTCCCATTTATTTGCCTATTATCTATGGCTGATTTTATTTTACAACAACAGAGTTGAATAGCTGTGACAAAGATTATATGGCCAGTGAAGTCTAAAATATTTGCTATCTGGCCCTTTGCCCCAAAAGTTTGCTGTCTCCTATTTATTGTTGGAAATGAAGCAAGTGTTGAATATATACCCATATCTTAATTAAATTAATAGAGGGATAGATGGATGGATGACAAGGGGTAGAGAGATGTGGCTTTATGTAAGAGAATACCACTTCATTTCATTTAGGGTGTTCAGATCCAAATCGATTTCTGGAGTACAAGAGAATTTTATTTTGGTTAGAGGGAAAGGAGGATGTATCTCTTCAAATAAATAATAAATATTGGGACAAGATGCTGAGGTGAAAAGAACTAAAAGATTTAGTTATTGACTTTTGTAAAAACCATTTAATTTCAAATCAGAAGAGCGGACTAATTTCTGATTGCCTCCAGTTCTGAAAAAAAAACCTGAATGCTCAATAAGATCATGAAGTGTGGTAGAGTTCACTATTACATAACTTAAAAAAATTTATACCCTAATATGTTCCTTAACTTGAGGTGATTTCATTGCTACTTTTTCCTTCACTGTGGAAATGTTAATTAGTAAAAACTGAAAATGCACAGCATTAATGAAGGTTTTTTCCTAAAAGTTGATACCAAATTTTGAAAGTAGAACTTTGAATACTTAGGGAATTTTTGATTATCAGAATTTCCTGTCCTGTCCTGTTTTGATATCAGAACAGTCCTTTGAAATCTGGATAAGTGGGATATGTAAGACCTGGCTTGAGTAAGAATTTTGATGGAAATTGTGCAGCAGAAATCCAGAGACAGTTTTTTTGTTTTTTGCTTTTTTTGGTTTTTGTTTTTGTTTCGGGGTTTTTTTGTTTCGTTTTGTTTTTGTTTTTGTTTTTTTTGGTATGTGAAGCTTAATTTCTTGGATTCGTTAAATAAATAGATTCTGGACTGTAGAATCTTCAGAGAAGTGTTTGGGGACCAGAAATTTCCATGGTTGGTAGGAATATATTTTCTTTGGTCATCTCTGAAGCAATCTTGATGATGGGCAAATGTACTACATAATAAGACTGTCAACCTTGATGTTTAAATTTCACTGCTTTTGTGGATTTAAAGTAGCTTTATAATTTTATAATATATCTAGTATAAAAACAGAATGTATAATTGGACTCTTCAAAATATAGAAATGACATTTATGTCTCATTTCCACTCTCAGAATTTATTTTATTTTTTTCATTTAAATTATCTGTGTCATGCCATTTTCCATTTTTATCTGCTTTTTAATTTTATTTATACTTGTCTATGATGATAGAAAAATGCATAATAACGGCTGTGGTTGGCAATAAATAGGCCGTGAGACTGCATATTTTGTAACAGTGGAGGCTTGGGACATGAAACAAAAGCCCTGAGTGTTCAACTTTCCCTCTGTCTGGCTGCAGGGGACTGCTGTATTACCTCCTGAATAAAAGAAGACCTGGCTACAGAGCTGTGAGGACTAGAAAAATCTCTCTTTGCAAGCACTGTCCAATTTGCAAGTTAAAGTATAATAAAGCTGGACAATAAATTTAATAGGCAAACCTACCTGCCATGAAAAGCATTACTGATTTTCAATCAAGAGACCAGAGAAAAGTAATAGTTAGGAAGATTCTGATTTTAGAAATCAGCATTTTGAATACAAATGTTTAACACTGGGAAGAAAATAACTTTATATAAGGTCTGTATCAAACTATCTGACATATCTAGACATAAGGTATTTGTGGGACAAAAAGCAAAATATCAGTCCATTGTTAGAGTCTCCTCTATCCTCCCCCAAATGGTAGAATCTAAGAATGAGAAAAGACCACACAAATGAGAGAAAAGAGACTCTAATTTCAAAAATAGCCTACAAAAGAATTCCTTCCTTTGATTTTATCAGTCTTTCTTCTTTATTTCCTTCCTTCCTTTTCTCTTCATTTGACGATGTATGCATTCAATAAGCATTAAGTAGCAATTATAATTTATTGTGATAAACACTGGAGATGAAATACAAATAATAAAACAATATAGTAAATGACATAATAAAAATGTGTACATAATATTATCGCATGCCTGGGAGAAGCATATAATATCATTTAAGATGAGGAATTCAGCATGGAAATAACCCATGTACTGAGTCATGGTATGAGTCAGCATTGGCTGTAGGAATGCTGACAGGAAAGAGATGAGGTAGAGATTGGGAAGAGGATATTCTTGATCATTAGTGCATTATAATAAAAGTCTTTGTAAAGCAAAATTATATAGTGTATGAAGAAAACAATGGCCACTCTGGGTTATTGAAGTCTAAAATAGGTAATGACCAGTAACAGGGACAAAAAAGGAAGTTGGGCCAAATCATATGATAATTTAAAATTTTTGGAACTATTCTATGAGAAATTATGACCCATGGAAGCGTTTTAAGCGATGAATTATTTGCAATATTGCTTTATTGCTTTTAAAATAGATCATGTTGGTGGCTTTTTGCAAGGTGGGTTTACACAGGTCGAGTGAGAGGGAACATTAATTATTGATTGCTCACCCAACAAGCATACTTAGGATGTTGTTGTAATACTGAAGAGTTAGATTAAAACCTGAAATTAAAAAGTTATGTAGACGAATAGAAGTGAGCTCATTTTACAAATATTTAGAGGGTGAAATGGCAGCATATTACAACAAATGAGATGTCAGAGTTGAGAGAAAAAGAGATCTGAAGATGAGCCTCATTTTCTTTTCCAATCCAGATGCCTTTTATTTCTTTTTCTTGTCTAATTACTCTAGCTAGGAGTTCCAGTACTATGTTGAATAGAAGTGGCGAGAGCAGGTACCCTTGCTTTGTTTGTGATTTTACAGGAAATCCTATCAGTTTTTCGCCATCAAATATGATGTTAGCTGTGGTCTTTCATATATGGCCTTTATCATGTTGAGGTAATTTTTCTTCTGCTTCTACATTTTTGAGAATTTTTAAACATGAGTTTTGAATTTTGTCAGACAATATGATAGTGGTGATTATTTAACAATATATTTATGTAGCAAAACAGAATTGTACACCTTAAACATACACATTTTTTATTTGTCATTCATATGTCAGTAAAGCTGAAAAAAAGATAAGCCTCAGGTATCTAGCTGGAATAATTGGGTGGATGGTGGTATAACTAAACAAGATGTAAAATAATCCAGAAGGAAAAAAATTTGATTGAGGAAAGGTTAGTGCAGTGTTCTTATGTGCTACAGTGAAAGTGCCTGCAGACAGCTGGACTTAGTGTGTAGCTCCAGGAGAGATCTGTGTAGCCTAATGGTCAGGGTAAAACCATGACAGTGAATGGACCCATTGCATGCAGTGCAGTGTGTGAATGGTAAACAACTAAATATTTTCAACATTCAACAGATATTTCCAGAGTTGAGAAAGTAGTGAGTGAAGAATGGAAAATCATATTAGAGAAAGAGGTCCAAAGAAGTAGATCATTGAAGTGAAGAAACAAAACATTTGTAGTCATATGTCCTCAATCCAGGCTAGCTCTGTGTCATGTTCTGCCTACTTTTAAACCAAAACCTGGCTGACCAAGGTGGAAGGTCCACTGTTCATTTCATTTCTATTTATTTTCTCACTGTCATCTTCAATTTAAATATTTGCTATACCCCGATGTGTGTGTGTGTGTGTGTGTGTGTGTGTGTGTGTGTGTGTGTGTGTTTTATTATTCTAGAAAATTAACCTTTGGGCCAGGCGCGGTGGCTCACACCTGTAAATCCAGCACTTTGCGAGGCCAAGGCGGGCAGATCACCTGAGGTCAGAAGTTCGAGACCATCCTGGCCAACATGGCAAAACCCCGTCTCTACTAAAAATACAAAAATTAGCCGGGTGTGGTGACGTGCGCCTGTAATCCCAGCTACCCAGGAGGCTGAGGCAGGGGAATCTCTGGAACCTGGGGGGCAGAGACTGCAGTGAACCGAGATTGCGCTATTGCACTCCAGCCTGGGCAACAGAACAAGACTCCGTCTCAAAAAAAAAAAAAAGGAAAAATTAACCTTTGATTTGCTTAGCTTTTTGTAATCATATAAATATGCTGGCAGACTCATTGTAAGATTATTTTGTTGTTGTTTAGTTGACTTCACCATATGTTTTGCCAGGCACTGTGGTAGATGTTGAAGAAATAAAAAAATAAGAGAATGTTTATCCAATGTCTCTGGGATTTATAATCTGGGTAATAAGATATACTTAAGAATTATTATCATTTGCCATACGAATTAGAGTGATATAGGTGGAAAAAATGTTATATAATAGGATTCCAGTATTTTCAGCTTCTTTCCTTTTTCCAGTTTTAGAAATGATAAAACTGAAGCCCAGAAAACTGATCTTGACTTTCCCAACATAATGATACTAGTTAGTGTTTAAATATATAGTTTTCAGGTGAACAAACGGATGCTTTGGGATTGAGATTTAGGAGATGGCCTCGCGATTAACTATGCTCCAAAGAAGTACATGCTGTCATAGAGAGGTAACTATATTTAATTGCTTCTTCTTTTAAAAGCACATTATTTAATGGAGCATTCAAAATACATGACATATAGATTTCCATTCAGTATATTTTGCTACAATAATTCCATGCATTTGATAAAAGACGTCAAGCTCTTTTAAAACAGAAAGTCATAGTTCTTCCTTTCAAAGCCCTTCACTGCTTATTTTAGGATATACAGCATATCATTCTGGCTGATGCTGAGTTGCACACAAAGAAACAGATTGTTCTTAATAAGTTCCACGAGTAGAAGGGACAGGAAACCAAGCATGAACACACAGTCACGGTCTCTGACATGGTAGGGTGCAGCAGTCCCTTTATTTTTCATAGAGCCATGTGCTTATTGTATACCTTTTGAAATGTTGCTGCTTCCAGTCCTGATCTGCAGAACACTGTTAGGATAGTTCTCAGGGAGAACTGAGGAAATTTTTACGGCGGTGATGTATGCAAATGAAAATATCTGATCCACAGCGTTGATAAAGTTGGCTACAGTGACCAAGCCAGAGGAGTTAGGCTTCTGCTGGGAACACTCATAGATCTCTGTGGCATGCCTGTAAATATCCACATAGCCATCATGGATCTCCAGAGAGGGCTACTACCTTGAGGCACCATCCTCAAAAGCCTTTAAATGTTTGAGTCAGGACACTGAACTATGCTGCAGTTTGGCTGTTGTGTACAGCACTGGAAGGACATCCTTGTAAGACCCAGTAGACTAGACACCTGGTTCATCATAATTTGTTCTAATAGGTCCACTGTGTTATGAATGGTGAGGATCACAAGTGGGACATCCTTGTGATTGGGCCAATCAAAGAGATTGTACATTATGTTTTGTTTTTAGTCCACAGAAGGTTGAACTGCTCACAAGCCGTACAATAGTCTCCAGAGACAGTTTCCAAGTTATGTTACAGTAGCTTTATTATGGATTGCATGTGTTGGCCTTTGTACATTGTAATGGGAAGCTTCTCCAGAGCAAGCTTCCTGAACTTTGGCACTATTAACATTTGGGGATGGATAATTATTTGTTGCTGGCAATACTGTCCTGCACACTGTAGCATATTCAGCATTGTCCTCGGCCTCTGCCTACTAGGTACCAGTAGCAACCTCTATCACCATTTCATACATCATTCTGACAACCAAAAATGTCTCCAGACATTGCCAAATATCTCCTGGGGATAAAAGTGATCCCAGTTGCGAACTACTGTTGTAGAATTTTATTGATAAATATATTCTGATGTCTATATTTTACTTTTTCATTAAATAAACCCACACTTTAAATTATTGTGGATTTTATAATATTTATATTTTCAAAATATTTTTGATTCTGTATTTACACATTTAGTTCTTTATTCAAATTTAGGAAAAATATAATTAAGAATTCCATGGAAACCAAGTTTAACCAAAATTCCTCTGTCTAAGGAGGAAGATATGAGCAAATATAGTAGGACCCAGGTAACAGCAGTGGCATATGTGAAAAAATGTACATATACATCTATAACCATCACACTTAGAGCAGAAACCATTCAAAATGTACTAGTTTCAATGTACTTTTAAAAACAGCTTTGTCTTTTAAGAATGTTGGACATTTTAAGACTGAGATTTGAGTATTGGCTTATGATTTTTTTTCTGCTTTCTGTAGGGTTCCTATATATATATAAAATATCATTCCTTCCTGGTGGCAGAGGCTTTTGGTGCAAACAAGCCTTTTACCAGGGAATTAGTAGGCTGTCTCTGCAATGTAATCAGTCTGCAAATTAAAATTCTTCAGAAATAATAAACATCTCACTTTTTTTAAAAAAAAGATTATCCCAATTTTAAAATAAAACAAAATTAGAAAAGATACTAAATATTTAATTGACAATAGTCTTCAGAACTGTTTCATTGGATAATTTTTCACTCGGAATTTTTTAGAATCACTGGTATCAGAGAAAGGCCATAGGAAAGCAGAAGCTAATTGTATCATTGAACTAAACTTTCAGATTAATTACTTAGTCCTTTATTTTGATTTTTCCTCAATGCTATAATGATAGCTCAAATATTTAATGTAACTATTAATGTTTTATGAAATTTATGCATTTATAATGTAAGATATATAAGTAGTAATGATATATATATAATATAATAGTTATAACTACCATAACAATACAAATTGAGTATCTCTTACTTGAAATGTTTCAGATTTTGGATTTTTTTTTTCTTTTGGAATATTTGCAAATACACAATGAGACGTCTTGGGGATGAAACTCAAGTCTAAATACAAAATTTATTTTTGATATGCAACTTATACACATAGCCTGAATGTAATTTTATACAATATTTTAAATGACTTTTTGCGAAGTTTGTGCTAAGTATTTATGTATGGAATTTTACACTTGTGGCATCATGTTGATGCTCAAAAAGTTTTGGATTTTAAAGCGCTACAGATTTCAGATTTTCAGATTAGAGATGCTCAACCTTGTAATTCATTTCAGTCAGTAATGATGGAGCATTTTTAAATAATTTTTAAAATTGTGGTAAAATAGAAAGAACACAAAATTTACTATATTAACCATTTTTAAGTATATAGTTCAGTATTGTTAATTGCATTCACTTTGTTCTTTGTTGTATAACCAATCTCCAGAGTTCTTTTCCTTTTGCAAAACTGAAACTGGGCATGAATGGTTATACATTCTAACAAAAACTCCCAATTCTTCTTTCCCTTCCCAGTCTTTGGCAACCACCATTCTACTTTTTTGTCTCTATGAATTTGACTACATGAGTACCTCATACAAGTGGAATTATACAGTACAATCAGCCCTCTGTATCTGTGAACTCCACATCTGTGGATTCAACTCACCATGGATTGAAAATACTCAGAAAAAGGGATGGTTGCATCTCTACTGAACATATATAGACTTTTTTCCTCTTGATAATTCCCTAAACAATACAGTATAACAAATATTTAATATTAGGTATTACAAGGTATTATAAATGATTTAAAGTGTACAAGAGCATGTGAGTAGGTTATGTGCAAATACTACACCATAAGGGATTTGAGCATCTGTGGATTTTGATATACACAGGGGATCCTGAAACCAATCCCCCACAGATACTGAGAGGACAACTGTGTTTGTCTTTTTTGGGCTGGTTTATTTCACTTAGTATAATGTCTTCAAAGTTCATCCATGTTGAACTATATATATGTAGTCTTTTTAATTTTTACCTCTACCTGAGGCTAACAAGATATTGTGGTGGGTTGCTGTCGCTGCCATTGAATATAAAACACATTTTTATTGGGTGACCTTAAGGTGGTGGTTTCTTATATAAGATCAAGAAGAATTATTTGGAATGAGGGATGTGGTTCCAAATATAGTTTAAAAAGTTATGAAGTTGACAAAAATAAAATATTTTATTAATTGAACTGAATTTGATTGAGCTGTATTTTTGCTTAACCACTCTGGTGTACATGTTGAAACAGAAATGTAATGCTAGTTCCTTAACTAGCTTTAATACAGACCTCAGCATAGCCTCATCTTTTTTTTTTTTTTTTTTTTTTTTAGACGAAGTCTGGCTCTGTTGCCCAGACTGGAGTGCAGTGGTGCGATCTCGGCTCACTGCAAGCTCCACCTCCCAGGTTCACGCCATTCTCCTGCCTCAGCCTCCCGAGTATCTGGGACTACAGGCGCCCGCCACCACACCCGGCTAATTTTTTGTATTTTTAGTAGAGACGTGGTTTCACCGTGTTAGCCAGGATGGTCTGGAACTCCTGACCTCGTGATCTGCCCATCTCAGCCTCCCAATAGCCTCATCCTTTCCCCAAATAATACACTTTTCATGGCAAATTATATTCAGGACTTTAGCAAATTGGAAGAATTAATATTGTTAAAATGACCACACTACCCAAAGCAACCTACAGATTCAATGCAATCCCTATCAAAATTCCAATATCATTTTTCATAGAAATGGAAAAAGCAACCTTAAAATTCACATAGAACCACTAAAAAAAACAAACATCCAGGGCAATCATGAGCAAAAAGAACAAAGATGGAGGTATCACACTACTTCTTTTCAAACTATACTTTAAAGCTCTAGTAATTAAAGCAGCGTGATACTGGCAAAAAAAAAAAAAAAAAACAGACACATCAACCAATGGAACAGAATAAAGAGCCCAGAAATAAACCCATGCATATACAGTCAATTGATTTTTGACAGAAGTGTCAAGAATATGCAATGGGAAAAGAATAGTCTTGTCAGGAAATGGTGCTTGGAAAACTAGATATCTACAAGCAGAAGAGTGACATTGGACCCTTATCTCAAAACACATACAAAAATCAACTCAAAACAAGTTAAATACTTAAACATAAGAACAGTAACTGAACTGTAAAACTCCTAAAATAAAACATTGGGGAAAACCTACAGGAGAGTGGTCTGGGAAATGATTTTTTAGATTTGACCTCAAAAATGCAGGCAACGAAAGTAAAAATAGACAAACAGGATTACATCAAAATAAAAAGCTTCTTCACAGCAAAAGAAACAATTAATAGTGTGCAAAGACAACCCATAAATTGGGAGAAAATATTTGCAAACTATGCATCCAATAAGGCGTAAATATCCAAAATACATATGTGGAGGTAAAACATCTCAATGGCAAGAAAAAACAGTTAAAATATGAGCAAGGAGTCTGAATAGACATTTCTCAAGAGAAATGGCCAGCAAATACATGAAAAAAAAAATGCCCAACATCACTAATCATTGTGGAAATGCAAATTAAAACCACTATCAGATATCACATCACACCTTCCAAAATGGTTATTGCCAAAAAGGTGCTGGCAAGGATATGGAGAAAAGGGAACTGCTTTTTTTTTTTTTTTTTTGTTTGGAGATGCAGTCTCGCTCTGTCACCAAGCTGGAGTGCAGGGGCATGATCTCAGCTCACTGCAACCTCAACCTCCTGGGTTCAAGTGATTCTCCTGCCTCAGCCTCCTGAGTAGCTGGGAATACAGGCGCGCGCCACCATGCCCAGCTAATTTTTGTATTTTTAGTAGAGACAGGGTTTCACCATGTTGGCCAGGATGGTCTTGATCTCTTGACCTCGTGATCCGCCTGCCTCAGTCTCCCAAAGTGCTGGGATTACCGGCGTGAGTCACCGCACCTCGCCCCGAAAGGGGAACTTTTATATCCTGTTGTTGGGAATGTAAATTAGTGTAGTCATTATAAGAAATGGTATGGAGGTTCCTCAAAAAACTAAAAATAGAATTACCATATGATACAGTAATCTCACTTCTGGTTATTTACTAAAAAGATTAGAAATCAATTTGTGGAAGAGATGTCTGCCCGTCCAGGTTCATTGCAGCACTATTCACAATAGCCAAGTTATGGAAGCAACCTAAGTGTCCATTGCCAAATGAATCGATAAAGAAAATATGTATATGCAATGGAATACTATTCAGCCTTTAAAAAGAAGTAAATTGTGTCATTCGTGACAACATGGATGGAATTGGAGAACATTATGCTAAGTGAAATAAACCAGGCATGGAAAGACAAATACTGAATGTTCTCACTTATATGTGGAATTTAAAACAATCAAAATCATAAAAGCAGTGAGTAAAATAGTGGTTATAGAGGCTGGAGGAAGGGGGACTGGTGGTCAAAGGATATAAAATCTCAGTTGCACTGCAGAAATATGTTTATTTTTGAGCTCTATTGCACAGCATGGTGTATATGGTTAATAATAGAGCATTGTACATTTCAAAATTGCTAAGAGTGTGCATTTCACATGATCTTACTGCAAGAAATATTAAATATTTGGAGTGATGTATATATTAACTAGGTTGATTCAATTACACCACATTGTATTCACACATCATAAAATCACTTTGTACCACATAAATATAAACAATTATAAATTGTCAATTTACCATAAGATAATGAATTTTTTAAATGTTAAAAATTATATTTATTTATCAATTCAAAAATATTATTGACAGAAACCATGTGGATCTCTCTGCTAAGTGATAGGAATATATTTATGATCCAGTGGATATGATGAATATGATTCTTGACTTCATTGAGCGGGTTTACATACTTAAGGGGAAGACTGTCAACAATTAAAGAAACAAAGAAACAAGATACATGGTCAATGCAATGTAATATATAAATTGTGTAGTGCTTATTGAATTCGGTGGTGTTTCTTATCTTGACACGGAATTAATCCAGTGGATAATTTTAAAAGGTTTTAATTTAGAGAGAAATTCATGTCAACTAAATTGTGCTCTTCACGTCTTTGATAAAACTTAGTAATTTTTTTCTAAGCATAATTGATATGAAATAGTATTTCACTGTGCTTATAATTTGCATTTTATTGGGATTTAATTTGCATTTCCTCAGTAACTTGTGTGTTTTAACATCTTTTTGTATGTTTATTGGCCGTCTGAGTTCCCATTTTGTAAATGTCCCATCTTGGAATTTGTACATAATTTTGTTTATGAACATTTTTACATTTAAAAAAATTATTGAATGTCAAATAACTTATTTCCTCATCCTGCTCATACACATCAATTTCAACTTTGTCCACAATTCTTTAATCTTCAATAGACAAGTATTCAATAGACAAAAGGCATTTTAGTCTTTGAAACCTATACATTTTAGAAAATGTTGAAATTTAAAATTTAAGTCAAAATTTGCCACATAGCAATTTTAACTATATTATATACATTATATGTATGTATATATGTGCATATATATATATATATAAAATAAAGTATATTTGGGGTAAACTTATTCACCACCAGGCCAATGTTTGCAGTATTCTATAGGCAACAAAACTTGCAAGGTTTAAGCTTAAGTTGTAGAAATTATGGAAAGACTTTTCTTTTATACAGATATTCCATTATTTGGTTTTACTTTTACATTGCAGCTCTGCAAATCCCCCCATCTGCCCCATATTTCAATAAATTTTGCTATCCAATGGATTTTTGTGCTGACGAATGAAATGAACTGAGTTCTATATCTAACTCAGCATGGTGCAGAACAGGGAATACATGAATGACTCTTTAGATCATCATCAACTGGACCAATTTAAAGGGAAAATGCAGTTTATGGTCAGAAGTACGCATGATAACATTGGCCTTGAGAAGCTTTATACAAATGTTTGGACTTTCTACATACCATGGAGTGGTGTTTTGAGCTAATCTATATTATATTTAAAGCAATGGGGCAACTCCAAATTTGGTTTTCTGTATTTTGTTTTCTACTCTCAAGATCAGAGAAGAGTTGCAATATTCATGTAATGTGGCAGAGTAGCTGAGTGTTTTAGGACCGTTCAGTAAATATTTTTAAATATGTGTGTGTGTGTGTGTGTGCATGAGTGTGTGTGTGCGTGTGTGTGCATGAGTGTGTGTGTGCGTGTGTGTGCATGTGTGTGTATGTCATTAAGCAACAAACTACTTAAACTCCTCTTAGTCCAGTCTACTTTTATTTAATAAAGGTTTATTGAATGGGGAAAGAGACTGAATTCCACATTTAATTTGAATGCCTGGATAAAAAGGAAAATATATATATAATGCAGAGGATACAGAACAAAAGTCACCAAAGGGGAAATTTAGTCAAAGGTGACCAAGAAGTTAAGTCCAAACCTACCTTATTCATCCCATACAACACAGATGAACATACAACATAAATCTTTGGGGAAGAATGAGATTGGAATTTGAGCTATTGTCTTTTATACCTCCTGGGACAGTGACATCGCTGTTAAACTCATGCTCTTTAAGAAGCACAGTATTAGCTAAAATTGCAACTGATTACTATGTAACTCAACATCAGTGGTTCTCAAATTTAGCTTTATTTTAGAACCACATAGGAGGCTTAAAAATAAAAATACGGGAGCCGTACTATGTAGCAATGAAATAATATCCATCTGGTGTTTTGTCTTGTGTACTAGCATTTTTCTAGTTTCCCGGGTGAGTATAGTATGGAGTTCAGACCTACTGCAAGCTGAGTCTGTCAGGCTGAACAAACCTGGGCAGGGATGTAACTATTTTAGCTATGTCTTTGCAGCTGGATATTTTGTACACTTTCTGCACAAGCCATCTCCCAGGAGCAGTGCTCGCTGGTGGCAGTAAAAAGATGTCTGCATATCCCATACCTAGAGTGAATTACATTAGTTTAGAGCAATCCTTCTCAAAGCTAGGTTTTCATAAGAATCATCTGGGGAGCTTGTTAAAAATACAGTAAGCGGCCCACTCAGAACCCACTGAATAAAAATCTTTAGGGATCTCCAGGAAAGGAGCCCACAGCTTGAGTTTTTAACAAGTATCTCAGGTGAAACTTATGATAAGGCATATTTGCTAGACACTGCCTGGTAAGAATCACTATTATGGATTAGGACCTTGGACTTTCAATATCTTGTATTTCCAAAAGGACATCCTGTTATCACATAGGAAAATGAATAAAGTCTACCCTCTTTAAAATATGGTGACTTTGATGTAATGCTAATACATACAATCAAAAGGCAAACAGGATGCCATATTCTGATTAGGCTTTAACAATCTTTGCAAGCCTGAGATAACCAACATGATTAATTTCTTTTAGGGGAACTATTGAAAATTTTACTAAAAGAAGTTACTATAAAAAACAGTAACTGTAAAACTCCTAGAAGAAAATAGGGAAAAAAAAGGACAGTACAGTGAGGGGTAAATGATTTCTTAGATTTGACCTCAAAAGTGCAGGTAACAAAAGCAAAAGTAGGTAAATGGGATTATATCAAACTAAAAAGCTTCTGCACAGCAATAGAAACAATTAACGGTGTGCAAAGACTATACATGAATTTGGAGAAAATATTTGCAGACTGTACATCCAGTAAGGGATAAATATCCAAAATATATAAGGAGCTAAAACATCTCAATAGCAAGGAAAAAACAATTAAAACATGAGCAGGGAGTCTGAATAGACATTTCTTAAAAGAAGACATACAAATGGCCAGCAAATGTATGAAAAAATGCTCAACATCACTAATTATTGTGGAAATGCAAATTAAAACTACAATCAGATAGATCATAACACTTATGATTTGTTTACTGTCTGTATCAATTAAAAGTTAAAAACAACAGTGTCAGGATAACCCCAAAATAGCCACATTTTTCTAATTGCTCAAAAATAAAAGTAGGGTGATTTGCATAGCCACACATCCGGAGATCTGTTTCCAATGCTAAAGATTTAAGTAGGTCTAATTTCAGATGAATATGACACCTGAGCTATTGAGAAACTGCCGCTGAACATCCAGCTGGGAATCATCACTTGCATGGATAATTACATCTAGCCAATGGGCAGACTCACCTGGGGGGAGTTTTAAATGTACAGATCCCTGAAGATGTGAGAGAATCAACAAAACTCAACAACACAACAAGGAACTCAAATTAAGAAAGCAAAACTTGATATTACAAGTTCATTACAGAAAATTTTAAGTATACACAAAATTAGAGAAACTAATATATTACATCTACTCCCTAAATCAACAATTGTGCACTTTTTGTTCTCCAAAATTTTAGGAGGTGAAAAAATTTAAATAGATTTCAGACACTGTATCTCTTTACATGCAAATATTGTGCATGCATAAATGATACAAATATTTTTATTTTTATTTATTTATTTATTTATTTATTTTTTGAGATTGAGTCTCGCTCTGTCGCCCAGGCTGGAGTGCAGTGGCGCGATCTCGGCTCACTGCAAGCTCCGCCTCCCGGGTTCACGCCATTCTCCTGCCTCAGCCTCCAGAGTAGCTGGGACTATAGGTGCCCGCCACCACGCCCGGCTATTTGTTTTTTTTTGTATTTGTAGTAGAGACGGGGTTTCACCGTGTTAGCCAGAATGGTCTCGATCTCCTGACCTCGTGATCCGCCCACCTCGGCCTCCCAAAGTGCTGGGATTACAGGCGTGAGCCACCGCGCCCGGCCATATATTTTTATTTTTAACATGACAATTATGCTATTTTTGTATCTATCAGAATTTATATAATTTCTTAATGCCATGTAAAAACCAGACAATATTTCTAGTTATTTCACTCATTCTCTCAAAGATGATTTTTGCAGTTAGTTTTTTTTTTTCTTTTTAATTAGATTCCAAACATCTGCCTCTCATGTTTGGCTCTTTTGTCCTTTAAGTCTCTTTTATTTTATAAGAGCTCACCACTCCTACTTCTTCCTTTTGTCATTGATTTTCTGGAGAAACTAGCCTACGTGTCCTTACGTATTTTTAGTTCTGTGCTTTCTTAATAATTTACCTTGTTCATTTATGCCATGTATTTCCTGTAAGCTCTGAGTTAAATCTAGAAGATAATTTGATTTAGGTTCAATTTTTAGAGCAATAATACTTCATTCCATCACATCGTAAGGCACATGATGTCTTTTCGTGCCAGTTAAAATGATGCTAAGATTGATCTTAATGGATTCAGGTGAAGAAATGAAGGAAAAATTGTTGAGGATGTATTCCGTTCTAAATATGGATTGCATTCCACTCCATTTCATTATAAAAATAAGTCAAATAATGGGTAGGGAAGAGATTTATTTGGACATTTATGATTCACCACCTTCCTCTTTAAAAGGAGACTTCCATAGGGACACTCAGAAAGCTCTACATCTGCAGTAATGAGACATGGAGGACCAGTGCTTGACTTCTGTTTGAGCAAGCTTAAAGTATTTGTAATCACCAGATTTAGGTGGTTACATTGGGAATAGCCTAAAATCTTTGGGAGCATGAAATGTTCAAGTGTGTTCTGTGGACTAGATATGAGAAAAATGATGAGTTTGTTTTGAGTCCTGTTCATTAATAGTATTACATTACACCACTGAATAAAATTGGCAAGATGAGACTAAAAATTGTACTGTGCTCATATCCCGAGTTGAGCGTTCCATATTCTGGTAACACATGAAGGCACAGACTGGATAGAAATGCAACTAGTGAAGATGACTTGCAGATGAGTAATGTAGACATAATGGAGAGACACTTCCCAGAAATGTGGCTGTGATTGGGCTAGTAAAGAGATTGGAATAAAATGAAGAGATTGAGAGACTATCCAACAAGGCCATATAGTGGGAAGCAGACACCATCATCAAGTAACTGGAAATACTTTGAATACTTGGACCTTTGAAAAAAGTTGCAAGCAATCATTTGGAAGAGAGAGAAATCTACTTGTATCAAAGGAATTGCAGGAATGATTCCTAATGACAGGGATTTCCAAAGACTACAGGAAAGTTTCCCAGGAAAAAAAAAGAAAGTAAAGTTCAAAAGTAAGTGACCCTATGATAACCCTTTCAGATACATGCAAAGTAGAAGTATTAACAGCCATAATTCTAAAAGGCTGCAAATTGGAATCACTTGGTCCATACCCCCGAATAATTAAAGCAGAATCTATGCCAGCAACCCAAGCATCAGTATTGTATCAGAGACTTCCAAGTGAATCCAATATGCAGTGAAGTTTGAGAACCACTGTAATAATGGTTTAATCAATTCAAACGAGAATCAAGTTTCAGTAAAGGCAAAAATACGTTACAGTGATTTTAAAGTAGGAAGTAGAAAGGGTACAAGAGGAAGGCTGCAGTGGGAAACTGTTTCAGGGATCATAATGAGCATAAAAGCATTGGGATGATGGCAGGTTTAAAGCCTGTGTTTTGAAGTACCATAATCCTAGGTTCTAATCTTGGCTTTACCACCTTCAGCAAGTTGCCTATCTTCTTTCAGATTCAATTTCCTCATTTATAAAATGGTTTCATTACTAGTACCTTTCTTGTTTATTTTATCTGTTTATTGTTTGTACCTTCTCACTGAAATATCAACTCCATGAGAATAGGATTCTTATTTGTCTTGTTCAAAATTGAATTCCCAGTGCCTAGAACAATGTATGGGTATGTTGCAGATATTTGTGATATATTTGTTGAGTGGATGGATGGAAATACATTGTTTTAGTTTTTTACTATATTCTGGGCACTTTTTAAAAAGCACTCGTATTAGTCCATTTTGTTTTGCTATAACAGAATACCTGAGACTGAGTAGTTTATATAAAAAAGAGGTTTATTTAGCTCATGATTCTGGTGGTTGAAAATGTTAAGACTAGGCATCTACATGTGGCGAAGGCCTCAGACTGTTTAAACTCATGGAGGAAAGCAGAAGGGGAGCCAGCATGCACAGAGTTTACATGGTAGGAGGTCAACCAAAACAGAAAAAACAACAAAGTCAGACTCAAACACCTCCCACTAAGACCTCCTACCATGGGAAATACATTGTTTTAGTTTTTTACTATATTCTGGGCACTTTTTAAAAAGCACTCGTATTAGTCCATTTTGTTTTGCTATAACAGAATACCTGAGACTGAGTAGTTTATATAAAAAAGAGGTTTATATAAAAAAGTTTATATAAAAAAGAGGTTTATTTAGCTCATGATTCTGGTGGTTGAAAATGTTAAGACTAGGCATCTACATGTGGCGAAGGCCTCAGACTGTTTAAACATGGTAGGAGGTCAACCAAACCAAAACCAAAATTATTCTGAATTGCAGCATTTTTCCCTTGTACAGATACTGTGCACTTAAGTTGACAATTTAGTCAAATGATCTCTTTGCAGTTCATCCATGTAATCACAGCACAACAAATGACCATTAGAAGATCAGAGTTGAAATGTATGGGAACGCACAAGCAATCTCTGGACAGGATTAAAACCAAATTGCCTGCCAACTTGGTACCAATAGGGAGAGCTGCGTTTTATGCAATGTCCGGTAAACTACATGCCCTACTTAACAAAGGAAATATGTAAAACTAAATTAAAAATCACATTTCTACTCATATAATTGCTGAGCTTCCATAAGATTTCTATTTCTTGAAATAATGTAAGCAAAACAACAATGTAGATGAAATGAATAATTAATGCTATCAGAGCCTCATAGTATGTATTTAAAATTTAATCCACTAAAAGCAAGCATATTGTTCTAATGTGAATTTTTTATTAGCCTGTAAATAATATAACATAATTCCACCAAAGGATTCTTGCACATGCACATCATTTCTAAAGCTACATGTAAATATGCAACTCCTTGAAATGAGGTTTGTTGAAATAGTTTCATATATCAAAGCACAGCTACATATCCAGTGGCTGAAAAGGAACAGAGTAGATTGAATTGTCATTCTTCACTTTTTACTCTCTCCCTGAAACTGAATTCTCCACACATTCCTTTTGCCCTGAAACTTGGTATTGTCTATTAATCCAATAGGTAGATTTTTCTTCTTTGCTCCATTGACTTTGAGCTTTAACATCTGAGTAGCTTTGGATTATGAATAGTTAGCAAATATAATGTGAGTGGAAGCTTTAACTGTGTTTGTGTGGTTTGGCTTGGCCTCTTGTCCTTCTATGTGTGCACCAGAAATAACTGTTCCTTTCCAATGAAAGACATGTGGATAAGGCCTAGACCCAGCCCACAGTCTGAAACAAAGTTCCTCTGGTTGACCTGCAAACTTGTCAGTGAGAAAAAAAAGAAAAAAAAAAGAACGTTTATTGGTTTATTGTTGTAAGCAGTTGGGATTTAGCAGTTGTTTTTGCAGTATTATTGTAGCAGAGAACTAAAGGATACAAGAAGAAATGAGGAAACTGATATGCAGAGCAAGAAAAGGGCCTTTCTCAAGGCTACATAGCAAGTCAACAGACACTCAGATTTTAAACCTGGCTGTTCTTATTTAGTCCAAGTACTTTATTCCCTTGACCAATACATTATTTTTGATAGAGAAATTTATTTTCTTATATAGGTATGTGTATATGGCATCCACAAATTATAATCAACTTAATCATTTGGGAAGGAAGACAAGTCAAAACTTGAATGTCCATTCAAATAAACAGAGGAGGCTTTGAGTATACCAGAGCTCAGAAACTCTGGCTTTGAAATCCACATAATATTTTACCATCTATTTGCTCATTGTTCTGCACCATGTTTTTTCTGAAACTCGGTTTGTTTAATTGCTAAAAAGATGTAACATAATTTTTTAAAGAGTCTGCAAAAAAGATATTTTAAGTAATGGCTTAGTCAATGACTGGTGCATAGTATGTAATAAATGTTTTCTATTAAACATAAGTTTAAGTTTTCAATATCCTAAGATATTATGTGAATTAAAAATATTTTACTGCTAATTTGTAATTTTCACATTGTTGATGTCAATATATCACAGTTGATGAAATCTTCGTCTCTCGAGCTTGTCCTCTAAGTCATGTATAGTCAAAAGTGAATTTGATAAAATTTTATATTCCCAAATATCCATCTATTGTTAACAGAGAGTGAAAATGTCTTTTAAAAAGCATCTTGTTCTCCTGTTTCCCTATTGAAAATGCTTTGATACTACAAAATAATTGTATAGGATGGAGAACAAAGAAATATACTATAAAAAACAAAATATTAATATAAAGAATTTTTTCCTTCTCAGCATTTTCAGAGTTTTGCCATTCCTGGAATCAATAGTATAAGTAGTAAAGTTGTGACTGTTCTTTAATTTCTGAAAGGAAATTTTGCCTTGCTGACTGTAATTTAAATGTTATTAACTGAAAACATCACAAAAATACTTGCTTTTCATGGTCAATTAAGGTGATAAAACTCAATGAAACGCTTTCACAGGGAATCTTTTTTAAAAATTTTAAAAAGATTTTAAAAAGAGTCTTCTACTGAGATGCAAATTGATATAACTTTTTAACTTCTAGCCTACAGTACAGATGTCTTCCTTAATGTTAAAGTAAAACTTATGGAATCTCATTATTATGCTGAATATTTAGAGTTAATCAATATTATTTTTAATCTACCTGAAAATTAGAAATGATAAATAGTGGCTGTTTTCCTAATAGGGTTTTTAGATATCCATAATTCCTCTCCAATGCAAACCTAGGAGTGAATTGATGCTATTGGCCAGCCAACAAAAAAATTAGAGCAACTTAAGTCTTAACCCTATTATTATTATGTATTTTATAGTTACATTTCCAAGCCAAGAGATATGCAATCAGTGAAAGATATAAAAAAGAAAGTGTAATGGTGTTTCTTATACTATTTATGGCCTGGCAGAAGAAAGTTAATTTGTCTAGTGCCCTTATGCCTTGAATAAACTCAAGTATTTCAGGTGGGTAGGCAATATATTCCCAGTAAAATACTTATTTCCTATAAGATAATGTAAACATAGATCTATTTTGAAGTCTCTTTGATTTTCACATTCTTTTTCTTTTTTTTTTTGACAGGGTCTCTCTCTGTCACCCAGGCTGGAGCGCAGTGGCACGATCTGGGCTCACTGCAACCTCCACCTCCTGGACTCAAGTGATCCTCCCACCCCAGCCCCCGGAGTAACTGGGACTACAGGTGTGCACCACCACGCCCGGCTAAGTTTTGTATTTTTAGTAGAGACGGGTTTTGCCATGTTGGCCAGGCTGGTCTCAAACTCCTGGCCTCAAGTGATCCACACGCCTCGGCTTCCCAAAGTTCTGGGATTACAGGCATGAACCTATTTTTCTTCATTAAATAACTCTAGCAAAAAATAGTAGCATCTGTAATTAATCAGAGGTAATTGTTAAATAAATACATTTATAGTAATTAGATTAATATAGAAAATTATGCTGGATAATTGTTATACTTTATTGGTATACTTATTGGGGTATTTATCAGTTTGATAAACATTCAACCATTTCCATGACTGTAAGTAGCATCATGTGTTTTAGAAAAATGATATTTTTTGGCCAGGCGCGGTGGCTTATGCCTGTAATACCACCGCTTTGGGAGGCTGAGGCGGGCGGATCATGAGGTCAGAAGATCAAGACCATCCTGGCTAACACGGTGAAACCCCGTCTCTACTACAAATACAAAAAAAAAAAAAACAACAAAAAAAACCAAATTAGCTGGGCTTGGTGGTGGGCGCCTGTAGTCCCAGGTACTGGGGAGGCTGAGGCAGGAGAATGGCATGAACCCGGGAGGTGGAGCTTGCAGTGAGCCCAGATCATGCCACTGCACTCCAGCCTGGGCGACAGAGCAAGACTCCGTCTCAACCAAAAAAAAAACAAAAAAACAAAAAGAAAAATAATATTTTTCTTTTTCTCCTGCGAAAAATCAAAGTCATATTCCCCTGTTATTTATGTTTCTGTAAATATTAGGCTTGAAAAAAATAATAAAAAGACAAAATAAGAACAGTGCTAAACATTGGAAATTAGAAAGATAAACAATATCTGCTGCTTAGAATAGGTCAAATCTTTGAAAGCATTTGGAAAATTCTTAGAGACTTTCAAAGGTCTTACTTAAGTGCTTCAGTGTTTGCACTAAGCTTAAGCTATTTTAATAAAACATGGAAACCTGCAAAATTATCAAAATGCTCCCTTTTTTCCTCTATAATGATTTGGCAATCATTCAAATTATTTTTAAAAGTTACCTTACCCCAATTTTGAAGAGAACTATTTGAAGAAAAATTAATTTTGGCCAAAGCATTATAGCTGAAATACTTTGAGAAATTGTTATTCTGGAAAGCCATATATAGATAGATATAGGTGTATATAGGTATAGATATAGGTTGATGTTCATAGCTTATGTCCTCCTCTCCGTCCTTGTCTCTAATCTCTCCCTGACATAATGTAGCTACTAGCCACATTAAAACAGTTGCAGTTCCTACATTTTTCATGCCGATTATTTCATATGTGTCTTCACACATGCTATTGGTTCTGTGTGGATCACGTTTGCTTTCCACTTTGATGATTCAATTCAAGAACCACATTTTCCAAGAAGCTGTCCTGCCCCTGACCCCCACTCAGGGTTACGTGCTCTCTTTTGTGCACTTATTGAATCCTATAGTCATTTTAAAGCAGTTTTCTCACACTATTATTGTTTTCCTGTCTATCTCTCCACCAGGCAAGTACTGTACAAACTTCTATGACTGTCTACTCTAAAACTTTAAAAATATATGAACATGCACTTCTAATAAATGTGTGCTCTCTGAGATCTATGTTTATATGTATACTTCTTGATAAGTAAGTTTTTTGACAATATTTCACTCATATATATGCATACTACTACTAATCCTTATAATAAATTCTTCCAAGACTTGTTTTATAATAAACAATGAAAATAGAAAGAAGTTTTAACATACCATTCCTTCAGTTCAGTGATTCAGTCTGGATCCTCCTGAGGTATAAGGGACTTTACTTTCAGACAATTCCTCTCAATATAATGATTTATTTGAGAGAAGATGCTTTGTGAAAAATTATTTGTAACTCCAGCACCTGTGTTTGATGCAGAGCAAACACACATCCTTCATTAAATGATATTCATGATAATTATAGGTTGATTTCAGGTAGCAGAATTAGAGGTTTCTAATACACAGACTGAGAATTACAGAAACAGATAGAATCCTAAGGGCCACTGAACACAATACCCTCATTGTACAGATGAGCAAACACATACTTAGACAGGTCAAATGACTTACTCGGTATCACACATTCAGTGATTGATTGGGAACTGGAGTCTATGCTCTTATTCTAAGTCCCCATTCCAGTGGGATGTTCTTGCCATGATGTCCTTATAATGGTAGAGGAATGTGAGGATGGGGCATTTTCTACTACCTTTCCTCCTACACTCCTAAGTTGCATAAAATAGCTTGATATTTCAGAAATAGACCAAGTGCACTGGGAATAACCCCTTGAGTTAACTAGATTTTTCTCTTTCAACTGGTTATTCTGGTTCACTGAAGCTGCCAGTCTGATCTGGAAGCAGTTGCAACCGACAGTCGCAAAGCCCAACTTAGAATGTAGTAGCCTCTAGACAATTGCAGTCCAATAAAACTTTCTGTGATTATGTAAATGGTCAATATCTGCACTATCCAATACAGAATCTGTATTTAAATGCAAGCAGAGTGACTGAGGAACATATTTTTAAATTTTATTTAGATTTTAGTTAATTTAACTCTAAATAGCCAAATGTGGGTATTGTGTGGTGTTATTGATTAGTGAAGCTCTTGACTCAGAAAATAAAATGCCACATGTTAATGTAGAAAAAGCATTTTCATGAAAATGGTACCTTTTCAATTTAGTGTCTGAAAAAATAAAGTGTATATTTTGAGACATCTTGAACAGTCAGCATCCAGGCAAAGATGTGTTTGCCCATGGTGGTCTAGGCCTGAGAAAAGTAGTGAGTATATTATCTGCAAATTAGGATGACCAAGTGAAGTTTTCTTTTTCAATTCAGGAAATATTTTTGAGCAGTGCTTTTCAAACGTTAGTGTGCATATGACTCATCCAAGGAGAGGGTCTTTTAAAAATACGGATTCTGATTCAGTGTCTGGGGTGAGGTCTGAGGTTCTACATTTCTGACAGCTTCCAGGCAATGATAATAGTGCTGATCTGTGGGCCACAGTTTAAGTAGCAAGAATTTAGACAAAATGTAAGACCTCAAGGAAAAAATAATAGTTGTGAACAAAGGGTAAATAAAGACATTCCAAAGTAATGGTGAACCATGTAATATTGGATTTAGAAATGAATCCCACACAAATCCATATTGGATTATTTCCACGAACAAATAAATAACTCTGAATTTCCAACACTATATACTCAAATTGCATCGTCCATGAGCTATGACAGCAGGAGTTATAAAGCAAATCCCTCTCTATATGTATGTATGTATGTGTGTGTTCATATATGCAGAAATGGAAAGATAATAAATGATGTAAAAAATACAGACATTTATCTAGTGATTGATTATTTTGTCCTGTATGCTCTTATAGATCTTCAAAACTAATGTCTAATCATGTTTTTGCCAATTGATGAGAATGTTTGGCTATCCTGGGAATTTTGCGTTGGTTTGTTTTCTAAAGTAAGAAGGTAAAGGAGAGAAATGAGGACGTCTGAAGCATAGGAAAAGCAAAAGTGCAAGGAGGAAAGATACGTGTATTTTCTACAAAATTTAAGATCTGAAAAATAATAATTTTAATATACATAAAATTTGTCATATCTTAATGATCAAAGAAGTAAAAAATCTCTGTACAAACTACAAGATTTAATTCTTCCAATATAATTTTTTATATTCTTAAGGAATAAAGAAAAAATATCTAAGATCTCTGATTACTCTGGATAACACAGATTAGATAAAAAATGTATTCTATTCTGTTCTACCACTTCTCAGCTTTGTGACCTTTGTGTATAGTGGTCCATAAATGGTATCTATTATTATTATGACTTCTTATCTGCCCAACAACTATATTTTTCTCCCCCTTTTTCTATATGGAAGTTCATTTCATACTAGAAAAATACTTAATGACCATAAATATGCCACAAAATGCCTAACAGAGTGATCTCTATGTGAAACTAGTGTATGTGTATGTGTTTGGGAGGGTAGTGTTCATTTTTACAGGAGACCCTCTATGACTTAAAGAAAGTATTAATTTTCCAAGATCTACCAATTTATCTGGGGGCATAACAAGAATTAAAGAAGAGGCCAGAAACATCTCTACATTGCAAAATTTAAATTACCGTTACAAACATCCTATCACCTCCATTTTTTTACCCTGGTGGTAGAATTTTGATTTAGGGTGGCTAGTTTAGGAATGTCAAAGCTAAACTGATCTTTATTCTTTGTCTAGAATATATGAGTATGTTTGGGAAATTGGAAGAACTGCAAACTTCAGTGATCGACATTCATAGAAAAAAAGATATAATCAGTTACATGAATAAAATCAATTTTTTCTATTGTAATAGGCCAATTGGACTTGTCATTGAAGACGATGCAGAGCTACACCAGAATTAAGGACCTGTCACTATTTTCACACAATTTGCCTCCTTTCCAGGGGTTAACATTTAGATATTAAAATAAAATAATCTCTCAGACACATAGTAAATATTTGAAGTCATTTTAAATGGCATTTTCTTCTTAACAAATTTGGTTGGTGGCACATTGGTCATTTATAACATGTAGTTAAGTGAGATTACCTTCTACATCAAAGGCTTTGTTTCTTCTTAACTGTGACTAACACTGCCCTCCCTAGGTAATTCCAAACGTATCCATAGAAAAATATTCTAAATTTATGCTTCCTTTTGACAAATATGTTGTATTATATCGTAACTAATATATAACTGTTATAAAATATAGAAATATTTTAAAAAACACATAAGTATATTTTTGCTTCCTTTTTCTCAGCTTTAAGTTGATCATCATTTAGTTTTAATTTGAAAATGTATAAACAGATTATGAATAGAAACCCAATTCTTTTCCCCTTCTTGAATGCATACCCTTTGAACGTGACTTCATTGTTTTTCCCATTACGAAATGCGGCCTAGTATCCCATCTCTAGAATCTGTGTTGGCCTCCTAACTTGCTTTGACCCATGGAATGTGGTAGAAGGGACATTGTGTTACTTCCAAGCCTAGGCTTCAAAGAAGCCTTGTGTGCCTGCTCTCTTTCTGTTAGAGCCCTGCCACAGCTACAAGGACAGGCCTCAACTAGCCTTCTGGAAGACATGGAGTAGAGACATGTACTCCCAGCCAAGGGCACCATTAGCCTTCCAGCCTATGGCTAATCTGCCAGATCACAAACCTAGGAAGAAGCCCAGCTGAAATCAGAAGTGACCAGCTGATCCCAGCCTTAATTGATGCCCTGCAGAATTGCAAGATAAATGAATGGTCTTTGTTTTAAACCACTGAGTTTTGGGATGGTTTATCATGCAGCAAATACTAACTGATTCAGATGTAAATATTCAAGTCATGGTGCACACAATTTTGATAATGCCATAACTTTGATAAGAAGTTACAGTAACCTACAAAACCGATACCAGCAATGACTTTACTCTTACCCTTTAAACAAAGAAAAAAAACTAGAAATTAATTTGTAAAAGATGGAAAATAAAAAAAGAAGCTTTCAGAGTTTGCAATCATCGTAACAACAGATATTCTATTTGTTCTTTATCATTTGCATGTAGACACTTAGTTTCTGGGTTAATATACTTAGGATAGTCTTTATTATTTTATGTATTTTGCACTATTTGACATATAACATGTCTCCTCAAGTTTACCATAGAAATTCAATAATGTAGTACAATCTTCCTTTGATATGTCTCATTGTAAGGAAATTATATAGTCTTACTTTGAATTCCACTAGAAACCAACTGATCCTGAGTGTAAGGATTGAGTGAAAATAAATTTAATTTGGAGATTAAAGATATAGCAATAAAAGATTGGGAAAATGAGCAAGGAAAGGGAAGTTAGCCAATAAAGGGTGATTATTAAGCAATTTACCAGTGTGAGTGAATGAAGCTTATTTCTAATGAA
This sequence comes from Homo sapiens, assembly GCF_000001405.40. Taxonomy (NCBI): domain Eukaryota; kingdom Metazoa; phylum Chordata; class Mammalia; order Primates; family Hominidae; genus Homo; species Homo sapiens. Next base: position 27,914,453 of record NC_000023.11, read on the forward strand.
GACACATATCTCATAGTTATCCCACTTGAGAGGCAAGAAAGTGGGAATATTTATACTGACTTCCATCAATCATTGATTGAGGGGTGTTCTTGGGAGCTAATAACTGATCATCATTTCTGGCCTGCTACCTAGCTACAAACCAAGCCCCTGGGCCCAAAAAAAGTATAAATTCAGGAGCTGGGTGAATTTTGAAGTCCACAGGCATGAACAGAGATGGTAAGGGTAAGATGATACATACAGGGGGGATGCCACTATGTCTGCTACAAGTATTATTTTACAGAATCACTTTAGGGTTTAATTCAACTTGTTGAAGTTAAAAAAGAATTCAAGCAAACACTTTTCATTTCATCAGGCTCCTGAAATATTTTCTTAACCTTTCAAAATAGCATAGAATCAGCACGTTTAATGCAAGTAAATCTATATCCGGCATTGGTCTTAGATTTCCTATAGAGTACCCATTACAAAGAAAATGCCACTAAATCATGGTCTTTGCTTATGAAAAGGCACAGTCAATTTGGATTTTTTATTATGTTTTGTTCCAATAGCTTCGCTTGAAATTACTATCACTTTGTACATTTAATCTAACATACAGCTCTAAGGGTCTTAGTATAGGCCCTAGTCTCTAGTACCTTTCATACAAATCACTACATCTTCTTCGTCCTCATTTTTTGTCAACTCAAACATCAGCCTCCCATTCCATTTCCGTTGCCTTTAACCAAACTATTTTCTCCTCTGAATTAGTTGATTTGAACATTCTTCCTTTTCTGAAATCAGAGGCTTCACTGTTATTTGCTAAGGAATTACTTTACAGTCCCATGATCTCCTCAGGTCACGAGGTTATGGGCATGATGACAGCAAAGAGCCTAGATGTCTAGGAAGAATACTGAAGCTCTTAGTGGAAATGTCAAGTGAAAAGGGACACGTAGAGGGGAGTGTGATGCCACTACTTTTCAAAAGGGTCAGGTAAATGATGCAATTGTGGACCACTTTCTGTATTACCTGAAGCTATAACAATACTTTACACTACACTATATATTATATCCATAATCCTGAGCTTTTGATTCAACAATTTTCCACGAAACAAATCTAGGTTTTCTCATTTTTATTGTTGTTTCCTTTATCCATGTGTATGTTTCTCTTCTCATGAAAAAGTCATTTGATACATATATAGTACAAGATTTCTCAGGTACTGTCCTCTGTCTAATTCTACATCCCCATCTCCTGAAACTAGTCAGCAGAACTCATAAAAAAACATGTTGGCCCTTGCTCAAACAAGGCCTCCATTTTCTGCACCACTAAACAGACTGCTACTTCTCTTGCTAAGATACGACACTCCACGCATCTCCACGAGAGAACTCTGACCTTTTGGCATCCATATTAGTCATCACTTCCTGGCAGGGCCTTTTTTGACATTAATATGTTGAGTAAACCACTTCCTCATTTGTGCTCTGGGTCATGTTTTCTACTTATATTGTAGTAATTAGTTTATTAAATATTATTTATTCATTTCAATATTCATCTTCCAGTTGGACTTTGAAGTCCCTAAGAGACAAAACTTAGTCTTACTTTCTTTCATCGCCCAGAACCAGGAAACATCTGGAACATATTAAGAACGCAATAAATAGGGTTTATTGTTGAATTACTATTTTTCTTGATTCTTTCTTAGAACCTCTCATGCCTTTGTGACTTTCTATGTTGTAAAATTCACATAGAAATCATCACTTAAAATTTTTACTCTTCTTAAAAAATAATAAAAGGGCGTATTAAACTTTACCTGACCCTCCTTTGGTTTCTTCTCTTTCAGATCAAAGAAAACTTTGCCACTTTATTTTTTATAAAACAAAAATGCTTCATAATTAGATATACTTATGGAACTTATTTATATAATAAGCAGCATCATCCTTATAAGTTGCTATAAGACAGTAATTGTATCTAAGTGCTTTATATTCTGTTTTAGTAATTAAGGATGAAAGAAAGAGGAATGGCGTGTTCAAGGAGGTGCTTAATAACATAATTATCATCGTCAATGTAATCTTAATTCTCCTACTTTTCCAATATTGTTTCACTGTTACTATGACTACTTATTAAGGTGAGATCTTTGTGGCATAGCAGCAGAAACATCAAACAGCAGTCATGATAAAAACAGTCCAACTCAGCACTTATCCTTTGTTGTGTATCCTGAAATGTACCACTTAACTTCTCAGGCCTTTGCTCTGCTTACAAATAAAAGAACTGCTAAAAATAATCTAGAAGCTTCATTCTAGTTCTAAATTATATCTGAGTTTAACATACAATGCATATTCCTTTGCATTTTCTGATATTAATAGGTCTACATGCTGTACATATATGTCAAATAAGGGAATTAATAGAATAAGGACTTACATTTCTATGATCTTAGAAAGAGTATGGAAATGAAGAAAACTGATTTTGCATACTTACATGAGAAAGGTAAACATCTAGGCATTAGGTCAAAGAAATGGACGCCTGGAAGATGATGGCTTTTAATTTAGACTGGGCTTATTTATGTTGTGGCCTAGAGAAGTCAATGACACCTTTATTTTAATCATTCTTATTGTTAAGTCTATGTAAAAGCTAAGGTTAGGACCTAGATTCTTAAAAATGATAATAATTAATTAAAAATAATAAGGATAAATTCAAAGAGAAAGAAAAGGTAGGCGCTTTTAGTAAAGAAAAGAAAAAAACAGAGAACAGATGCTGCTTCTCAAGCACCCATTAATGTGAAATAAGATAAACAATAACAAGCAAGTTTTTTCTTAAGAAACAAGTACCACACAAGAAGTACATTAATTTACATGAGTGTGCTAACATTTATGATCATGAGGCTTTCAATTAAGGCAGCATAAAACAGTGGAATGCTTTGAGGGTAATGAGAAATCTAAAGGTGAAAAAAGAGCTCTCATTACTTATTTTCTTTTATTCTAACATTAAACATGGAAAAACATTTATAAATATTGTTTTTCATCTAAAGTTTACAGTTACCCATTTCAAACTTAACAGAGAGACCAGAGAAATTGCATTTCAGACCTTAGTGAAGTTATAAAAAAATTAAAAAGAACTGGGATAGATTTTTACTTAACATAAAAAGGAATTTGAAGACTATTCTAAAGTTGAAGAATCACGTATTATATTGTCACTTGATAAAAACAAAGACACCATGCAGAATGATCTTGAATTTATGGAAGATATTCTGCAAATGTTTATTAATAGACCGGTAGATGTTTCAGTAATATCTGAGAAGACGACCAACCTAAATCAAGTTTTGTCAGTTCTTAAGTAAACTGGAATTTACCTCAGTGTATCTCTCTTAGTAATAATCCCAAATGTTATAACAAAATAAATTCAAATGTGTAAACTCTTTCACCCCACATATTGTCCACTTGTTAAACTATCCAGTAAATTCTTACTTGAAAAACGAAACTCAGAGAGTTCTTACTGACTCATACTGTCACAGTCTCAGCCTATCCTACGCTAATGTGAAGCTATTTTCTACAAGAAATGTCAACGAAATGTTTTCTAAACAAATGCATTTCTGATGTATCAAAGTCAGCGTGTTCTCTTCACACGGTGTCATAAACTCCTGTAAAAAAATTGAAATAATTTTGAGGAAAAGGGAATTTCAAAACTTAAAAATTAGACAAAGCAGGGAAGTTTCTCCCTATTTAGTACCAGTAATTCAGCTGAATTGCAGTGGTCTCTTACCTGGTCTCTCTGTTTCTGCCTTGGTCCCACTACAGTGTCTTATGAGACAGAGTGAACTTTTTAAAATGATCATATCACTCATCTTCAAAACCCAAAGGCTTCTGATTTCACTTTCAAGGACCTTAATCATCTAGCCCCATGACCTCTCTTTCCTCCTCTACTTAGCTCCAGTCACATACTGGCTTTACTGTTACTTGAATACACAGACATTGTTCTGCCTCAGAACCTTTTACTTATTCTTCTCCTATTTATATGCTCTTTCCCCAGTATCATCATGGCACAATTTTGTCTTCCTTCAGGCCTCTGCAAAACTAAAAACAACAACAACAAAGCAAGCTTTGTATCCTCTTCCTAACACATTTCGCTCCTCTTTCCTTGCTTTGTTTTTCTGCATTGTATATATCAACGGCTGACATTTTATCTATTCTTAAAATTTATTCTCTCTACCACCCACTAGAATATAAGCTTCCTGTGGGCAGGGACTTTATCAGTTTGGATAGTACTGCTTTTCCAGCCCCTAGAGTGATGTGTGGTACATAACAGATTTTCTGTAAATGTTCACTGAAGGAAAGAATAAGGTTAGATGATACATAATGATGATAAATATGTCAGTAAGTATTGACTCTCTGCTGGCCCTTTTGCTCTTAACGTAATGATGTTTCAACTGAACCAATCTTTGACACATTCAATGTAACTAGATTATATATCCTAAAAGTTTGTTGTGAACTGCAAAGTATACATGTATGTATTTTTTTGTCCCTAAGCAGAAACTCAATTATCAATATATGTGCTTTTGAGACGGCAGCCTAGACAATCAGGTCTGGAGATGGCGCCAGAGAAGCTGGATTTGAGGCCTTGGTTTTATTTCTTCTTAGAAGTGTTCAGTTGGACAAGTCAACTGGCTTTTCTGAGTTTTAATTTCCTCATCTCTTAAATCAGATCAATAGAAATAATTACTTTCTGGCTTACCTCATGGAAACATTGTGAAATTTAAGTAAACTAAGGCATTTAAATATATTGTATAAATGGAGTGTTCCTGATGTTTGCCGGTATAAGGGAAAATACACATTTAAAATAAGAAAAAAATTAATTCTCCCTGATGCCAACAGGGAAACAGGCTTTTCTCTTCTCCCTTTTTTGAAAGCACATTTACTGCAAAAAACTTGTAATTATATCATTTTTCTCTGCCTATTTGAAATGTACATAAATTTTTTCGAAAGCTAAATATGCCTCTTGCCAATTTTAAATCGAAAAATGTCTTTTCAAGGACCCAAGAGCCATCTTTTTGATACGTTATCATTAAGGAATATAGCACCCCTATCTCCCAGTTTCCATGGGAAGGTAGAAACCTAACTTTGGCTCAGGCCTGGTTCTAAATTACAAAGCTAACTTCTGTCATAAAGATTTGAGAAATTCATATTTCCTTAAGATAAAGACAATTAGAAACACCAATGGTCAATCCAATTACTAGGTGAATTTAAGATGAATTATGTGTGACAAAGAATACTGTTAAGTCTTCTTATTTAAGGACTAGTTATCACTTATCTTGAGAATAATTGGTTGCATCTCTTTGGACGTATAAAAGGTTAAGCTTTCTTTCCGTTTTCACAATCTAAAGAGATTGCCCATGATGTGCATCAGATTCTGGTTTTATGCTTATTTAATAGTAATCAAACTGTTTTCTTTCACTTTTAACTTTGTGGATAAGTTTTTTGACTTGGCAGGAGATTTTGTTTTTAATTATATTCTCCCAACACTGATAAATGAAAATGTACATTAAAAACAGAACAAGGGACTTCTAGTTTCTACTTGGGAAGTAGAGAACTAGAAAGAGCTTTAATCCTCACCCTTACCATAACAGCAAAAGCTGAACAAACTACAAGTTTACAATTTTATTTGGATGTATAAGTGAGCTTCAGTCACAGGTCAACCAACTAGCCCAAAATCTAAAAAGAATTCAGGTGACAAATTGGTAAAGGACAAATGCGGACTGGCAAGACAGTGTAGAGCCCCTGGGGGTTACAGAGGGAGAATGCAAACCCACTCTTAGAACCTAACCTTATTGGGCCAACCTGGACTCCCCATCCCTTGCCCCAAAACACACAGATTGGTAGAAGACCTGAGAAGGCAAAACACATTGTCAAGAAAATGAAAAGACAAGCCACAGACAGGACAAAAAATATTTGTCAAACACATATCTGTCAATCACATATCTGTTCCCAGAATATATAAAACACTTTCAGAACTCATCAGTGAGAAAATATACAACCCAATAAAAATATAGGCAAAAGGTTTTCATTGTCACTTAGTCAAACAAGATATATGGCTAGCAAAAAGCAGATAATATGATGCTCAACATTTGTAGTCATTAGACAAATTCAAATTAAAACCATAATGAAATACTAACACATATTTAGTAAAATGGCTAAAAAATTCAGTTGCTCACAAGCATGTAGAGCAACTGGAACATACTCTGCACAATGGTACAGTCACTTTGGAAAGCAGAAGCAGTTTGTCAGTTTCTTATAAAAGTAAACATACATGTTCCATGTAACCCAGGAATTCCACTTTTCCCCAAAAAAGAGAAAACTTGTATTCACACAAATACCTCTATGTGAATGTGTATAGCACCTTTATTCATACACTGGAAACAGCCCAAATGTCCTTCAATCAGTGAATGGATAAACAAACTGTAGTATATCTTTACAGTGGAACACTATTCAGCAATAACACTGATTAGAAAACAAACTATTAATACAAGTAACAACATGGATAAACCTCAAATGCATTTGGCCAACTGAAAGAAACCAGATCAAAAGGCCTCTAACTATTTATGTGACATATAAATGTCATATAACCATTTTTATGACATTCTAGAAAAGGCAAAGCTATAGAAATGGAAAATAGTTCAATGGTTACTAGGGACTAGGGGTAGGGGACAGAACTGACTACAAAAGAAAAGGATGATGAAAGTTTTTCAGTTGATGGAACTGTTCTGTATCATGACTTTGATCATAGGTACAAGACTTCGTGTATTTGTAAAACCTCATAAAATTGTATACCATAAAGAATGAACTCTGCTGTGTGTAACAAAAAAAAATTTTTAAGAATAAAACAATTTTATAATTTGTTATCAGTTACTATTAAATCTTAACTATGACACATTGTATCATGTAACAGCTTCAAATTTATTAAGCATAGCTTATTTTGTTTTAGTGTATCAACAATGGATCAAACAAAAGCCAAAATATTTTCAAACTGAGCATATGAATGAAAAAGAACATAAAATGTACTTTATAACAACATTATTAGATCTGTCCCATTGAAAGAAGGTAGTATTATATTTGAAATATCAGGCTTACCTCCAGTCTCTCTAAGCCAGGAAAAGGATAGTAGTGACTGAAAAGCTTGGATCAGAAGGCACAGAAATAGTTCAGCGTTGTGGGTATGCATTGTAAAGACAGATTAGTCAGAGTTGACTGGCAGAGTTAAGGAAACAAAATTGTAAGATCACTACATGGCACAGAGATTTTAAACAGAAAGGAATAGAATGATTCCAGTAAGCAGTTTGAACCACTGTAATAACTAATTAGAAAAACAAGGGGTTGATTAATCGAATTTTAGGAGGATATTATTCTATAAGCAATTTAAGTAAAATTTCTTTACAAAATGGTACTTAGGCTACAGAATTAACTGACAAAATGTCCTATAAAAGAGGAAAATAACTAGATAAATATGTGTCAATTACAGCACAGGCTTAAAAGGGAAAATTATTGATAGGCAATGTGCAATAATCAATAACTAGGAATAGGGAAGTGAAAATTAGAATTCAGTTCAAAGCAGGTTACAAACCGATATGGAGATGATAAAGTAATTTGTCAGGTATAGACCAAGTTTATCCAGCACACACAAAAGTTTGTAAAGCATCAAGTTAATTTGATATGTGTAAGCAGCCGAGTTTAAAGTGACAAAGTAGAGGGCTGAATTATCCCTTGAAGTGTAAAATTTAAGCAAGCTTTTTGCTTTTGACAATTCAGGGTTAAATGGAATTTTTGTAATGAATAAAAAGCTAACATGATCAAATGAATTTTCATCAATTTCACTCAAATTATCCCCACACAAAAATAAAATGGCTATTCTGATAAGGTCATTATGATTTTCCTATTTATCAAATATTTATATAAATTTTATTTATCTTCTTAATCTAACCATTGAAATTCTCTAAATATAACTCAATTTGGACCTTTTTCTCTGACAACGTGTAAAAGTTACTTATTAAAAGCACTATCAAATATTATTGTATTATTGGAGGAATTTTAATTGGCACAACAGCCAAGAGGCTACTATTTGTTAAAAAAAAAAAAAAAAGGAGGAATAGTTCTGCCTTCAAATGCTCTCTCAGTTCTCAATATGTGGGGGAGGCATAAAAATGAAATAATATCGTAAGAGTTTATAGTAGAATTAAATATAACTACAGCCTAGATACAAAAGAACCTTGTCATTACAGGGATAATAGAACCCTGAACTGGACAGGACATCAGGCATCTGAAAACAGTCTTTAATAAGAAAAAAGTTTTTGGTGAAAAATTCTTTGTTCCTCCCATCATCAGCTCAGCCTTCAATTATTATCTTTTCTGAAAAAAAAAAGTCCTACCTTGTCTGATTGTTTAATTAGCAAATATCCCATAGATATCTTCCATGAGTCAGACTCAGTTTTAGATTCAGGGGATACAATGATGAATAGGAAAGACAAAGTTCTTTCCCTTATGGAGTTCACTTAACTAGAAGAGAAGTCCAATTATAGACAAGTGAATGCATAAATAAAATTAGATACCTTAGAGTGTTATGTATAAAGTTGTAAGCAGAACTTTAAATTGCTTTATATAAAATGCCTAACAGAGTCAAAACTTAGTGATCATCCCAAGAATGTTGATTCTTCTTTTCCTTCCACCCACTCTCCTTCTCTCTCTTTTTTCCTATATCCTACTGCTGCCCTTTATTTTCATTTTCTTTATTTTCTTGCTTGTGTATAATTTCTACTGTGCCTACCTCTCTTCACCTTCCCAAATTAGATTATTCTATTGTGATTTTTACTCTGGGGAATGATGACCCCAAACCAATCCGAATGCTGCAGTGCCAACACTTGGAAGAGCCTTTTTAGTTGTGGGTTTGAATTTCGCTGGACCACCGCCACTTCATACATTTATTATCAACCTCTATTATTATTAATTTAATGCTATTCTCAGTGATAAGAATCTATGTGTGGCCTGAGAAATTCTAACATGAACAATTCAAGATCAATGACTTCCTACCCTGAGGGCCACTGAAATATCTTACCCCATTCAAGTCTGTAGCTGTTCTCTGGAAAAGCAGCAAATGATTTTATTCCCCCTCTTCACATCTCAGTTGCGTTTTCATCTGCTCTCAAACAGAGAATTTCTTGGATTAAAAGAGTCCAGGAAGCAAGAAAGCAGGTTATAGTAGTTTTCCTTTCCCTCTGCAGTCATGTCACACCATGTGAGGCTGTAATATGGTAGATACTAGAATAGATTTGAGTGCCCTTTCTGCTTGATTATGACATGCTTTGAACATGCTGCACACCAATTCTTAACATGCATGTAAAGAGAAAATAATATATAAACAGATATTGATGTCAGTGACTTGAGAAAGTATATAGTAAAATAATTCCTTTCCCTTTAAATGTTTTTATTTCCATGCCTCAAAACGAATGTACATGTATGTGGATAGAAATGAGCAAAAATATTATTTTGTTAATTTCCTTTAAAAATGTTCCCATCTTCCTTTTAGGCATTTTGTCAACAATATTCACCTTGAATGATTTCTAAAATATTGCAAAAAAAAACTTGAAGGTATTCATCCACATTTTCTTTTCTTTCTAAAGAAGTTGTGTGTCAAATACTTTCATGCTTTAAATAAAGGCAGAAGATTCCGAATTAAAGATTGATCTGGAAACAAAAGGAAGAAACAAAGCTGAGGAGTAATCTGCAAAAATGGGAATCTGTACTTAAGTAATAAGCTAATTTTGCTTCAGAAATAGCTTTTGTTTAACTCACTGTACCCATCCCATATAATCATGCATTATCGTAGTACCCTCTATGACCATTGAAGACGTGAATCACCATAGCAACTCATCCTAAATAAAAATACCATGGTAGTGATTTGGGAGGAAAAGCTATAGGTGCTGAACTCTAAGCTATTATCTCCCCACTAAAGTTATCTAACAAGTGAAGTCATTTCACAGGTGTAAGCACTTACAGACATATATGTTAGTGTCTAAAGAGCTTAGCGAATGAGTCATATTTCACAGCATTGATCTCCACTCCAGCCACAGCCCAGTTTGTTCTCTCCACAATTAATGTTAAGATCTTTACTCATCTTCAATTCACTCTTACTCACCTCTGAGGAAATATGTATGCCTTTCCCCGATGTACTTTCTCTATAAACCCATGTCCTTATGCTCCTTCAAATTTTACTTCAATGTATCTCCCTTTTATGTTATGTCAGAACCTACTTAAGATGTATCACTCCTATTATTTTAATGATTTTTTTCCTCTCTCTTTTTCATCTCAGTTTTCTTTCCAATTCATCTTATGTACAACATTTAGTTCTTTCTTGGGACAGCTGTATGCAGTTGGTAATGCTTGCTTATATGTTCCTGTCACTTGAGCTTAAAGACATTTTTCTATATATCTCTTGTCACTTGCTGATTGATATAGCTGACAGATGGCATTTTTTAGAAGAAGCATCATCAGCTGCTCAAAATATGCTGACATCTCCAGCAGTACATAATGCAAGACAGTCATGGTTTAGAAAGCACAGTTCCTGCATTTATAAGAAAAGGAAAATCATAAACTTCTAAGAATATGAGAAGGTAGACCTTAATTCAGAGTGTTCTAGAAAAAGATCCCAGTACTTTCAGTGAGAAATTTGCTAAGAATATTATTTTTCCTTCATTTAAAAGATATCTGCTCTTTGCATTTCAATCACTGTCCAAGGCACTCAAGGAAGTCATGGTGAATAAAAAATATGAGGAACTTGTTTTTGTAAAATTTACATTCTTTGTGGGAAGAACAAACATAAACAAGCAAACAAATATGTAAAGAAGATGATTTTGATAATGATAAATGAGAAGAAATAGAAATGTGCTAATAAGTGACAAGCTGTGTAGACCTGTGATATGCATGTGTGTTTGAGGGACAAGGATGTGTAACAGATGCTATTGATGTTCTGCCCTGTATCTCCTTGGCCTACATCTGAGATCACCTGCAGCTATGGTAGACTGTAGTTCTGGAATTATCAAGTACTACATATTTTGCCTCATTTTCTAGAGTTGTCTCTGGCATCACAGGAACGTGGTTGACCAGGCACAACTCAGAATTGCAGGAAGAGTTGACCTCAACCCTTAACCAATGGGGGATGAGAGTTAGTATACGAATATCATAGCCTCCTTCTCTTTCTAAGGTGTATTCTACGGTTTCTTAGAGTTTCCCTGAAAGATTTTCTCCTAGTTGTTCAAAGCAGCAACCTGCCAATTAAGACATATTTTTAGGCTTTTTTCACTTCTCTGTCTCATTTTCCCTACTCTTTCATTTTTGTTTCTTGGTGTCACCTCCTAAATAAACAACTTACACTCAAATCCTTGTCTCAAGATTTACTTTTGAGGAAAACTGAAAGTAAGATAGTAGGAAGGGGATATAGAATATTTTAACTGGATGATTAAGAACAATCACACTAAGATAGTTATATTAGAAATGAGATCTAAATGGCAAGAAGTTACCATGCATGAGAAGATGTGGGGAAGATAGTTCCTGGTGGAATCAAGAACAACTGCAAAAGCCCCGAGGTGAGAATGAAGAGCACTAAAGCCAGAGTGGCTAGAGTAGAGTAAGTGGTGAGTGGTATGCAATGAGGTCAAAGGGGCAAGTAAAATATTAGTGTTACAGGAATGTGTATATATATTAAGGAGTTCAGTCTTATAGTCAGCCTTTGTAAGACTGTAAACCAGGGACTGATGTAATTTGATCTCTAAGTAACTCTGGCTATTTGGAGAAGGAATAGATTTTAAGAAGACAAGAGTTACAAACTTTAACAGGAAGGAAGCAAGAAGACTAGTTATGAAACGACTGTACTGGGCTAGGTGAGAAAAAATACATAAGCTTCTCTTAGTGAAGAGCAGTGGAGATGGAAAGAAGGTTTATACTGAAGATACATTTTTAAAGACATGAAACCAGATGTTATCCTTAGGAGTAAAAAATAGAGAGCCTAGGAAAAAACTTGAGGAGAGTTAAAGGAGCTATAAAGCAAACTGTGATGGAAGTCAGCAGAGTAGATGGAAGTCAGCAGAATAGATGGAAGACAAGAACTAATATTTCATGGACACCAAAAATGATTCTTATCAAGAAATACCAGGAAGTAGGAAGTGGCCAACTGTGTGGACTGTTGTTGGAGTACAACTAAGAGGAAGATAGAAATCCAACCATTGTACTTGTCACCTTTCAGATCATTGATAAGAGGAGCATGAATTAGTGGAGTGGAAAAATGGATCTCTGTATGTTGAAGAGAAAAAAAGAATTTGAGGATGTTGAAATAGAGAATAAAGACAAAACTTTTAAAAATCTTTGTTCTTAGGAAGAACAGAGGCATAAAGCAATAGCTTAATTGTGATATGTGGGTTCAGCGCTACCATGCCAGAGAACACGTTATGTGCTCACAACAGCATTTTCTTTTCCTGAGCATAGAAAGAGTGAGTTTCTCGGCTTTCCTTGCAGTTAAGTTTCTATTATGGGGTTACATCTGGACAATGGAGTGTCGTTAGAAATTATGCATGCCATTTCCAACAAGGAGTTTTAAAAGTCTTCTATGCAATCTTCCACTTATTTTTTCCCTCCAATGGCAAACTGGAAAGTCATGTGTTCCAGATGGTAAAACCACAAAGTGGAAGCAACCTGGGTTGCTGAGTCCATTTTGAGGAGAGCCAGCAAGAAGAGCCAAGCTACCTATGTTGGACTGTGATATGAGGAAGAAACAAACCTTTGCTGTGTTTGGCCACTGAGTTATCTAGGTGCATGTATTACTTCATCAGAGCTAAGCCTATCCCAACTAATACCCCAGCAGTTTTTTAAGATTGTTGATAAAATACTATTTTGCATGTTTTAGAAACTGCGTAGTAGACAGATTTGATATTGCAGAAGAAAGAGTATGTAATTGCAAGAATATCATGCTTAAGAAGATAAAGTCTGAGATCAAGAGTAGCAATTGCTGAGGCTGGCCTTAGAAGTAGGGGCATTGCAAAGAAAGAAATGCAGAGAATGTGAGTACAAAAGAAGTCACAATGCCAGATTTGGTCAACGGAAGCTGAGGGAGTTTTCTCATTTAAAGTTTCTATTTGATCACGGAAGAGTAAGATAAAACACATGAAAAAATGCTCATCATCACTGGTCATCAGAGAAATGCAAATCAAAACCACTATGAGATATCATCTCACACCAGTTAGAATGGCGATCATTAAAAAGTCAGGAAACAACAGGTGCTGGAGAGGATGTGGAGAAATAGGAACACTTTTACACTGTTGGTGGGACTGTAAACTAGTTCAACCATTGTGGAAGTCAGTGTGGCGATTCCTCAGGGATCTAGAACTAGAAATACCATTTGACCCAGCCATCCCATTACTGGGTATATACCCAAAGGACTATAAATCATGCTGCTATAAAGACACATGCACACGTATGTTTATTGCGGCATTATTCACAATAGCAAAGACTTGGAACCAACCCAAATGTCCAACAATGATAGACTGGATTAAGAAAATGTGGCACATATACACCATGGAATACTATGCAGCCATAAAAAATGATGAGTTCATATCCTTTGTAGGGACATGGATGAAATTGGAAATCATCATTCTCAGTAAACTATCGCAAGAACAAAAAACCAAACACCGTATATTCTCACTCATAGGTGGGAATTGAACAATGAGATCACCTGGACACATGAAGGGGAATACCACACTCTGGGGACTGTGGTGGGGTGGAGGGAGGGGGGAGGGATAGCATTGGGAGATATACCTAAGGCTAGATGATGAGTTAGTGGGCGCAGTGCACCAGCATGGCACATGTATACATATGTAACTAACCTGCACAATGTGCACATGTACCCTAAAACTTAAAGTATAAAAAAAAAAATGTGTCAGACATGATACAAGATGATTTAAATAAAAGACCTCTTTAAATAAAAAAAAAAAAAGAATACAGCTGAGAGATAGGATAGATGTAAAAATATTGGCTATTTGAGCAAAGAGGGCAAATTATGAAAATATAGAGTGGGCAATCAGTCAAATTAAGAAAGTAAAAGAAGATCGTCTGGCAATGTTGAGTGTATTTGAAGTGTATGATCATGAATGTAAAGTATGTCCAAGTAGAATATTTGTGTGCATTTTTATGCTGATTGCAACTTCCTGGCTGAAGTCATAAAATATTTGGAGAGATTCCTTTAGTCAGGCATGTATAATAGGGAAAGAGTGGAGCAAGAATATTTAAATTAAAGATAATTGCAAAGGAGTGATTTTAATGATGGATCAAGGACCCTTAGCTGGGTAAGAAAGGGATATAGACAACCACAGGCAATGGATAATCCATCATCTGTATGTGAGAGGCCTCCATAAAGAAAAATAGCCACTGAATTAAGAGTACTGATATAAGTGACCTAGAAGGATAAGAAATGGGGTCAGAATGTCTTATGCTTCAAATTGAGATTTTAAACAGTTCACTTATTGATGATTAAGAAGTCAAGTGTATTGTACAGCAAAGGAAAAAATACAGTGTTTTATGGTCACTCTTGAGAGAAATCACTCTTATTCTGACACGAAAAAACTTTGCTATTTCTGAGCAACTGTTGTTTTTGTTTTATGGGTACTGGGAATCATGTGAGTTATGGGAAAGAGTTATACACATGGAAAGAACATGAAAAGTATTTCTGTTAAATGTGGTGCAGATGATAATAAATCTTAGAAAGAGACCAAGAAATAACTTTCTGCTTATCTTATAAAGTAAGGATCTGTGAAAATAGAAATTCAAAAGAAAAAAGGCTAAAAGAGTAAAGGCAGAAGGGAAGAGCTGGCTATTTAGGCAGAGGAAGAAGACACCATGTGGTGGCCTCTTTACTGCAGTAGATCAGCAGTACTTGGAGTAGATAGATGTTAGACTCAGGATAGGGGCTGCAATAGGAAATCGAAATTCATCTGCAGGTGTAGTGAGGATGATACCACTCAAATAATATGTATTTTACCTGATTACAAGGACAGCAGTAGGAAGGAGCCAAGCAAGTCACACTATACTTTGCCATCTTCATCAAACACAGAGAAGAGGGAGTGATGTAAATGTTCCCTGATTAGATGTCCTACAGACCTCACTGCCCCTTTTTGTCTCATAGCTGATGGATAACTATTTACCAAGCAGCTCTAGAGCTTAGTAAATGATGGGAGCCTTGTAATAGTGGTAGAAAGCGGAAAGATGAAAGTAGCCCTTGTTTGCGACATTGGGAAAACAAATACCAGGCCTGTTCATAATTTCCATTGTTCAAATAAACAGAATCTAAAGACATATGGAGTTTACACATTAAGTTTTATAATATAAAAACATAAGAAGAGCCAAGAAAACAAACATTTGAGAAATGTAAAAATAGAGTAATCAATTGTTATGTCATTTCAACTAAATTCAAGAAGATGTGGATTTCTGAAGTAAGATTAGGCAATGAGATAGTGAGACAACAGAGTTATCCAGAAAGGAGACTGGGTAACATGCAGAAGCAAAGATTAGGAAGCTCTAGTTCATAAGGAAAGTAAGGCCAATATAATTCTGATTATAAAAATTAAATTGCATAAGAAAGGGCAAGGGCAAAAATCATAATTCCAAAATTATGGAAACAACAATATGGAGGACAAATCTGAAAATCTCTTCAAAAATAAATAGGGAAAAGTCAAGAGGATATAAATTATCTTAGTCACCTGGGGCAGCTATATTGAAATACCATAAATAAGGTGGCTTATAAATAACAGAAATGTGTTTCTCGCAGCTCTGGAGGCTGGAAGTCTGAGATCAGGGTGTCAGCAGGGTCAAGTTCTGGTGAAGGCCCTCTTTCAGGTGGAAGACTGCTGTCTGTTGGTTATATACTCACATGGTGGAAAGCAGAGAGGGGAAGCAGGCTCACTCTCTCCTGACTTATAAGGCCACGAATTCCATTCTTAAGGGCTTTATCCTTATGATCTAATCTTAATTACCCCCCAAATGCTCCACCTCCTAATATTATAACACTGGGGGCTAGAATTTCAACATACAAATTTTGGAGAGACACAAATATTCAGTTCATAATGTTAAAAAAAGAGAAAATGACAAATGTGAAATAGAGAAAGGAAAATCCAATATATAGAAAATTTGTGATCACATAAAGCGACCAGAAAAATTGAAACAAATGCCATAAAATATGATAAGAAACCCAATTCTAATGTGAATATAGACATAAAACTTTGGTCTAAAGCCAGGTTCTTGATTTCCAAAGTTGTTGAAAAGGGAAATACCTCCAAATATGGGCTTGAAATATATAATTTTCAATAATATGATAAAAATATCTACAACCATACAGGCAGAAAGAGAGAATTTAAAAAATACTTCATCTAAAGAAAGAAAGCCTTACTGCTATCAGTCTCCTCCTGTTTTAAATTAAAAGCAAGAAATTAAAGAATAAGTACAGTTTTGGATGAAAAAGAATTCTATCCCGAGAAGAGGTTTTGTTTACATCTGAAATGTCATGTGAACAAGGATTAGAAAATAGATCCCTCAACTTTGAAGGAGTATTCGGAAATGAATCAAAACAACTCAAGAACTAGGGAGACTGATGGGAGTAATTAAAACCATTTAACAAAAATTTAATTTTAAATAATTGTTTAAAATGTGGCCACAAAGAGAAATAAAAAGCATCTATAAGTCTTAAATCAACAAGAAAAACAGGAACCAAAATAATGTTTAAAATGAAGATACCAATCTATACAAACAAAATCTAGAGAAAAGGTACCAATTTATTTTCATATATAGGGATGGACAACTCCAGAAGGTCTAGTTTAATTCTTAACATTGTCGAATAAAGAAGTATGAACTCAGTAATTCTTGAAGTTTATGTAGTCACCAGTAGATTTTTCTTAATTGAGGATATACATTAAAATGTACAAATCTTAATTTCTGTGGATTTTTACATTTGTTCGCATATGTAACCACTATCCAGATCAAGTTATGAAACAACTCCAGCGCCCCAGAAGAACTCTCTTGTGCCCCTACACGGCCAGTAGCCTCCCCCTACGAGGATATACGCTATTCTGATTGCTACTACCACAGATTAATTTTGCCTTTTCGGGCTTCATATAAATGGAATTATACGGTGTATACTCTTTTTTGCCTGACTTCTTTCTTTAAGCATCATGTCTGTGGAACTAAGCCACATTGTTGCACGTAATGACAGCTTTCTTTTTTCATTATTGTGTAATATTCCATTGCATAAATATATCACGATTTACCCATTCATTTTTTGATGGACATTTGAGTTGTTTCTAGCTTTCGGCTATTATGAATACAAATTCTGTAATCATTCCTGTACATTTCTTGCACATTCATAAACACTTATTTCTGTTGGGTATATGTCCAGGTGTAAAATTAGTTGCTGAAGTTGCTGTTTAGCTTAAGTTCTTACTGCTAGGTATTTTTTTCCAAAACAGCTGTGCAAATTTAAATAATCACAAGCAATGTAAACGTTCTAATATCTCCATATCCCTAACTCTTGATAATGTCAAACATTTTAGTCATCCAAATGTAGAGGTTTTAAAAAGTTTTTTGCCTTCTAAATGACAGAGAAAAAGAAAAACATGTAAAGAAACTTTGTCCAGTTAGAAAAAGGTGTGAAAAAAAACAACAAACCAGAAAATAGCATTTATTATAATTATTATTATACCCTGTTAAACTCCAAGTCAATTACACCAGACAACTCTACTTCTGTTTTGGAATTTCTCTATAGGATACGTATTGATGGCTCTTCTGTCTTTACAGCTAACTACCAATTTTGCATGAACTTATTGGCTGGATTTATAAGAAACATACTCTTACTTATCACACTAGTGAAATAAACAAAATAAACAAGCAAAAAAAAAACCTAATAGACTCTCTGAAAGTGGATTTCAGAGCATAACATCAATACACAAGTGCAAGAGTGGTTAGGGAGACTAAGTTCTACCACTGCAGAAACACAGACAAAGTAGAACAGCTGCTGCAATGAAACCATACTGTATCCATTGGGAATTCTGAGGCTCTTCATTCTGATTGTTCTTTCTGCTCAGTGTCATCAATTGTAGCAATTGATTAATGTGATAGAAGATCACTCACTTTCTCCTCAGTCAGGAAATTGTTAAGTTATTATACTCTCAAGTCCTCTAATATTTGCATAGGTATAGCCAATATAATTTAACAACGCAGTAGAAAAACAGAGTTAGCTGCATGCTAGGGTTGTGAATAGGTAACTACAACTCTAAATACAAATTTAATTGAGACCAGTATTTTCCAGGTTCCCCTCCATTATTATGAATACTTGAAAATTTACATCCAGTAATGTAAATGATATTTCTGTATCTCATTTCCATTTCAAAGTTAAATAATATTGAATTTAAAGAGATTTTTAAAAACATACTAAAGAACATAGTAAAGTCATTCTAATTTATAGAACTTAGATAACATTTCATACATCTCTATTTCTTACCAAAAACTCAGTATTTGTTTTTGCTTCGTTTAACACTGAAAATATTTTAAGGTATTTGTGCTTCATATTTAGATTTTTAAAAAAATAGGTCATGTACCCAATGATATAGCCATGAGTTAAGCATATTTTTGCAACACTGGAGACTGTTCAGAAAGGTTTCATCTGCCTAGTTACTTCCTGTAATACACTTAATACCAGTGATTACATGCTTGTTTCCTTTTTCTATAAAAAGAAACTTCTGAAACAGAAAAACCTTTACCATTGCATGAATATGTAAGTCACGTTCAATGCCAAAACATCATTACCTTGGATAATGCCATAAACTCTGCTTCCTATTGTGGCATCTTATAAATATCTCAGCTAATTTTTAATGTATTCCCTCTGCATCTACAACGTATTACCTTTATTTAATCTTCAGCAGTAATATCTAATACACCCAGTGAAACTGAATATGATTTTCTTCTGTCACTGACAGTAACAGATAGTTCTTGATAATTATGATCCATGTGTAGCTCTTTCTTTCATTAGAGGAGAAGAGCATACAATGCCAAATCAACTGCTGGAGCAGTTTTGTGTCATCAATCTCAAACCACTTGCCAATGTCGTGAAAGCGCATATCTCCACGGAGTAATATATCTAAGTCATCTCATTGTCATATATCCTGAATTGTTTAGAAAAGCAAACTAGAAAGGAGAAAAACAAATATGAGTATTTTTCTGCTGTATATGAAATGCAAGATAAATGGACATTTGCTGAGTCTGTATTTTCCTGTGTGTGTGTAGTGTGTATTAGTGTGTGTATGCATATATTATGGGAGGAAGAGGAAGCACGTTTGCTAGTGTATACATTTAATGTGTTTATTAAATGCTATGATACTCCATCTGTAATTTAACCACCAAAAACTGTACAGATAAAAAAGAATAGGAAGGGGAATTTCTTTTTCTTCTTCTCTTAGTTAGTGTTAAAGGTAACAGCCATTTTTCCTGAAAATAATTAATTGCTCACTGCTTCATTGTTTAAAATGATAATCTCGTATAGAGTCAAGTTGATGTAATATAGGCATCATTGCTATAGCTATGATCCTGAGGTTTTATGATCATCAGAACCCATTTTCCCAAATTAAACTCTCCCAGAAGGACTATTTGGGGTTCCAACCATCTGCTTTGGTGGACACACCAAATAACCACGTGGAATGCATAACAAAGATATAAGAACAATCTCTGTATTATTTAAATGTAAGAGATTAATACCATGAAAAACAGTTATGGGATTATTTAAAGAATTACTGAAGACCTAAATGTGTCAAACTATATTTCATTCTTCCACCTGTGATCAGATTTACTATGATATGGTTATTTCATATAAAAATAAGACTACATTTATCAATGCTAGTAAAATAGAAGGAATGCTGAAGCAAGAAAAATCATCTGTACTCCACCTCTTGCTGAGCCTTTTGACAAAATCTTTTAAATTTTTATGCCTCAGTTTTCTCACTAAATTTGTATAAAGACTGAGGATCGAATGGCATAAAATCTTTGAAATCATTTTGCAGAATTGTAATCAATGATACATCTGTAACATAATTGTTAGTTGCTTCATTTTAAATCTTACCAGACATTCAAAATAAATGAAAAATCCCCAGTGGCCAAGACTATTTGAAAACATGTTATTGCAAAATTATATAATATCCCTTGAAATATGTATTAAACAGGATTGCATTACACACAATCTCCAATCTCAGTGGCTTAACACAGCACGCAAATTTCCTTGCAGTCCTGGGCAACTCTTCAGGTCAGCAATACTTCATGTGGCGACATAGTAGTCCAAGCTTATGAACGCTCTGTTATCTTCTTGCTGTACCATCTGGAACATGCAGTCTACTTGGTTAATAGGGAAAGAAAAGCACTAGAGTCTTACTCTGAAAGTTAAATATTTCAGACTAGAAGTGATTCAAGACAAATATTTTAATTCACTATAGCCCAACATAACTGTAGATGAGTAAGTATGCATAGACCTCTTGTGTTCTTGAAAGAGAACTGGATATGGGAAAGCACCAGAAGTCTCTATGATAAGCTTCATTTATTATGGTAAGTTTTCCATAGCCCCTAAATTCAATCGCTTATTACATGATTTATTATAACTATTTCTACCTTTCTCTTATGTACAGATGATTCAATAGGAAAAGATTAAACCACCTGTACATAAAAATATGCTTGTGAAATAAGGATTATATATTATACTATGAATATAATTCAAGGTTTGATACTTTTTCTGTACCAACTTACTATATTATCTTAAATCAGGCATAGGAATACCAGGTAACTCAGGTAACTTTATAGCCTCAAGTAACAACATAAAACTTTTCCCTGTTTCCCAAAGTTCAGAAACCACATCCACATGCATATTTATACATATATGTACACAGTTGCATATGCAAACATGCTGGCTTACTTATTTATATTTCTAGTAGTACCTAGACTGGTGTAAAAACATGTCTATTTAAATGGAATAATTTTAAACATCTTATGAAGATTCTAAGACATCATTACAGAGAGGATTGGCAGAGAAATGGCCATGTTATAAGTTCAAGTAACTTTTGAAAATTTATTTCCTAGTGTAGATGGGCAGAGCACCAGAAGGATATCAAGATGTCATACTCTACATGAAGAAGATTCTGAGCATTACTAGATACCATAGATGTATATTTATGTGTTTGCTCAGCAGAATCTATGAGTGAGAACTGGTAGGACATGCTCCGCATTATCAAAATTATATAAATAGATCATATTTTGTATGGCTTATTTTTTGATGTAATGACTAGTAAAGGCAGTGTGTGATTGCTGTAGATCTCTGATGTTCACAATCAAAATCTTTTTATGTTAATGTTGCCCTTAACACCATATAATTTTAAAGAGGAAATCTGAAGGAAGGCTTTCTTAGGGGCCCAGGTAGAATGAAAACCCTTCTTATTTGTTTATAATATGAAAAACCTTCATATTATACATGGTGTCTCTGATACCTCCCTGACCTTACTTTTTAAATAATTGACTTCTCCTAATAGGCTGTTATTTCCCTAAAGGCACAAGCTCTATTTTATTTGCATCCTTACCTTGAAATTTCAAGTTATCCCCAAAACGTAGTGGATGCTCTATAAATATTTGTTGAATGGCAGAATGTGCTGAGAAACTAAAGATATGTGACAGACAATAAGGAAAACAATAATTTAGGCTAACATTTTTGATACCAGATTTAACTTGGGTGCTACTCAATAGTAGTAGTTTCATGATTGGAGAAAGCTGAATTATGAAGAAGGAGTAACCATCTCTCTACAATTATGTGGTATAAAAATAATGAGAGCAGAGGCTCTGAAATCAGACTGCCTGGGTTCATACCTTGTTTCCACTAGTTAGTTCATTTTCGTGTGATACTAGGTTGCTACTTATGTTTTCTATGCTCCAATTACCATTTTTTTTTCCCCGAGATGGAGTTTCTCTCTGTCGCCCAGGCTGGAGTGCAGTGGCGCGATCTCGGCTCACTGCAACCTCCGTCTCCCGGGTTCAAGTGATTCTCCTGCCTCAGCCTCCCGAGTAGCTGGGAGTACAGGCATGCGCCACCATGCCCGGCTAATTTTTTGTATTTTTAGTAGAGACGAGGTTTCACCGTGTTAGCCAGGATGGTCTCCATCTCCTGACCTCGTGATCCACCCGCCTTGGCCACCCAAAGCGCCCCGAAGGCGTGAGGCACCGTGCCCCGCCTACCTTATCTTTTAAATGATGATAGTGATGTCCATCTCACAGGTTTGTGGAGAATATAAACAGAGCCAATATATGTAGAGTACTTAGAAAAGTGCCTGGCAGATTGCCAGAGTCAATTAAGCTTACAATAAACCGTATTTGTTTGTGTTCTTTTTCAAGGTGATTCTCTAACACATACCTAGGGCAATCTTTGTCTAAAAGCTTGGAAATTTTCAAGGGATATGACCCAGTGGGAATTATGCTACTACTAGAAGACATGGTCTTTTCTGTTGGAGAGATAGGATTAGAAAGAAAGATCACAAATGAATTGCAACTATCCACATTGCAATTTGAAAGGGTCAATTGTTGAGGGAACCATTTTTCCTTTAGCAGAGTAGGCCATCTGTTTCACATTAATTCTCCTCCCCCTTACAAGAAAGTCCCTGAACTTTGGAAGAAGGAAAAAGTTGGGGACCACACGGTCCAGTGATCAATAATACAGTATCTCTACCAAAATTTGACATAATTGTTAAATGAAAATCTCTTGAGATTTGAGAAACCAATATGGAACTTGAATAAAAGAATATTATCAAAACTCCAGAAAGATAAGTAATTACAAACTTATCTCCACAATGAGTTATAAGTTATCAGAGGCACCCTGTTTCATTTTCCTTTGTTCTGTCTGTGTTGAATATTAAATAGTTTTTACTATAGTATGTACTACAGTATGTACTATTACATACTATAGTATGTATACTTTAGCATGTATAGGATACTTTAGCATGTAGTACTACATGTCTATTTACTATTAGACATATTCAATCTGAAATATTGGGATATTTGATCTAAAAAGGCCAGAAAAATTACCATCCTCCTAATCATTGCCTGAGGACAATTGAAAATCACTTAGCTGTATTTGCTGAACTGTGCTGGGAAGTTCAAATTAATTGGACCTGCTGAATAGAGCCCATCTGAAAATCAAATCGTCAATTCGATGTGAAAGATAATAAACAAATCTCCAATTTTCATTGCACTAAGTAAATCTGGACTTATTTATGTAAGTATCTAACAAGAAATTTAAAAACAAAAACGTTTTCTTTCTATACAGAAGTTCATGTCAACAAAATCACAACTAGAATTCAGGCTGAAAGATCATTTTAGTTTATGAAGAAGTAATACAGAAATTGGCTTACTGTTTTGGTTTCCTGAAATATTTCTGCATTATGAGAAAAGCTGCTTATGCAATTGCATAAAGTTTTTCAGAAATTGTTAAGATAGACCCATAGGAAATAACTTTCTCTGTAATATACCCTACTTCTAACCTAGATATTTCATATTAATAAGAAGGACTTGTCATTGATAATTATTAGATATATATATTAACCTGTTAGAGTAAATAAAAGAATGTTTAGTTCACCTTTTCTGTTTGGATAATTTTTAAGGTAAAATATGGGAATGTACTTATTCTAAGAAAAGTAATTATTTTCTTATTAATTTACTCATCGCTAAGCTATGAAAACTAATAGAAATTTAGCTATAAAAGTTGTGTTTTATCAGATGGGAAAATTTGAAGGCCAGTAGAGCTCTCTGTATCAACGCTTCTACCTATACAGAGTGCTCACACTGGGGCAGAAGTTAAGGCAAAGAAATAGTAGAATGGTATACAATAGTGACAAATATTTGCCAAGCATTCATTTATGCATTTTGTATGTGCCAGCTCATTTAACTGTTACAAAAATCCTTAGAGGTATGCAATTTTATCTCTAAGACAGAGTTAGGAAACTTCGTAAGGTACAGAATGCCCAGCTAAATTTTATTTTCAGATAAACAATAAATAATTTTTGGTGTAAATATATCCAAAATATTCTATAGGACACACTTATTCTTAAAAAAATCATTGTTTAACTGCAACTTAAATGTTACTGAGCATCCTATGTTTTATTTGGAAACCCTATGATAAAAGGCAGGTGAATTTTACGGATGACAAAATGGAGATACATAGGGTTTGAATGTAACACTGTAGCAGTATCAGAATTCAATTTTAGGTCTATCCATCTCCAAAGCCC
The DNA here is from genome assembly GCF_000001405.40 of Homo sapiens. Classification (NCBI taxonomy): domain Eukaryota; kingdom Metazoa; phylum Chordata; class Mammalia; order Primates; family Hominidae; genus Homo; species Homo sapiens. The sequence continues at coordinate 27,938,784 of NC_000023.11, forward strand.
CCAATTTTTCTACCCTACTCCACTGTCTTATGTCACAGAAATTCTCTAGACTTAATTTGTTGATTTATACATGTATGTGTGTGTGTGTATTTCAACTATATTTTTCATATATATTTTTTCATATGAAAAATATAGGTGAAAAGTCACCTCTTGACTTTTGGGGGGCTCTTTTTTATCCATGGTTACACAAGTTAATTATCCCTCTTTAGGTTCCCAGAAGTTTCATTCTGATCACGTAATCTCATGACTTGACTTAATAGAACTTTTCATGAAACTTGCTTTGTACTGAAAAGTCACTTTTTAAAATTTTACCATTTTTTCTTCTGCTGCTGTAAAATATAACAATGCGAAGCCCTTAAGCACAGACTTCCTAGCTTCTCAACTTACCTGGGATAAAATAGTGATAGCATATTCAAAAACCTTTTAGGTGATCTGCTATTCTGAATAAAGCTGAGAGAAATTGAAGAAATTTACAAAACTTGAGAGAAGTTGGAAATGGTCTCTTAATTGAAATATATTATTGACAGAAGGTAGAAATATACTCAATATCGAGGTAAGATTTGTCACTAAAACTGAGAGCAGAGTCCAGGAAAATAAGCCTCATGAAGCTCATAAGAGAAGGAATGCTGAGATTGAAAGGGTCTAGGCACTCCCTCGTAAGGAAACCAAACAACTCCAAGTCTTATCCTCCATTTATTATTATTTGTTTGACTTGGATGTTCATAAGAATCTTGTAGGGAGATTCTTTAAAATACAGACATCTGGGCTCTAAAACCAGAAATTATAATTGAGTAGGCTGGAGGTGAGGCCAAGACATGTGCATTTGAGCAAGCTGTCTAGGTGATTCTGATATGGGTGGTTCATGAAACAAACTTCAGAAACACCACTATGTATGTCTATGAGATCATTTTCAAGCTATAGAAATCCCTATACCAGGAGTTCACTGTCAACATTGGTTCCATAGGCAAACCTGGTAACTTTCTCAGGTCTGATCAAACTACTTCTCAGCCACTCTTAGTGTTCATTATCAGTGATGCTGCTGATTGATTCTCAAAGGTAGATCAATGAACCAGCTTTAATAGAATCAGATTGGAGAATTACTAAAAATATGGATTCATTGGTGTTGAGAAATAGTATAATTAAACATTTGAAAGTCAAATATTAATGTCAGAGGAAAATTTGCAGTTAACTGAGAAAAAGTAGAAAATGTTCAATCTTTTGATCATTTTTGTGGCTCAGATGTTAAGACAGGATGGCTTTTAATAAGCAAAGTCTTTCGTTTCTTGGCTTTGCAGATAACTGAGTTGAATACCAAAGATAGATGTTAGGATAATTGGCTATCCTTAATTAAAATAATAGTAATTATTTAAGAAATAATAATAACATAGAATCAAAATATTGGATGTGTAGCCTAAGGTGACAAGTAGCCTGGTCAAGGCCTTTTTCGAATGTTAGATTTTTCCAGAACATAGACACCTCTCAATATGGCTCTCTCCACCCTCTCTCCTCCAGAACATTGTATGTTATTTGAATGGAAAATGGAAGAATTATAAGAAAGCTTAAGATATTGTTGACACATTGGTAATCACAAATGCATTAGTTTATTTGTACATTTGCCTTTCTCTTTAAGTCAGTTTTGGAAGGCTATTACTGATTTTCATGCTGCATATCCATAGAATCTCATGAAATTCATTGTGTGGGCCAAGTGGTCTTGACTTTAATTTTTTCCCAAGAACCATTGAAAGATGTTCCTGGATAGCCTTATCTACAGGCCACATCCTCAGACCTATTGACTTAGAGCCCAGGAATTATTGTCTACTCACTATGTACTCTCTTCCCCTTAACCCCTCTGAATTCTGAGGAATTGAATTATACTGAATATTAATAACATTCTATTATTTCAAATACTTTAAATATAAAAATGTTACAAACTGTCTTCTCTCAGAATACCAAGTGATTGTCCTCAATGTTAGTTTTCTATTGTTCTATAACAAATTACCACAAATTTAGCAGCTTAAAACAATACATCTTTATGTGCTTACAGTTTCTGAGGTCAGAAGTTTGCCATAGCATGACTGAGTTCTCTGTTCAGAATCTCACAAAGCTGAGCTCAAGGTGCTGACCAGTTACATTCTCACCTGGAGCTTGGGATCCTCTTCCAAGCTCATTCAGGTTGTTAGCAGAATTTAGTTCTATGTGGTTGTAGGACTGAGGTCCCCATTCCATTGTTGGCTATCATCTGGGGCTAATCTCAGCTATTAGAGACCTTCCACAACCCTTGCCATGTAGCCCCCTCCATCTTCAATGCCAGCAACAGAGACTGTCCCTCACATTTCAAATTTCTTGCATTAGGAAGAGCTCAGTGCCTTTTTTTTTAATTTTATTTTTTTGATGGGTACATTGTAACTGTATATATTTATGGAATACATGAAAGGTTTTGATACAGGCATACAAGATATGATAATTACATATTAGAAAATGGGGTATCCATCCCTTCAAGCATATATCCTTTGTGTTTCAAACAATGCAATTATACTCTTTTAGTTATTTTTTAAAATATACAATTAAATTACTATTGACTATAGTCACCCTGTTGTGCTATCAAATATTTGGTCTTATTCATTCTTTCTAACTATGTTTTTGGTGCCCCTAGTGTCATTTAAGGGTTCATCTGATTAGGTCTGACTCATCTAGTATAATCTCCCTATTTTACCATCAACTGACTTGAGATCTTAATGACATCTGTGAAATTCCTTTTGCTGTGTAATCTAATATAATCATAGAAGAAATATCTTCTTATGTTCAAGGGTTCCACTCACACTCATGGGCAGAAGATCACACAAGGGCCGATGAATGACATTGAGGGTCATCTGACAACCCTACTCAACACATTGATTTTATGCTTCTAAGTAAAATATGCAAAGCTTTAAAAGGCTGAAATACTTTGTTGTTTATCTTTGCACAGCTCTGTGAAGAGCATTGAGTTGACAGGTCTATTTCACAGAGAAGAAGATGAGAATTTCTTGGGTTGCACTGCCATACTCTCTTGTGAAGCTGTTTATCAGCTTTCTTTCACAACCGGAAGATCAACTTTTAGCATTAGAGAAATGCAATACACATAATTTGCATAAGTCTTGACAGTGTACTAAGTATATTCAAGCACACTTTCTTCATGTCCTCTTCACAACATTCCAATTGGTTCTATTTTATCGACAAGGCACTGAGATCCAAAGATGTCACACAGTACCACAGAAGAGTAGTAGAGTGGGGACATGGGCACACAGTATTCCTTATAGGAACTCATAGCCCTCTGCTTTCCACTCCTCACAGCCCAACCGGCACCATAGAAAAGTTGCAAAGTAATACCCAGGCTGATTTAGAAGAAAATGAAGTTAAATTGAAGCTGCTACTGCTTCATAAATGGTATATTCTCCTGTTTTCTGTCAGCCCCTTGCAACATCCAGGGATCAAAATATGTTTTTTTTCTATTATTTGTACCCTCAAATGAGAACTTTATGAAACTCTTACAACTCACAGAGCATAACTCACAGATTAGAATGTGTAGGAGGCAATCTTTTCCAGTTTGTAAGTCTTTAAACTGGATTGAAGCCACAAATATTAGCTTTTAGATATTAACTACCGAATGAGAAAAAAAAATCGTGTGTGCGTGTGTGGTGTGTGTGTGTGTGTGTGTGTGCATATGTGTGTGCTTATGCACAGATGCTTCAAGCTGGAGGGGGATGGCGAGGAAGGCCAAATGCCTGAAATCACACTACAGATGGATCTGCCTGCCCTGCTGATGCAAAAGGCTGGCCTGGGTTTAAGCTACTTACAAAAGTAAAGGAAGACTCTATTAACTATCCAGAATAACTTCCTTTGATGAATAAAATGTTCTTCTCTGTCCAATCTAGTAGCCACTAGCGACACGTGGCTAGTAAGCACTTGAATGTGGCTAGTATGACTGAGAAACTGAACTTATTATTTTACATAATTTTAATTGATTTAAATAGCCACATGTACCTAAGAGCCACTGTATCGAACAGGGAAGATCTAGGCCCAAGGGTTAGTTAAGAAATCTGGAGATTTAGTCTTTTAAAGATAGTTATGTTTGTGTATTTATATTTTATTGAATACAAAAGATTTTAGGTGATTATAGAAAATCTATGAAGAATCTTACTTCACAAATCTAAAAATTTTACATATATTTTGGGCCAATGGTTCTCAAAGGGTGGTCCCTAGACCACCAGCAGCAGCATCCTCTAGGAACTTGTTAGAAATGTAAGTTATCAAACCTCACTCAAAACTTAAACCAGAGATTTGAAAGTAGGGAGTCCAGCAATCTACCTTTAAAGAGTCCTCCCAGGTGATTCTAATGCACTTTTGAAAATAACTATTGTGGAGCAATAAGTGTATTAAATTATCATTGAACACAAGTCATTGTCTTTACTAAATAGTTAAGTAAATAATTATGTAGTTCTTCAAAAGTATTTCAGATATCAATGACTCACATTTATTTTATGATTATGTGTAAAATAGAATGAAAAAGCCAAGGAGGCACATCTTTCTAGGCTGATGGGTTGCTTATTCTATTGGCATATTTCCTGGGATCCTAAAGGTTGTCCCAGTGAGAGGAGTTCCTGTCAGATATTTTGTCATACAAAACGCTGCAGCAGCTTTCAGAATCCTGCCAAGGAGGGTTTCCTAAGGTGCATTGCTGCTTTGGGGGTAGAAAAAGGCTTCGAAGGTATCATTTGGTCTTAAGCCAACTGTGTCTGAAGCTGTTCAGTATCAGACCAACTATGTGAGAAGTGAAAATTTTCAATTAATCAGCCACCTTCATGTCTAGGACATTATTGGATAAGAGCTTTATTCCTTGTATTCTTTCTTTCCATTTTCAGTCTTTTTATTTCCTCCAGTAAACAGACTGAAAATAGCCATTGTTTAAAGATCAAACTTCTAATTTGTAAAGGGGTAGCATTTTATAACAAAAGCACAGCTCAAAATCCATTTTGCCATCCAGAAGAATCTCATTTCATTTTTCATTGAAAATGATCTTGCCTATTTTAATTTAATATATTTTAAGGAATGACCTTGTGCTAAGTGCCAGAGGGCTATGGTAGAAAAAATATGGGATTAAAATCATGCTGATGCAGGTGTGAAATCCAAGAAGCATGCTACCTGTATCCCCTTGAGCAAATTATTTAATGACTATGAGCCTCAGTTTACTCATCTACAAAATGGAGCTAATAACACAACTCAGAATGATTACGTAAATTTTTTAAATAATAAAACAATATTTTTTAATAATAAAAAAATTATTCAAAAATGTTACCAAAGCAGAAATCCACAAGAAAGGAAACATTATGGTTAAAATGGATATTTTCTGTGAATGAAGCCAACATATTTTAATAATATTATTAGTTGGAAAATACTCTTTTATTCTCTTGATACTTTTTTCATTAAAAAACAATTAAACTAATAAATCCCATTTCTCTATTTAACTGAAGGTTTTCATTACTTTCAAGCATTTCTTCTCAGATAATTACATTCCTGATGTAGATACTTATTTTCAATTTCATTTGATCCTTAGTGCCTGCTGTAGTGTTTGATGGTTTATTAATCTATATTTTAATGTTTAGGAATTAAATAATTGATAACATACATTCTTCTGTTCCATTAATTTAGTGTTTTATTTTGGTATAATTTCACACTTACAGAAAAGTTGCAAGAAAATCCCCTTATTCCCATCACTGCATTTCTCAATTGTTTATATCTGCATTTTACCCTATTTGCTTTAACATTCTCATTTTATATATATAAAACATAATACAAATGTGTATATATGTATGCACATATACGTATGTATATATATATAGTATATGTACATACATATGTATACATATATACACATTATTCTGTGTCCATTTCTTAAGAACAAGTGTATTTTTTTATGTAACCACAGTACAGGAAATTTAACATTGATACAACACCATTATCTAAACCTCAGCTCATATTCTATTCCTGTCAATTTTCCCAATAATCTCCTTTTTATCTATCCCCTTCACGCCAAGTCTGGAATCCAATCAACGTCATGCTTTCATTTACTTGTCATGCCTCTTTAGTCTCCTTATCCTTTATTCTGGAACAGCTCCTCAGCCTTTCTTTGTATTTTTTGACCTTGACATTTTGGAAAACTACAATTATTCTGTAGAGTACTTGTCTGCTGGTTTTTATGGCTATATTCTGTTTGTACATCTGTGGCAGGAATAGAAATAAAGTGTTTCTAATCTATTCTTAATTATATGCTATAAAAAGTTACTTACATCCACACACAAGAGGTATGACATTTATCAAGACTTTATTTTCTCTAGATATGAATCACATAATTGATGCTCCAATGTTATCAGAAATAATCTAGTATTGTGGAGGGTAAGAACTCAGATCCTAGAGCCAAACTGTTTTGGCTCCACAACTTTATAATTGCATAATATTGGCATGAAATTCCAATGCCGCAGGTTCCACATTTATGAAACAATATGTTAATTGCACCTACTTTATCTGCTTGATGTGAACATTTATTGTGATATTATTGCAAATCACTGAGTATGTTGCATGACATATAGTGTGGCCCAATAATGCTAATGATCATTGGTGATATATATATACAATTTTATATATATACACACACATTTTTATGTAGTAAATATATTAATATGTATATATACAGCCTTTTTATTTTGATTTGTACCCAAATTTTGCTAGATAGATAAATGAGACATAGTTTAAAATCTTCAATTCCTGCCTTTCTACAGAGACATATCATTTGAAAGATCCAAACATTGTAATTACAGAGAAATAAATATATTTTAAAACATTTGCAAATCTAAAGTTATATATTTTTCATTTGAATATTTGTATGTTTTCTTAACTTCCTCCCACTTAGAAAAATAAATTAGTATTCTTTTGTTTTCTTAATCTATTTTTCTAAAAATACCAACCATAACTAGTCTCAAAATTAACAGTATTAACTCACCACTGTTGATAACATCTAACTGTATGGTGAAGTACTGTTTATATCATTTCCCTTTGTTCACTGTTCTGTAATCAATTTTAGCTTTTTTTGACAACACATTCTAACCAAAATAAATGGCTGGCTCTTGAAACAACCACTGCTATCCTCTATGTTCTCTCTCTCTCTTTCTCTCTCTCTCTCCCTCTCTCTTCCCTCACCTCCCTCTTTCTCTCCTGGTTTCTTGTCAATCCAGATGGAAGGGATCCTATGGAAAGGTTTGAGGAGTTCCCAAGAGACAATTGAGCCTCAAGATGGAAAGAGCCTGGATGCCGTAATTACACACAGCCTGGTGGAGCTCTTTACATGATCCTCCTAGACAATGCAAAAAGAGAATGCAATATTGTACTGAGTCTCAGGTGCTTTCCGGCCCTCCCCACACACACTTTCACTTTTTTTGTAATCAGGGTATGTCTTAAAATGAAGGTGATAAGAAAGCAATGTGCCATCGCTTAATTAGAATAATTTGTTTTTTTCTTAAGTCTATGCAAAATGATGCATCTTACAATAAATGGCAGATTTGATGAAACGCTGAAAATTTTCATGTGTTAAGACAATAAGATTATGAGAGATTTTTTTTTTTGTTTTGTTACAGCAGGCAGTATTAATTACTCTATTAGAAGTGGAATGTGGTTCCCAGAGAAAAAGAACAGTGTCAGCAAGCACCCGAGACTTAGACAGTTTTGTTTGTTTTAGAAGCTACAAGCAGTTAGGTCTGAGTGGGGTGTAAATTATGTAATGGCAAATGGCAGTAACTACTATCCGGCAGAATGTGACTGGAGCTAGTAAATGCTCTGATATTTAATAATGCATTTTCTTTTGATGGCAAACTGCATAATCAGGAATATTTATTTGAATGATATTGTAGCTTTTTCAGTTAAGGTTTTAGTAGTGGAAGCATACTGTAAGAAATATTTTGAGGGGGATAAGCCAAATAATTAGCATCAATATTCTATTTTGCTTGATCACTTATTAAGAATAGTCACACCTGTGGTATAAAATTATTTTACTGAAAACAAGGTTATGATATGTAAAGATTTTACTTGGTTTATATGTTTATTTTTATATAAAACATGTTCACACTGCAATGTCTCTTTGTTAACTCTAAACTTTTATTCTTAACTTTTGCCTGGAAGAAATGCAAACTTAACAGATTTGTTGATGATTCCTTTAATACAATGTAGAACCTTAAGTGTATGCAAACTTAAATTTAGGAGCATCGGTAATCACAGATGCAATTCGGACTTTATCCCTCTGGGCCTTAAGAAAAGCTCATTTCAGTAAAAGAAACAACATAGTTACACTTAAAAAAAAAACCTGAGGCAACTGACCCTAACATGGTGTTCTCAATAAAGTGGTAAAAATATTGATATACCTTCAACACCCTCCAAAAAAATTTAAAAAATGGAATAAACAGGTGCCTACTTAGCCAGAGGCAATAGACTGAGGAATCACGCTTCTTCTATCACATTTGAGCTTTCCCAGTGATTCCTTGTGCCAATAAAGACATGGTAAAAAGCGACTTACAGGATCCATTGCCACAGGGAGTTAAGATATTCCCAGACAGGATTTGGGGTAGGTTCTGTCAATGTTCCCCCAGACTTTTAAATATGTATTTCCTTTTGTTCTGTTCTCTATAGTTTTCATCCGCAAAATGGAATTGTATTTTGTGCACTCTGATATATATATATATGTGTGTGTGTGTATATATGTGTATGTACGTGTGTACACACATGTAACAACGTGTATGTACGTGTGTACACACATGTAACAACGTGTATGTACGTGTGTACACACATGTAACAACGTGTATGTACGTGTGTACACACATGTAACAACGTGTATGTACGTGTGTACACACATGTAACAACGTGTATGTACGTGTGTACACACATGTAACAACGTGTATACAAGTTCTGTTATAAAATGAATAAAATAAAATGTTTTGGCTCTAATAACGATGCCATTCTCCAGGCTATCTCGTCTGGAGTGTTCCAAGCCGTATTTAGAGACACAGGATAAGGCAAGTGGTTGTCATGGAGTCTTAGTAGGTAAGATGTCAAATTCCCTCCTTTCTCAAATCAAACCAAGCATATCCACTTTTATGTATTTTATATGTTTGTATATACATGATATTTCATTAAAAAGTATTGTGAAAAAGCTTCTAAAGCCCATTAATATCCTGAATATCAGTAAAGCACCATAATTAAACAAGGGGACACGGGAGTCAATTTGCATTGAAAATCTTCAACCAGCACTTTCTAAGTGCAGAAACTTGAGTGAATTACACTAACTCCCTGGATCTCAATTCCTTATAAAATAGGGTTAATAATTATTCCTCACTACATTGATTTGAGGATTAAATTAAATGATACATGTAAAACTATGCTACACCAACTTCACATACTGGCTGTCTGTCCATGAACTACTACTACAGGCTGCAATGCTACAAGGAGCTTATGCCAGAATGTGAACCAACTACATCACTAAGCACAGTATCCAATTTAGCTAACTTTTGTTTTTCACAGTGAGACTTTCTCAATGAAGGAAGCGGTGCATTGAGTTTCATTCTAGCACAAGGTCCTTGTCTAATTGAAGATTGGTCCTTAGGGAAGCACCAAATTTAAAAATACGTAGAAAACTGCCTGGTTAATCTAAGCGCTTAAGAAAGTTTCACCATGATGATGATAACTCTACCAAAGTTGGCATCCTCTAACACTGAGGTCACTTTTTTATTATTATTTTACTTTAAGTTCTGGGATACACGTGCAGAATGTGCAGTTTTGTTACGTAGGTATACATGTGCCATGGTGGTTTGCTGCACCTATCAACCCGTCATCTAGGTTTTAAGCCCTGCATGCATTAGGTATTTGTCCTAATGCTCTCCCTCCCCTTGCCCCCTACCCCCCTACAGGCCCCAGTGTGTGATGTTCCCCTCCCTGTGTCCATGTGTTCTCATTGTTCAACTCCCACTTATCAGTGACAACATGCAGTGTTTGGTTTTCTGTTCCTGTGTCAGTTTGCTGAAAATGATGGTTTCCGGCTTCATCCATGTCTGTGCAAAGGACATGAACTCATTCTTTTTTACGGCTGCATAGTACTCCATACACCAAGGTCATTTTAATAAATTATTTATCTTATAATCTTTATGGTTATTTGCCATTGTGATGCTGAAATAGGATAATCAAGAGGTATGATCTTACTACTTTCTCTCTAGAATTGTCCACTAAGAAGCACCATCCTTAACTGTACGCTCTCTATCCACCTATTCCAAGCTCCTACATGACTGCTCCTATCATGCTCCTTAATGTTTAATTCTCTGTACTATAATCTACCTGAGGAAGTTGTAGGTACACTGGAGCCAGCATAAGTTATTTGGGACACTGCTCTGAGATATTGAAGGTCCCTTGGCTTTATTTAGCAGTAGATTCTTCAGATTGAACTTCCTGAACTGTCATCAGTGAGTGCCTCATCCTTTAGCTTCCAAATTTATTAGATGAAGCACTTATGCATGTGACGAGAACAGTAATACAACACTGGTGTCTTCAAACAATCTAAACCCTTCTTTAAAAATAATTATTTCCAAAATTAGCAAATCAAATCTCCATTTTTGTACAAAGTGGCATTCTATTTCTTCTCCTTCTCCTTCTTTTTAACAGAGACAGTGTCTCACTATGTAGCCCAGGCTGGTCCCGAACTCCTGTGCTCAAGTGATCCTCCCGCCTTGGCCTCTCAAAGTGCTAGGCTTACAGGCATGAGCCAGGTGATATTCTATTTCTATCTTGTTCTATACTAGGGACTACTATAATAATAAATAAAGTACCCATTGTCACTCTAGAAAAAGAGTTTTTGTCAGGACCATCCCAGGACAAACTACACTTAATTCTTTGGATTTCAGCTTTTATATGGAGAAGATTTGTTGAACTGCTATTTCCGAGCTATTGATCCAGTCCTATGAAAAGGACTGCTAGATAATTTCTAGATTGAAATTCAGCTTAATACAGCAGCCAGGTCCCAATGCAATATGTCCCAATTTGCCTCTAAAATATCGTGAAGACGTATTCACAAAAGATGAAAAAAAGATTATATCACTGCCAAAGACTAAAACACTCTGAGAACTTTGTGCCATAACCTGGGGGAATTTTTTCAGTAATTCTCATGTGATGAAGCTGCAATCTCTGATCTCATGACCTGGAGGCTGCTGTGGTCCCTTTCTACCACTGAGCTGCCGAGAATAACAATTTGGATGCCTGCTAAAATAACCAACCCCAACATGCTTTATATGCCTGCAATCCTTGGTCACAGCCCAAAATATTAGCCACTCCTGTTATCTGTCTGCCTTAAGACTCGTATGCCCATGATGTTTTTTCTCACCTGGTTCTCCTTTTCACTTTGTCTGTACCTCTAGGGACTTTTCTCCGAGCCCTTCGTTATGGAGAAATGCCTTTAAATTCTCATTCCTTTCACTGAATATGCCATCCACTTCCCTGCCTTATATCTGGGCTACTTCAAAAGCCCAGCTATTCTCTAATACCTCCTCATGGCATACTGCTTATGCTCCACTATCTCGTGTATTTCAGAGAACACAGTGTATTCCACCACTACTTTCAGGATAGACGTCCCCAAATACCAAGCAATGCCTCTTTCCCTTTGACAATCATGTCATCTGTTATACTACCATTTACCATCATCTCAGTAAATCTGTCTTATTTATTAAAGACTTTAACACCTGCCTTACTTTTGCCTACTTTATCCCAGATCCTGCTATTATCATTGGTGATTTCAATGTCTAACTATCAAAACTTTAGGCTCTCAAGTACTTAATCTCCTTCTCTCCAGCAACCTTCAACTCATCATTACTTCAACTATCCACTCCAATGGAAGAATATTTCCTCACAGTGCTGTAGCACTGAAATCTTACAATTAAATCTTCTATTAACTAACTTACATACCCACTATATCTACTATAACCATAATAAATTTCATTAGTTTTATGCTTAGACCTCATTGAGCCCTACTTGACCTATTTGCTTCCTCAGCACCTCTCATAAGCACCTGATTCCCACTATCATCTTTCCATATCCACTTTCAGATATATGCTTTAACATTTTAATCACTCATCAGCAATCTCCATAATGCATTTTTCTGCCATTATCCTACCATTTTACCTTCCTAACAGGTCCAAGGTTAGTAGAATGCTCTGCCTTTTCTGTATTTGCAATCTGGCTGAAAATGGCTGGCAACTGTGCACACTAGCCTCTATTCCAGTAGAGGCAGGATAGTGAAATATCAGTTAAGAGACTTGTAAGCATAGCCAAGAAAAATTTAGACTTTCTGTTATAAAATAATGAATCCTGTCAGATCTCTCTTCATTCAAGATACAATTACGAAAAAACGTCTACATAAAGTTTTTTAGTTTTCATATTGATTTTATAACTCCAATTTAGTCATTATATTTATTTTGTTTCATACAGTGAATGCCTAATTAAATGTACACATGTGTTTACTACTTCACTGCCTGCCATTTGTTTTACGTAGGAAAACATCTTTTGGTTATTTTTGTTGTCCTTATTTATTTGTTTTATATGTACATCCTTTAGTGTGTATGCAAACAAGAACTCCTCAGTTGTAAACCCTCTAACTTAGTCTGAAATGATATTTTAATCCTACTTCTGAATATAGATTAACATTTCTTTATTGTCTAAAGATGTTATTCCAATGTATTCTAGCTTATAATGTTCAATAATTTTCTTCAATATAATTTTTATTGTTTTGAAATTAACATATTTTGCTCCATGGTTGCTTTTAAGATACTCTTATTTTATTTAGGAAGTTCTAAAGTTTTACACAATGGTATCTATAGGTGTGTATTTCTTAGGACTTGTTCTTATTGAATCTATACGTTCATGTTTTTCTTCAATTCTGGATAATTCTTAGCTATTACCAGTTGAAATATTTCCTTCCCCCCATTTTCTTAATTCTTTCTGTTTGTAACTTCTATTAAAAATAAGTTGGTTTAGCCAAAATATCACAGATTTCAATGGCCAATGTTTTATTTGTTATTTTCTAGCTATGACACATTTTATTGCTTTCTCTTTGCTCTAATAGTTATTTATGTTTCTACTTGTTCATGTGTCAAATAACATTTGGAAGGGTATTCTGTAGCTCAAAATTGTTGGGTAAGCTTTTGTGATGATTCTGGAAATCCTCTGACTCCCTATTCCAGATAAATTCTCTACAAATGTGTTATATGCTTGCTTTGTCTTGGACTAAAGGATATAAGTGAAAACATTCTATTTTGTGATATTTCTGTCTATTTCCCATATTTTCTGAAGTTTTGCTTTACAAATAGCTGAAGCTATATTAACTAATAAATATTAACTCATAAAAATTTGCATACTAAAAATAATGTTAGAACTTAGTTTTATATTCCCTTATTGTGGGTTGAATGGTGGCCCCCCGAAAGACATATCCATGTCCTAACCAGCAGATCCTGTGAATATGACCTTATTTGGAAAAAGGCTCTTTGCAGATGTAATTAAGGACCTCTAGATGAGATCATCCTGAATTATCCTGGCGTGCCCTAAATCCAACGACAAGGGTCCTTATCAGAGACCCACATAGGAGAGACACACAGTGAGAGGAAGAAAAAGCTATGTGAAAATGGAGAGAGAGATTGTAGTTATGCAGCCACTAGTCAAGGGATCCCTGAAGCCACCAAAAGTTGGAAAAGGCAAAGAAGTACTCTTTCCTAGAGCCTTCGGAGGGAGCATGGCCCTAATGACACTTTGATTTTGGACTTCTGACTTCTAGAACTATGAGAGAATAAATTTCTGGGATTTTTTAAACCACCTAGTTTGTGGTAATTTATTATGGCAGCCTAGGGAAACTGATACATCTCTACATATCTTTACATATTTTTCTTATTTCCCATATCTTTATGTCTTCATGTGAAATTCAGACCTATTTTCTATTGCACTGACACTTTCTTTAACTCTGTCTGAACTTTAGTTTATTCTTTCACTTCCAGATCTTCTATTAGGTTGGTGCAAAAGTAATTGTGTGTGTGTTTTTTGCCATTATTTTCAATATCTATTTCTTATTAAAAGAATATCATATTCTTTTTTCTTTTTCTTTTTAAGTTTATTTATATTGACAAATAAATACTGTATATCTGGTGTACAGCATGATATTTTGATATATGTATAAGTTGTAGAATGGTTAAATCAAGCTAATAAACATATGCATTACCTCACATACTTATTTTTTTGTGGTGAGAACACTTAAAATCTACTCTCTTAGCAATTTTCAAGAATATAAAACCTTTTTATTAACTATAATCCATGTACTACCATGTGATACAATGGATCTCTTGAACTTATTCCTCCTATTTAACTAAACTTTTGTAACTTTTGAACAACATCTGCACAATATCCTCCCTCCCAAGTCTCTGGTAACCACCATTCTACTCTCTGCTTCCACAAGTTCCTCTTTTTTAGATTCCACATATGAGTGAGATCATGTGGCATTTGTCTTTCTGTGCTTGGCTTATTTCACTTAACATAATGTCTTCCAAGTTCGTCCATGTTATAACAAATGACAGGATTTCCTTCCCCTTTTTAAGGCTAAATAGTGTTCTATTGTGTATACATACCACATTTTTTTTATCCATTCATTTGTTGATGGACACTTAGGTTAATTCTCTACCTTGGGTATTGTGAATAATATTGCAACAAAAATATTCATTACTTATCTTTTTGATTTACATAATTATGTCTTAAAATATTCAAGTATATGTATTTAAATGTGGCTATTTGCTTGTTCTATTATCTAGAGTTTTCCAGTGTTTAGCATTTCTTTTGTGGGTGTGTCTGCCAAATTTTGCTCATAATATATCATTTTCCCATGTGCTTTTTAATTTGGTGTGCTGAGTTCATCAAGGCTTTATCTGTGGAAATAGCATGTGTCCTTTGTTGAGGATAAGTAGCTGAAAATAATGTTGAAGATAGTGGCTGAAATAATAAGTAGCTTAAGGATAAGAAACATGTCTCCCTAGGTTATTATAGCAGGGGAATTTCCAGGTTATTTAGTTCTCTATATTGCCAATGAAATTGACATTTTATTTTTATCCTTCATTGATTAACACTTTTATTTTCTTACTATGTTCTCTCAGTGGAAGTTACTTATTATTGTATCAAATATCTCTATATTATAGACAATTATATTAAAATTCCTATGCTTTGTTATTCTGAATATCAGAGAAATTAGGTATGACTTATCTAGTACATGAAGTATTGCAAAGATTTACAGTTTTCACTCACCACCTTTTGTGCTTGCCCTTCTTCTGAGATGGCAAAGTGAATAACTGTTCATTGCTTGGAGACTACCTAACGTGAGCCTATTACATTATATCTTGTGATATTTTCAGTCCATTCTATTTTGGATACTGTCATTTAACAGTTAGGTAACTACTCATTTTTATCAGTTCACTCTTGCTTCTAAATAAAAATGAGTGGGCTGGGCGCTGTGGCTCACGCTTATAATCCCAGCACTTTGGGAGGCTGAGGCGGGTGGATCACGAGGTCAGGAGTTTGAGACCAGCCTGGCCAACACAGTGAAACCCCATCTCTACTAAAAATACAGAAAAAAATTAGCCAGGTATAGTGGTGGGTTCCTGTAATCCCAGCTACTTGGGAGGCTGAGGCAGGAGAATCGCTTGAACCCTGGAGGAGGAGGTTGCAGTGAGCTGAGATAGCGCCACTGCACTCCAGCCTAGGCGACAGATCTAGAGTCTGTCTAAAAAAAACAAAAGAAGTGAATAATATAGTAAGAAATTTTGGAGCCAATACATTTTATATAAAATATAAGAATACCTGGCAGCTGTTTACGACAATTCCAGGTCTATCTGTCCAGATATCCAAATGATACACAAGTTTTATTAATGCCATAAAATCAGTATAATAAACTTATACCAACATATGAAAATGAAAAAAATCTAGCATTTTAATCTCAATATGATATTTTTTGCCTACAGCATATATGAAAGCAAAATCTTTGCAGGCATTAAAAGATTTTGTCAAAATAGCTTGAATAAATTATAAATTACAGCAAAGTCCGAGCACACCAAAATTTCAAATAAAATATCTCATGAGGTTTAGATTTTTAAATGTTATTAAAAATTATTTCACTATATAGTGGCTTTATAAAATTAAAAAACTTAAACATACCATTTTGTTATGAATTTCTTCATAGTAACTTGTTGAAAGTGATACAAAACTTACTTATCAGGTTATTCTGAAAATCAACTCAAGGCCCCGGGGATTATCACAGAAGAAGTGGGCATTGTAAGAAGAGTTGAGATTGTAAGGGCCCATTTTGAGAATGAAAAAAGTTCAGTTTCTCTATAAATTCACTGCTAATGTCAAAGGCACACTGATGCAAGATCAGCATATGGGCCCCTGTGTCACATTAACAATGTTTTCTTGAAGCATTAAACAACTCCTTAATGTCTTACCTATTTTTTTTATTTTTATTATTTTCTAAAGCTTGGATTGAATTCTAATTTTTCCTGGTTACAAGTTTCCAAAATAATGTAATGTTTTCAATGTTTTTCTTCTTTCTTCTCCTTTCCCCCACATTTTTCCTAATTTGAAAGCACTGAAAACTAAGCTGTGCTTTCTTTAAGCCCTATGAACTGAAGCTAGACAACTTAAACTTCAGAAGAAAATAACAGCTACCTATTTACATACATAAGCCACTTTCATACCTGCCTACTGATGCATTATGGACTTCAGAGTAATGTGGCCTATATTGATTTTCCAGGATTGTTCCTTTGTTTGTTGTTGTTGTTCTCCCTTCCTCCCCCTATTTTCTCTTTGTAGAACATGAGACTTCAGAAACTGCTAAAAATCAGCTTTCCTAATAACTCAGGTCCTACCCATCTGGGAATAAACCATCCTAGCCATGAGAGATCAGAAGAAGCCTGAGACCAAAGACTCATTTTCCTCTAAAATGCTTTCTCCAAAAGATTTTTAAAAGAAAAGGGGGGAAATGTGAAAGGAAAATAAATCGTGGGGCCCCCAAATCACTAAACTAAAGGGAAAAATCAAACTGGGAACTGCTTAGAACAAACCTGCCTCCCATTCTATTCAAAGCTATCCCTCTGCTCGCTGAGATAAATGCATATCTGATTGCCTCCTTTGGAAAGGCTAATCAGAAACTCAGAAGAATACAACCGTTTGTCTCTCACCTACCTGTGACCTGAAAGCCCCTTCCCTGCTTCCAAGTGTCCCACCTTTACCGATGGAATCAATGTACGTCTTACATACATTGATTGATGTCTGTTTCCCTAAAATATATGAAACCAAGCTGTGCCCTGATCACCTTGGGCACATGTCTCAGGCCTTCCTAAGGCTGTGTCACAGGCACACATACTCAACCTTGGCAAAATAAACTTTCTAAATTAAAAAAAAAGAAAATTCCTAGGACCAAGTCCTGTGTTGGGCATAAACTAAATTAAAAACAAAAACAAAAGTTTCCATAAGATGCAATTATTATTGGTTGTGTTTCTTTATAAAGTCCTGATTAATATTTGCATTTTATTCTGTTAGGCCTCTCCCTCTTAATATCAATGTGGGTCTTCAACATTTTGAAGTTGAATTTGTTTTTAATAATCTTTTTCTCCAATTATGGCTTCTGACCCAAATAAAATTATTGAATGTCAGAATGTTACAATATAAGTTACATTAACAGTAGCTCTGGCCAGGCATGGTGGCTCACGCCTGTAATCCCAGCACTTTGGGAGGCCAAGGCAGGCAGATCACCTGAGGTTGGGAGTTCGAGACCAGCCTGATCAACATGGAGAAACCCCTAAAATACTAGTCTCTACTAAAAACATAAAATTAGCTAGGCCTGGTGGCATATGCATGTAATCCCAGCTACTCCGGAGGCTGAGGCAGGAGAATCTCTTGAACCCGGGAGGTGGAGCTTGTGGTAAGCCGAGATCGTGCCATTGCACTCCAGCCTGGGCAACAAGAGTGAAACTCTGTCTCAAAAAAAAAAAAAAAAGTAGTTCTATTTGTTACCAGGGGCATTAGCAATCTGGTAAAAAAAAATGTATCCTTGTAAGTTTTCTCACCTAAATTTGTAAATAACAAGGTTCAGTTTATTTTTTTCAAGTCTAAAATTTCGAGCTCTTTGCAAAGTAATGCATAAACTATGAATTTCTTAACTTGTTTTGTTTTTCACACATTCTCTGTATTCATTTTCCTTTGGCCATTACAGTAGTCTCTATTACCTGACTTGCTCATAATATTTTTTAAACTAAACTAGTGTAGTAATTTTAAGTTGTTTTCCTGAATGATATAGCTTGTTGAGGTAATTGTGGAAGCTTTGCTTAGCAAGAAGTAATCAAGTTTAAGATGTTAGTTAACATTGGAGTGTGTAGTAATCAGAAAGAAATATATGGCAGTTGAACCTAAAGGGGAATGGGTCCTGGATACACATCATGGTGAATTTAGTTGTTTAAATATTTGAGGTCAATGCTCACAATCAAAGCTTTCCTTAATGACCTCGTGGCAGGAGTCTGCATTTGGGAAATGGAATTCTTGATCCAAAAAGTTTTACTATTTTCAGTCATTATATGAAAAGATGAGTAGGTTAATGGGTACTTACCCCTTTTACCCTTTAAAGATTTCTGTTCTGAGGGAGCTTATAATCTCATTGGGAGTAAAATCTATGTTTTGTGTTTAATGTTCCTCACTGCAGTTAACTCCCTGATGTGTACAAAATAGCTTCAATGTGCTGAGTGCTTAGTGTGGCCATACGAAAAATAATCTCTACAATACAATAAGCCTGTAAGTATTATTCTCTTTTTCAGATAAGAAACCTGAGGCGCAGAGAGCTTAAATGATTTATATCACCTATATTGTAAGAGACATTCAATCATACTTGCAAACTTGAATTTATAACACTTAATCTTGACTTACCAAGAAAAACATGTTATATGCATTTATATAATGCGTATATTATCACACATACGCAAATGAAAACACAAATGCATTCTGTAGCATATGAACAAACATGAGCTAATCTTTGCATGTACTCCTCACCTACCCCTTATGCCACATTTATAAAGAACAATTTTTCCTTCCCTAAGTTTTCTATACCTTCTTGTGCTTTTATGTTTTTGCAAATGCTGCTTGCTTGGTGTGTTATGTCCAGCCCCCACTTTGTCTGCCTATGTCTTCTTGTTTAAACTACAGCTTAAACATCACTTCCTTTAAGAAAGCTTCCCTGGCATTTTCTCATTTCTCCTCACACTATAGTCTTTTTGAAGGCTATTATGTATTTTATTTGTCTTTGATTTTTAACCTTAAGGGTGATGACCAGTACATAGTATGTGTTCAATAAATGTCAGATCCTCCTCTGTTTATTTCAGAGGAATCTGCATATAATTATGTTTAAAAGTTAATGGCTATTCTATAAACCTACCAGCATGGCAGAAATGAAAAAAAAAGACATACAATACCACCTGTTGGTATGAACATAGAAAATAAAGATGTCTCTCATTGACTGTTGGTTGGAATGTAAATCTATTCAACTTACTTTGGAAAACTGATGGGCAGTACCAGTTAAATTCAAACATATGCTTACCTGTGGGTCAGAAATTCCATTTCCATGTGTAAACCCAACAGAAATATGTGCACTTGCTCATTAAATGATATATATTTAAATGTTCAAAGAAGCATTATTACATTAGCTCAAAACTGGAAATTATCAAAATGCCCATTATTACATTAGCTCAAAACTGGAAATTATCAACATACCAATAAATAGCAGAAAGAATAAATATATCATAATATATTCATCCAGTCAGATGCTACCAACAAAATAGAGTTACTGATATTCAACCACACTCAACAATTTTAGATCAAACTCAAACAATAAAGGTTGAGGAAAAGAAGTCTAACACAAAGTACATCGTATATGATTCCATTTTTACCAAAACAAACTAATTCACACTATTAGAAGTCAGGAGACGAATTACTCAAAGTGTAGGGGAAAAGCACTAGGAAGGCTTCTGACTTTCTAGTGATGTTCTGTTTCCTGATCTGGGTGCTGACAATGTAGGAGTATGACAGTAGTGAAATTCATTTATCTATATTCTTATGTTCCTTTTATTGTCAATGTATTATACTTAATATTATAGAGTTCTCTCTTGTTTTCCATTCAACTTATCTAGCTTCTTAGTTTTCCTATGAGTACCTTACCAAGAATGGTCAAGAGTCTGAGATTTTTATCCTACTTCAAGCTAACAAATTAGCTTTAAAAAGTCTTATATCAGTATTCAGTCCCCCCATCTCAGTTTTGGCATTTTGGTATAGATGATGGCAGAAAACACAAGACTCCTAGGTCATAATCAAAGGACTTTATTACCAATGGCAATAACAGTAGCCAATCATTTGTGTTGGTTCCCTGAGCCTAGCTTCCCACAGAGTGATGTGAAAAGGGCTAGGTGAAGCATACACAAAAAGTGGGTTGCATTAGTATGAAAGGAGTCCTGAGCTTAGGAAGCCCAAACGTTTTATTCTGGGTAGTAAGCCTGCGTGCCTTTTGCTCCAGAAACATTTCTGTCTTCCAAGGATGTTTGCTGTACAAACATCCTTGAAAAGATGATTTAGAACAAATCAGTCAGAGACTGTGCTTTCAAGTTATACAGAAGCAAAAAAGACAAAGGGGGAATTGCCTCTCAGCCCTCTGTTTCCTTTGCTTGTCTTTAAATGTCAATTTTCCTCAGCATCCCCTCCACTGACACTTTATTTTAATATATAACATATTTTCTTGGGTAATGCCATCACTCTTTTAGTCCAAAAGTCTTATATCGGTATTCAGTCCCCCCCATCTGATTTTTGGCATTTATGTTACCTGTACTCAAAAATTTAGCTGTTTTTTTTTTTTTTAACTTTAGGAAGTTCTAGGATACTTGTGCTGAACATGCAGGTTTGTTACATAGGTATACATGTGCCATGGTGGTTTGCTGCACCTATCAATGCATCATCTAGGTTTTGAACCCCTGTATGCATTAGGTATTTGTCCTAATGCTCTCCCTGCCCTTTTCCCCCACCCCCACCCCCCGACAGACCTCAGTGTGTGATGTTCCCCTTCTGTTGCGGGAAGTCAGAGACCCTGAATGGAGAGACTGGCTGAAGCCATGGTAGAAGAACATAAATTGTGAAGATTTCGTGGACATTTATTAGTTCCCCAAATTAATACTTTTATAATTTCTTACACCTGTCTTTACTGCAGTCTCTGAACATAAATTGTGAAGACTTCATGGACATTTATCACTTCCCCAATCAATACTCTTATAATTTCCTATGCCTGTCTTCACTTTAATCTCTTAATCCCGTCATCTTTGTAAGCTGAGGATGGACATTGCCTCAGGATCCTGTGATGATTGTGTTATCTGCACAAATTGTTTGTAGAGCATGTGTGTTTGAACAATATGAAATCTGGGCATCCGAAAGGAATAGGATGGCTGCAATTTTCAGGGAACAAGGCAGATAACCACTGGGCCTGACTGCCTGCGGGGCCGGACAGAACAGAGTCATATTTCTCTTCTTACAAAAGCAAATAGGAGAAATATCACTGAATTCTTTTTCTCAGCAAGGAACAGCCTTGAGAAAGAGAATGCATTCCCAGGGGGAGGTCTCTAAAATGGCCACCCTGGGAGTGTCTATCTTATACTGTTGTGGATAAGGGATGAAATAAGCCCTGGTCTCCTGTAGTGCCCCCAAGCTTATTAGGATTAGGAAATTCCTGCCTAGTAAATTTTAGTCAGACCGGTTGTCTGCTCCCAAATCCTGTCTCCTGATAAGATGTTATCAATGAAAATGCGTGCCCAGTGGGACACGAAACTTCATCAGCAATTCTAATTTCTCCCTGGTCCTGTGATCTCGCCCTGCCCCCATTGGCCTTGTGATATTTTATTGCCCTTGAAGCATGTGATCTCTGTGACCCACACCCTATTCGTACACCCCTCCCCTTTTGAAATCCATAATACAAACTTGCTGGTTTTGTGCCTCAGGGGGCGTCACGGAACCTGCCGACATGTGATGTTTCCCCCGGACACCCAGCTTTAAAATTTCTCTCTTTTGTACTCTTTCCCTTTATTACTCAGGCCAGCCAACACTTAGGGAAAATAGAAAAGAACCTACTTTGAGATACTGGAGGCTAGTTCCCCTGATACCCTTCCTGTGTCCATGTGTTCTCATTGTTCAACTCCCACTTATGAGTGAGAACATGTGGTGTTTGGTTTTCTGTTCCTGTGTTAGTTTGCTGAAGAGGATGTCCTTGGTGCATCATGATAAACTAACCCTACAAAATTCCATTTTCACTGACTCAGGTGGGGTGCTCTACTTCTTTGTTTCCTCTCCCTCCCTCCCCAACACCAAACATACAGACATATGCATACACTAAAGAATAAACATTGAGCATGTTTAGAAAGTCAGATGTTTTTATTGCAGGTTCACAGCCTCTGGTTAAAAAAGCATGGGCCAGTAGGGTGTGGTGGCTCACGCCTGTAATCCCAGCACTTTGAGAGGCTTGGGGGTACGGATCACGAGGTCAGGAGTTGGAGACCAGCCTGGCCAATATGGTGAAACCTTGTCTCCACTAAAAAAAAAAAAAAAAAAAAAAAAAAAAAAAAAAAAAAAAAAAAATGGCCAGGCGTGGTGGCATGTGCCTGTAGTCCCAGCTACTCAGGAGTCTGGGGCAGAAGAACCGCTTGAACCTGGGAGGCGGAGGTTGCAGTGAGCCAAGATCATACCACTGCATTCCAGCCTGGGCAACAGAGTGAGATTCCATCTTAAAAAAAAAAAAATGCATGGGCCACCCTGGAATCTGAAATGTTGGATTATTTCAGTTCACTTGTTGAACCAATAGAAAGAAATTGGAAGTTTATTAGATTATTGTTTCCTTTCTCCTGCTGGCAAGATCAGATAGGAGTGATTGTCATGATCACATTTTTGGGGGTGGAGAAGGAAAGGTAGAGGCCGTAGGGACATTAGCAAACCCCAGCAATCCCTTTACAGGGTAGAAGAGATATTTTCCACCTTTCTTCCTTTAATGATAGATGTGATATGAGGAAAAAACAACCATAAAACTTCAAGCTTGGAAGCATCTACATTTTTCTTTTTTTTGCTGAAGAAATGTTGTTATTACAAGTAGGAAGAGGGAAAGGTTGATTCTCACCCCCCTCTGCCTTGGTCTATTATTAATTCACCTCTGATTTTTATCTGGAAAATTCATACTTTTTAGGCATGGAAAGGATAGGATGAGATGAATGCCATCCAGCTGTTCACAAATAATTAGGAGGCTGGGCAATGATGGCTAGAGGTTGAATGTTCAATTCCCCATCTAAACCCCACTAGTTGCTGAGGTTGTCTGGGCAAGGATGATGGAGGTGATGGAGTTGAGGTGAGATATTAAGCTCTGGAGCATAGAATTTTCTCTAACTTGAAGGCATCTTCAGTCAGGTGTGGTGGCTCCTGCCTGTAATTGCAGCAATTTGGGAGGCTGAAGCAGGTGGATCATCTGAGGTCAGGAGTTTGAGACCAGACTGGCCAACATAGTGAAACCCTATCTCCACTAAATATACAAAAATTAGTTGGGCATGGTGGCAGGCACCTGTAATCTCAGCTACTTGGGAGGCTGAGGCAGGATAATTGCTTGAACCTGGGAGACAGAGGTTGCAGTGAGCTGAGACTGCACCAGTGCACTCCAGCCTTGGCGACAGAGCGAGACTCCACCTCAAAAAAAAAAAAAAACAAAAAAACACAAGGCATCATCAGGGCCAGAGTAGCAGAACAATTTAGAGCTGATACAAGAGTGTAAAGGTTTGCAAAATGGAGAAGGTTAATCTGAGTAATGTTGAGATGAAATAAGAACAGAGACTGATATGAGGAACAAAGACCAGCATAAAAGGATGCTTCTCTGTAAGAAATGTTGCCTTGAATTGAGTCTTTAAGAAAGTAATAAAATTCCTAAACCATGTAGCTTTTGATATGGAAGAGATTCAGATATTAAACCTCACACAAATAAATATATCATCCTGAATTTTGGTAACACCATGAAGGACATGTACAGAAAGGATAGGGTGAGCCCAATTTATATTAGAGAGACATCTGGGAAGGACCCTATGAAGAAGTGATATTTAACTTGAGACCTGGAAGAAAATTAGCCAGATGAATGGCTAAAGCCTGCAATGGGAAAACAGTTTTTTCAGAAAAGGGATTTTCAGAGCATATGGTAAAAGACAGGAAGGTTGACATAAGTAGAAGAAATAGAGAATTTAGGACTATGTTTAAGACTTTAAATTTTCTTCCAAGTGCAATTGGAAATGATTGAAAAGTTTAGTGAAAAAATGAGACAATGTGATTTTAATTTTTAAAATATCACTTTGACTATTAAGTGAAGAATGGATCAAAATTAAAAGTAGGAGTAAAAAATAATTTTTAGAACATATAAAGGTTCTCTAATGTTATTAATAGTGAATAATAGGGAAGGAAAAACACTGTAATTCAGAATTGTCAAGTTATCACACTATAAAGGGAGGAGACCTGAATGAGAGAAAACTATGTTTTGAAAAATAACAATGTGCTCTTCTTTTTATTTATTTATTAATTATTATTATTATTATTATTATTATTATACTTTAAGTTTTAGGGTACATGTGCACAACGTGCAGGTTAGTTACATATGTATACATGTGCCATGTTGGTGTGCTGCACCCATTAACTTGTCATTTAGCATTAGGTATATCTCCTAATGCTATCCCTCCCTCCTCCCCCGACCCCACAACAGTCCCCGGTGTGTGATGTTCCCCTTCCTGTGTCCATGTGCTCTCATTGTTCAATTCCCACCTATGAGTGAGAACATGCGGTGTTTGGTTTTTTGTCCTCGTGATAGTTTGCTGAGAATGATGATTTCCAGCTTCATCCATGTCCCTACAAAGGACATGAACTCATCATTTTTTATGGCTGCATAGTATTCCATGGTGTATATGTGCCACATTTTCTTAATCCAGTCTATCATTGTTGGATATTTGGGTTGGTTCCAAGCCTTTGCTATTGTGAATAATGCCGCAATAAACATACGTGTGCATGTGTCTTTATAGCAGCATGATTTATAATCCTTTGGGTATATACCCAATAATGGGATGGCTGGGTCAAATGGTATTTCTAGTTCTAGATCCCTGAGGAATCACCACACTGACTTCCACAATGGTTGAACTAGTTTACAGTCCCACCAACAGTGAAACTGGATCCCTTTCTTACACGTTATACAAAAATTAATTCAAGATGGATTAAAGACTTACATGTTAGACCTAAAACCACAAAAGCCCTGGAAGAAAACCTAGGCAATACCATTCAGGACATAGGCATGGGCAAGGACTTCATGTCTAAAACACCAAAAGCAATGGCAACAAAAGCCAAAATTGACAAGTGGTCTTCTTTTTAAATCAACCATGCAAATACCAGAGATGTGTAGAAAAGTCTTGTTCAAGTTCTGTTTTTCCTACTGAAACATTGAGGACATTTAGAAAGTCAGATTTTTTTATTGCAGGTAACACACTCAACATACTAAAACTTTATAGCTTATCAAAGAACTAAATTCTAGGGTCTCCCCTTTACAAAACTGTGGCAGGGTTCACCTGGATAAAGAGAGAAGAAGGAAGTTAATGTTTTAACTTACAGTTCTTTGTGTTTACTTAATGACTCATGCATGTGCACATGAATAAAAGAGTTTCAAGATGCGATTACCCTGTGCCCAATTTTCTGTTAAGTTTCACAGGTTAGTGAAAGAGCATGTCTGAAAGGATAAAAAAGGATAAATGTGCTTAACTCTGTTTCCTTGTCATATACTTTTTTGAAGTCCCAGTAATTATATTTCCCTCCACACAATACAAAATCACAAGTAGCACTGAGTGAAAGAAGAAAATATTAAGACTAAGGATCTGGAATTTGAATAGACAATCTTAGAGAGAGAGTCAGCTTATATAAATCACCATGAGAAGATTCAAGAAAACTAGAGCAAAAGAGATGAGCAAAACTTCCCTCACTGATCATCTGCCTTAAGAGATTCTTCATGGAATGATGTGGAATAAAAACAATAGACACAACTAAAAAACATCAAACTTAAAGGAGGCAATTTGATATACTTCAAGAGTATTGGGGGAACCAGCCTCCAATATTTCAAAGTAGGTTCTTTTCTATTTTCCCTAAGTGTCAGCCAGTCTGAGAAATAAAGGGAAAGAGTACAAAAGAGAGAAATTTTAAAGCTGGGTGTCCGGGGGTGACATCCCATGTTGGCAGGTTCCGTGGTGCCCCCTGAGCCGCAAAACCAGCAAGTTTGTATTAGCGATTTTCAAAAGGGAGGGGTGTATGAATAGGGTGTGGGTCACAGAGATCACATGCCTCAAAGGCAATAAAAGATCACAAGGCAAATGGGCAGGGCAAGGTCACAAGGCCAGGGTGAAACTAGAATTGCTGATGAAGTTTCATGTCCCACTGTGCACGCATTGTCATTGATAAACATCTTAACAGGAAACAGGGTTCAAGAGCAGAGAACTGGTCTGACTTGAATTTGCCAGGCTGGGATTTCCTAATCCTAGCAAGCCTGGGGGCGCTGCAGGAGACCAGGGCATGTTTCATCCCTATCTACAACTGTGTAAGGCAGGCACTCCAAGAGCCGCCATTTTAAAAGCCTCCCCCTGGGAGTGCATTCTTTTCCCAGGGCTGTTAATTATTAATATTCCTCACAGGGGAAAGAATTCAGCGATATTTCTCTTACCCATTTTCGGTAATAAGAGAAATATGACTCTGTCCTGCCTGGCTCCAGGCAGTCAGATCTAATGGTTATCTCCCTTGTTCCCTGAACATTGCTGTTATCCTGTTCTTTTTTCAAGGTGCCCAGATTTCATATTGTTCAAATACAGATGCTTTATGAACAGGTTATGCAGTTAACGCAATTATCACAGGGTCCTGAGGTGACATACATCCTCAGCTTACAAAGATGATGGGATTAAGAGATTAAAGTAAAGACAGGCATAGGAAATTACAAGAGTATTGATTGGGGAAGTGACAAACGTCCATGAAATCTTCACAATTTATGTTCTTCTGCCCTGGCTTCAGCAGGTCCCTCCATTTGGGGTCTCTGACTTCCCGCAACACAAGAGGAAACGTAATCATGGCTGTCTTACTTGGGCCCGGAAAATGCTTAATGACTTTAGCAGAGTTATATCTATACTACACTGCTTTCATCGAGTTTCCCCAGACCTAACATAAGGAGAAAGGAACTTGAAAAATTGGAGATGGTAGGCAAAACTGGTTTTCAGCATGCCCCACTGTATCAGTTATCTATCACTATGATACACTATATAACAAATACAAAATCTAGATTACACATAACACTACGCATCGAATTCTTATCCCTCAGTGCATAAGCTGGGTTCACCTAATGTAGGCTGGGTTTGGCTGGAGCAGCTCTGCTCAGTGTATCTGTCCTCCTCCTTGTTGATTTGACAGACTAGCTCAGAGGTGTTCTCATGGCAATGGCAGAAGCACAAGACTGCAAACAGGAAAACAGAAGGCCTAGAAGACCAAGGCTCAAACTAGGCAAACTATCACTTCACTGTCTTCTATTAGCCAAAGCAAGTCACACAGACAAACCCAAAAAAATCCAAGGGTGGGGCAATATACTCCACTTCTTAAGTGGGGGAGGCAAGAGTAAGTAAATATTTCTGAACAATAATATAATGTACCACACCCTCCTTTCTTCTCTGCTTCCTCTCTCGGCCACTTCTTTAGCTCTGGGAGAAAAAAACAATTAGTAAGAAACTGACTCACAATATAAGCAACTTGATATACTATCTTTTGGAGACATATGTGTATTTTGAAAAACAAACATAAGACAAGTGTAATCACTGATGGTGTCATTTCAGATCTCCCAAGTGAGCTGTATTTCTGGAAGGAACCTTTATAGACCATAGACATACCAGCCCCGAACAACAGGAAAGGCTTTTCTTCTCCTTCTCCTCCTTCTCCTCCTTCTCCCTCTTCTCCCCTTTCTCCCCCCCCCCTCCTCTTCTTCCTCTTCCTCTCCTTCTCCTTCTTCTTCTTCTTCCACTTCTGGATAATATTATTTAAATAAGCTTTCTTTTTCTTCTGTTTCTCCTTCAGAAACACTCAAACTCTTATGCAACCACAGGAGCAAATCAAACAATGTGATCACCATAATTGGCAAGCCACCAACTTTAGGCTTTACTGGCCTAGTGAATTGTTGCTATTTTCGTAACAGAAAACCATAACATTGTAATTACAAAATAATCCAAAACCCAGCCTACTGAAACTGCAACATTATCATTTTAATTTGTGTTCTTTATTAGCTATGAGGATTCAAATTTCCAAAAACCTTTGGGCTTTTAATACATACCAAACCCACAAGCAGCTGCAAACTGCCATGGATGCTGTTTTACATTAAACAGGGTAACACAGATATCTTATATTTTCATTTGGTCACTTGATTTTCTAAGTCACATATACAAAACTTCCCAAAGTACTGCCAAATACACAATTATGCCCAGTACTAAATTATTTACTTAAGAACTTTTCAGGATTCTGAATTCCCTGTTAGTTCCCATTGCCTCCTCTGGCTCCTGCTTTGCACACATTTTTCCATAATGCTTACCTTCACACCACCACCAGGCCGGAAAAAACAGGCACACACCCTCTTAGTAACTGTCACATAGTATTATTTTTTAAAAGCAATTATCATATACAGTCTGCATTTTTCAGATGAGGACTACCAGCCTGTGAAAGAGTGAATAACTGATCCAGAGTTTATATATCTAGTAGCTCGTACAAGCAGATTTCAATAAACTCTTTCTAGGAGGGAGGAGACAGTGGTAGCAATTATTGTATGGATATTGAAACAGCCACCACAATAATGATAACAATAATAGATAAGTTTTATCAAATGCTGCTCTTTGTCACATGCTAAACTGTTCACGTAAATTGCTGGGTTTTTTTTTTTTTTTCATCACAATGATTGTGCGATTTATGTTTTTTTTTATTATCTCTTTTGGTTGATGAGGAAACTGGCACAGAACGCTCAAGTTATTCCCTTAAAATTAACACTTAAGTTAATCTCTTAGCATGTTTTATTTTCTAAAAACATGCTAACTTTGAACTCGGAGTTTGAACTCTTGACAACTATGTTCCAGAGCCATCTGTCACCCTAGGTCTATGTATGGTGATGGATTAGAAATCAGGTGAAGGACCAGAGCCCCATCTTCTGACCCCTAGACTGCACAGTTGGGCCACAGTGCCATTGGTTGGGGATACTTCATTCACTAATGTTTCATGACTGAAGTTATAGCAAGAAGTTATCACATATGAAAAGGCAATCCAAGATGTCAACAATTAAAACATCAGGAGGTAATCCCCAAGGAGAGAAATTCAACCTGAGTTTTCTTATCATTTTGAGTACTAAGCAGAAATGGATTCCAAGGTATGGGAATCCCAGAGAAAATGAATCCCAGAGAAAGTGACTATGTCAGGCTGGAGGAAGACAAAAGAGCAGGTCCTGGCATCTGGCATCTGGCTTTTGCTTGTTCCTCTCGCAACACTCATGGGACTATGTAAAACCTTGACATCCTGGACACAATCATACCAACTGAGAATTGTCTGGGAAACCAGACATGCATGCTTGGTTAATTAATCTTGCTACCCAGTGAACAATGAAGAGAAAAAAAATCACATAAAATATATAAGGAGAAAAAGGGAAAGCTGAGTGTTGGAGTCAGTACAGTGAGGAGAGAAAAAACCAAGAGCCGAGTGTTGTAAGATTAAATTCCAGCCCCGTGGTAGACTAAAAGAAATATTTGATCTGGTCACTTATCCTTCCAAAGCTTCAGTTTCCAAATCTTTAAAAGGGAGGTAAGAAGTGGAGAGTAATTAAATGTCACTGAGTTTTGTTTCCTGCATTAACGTTCTGTTTTCCATGTTTTAGAAAGTTTTCAGCATTTCTGAAAAAAAATTCATTTATCATGCTTAGTTAAAGTATGCATAATAATGAACAACTATATCCTTGTAGGCATGCTGCTCTGTGTTTTAGCACGTTTGTCAAGTTATGCAACAATCTAAAGAGCCACTTTCAGTCTAGTTTTCAGCTAGGACTTTTGTCTCTGGCTGTGTACACACTAGGACTTTCTGTAGCAGTAGAGGCACTTAGAATTTCCTCAAGTAAGTTCTATTACTTCAAGGGGTTCCAATTCAGACTTTAAAACATATGATTGCATGATAATGAAAATAAACCTCTTTGTCTTTTTGTAATTTGTGTTATTTATTTTTAAGTATAGACATTTAGATTTTTAAACTACATTTTTTCCTCCCTCTGTTACCTAGAACTTCCCTGTCTTCCAAGATGAGCAAACACTAATCAGTTTTCCTCGGGCTTGAAATTATCAGTGCTACAACTTGAGTTCAGATGGCACCTTCCTTCCAAATCCTTGCTTCAGTTACTTGCCGTGAAAAAATTACTTTTGGGGGCTGAAATTTCTTGCTTGCTTTTTTCCCAGAAGTGAATTATTTTAAGGAATTTAACTAAAATACATCCTGATAAGGTTTATGTGCCTACCAAATGTCATTTTAAATAAACAGAGCAACCCCCCTCCCCGATATCTTTTGTGCTGCATAGATGAGCAAAAATAAAATCTCAAATTATTAGGCACTTATTATTTTTATCAAAATAAAAAAGGCTTCCTATTTCCCTTTAATTTTCTACCAATTTTTTTCTTTAGTGTGTGTAACTTTTTGAAATTAGCCCAACACTAGATTTGTTGACTATGTGAGGAGCAGATAATACTATTCCCAGTGGTTTGCAACGTTTGAGATAAAGCTCAGAAAAGTAGTCCCACAGAAACCGTGCATCAGCAAATTTAAATTTTTTTTACAATTAAAAAATGTGAGATGGCTACTACCAAATGTCGATTTGAATTTTCTGTATCATAAATACTAATACCATATGAGCACAATATTCTTCATAGCAATTAGTCATGAAGAAGAACTCTCACAGTGTTTTAAAACACTTCCCAATCCTTTGGGAACCATAACAGACACTGAATTTAGAAACAGAAATTCCCACATTGTTATAACTTGCAAGTCTCCTACACAGTCATTTTTACACCTTTTACAAAAGTAATTGGCACTTTTTTCTTCTATAGTTGCAAGATAAAAATAAAATTAATACCAAGAAAATATGCATGCTTTCTGGAAAGTAAGATTAAAAATGAACCACAAAGGACATAATCAAATAAATTATTTTTATTATTTGGTACTGTGAACTAAGTATATGTTTTCCCATTTATAACCAATATAACCCAGGTTGTCTAATGAACTTGTTTTTATTTAAGTAAAATGTAGAATCACAGAAATTTAGAATGTCAGAGCCAAAAGAAATATCACATCCAAATTCCTGATCTTATTAAGGAGGAAACTGAGGCTTAGCTGGTTAAATGAATTGTTCCACCGCCCACTGGTGCTTTTACTTGTACATTAAATCATTAATGTGCTTACTCAAGTTAATCTATGATGCAAGATTCCTGTAAAATAAAATGCATATTTAATAATGTATTAAACTTATCCAAACTCAAGGTAAACACATAGCAAAGTACTTGATCATGATTGGGGAAATAGATTTATTTTTAACTTAAATAATTTTACTCTGTGATTTTTTCTCCTTTAGAACCCGGTGCAAAATTTTTTCATCCAGTATTTATTACGTATTTTCTATGTACCAATCTGTGTTCTAGAAAACAGAGACAAACAAGACACATGTTGTTCACTATATTCAAGTATGTAAATGGATATAGTTTGAATCATTGATTTTCTTTTTTTAATCATTTATGTTATTTTTCTATTTAACCTACCAAAATTTTAAAATTTCCTTTATTAGACTCAAGCTACTCATTACAAAATAGAACAAGTTCACCAATATTATGTTTAAGGAAAAAATGAAATTTAATTTTTTTATTGTAGACAAAGTAAACCTTCCAAGGCTATGCTTTGATTTCCTCAGTAATTTAGACTGATCCTATTAACTAAAGATTTATTCCTAAAAAAACTAGATAATGAGACTATTAGTAAACCTAAGGGATAATAATTATCATTTCTACAGAAATTTACAGTTCACCAATCACTTGCAAATGATTCTGATGGATGATTACAATTGCTTTCTGTGTTTAGATATCTAAGACTTTAAGTCTATATCAGTATCCGTTATCTATATCTATATTCATACTATCTAATTTGTAAATATGTAATATGTTTTCATATGCTTTATCATTTATGTTTAAATGCTAAATTTTGTGATATGTGCTACTGATTTTTGCTTTTCACGATAACAAAGAAGAGATGCATAATGAGAATGTGAGGAGTCAGGGAAATTTAATAAATACTTTTGGGGCTGTCAGATGCAGCAGCAACAGGATGATAGGTACTACTGTAGACAGTTGCAAAGGAAACAAGCCCAGAATTGGACAGGGACAGGGGTTGGGTGAACTTTACAGAAGTGATTCCTAAGCTGATTGTTGAGGATGTGCAAGAATCAATCAGAAACACAAAAAGAGAAAGGATATTCAAGGCAGAAAGAAAAACATGGATTTAGATAAGGAGGTCCAGGAGAGCAAGGAATAATTTAGGGGTGGAAAGTGATTGGGGAGTGCGTGAGTGTCTGTTTGGAAATGGGAAGTGGCTGTTGAAGAGATTGGAGAGAGAAGAGGAGGAGATATAACGGAGGGCTTTGTATATCTTGCTGAGAAGTTTGATTTTGTAGCTTTAACTTTAATTTGAAAAAGCAAAAACTGTCATAAATGAAGAGGATTGAGAAGCAAGACTTGTCAAAAAGAATTATACATGGATACAAAAGTTAGAGAGAATCCTAACTTAAAACTGGATATGGCTACCAACATACCTCCTTTCATATTTTTTCCAAGTAGTATCTGTTGAGCCAAAGATAAAACAAAGCAAAACAAGCAAAAAAAAAACTTCACTATACCTCAGGTTAAATTAACTAAAACTAATTGAAGAACCTAGAAAGAATCTCACTAGTTGCAAAAGGTAACAGAACATAATTGAGAAATATAATTTTCAGCCTGAGCCTAAATCCTTTAATAGAGAGCATCAATACTAAGAAAAATTAAGTGATTCTTTAAAAATAATGAGCTATCATGCAAGGTTAATATATAGTATATTACTAAGTAAAAATAACATTTAAAAATCATTTAGTAATATGTATAGAATGATCTCATTTTTGTGAACACCTTGATGAAGGGAAGCAACTATGTATTTATGAATACTTTTGAATATATCCATAGAGGCACAAAAAAGATGCAAAAGGACACTGAACAAACTGATTAACATTGGTAATCTGTGGAGAGAGAAGTTATCACATTTATTCGTAAACTTTGTATTACTTCAGTTGTTAAAACAAGCATGCATTATTTTTAATATCTAAAATATGTAAATTGGAAAAGCATAAGGCCAATATAACCGTGGGCAATTCAGAAAATAGTGAGAATATTACTGATTAAAATATAAGAAATGTGATCAAAGCACTATTCATTGAAAGAAGGTTCATAGGTTTGAATATGTTCCTTATAAAAAATATTTAATTAGATAGCAATTGTAGAAAGAAAAAACAAGAAAATCATCAAAAAATCAGAAAATTTGAAACAAATTCATAAATTATGGATAGTCAATTATAATACAATAAATAGAATACTAGTTTTAAAAGTATTTCATACATGAAATTTTGGCAAATTAAGTGCAGAATACTTGTTTTTTGAAAGTGTTTTATGCGTGAAATTTCAGCAAATTAAATAATGATAGAAAACATTGATAAATATAATTTGAAGCATAAAAGAGAAAAACTTCAGTGCTGTTTAGAAATATAGAGACATAATACGTCCATTCCATCAATTTGAAAAAAATTAATATATATGGAAAATAAAAATTATCTAGAATGACATAAGTATACAAAATCTGAACCAATTAACTAACATGGAAAAAAGTGAAAAATGTATCAAGATTCTCAAAAAAGTTCTAAGTAAAGATGTTGTGTTGTTTTTCTGATATAATCAGTTCCGTGCTAAATAAACTATTTAATCTTATATAAAATAATGGAAAGCCAAGCAATATGCTTTTGAATGGAGCACAATTAGGCTATCAGTAATTGACAAAGGTAATAGACAGAGAGGAGCGCATGTGCACACACACATACACATACCTCCATGCAACCATGTTTCATAATAGTCCAATCTCAAGTATATTTAAATGAGAATACCTGATTTCATGAAAAAAAGCCTCAGTCATTCATTAAGTGACTTATCTGCTGAGAAAAAAAAATAGAGCTATTTCAGGAATGAAAAGACTGCTTACTATTAGAAATTTTGTTAATATAATATGAATATAAGGACACCTCTATATCATGAAAAGTAGTGAGTTGAACTAACAGTAATTAACATTTTAAAGTGGGAGCAAGCAATAAGTAAAAATGTCCAGGTATGATCCTGGGAACTCATTTCAGTTTGCTAAGCAATTAGTTGGCTGAGACCTAGAGCACCCCCTACTCCCAGGGAGAGGAGGTGTACTTTTACTCAGCTTCTCCAGGGATGGATGACTTCCTACTATTGAGAGCAGGGCTACACACTTATCATGAACTTCAGTGTTTCCAAAGGCAGGGCAGCTAGCTTTCCCAGAGAACCTTGATATCCTAGTACCACAACATTTTGTTCCCACAGTGATGAGTTTGTTCTCACAATTGACCTCTAACAAGGAAAAGTAGGAAACAGGAAGTGTCCCTCCATATGACTGACCATGGCATGGCTCCTTGTGGAAAGATGGAAAAATCAGAATATACAGGCCTTCTCTTGCTACTCTTGCCATGTAAATTTCTCCAATGAAACCTGTTCCTTAATCTCTTCCTTATGATACTGTGCATTTTACTCTGATCAACCACATGGTTCATGGCAAATATCTAGAATCTTGGTCATTAAAATCTAAAACAAGAAAGTAAAGAACATAGCATTCTTTTTCTAATGTAAAGAGAATAGAAACAAACCCCAAATGATGTATATGTTAGCTCCTGTCTTTTGAGAAGCAGATGCCAAGATGGGATTAAACATGCAAGAAATTTATTGGAGAAAATGCCTGTGAAGGAAAAACGGGGAGGAATCCTGAGGGAGCTGGAAGACTCATCACACTGTGGTGCAAGTCCAACCACTGTGCAGGAGAGAAAAGGAGATAAATTTGGGCAGGAAATGTATTAGACTGTGGCACAGTTATAAGAAGATTTCAACAGTCCTTGAGCCAAAATGGGCTGTCGGAAGAGCCCTGTGTTTTCCAGAATGGGTTTGTCTTAGCATCTCTGCCACACTGTCATTAGCTGGGAACAGCTCATGAGAAGCATGGCATTTGTGCCAATGTCACAATGGAAGGCAATAGCTGAGGACCTCTGTCAATTATTATCCCCGCAGTTAGACCTCTGAAAGCCTCATTCTCATGATTGCCATAGTGTAGGTTTTAAATAAGAGAAAACCACAAGAATCGGTAGATAACATAACAATATGCTTGGAAAAGCCAAGAAGATGAACACCAAAACATTTATTTTTTAAAAGATGGTTTAAAATTCATCTGTGGGGATGGTGATGTTCTGGAATTAAATTGCTTTGCAGGTAAGAACACTATGTGGTATGAGGTGTGGTATAGCAAGGACTGTATTTATTCACGATTGCATAATTCAGGAATAATAATAAACCAACGACCATATATAAGCCTCAATATCTCATGACACTATATCCAGTTTTTATATGCTGTGCTGATAACTAGAAAAACAGAATAAATGTATCTTAATAGATTATATTATCACAGTTTTATAATAGGAGAATATTAAAATTGACTGTCTTAAAAAGAAAAATGTAAAAAAAGTCTGCATATATGCAATGAAGTAGTATTTAGTTATTTAATAAATCAGTCATTTCAAAGAATTTGTGCTGAAATGGTAAGATTTTCGAAATAAGTGAAATTTATCAGTATATAGCTCTGTTTCTGGTGTGGTCCTGATTACACACACATACACACACACACACACACACACACACAGAAAAAGCAGATGCAAGGAAACAAACATAAACACTCATGCATAACTTCTGAAGGTTGAATTAGGAATAATTTGGTGTTTATCCTTTATGCTTTTTTCAAAATTTTTATTATGCATAAAATGCAGTCAGAAAATGATTTTGTAAAATAATTTTAAAATATACAAACCATCATAGTAGAAACGTGGTCATCATTGATGCTGTTTTTCAAATATTTCTGGTACCCTGCTTCCAAGCGCATGGTAGGAATGCTCTTCCTGGTGGCTTCATAGTTAAGGGGGGGCCATGTGACTAGACTGAAACAATGAGTTTAGAGGAGAAGCATGATGTGTCACTTCAAGGCTGAAGCATTTAATTGCTGATGTAAGATACTCCAAAGTTCTTTTTCCTCTCTGCATTGATGACCAGAAATGTCGAAAGTGGTGGATGCTTCATCAGCTTGAATATCTGAGAAGCAACCAGGAGCAAAGCCCCTCTGCAAACTTGTGATTGACATTTAGCATTAGTAAAAAATAAACCTTTGTTTTTAAAGCACTGAGATATGCCAGTTGTAGTCTTTATAACATAATCTAGTCCTTTGTGACTGCCACAAAATTGGTTACTAGAAAATGGGTACTGCCATAAGAAAAACCTCAAATATGAGGCATTAGCTTCAGGACTCAGTGTCAGATGGGAAGAAAACAGTTACAGCAAAGTCCCCGCATGCGTATGCGCACGCGCGTGCACACACACACACACACACACACACACATACACACACATCTCAAAAATAACTGTAGACAGTACTTCTGTGGTATTCTTGCCAAAATGAATAACCTCAATGTGATCATAAGAAAACATCAGGAAAACTCAAAATAGGATGTATTTTACCAAATGCCTGATCAGTACACTACAAAACTGTCAAGGTCATGAAAGACAAGAAAAGAGTAAAAAAAAAGTCACACATGAGAGGAGGCTAAGGAGATCCAACAATTAACGTATATTATTGGATACTGGAAAAGAATAAAAACATTAATGGGAACATTGAAGAATTTTGAATTAGCTCTATAATATAGTTAATATTGTTAATTTCCTGGTCTTGATAATTATACTATTGTTAAGAAGATGTTAATGATACAGGAAGCCGGGTGAAAGGAATATGAGAACTCTCTGTACTGTTTTTGTAACTTTTTTGTAAATTTAACTTATTTAAAACTAAAATAAAAGATATGGTGGAAGGAGAACTGTGTAGCTTTGTCAAAATGTCATGCAAAGGCGAGTAAAAAATTCTTCATGCAAAAAACTAAAAGAATTGTGTGTGTGTGTGTGTGTGTGTGTGTGTGTATCAAGTTCAATTTCTCCCTTGAGGGACCTATAATTGCTCCAGATGGCAAACGTTCAAGTCTAAGTAACCAGGGGATTTATTCAGTCCAAAGCATGTGGGGGAGGTTGCATCAGTCAGGGTTCAATCAGAGAAACAAACGCTCAGAGTGATTCACATATAAGAAGGGACTTATAATAGGGTCTAGGCCTTATTGAATTGTGGAAACTGGTTAATCAGTCTCAGCGAGGCTTTTGTCTTTGCATCAGATGCTGAAACCTGAAGTCAGCAGGGAAGTCAGGAAGAGGAGATGATGCAAAGCAGAGGAAGCAAGGATAAATGGAATCCATGAGGACTATCTGGAGCTCTCAAGGACTGACTGGGACCCATGTTGATCTTCCACTGCCTCCAAACCTCCAATTTCAATGACATCAATGCCCTGAAAAAAAAAAGTGGGCGTTCTTTTTTATGGAGCTGGTGAAGAAGGAGGAAGATATGAGGGAGAACTGGAGCAATTGTGGGCCCAACTGCTGCCTCACACCAAGGTAAGCCAGGATATAAGCAAAAATATTCATGAGCTGCAGCAGCACCTTTCTGAGCATAAAACAAATGTGGCTACTACTTTACCTTTGCCTCCCAATTCTTTTACCAAATGCCTCTGGTAGCACAAGCAATCTCAGAACCATTCAGGGAACTCTGAGTAAAGTTTTAGTTTAGCTAAGTGAGCAGAATATAAATCCCCACAGAGGCAGACCTTCTAAACAGCAGGTGGAAAAAGAACTGCGTAATTTATCTGCTTTCACTTTTGCTCTCATTGACACCGAGTGTCACTTGAAATACCAAATGATGTTTTTAATGTTTTGTTAATATTATTGCTGGTATGCGTCCCATGAAGTTATACGGGATGCCCCAAACTTGGAATTCTAGTTTATAACTCTCTTCTTATGGCCCATAAATTCTCTTTTGGGACTCTTAAGATCCTTTCCTGACAGCAGACCTTGGTAGGGGCTTCTTGAGGCTCCCAGACCCCCGGGCAGTTGTCCATAACTTTGGATCTCAGTGAGCAGGAACTTCAGTCGTTACGTTCCTTTCTAAATTCTAATCTCATTT
Organism: Homo sapiens; assembly: GCF_000001405.40. NCBI lineage: Eukaryota > Metazoa > Chordata > Mammalia > Primates > Hominidae > Homo > Homo sapiens. The sequence continues at coordinate 27,977,481 of NC_000023.11, forward strand.
TGCAAATTACTCTACATTTTCCCCAAAACTCTTGAAATAATACTCATTTCAAGAAGTATTATCAAAGAAAAGCCATTGTTAGGACACAAGATGTTTCATTACATCTTTCTTTCCCAAGAAAATTCTGCAAAGAATGATGTGGTATAGGCTGGATGTGTTGGCTCATGCCTGTAATCCCAGTACTTTGGGAGGCTGTGGCGGGCGGATCACCTGAGGTCAGGAGTTCGAAACCAACCTGGCCAACATGATGAAACCCCGTCTCTACCAAAAATACAAAAATTAGCCGGGTGTGGTGGCACATACCTGTGGTCCCAGCTACTCAGGAGGCTGAGACAGGAGAATCACTTGAAACCAGGAGGCAGAGGTTGCTGCGAGCCAAGATTGTGCCACTGCACTCTAGCCTGGGTGGCAGAGTGAGACCCTATCCCCTCCCCAAAAAAATGGTGTGGTATAGTTCATCGGTGTTGGGGAAAAGGTGATCTTCTGAATTCATTTACACAAATAACACATATAAAATAAAAATGAATATTTTTATTGAACAGTAATTTAACATCTAGTAACTTAAATTTATATTAAGTAAAGCTTAAGACAATTTTTAAAACAATTTAAACTCGAGGACAGCTGAGAGAACTTTAAGCAATCCATGGATGTCAAATAGGATTTTTCTACCAACTACATCACTTGTAAGTATAAACAATTTTTACTGCAACAATTTTTAAAACAAACTCATAAAACAGCTAAATTTTAAGCAATGCATGGATGTCAAATAGGATTTTTCTACCAACTACATCACTTGTAAGTATAAACAATTTTTATTGCAACAATTTTCAAAACAAACTCATAAAACAGCTAAATTTTAAGCAATGCATGGATGTTAAATAGGATTTTTCTACCAACTGTATCAAATGGTTATGTGTAAGTATAAACAATTTTTATTGCAACTTATTCTTAAAAGTTAATTAAAATAAATGTTTTCAAATATGAGAGATTTTTATATTCCTATCTGGTATCTTATAGGAGATGCTTGCGCCAGGAGGACTTCCTGGAATGTAATCCTGTGGGAGTTCCCAACCATAAAACTTCAAGAACATTTAATGCATAGAGTAAACAATGTCATGTGATTAAATTTAATTTAGTTCTTACCAGCTTCAGTGTGCTCAAATTAATCAATATTATTAACATATTGATTCAGAAAATGTGGATAATCCCAAGTTATTTGCTCTGAGGAGATGAATTATCTGGTTAGGAATTCATCTACACACTACTTCTTGTTTTCCTTTTCTAAGGCTCTGTGTGTATGTGTGTGTGCATAGCTGGCCAGGAGCTCTGTGCCATCGTGGCTGTACACAATGCAGGTGATGTTTGTTGGAAAATCACAATTAACCAGATGATGAAGAGTGAATTTCTTGAGTACTCCATTGTTTTCTTTCTCATCAATTCTCCTCTGGTCATAAATCCTTAAAAACCGATCATGTCCACCCACTGCGAATTGGTAAATATTGGCAGGATTCATAGAGATTGTATACAGTCCCACTTTCTTATTCTTCTCTCTTGTTACTACAACTTTTGAAGCTGTGTGTGTGTGTGGCCAAGTGTTAGGAATTAATCTACACACTACTTCTCTTTTCCTTTTCTGAGACTGTGTGTATGTGTGTGTCAGTATTCAAAGAACTATGGTTTGCCTTATTTTACCTCTAAAGAATAAACACGTTTATGAAATTTTCAACTCAACTGAAGAACTTTATCTTCAAAATAAATTGGTAAAAAATGAAAAAACTAAAAAGTAATAGCTTTCAGAATGTCTGAAATGAGTAGATACATCTAATAAGGCCATTAATTTTTTCAACAAAATTATGCAATTTTAGAGGTCAATTATAAGGGAACAAAGGAAAAGAGGCATAAATAAGTTGTGTATGCACTCATATAAGGGGTAACAAAAACAGAAGACAAAAAGCAAATCTGTTAATCAATTGACAATTCTAAATTAGTCAAACTGAATTTTAAAGTCCAGTGTACTTAGGTGGCATCTAGCTGGACTGGATATGAGGCCTTCAGGATGGTATGCACTGCACTCGATCTTGGCCCTCCTCCTCGGATGTATCTGAGGTGCTGGAAGACTCATCCAACTCTTCTTCATCTGGGAACTCAGCTCCATGATCTCTCCAGCCGGGTTGATGAGCTCTCTGTAACAGGTGACGCACGAAGAACCGAAGCATGCGGTTGTCAAACGAGTCCGTATAGTTCAAGTTGTCTTCATCTCGCTCCTGCTTGTTCTTCTTAATCACATCTTTTAACCCAGTAAGCTCAGTGGCAGTTTTAGCTGTGGGTGTCCAGATCCTGACATGCTGATCTAGGCCACTGGTCGCCAACACAGGTAGGTAAGGGTGGGGTTCAAGACAGTTTACTATATCTCCTCTGTCCCCCTCCATGAACTGGATGATCTGGGAGGATGATTTCTCCCAGAAGAAGACGTGCCCACAATCACTACCGCTCACGACAAACTCACTCCGGGGGCCATAGAAATTAACACATTTGATTGTGTCATTATTTCTGTGCCCCTTATATCTCTTAACATATTGAGCACCATCACTGAGAGAGGAGTTGAAGAGGTAAATATCTTCATCATTGTAGCTGGCCAGGAGCTCTGTGCCATCGTGGCTGTACACAACGCAGGTGATGTTTGTTGGGAAATCACAATAAACCAGATGATGAGGAGTGAATTTCTTGAGTACTCCATTGTTTTCTTTCTTATCAATTCTCCTCTGGTCATAAATCCTTACAAACTGATCATGTCCACCCACTGCAAATTGGTAAATATTGGCAGGATTCATAGAGATTGTATACAGTCCGACTTTCTTATCATTTTCTCTTGTTACCACAACTTTTGAAGCTGGCCGGTCTTGCCTGAGGTCAATGGTGAACACAACGGCATCTTCACCTGAAGTGAGGAACTTATAAGGAGAGTCTGGCTCCAGAGCCAACTCGTGGGCAGGTCCCCTGTGCTTGGCCACACGCTTAGTATTCTCGCAATATGATGCATTAATTAGTTCTGCTACCCGTACCTGTCCATCATGGCCACACATGGCCAGAGTGGAATCACCACAGTTAGGAAAGAACTTAGCCTGGATGACATTAATATCGTGACCACTCTCAAAGTTCAGTACTGGCTTCTGCCGCACCCAGTCCCACACTATCACCCTTAAGTCATCACCGCTACTGGCCAGTCGGGTGCCACGCTGGTTAAAGTGTATGGTACTGACAGAACCGGCATGGCTTCCAAGAAGATACTGCAGGCGGAAACGCTGCACAAAGGTTCTTGCCCCACAGGCCTCATATACAAAGCGGGCACTTGAACCCAGCTGCCGCTGGCGAAGAGCAGTAAGGACTTGCCAGCGAGATCGGGGCAGGGCAGATGTCTCTGAGGAAATCCACTCCTCCAACGCCTGATCCTCGTCTAACAAACACTGATCATGGTTGGTGCCACCGCATCGTGGACACATCCGAGGCTGTTCTTCCTCCTCCCCTTCCTCCTCCATCTCTTCTTCTTCCTCCTCCCTTTCTGTCTCCTCTCCCACTAACGGGTAACCAAATAAACCTTCACCCATGCTTTCAAGTTCGACGTCTTCACTTGAACTTTCTGAGTCTGTGTTTTGATTTTCTGTGCTGGCATCGTTCAGGAAACCACCATCCCTGGTATCACCACCATCTCCGGTCGATGGCTCTGTGGCTGCCATTTCAATGTCTGAGGAGGCCGCCGTCACCGCTGCTACTCCAGACTGCTCCTCTGGGCTGCTGAACAGGCTTTCAGTCACTAAGTCTGGTAAGCCACCTGTGCTGCCCTCTTGGTGGGACATCTCGAACGATGTTTGCTGTAGCTGATCTGGAACTGGAAAAGCCAACCCCTAAAAGCTCAGGGAAGAGAGCACGCCTGCCCCGAGGACGGACGGTCGGAGAAGGCAGTAGGTAAGCAGCAAAGAGACACCAATCCGATTGGCTGAAGGGGGCGACAAACTAATCCACCAATGCTGACGTCAGTATGGGAGCCAGTGAGGTTCAGAAGACTTCTTATCTGCTCGCCTCCTCTCAGTGTCGACTGCTCTAATTTTTCCAGGCCCAGAGCCACACCCCCACGGGCATCTTACACTGTGAGTAGCTGTGGTTTTTTTCAAGATCGAAAGTTGCCACACTTTGGAAAATGCTTTTATTTGAAAGGTCACGAAGTGAATGCAAAGAACTCTGATAGTCTTGCCACCAGACGGCAACATTTTGGCATGACAGTGAGGTCTCTACTATAGGTGTATCTTAAGTTAGACATAGGCTCTGAGATGAGGATGTATCTTTGATTAATTTAAGAAAATGATCTAAGGGAAGACAGCGGACGCCAAGGAAGAGTGAAATCTCAGGTGAACACCCCTCAGAGGATAGCTTCAGCACGATCCTCCTGGGGAACTCTGGAGAGTAAGTTACGTCTGAGTTATCCTTACACCAGGCAAGGGAGTGAACTTTCATACTCCTACACTGTTCAGTCCTTGATTAAAGGCCACCCTGGGAGGGATGAGCATATCAACTCCCAGATGTCCCAGATGCTTTAAAATCTCTTCACCTGTGGGCAAAAGCTCCTTCAGCAGCTTGAAGACTAAAGAGCTGTGCATTAGTACTGATGCTTGGAAGGGAAAGGGAAGTAGATAGTACAAAAAGGGATTTGAAAGGATCTTGCAGGAGCATGAACATTAACAGCCACAAGGTAGCTAATACAGCGACTATTAGAAAGGGCTTTGTTACTACTGTGTATGCTGATGAAAGTACAACTTAAATAAAACTTTAAGAAGTGTATAGAAGCCTAATTTGGAAGGTGAAACTAAAACTAAAGTCATGGTGAGCAAATGCTATTCACTTCCTATATCTTGTTAAATGATGGTTCAAATCCCACAGTCGCCATACCCCTCTTCATGCCAGTTGAATGAATAATCTGGGGCACAATGGTGAAGTGCAGAGACTGACAGTCTTAAATAATAAGACTCGAAAGTCTAAAAGAGTCCTTGACCCAAGGTCTACCGATGAATGATGTGTTAGCAGATGTGAAAACATTAATCTCCTTGTGCATCATCAGAGCTCTTGGGTGACCAGGACCAATGTTAATGATCAGTAACATTTTGAAAGGAATCTCCTTTTCTGAACAGTAGAACTCAACAGGGGATTAAAAATATTCAGCAAACTATGCTGTAAACAGATGTTCTGTCACCCAGGCTTTTTTTTTTTTTTTTTTGAGATGGAGTTTCCCTCTTGTTGCCCAGGCTGGAGTGCAGTGGCATGATCTCGGCTCACTGCCACCTCTGCCTCCTGGGTTCAAGCGATTCTCCTGCCTCAGCCTCCTGAGTAACTGGGACTACAGGCATGTGCCACCACACCCAGCTAATTTTGTATTTTTAGTAGAGACAGGGTTTCTCCATGTTGGTCAGGCTGGTCTCGAACTCCCAAACTCAGGTAATGATCACGCCCACCTTGGCCTCCCAAAGTGCTGGGATTACAGTGTGAGCCACCGCGCCCGGCCTGTTGTTCCTTTTTTAGAGCACATAGTAGTTTTAGCATGGTTCTTACAGGCCCTAAGATTTTCCAGATGGTAAATGAGCATTGGCTTCAAGTTAAAGTTACTAGCTATATTAACCCCCATCAAGAGAGCCAGGCTGGCCTTTGAAGCTGTGAAGCCAGGCATTAATTTCTCATCTCCAGTTATGGAAGTCCTGCATGGCATCTACCTCCAATAGAAGGCTGTTTGTTCTACAGTGAAAATCAGTTGTTTAGTGTAGCCACCTTCATCAATTAGATATGCTTTGTATGAGAGAACTGAGGTGATCCAAATATTCAGTGATCATTAAGTGGGACGATTTGTCAAGTACTACTGGTTCTTGTGCTATTTGACAAATATTTCTAGTTTTTCTCCCATCGATGTATATGGTAGGCCTGTACTTTCAGGTCTTTATATGGTTGGATGGGACCGTGTGACCAGATTTACCTGCTCCCTTGTGAGAGGAAGTGATGTTTATTATTACTGAGCCAGCTCGTTTAATTGCTAATGTGTGGCCATCCATACATCTCTTTCCCCAGTTTGCTCATGACCTGCAATGTTCCAGATGTCAGCTAATCTCCACGAATATCTACCATGAGCAGAGAACACTTCTCCTATTCCTCCCCAGTAACCCATAATGGATATGTAGCATAAGCAAAATATCAACTTCATCATCATCATCTTTGGAAAATTCGGGAATTTTTGTTATTGCAGAATAGCATAGTCTATCTGACTGAGACAAAACTATATTGTCGATTATTTATTTAAATTTTAGAACTTAGGTCAGAATATTAAGTTATGTTTTATATTTACAGGATGACAAAACATCCAAGTTATTAAAGATTGTAAGTTTCTGACTATCCATTTACAAGACAGTCATGTTTATTGCTCCTAAACAACAAAGTACTCAGCACAGGATAGGTAAGTAGTAAGTATTTTTCTGGTGAATTCGTGTATTAAAGTTGTATATTTATGAATGAATATATAGAAGAATGAAACAAAACCAAAAAAATTTCTATTGAACATTCCATGGAGGATGGATAATAGTGAATAGCCTAAGGGAGATATCCATTTTGAGTTTAATGTTAACGTAAACATCTAATATTGAACAATTTTACATCAGGGTGATGCAAACAACATTGCCTAAGACTCAGGCTGAAGAACATTCTCTGAAATTTTCATAAGAAACAGTAAATTTATGTTATCTTTGTAAAGTATCCGCTAAGGGGAGGCAGATTCAAAACCATGTTTAAAATGTTAAATTAAGGCTGGGCACAGTGGCTTATGCCTGTAATCTCAGCACTTTGGGAGGCTGAGGCAGGCAGATTACTTGAGGTCAGCAGTTCGAGACCAGTCTGGCCAACATGATGAAACACCATCTCTACTAAAAATTAGCCTAACGTGGTGGCAGGCGCCTGTATTCCCAGCTACTCAGGAGACTGAGGCAGGAGAATCGCTTGAACCCGGGAGGCAGAGGTTGCAGTGAGCCAAGATCATGCCACTGCACTCCATCCTGGGTGGCAGAGTAAGACTCCATTTCAAAATAATAATAATAAAATAAAATGTTAAGATGTAAAAACGAAAAGAAAATGTATGTTTATATGTTCATACTAGGCTTTCTTTTCTGTCATATATTGGGGTTAAATTTGAGACTCAACATAAAATTGCTTATAGGAAAGTATATTTACCCATAATGTATGAGAAATCTAAGTAAGATTAATTGCTAAATATCATACATCATTTCAACTGCATTACTTCCTCTCATAATAACTAGATTACTTTTCACTTTTGTGAGTTAGTGTACAATACTGGTAGAATTGAGAAAAGTAGGTCATTGACCACGTCCAGATGGGCAAAGATATTTAGCTTGTGGAGAAGTAGGCCAATCGCACCACAATGAAGACATCTGCCTGCTTAATTACTGCTGCATTAAACGATAACCTTCACATTTTCTTCTAGCTCTACTGTCACTGAAAAGTTTCAGTGTGACACAGTCTGTCAACCCAGAGGGTTAAAATTTTAACATGTATTTCTTGATAATTGTAATATTTGTACATTTTACATGTTTTGTGAGAATCTCATGTTAAAATTAAATCATCATAATATTATTGTCTCTTCACTAACCACTGCATTTCAATGTAAGATGTAAAGTATAATTGATTCCATTTAATTCAGCCAGCTGTTTTATTTTAAGAACAATTTGCTTTTCTCAGCTTATCTTTCCCATTTTTCCTTCCCATGTTTCTGAGAGGAAGAGTTATTTGGTCAGCAGGAAACATTCTTGAACATCAAATATTTAAAACTATGCAGCCACAAATTTTAAATAGTATCCATGTTAGGCCTCTGCTAAGAACAGAGATTTTGAATCAGGAGGTAATTTTTTTTGTGGTTTGCTAAAAGGTTCATTAACAACAATAAAATTGTGAGCAGTTCAGTAAGCTTTGACATTTGTGAGGTGTGCACTAAAAGTATTACCACATATGTTTGCCTTTTCTTTTTATAATCAAATTTTTTATGAAAAATTGTCTGAAGATATTATTTTCAAAATAGTAAGAAAGAAAAATGGCAAAGAACAATAAAAGGTCTTGTATGTCATTCTACTCTTTAATTAAAAAACTCAACAAACTAATAAATAAGACATGGTGGAACCTGCAGCATATTCCATAGCAAAACAATATTAATAGTACAGAGTTAAATTTTAAGTATTAATAAAATTTTCCCACTGACATTTATGGTATTGCCTTGACATTTTGTTTACTTCTTTTTAAAAAGCACATCTCTCAGGGAGCAGTGGCTCATGCCTGTAATTCAAGCATTTGGGGAGGCTGAGGCAGGTAGATAGCTTGAGCCCAGGAGTTCGAGACCAACCTGGGCAAGAGATCCCATTTCTACAAAAATACAAAAATTAGTTGGGTGCGGGGACTTGTGCCCAGCTCCTCAGTAAGTTGAGGCGGGAGGATCACTTGAGCTCAGGAGGTCAAGGCTGCAGTGGGCTGAGATTGCACCATTGCACTCCAACCTGGGCAAAAGAGTGAGATCCTGGCAAAAAAAAAAAAAAAATTAAAAACCATCACCTAATTCAGTACTTTCTATATAGTAGACGTGCAGTAAACATTTGTTGAATTGATTTGTTAATTTTTATTTAAAATTTTAGTAAACACATACCTGTATAAACTTTCCCTTTCGTCAACATTTGCCCTAACTCATTAAGTTACATCTTGGAATGTTCTATTAATAAAATATATTTCTGTGGTCAGGTGCAGTGGCTCACACCTGTAATCCCAGCACTTTGGGAGGCCAAGGCAGGTGGATCACGAGGTCAGGAGATCGAGACCATCCTGGCTAGCACGGTGAAACCCTGTCTCTACTAAAAATACAAAAAATTAGCCGGGCGTGGTGGCAGGCACCTGTAGTCCCAGCTACTTGGAAGGCTGAGACAGGAGAATAGTGTGAACCCGGGAGGCGGAGGTTGCAGTGAGCTGAGATGGCGCCACTGCACTCCAGCCTGGGCGACAGAGTGAGACTCCATCTCAAAAAAAATAAAAATAAAAGTAAAAATAAATACAGAAAGAAAATATATTTCTGTAGGAAAAAACATACCTTAAGGAACCATTTAGACTTTATCAGAGGTTAAATGCAAGTGCTTTCTAATTGTACAAGGAGAATCCTCAAAAAATATGTAATCTGTCTTCCCTTACCACTTAGCTCCACATACACATGATGTATCCAGTGTTCATAGTATTTTGTATGTCTAATTTAGCTTCTGACAGAAATTTCTGTTAATGCACAGATACAATTTTATGAAGTACATGTCAGTAGTTATTTGCCATGTGGGGTTTTGAGCTTTTAATTTTAGCTCTATTTGGGTAGCAGTAGCTTGAAATTTGAACCTGAGCCTTGAGTGTCCTTTCAATACAAAATAAGTGAGGAGCAAAAATCCCATTGATCTTCCCCATCTCACAGTGGAATCAGTATACTGCAGTGGCATGTTTTGATTGATCGACACAGATTTACTCCATCTTTTATGTGGGAGACACTACTAGGTGGTGAGGAAGGATAATAGAAAAGGGATGTTTGTTGCTCTTGAGAAACTTCTGATATCTAGTTGAGGAGCTGGGAAATATACGGAAATATATGGGACTTATATGGAATATTGTTCCCATATAAGTCAAAGAATTTTTATGACAACCATTGTGATCTTATCAACTTTAGAGTCTCAAGATGCTTTTATCCTCATTTTGTTACACAATGTATTTAATTACCTTACTATTTTTACCTACATCATGGTAGATCCTTCTTATTAGATTGCAAACTTCTTGAAGAAGCATATTGTGAGACAGTTGTTTTCATGATTTATGTGGTTGGTACTATTAGAAAGCTTTTCAAAATATAGTGAGTAATCAAGAGATATGGTGAGACATCCATGAAATTCTCTGTTGCATCATGAAACTGTCCTTCTAGTTCACCTCTTCTATCCTTTGTCTTTTTCTTGATTCCTGAAGGGGTGTGGTATCCTTAGGAAAAAATCACAAAGAGGCAGAGAAAGAAAAATAAAATAATGCGTTTCAGTTATGTTATGAATAGCTGACAATATTAGAAAAAGAAAGGTGGCTTTGTCCTCTCTGAAAAATTTAAAGGATCTAAAATCCCTCCAGTAACAAAGAGTAAGAATCTGTTTTCTTTCTAGAAATAGCCAGTGGTGTAACCTAGTACCTAGGGAGCCTTGTTACCCATCTGAAGGACCTAGATCCTGATGGTTAAGTAAAGACAAGGCTGAGAGGACCATAGAGAGCAAAAGGAGAGTGATGCCTAGTGCCAGTCTGTCCCACAAACCCTAGCCAACCAACGGATGAAATGAGTACTCAGACACAGTATGCAGTGTAAAAGCAGCTAGGGGACTGCCTGGCTCTAGTGGCCAAAGTTCAGCCCTGAGAAGCTGGAGCTGCTTGCTTTTATTCAGTGCAGGCACAATGCTGAAAGCCTGGAGCATACACAACCTGCAGGTAATTAACATTTATTGTTCCCCTTTCAGGGAATGTCACACAGGTGGATGTTCAAAGGTCAGTTCCTAGACAACTTCAAACAAACAAGCCTGATCAAGATAACTTCCCCTTTACTTCCTTGCACATACTCCTCGCCCTCTGCCTCAGGGTTAGAAAACAGCTGCCTTCAGCTATTCTCCCCTAAAGCTTTGGAGAGCCTTCTGACCTTTCAGAAGGCCTACTCCATTCCCTATAGTTTCCCCCACCACTCTGATTGATCTCCTACAGCCTAGAAGAGATATGAAATGAAATATAACAAAGAAAAACTGAAGTATAAACTTTCTTTTAGATTCCATTTTCATGACCCTCTGATGTTCTGCAATAGATCCTCAAATTTATTTTCTTCTGTCACACCTTTATGGACTTTGTAAGCACAAGCAAAGGATAACAAGGAGCACCATAGAATGTTAGACCTGGAAAAGACTTAGAATTGAAACTTAGGAGGAACCCTCTAATTAATATGTGAGATTAGTAACTGATACCAAGAAAAGTTAAATTCCCTACAGATTAGAAAGAATTTATGCTTATGAAAGACTAGCAAAAAGGGGCCAATAACCATACTTACCTAATGTTGATAATTTTTTCCATGGGGGTACCCTATTATTATAGCTTTATTTTCTTTTCCAAAACATGCATGGAAATAACAGGTGCTTCTTCATGTATTCATTTTCTCATGAAATTAAGTATAATGTTTAGTGAGCGGGGGGCCAGGACAAACAAAAGGTGAGACATCACTTCCTCCTTTTTCTACAAATGTTATTTCTTTGTGTCATTTGTTCATTAGTGATTAATGGTTAAAAATAGTTCTGTTTGATTCATTTTATAATTGACATTCTCTATAACTTTTTTGTTTTTATTGATGAAGATTTAATTTATGTTTTGGGAGATATTTTTAATCAAGGATCTACCACTTTGTACTCAATAAATTAATTTTATCACAGTAATTGGGCTGAAACTGCATGTATGTATATATTTGTTGAAGTGCTTCCTTGTTAGTATGTAATTACATATTATCTATATCCTTAAATAAGTTTTTTCACAGTAAAAACCATCTCCTTTTCCTTTTGAATAATTAAGTACTGTATCTCTGCAAAACAATGTGATATAAAGTGGTGAATATATTAAATGCACATTGTCATCCCTAGGAAGTACATGTATTAATATTTACTAAATATCCTCTATTCTCTATACTCATGACTAGCCTGAAAGGGTGTCTCCCTTACCTTTTGGTTTTTACAGTGATGACTTGCTTTGATGTCCATGCTAATAGGGAACAAGATCATGTCCCCTGCATTTATTTTAGTTACTACAATGAATCTTTTCCTCTATTCATTGTTAACTTTTCCTCTTAAATTTGCCATTACTCAAACCAAAATGAACAGAAAAAATATTCCCACCAACTTCTAAACATAATCAGACTAAGTTCTTGCTATTAAATTATTTTACACATTCCCTCATGCAAAGTCTAGATATAATCCAACTGTGGTAATTGCTATAAATGTTATTAAAGTGTAAACAGCTAGAATTAAATATAAGGTTAAGACAAAGCAGTATTATTTAACCCTCTATTTAATGAAAAATATTCTGTGTTCATCCCATGTTTGTTAAGTATGCTTATGATATTTCATTTCTAGCTGGTGGCAAGAGAAGAAAAGTAGTAAGTGAAGGGAGAGTATACCATGACAATCTACTGGGTTAAAATTTATTTTAGAAAAAATAATAAAATCCTTTGCAGGCAAATAATTGTCCTCAGATTCATTAATAGGAGCACAGTGTTTTATGGCATTGTCATAAATAGAAATTATTCCTATATTCATCACATTTTTAATGAGTGAAAAATTATACATATGTATGTATTAGGATATAAAAACTTCAGAAAAATAATCTCTAAAGTTTATTCAGAATTGCTATTTATCAGTAGAAGTTTTGATTTTCCATAAATTTACTTCTTCAGAAAAGAAATTGCCAAAAGATATATGTATGTTGTATATCTATTGTGTGTGTATATATATATACACATATATATATAGTATATCTCTGTAGATACACAAAAGGTATATCTATATTCTATAACAGTTTCTTTGTTTCAAAAAGTCCTTTTTCACTGCCCAAATCCATATGTGTAATTGTTAGTTATATTACTATTTTTGTATATCTTTATCTATTTTCTTACTATGTTTACCTGTATTTATCCTTGCACCTAGGATATTTAGCATAATTTTAAGTTATTTTATTGGGGAAAAAACATGATAAAAAGGTCCTAAACACACACAGTTGCGTATACAAACTTACAGCCCTCTTTCCTTACAGGAGCCATCATAAATTTCTTGTGAACCTTCTGGAAATATCCCTAGCATATATCCATATTTAAAAAAAAAAATTTACTTAAATGAGTAATATACACACTTTTTACATTTGTATTTGCAGTTTGTTTATGTTTTGTTAGAATATCGTTTATGTGCTTCAATATCAGTGTGTAAGGACAGGATCTATATTTGTTTTAATAGCTAATATTGCAATTGTAGCTATCATAATTTTTTTAAAATAAAATATGACTAAAACAACCCTTAGGTGCATTTCAGGATTTAGCTATTAATTAGTAATGCTGAAATGGCAAAGATTTTACATATTTTAGTGTGTTTTTATCATGTTTATAAATGTATGTGTAGGATAAGTAAAATACTGCCAAATTGCACTTCAAATGATTCTTTTCTTTCATTTTTTTCTCACCAAATACCTCAATGAATTACAAACTTTCAGATCTCTGTTACTATAATAAAAATCTGTACCGCAACTTTTTATTCTTTTATTCTTCTATTTAGAATTTGAACCTTCTAACATGTCTGCTCATACGTTGCACATTATTTTCTTTATAAAGTGTACATTATTACATCTGCCCATTTTTTATTGTTTTGTAGATTTTTATTATTAGTATAAAATAACTTATCATATGTCAATGAAATAACCCCTTCTCCATGTAGCTGGCTAATATTTTTGCATGTTTTATTTGTATTTTGATAACTGTGTATGTTCTACTTTGCCATAAAGAAAATGTAATTCCTCCACTATTTACTAGCTGACTTCTCTGTGCCAGATCCCTATCTGTAAAACCTCTGTCTGAGGTAGGGCTAGTATTTTGTCTTTGGAAGGATTTAAGCAGCTAATCCATTTAAATTTTTAGAATAACAACTAGCACATATTAAGCAATCTGCAACTATCGGCAGCAGCAGAAGCATCATTGACACAGCTATTTTGGTTGTTTAAACAGATTTGTCAATTATTTTAGAGCTTCTAGTTTTTTGGCTTCTTTCTTGCTCAGTGTAAAATTATTAAATAGATTTTTTTAATGACTTCTGTTTTCACTCCAGTTGTCCTCAAACATTGTTTTTGATTAATTACTTGATCTGAAATGCCACATTTAATACATGCTAAATTTTCATATTTTGGAAATCTCATTCTGAACTCACTGTTTTGTTTATTCTGCCTGTGCTTTATTTTACAAATGAAAATATAGTTTAATAACTGTAATTTGTTCAGTTTTCTTATTTCACATGAAATTTAAACGTATGACAAATAATTACATTGTTTATTTTATAGGGGTCATATTAAATTTCTACATTAACTTGTGGAGAAAAGATATATTTATATATTTAGTCTTCAAGGCTAACAGCAATCTTAGGCTTCTAATAGTCTTACTTCAATTGAACTTTCAAATCTTTTCATACAAATCTTATACATTTCTAAAATTTAATTTATTTTCTCTCCTTATTATAAGTGAGATTGTTTTATTTCATTACATTTTTTAACTGGGTGCTGTTCAAATCAAAGATCTTATACCTATTCAAGGATCGGCAACCTAAGGCTATCAGGTCATATCCAGTCCACTTTATATGCTTGCGACTAAAGCTTTATTGGAAAACCTCTATGCCCATTTGATTGTGTATTATCTATGGCTACTTTCAATGCTATAAAAACAAAATTAATGTTGAAATAAGGACTGTATGGCCCAGTAAGCCAAAAATTTTTACCATCTGGTCCTTTACAGAAAAAGCCTGCTGACCCCTGCCTTCATTAATTTTATAACCATTGTATAATTCTAGTTATTCTAATAATTTTAAGCTGATTTTCTTGGGTCTCCAGGCATGTGAATCTATTACCAAATAATAAAACTTTTGCTATTTCATGTTAGTTTATGTATCTCTTATTCTATTCTCTTGCTTAATTCCATTGGTTAGTACTACAATAACAATGCAAAATAATGGTCATGACAGTAAAAATACTTTTATAATCCTAAATTAGATAAAATTTCATCTAGCATTTCACAATTAATCATACACTTGGCTTTTAATATTTATATTAAAGTATTCCCATGTTGCTAGTGTATAAAAGTATCCTACCCTTCCGCAAATTAGAACTGGGTTTTGAATTTGATGAAATCCATTTGGACACCTACAGAGAGAATCATATATATTTTTTCTCTTGATGAAATATATTAATACATATCTTAATGATTTTACTTTGTTCTATTAGTACTAGCCAATGGAATTAGACAAGAGTAAGGAATAATAAGTATATAAATTATGCTGGTTTGATGAAAAGAATTTGGAACTGTCCCTATTCTTTATACACTCTACGGTTTAAATATCATTGCATTTATACTCCCTGAAGGTTTCCTAGCAATTTTATGTTAAACTACCAAGATTTGGTACCTTTTTGAGACACATTCTTTAAAAGTATTCTCAATTTCCTTGATGGAATTGTAATGTTTAGATTGTTTACTTCTGGAATAAACTTACTATAATTAATATATTCTAAAATACACAATTAAGTAACTTTGTGGTCCTTGCAATTATTTGAGGAAGATCTTATCTTTTTTTCTTAACTGTTATTCTTTCATTTTTATTTCAAGATGTATTTGTACTTTCTTTTTAAAAATTAAATTAGCTAGTTGATTATGTTATTATTTGCTCCATTCCCCCTCAAATAACCAGCTTTCAGTTTGTTTATTATATGTATTTCTTTTAGGGTCTACTAAACATTCATCTAGGTTGCTCCCATTTTCTGTTTCCTCCATTTTCTTTCCTTATATGTATTTTATTGCTCTCTTGCTAAATTTTAAATTGAGTATTTATTTATTTATTTTATTTTATTATTATTATTATTATTTTGAGATGGAGTTTCGCTCTTGTTGCCCAGGCTGGAGTGCAATGGCGCGATCTCGGCTCACTGCAACCTCTGCCTCCCAGGTTCAAGTGATTCTCCTGCCTCAGCCTCCCTAGTAGCTGGGATTACAGTCATGCGCCACCATGCCTGGCTAATTTTGTATTTTTAGTAGACACGGGGTTTCTCCATGTTGGTCAGGCTGGTCTCGAACTCCCGACTTCAGGTGATCCCCCCGCCTCGGCCTCCCAAAGTGCTGGAATTACAGGCGTGAGCCACTACGCCCAGCCAAATTCATTTATCTTCATTTTTGCTTGTAGTATCACTTCCTGCTGAAAGAGTACATAACCGTAAGTGTAGTTTAAACAATAAGGGCATTTATTATCTCACATAGCAAATCTGGAGGCAGGGTGATTCCACAGCTGATTCAGCAGTTCCTTCATGTTTTCAAGGATCATCTTCTATTCTCTATCTTTCTAGTCTGTCATTCTTGCCATATCAGAGTTATCACCACTCATGTTTTCTAGGTAGCTACAGCAGTTCTCAGCTCCACATGCAAATTTAACTCTATCCAACAAAGCATTTGCTATTTTAAGCCCAAATTGTGGAAAGAAATTTCTGCCAGCAAGTGATTAGGAAATAGGGAGATGTTGGTTAGGAAACTAACAATGTCTGCCACAGTTTTTAAGATTTAAAATGTTAAGTTATTAGAACATTGAACACTGCTTTAGCCATATTCTATTGGTACTGATATATAATGCTTGCTTATGAGTATTTGTTGGCTATATATGACTTCTAATTTTTGTTTTCTTACAGAATTAAAAGTGTTTAAAACTTATGTATATCGTGCGTAAGACATAGTGGTTTTTCTTATTATTAATAAATTGCTTTATTACATTAAAAGAGAATGCGGTATATTTTAATATTTAGAAAATTAATAATTTTCTTATTCTTATTAATGTATGTGACCAAACATACAGTCAATTTTGTAAAATTTTGTCATGTAGGCATTTCAGATGAAGATATGGTCACTGATATTAGGGTGCAGATTTTGGTATACATGTTAGAGGGCCATTCAAATTTGTATTTACTTGATTGGACAGGAATTAATAGAAGTAAGTTAAATACACTCAATGACGTTTCATTCTTTTGTTTATTTCCATTCTTAATATATTGATCCAAATTTGATCCTCTTTCAATGAATTTTCTTTCTTTTTGCACTCCGCAACTTAATATTTCTCTTTTATTCTCATTTTTCTTCTTTGAAGTCTTATATAGCATCTCAACCTTTGTTTCAGAGAAGCCCCTTTTTTTCTAATATCCTTGATTTAATGTAGATTTCTTTAAAATGCGTAGTTATTCAGTGTGTAACTGTTTTCTAAAATTGTTTTTGTCTTTTTTTTTTTTTTTTTTTTTTTTTTTAGAGAGAGACTTTTGCTCTTATTGCCCAGGCTGGAGTGCAATGGCATGATCTCAGCTCACTGCAACCTCTGCCTCCCAGGTTCAAGTGATTCTCTCGCCTCAGCCTCCCGAGTAGCTGGGATTACAGGCTTGTGTCACCACGCCCAGCTAATTTTGTATTTTTAGTAGAGACAGGGTTTCTCCATGTTGGTCAAGCTGGTCTCGAACTCCCAACCTCAGGTGATCTGCCCGCCTTGGTCTCCCAGAGTGTAGGGATTACAGGTGTGAGCTACTGTACCCGGCCTTGTCTTTTATTTTTAATGTTTTGAACTTTTTATTTATTTGCAGTACTTTTGCAGTACTTTTAAACAATAAGGGCATTTATGAACTATATTAGTTATAACTATATTATAATTATATAAAATTAATGTTGAAATAAGGACTGTATGGCCCAGTAAGCCAAAAATATTTACCATCTGGTCCTTTACAGAAAAAGCCTGCTGACCCCTGTCTTCAGTAATTTTATAACCATTGTATAATTCTAGTTATTCTAATAATTATATTATATATATTATATTATATATTAACTTTAATAATATAGTTATTAATAACTATATTATATATTATCTAATATAATTATATAATTATAACTATATTATAAAATATATAAATATATAATTATAACTATATTATAAAATATATAATTATATAATTATAACTATATTATAATTATAACTATACTAGTTATAATTCATCTTTGAATAAGTAAATGCCTTTGGGTCAACAGTCCAAGCAGATTTCAGTTATATGGAACAGAAATGCCTCCAATTAATTTAAGAAGAACAAATTTAAAGCAAATTAGAAGAGCTAAAGGAATGGTCTGACAGGCATTATTCCATGATAAGCAACACAGAACTGATCTTCCAGTGGAGTTACTAGCTCTTCTTTTACGTTGACTTCAAGTACATATCATTGTAGCTTTAATCCATTGGTCATTAAGTGGCTTCAGTTCCTGACCCTATAGCCATGCTATCCTATGCAGATGCACACCAGCACAAAATAGATGTCCCATATTCTGCCTCTTGACACCCTGAATGCTAGGAACTAACACTGAATGTTGCGGGGGAGTGTGAGGGAACATGACCTAGCTTGACAGCAGAAAAAATAGAAACAACACTTCCTCATTCCAAAATTCATATGAATGCATCTAATTGGCAGAACGTACATAAGTTTCACGTCCCTAGCTACAAGGGAGCTAGAAAATAGGGCTTTTAGCTTTCTAAACTCTGAAGCACAGAAGAACAAACTAAAATGATATTGAAATGAGTATTAAGTCCCAATCAAACATATCTACTACAACCAAGCTTTAATTAAATACAATGAGGGAGAAGTACCCAGGAGATGAGTTGAGAAAGTAAGCATCTTAGGTTTAGAGCAACAGAATTAAAATTCTTTGTCTCTGACACTCAATGCTGAGAGTATTTCCACTTACCAGTTGTGAGGAGGCCTGACTCTCAGTGAATCCAGCCCTTCAGTGAGTCTCTATATGGTGATTTTTCTCCCACCACTCTTCAGCTAACCAAGATCAGCAACTATAGAGCTAAATCCTCAGCCATGATGAAAATCTGCTTTCTCTCATGATGACATGTCTGTCTAATTTGATTATTACCTTTCCCTGACATTTCTTGGCATCATGTGAGTTCTGCCTCACGTCTATAACTTGTCTAAAGTCCATGTAGTTATGGTTCAGTGGATAGATCGCCAGTTTAGAAGATCACCAACTTCTGAACGGCTCTGCAAGTTAGATGCCTGATGACTGAAAAGGCAAATAACCTCTTTGAGGATTTTATCTGGTTTGGTCCAAATTTTACTCTAATTCATTGAGGACTTGATGATTTCTTTTGTTTATTTGTTTCATCATTTGATTTTTTACTTCTTTATTTTTCCATGATTTTTGTTGTCAATTGTTTTCAAGGAAAGAAGTGATACAATTTTATGTATCTATTTCCAATCTCATTAACTAATCAAGTAAGCATGTTATAGATAATTTGGCCCGTGGAGAAAATAAGAAAAGAAATAAAAGGTATCAATTGTTTTCAACTATCTGATGAAAAAATATGGGATCCTAGAAAGATAAAATCATAGATTATAACTCAAAAAAAGCCCTAAAAGCCAGTTAATTCCCAACTTCTTTATTTCATAAGATTGGGAAACTAATAGAAACACATTTGTTCATGCTATGCTTTTTCAATTCACATTGCAGGACAGGAGAAAACAAACTTAAAACATGTACAAACAGTACTCTCAAGTTAGAAGCCAAAGAATTTCTAGTATACGTGCTAAGTAGGACATTGGAAGCAGATTTAGTTAATTCTGTAGATTCAGAAGCAAAATAGTTCCAACAACTAGTTGTATTATGTTTCAGCAAAGCTGGTTCAATCCTGAACTATTCTGATGGCTAGAGTCTCATAAATGCAAGCTGCTCATTTATAAAGTGGTCCTGTGTAGAGCGACCACAGATGAAAAACAGCTACTGTGTCCTTCAGGCTTTTCAATTTCTTTAAACAAATCTGTCTGTGTCAGTGTGTTATTCATAGCAATTTCAATTTCTCTGAATATATTTTGGGCCAGAAATGGAAAAGGAATTAATAACAAAGGGACATGGGAAAAGACTGAGGCAGATATTGTGGGCATAGGACTTCTAAAAAGATAATCTTTCAACCATGTGTTTTCTTAATACCTGTAATAGTCACAAAAGAGTGATTAAAGAAACCATATCTGATCTTAAAAGCATAACATATCCATGTTTATTTTTGATTATGTGAGCAAGGGTATCCCACAAAGAAATTAGAAAGAAACATATAAAAGCAAGTTGATAAGATGGACAGTTAATAGGAATGCTCTAGATAGAGATTTTAGCTCAGTTCAGAAGATGTGCAAAAACTGATTTCCCTCAACACTAAAAGTAAGCGTTAAAAATCTCCCATGCTAGTCAATTACAGTGTTCATTCTCCAACAGTTTTCAGCCTGTGGGCAGTGAAGTTGGAATTAAAGAGCAATCACCTTATAAAAAGAGCTTAATGTAGTTTACAACCCTTATTTATATCATCTTCTTAAATGCTGGAATGCTTCATTCAATATAGTATAGCATAGACTATTTTTATAAGTCTTGCTTATAAAACTGCAATCACTGTGCAATTAAAATACCACTGCAATTAAAGTGTGTGTAATGGAACATTCAGAAATGCACACATGACTTTCCTTTATAACCACCAAGGGAAACATTTTATATTCAAGTCTTCCGACTTATAAGATTCATTCGGCTAACAAGGGAACTTCTTTATTCACACAATATCTTTACACACACACACACACACACACACACACACACACATCTACTGTGGGGTGTTATATGTTTACAAACATCCAAATGAAAATTTCAGAAGTTTATGTTTTCAAAGTTTGAATTGCTATGTGAAGATAAAATTCATTTGGTGGTATTTTTAGATTGTTCTTTTATTTCTTTATTTTTTTCAAATGAGAAGAGAAAGTGAGCAACATCACTGCACCAGATATTACACTAATTGCTTTATGTAAGTTATTTTAATTGAATCCCAAAAAAGGTTGGCAAGGTAGTTCTTTTCTTTCAGTTTCAAAGGGGAGGAGATTTAGGTTTGAAGAGGCAAAGTTACTTGCAGCTAATAAGTTTTGGGGCTGGAATGCAAACTTAGGTCTCTCTAGTAGCAAAACTCTTGTTCAAATATAAACTCCATTCGCTTAGCATTATTTCTACTGTAAATATATATAGTTAATGTATTTGGAAATTTTTTTAGTTATTAGACAGACTCTGTGTGAAAAATTCCCCATGCATTTTGAATGTGTTTTACCTAAATATAGACACAACCTTACAGATGATCCAGCTTCACATCCTTATTTTTAAAGGAAAGGTTATGGGAATCTGGGAATTTGAGGTGATTATCTCAAGTTCTCAACAAGTGAAAAAGGAGAGTCAAGTTCAGAATCCTAGAAAACCTAACAACCAGCTTGTTTTTTATTGATTTCAAGTTGCCAAGAACCTTTAGTTTAATGACTATGTAAGTATTGTAGATTCCAAATGTTGATTATGAATATTTCAGCATATTAGCTCAACAAATCTGGATTGAACAACCACTTACATACCACATTAAGCACCAAGGGCACAGATATTACTAGGCATTCCTGAGTTGATCTTCCAGATTACTAGGCATTCCTATGTTGATTTTCCAGATGATCTCATTTTTTCTCTGCATAATAAGATAAACTACTGCAGAGGATTGCTGTGAAGATTAAGTGAGAAAATTTATGTGAAATACTTAAAACAATCCATAACATATAGTTAATAGTTAAGTATTATTATCGCTAATATCATCAAACTAGCCCTCCTACTCTCCATCCATTGCATGCGTGCACTGCCTATCTCCCCTGTGGAGATACAGTTCTATTTCCTAAAGCTGCTTACAAAACAAAAAGAACTGTAATAGATAAGTTAAGTAAAGGGTACGCTGCATTTGATTTGAGAATAGAGCGAATTTAGATTGTTAAAAAAAACTTTTCTCTTTGATTTCTTCTAAGGACTGTGGTGCACAGCCCCTAAGGTGACCCTCATGATTCCCAGTCTCTGATATTTCATGCCCTTTATAATCCCCTCCCTTAGAGTGTGGATAGGACCTGTGACTTGCTCTAGCCATAAAATATGGCAAAGGTGAAGGGACTTTGTGGATGTAATTAAGATCCCAAATCAGTATATACTGAAATAATCATAAGGGAGAGTACCCAAGATGTGTCTGACCTAATCAGATGAATCCCTTTAAAATGAGTCTAGGATGGTCCTCCCTGAGGTGACTTGTAAAAGTATGTGGCCGTGTTGACAAAGCCTATGTGGCAGGAACTAGAACAGGTGTGTCCAATTTTTTGGCTTCCCTGGGCCACATTGGAAGAAGAATTGTCTTGGGCCACACACAAAATACACTAACACTAATGATAGCTGATGAGCTTTTAAAAAATTGCAAAAAAAAAAAAAAAAAAAAAAAAACTCATAATGTTTTCAGAAAGTTTACAAATTTGTGTTGGGCCCCATTCAAAGCCGTCCCGGGCTCACGCTACCTGTGGGCCGCGGGTTGGACAAACTTGCTCTAGAACCTAAAGGCAGCCTCTGGTTGACAGATAGCAAAACCTCAGGACCCTCAGTCATACGGGTGCAAGGAAATTAATTCTTCCAACAAACTGAAATGGTTTAGAAGCAGATTTTTTCCTGTCAGGCCTCCAGACAAGAATATAGCCCAGTCAACACCTTGATTGACGTCTTGTGAGAATCTGAGAAGAAACCTGTATTTCTGACCCATGAAAACTGTGAGATAATAAATATGTGTGGTATTAAGCTGCTAAATTGGTGATAATTTGTTACAGAGCGTAGAAACTAATATGGGGTTATGCTTTATTTCATTTGTCCTTCTCCAAAGCATTAATGGTGTTGCAGACTAGAAGCAAAGAATAAGACACTTCCATATGGACGGGAAGGAAAGAATAGCTTTTTAGTTTACATATTAGGGAATAAAACAATAGAGAAAACAATTCTTCAGTTTGGACAGTAATTTTCTTGTAATTAACTTTAAACCACCAAGCAAGTTACCTCTGACCAGAGATTTCTTCATGTTTAGCCCATTTCTTTCCCTGAAATGCCCACTCCTACCTGTTCCTGTGCTTCAACACAATGAAGGAAATTTTTTAAATGCTGCTGTCCTAATGATAACACAGAATTGTCCAAATGTCTTCATATAAATGGTCTAATTTGAGTTCCATAACAATTTTGTGAGGCAAGAACAAAACAAATGTGAGATTCTCAAATTCAGGTGGCATAGTTGTAAACTCAGTGGTCATCCATGGTTCTGAAAGCATCAGAGGCCCTCAGAAAGTGCTTAAATGAAACAGAATTATTTTGTCAGTTGCAAAATATTATGGTTCTAAGAGAATAAATGACTTGCCCCGCAAAGCCTGTACCCAAAAGTACAAGAATTAAAACTCAGGCCATCCACAA
This sequence comes from Homo sapiens, assembly GCF_000001405.40. Lineage (NCBI taxonomy): Eukaryota > Metazoa > Chordata > Mammalia > Primates > Hominidae > Homo > Homo sapiens. Next base: position 28,000,723 of record NC_000023.11, read on the forward strand.
CAGAGGCCATTTTTTTTTGTGATAGTATTTTACCTCTAAAAAGGAAACACATTTAGCTATTAACAGCCATTAACCTTTCTGCTTAAATTTGCATCTCCCCTTAGCAGAGAACCCTGAAGGAAGAGGTGCCAGGAGAGATGAAAGGAAATATCATGGGAATGGAGTGCTGTTCAGCCTGCGGAATGTCTGGAATATCTGAGAAGCAGCAGGACAACAGTCGATGCCTCTAGGTAGATGTGCCTTCTGACAAAGCGAAGATGGGTTGGTAAACAAAATGTTAACATTTTAAGGAAAATTACCTGTTTATTACTTTTTCTAGCATGGCCTTTGAAAATGCAAAGCAATAATTGTCCTTTTGAAAATGGATTTCCAAAAGCATTGAAAAATAATTTTGCTTACCAACACTTTATCTTATTCTGATGTAACCTCAAGCAATGCTTCATCATTTAAGTCCCTGTCTCAATGAGAGTACTGGATTGCTTTGGAAACTATATTATTCGATGCTGAAGAAAATAACAATCGAAGCTGAATATCAGTAGCATCATCATGCTGTCCTGAATATGAGGCTATGTGTGTTCTGTCACCCCAAGCCTCCTTGTTCTTATTCAGTATAAATATATGCTTTTTTAGGTTTTTCCATGCACAAAGGCAGTGGTCATTGAGGAGAAATCAAGATTTCTTAAGTCAGGAGTGTAATAGTCTTGATGCTTTTTAGCCAAAGACCATAAGGAAACACACCTGGAGTTATTACTTGCTGTAACAGGGAAAACTGCCCAACAAGGTGGCATGTCTACAAAAGGCTAGTAGGAGGAGCTTATCATAAGATTAGGGCCTGAGGTGCTTTTGGTAAATTTTCAAAGAAGCAGACATTTTACCTGGATTGGGTGCTGTCAGAAATCTGAGGCAATTTGGTGACAGGTACCTTAATAATTTTTATCCAAGAGGCGTGAAAGATGAACTGGGACTGTAATGGGTAAAAAAGCAGCAGCCATTCTTATAAGCTGGGAGAGGGATAAGTTTGGACAATTTTTAAAAACTTTTCTTTTAGGTTCAGGTGTACATGTGCATATACATTCAGGTGTACATATATAGGTAAGTTGCATATTGTAGGGGTTTGGTGTACAGATTATTTTGCCACCCAGATGATAAGCATAGTATCTGATAAGGTAGTTTTTCGATCCTCACCCTCCTCCCTCCCTCCACCCTCAAGTAAGTCCCCATGTCCGCTGTTAGCTTCTTTGTGTCCATATGTGCTCAATGTTTAGCTCCCACTTATAGTGAGAACATGCAGTATTTGGTTTTCTGTTCCTATGTTAGTCCACTTAGAATAATTGCTTCCAGCTCCATCCATGTTGCTGCAAAGGACATAATATTGTTCTTTTTCATGGCAATGCGGTATTCCAGAAAGAAAAAAGAAGTATTCCATAAGGAAAATATGTACCATATTTTCTTTATCCAGTCTACCGTTGATGCGCATTTAAGTTGATTCTATGTCTTTACTACTGTGAATAGCGCTGCAATGAACATACCCGTGCATATTTTTTTGTTTGTTTGCAGAGTTCTTGTTTCTATCTGAGCTCCGGCATGATTACAGAGTGGTCATGTTTTTGTCTCACTCCATTGTGGATACAAACTGAACTCAATTGATGTTAGTCTTCTGTGAGTTCATGTTCATCAAGAGAAGACCATAGCCAGCTACCATATGACACCTGTTAGGGATGCTTTTTTCTTTCTCAGCAGGCATCTAGGTTGTTAATAGAATGTAACCTCTTGCCCATTCTGAGATTTTGATTCAGGTAGGGCTGACTCTGTCTCCCTCCCTGTGGATGGCCACTTGGCTTAGGTCTGATTGATGAGATTTCTGTATCTCTCAGTTTACAGGTATTGGTTAAGGGAAGAGTACTTGACCCAAGGTGGGCCAATGACAGCCTACATCCACAGAACTTTTGATGAAGCTACCTGGAAAAAGGTGTACTGATTTGATTAATGAGGCCATTTAGGCCTAGAGGTTATAAAGGGTTAACATTTTGTTCTACCTCTTCACTAACAGTTGCAAGCTCCTAGCCTAAAGCAATAGGTCTTCCTGCTAAACACAAAACTAGACTTTCTTAAACTGTCCATTTTCTTCGCTAAATTTGAACAGGAGTATGTACTTTCTCAGAATTGCTTATCTGTAGAACATCTACCTCGGAAAATTAACAACTGTCCATTTGTTTTGCCCCATATATCACATAGTTTTTTATTCCCTTTCTCCTAAACACCTGAGTGCTTATAACACATAAACACTCAGCTAACTGCTAGAAGGCACAGCAATCTCATTTAAGACTGGCTCTCCTACCACCAGGCAATAAAAGCTTTCTTGTTGCTCCACTTTGGAAGTCTTTATTTGAGACTCCTTCAGGAAGGTGCTGGTGGTCATTTTTATCTCTGTATGGGAAGAGCTTTCTGCAGAAATAAAGAGGAAAGCCAAGCCAAAACATGGAGAAAGAAAATATCATGATAAGGGAATTTGATCTTGTGAATATTTCCTCTACTCAAAGCCAAAAGCACCTCTGAAACTCTTAGTTCCAAGCACTGATAAATTAACCTTTTTGATTAAAGTATTTTGCATTGGGTTTCTGTTACCTCCAACATGAACATACGTTTCCATTCTCCCCACACAAACACTTTCAGGTGCATCAAGTATCTCCAATAAAACCAGACTTAGATAAGAGAGACTTTATTTAGAAGGAAATACTATTGCAAAAGGGAGAACACTGTAATCTAGGAAATCTGTGTCTCAGAATCAAACCGAAGGTTTTTCTTCTATAGTATAAAGGAGGGGCAAGCAGTGATAAGCACAATCTTTTAAAGGGAAGCTGGACAAACAAGGGGAAATGATCAATGTGGCTTGCCTGGAAAAGTACCTTGCTATGGTCAGCTGATTCCCAGGATAAGCTGACAACGGGGGCACACTTCATTTTTTAGTGTTTGCTAAGGCTTTAGGGCAATCAGAGTTCAGGGTCCTGTAGGAAAGAGAGAAGCCTAACTAAAATTTGGTCAAGACAAAGTGGAGGGTAAGAAATGGGCAACTGTGGGCACTTACTTGGTCAAGTACAATATGACCATTTTGGGTTATGAGGATCCACCAGTGTCTCGGTGAAAAATATAATAGTAACTTTTTTTTCTTTTTAAAGGTTTATTACATTAGGCTGCCAAATAAGAGATTTAATGTTTAATCTCCAATTTCTTAAATTTAACAGATGTACCTGCTCCTATGAAATAACACCTTGTTTTAGGTGTTATCCTTTCATTTAAGATAGTATAAAATAACTTAAATCCTGACTCTATGAACAATGAGAAACAGAGTCATCAGCAAAAATCTATGAGGATTTCCAGGGAGGGAGAAGGAAAGGAGTTTATTGTCCCTGATGCAGTTTACACTGTAGCCTTCTCCTCCACAACTATTTGACTCCCATTGGTAATTTGAGCTCCAGAGATTCATTCCTGCCATTAAGGGGAAGATAAAATGCCTCTCAACTTTCTCCATGAAATTCTTTCTCTATTACCCCTGTTTCTGCAACCTTAACCCGTGTATATATGCTGAAGTCGGTGAGCAAGTAGCATTTTAAAACTTGTGTTTCACACTCTTCTTTACAAGCCCTACATAGATGGTTTTCTCATGCTTCAGAATAGGAGGTTATTTGTTCTTATTTTCTTGTAGCTTCAGACACAAATGAGACTAAAATAGCTCTGTTTAACATTCTGAATGGATTATTCATACAGAAGTCAAAATAGGTAAATATAAACTGGAAAAATTATAATTAAATTATCATATATGATATTTTTAAAATTCCAGTTATTGAATATGCACAGACTACTGTGATAACGGGAGAGTAATTGACAAGGTTACAAAGAAAAAAGATTAGTTGGCATTTCATTTTTCATGTGTCAGTCATTTATTAATTTTTTTTGTTTTTCCTGAGACGGAGTCTTGCTCTGTCGCCGCGGCTGGAGTGCAGTGGCATGATCTCGGCTCACTTCAACCTCTGCCCCCGAGGTTTAAGCAATTTTCCTGCTTCACCCTCCAGAGTAGCTGGAATTACAGGCGACCGCCACCACGCCCAGCTAATTTTTGTATTTTTAGTAGAGATGGAGTTTCCCCATGTTGACCAGGCTGGTCTTGAAATCCTGACCTTGTGATCTGCCTGCCTGGGCATCCCAAAGTGCTAGAATTACAGGTGTGAGCCACTGCACCTAGCCAATATGTCAATCATGGACTTTTAAACACACTTTTTATATTCTTAATTCTCAGATCCACAGCATTCATACTAAGGATGATTTTGTTGAACTGCACATCATAGAGAGTTACTATTGTTGATAACAATGTAGTTTTTTTTTCCAGATCTACACCCACTGTGAGAATGTTATTAGGGTGTGTTACTGTTCTCACCCACCAATCCAAAGCTATCTTAATAGGTAAATTAATTTTTGAGAAGATATTTTGTATTTCACTCATAAATGCTAATCAGAATTTCTGAATTGCAACAGAGTAAGAAAACACTTAGTTTCTCCATAATAAATAAAAAGAAATCTGGCTTAATTTAACTGAAAGATAAGTGTGAATTTTTAAAAAATTTGAAACACCAATTTTTTGTTGTTGTCGATGGCTGAATTCTTTTTAAATTTTTTTTAAATTTTGTATTTCCATAGGTTTTGGGGGGATAGCTGGTATTTGGTTACATGAGTAAGTTTTTTAGTAGTGATTTTTGAGATTTTGATGAAACACTATTATTTAATATCAAATGGTACTAAATAAAAATCAGCAGAAATACATTTAACAAATGTTCAAAATACCCATAGAAGGAGAAATTGTAGTATTAGATATTAAGAGGCACTACAATGTTTTTGTTTCAATAGGGTATTCCTTAACCATTTTCATGTAGACCAAGGAATATGTTACTATTGTCCAAATGACAGAATTAAAGGCTCATACTGCCTTTTCACAATTCAGGCTAAAAATTAAGGCAGGTCTTTGCTAATGGATAAATTGTTTATTTTACAGTTTTCCACTAGGAAGAAGAGAAATTGAGCTTAATTAGTAGACCCTAAACCAAACTTTCCATATTTATCTTATGCATTTCATAACTACTTCATATTTATTTTAATATGTTTCAATTAATTAAAACTATAGAGTTATGTATTCACATAAAATTAAGACATGGAGGTAAAATTGTTCTTGTATTTTTGTAGCTATCTTTATTTGTTCTTGTCTTTATGTGGCTGATGATGCAGCGAAAATGCCTGCCTCAGTGCATCACCAAGAATTCATTCTGAAGTTTTCATCTCAGTTCAATAATATTATACTTCAACAGACTCAGATGTGAAGCACTGTACTAAGTTCTATAGGGAGACATGCTTGCCCTCAAGAATCCAATGATCATTTAAAGCATAGAGTAGATATAGTGAACAGGTATAATCCACGTGTATTAGCAAGCTTATCAAAATAAACCATAGATGAACTGATATTATTGAGGATTTTATACATGGCCTTTGGACCATAACGATAAAGTCAAGTAAAGATTACACTTTTGTATCTCTGTTTCTGGCTAAAGGTAGCACACCATAGAAATAATCATGCAAACCAAACAGAAACAAACAAATCTCACCAGCCGTAAGTAGACAAATCTGGAATAAAAATCTGTCAGTGGGTGGACAAGGATACTTTTTTATTATCTCTGAGTAGCAATTTCCTCCTTTGAAAAATGAAGTTATCCATTGTCTAAAACAGAATTATGCAGAGATCTGTGCATGACACATATTGTAAGCATTTTATAAATATAGTTCTTATTACAATGCATATAGTAACATATGATGGCAAATATATAAGTGGTGCTGTCCATGAAGGTAAAAAAACTTTTTCTTGAAAACTAACTGAAGGGAATAAAAAGAAGTTAAAATAAGAGAGTATGTAATCAGCTCTAAACTAAAGAAGGAAGTCAAAATTTAAATTCCAAGCTTAGACAATATCTTTTAACAATTTTGATTGTATTGACAAAGAAATTCTGGGCTCCACTTCTAAATAGAATGATATAGAATAAATAAGCATACAAGAAAGAAAAACATTTACTAATATATCCAAATATAAAAAGTCTATTTTAGGTATGGGGATACCCCCTCATAGAAACTAGGCAGAATGTCTCCTCATAGAACCTAGTGCAGTGAAAAGATATAATGTGTGAAATGACTTAAAGAAATAGTCTAAGCTTGCATTAGAAGTTCAACCAATCCATAACATTTTTTATCCATCTATTTTCAGCTCTTCAGCTCATATCAAAGAAGAAAATTCATAGTGTCCAAGTAGCTAGTGAAGAAAGCCAAACTGAATTTGATTATATCATTTTGGTGCAAGGAGAAAGTCCAGAGAGATTTCTCCCATCTAGCATTTAAAAATATCTGTATACATGCTGTATTAGTCCATTTTCACACTGCTATAAAGAATAACTGAGACTGGGTCATTTATAAAGACAAGAGGTTTAATTGACTCACAGTTCTAAATGGCTGGGGAGTCCTCAGGAAATTTACAATCATGGTTGATGGTGAAGGGGAAGCAAGCACCTTCTTCACAAGGTAGAAGGAGAGAGAGAGACAACAGGGGAAACTGCCACTTTTAAATCATCAGATCTCCTGATAACTCCTTTACTGTCATGAGAACAGCATGGGGAAATCCACCCACATGATCCAATCATCTCCCACTAGGTCCCTCTCTCGACATGCGGGGATTTAATTCAAGATAAGATTTTGAGTGGGGACAGAGAGCCAAACCATATCGTTCGGCCCTTGGCCCCTCCCAAATCTCATGTCAGTTTCACTTTTCAAAACAAATCATGCCTTTCCAACAGTCCCCCAAAGTCTTAACTCATTCAAGCATTAACTCTAAAGTCCAGGTTACAAGTCTCATCTGAGATAAGGCAAGTCCCTTCTGATTATGAGCCTGTAAAATAAAAGACAAGTTAGTTACTTCCAGGATACAATAGGGTGCAGGCATTGGGTAAATGTTCCCATTCCAAAATGGAGAAATTGGCCAAAACAAAATGGCTACAGGCCCCATGCAAGTCCAAAACTCGGCAGGGCACTCATTAAATCTTAAAGTTTCAAAATAATCTCCTTTTGACTCCATGTCATCCAGGGCCGTGGTGATGCAAGGGATGGGCTCCCATGGCCTTGGGCAGCTCTGCTCCTGTGGCTCTGTAGGGTACAGCCCCTGCAGCTGCTTTCAATGGGCTGCCATTGAGTGCCTGCAGCTTTTCCAGGCACATAGTGCAAGCTGTTGGTGGATCTGCCTTTCTGGGGTCTGGAAGACAGAGGCCCTCTTCTCACAACTCCACTAGGCAGTGCCCCAGTGGGGACTCTGCGTGGGGACTCCAACCCCACATTTCCTCTTTGTGATGCCCTAGCAGAGGTTCTCCATGAGGTTTCTGCTCATGCTGCAGACTTCTGCCTGGATGTCCAGGTGTTTCCATACATCCTCTGAAATCTAGGTGGAGGTTCCCAAACCTCAAATCTTGTCTTCTGCACACCTGCAGGCCCAAAACCACATGGAAGCTGCCAAGGCTAGGGGCTTGCACCTTCTAAAGCAATAGCCTAAGCTGTACCTTGGCCCCTTTTAGCCAGTGCTGGAGATGGGGGAGCTGGGATGCAGGGTGCCATGTCCTGGGGCTGCAGAGAGCAGCATGGCCCTGGGCCCAGCCCACAAAACCATGTTTTCCTCCTAGGCCTCCAGACCTGTGATGGGAGGGACTGCTGCAAAGATCTCTGACATGCCCTAGAGGCATTTCCCCCATTGTCTTGGTTATTAACATTTGGCTCCTCATTACTTATCTAAATTTCTGCAGCTGGCTTGAATTTCTCCCCAGAAAATGGGTTTTTCTTTTCTACCCCATGGTCAGGCCACAAATTTTCCAAACCTTTATGCTCTGCTTCCCTTTTAAACATAAGTTCCAATTTCAAAACTCCTCTTTGTGAATACATATAAATGAATGCTTTCAGAATAAGCCAGGTCACCTCTTGAATGCTTTGCTGCTTAGAAATTTCTTCTGCCATATACCCTAAATCACCTCTCTCAAGTTCAAAGTTCCACAGATCTCTAGAGTGGGGCAACATGCTGCCAGTCTCTTTGCTAAAGCATAGCAAGAGTGACCTTAACTCCAGTTCTTAATGAGTTCCTCATCTCCATCTGAGACCACCTCAGCCTAGACTTCATTGTCCATATCACTGTCAGCATTTTGGTCAAAACCAATCAACAAGTCTCTAGGAAGTTCTAAACTTTCCCACATCTTCCTGTCTTCTTCTGAACCCTCCAAACTTTTCCAACCTCTGTCTGTTATTCAGTTCCAAAGTTGTTTCCACATTTTCAGGTTATTTTTATAGCAGTGCCCCACTCCCAGCACCAGTTATCTGTGTTAGTCCATTTTCACACTGCTATAAAGAACTCCTGAGACTGGGTAATTTATAAAGAAAAGAGGCTTAATTAACTCACAGTTCCACATGGCTGAGTAGGCTTCAGGAAACTTACAATCATGATAGAAGCCAAAGGGGAAGCAAGGCACGTCTTACATGGAGGCAGGAGAGAGAGAGAGTGCACAGGGGAAACTGCCACTTTTAAACCATTAGATCTCTGAGAACTTCCTCACTATCACGAGAACAGCATGGGAGAAACTGCCCCCAAGATCCAATCACCTCCCACTAGGTCCCTCCCTCAACACATGGGGATTACAACTTGAAATGAGATTTGGGTGGGAACACAGAGCCAAACCATATCACATGCAATTTTTTTTTAAATGTTATTCACACACTGATTCAGCAATAATAGAAGAAACAGAACAAACTGAGAATTATGTAAAATTATAAAAGGAGGAGAAGAGAGGAGGACAAAGTGGAGGAAGAGAGAGAGGAAGAATAGAGAAGGAAGGAAGGAAGGGAGTCTGGCAAAAGAGAGAGAAGTGGAGCATACCTTAGAAGTATTCTTCTTAAAAAAAAGGTAACAAAAACAATTTAGACAACCCTTCATAGTTTCAAGCAAATTAAAAAGAAAGCTTCATCTAGGAGAACAAGGTTATGAATTACAAGATGGTATAAAAACAGGATGAAATAAAAAGAAAACTTCTAGAGTTAAGGAATTAAACAGAAGATAAAACACACAAAAATCTAAAATGCACACAAACTAGAGAAGTGCAAAAACAATGTTGCAAAGATGTGAATCAGTGGCTTAGAAGTGAGTACTGGTAAAGTTATGGAGAGAGTAAAGAGCAAGTATAGTGGCTGGTCTGTTAAAAAAAATACCTGGAACAGAAAATAAGTGTTTAAAAAATGTAAGTTTTTCTATAATGAAAGAAGACCCAATATTGAATCTGAAAGAGCTTACTGTGTACTGAGACAATTCATAAAGAATATCAGTGCTAACATATATCCTAGTGAAATGACCAAAAGTCCTATAAGCAGTCAGAGAAAAACTGGGCCATTAAGTTGGGGGTAAATGCTAAGACAAACTACTATTTCTCTTCAAGAACAGCAGATGTGAGAAGTAAAAAAGAACTATACCTACTGAATTTTTAACAAATAGTATTTATTTTTCCGGCTTTTTAAAGTTAATATGTGTACTGTAGAAAACTGAAAATACAAGAAGCAAAGAACACAAATGTATCCATAATCAAAGCAGTTTACAGTTTAAAGTAAACTTCTAGTTCTCTGTGTGTTTGTGTGTATATATACACAGATAACATACATTTAGGTGGTTTACCAATTAAAAACCCCAAGGCCACGACTATTTTAACAACCAAAAATAGAATACACCAACTTAGTGAGGAGAAAAATACAATCCTCCCTTTCTCAAGCTCAAAAATTGTTTAAACAACAAAGATGACAAGCCTCTGGATTAAAAAATGTTGGCAGAATTATAATTAAAATACAGTTTGAGTGTTCCTAAGCACAAAATCCAAAATCTGAAATGCTCTCAAATCCAAAACTTTTTGAGTGCCAACATGACACCACAAGTGGAAAATTCCATACTGGACCTCATGTGAGTGTTATAAGCAAAATGCATACGCACGATATACACTTTCTTTAGCATCTCTAATGGAAAAACATAATTCCTCAGCCCCCCTCGGTTGCAATATATCTTTTCTGGGTATATCCAGAGTTCCCTCCTCAAGCACGCCCAAGAAGTTTAATGAAATGGCATGTATGCAGGCCAGACTCAACAACAGCAGTTTCTCCATGATGCCAGGCACAGGGCTAAAACCTACGTGCACTCTTCACTGTGCATTCTCTGTACTGTGGTGTAAATATATTATTGAAAGTGTCAAAAAGGCCTGCAGACACCCCTGTGGGTAACAGTGATAAGAAAAAGAGGAAGCATTTATGTTTATATATGTCACAGAAAGTCAAGCTGTTGGAGAAACTGGACAGCAGTGTGTGAAATGACTTACAGAAGAATATGGTGTTGAAATGACCACCTTATATAACCTGAAAAACAGAAAAATAAAATATTGAAGTTCTGTGCTGAGAGTGATGAACAGAAGTTAATTAAAAATAGAAAAACACTGCATAAAGCTAATAATGAAGATCCTGATCATGTACTGAAAGAGTGCATCTGTCAGTGTTGCAGTGAACATGAGCCACTTTAACAGTATGCCAATTATGAAACAAGCAAAGATCTACAATGAACTGAAAATTGAAGGGAACAGTGAATATTCAACAGGCTTGTTGCAGACATTTAAGATATACACAGCATTATATTTTTTAAATGTGGGATGATAAGGCATCTGCCGATCACAAAGCAGCAGAGAAATTCATTGATGAGTTTGCTAAGGTTATAGCTGAAGAAAATACAACACCAGAACAAGTCTATAATGCTGATGAAACATTATCGTTGGGGCATTACTGCCCTAGAAAGACACTGGCTACAGCTGATGAGACAGACAGCATAGGAATTAAGGATGCCAAGGATAGAGTAACTGTGCTGAGATGTGCTGATGCAGCAGGCACACCTACGTGTAAGCGTGCTGTCGTTGGCAAAAGCTTGCATCCTCGCTGTTTTCAAGAAATTAATTTCTTACCTATCCATTATCATACTAACAAACAGGCATAGATTACCAGGGAAATATTTTCTGATTGGTTTCATAAACATTTTCTACCAGCATCTCATGCTCCCTGCCGCAAAGCTGGACTGCGTGTCAATTGCAAGATGTTGTTATTCCTTGACAATTATTCTGCTTATCTTCCAGCTGAAATTCTTATGAAAAATTATGTCATGTACTTTCCCACAAATGTGACTTTATTAACTCAGCCATGTGATCAGGGTATCTTTAGATCAATGAAGGGTAAATATAAAAACACTTTCTTGAACAGCATGCTAGCAGCACTGAACAGAAGTGAGGGTGTGAAAGATTTTTCAAAAGGAATTTAGCATGAAGAATGCCTTATATGCTGTTGCTAATGCTTTTAATACAGTGACTAAAAACACAGTTGTTTTTATTCTAGCCTGCGACTATGTTCAGTAATGGTGATGAACAAGGTGGTGACTTCAAAGGATTCCAAATATCAAATTTTAAAAAGTGATGTCTGACTTCCTTACATATGCAAAAAGTATACCTTCAGAGTCCACAGTCCACCATTAAGGTGGAAGAAGTGGCTATTGAAGAAGTTTTTAACATCAATAATGTGGCTTCAGTTGTACATTTATTGAATCAAGGTGATCATGATCATGGAAATGATGAAGATGACATTGTCAAAAATTGCAGAAAAAGTGCCTATAGACAATATGGTGAAATGTCTGATTGTTTTATTGAAGGAATAGAGCAGTGTACATTCATAACAGACCAAGAAATCATGTCATTTTATAAAATCAAAGAGAAACCTCTGAGACAAAAAACATTCTTAAAGAGGCAGATGACTCTGGAGGGAATATTTTTAAAAGCCATCCAGCAGAATGCCTCCTCATCACTAGAGAACCCACTTCCTGGTCCCTCAACTGCTTCTGATGTTTCTTTGCACCTAAAAAATAAAATACAGCGTACAATATCCTTTTACTCAAAACACAGCATCACAGGTGGAGACTGAAAGCCTGCTGTTGTTGCTGTTGAACAGTTGATACAGGTATTCTGGTGTCGCTACTGTGCTGTTTAGTTACCCTGAACAAATTATTTTCCACTGTACCAATGGTATATGATATTTTTTTACTAAGTACTTATGCATGAATAAGTGTAAGCAAATAATTTCTTATCAGGAGCACATAAATACAGTCAAAAATAATTGTGATGCCAAACAACGCGATTTTCTACATGAGTGGTTGAGATAGCAACACCTTTACTTTCTGATTGTTCAATGTACACTAACTTTGTTCTATGCACAAAATTACCTAAAGTATTGTATAAAATTACTTCAGGCTATATGTATAATATGTATAGAAAACAGAAACAAATTTCATGTTTAGACTTGGATTCCATCCAGAAGAAATCTTATTTATATGCAAATTTGCCAAAATCTGAACAAAATCCAAAATCTGAAATGCTTTTTGTCCCTAGCACTTCGGATAAGGGATGCTCAACCTGTACTGCATTGTCTTAATGTTGAATTTAAAATGAGACACAAAGCAATGGAGTACAAGGGGTATAATGCTTCTAAAATAATTCATTATTGGGTCTATAATATTAAAATAATAGGTAAAAGATGTTTCCCTTGAATTTTCTTACAATGTATTCATAAGTCCAAAACTATACTTATGGTCAAAAGAAATGCATACATATATCCGTGGTTATATGTTATATACTTTTAACATATGTTATACATTTCTAACATCTATAAATACTACATGTTTCAAATTAGGACTTAAGTTTGTTCACTATACACACAACAGCACTGACTAAATCATATAGATGTAATAAACCTATAATCTGAAATTGTCCTCTAAATAAGGACAATTTGGCCTAGAAAGTTTCTTTTTCTCACTCCTTTTCACTTCTGTCCACTGAATGGACAAGTATAAGCATTTGTAATGCTAAGATGTGGTTTTAACAATTGTATTTCCCTAAGTTATTTTCAGAAGATGTTCTTGAATATGAAATTTAACAAGAATGAAGAAAAGCTTACTAACTCTACTTTTGTCATAACTGGCAGCCTCTTTAAATTCTAGAAAGACTAGGTGTAAAATCAAAACTGGTTAGTCCATTATAAACACCATAGACTAACAAAGTAAGACGACATATGCAGTACATAGAGGACAAGTGTTTGTCTAAAATGGTGCAATTATGAACACATTGTCACAAAGCCCTGAGTGCTGTCTTCTCCTCCCTCTTGCCAGACCAAGTGCATAAGCACAAAGAGTATTGCTCCAAGAGAAGGTTTAGCCATTTCCTTCCTCAAAGATAACATTTCACCTAAATTTCATATGAAAGTCTTATTTTACTACCACTAGTATAAATACATTGAACATTTCTGAACATTTAGAAAGTCTGCATATCTGAAATAAGAACTTATTTGTCCACTTATGCAGAGTGCCATTAAGCAAAACTCCACACACAAAATGATGCTTATGGTTTGAGGTGTCTCCTAATTGTTCCCATCCTGGTCTTCAACCATGTCCTCCTCACTTCACCCTCTTCACCATCAATTCAGTGGACAAGTATAGACAAGTGTATTGCTCCGAGGTGGTTGAAGAAATTTAAATTTATTTCCAAAAGTGTTTTACAGAAGACATGCTTTCCTGCGAGTTCCAATACAAAGTGTACAATGTTTTAGTTTTATTCATACAATTAAATAACTCATAGAATTCTTTATTTGAATGTGAATATGAATTTTATTGGTATTCTTTAATCTTTATTTGAATAAGAATAAAGAATTCAAAGAATTCTATGAATTCTTTAACATCTAGATAATAGAGTTTGCAAAATTGGGACTTATTTGTCCATTATGTACTTATAAATATGGTAAAACAAAATACTGCTCACAAAGGAAGTTTAGCTATTTCATTTCCAAAAGATATGATTTCATCTGAATTGTAACAAATATAATTAACGAAATGTGTTATTTTATTTCACTGTTTTTGACATGCTTTGTGCATCTAAGAACATGTAGGAAGACTAGATATTTCAAAGAAAAGTAATATTATTAACTGTATAACAAAAGGGGAACCAATGCACAAAGAAATGATAAATGTTTTAAGTGATGGATTTACTAATTACTCAGATTTGATTATGACACATTGTACACATGTATCAAAATATCACACTGTACCCCCATAAATATGTACAAGTATGTCAATGAAAAATAATAACAAAATAATTAAAATAACAAAAAGTAAGGGAAATGTTTTGAGGAGGGTGTGGGGGTTGGGGGAGAAAAAATGCATACACAGAATGAATTTGTTATAACGTGAAATATCCTCTAAATATGAACTCCTTTCTTTCTTTCTTCTCAAGGCCTTTTGCTCCACCTCCTCTAACCCATCAAACAAATGTGGTCATGTGTTGCTCCTGATATCCCTTTTAGTGGTTATATTTCCAGAAGTCATTTCCAGAAGATATTTATTTTTAAGTGTTTTTTAAAACAAAAGGTCACGTACAAGACCTGTGATTTTCTAACTCTACATTTTTACCATATATCAGCAACCTCTTTATTTCTAGAAGCCTAGATGTGGCAAAATGAGAATTTAAAGTTGTCTTTTAAAAGGTTGACAAAAATTGAGAGAAGTCTTTTTATAGTTATATGCGTTAAGCTTTTTATAAATGACCTGAGCATCTTTCAAAACGTTGTTGGGCACTCCCTGCTGACCAAATGAAGTACGTTGTTCTAGTTTTTTTCTCACCCACTCTCCAGGCCTGGCAGTAGGCCAACTGCCCACTTGCTGGCCACTGACCTCCCCCTGGCCTTGTCCATGCTCAGCTCATCTGCTTGGACCCAGCAAGGCCTGTTCTGTCATGGTCACAGCAAAGCAGGATCTATTTCACTTGGTGCAGGGAGGCTGCACCAGGTGCCTGGATCTGCATGTCTCCATGAAGCCAAGGTGGCTGAGCTCACATCCCTGTAAGCTTCTTCTCACACCTCTGATGCCCCTATTGTCCTCCACAGTATTCTGACATCTGACAGTTTCTTGGCACCACTGCAGTAACCAAATGGCTGGACAGAGTCAGGATTCTGGGTGGCCAGGATCAGTGAGGCCACCACCATGACAATCAGGTCATCAGCACATATAGCTGCCTTCAGGCCTGGCATGGTCTCCAGCGCCTGGGCAGACTAGTGCAAGCATCTCAGGTTCCAAGCGCAAGGGCAGGTTGGTGGCCCGAAGGTCCCCAAAACCCTAGTGTACTGGCATGCTGGTGGTCAGAAAAGCCCCTTGGGGCATCAGCATGAAGGAAGGAAGTGGCTGGAAGGGCCCCCTGGGGCTACAGTATGAGGTCCAGACAGAGGCTGGAAAGGACTTTGTTTCCACAGCACGTGAGCAGGTAGATGGCCAGAAGGGCCCGGGTTCCCCAGCGGATGGGCATGGTGGTGGCTAGAAACCCCAACAGGTTATACAATGATTGAAAGGGCCACTGGGTCCAGAGCTAAGCGGTGGGTCAGTGACTGGAAAAGACCCAGGGTCATCAGTATGTGGCATGCATGATTGCTAATAGGGCCTGAAGTTCTACAGACCACAGACAGGCTGCTGACCAGAAAGGACCCTGGGGTACTAGCGCCCAGGAAAAATGTTGGTTGGAAGGGCAACAAGGTCTGAACATATGGCTTCCCTGGTGGCTGGAAGGGACTCCGAGGCTCCAGCCGGCTGGACAGTTGGTTGCTGATAAGGCTGTAGGTTCCATACCACACAGGCAGGTTGGTGACTAGAAGGAAGGCCTGGTTGCCAGAACAGGAGAAGGATGGCCGCCAAAGCCCTTGGTTCTCTAACTTGTGGGCAGCTCAGTGGTAGAAAACTGAAACAGCCCAGTTACTTCAGTGTGGGATGGAAGGTGACTGGAAGGACCCAAGTTTACTCAACACATAGGCAGAGTGGTGACTGGAAAGTCATGTCCAGGGCAAGAAAAAGCATGTCTGGAAATTAATACAGAAAGACTTTAACCAGGACTATTGGAATGGGAAAAGGAGGACAGTTGCACTAGGGATATGCTCAAAGCCTAATGTAGAAACATCTCAGGGAAGGAGTAGGCAAGCAAAGCTTTTATATGCAGATACCATGGGATAGGTGGCTGTGGAAGGAGGAAGTGAGTGCTACAACTGCTAGCCAGAGGGCTTGAAATTACACAACTGTATAAAATATTGCAATAAGGAGCATGTTGAGGCAAGAAGTGTTTGTGTTTAAGCACAAGGCAAAGGTTTGGGACTGAGATGAGCAAAGCAGTTATAGTGCAGGATGTTCCCATAAAAATTAGCATCGAGCTGTCCTAGTCAAGTCAGTCTAGTTAAGTCAAGCACAAAGTTTCACCAATCTTGTCAGTACCTGCTCTTTTTCAAGACAGACTCAGCCAGAGACTGTTCTTGAACAACTCAAGGATAAGGGGAACCAGAAACAGGGAATAGCTAAGTGAAATAATCCTCAGGGTAAATGTTTTCTTGGTGGGGTTGTCCCTGTAGGACCAGTTGAACCATCTGTTGGGCCAGCTGGCAGAGCTCAGTTGTTTTAGGGTCTTGCAGTTGAGGCATCTTAAAAGAGTGATACCCAAAATGAAAATGATACGTGCTATTATAAAAGGTTATATGAAAGTAAACAGCCAGGAGTTGAGCACTAAGGGTATCCAGTTAAGCAAATTCCAAGAGGCTGATGGATGAAAATCTTTTGATTATGCAGCATTGCTCTTTGAGCTTCTGGTACTCTTGGTAATGTTGTTCACAGTATTTGTAACCTCACTTATAAGGACATGCATTGCATGATCATTCTACCAGACTTTCTTAGTGTCTCAGACACTTGTCCAGTGAGAAATCCTACCCATGCATAGTCTGCCAGTAATGAATCCTTTAAGGTATATATCAAGTTGTTTGGGCTTTAAGTAACAGTGCTCCTTCAGATCCTGGGGAAAAGGACAGCGATGGGTTTACTTGAAGTCCCTATAAGGATCTGGGTAGTCATGTTTTAGTTCTTGGTGATGCCAAGGTAAGAAGGAGGGAAAAAAATTGAAAATGTTACTTTGAAGTAATGTAACCAGATATTGAAAGAAACTGGAAGAATGGAAAATTTGGTATGGGTTGACAATTTAGAATCTAATCCAATTTATAGATAGGTAACAAAACTGTTTTCTCCCACAGTGGGAATAAAAGTCAATTGAATATCTACCAGACAAGATAGAATTTGCATATCCATCAGTTACAAAGAGGGAAGAAGTAGCTCAAAGACAATGAAAAGGACCAAAATCTGATAATCCATAAAGGTAGGCTGTAGTTTTTTTATTGTATATTTTTAAAGTGTGCAACATGATGTTTTGATATAGATGTACATAGTGAAGTAATTACTATAGTCAAATAAATTAACATCTGTATCTCACATAGTTCCCTTTCTTTTTTGTGTGGTAATAAGTACCTAAACTTTACTCTCTTAGCAAATTTCCAATATACCATACAATATATTAACTAAAGTCCTCATATTGTACATTAGC
Organism: Homo sapiens; assembly: GCF_000001405.40. NCBI lineage: Eukaryota > Metazoa > Chordata > Mammalia > Primates > Hominidae > Homo > Homo sapiens. The sequence goes on from NC_000023.11 coordinate 28,018,344, forward strand.
TCTCTAGGCTTATTCATCTCACATAAATGCAACTTTGTACCCTTTGACCTATGTCTCCCCATTTCCCCTACTCCCCCATTCCTGGTAACCATTTTTCTACTCCCTGTTTCTATATATTCAATTTGTTTGTTTTAGATTCCTCATTAATGAGAGATTGTGCGGTATTTTTCTTTCTCTGTCCTGCTTATTTCACTTAGCATAGTATCCTCTAGGTTCATCCATGTTGTCACAAATGGCAGAATATCCTTTTCTAGGGCTGAACAACCATATGAATATTATTCAGACTTAAAAAAGGATACTCTGCCATTTGTTCATAATCTTACGGAATTATGTATATATACACACCACTACTTTTTTATCCATTATATATCAACAGAAATTTAGGTTATTTGCATATCTTCATTATTGTGAATAATGCTGCAGTGAACAAAGAAGTGCAGATACATTTATAAAGTTGTGATTTGATCTCCTTTGAGTATATACTCAGAGGAGTGACTGTTGATTCATATGGCAATTCTCTTTCTAGATTTTTGAGAAACTTACATATTACATTCCAAAATGGATATAATAATTTACATTTCCACCAACAGTGTACTAGAGTTGACTTTTATTCCACACTCTTGCCAACACTTGCTGGCTCTTTTTTTTTTTTATAATAGTCATCTGTATTAGTCAGTTCTAGCATTGCTATAATTTATTTTTTTTAAAGAGGTTTAATTGGCTTACTGTTCTGCAGACTGTACAGGAAACGTGATGCTGGTATCTGCTTGGCTTCTGAGGAGGTCTCAGGAAACTTACAAACAGGGTGGAACGCAAAGCAGGAGCAAGCACCTCACATGGCTGGAGCAGGAGGAAGAGAAAGAGGGTGGAGGTGATACACATTTTTAAACAACCAGATCTCACAAGCACTCACTCACTATCATGAGAGTAGCATCAAGGGGCAAATCCACCCCCAGGATCCAATCACCTCTCACCAGGCCTAACCTCCAACATTAGGGATTACAATTGAACATGAGATTTGGGTGAGGTCACAGAGACAAGCAATATCACCATCTTAACAGGTTTAAGGTGATATCTCATTATGGTTTGATTTGCATCACTCTGATAATTAGCGATGTTGAGCACCTTCTCCCATACCTGTTGGTCATTTATGTTTCTTTTGGAGAAATAGCTATTCAGGTCTTTTTCCTATTTTTAAGTTGGGTTATGGGTTTTCTTTCTATTGGTTAGTATGAGTTCCTTTTATATTTTTAATATTAACCCCTTATCAGATACACAGTTTGCAAATGTTTTCTTTATTTTGTTGTTTTGTGGCGTGAAAATTCCAGTAATGTCAATCAAAAAAGTTTTATACAAAATATCTATAACATGATTAGCCTTCTTTTCAAAGAAGAGTGAATATCTCATTCATTAAAATGAATAAGCACAATCATTAAACAGAAAAAAATCTTCAGATGTGTAAGAATCCTGAGACATAACACACCATAAGTATATCAGGTATTTGGTTAGAATATACCAAGAGTGTATCAAGGATATCAAGTAAAGAGATTCAGTCAGTCTGGAGTAGGTCCTAAACAACAGTAAATGAAAACTCCACAGGTTAGTGATGTGAATCCCCAGTTGACAACCACTGGTCTAGAACATACTAGATTCAATATTAAGAGGTAAAATTGTGACCAAGTTAATGTTTTTAAAAATAATTAAACTTATCACTAATAACACTATACTGTTGTCTAATATTAGGTGAAATAACACCAGGACTCTGATAAATAGAAACATCATGGACAGCAAGGATGTGGAAAATTCTCTAGGAACTTCATATAATTTCTGAAATATTTATGTTAATAACATTTTACCCAATAAAGATTTAACCTGGGAAAGGCTAAATGTCTCTTCTGATTTTACAACCCTTCCTATGCAACTCACAACATTTCAAATAAACCTAATTATTTCTAGTATTTCCCTTTGAACAAGGTGAAAGAACAACTCCTTTGTGATTTTCCAGGGACCTTCTGGGATGCAAAGGAAGTTTTAGGTGCTAAAGATAACATTTAAGATCTAGTTTCAGGAAGATAAAATGCCAAAATTTGTCAGGAGGTTTGAACACTATATTAAATAAAATCATGGGTGAGTGGAAAACAATACTTGGTTACTTATTTAATCCAAATGACAATGAAAAATTTAAAAGTAAATATAGGAGGTAACATGATTGTAAAAAACCTTCATGCTTTCAAATGTGATATGAGGCTGGGCACAGTGGCTCATTGCTATAATCCCAACACTTTGGGAGGCAGAGGTGGGAGGATTGCTTGAGCCCAGGAGTTCTAGACCAGCCCGAGCAGAATAGCAAGACCCCATCTCTAATAAAAAATAAAATATAAAAAAAGAATAAAAGGAAAGAATGTGAGATGAATTTTTTCCTTAAATAATCAGGGACATGATAAAGTCAACACAAAGCATCAGAAATTACTCTGATAAGACACAGACTATTTAGCATCAAAGTAGAATACTCAGAAAGCAAAGAAAAACCTTTTACAACCTCTTAAGAGAAGACCAGTAGTTCAAGAAAATATTGTCATTTTAAGAAAGAAAAGCGAATTCCAGTTTTGTATCAGTACATTTGACACTAAAGTGCTTTCTAAATATTATAAATAAATGTATCAACCTTTGTTTTGACCACAGCAAAATTCCCTTTCTATGACTTTTTATAACTTTTTGTATCTATTCAGGTTTTATCCTATGCTTTTTTCTTTCCCATTCTGGAACAGTTTTTTGACTTAGGACAAAACTATTCTCTTTTTCTTAATACAAATATGTTCTGCCTACCTTGCATATGTACAGTATGTTGATTATAACTTTTACCATTGGTAATTCTGTTTTACAAATAAACTTGGAGGTGGATAACTGTGAACTGTCTGACATACATTGGCATTTTATAGCAAACTAGCAAAACTTCAAGATATACATGTAACAACTTTTTGTTGTTGTTGTTACACAAAAGATATAGTACTACATCCTTAAAGTACAATTTCTTAGTTTGGCAAAAATGAAAACATACATTAACAAATCCATATATATGTGCTTACAATTATTTATAATACTAGTTCAGTATTTTGTCTCATTTTTAATGATCTAGGTATGTAATAAATATTTATTAAATAATTTAGATAAGTCTAGGGTTTTCAGTTACCTAAACAGCTTGAAACTATCTTTTTTTTTATTTGTATAAATTTGAAGGTACAAATTTTGTTACATGGATGCATTGCATAGTGTAGTGGAGATGTCTGGGCTTTTAGTATGACCATCACCCTAATAATGTACACTGTACCCATTAAGTAATTTCTCATCCCACTTTCCTCTCCCTCCTCATCTTACAACAGTCAGAATGGCTACTATTAAAAAGCCACAAAATAATAGATGTCGGTGATAATTCAGAGAAAAGGAAACACTTATACATTGTTGGTGGTAATGTGAATTAGTACAACCTCTCTGGAAAACAGTATAGCGATTTTGCAAAGAATGAAAAATTTTTGAACACCTGAATAGAGATAGAATCCATATATTGTACAATTCAGCCCCCTAAGGGTATAATTCAACAGTTTTTATTAATATATTACTAATTAAAAAAATCATAAAATTTCCCTTTTAGCCATTTTTCAGTGTACAATTCACTATCATTAAGTGCATTCACAATGTTGTACAGCCATCATCATCCATTTGCAGAACTTTTTCATCATCCCAAATAAAAACTCTGTATCTAGTAAACAATAACTCTTCTTTCTATCCTCCCCATCCCCTGGGAACCTCAATTACACTTTCTTGGTCTATGAATTTGCCTATTGGAGGCACCTCATATAAATGGAATCACACAATATGTGTCCTTTTTTTTTTTTTTGGTCTTGCTTATTTCACTTAACACAATATTTTCTAGGTTCCTCCACGTTGCAGCATGTATCAGAAATTCATTCCTATTAATGGCTGAATAACATGTATGCATATACCATATTTTAACTGTTCATCTAGATGGACACTTAGATTTTTTCCTCATTTTTTTCTTTTGTGAATCATACGGCAAAGAACATCTAACAAGTATTGAACAGAACAAGTATCTGAGTATCTGCTATAATTTCTTGGGTTATACACCTAGGAATGGAATTGCTGGCTCATTAGTAATTCTATGTGCAGCTTTTTGAGGAATTGCCAAACCATTTTCCCTAGCAGTTGCATCATTTTACCTTCTCACCAGCAATATATGAGGGTTCCAACGTTTCCACATTCTTGCCAACACTCATTAGTTTCCATTTGTAATTTTTAAATATAGCTGTCTTAGAAGGTGTGAGATGGTATACCATTGTGGTTTTGATTTTCATTTCCCTAATGACTAATGTTGCACATATTTTCATGAGCCTATTAGCCATTTGTTTTTTTTTGAATAAATGTCTATGCAAATTTTTTACTGTGTTGTTTGTTTGTTTTAGAGTTGTAGATGTTCTTTATATATTGTGGATATTAAACCTTATCAGATCTATAGTTTCCAAATATGTTCTCCCATTATGTAGGTTGTTTTTCACACTCTTGATAGTGTACTTTGGTGCACCAAAGTTTTTAATTTGATGGAGTTCATTATCTGTTTTTCTCTTTTGTTACTCATGGTTTTGGTGTCATATCTAAGGATCCATTGCCAAATCCAAGGTCATAAAATTTATTTCTATATTCTCTTTTAAGAGCTTTATGGTATTAGCACTTATATTCAAGTTGTTGCTTTATTTTGAGTTAACATTTGTATATGGTGTGATGTAGAGGGGTCCAGCTTCATTCTTTAGAATGTGGAAATCCAGTTGTCCTAGCATCATCTGTTGAAAAGACGATTCTTCCCTTGTTGAATGAGTGTGTCACTCCTGTCAAAAGCAACTGGTATAGATGCATAGGTCAGTTTTTGAAATATGAATTCTGCCACATTGTCCTATATGTCTACCCTTATGGCAGTACCACCCTGTTTTGATCATTGTAGATTTGCAGTAAGTTTTGAAATTAGAAACAATGAGTCCTCCAACACTGTTTTTCAAAAATTTTTTGACTATGTGTATCTCTTGAAATTTTATATGAAGTCGAGGATTGGCATTTTGACTTCTGCAGAACCAAAGCTGTTTTTATAGGGATCTTTTATAGAGACTGTATGGAATCTGTAGATCGCTCTGAGTAGTACTGACATCTCAACAATATTCAGTCTCTCTATTCATGAATCCGGATGTCTTTCCATTTATTTAGGACATTTTTTGAGCAATGTTCTGTATTTTTCAGTGTACAGTTTTTACACCCCATTGATTAAATTTATTCCCATGTGTTTTATTATTTTAGATACTATTATAAATGAATTGATTTTAGTTTCCTTTTCAGATTTTTCATTGCTGGTGTGTGAAAATGCAAGTGAATCTTATGTTTTGATCTTGTACCCTGCAACTTTGCTGAATTTATTTATTAGGTGTAATAGTTTTCTTGTGGATTTGTGTTAGTCCGTTTTCAGACTGCTGTAAACACATACCTGAGACCGGGTAATTTATAAAGAAAAGAGTTTTAATTGACTCACAGTTCCGCATTGCTGGGGAGACCTCAGGAAACTAACAATCATGGCAGAAGGCAAAGGGGAAGCAAAGACTTTCTTCACATGCTGGCAGGAAAGAGAGATTGAGTGTGTGAGCACAGGAAAAACTACCATTTATAAAACCATCAGATCTCATGAGAATTCACTCACTATCATGAGAACAGCATTGGGGGTAACCGCCTCCATAATCCAATCACTTCCCACCAGGTATCTTCCTCAACACCCGGGGATTACAATTCAAGATGAGATTTGGGTGGGAACACAAAGCCTAACCATATCAGGATTCTTTAGGATTGTCTACATAAAGGATTATGTCATAAGCGAATACAGATAGTTTTGATTCTTCCTTTTCAATTTGGATGCCTTTTATTTCTGTTTCTTGTCTAAATTCTTTGGCTAGAAATTCCAGTAAAATGTTAAATAGCAATGGTGAAAGCAGATATCCTTGTCTTGTTTTTGAGCTTAGGGGAAAGCTTTCAGTCTTTAACCATTGAGTATGAAGCTAGCTGGTTTTTTTTTTTAAATAAACATACTTTATTATGTTGAAGAAATTCTCTTCTCTTCCTAGTTTTTTGCGAATTCTTATCATGAAGAATTGGTGAATTCTTTTCATGTCGATGGAGATGATTATGCATTTTCCCCTTTGTTCTATTAATCAGATGTATTAGATTAATTGATGTTCTTATGTTGAACCACTCTTGCATTTCTGGGTTAAATTCCACTTGGTCATGGTTTATAATCCTTTAAATGTGCTGTAAGAGACAACCTAGAATGGGAATGATATGGTTTGGCTGTGTCCCCACCCAAATCTTACCTTGCATTGTAATAATCTCCACGTGTCAAGGGTGGGGCCAGGTGGAGATAATTGAATCATGGGGGCAGTTTCCCCCATACTGTTCTTGTAGTAGTGAGTAAGTCTCATGAGATCTGATGGTTTTGTAAGTGGGAGTTGCCCTGCACTAGCCGTCTTGCCTGCCACCATGTAAGACGTGACTTTGTTCCTCATTTGCCTTCTGCCATGATTGTGAGGCCTCCCCAGCCACGTGGAACTGTGAGTCAATTAAACCTCTTCCCTTTATAAATTACCCAATCTCAGGTATGTCTGTATTACCAGCATGACAACAGACTAATAGAGGGAGAACAATTTTGAAAACTGTGCATCTGATAAAAGTCTAATATCCAGCATCTATAATATAAGGTATGTAAACAAATTTACAAGAAAAAACTAAACAACCCAATTAAATATTGGGCAAAGGACATGAACAGACACTTCTCAAAAAAAGACATTTATGTGGCCAACAAGCACATGAAAAAAAGCTTAACATCATTGATCATTAGAGAAATGCAAATCATAACCATAATGAGATACCATGTCATACCAGTCAGAATTGCTCTTATGAAAAAGTCAAAAAATAACAAATGCTGACGAGGTTATGGAGGAAATGGAATGCTTATACACTGTTGGTAGGACTGTAGATTAGTTCAAACATTTTGGAAGATAGTGTGGTGATTTCTCAAAAACCTAAAGACAGAAATATTATTTGACCCAGTACTCCCATTACTGAGTATATACCCAAATAAATATGAATTATTCTAGTATAAAGACATATGCACACGTATTTTCATTGCACCACTGTTCACAGTAACAAATACATGGAATCAACAAAAATGTCCATCAATGATAGACTGGATAAATAAAATGTGGTACATATATGCCATGGAAACCTATGCAGCCATAAAAAAGAATGAGATTATGTCCTTTGCAGGGTCATGGATGGAGCTAGAGGCCATTATCCTTAGCAAACTAACGCAGGAACAGAAAACTAAATATTGCATTATCTCACTTGTAAGTCGGAGCTAAATGATGAGAACACATGGACACATAGGGGGAACAACACCCACTGGGGCCCATTGGAGGGTGGAGGGTGGGAGGAGAATCAGGAAAAATAACTGATGGATACTAGGCTTAATACTTGGGTGATGAAATAATCGGTACAACAAACCCCCATGACGTTTACCTATGTAAGAAACCTACACATCCTGCACATGTAACTTTTATTTGAAAAGTTAAAAAAGTAAAAAAAATAAAAAGTGTGATGTCGAATTTGACTTGCTAGCATTTTGTTGAGACTTTTGCAGCTATATTCATAAGGGATGCTGGTCTGTAGTTTTCTTTTTTTGGTGATAACATTATCTCGTTTTGGTATCAAGGTAATGTCAGCCTCCTAGAGTGAATTAGAAAGTGCTCTCGCCGGGCGCTGTGGCTCATGCCTGTAATCCCAGCACTTTGGCAGGCCAAAGCCAGCAGATCATGAGGTCAGGAGCTCGAGACCAACCTGGCCAATATGGTGAAACCCCATCTCTACTAACAATACAAAAATTAGCCCGGCATGGTGGCGCGCGCCTGTAGTCCCAGCTACTCGGGAGGCTGAGGCAGAAGGATCTCTTGAACCCAGGAGATGGAGGTTGTAGTGAGCTGAGATTGCACCACTGCACTCCAGCCTGGGTGACAGAGTGAGACTCCGTCTCAAAAAAACAAAAAAAAAAGAAAAAAGAAAAAGTGTTCTGTCCTATTTTTGGAAGCTTTTTTTTCTTTAAGAGTGATGCAGCAACTTATTTTAACATAGCAATATTTACAATATGCCAAAATTTTGTCCTATTTGACTCTATTTAAACTTATGATGAAAAACGTAAAATGTCCATTTAAAATTGTCCCAAACAGTATACATGTACTCAAAATTACTTTAGGCAGAACAAATACATTTGAAGACTAGATTAGCTTTAATCTAATTCAAACTTTCAGAAACTGTAAGAACAGAAATCCAAAGTTCATACATTCATTCAAATGTTTACTGAGCACCTGATATGTGCCAGGCACTATTCAATATGCTAATGTTACAGCAGGAGACAAAGTAAAAATTCTACCTTATGGATTTATATTCTGATGAGGAGAGGCAAATAATAAGCAAGTATTCACGTAAATGTATAATATGTCATGTAATGAGTGCTACAGAGAAAAATAAAGCAAAAAAATATGCTGAAGGGTAATGGGGAGGATTGCAATTATATGTAGAGTGAAGAAGGAAATTTCAACCGCTAAGGTGACTTTTGAGCAGAGACATGAATGATGTCTGCAAGGGAGCCATGTGATTATCCTCTGTCCAGTTTGGGGGAGGAGAAGGGCATTTTACTCTGATTGAAAACAAAAGCCACTAAAGGATGGAGGCAGAAGAGTGTTCTTTTAACAAGATCCCTATAGACTAAGGGATGAGGGTACAAAAATGGGTTTAGTTAAATAATTTTTGTTTAAACTAGCAACTTTAAAGGGCAAAAGGTTTTCAATTTAGGTTTATAGAAAATGAAAATTTACTTATTGTCCATTAAATATAAGGCAGTGAGTTACTTCTAATCCAATTTATTATACAGCTAAATATTTACAAGTTTTAGATTTTTATTTTCAAGGATGAAAACTTTGGTTAGCTCCTATTATTAATATTTCTGCCTTCAATTGCTTAGCCCTGAGTATAGCCAATGAAATGTAAGCAATGCACACATGAGGAGTACCAGGCTATAGCAGTTACTATTATATAATTCCAGGAACAATGCCTAGGATGTTTCAAAAATCAAATTTAAATCTTAAAAGAAGGCAGAATAAACCAGTAAAGTGGTTTTAAACTTGTTTTTTAATAGCAGAATCCTTCAAGTAAATCTAAAATGGAACTCCACAGCTACAAGAGGTATTTTACTAATATGCATTTATTGCATAGAATCAGATTCATAATTTTTACTAATATAAAGTAGATAAATAAGAATAATCTGTTCTGATGAAACATAAACACTTTCAATTAGTTGTCAGTGTTATGTCAACCTCAGCATCCAACGTATTTCTGTATTTTGTCTTACATATACAGTATTGAGAAAATTCAAATTCAAGGAGATCAGAAACTATCTTATTATATCTTATTAAGCTACCTTATTATATACATTTTAAGTTAAGGCTACTCATTGCTTAAATGATTCCAGTTGCTTGAAAGAAAAGTTAAAAAATGGTTTTTCAAAAGTTTATTGTTACAGTATTTAACTGCATATATTATTTAAGGGGTGATTATTCAATCTAAGAAAATAGATTTTGGAAGCTTTTGAGAAAGATTGGTGTTAATTCTTCTTTAAATCTTTGGCTGAATTCACCAGTGAAGCCATCTGGTCCTGGATTTTCCTTTGTTGGTAGATTTTCAATTACTGATTAGATCTCTTTACTTGGTATAGATCGGTCAAGATGTCTGTTTCTTCTTCAGTCAATTTAGGTAACTTGTGGATTTCTAAGAGTTTGTCCACTTCATCTAGGTTATCTAATTTATTGGGATGCAATTGTTCATAATAGTACTCTCTTATAATCCCTTTTTTCTCAGTGGTCATTAGTAATGCTCCCACTTTCCTTTCTGATTTTAGTTATTTCCATCTTCTCTCTTTTTTCTTTGTCAGTCTGGTTAAAGGATTGTCAATTTTGTAGATCTTTTCAAAGAATCGACTATTATTTTCATTTATTCTTTATATTGTTTTTCTATCATGTTTAATTTATTTCTGCTCTAATCTTTATTATTTCCTTCATTGTCCTAGCTTTGGTTTTAGTTTTCTTTTTCTAGTTTCTCAAGGTGTAAAGTCAGGTTATTGATTTGATATTTTTCTTCTTTTTTATTAGTAGACTTAATTTCTAGACCACATTTAAGTTTATAGATAAATGGAGAAGAAACTACAGAGTTCCTACTGCTTCCCCATCCCATACACACAGTTTTCTCTATTATCAATATCTTCTATTATTGTTGCACATTTGTTTCCATTGATGAGTCAATATGGATACATTATTATTAACTATAGTCCACTGTCTGCATTAGGGCTCCCTCTTGGTGTTATGCATTCTATGGGATTTCACATATGTATAATGACATGTATCCACCATTACAGTTGTTTAAATGTCATATATACATATATAGAAAGGGTCTCACTATGTTTTTCAGACTGGTCTTGAACTTTTGGCCTCAGGTGATCCTCCCACCTCAGCCTCCCAAAGCACTGGGATTACAGGTATGAACCACCACACACAGCCACCAATACAGAATAGTTTCACTGTCCTAAAAATCCCTTATTCTCCACCTCTTCATCCCTACTTCCCTTTCTCTGAGCCCTTGGCAACCACTAATCTGTTCATTGTCTGCATAGTTTTGCCTTTTCCCAAATGTCAAATCTCTGCTATTATACAGCATGTAGCCTTATTTCACTTACCAATATGCATTTAAGGCTTCTCTGTGCCTTTTCAGGACTTGATAGCTCATATTATTTGTATTGCTGAATAATATTCCATTGTATGGATGTACCATGGTTTGTTTATTCATACACCTATTGAAGGGCATTTTGGTTGCTTCCAAGTTTTGTCAATTGTGAATTAAGCTGCTAGAAACATTTGTGTGCAGGTTATTGCGTGGATATAAGTTTTCAGTTCATTTGGGTAGATACCAATAAGGAAAATTCCTGGATTGTATTATAAAAGTATGTTTAGTTTTCTAAGAAACTGTCAAACTGTCATCCAAAGTGGCTGTACCATTTTGCATACCCACCAGCAATGAATTAAAGTTATTGCTTCATATCCTTTCCAGCAACTGATGTCAGCGCTTTGGATTTTAGCCATTCTAATAAGTGTGCAGTGGTAACTTGTTTAAATTTGCAGTTCCGTAATGACATATGATGATGAGCATCTTTTAATATGTTAATTATTTAACACTTCCTTGGCGAGGTGTCTGTTCATATCATTTGCCTATTTTTTAAACTTGGATGTTTGCTTTCTTAATGTTGGGTTTTAAGAGTTCTTTGTGTGATTTGGATACTGGTCTTTTATCAAAAATGTTTTTTTGCAAAAATTTTCTCCTAGTCTGTGGCTTGTCTTTTCATTCTCTTAACAGTGTCTTTTACAGAGCACTTTTAAATTTTAATGAAATCCAACTTATCCATTTTTTCTTCCATGACTCATGCTTTTGCTGTTGTATCTTAAAAGTCATTGCCAAAACCAAGGTTACCTAGATTCTGTACTATGCTATCTTCTAGGAGTTTTTATATGTTTTGTGTTTTACATTTATCTCTTTGATCTATGATCAAATGTGCTCCAGTTGACACAGCAGGCAATAGGCTGATGGCACAAAAAAAAAAAAAAAGAAAAAAACACTCCTTGGATTAGCAGCATGCCAGCAGTGTATAGCAGGAAGAAGGCCAGAACCCTCCTAATGGAAAGTCTGGTGCCTGAAATGTTCCCTGGAGCACTAATTTGTTGAACAGTAGCCAAATGTCTCTTGATTTATTCACTTGTAAGGCAGACTGAGGTCCAAAAGACCCTATGGTACCCCTAGGAGAGGCCAGTACTGTGACCTAAAATGCTGTCATTTCTACTACCCATGGATAGTCTGGTGGCCAAAGAACCCTAGGTTCTCCAGACAGAGGATGGGCTGGGGACAGGCAGAGATACCCCAACCCTACATTTTGAGGAAAAACTGGTGGCCTGAAGTTTTCCCGACACACAAGCACTCTGGAGGTAGAGTGGCCGAAAGGGTTTCCAAGGCACCACTGTGCTGGGATTTCCAACAGGTCCCTAATTCCATAGTAATGGATCTAGTGCCCATAAGGTCTCACTGGAATCTAATGTGTGGGCAGTCTGGTCTCCGAAAAGGTCCATGGGGGCATAAATACAAGGGGAGAATGTGTCTGGAAGTTCTCCAGGGTACCAGCGCACTGTCCAACACATGTCTAGAAGAGCCCCAGAGTCCTAGAGGTAGGGGTGTACTCAGTGCCCAACAGATTCTAGGCTTCACAACCTATAGAGAAGGTTGTGGTCCAAAAGCTATCGCAGTTGCCCAGCGTGCAGACAGGGTGGGGACCATGAAGACCCAGAGGCCCTTAAAGACCAAGCCATCTGGTGTTCAGAAAGTTCCCGGGGACAGAATTTATGGGAAAGTCAGTGACCAAAGAGTTCCAGTTGCCATTACAGATGGGCTAGCTGAGGGCTAAGAGGGTCATTGGTTCCCTGGAGCCATGCCTGTGGGGAAGAGAAGGGTTTTCCTTTCCACATCATATGTGCAGGCTAATTGCTGAAGAACCTTTGGTTTCCAGGCACACAGGATGATTCTGGGCCAGAAGGAACTCCAGAACCCTAGCAAGCGGGCATGCTGATGGTCAGGTATTTTCACAGGTCCTCTCGATAGGAGAAGGGTGGACACTTGGTGGAAAAAAGGGCCCAGAGTACTCCTGCAGTGACCTGTACTGTGACCCAACATGACCCAGTTTCAACAACAGGCTTGCAAAATGATGACTGGTGAAAACTCAGGCCCTTGGCATGCTTGTGTATTGTGTGCCAGAAGGAAATCCAGAAATGTCTAGAGCTGAAAGGGCCTTCATGACACTACTGTGTTAGGAGTACAGGGCCAAAATGGGCACCAGTATGCTGGAAGTATGGTTCTCAAAAAGGCTGTACATTCCACCACACAGGGTCTGACTACTGTTAACCACCCACAGAACTCCAGTGCATGGGCAGTCTGGTCACCAAAAGGGCTTACTGGGCAGCAGTGCCAGGGCAGATGGTGTCCAAAAGTATGATCTTAGGCACCAGTGAGGTGACAGGCTCATGTCGGGAAGAGTCCTGGACCTTGAAAGGGTACATTAGACCCAGGCGGAAAGACCTGGTCCTGCTGACAGTCTAGTAGGAGGAACGCAGGTTCCATCACATAAAAGAGCTAGAGATGAATGGAGAAAGAAAATGTAATGTGGTACTTATAGACAATGGAGTACTATTCAGCCATAAAAAGAATGAGTTTCTTTTGCAAGTCATTTGCAACAACATGAATGGAACTGGAGATCATTATGTTGAGTGAAATAAGCCAGGCACAGAAAGACAAACATCTGATGTTCTCAGTTATTTGCAGAATCTAAAAATCAAAGTAATTGAACTCATGGACATAGAGAGCAGATTGATGGTTACCAGAGGCTGGGGGTGGTAGTTGTGGGCTGGGGTGAGGTGGGGTTGGCTAACGGTTACAGAAAAAAAGAGAAAGAATAAATAAGACCTTCTATTTGATAGCACAATAGAGTGACTATAGTCAACAATAATTTAATTGTACATCTTAAAATAACTTAAAGAGTGTAATTGGATTGTTTGTAACTCAAAGGATAAATGTGTGAGGGGATGGATATCCCATTCCCCATGTTGTGCATGTTTGTATCAAAACATCTCATGTACTACATAAATATATACCCCTACTGTGTAATGAAAAAAATTAAAAAATAAATAAATGATTTTGTTTTAACAAAAGAAGGATCCCTGGACACCCCTGTGAGGGACAGACGGTGGCCAAGAGGCCTCAAAACTCCCAGGCTTGTGGACTTCCTGAACGCATGAAGGGCTAAGGGTTCCTGTGGCAGATGTCAGTGCCCTGACCATAATCACTCTCCTTCCATTGCAGGCAGGCCGGCAGGTAGCTAAAGAACCCGAGGTTCCCCAGCACACAGTCAGATGTGCTAGAAGGAATTCCAGAACTCAGGGAGTTGGTGAGCCTTGTGACCAGAAACTTCCCCAAGTCACCACCGTGATGAAGGTGTATCAGTCAAAGATGCCCTAAATCACGAGCTTTCTGGATGGATTGTTGACAATAAGGCTCTAAATTTCACAGTGCAGAAGACAGCTGGTGTATAAGCATCCCTTGTAACCTAGTGTGAGGCTTTCTGGTAACTAAAAGGTCATCCAAGGCACAATGCAAGGGGACACTGTGTCGAAGGGCCTTTGGGGCACCAATTTGTTTCCAGGCACATGTCTGTAAAAGCCATGGGGCCACAGAAGCTAAGATGGGCCAAGGCTGAAAGTGCTTTCAGTTCTACATCTCGCAGGATGTTTGATACTCCACAAAATCTTGTTTCCCTAGCACAAAGTCAGGCTGGAAGCAGAAGGACCCTGGGGACCCTCATGAGAAGGACTTCTGCTGGCCAAAACTTTCCCCAGGACACCAGTTTGGTGGCCAGACAGTGAACAAAATGGCTCTTGATTCCTCTGCTTATGTGCTGTCTAAGGGCTGATAGGATTCATGGTTTCCCTATGGTTGGTCTATGCTATGGCCAAAAGTGCTCTCATTTCCACAGCAGACAGCAGCTGATTACAGAAACTCCTTGATTCCCCAGTACATGAACAAGGTTTGGCCAATAGAAAACCTGAAACCCTAGGTGGCTGAAAATTCAGTGGTTGTTAAGGTTCCCCAGAACACCAGTGAAAGGGAGTGGAGATATGGTGACAGAAATGGCTCCCTCACACCAGCACTCTAGACTGATTGTTGCCAATAGGGCCTTATATTCCAATTTTTGTGCCTCCATAGCACAGGAGGAGGCTGGTGTTCATAAGTGCCCCTAGAAACCTATTGTGAGGGTTATCTGGTCACCAAAAGGGCCCCAAAAGGACCTTGCAGCAGTGCATGGGCAGAAGTTTCCGGAAGAGCCCTGGGGAGGCAGAGGGTGGGATGATACAAAACTGGAAGAGTTCCATATCAGACAGGATGGCTAATAGCCAATGATCCCTGTTTCCAAACACACAGGATTTAGTAGAGGGCAGAAGGCCCCCTTGGACACTAACACATGAGAAGTACCTTGGCCAAAAGGGTACTAATGTCCACAGCACACAGGCTGGCTTATGGCCAACAAGGTCTTGTGTTCCATGGCACAAGAGCACGCTAGTGTGCCCATAAGTGCCCCCAGGAACCCAGTGTGTGGGATGCCTGGTTGCTAAACAGGTGAGTAGGACATCGGTGTAAGGGCAGGAGTCTCTAAAAGTGCCCCTGAGGCACAAGTGTGCTGGTAGGCTTGTGTCCAGAGGAATCCCAGGGACAAAGAAGGTGGAATGACCAATGTCCAAAGGGCCCTGGGTTCCACAGCCTATAGAGACACTGATGGTCAAAACAGTACGTAGTTCCCTAGCACACAGGCAGGCTATAAGGACCTGTGGAACCGCAGTGGGAGGGCTGGCTGGTGGTTGGTATGTTGCTAGAGATACCAATGCATGGGAAGGACAGTGGAAAAGGGTTCTAGATTCCACAACACAGAGATTGACTGAAGGCCAGAAGGGCCCTTGGTTCCCCAGTGAGAGACCTGTGCTGTGAACTGAAAAGGTTCTAGTTTCTGCATCACATGGGCAGGCTAGTTGCTGAAGAACCCTCAGTTCCCTGAAAAGAGGACAGAATGGGGGCCACAAGGAAACCACAAACCCTAAATAGTGGAAGGTCACCAGAGCAATGGAGGTACAGTGTCCAAAAAGGCCTCAGAGCACTAGCATTCTGAATGGGCTTACTAATAGAGCCAATGTTGTATGGCAGGGGAGTTGGCTAGTGACTATACAAACCTCCAGGATACCAGGGAGGAGCAGTCAGGTCACTGATAGAGTATCTAGGGCACCAGCTCATGGGGCAAACCATGATTGGAAGTACCCTCAGGGTACCAGCACCAAGTCAGGCATGTGTCCCTAAGCGTCCCTGTGCATAACGGGGATCAAAGTTAAAAGGGATCTAGGTTCCATGACAGTTCAGACTGCTGGTAGCCCTGAATCTTTATACCCTCAATACAAAGGCAGGCTGTGGAGGTTGGTGAGGTGAAAGGACTCTGGAAACCCTAATGGGCAGGCTGACTGGTGGTCAGAAGGTTCCCCAGTTCTGTGGACAGACCGCAGGTGAAAAGGTTTGCTTCCTCAGCTTGTGGGCTAGCAGAGGATCTGCAGGGCCCACAGTTCTGCAAGAGGCCAATACTGTGACTGAAAGTGCTCTCTTTTCCACAGCAGGCACCAGGCTGATCCCCAAAGAAACCTCAATCCCCCGGCAAACAGACAAGCTGGGTGACAGAAGGAAGCTAGGCACCCTTGGTGACAGGATGGTTGGTGGCTGGAAGGTTCCCCAGGGCACAAGTATGCTGGAGGTTTAGTAACAGAACAGGGCCCCATGGGCTGGGCACGGTGACTCAAGCCTGTAATTCCAGCACTTTGGGAGCCCGAAGCCAGTGGATCTCCTGAGGTCAGGAGTTTGAGACCAGCCTGGCCAACATGGCGAAACCCTGTCTCCACTTAAAATACAAAAATTAGCCAGGCATGTTGGTGCATGCCTGTAATCCCAGCTACTCCAGAGGCTGAGGCAGGAGAATCGCTTGAACCTGGGAGGCGGAGGTTGCAGTGAGCTGAGATCGCAGCACTGCACTCCAGCCTGGGTGACAGAGCAAGACTCTTTCAAAAAAAGAAGAAGAAGAAGAAGAGGGTCTTGTGTTAGTTTGCTAGGGTTGCCATAATAAAATACCACAGACATCATGGCTTAAACAACAAAAATTTATTTTCTCACAGCTCTGGAGGCTGGAAGCCTAAGATCGGAGTGTTGGCAGGTTTGGTTTCTTCTGTGGGCTCTCTCCCTGGCTTGCAGATTTCTGGGCTTGCAGATTCCTTGACTTGCAGCCTTCTCAATGCATGCCCTCACTTGATCTTTCCTCTGTGTGTACAGGTTTGTGTTCAAATTTTCTCTTCTTATAAGAATATTATCATCTTATATGACATTAAATCATATAGGATTAGGGCCCAGCCATATGACCTCATTTTATTTTAGTTACTTTAAAGACCCTGTCTCCAAATACAATCATATTCTGAGATACTGGGGGTTTGGACCTAAACATGAATTTTGGAGGGCACAACTCAGCTCATAACATACCCCCTTGTACAAACAATCTGGATAAATGGTTGTCAATGGGGTCCTACATTTTACAGCACAGGAACAGGCTAGTGCCCATAAGGGTCCCTAAGACCCCTGTGAATGGGCAGTCTTGTCACCAAAAAGGCATCCGGGGCACCAATGCGGGGACAAACTTAGACTGGAAGTGCTCTGCCAACACCCTGCAAGCCACGTGTCAGTTAAGAGTCTCAAATCTGAAGAAGGTAGAATAGACTGAGGAAGAAAGGACTCTCAGTTCAACAGCAGGCAGGGTGCTAGTCAGAAGAGTACTTGGTTTGTTACAATCCAAACTCCCAGCAGAAACTAAGTACAAACAGACTTGTACCTAAAAGGACCCATAGATGCTATGGAGCAGGCTGGCTGGTATTTGATAGTTCCACAAGGATGTTAATGAAGGGATGTCAGTGGCTAAAAGGGTACTAATTTTCATTGCACACTGGCTAGTTAAGGATGGAAAAGGCCATCGAAAGGAAAGGCACAAGGCCTATTCAATGACCAAAAGGATTCTGGTTTCATCCCACTGGAAGACTAATGGCCGAATAACCTTTGGTTCTGCAGTGTATAGACTCAACCGGAGCTGAAATGACCCCTGGATAGCATGCCGATGGGAAGTGGCTGCCTGAAAGTTTCCCCTGAGCAGGAGTATTAGGAGTATGGTGGCCAAAAGGGGCATCAGTGTGCTCAACAGCTGGCTGCCAATTGGAAAAATATTTCACAGCACAGAAGCAGGCTAGTGCCTATAAAGGCCCCCATACTACCAGAATGTGGGTAGTCCTCTTGCTGAAGGGGCATCAGGACACCAGTAGATGGGCAAACTGTATTTAGATGTTCTGCCCCTTACTAAATCCTGTGTGTTTGGAAACAGGGATCATTGGCTATTAGCCATCCCGTCTGATATGGAACTCTTCCAGTTTTGCATCATCCCACCCTCTGCCTCCCCAGGGCTCTTCCGGAAACTTCTGCCCATGCACTGCTGCAAGGTCCTTTTGGGGCCCTTTTGGTGACCAGATAGCCCTCACAATAGGTTTCTAGGTGCACTTATGAACACCAGCCTCCTCCTGTGCTATGGAGGCACAAAAAATTTGGTCACCAGCATTGTGCCAAGCAAGTGTCCAGAATGGCACCAAGGTAGCACAGGATGAGATGGAGTGATGCCCAAAAGGTTGTGGATTCCACAGCAGATTGGACAGCCTATGAACCCTCATATCACCAACACAAAGACAGCCAGGGAAAAATAATTGGAATCCTAGGGGGCAGGCTGACTGTTGGTCAGAAGTTTCTCTAGGGCACCAGCTCCATGGATGGATGGTGAACAAAATGGCTTTTGCATTCTCAGCTTGATAGCTAACTGAGAGCATGTAGAAGTCATAGTTTCCTATCTGGAGGCCAGTAATATAACTAAATGTGCTCTTGTTTCCACAGCATGCAGAGGAAAAATTGGCAAAGAGCTTTCAGTACCCTAGCATGCAGGCAACCTGTGAGCCACAAGGAAAGCCAGAACTCTAAGGAGCAGGAAATATGGTGACTAGGAAGTTTCTGCAGGGCACATCCCAGATGGAGATGCACTGGTAAAAAGAGGCCTGTGCATCTGCGTTCTGAATGGATGTTTGTCAATAGGGCCCCGTATTCCACCACATGGGAGCAGGTTATTAGGGCTACCCTGGCACCCAATGTGGAGGCAGTCTGGTCACAGGGTACAGAGGGCAGCAGCGCCAAGGCAGAATGTTTCTGGAAGTGATTCTGGGGTGCCAGCGCCCTAGCTGGTACAGGTACGAAGAAACACCCAGGGTCCTAGAGTTCAGGATGACTGGATGCCAAATGGCACAGATCCACAGCATGTGAGGGAAAGTGATGGTCAGAAGGGTACACAAGAGAGGTAGGGATGGTCCAAAGGGGTCTGTGTTCCCAGACCTATAGAAAGGGTGATTGATGATCAGAGGGTATGTGGTTCCCCAATTCTTCAGGCAGTCTAGAAGCCATTAGGACATGTGGAATTCCAGGGGCCAGGACAGCTGGTGTTCTAAAGTTCCCCAGGCACACTAACGTGGGGAGGGAAGCGACTGAAAGAGTTCTAGGATTCATTGCACATGGGGTAGTTGAAAGCAGAAAGAATCAATGGCTTGCCAGTGCGAGGCCTGCCAGAGGCCAGAAATATTTTGGATTCTGACTTGTGCAGGCAGGCTGGTGGCTAAAGAACCTTCCCAAGCACGCTCAATGACTTGTGACAGGAAGGAGTCCCGAAATCCTAATGAGGGAAGATTCACCAGGTTATTCACACCAAAAGATTAACTGTGTGGGGCCCTGAACAATCACCAGAACTTTAGCAGGAGGTCAGACTGTTGATAGGAGGATTCCCCAGGGCACACTCGTGAGGGACAGATGGTGGTCAAGAGGGATCATGATTCCTGAACTTTTGGTCTGCCTGAAGGCGCAAAGAGTTCATGGTTCCCTTGCAAGATGGTAAGGCTGTGACCAAATAGTCTCTTTTCCACCTAGGATGGGCAGGCTGGTCCCTAAAGAACCCTTGGTTACCGAGGGCATACACAGCTAAGGGCTGACAGGAAACCTGGGACCATAGTTGGCAAGAAATATGATGGAGGTTCCCCAGGGCACTCCAAAGATGGAGATGTGATTGCAAAAAGAGGCCCCTGTGTCCCAGGGTTCAGGATGGATGGTTGCAAATAAGGCCCTGTGTTCTACTGTACAAGTGAAGGCTAGTGCCCGTAAGGGCTCTCCTGAACCTAGTGTGCAGGCAATCTGGTCCCAGAAAGGACCTGGAGTGCCAGTTCCCTAAACAGCACATGTACAGAAGAAGAGCCCATGGGTTCATATAGGTCGGAATGGGGATGGATATGATGCCTAAGGGGACTGAATTTCCCAGTTCGCAGTGTTGGGGTGAGCACAGGGGACATAAGGACACACAGAACCATAGTGGCAGGCCCAGATGGCTATAAAAAGGTCCCCAGGGACACTAATGAGTGGGAAAGAACTATACCAAAAGAAACCTTGGTTCCATCACAAGCAGTGTAAGGTAGGACAGGAAAGACCATTAGGATCTTGATGCTAGGCCTGCCCAGTAAGTGGAAAGAATTCTGGATTCTACATTATGCAGACAGGCTGGTGGCTGAAGAAACTTTGATTCCAAGGAAACTCTGATGACTCTGGGTCAGAAGGTGCTACAGAACCCCAGCAGGGCCCACATAGGGGATCAGACATTTCCCCAGGGTACCCACACGGTTAGCTTAGTAGGGGAAAAGGACAGTGGCCGAAATGACTTATCCGTGAAAGCAGAGTACCAAGGCTTCCCCACTATGAGGTGTATAGGGTGACTAAACTTGCTCCAGTTCCAACAGCAGGCAGGAAAACTCATGACCAAAAACCTCTCAGAACCCAAGCATGGCCAGGCAGGGAAGAACCCAGAAACGTTATGGCCAGAAAGGCCCTGAAGTCACTAACACCATGAAGTAAAGGTGCCAAAAGGGGTCCCCGATCTCTAGAGTCTTGTTACCATGATTTTCAATTAGGGCCACATATTCCATAGTATGTGATCTTGCTGTGGCCCATAGGACCCCAGTTCACAGTCAGTCTAGACGCAAAAAGATTTCCCAAAGTAGCAGCGCTGGGGCAGATGGTGTCCCGAAGTCCTCTGTCCCTGCCCCTGGCACCACAAAAGGAGCTGGCATATGTCCAAAAGGATCCTGCGGTGTAAGAGGTTGAGATGGACCCAGGTTGAAAGGCCTAGTCCTGCTGATGGCCCTAGTAGGAGAAGCCCCCGTTTCCACCCTAAAAGGATTGTATGAGGACATGAAGGATCCCTGGAACGCTGGCGAGAGCAGAGATTGGTGGCTGGAAGCTTCCCTGGGGACACCCACAAGAGGGACAGACAGTAGCTGAAAAAATCGTGATTCCTGAGATTGTGAATTCACTCAGTGCCTAAAGGACTCGTGGTTCTCCCGCAAAATGCCAGTGGCCCGATGGTAAATGCTCTTCTTCCACCAAAGGAAGGCAGACTTGTCACAAAAGAAACTTAGTCTTCCCAAGGACATTAACATGTGGGTAGTCCAGTGACTGAAATGATTTCAGCCTCAATTCCATACATGGACTAGCTGAGGAGCAGAAGAAACATAAGTTCCCCTGGCCTGTCCAGTGATCAAAAGGATTCTGGAGTCTGAATCATTCAGGTGGGTTGATGGCCAAAGAACCTCTGTTTCTGAGGTACATGAGATAATGGGGCCAGAAAGAGCACTGGAACCCTAAATGAAGGGGCACATCTGTGGTCAGATTCACCAGGATATACGCACCGGGGGAAGGATGGTGGTAGGGACTAAAGGATCACCAGAACCCTGGTGAGCAGTCAGACTATGGATAGGAAGATTCTTAGGGGTATTTGCAAGGCACAGACAGTGGCCGAGAGTGGTCATAATTTCTGAACTTGAAGCTTGGCCAAAGGCAAGAAGAGCTTATGGTTCACTTGCCCGATGAAAGTGCTGTGACCAAAAATGTGCTTCTTTCCAGCTCATGCAGGTAGGTTGTTCACCCCTAGGGGCTGGAGGCCAACAAGAAACCTGGAACCCTAGCTGGCAGAAGTATGATAACCAGAAGGTTCCCCAGGGTACCACAAAGAGGGAGGTATGGTAGGGAAGTGGTTCTGAAAGGATGGTCACTAACAAGACCCTGTGTTCCACACAAGGGTGCAGGTAAGTGCCCATAAGTGCTCTCCTGGAACCCAGTGTGAAGGCAGCCTGGCTTCATAAAGATTCTACAGGGCAGCAGTGTCCTGGATGGCACGTGTTCAAAAGAATCCTAAATATCCTGAATGTCAGAACGGAGATGGACAAATGCCCAGGTGTCTAGATTCCACAGCCTAAAAAAAGTATGATGGTCGCAAGTATACATTGTTCCCCAGCTGATGGGCAACCAGTCTACAGACTGTAAGGACACAGGGAACCATAGACATTAGCCCAGAGGGTGATGGGAAGGTCCACAGGGATTCTTGGTACCACTGCAAATGGGGTCACAGGACTGGAAGGGCCATAGGTTTCCTTCCCCAAACCTCTCCCCAAAGGCCTGTCCTTTCCCTGGGGCAGCCACAAGAGGGGCAGATGGCTGCTAGTGCTCATAATTCCTGAAATTGCAGCTAGCTCAAGGCCTGAAGAACTCACTTCTTCCCTGTCCTAAGTCAGTACCCTAAATATAAATATAAATAATACAAATGCTCTCCTTTCACCACAGGAAGGCAGGTGGATCATATGATAACTCTCATTTCCCCAGAGACACAGGATACGCGACAGCAGGAATCTAAAAACCCTAGCTGGTGAGAAGTCTAGTGGCCAGATGGTTTTGAGGCAATGCCCTGGTAGAGGGGCAGTGGAGAAAAGGGGTCCCAGTACTAGAGTGCTGGATGGATGTCTTCTTGTATTAGGCCGTCCTGGCACCGCTATAAAGAAATACCTGAGACTGGGTAGTTTATAAGGAAAGAGGCTTAATTGACTCACAGTTCTGCAGGATGTACAGGAAGCATAGTGGCAACTGCTTCTGAGGAGGTTTCAAGAAGCTTCCAATTATGGCAGAAGACAAAGGGGGAGCAGGCACATCACATGGTGAAAGCAAGAGTAAAAGAGAAAGAGAGTGGAGGGAAGGTGTCACACACTTTTAAAGGACCAACTCTGTGAAATCGGGGCCACAGCTCACTTAACATCAAGGGGATGGCCCATTTATGAAGGATATGCCCCTTTGATCCAAATACCTCCCACCAGGCCCACCTCCAAATTGGGGAATACATTTCAACATGAGATTTGGGTGGGGACAAATATCCAAACTATACCACTGCCTTTAGGGAATTGTGATCCATGGCATGGATGTAGGCTAGTGCCCATAAGGGCTATCTTGGAACGCACTGGGCAGACAGCCTGGTCTCAGAAAGGGCCTACATGGCATCAGCACCAGTGCAGAATGTATCTGGAAGTGCTCCTGGGGTGCCAGTGTCCAGGCAGGGTAAGTCCAGAATAATGGACAGAGACCTAGAGGTGGGGATGGACACAACGTCCAGTGGGCTCTGGGTTCTGAAGCCTGTAGGGAGGTGAGGGGTGCAAGGGTACAAGATGCCCCAGCTCACAGTCACACTGGCACCATAAGGATGCACGGAACCTAGGGACTGGGCCAGTTGCTGTTCAGAAAGTCTCCAGGAACACCAGCACGTGGGCAGGTATGTGATCAAAAGAGTTACAGATTCAATTGCATACAGGCAATGAAGATTGGACATGGCATAGATTTTTTTTCTAGCATCAAGCCTGCCTGGTAACTGGAAGGGTTCTGGATTCTGCATCATAGAGGCAGGCCAGTGGCCTACGAACCTCTGTTTTCCAGGCAACCCAGATGCTTCCGGGCCAAAAGGGGCCCTGGAAGCCTAGCAAGGGACCATGTCAGTGGTCAGAAGGTTCCTCTGAGCGCCCACACTGGGGACAGGGGTTGGGGGTGGGGGCGTAAGGGAAAAGGAAGGAATGTACGAGTACAGAGTGTGGCCAAAATTGCTCCAATTTCTGATCGCAAAGTCCCCGCAATATCCCAGTGTGAGGTCTGTACTTTCACCGAACTTGCACAGGTTTCTACATTAGAAGAATTTACGAGCAGAAAAACACCAGGTACCAAGCATGTCTGCGGACTGTAGGCAGGAACGATCTCAGAAACTTTTAGGGCCGGAAGGGACCTCTTGACATCAGTGTCACGGAGTACGGCTGCCAAAAGGCGCCCCGTGGCAGCAACATGCTAGAAGTTTGGTTGCCAGTGGTGCCATATATTCCGCTGCACAAAAGCTGGTTAGGGTCCCTTGTTATCTCATGTCGTGGGCATTCTGGTCACAAAAAAAAAGGTTCCCAGGGCAGCAGTTCCTGGGTAGATATTATCCAACAGTGCCCTCCTCGCCGCCCCAATACGGTAGCAGGTATGTTATCTGGAAAAGTCCCAGGGTCTAAGAAAGCGAAATAGACTCAAACTGAAAGGACTCGTGCTACTTAAAGCCTAAAAGGAGCCCAGGGTTCCACCGCATGAGGACTGTCGGGGGGGGGTGTTAGGGATCCCCGGAACCCTGGGGAGATGGCTAACTGGTCACCGGAAGATTCCAGGGCACCTGTGTGAAAGAGAGACGGTGGCCTAGTGGGCTCAGTATTCCCTAGATTGCTGGATGACCCCGAAGGTTCTGAAAGGATCATATTTCCTCTGCAAGAAGCCACTATCGGTACTGGAAATGTTCTTTACATCGCTGGCGGGCCGGCGGGTTGCAGAACTTCTCAGTTCCCCAGTGCTCGCGCCGTCTTGTGGTAGGAGGCAACCCGGAACCCTAGCTGGTGGGAAGTTTGGAGGACAGAAGGTTCCCCAGGGTACTAGCCGGGTAGAATTAAGACCAAATGCGTTCCCTAAGCCCCCGCCTCCCCCTCCCCCCAACTCTGGAAGGATGATAGTAGATCCCTGTTACCCACGGAAAGGAGCAGGTTATAACCTGTAAGGCACCCCTGGAAACCAATGCGCGTGCAGTCTGGTTTCAGAAAGGGCTCTTAGGCCCCCAGCGCCAGGACAGAAAGTGTCCGGAAGTGCTCTCAGATACGACTGAAGTGGCAGGTACAAGTCTGAAAGAGTCCTGGATTCTGAGCGTGAGATGGACCCAGGCCAAACGGGCTAGTTCTGCTGATAGCTCTGGGTTCACGGAAAGGGTCCCCCAAGGCCCTTCGTACGGGTGAGATGATTGCTGCCAGGGCCCTGGGTTCTTTTAGGCTGTCTTAGGTAAACAGTCTGATGCTTCCAAGGCCTTCGCTACACCAGTTCTTGGTCATGCTGGTGCCCCTAAGGATCTGGGTCGGCATCTGGAGGGCTGTAAATTAGCCTGAAGGACCACTGGCCACCTGTGCCTCATCAGGCTTGTGTTGCAAGGACCATGTTTCCCCATAGGGGATTTTTGGTTGGCTTCTACTCTTCTGGGATCATTGCATGAGAGCTAGATAATGACTAGATAGTGCCCCTGAGCCCCAGCACGAACAGTGGCTGCTCCTCATGTACTCTTTGCTCCTGGAACTCCTATCTAGTACTTTTCCAGGGAGAAATATATCCCACTGCAATCCTAAATTTAACTAAACTGCCTTTTACAAACAAGATGACAAATTCTCAAAAACAAGAGACTTGGAAATTTACCATCCTTGCACTAGTCCAGAAAACTCTTCTTGTATAAACAAGAAAAGCAGGGAAGTATATGCAAAAGAAGTTGCAATGCAAATCTTATCCATGTAAATAAAGGGATGTTTAAGTAATTTTGATTAATGCTATTACAGAAGATAATATGCAGATTATAATTCCTGAAACAAAAGCTACATTATGTATGCATAATTATAATTTGATTCTAGTGGACTAGAACCAAAATCCCAGTAAATAAATTCACATAGTAAAAGAAACAGGAAACACAAATTGGCCTTATCCCTTCTCCTTTGGGCATGGGGTTCAGGTACAAATTGTTGTTAGTGCAAATGATTTTGTTATGTTTAAAATTTGTTAATTTTAAAATTATATAATTGCCCTTATTATGGAGAAATGTAAGACCAAATTGAGTTGAATCATTATATGTAATAAAGTACAAGCAGATGGAAAATTTATTCTGCCTGATTATGATATATGTATATATATGATTCATATACATAAATTATATACGTAGATGTAATATATATGTACACACACACACACACACACACACACACATATGCCAGAAGTTTCACCTGGCAGGGACTAGGAAAAATTTTTATGATTAGATGAATTAATGGCCTTTGTGAACAGTAATGTTAAGATATTTTCAGCTCTATGCTGGCTTATATTCCCCTATATTATTTCAAACTATTATGAACTCTTAGTTATACACATTAAACTTGTTTTTATAAGACAAGGAAAGTCCAACCTTGCAGGCACCAGATCTCTGGTGAGTTTGGCTTTCCAAACCCAAAGCAGAGCTGAGGACGGTAGAAATAGGAGATAAGAGAACATCTATTTGCAGAAAGGTATGACCCAGAAATTAGATGACAAATTTCTTTTTTAAAAAAATTGTGGGTACATAGTAGGTGTATATATTTATGGGGTACATGAGATGTTTTGATACAGACATGCAATGCGTAGTAATCACATCATGGAAAATGGGGTATCCATCCCCTGAAGCATTTATTCTTTGTGTTACAAACAATCCAATTACACCCTTTTAGTTATTTTTTAATGCACAATTAAATTACTATTGAATATAGCCCCTTTGTTCTGTTATAAAATACTAGGCCTTATTCTTTCTAACTACTTATTGTACTGATTAACCATCCTCACCTCCCCCCATACCCCCAATACCCTTCCCAGTCTCTGGTAACTATCTCTCTATTCTCTATCTTCATGAGTTCAGTTGTTTTGATTTTTAGATCCCATAAATAAGTGAGAACATGCTTATCCTTTTGTGCCTGGCTTATTTCACTTAGCATAATAACCTCCAGTCCCATCCATGTTGTTGCAAATGAGAGGATATCATTCTTTTTTGTGGTGGAATAGTACTCCATTGTGGATATGTACCACATTTTCCTTATCCATTCATCTGTTGATGGGCACTTAGGTTGCTTCCAGATTTTGGTTATTGTAAACAGTGCTGCAAAAAATATGGGAGTGCAGATATCTCTTCAATATACTGATTTCCTTTCTTTTAGTTATATACCCAGCAGTGCAATTGCTGCATCATATGGTAACTACATTCTTAGTTTTTTGAGTAACCTCCAGATTGTTCTCCATAGTGGTTGTACTGATTTACATCCCCACCAACAGCATGTAAGGCTTCCCTTCCCTCCACATCCTCGCCAGCATTTGTTATTGCCTGTCTTTTGGATATAAGCCATTTTAATGGGGGTGAGATGATATCTCATTGTAATTTTGATATATATTTCTCTGATGATCAATGATATTGAGTACCTTTTCCTATGCCTGTTGGCCATCTTTTCGTATGCTTGTATGTATTCTTTTGAGAAATGTCTATTCAGATCCTTTGCCCATTTTAGAAATTAGATTATTAGATTTTTTTTCCTGTAGGGTTGTTTGAGCTCCTTATATATTCTAGTTATTAATATATATTAATATTATTAATATTTCTACTAATTTCTTGTCAGATCGGTAGTTTGCAAATATTTTTCCCATTCTGTGGGTTGTCTCTTCACTTTGTTGATGGTTTCCTTTACTGTGCAGAAGTTTTTAACTTGATATCATCCCATTGGTCTATTTTTGTTTTGATTGCCTGTGCTTGTGGGGTTTTACTCAAGAAATTTTTGCCCAGACCAATGTTCTGGAGAGGTTCCCTGATGTTTTCTTGTAGTAGTTTCATAGTTTGAGGTCTTAGATTTAAATCTTTAATCCACTGCCAAATTTCTTTTACCCCAAATATCAGAGAAAGTTAATTGAAGAGGGATCAGCAAAAACCAGAGTTATGCTATCACAAATTGCGAGGAAGAAATTAATAGTCAGGGTTTCATTTTAGAAATTAACTGAGGAAAATAAGTTTGAGTAAGATATTTTCATTTATAAAGGTAGCAACGTCCAATGTCAAAGACAGTTTACTTTAGAAATCATTGGAAAGGAAAATAGGGTACACAGAGAAATATATGTTTGACAGCTTTTTTGATATGTGAACTTGACTAGGCTACTGTCCCCAGTTATTCAAACACTCATCCAGGTATTGCTGTGAAGGGATTTTGTAATGTAATTAAACTCTAATTAATTGACTTTCAATCAGGTTGAGCCTGACCTAATCAGTTAGAAGGTCTAAAAGCAGGGCTGAGGCTTTCCTGTGACAGAGAAGATATTCTTCCTGTGTACAGTAGTGTCCACCTGTGCCATGGACAACTTTTGTCTTTTTCATAATTGTCTCTTCCTGACTGCCTGTGGGCACAGTTTTGACCCATGTCCATGGGTTCCAACATGTTTTTTTTTTTTTTAGACGGTATTTCGCTTTGTCGCCCAGGCTGGAGTGCAATGGTGTGATCTTGGTTCACTGCAACCTCTGCCTCCTGGGTTCAAGCAATTCTCTGCCTCAGCCTCCTGAATAGCTGGGATTACAGGCACCTGCCACCACGCCCGGCTAATGTTTTTGTATTATTAGTAGAGACGGGGTTTCACCGTGTTAGCCAGGTTCGTCTTGAACTCCTGACCTCGTGATCCACCTGCCTTGGCCTCCCAAAGTGCTGGGATTACAGGCGAGAGCCACCGCAACCGGCCCCAACATGTTTATGATAATTCCTTCCTGACTTCCTGCCTTACAGATATTGGACTTCCTTAGCTAGCCAACACAATCATTTTCTTTGTATAAGATCAATCTCTCTCTCTAATATATCTATGTCTATATCTCTTATGTATACTTATCTTACATATGCCTATCTTATACATACCTACCCTACTGGTTCTGCTTCTCTGGTTGATACATGACAAAAATAAAGAAGTCTAGAAATATCTTAAATGAAATAAGCTGAAACTGATTTTTTTTAGGAAGTAATAAATGAAAAGAGAAGAGCAATTGACAGATAAATCTAAGAGGTAGTCTTTTGATAAATAGTTACGCAAAATTAGATATGAGAAAGTGGAAAATAACAAATTCACGCAAAAATGAAAGGATTATAGGAGATTATTTTCTGTAACTCTGCGCTAATAGCTTTTCCAGTGTTATATAAAATCCTGAATTTGACTCAAGTACAGTTAAAAAGCCACAATAAACCACTTAACTCTGGAAGAATTAGAGATTGTGGTCAAAGGAACTACTCTGTCAAAACCTATACTGCTGTTTTTCATATCATTTCATTCAAATTATTGGGAATAGATTTTATGGCATTAACTCTTCAAATCATAAAGAATGCAGAAAAAGGCCGGGCGTGGTGGCTCACACCTGTAATCCCAGCACTTTGGGAGGCCGAGGTGGGCGGATCACGAAGTCAGGAGTTTGAGACCACCCTGGCTAACACAGTGAAACCCCGTCTCTACTAAAAATAAAAAAAATTAGCCGGGCGTGGTGGCGTGCGCCTGTAGTCCCAGCTGCTCAGGAGGCTGAGGCAGGAGAATGGTGTGAACCCGGGAGGTGGAGCTTGCAGTGAACCGAGATCGTGCCACTGCACTCCAGCCTGGGTAACAGAGGGAGACTTGGTCTCAAAAAAAAAAAAAAAAAAGAATGCAGAAAAACATAAAAGATGTTTATATGAAGCTACAATACAGTTATATTATTCAAACCAAAACAACTGAATATTGCTTCTTTATGGTTACATATAAATTCCATATAAAATATTAGCCAATATAATCTAGAATTACATTAAAAGAATAAAGGTTTAAGACAAACTGGTATTTACACTACAATTACAAGAATGGTTAATATGAGAATTTCATTATGTCAAAATAATTAAAAGGTAATTTTGATAGAAGTTGATAATGCATTTGATAAACTTTAAATATTCATTCCTGATAATAAAATTTTTTACTAAAAGAGGAACATAAAGATATCTCCTTAATCCTCAACACATGTATGTTTTCTTCAACTTAATATACACATGCGTACACACACAGGTACATACACACACTAAATGATAAAAGACCAGAAGCGTTTCTATTAAATTTGGAGAAAGAGAGAGCTATCTAAAATATTATTATTTATGTACATTTTGGAAATGCTAGCAAAAACAAACAAGGAAAAATAAGAGTAATAAATACTGAAAAGGTTACAAATACATCTTCATTTGTACATGATATGGCTCTATACATGAAAAATTCCACAAAACAGACAAAAACCAAACATTTAAAGAATTATGGGAGTATTCAGAAAGTTGGGTAATTAAAATTTAAATGTTAAATTTATAGCTTATTTTGCTACCAAAATCTTTTGAACACTACAGCAGAACATTAAAAATAAACCTAGAGTGACTTATTTTATTACTGGATAGACCCACTATTAAAGATTCCAAATTTTAAACCATTTTATAAATATAGTGCGATGCTAATTAAAAATCTACACATGCTTATGTAGTTTGTATATATTATTCAATTTGTTTGGCAGAGAGGAGCAAGAATGTTATGTGATGACTTTAGACGTCTGGGTGAAATTTAGGTTGGAAGTGGGTACAGGTAGGACAAAACAGAACATAGGTAGTTTACTTCATTTCCATGCACTTTCAGTTACCACTGTTATCTTGAATCAATAGTACTGTCCACTTAGAGACAGTCAGAGTTTTAAAGTAAGTAGAGTATCTGAAAACTAATAGCAACAATGCTAACATGTAGTGGATACTCACTAAATGCCATCTCCCTTTCTTTTGTCCTTCTTAGTTGAGCTGGTTTTCCAGATGAAACAATGAGAGTTGTCTATGATTTGGGCCAATGTATTTTGAAACAAAATCAGAGTTCTTAATGTATTACTACATAGAATAGTTCAGAACTATCATATTTACCAATACATGCATCCTCATGTGACTGAAGGACTAACACAATCTTTGGGGTCATGTTTAATCTTTATGTAACTCCAGGGTTCAAACTTTAGGTATTGGGCCAGTTAGGGCAAGTTCCCAAAGCCTTAACTTGGTAGATCTCTAAATCAGTTTCTTTTGCCATTTAATCTTCTCTTCGGTTGGCTGGCAAAACCTGATGGATCAAGAGCTTAAATGAAGATCACTAAATCCTCCCTTTTCTGTTCAGAATCCAGTGAGATTTCATTACATCCCACACACACAGGATTTCATCTCCAGGTTTCAAGGAAAGGAAATGATCCCTATCGTGTAGACAAGTTAGAGAATCCTTTCTTAGTTCATATACTCTCAGTTTAGCTTATGATAAATATCAGGTTAACGTGTCATCAGAAGGCTGGGGATTATTTCAGGTATAAATAAAATGTTTTCTCCATTCTGCCGCTGTTTCCTGATAACCAAGATTTGGCTGGAGATTCAATTTCTTGATCATAAAACACAGTTTCCACTGCCAAGGTGCTGTGATCAGATCATTACCATGGTAGTCAAGCCCTTTACTTTGTTACACTTAGCTGCCTAGTATCTTCACGTAACCATCCCTGTTTTTCTTATGTATTTGTTTGCTGGTAGACTTTTTGTTAGCAGATATTTGGCATTTCAAGGTTGTCTGTGAACTTTTATTTTCATTAGTTTAATAAATGTCTCCCCCATGTCCGATCTAGCAAAATATCTTAAGGACGTAACTAATGAGTATGAAGTCCCCTTGGAGAAGAGAAAACAATAGATCACAATTCAATTATGGCAGTTTAAATGGAAGGAATCCATAACTTACATCGTAACAGCCTCTAAAAGGAAAAAAGTGACCATGTTTTTATAATATATATATATATAATAATGTTAAAACAGTTATTAATAGGGTATATCATGTAGCACACCTTAAATATATATAGGCGATGAAACATACTATCTTATATTTGTCCTAAGGCAGGAAATGATTATAGTTTGTTTTCTACTTTCTGAAAGTGTTTTGAGGGAGGTTACAATAAATACACGTACAAAAAAAATCATTCAAATAACTGAAAAAAAAACACACACATACAATAAGACAGACCGACAAATAAAAGAACTTTCAGATCAATGGGAATATTATATGAGAAAATGCAAGCTATAGCAACCAAGTTCTAAATTTCATGTGAAGCATTTTAGGATTTTTATTACCTAAAGGAAATGCACTAAGGCAAGAGGAGGGATTTTTTTCCTTGTTATAAGCACCAAGAGGAATTTGTCATAGAATTATTTATATTTAAATGAAAAATGCTTTATTATTTAGAAGTGGGGAAATGGACATTGACAACATTGGATTATTTACATTCAATATTTATCTCCATTATGCTAAAAAAAACCTCATTGTGCTACAGAATTTAGTTCTGGAATCTTGAAAAGATAAATAGTTTTAAAACAGGATTATTTATCTGAAATAATCCACGGCTCATGGTATGAAATTTTATATAATAATGTTTATTTTAATACAATATATGGCCAAAGTCCCTGAAAACATCTTTTTGTTCATAAGTATAACATAAGGTTGATCTGATCAATGTAGCAAAATGATTGAAGAACACATTGAGGTGTACATCACCCTAAAATTTCCAAAGTAAGCCGAAAATTCCTAACCTTTTGAATGTTTCAGAGTTGCTTTATTGACAGTGGGGGAAGAGAATGTGTTTAGAGGGGAGTCGGAGTGCCAATGAGAAAGAAACCTAAAGGAGATCTTTTGAGACTGGTTTCTTAAATATTTCTTTATAAACTCAAAAGTGAGACAAAGCAATGTAGATGTGTAAAAAATGATGAAATCCCATCTACCCAAAAGGATCACCCGGGGCCACTATTTTGGTTAATCTGTTGTTGTCTAGGCTCAGGTCTGCAGGTCTGGTAGCTCAGATAATTGATTTCAAGAGCACAACATGAACAGGTTTGTCACTCAAAATCAGATTTGTATTCATTAAGCTAAGAGATAACTGTGTGCAAAGTTATAATCAAAATTCGTAACATTAAAATAAAAATTATCAATTTGTTTTAATCTATAGACTAGAGTTCATATGCAGTAGTGTGTGTAAGTTGATATGACCAATATATTTTCTTTCCTTAGGTAGATCTATAGTGAGAAGCTGAACCATAACTGAAACACTGCTAAGGAAGCATGGGATGATGAGAGAAGACACATTCATCTTAGGATGTATTCGTTAACCATAAGGTAGCTTAAACACTCATCCTCATAATAGTACCACAATAATATTTATGATAAAGACTTACTGTTCCCTAGACAGTGCTTGGGTGAGTTCCACACACATTTCCTACTTCAACTCTTCTTCTTTATTTTCATTGGCAATGAACCCCAACCTAAACCACTTCTAATATAACTTAATACCTTCAGTTAAGCCCCATAAATAAATGTATTAATTTTTTTTTTTGAGACACAGTCTTGCTCTGTTGCCAGACTGGAGTGCAGTGGCACAATCTTGGCTCACTGCAACCTCCACCTCCCGGGTTCAAATGATTCTCCTGCCTTAGCCTCCTGAGTAGCTGGGACTACAGGCATGCGCCACCAAGCCCAGCTAACTTTTTTTGTATTTTTAGTAGAGACGGGGTTTCACCATGTTGGCCAGGAGGGTCTCGATCTCTTGACCTCATGATCTGCCTGCCCCAGCCTCCCAAAGAGCTGGGATTACAGGCGTGAGCCACCACGCCTGGCCACACATATGAAATATAAATATACATATGAAAAAAATATATATGTATGAAAGCCCATCTACCCAAAGGGATCATATTCCAAAGATGACAGCTGAAGTTCTTGAAAACATCTTTTTGATTATAAGTATAGCATAAGGATGATGTGATTTATTTATTAAATCTGATTATCTTATTTATTTATTAATAATAAATAAATATATGGAGCTTGACCTAAGGTATTAAGTTATATCAATATATTATATGTATATAAAATATGTTTAATCAAAACCAAGAGTTATACTAATATTTAAAGTAGTTTTATATATCCCTGCTGTGATTCTTTCTGGGCTGAATTTAGGGTAACACTTATCTCCCTTATTTCTGAGGTTTTTCCCATAATATGCAGCTTAGCATCGCAATTAAAGTGTATCTTGAATATGATTGCATGTAAGGCTTCATGACATGACTCATGTAGATTTGCTAACATACCTGGAGGTGAAGGGTTCTCTTCTCCCAATCTGCCCTGTTTTAAGAAAGTAGAATTGGGGCCTATATGTAAAGTAGGATTAGAATCGATATCCTTTTTTAAAAACTCTTATGTTAGATACAGGGGTACATGTGTAGGTTTGTTACATGAGCATATTGTGTGATGCTGAAATTTGAGGTATGATTAAAGCCATCACGGAGGTAGTGAGCATAGTACCCAAAAGGTAGTTTTTCAACCCTTGTTCCTCTCCCTCCCTCCCTCATATTGTAGTCCCCAGTGTCTGTTGTTCCCATCTTTGTGTCAAGGTGTACCCAGTGTTTAGCTCCCGCTTGAAAGTGAGAACATGCGATATTTGGTTTTCTGTGCCTGCATTAGTTCGCTTAGGATAATAGCCTCCAGTTGCATCCATGTTGCTGCAAAGGACATAATTTTCTTCTTTTTATGGGTGCATAGTGTTCCATGATGTATACCATTTTTTAAATCCAATCCACCTTTGATGGGCACTTAGGTTGATTCCATGTTTTGTTATTGTGAATAATGCTGCATTGAACATACAGGTGCATGTGTCTTTTTGGTGGAATGATTTCTTTTCCTTTGGGTGTATACCCAGTAATGGAATTGCTATGTTGACTGGTAGTTCAATTTTTAGTTCTTTGAGAAATCTCCAAACTGCTTTCCACAGTGGCTGAACTAATTTACATTCCCACCAACAGTATATAAGTGTTCCCTTTTCTCTGCAGCCCTGCCAATGTCTGTTATTTTTTTTCCTTTTTAGTAATAGCCAAGGAATCAATGTCTTTAATGTTCTAGCAACCCTGATTTAAAATGAGAATGCAAATGGATTTTTATTTTTATTAAAACCATGAATATATCCTCCATTTTAAACCTGAATATATCTTTGAGTGTTAAAATTATGATTTTTTCTCCATAAATAAATGATAGAGGAAGAAAAATATAAGGGGTTATTGAGTTCATATCTTAAAAAATAATTGCAATGAAGTTCTGATAATATTACAGAGGTTATACTTTTTTGCCTGTAAAGACAATCATATTTTAGTTGGTACTCATGGACATGAATTGAAAGAATGAATTGAAATGGATATAATACTTTCATCTATTATTCAGCAAGGTATCAAATGAGGTGTTATGACTTACAGTGAGCAACTTCAACCTATCATTTTTGCCAATCTAAATATCTGATTAAATGTCAAGCAAGTGCAATGTGAATGTGCTTTCCAGAAATGCTCTAAATAAGTAGAAATGGCTGTTTCTGTAGCTTTTCTGATATAAGCTGTGCTCTTTTTTTTTTTTTTGAGACATTGAGTTACTAGAACTGAGATGAACACTGGGTACCTCAAAGTGAAAAATGACTGAATTTCAACTCAGCAGCTTACCTCATGATCTAGTTCCTCTTTCTACTCACCCTCTTTTCATTATGCTTTAGTTGTATTGACCATCTTTAGATTTCTTCCACATTCCTTAAATGCTAAGACATGTTGCCTTTTTCAGCCTTCACATTCGTGTTTCCCAGACTGGATAGCTGCACTCACATCTTCGTATGACTGCAGTCTCTGAAAGATTAATAGGGCTAGAAGATCTGCTTCTAATGTGGCTCGCTCAGATGGCTGCCAATTTGGTGCTGACTGTTAGCAGGGGAACTTATTTTCTCTCCACAGAGCTGCTTGAATGTTCTCACAATATGGAAGCTGGCTTCTCCAAGAATGAGCTATCCAAGAGAAAGACAGCCAGACATATTTATACTTTATATAACCTAGCATTGGAAGTCACATAGTATCACTTCCACTACATGCTGTATTTTAGAAGTGATCACTGAAGAACTCTCCACATTAAGGAGGAGGGGAATTAGATTCCACCTTTAGAAGGGAAGAGTGTCAAAGAATTTATATTTTAAAACCACCACATTAAGACTCCTGATTTTCTTGAATCTAAACAGTTACTCCTCACTAAACAGATATTGTATTGCTCATAAAATTAGTACAATGACAATAGTAGTATCTAATATTTATTTGAATATTATCTTCTTTCCTTTCAACATGTGACTTTTTTATACTCCCTTGAAATTTCAAATTTAATTTTATTGTGTCTACTGCTTCAAGTCTTATCAAAGATGTTTTCCTCCAATTTTATAATGCAAATATATAGAAAACCATAATTCACTCACAAATTGATCTACAGCAAAAAATGTGGGACACATAGATCTGTTATATCCTATATAATAGTATCTATAAAATGTATGTGAATTTTAGATCCTTTTAAAAATTGATTAGCAAATGATGGTAGACTGTATTATGTACAAAGATTTGTGTGCCTACATTTCATTTTAGGCAATTAATTAAAGTAGAAATTATTTTATTCTAGGACCTACTTTAATTTCCAAAGAAGTGTATAAAACTGTAAAAAGAGAGAGAGATGCCATAGCATGTAAGAAGTGTGTATGTTCTTTCTGTATTTAAATAATGTAATATAATAAGGGTGATTCAAACTAAGGTTTTAAATGAATTGGTTGAATGTTACTGTACTTATTATAAATTCTTGATCTTTGAAATAACTAATTTGATAAGTTTTTTTTACAAAAATAGAAGGTAAAACTTACTCATAACTGGCATTTTATACATCTTATGTTGAAGTCATAAACAGAAGAGAGTTTACCAGTGTCCCTAAATACACTATAGTTAATCAAGTCTTAAATCAAAATAGCAGAGTGCATTTTTCAAGCTCACAAATGTACAAAACTCTAGAAATTAAAGGCCTTATCATCATCCCATCATCCACTATACTTAAAATATGCGTACTATGGACTGATATCTTTCCTGGAGATATATTCAGTTATAGGCAAGAAAGGAATGTTTAAAATTACTAAAACTATTTCTGTGCTTCAGCTAGAAAAATTCAGTTATATCACCAGCTGGAATCTAAACACAATGCATAGCATAGCATTGAGTGGAATTAGTGTGTTAAAAATTGTCTTTTGATAATAGTTGTTAATTATAACCATCTTATTAACCAAATCTGGTAGTGTTGTTTTAATTTTTTCTTCTTGCTGTGATTTTCTTTCATAATTGTGCAAGGTGATTATTTTCAAATTGGATTATTTTTAATACACCAAGTAAATCTGCTTTGTCTCTCTCTGGGCAGCAGCATGTTATTTTTGAAAAGACAGGTTTTAGAGTCAATTAGAACTATATTTGAATTCTAGGTCTGCCTTTCATTTGCTTGTGACCCTGGAAGTTACTGATCTTTTCTTGGTTTCAGTGCTCTCATATTTAAAACATGGGGTTAACACCCAATATGCAGTGCCAATTTAATAATTTAATTAGACAACATGTATGTTTGGCACATAACCGATGTTCAATAAATGTAAGTTACTCACCCTTACCCAAAATGCTCTGTTATCTTGGTGCCATTTTTGTTAAATAAAAATGAGAATATTTTGCAAATCTTTTTAAGAAAAAAATTATATGTGGCTATAACCTGTGGTCTGATTCTGAGAAAATGGTGAAAAAAACAGAAATGAACCTCTGTTTTCTTCTGAATCTACTTTAGGAAATCCTCTTCCTTTTTTGCCATCACCTGGTATAATCTAGCACTCACTAGCTGTGGACTTGAATAAATTACTTAACCTTCTTATGCCTCAGTTTACTTATCTATAAATTGGATATAATAATAGTGCCTGCATCATTAGATTGTTAGGAAAATCAGTTGCATTAGTTCAAATAAATGCTGTAAAATAATAAACAGTTAATTTATATTAGCTACCAATATTATTTGTAAAGTTTGTATAGTTGTTTCACCTAATGCTCAAGAACCACCTCCAACCCCCTACAACCTGACTTGAATCTAAATTTCAAATTTTCATATATTCCCATCACTACCAACATCCTATATAATTCTACTAAATTCCAGGCAGATGGTACACTATAATTTCAGGAGGTTCCCACAGCTCTTGAAGTCCATTCTTAGATCCCCTAACTTATTTACAAAAATTTCTAACTCGAGTGTTATGCAAAGGAATATATAATATTTTAAGTGCAGAAGTATAACACAGCTCCAAATACATAGCCTAACATTTGATGTTTCTATAAAATGATTTATATTTATTTAGACATCTTTAATATGTGCTTATTTCTACATCTCCCAAGCCTAGTCTCTTAAACTTCCATGGATTCCTTTTTCTGGCTTTTTCTTCCAAGTTCATAGCATATATTTTACTACAAAGGCATTCTAATGTATATGTCCTCATTTTGCTGTTTATAGCTCAGATGAAAATTTTCATTATGTCAAACATGGCCATTATTCCACTAGCTTTTTAAAAAAGCACTCATTTTCCTCCCTTCAAAGACATGCAAAACAGAAATCTTTCATAATTCTATTTACATAATGGGGTCCAATTGTGTGAGTCAGCATTAACAAGACGCATTTTTCAGTGAACCATTATTTCCTTCTTTAACTAAAGGTAGCAAGTCCTTTTTTTATTGATAGATCCAAATTTCATCTTCCTGGTTATTGATTAAGAATAAATCATCGGACACTTGTCACAATTCGAACAGACAAAGAACGTAAATAATGGGTCTGCAAAATAAACTCTGACGAGAAAGGAAGGAGAGTGGAAATAGCATCAGAGCAATAGATCTCTTAATTTTAAAATATCGGTTTACTTCAGAACTGTACATACTGTCTGGGATGATGAGTAAGCAAGAACATCAATAAATGGGAAAGTCAAGCCCTAATAATTTGTTTTATAAAATTTTTAAAAAATATATAATGTTAGTCTTCAATTTTATAAATTATGGTCTGGGAAATGCTTAAAACAGCATTTTTCATCTAGCAGTAGTAGAATCCCAAAAATGTACCATTTATATACATTTTGCCCTTTCTTCATTGCTATAGAAATGGAAAGGGAACTAGAACTTGATCTTTTCCTGAAAAATTAAGTGGATAGGTTCTGGTGAGGTGGAAAAATTATTCAAGTGCTTGTTTTCAGTTTTAGTTTTCTATGATTAAAAGATACACAAATGGCTAATAGGTATGTGAAAAGGTGCTCAACATCATTAAATATCAGAAAAATGCTAATGAAAACCGCAATGAGATATCACTTTACACCCATTAAGATGGCTATTATCAGAATGGCAAGAGAAAACAAATGTTGGCGCGGGTGTGGAGGAAAAGGAACTGCTGTTGGGAATGTAAATTGGTACAGCCATTATGGAAAACAGTATAGAAGTCCCTCATAAAATTAAAAATAGAAATATCTTTTATTCATACCCTTGACAACACTTACTATCCCTTGTGTTTTTGATAATTGCCACCTAACAAGTGTGAGGTGATATCTTATTGTAGTTTTGATTTGTGTTACCTTGATAATCAGTGATGTCGTGCACCTTTTCCCATACTTATTGGCCATTTCTATGTCTTCTTCTTTTATTATTTGAGTATTTTTAAGAATTAATAAAATGATTGGTATCATATTTCATTCTTAATGCCAGCTCTGACTTCAGTAGTGGTAGAAAACATATTTAATTAATGCAAGAGCAATAAATGAAATCTGTTGAATATTATGCTAAACTAGAAACTTTGTTAATATTATATTTTATTTGAATTTATATTTCTATATACGTATGGGTAGGTATGCATGAATGAATTTGAATTTATATTTATATATGAATATATTTGTAAATATATACATTTAGATATAAATATGTATGAACATATATGCATCTATATATTTATTTATATAACTGATGAGATAGAGAGTAGTTGATATATCATTTATCTTATTCTATTATTAGCTCATGGAAGATAGAGCTTCTGTCTTTTACTTCCTATGAAGAACTCTACATTTTCTAAAGTAATACTTTACATGGGTGGTAGCCCAATTTATGTAGATTGAACAAATTATAATGATCATAAGATTTTTAACTCAAAAATTTTTAATATCTACTTTGCAATTAGCAAGAAAATAAAGATGGAAGTGGTAATTTTTCCTACAGTTTTACATGTGTATACTTTATTGATTTAAAAGACTCACTACATGCTTCCCATTCCTAAAATTGTGTAACGTATCTTTTTTATTTTGCCTTAAATTATACTAATTTAAATGTGTTTGCTCATTGAGACTTTTGGCTTCCCTCTTTACCTTGTGTCTTTCTTTTTAGCTAATTTTTTATTATTTTAGTAAGTGTAAAATTGCTTTAACCCTCTCGCAGAACTTGTAATATGTTCAGGAAGAAAGTACAATCACCATTTTTTATACAGGGTAACAGACAATTGGTAATGAAGTTCAGTATTTGGTGATAAAGCAAAACAAACGCAATCAATACACACACAAACTTTCTATACTCTTTCCCCTCAGTTTCACAGTCAATTGTTACTATTCTGATTGGGAAAAACTTTTGGCTTTAATGAAATATAAATATATGTTCAATATGTCATTTATATATATGCAATTTTTCAGTGTTTTGGGTGGTTAAAAGCAAATAATACATAAGTGTTTTGACTATGGTTTTAAGCTTAGGAACAGAGGTGATTGCTTTAAGGCCTAAGATGGCTGCTAGCCTGTGCCAGGAAGGAGGGTAATGTGCATGGCTGGCATTCTGCAGGACAACAGATTTCATGCAACAGCATATATAAGTTTCTCTGTTACTATAATCAGGGCTGCTGTCAGTTGTCATGGCAGACTGCCAACTGGTGGAGTCAGTGGTTGTATTTTATCATCCTAAGGAAAACTCATTCAGCAAGCTATAGAACATAACTACTGGCCTATGACTTGTTTATTTTTTTAAATAAACACGTAGTCCACGGAGGGAATCACCATTCTATGCCTATTTACTTTTGAGTCAAAGAGAAATAATCTTTAAGTTGCTGTGTATTTGAAAAGATAATATTGGGGAGGCATAAAAGCAGTTGTAT
Source organism: Homo sapiens (assembly GCF_000001405.40). Classification (NCBI taxonomy): domain Eukaryota; kingdom Metazoa; phylum Chordata; class Mammalia; order Primates; family Hominidae; genus Homo; species Homo sapiens. The sequence goes on from NC_000023.11 coordinate 28,059,348, forward strand.
CTAGCTTACCTAATATTTATGGCTTTGCTTCTTTAGGAAGCGACCAAGTTCTGTATTTTTGCGAGTTTCAAATTTTGAACATAAAAAAGTGGAGAAATTTTGGTACTGAATTTTAAGGAGATATTGTGGTTAAATGAAGCAAAATACATAAAGGACCTTTAAGCATTCTACTTCCTGGTCTTCAGTGTCATCAGTTAGCTGTAGAGTTATGTTTCCTGAGTATACATAATGTATTGGATAGTTAAAACTATTTGACATCTCTGGAAAATGTTAAAGCCATAAAATTATTGTGTTGGCTTTGATTCAAGTGGTGCCTAATACATATGCTGTACTTTGAAGGATGTTAAATATACTTTATTCTAACTCTTAACCAGATTAAACTTGAGCATATAAACTGAAGATTTGCCAAATTAAAAGTGAATATATAAAAGAAGCACAGCATGTGAATTGATTCCTCTCTGGAAGAAAAAAAGTGATTTGAGTAGGATTCCCTTCTTAAATCACAACCTTGAGAACAGAGGTTTAATCTTTTTGGCTTGGTGGCCAAATTTTAAGAGGTAATAAGCTGTCCTCAGAATCACCATGAATCTCTGTGGCAGTTTCATGATACTACACTGCAGTAGCTGAATCTGGTCCATTATTCAAATGAAGAATTCCAAATGAATTTAATGTTCTTTCTTTTACTTATGCTTCTTTCATTGATTCTGGATTACAGTTAGGGACAGAAGATTTAAGTTAGCAAATGTGCCAAAATACTGCATCATGTTGGCATGCAAGAAAGGACACAAGGAAAACAGAAATAGCCTGTGACATTTAGCCAGTAAATGTTGAAGGCACGAAACAAACAGACTCAGGGGACAATAACCCAACAGTTCTCAATGGGTTAAATCGAAGTTTCTATGAAATACCAAACTGACACTTCTAACCTTTCACCAAAATGACATCTATTAATATGTTCTTTAGACATTTATTGAATGCCAAATATGTGCCAGGTGTAACTGGTTCATTGTCTCATACAATATGTACTTTGAAAAAATTTCCAAGAGAGATAACAGATTTACCTAACTCAGCTGTGCTCTCTTGCTGGCCTATCTTATAACCGAAGCCATGTATTTTGAAATAGGTAATCAGGGTAGAGGCCATGGAATGCAGTAAAAGTTGACAGCAAATTATTTACAGAATCTAATTTAGATTCACCAGTACTGCTTTAATGCTGTGACCTTCCATTTTCTCAGCAACCTTATGTTTAACTATTATCTTCTTTATATAGTCTTACAATTTCTTCTGGATCCTTCCTATTAGCTAGTGAAATGGTTTTGTTTTACTTTCGTGTGCCTGCTGACATGATTTCCTTATCTATCATTCATATTTCAACAATTGTCTTGTCCCAACAATTTCAATGAAATTACTCTGATTAATGTCAATTAAAATCCCCATTTGGATCAGTACAATTGTAACGTTTCAGTTCTCATCTTAAATTTCACACCTCTATTTTTTTCACTGTTTCCTGTTCCCCTCTCCACTGTAGTATCCTCTCAGGGTCCCATCATTACATATTTATGGGGTACATGTGAGTGTTCATTACATGCATAGAACGTGTAATAATCACATCAGGATATTTGAGGTATGCATCACCTTGAGTATTTATTATTTCTATGAGTTGGTATTATTTCAAGTCCTCTCTTCTCATTACTTTGAGATACACAAAATATTGTTACTAAGTATAGCCACCGTAGTCTGCTACAAAACATTAGAACTTATTTCTAACTAACTGTATGTTTGTATACATTATCCAACCTCTCTTCATCCCCCTTCCCACCCTCACACCCTTCCCAGCCTCTGATATCTATCATTTTATTCTCTATGTCCATGAGATTAAGATTTTTTAGTTCCTACGTGTGAGTGAGAACATGTGGTATTTGTCTGGCTTATTTCACTTAACAGATTGACCTCCTGTTTCATCCATGTTTCTACAAATTACATGATTTTATTCTCTTTTATGGCCCAGTAGTGTTCTGTTGTGTATATATACCACAATTGTTAAGTTCATTCCTCTGTTGATGGCCATATAGGTTGATTCCCTATCTTTGCTATTGTGAATAGTGCTGTGATAAACATGCATGTGCTGGTATCTCTTTGATATACTGATTTCTTTTACTTGGGATATATACCCAGTAGTGGGATTGCTGGATCATTTGGTAGTTCTATTATTAGTTTTTTTGAGAAAACTCCATACTGTCTTCCATAATCGTTGTACTAATTTACATTCCCACCAACAATGTGTAAGAGTTCCCTTTTCTCTGCGTCTTCACCAACGTCTGTTATTTTTTGTCTTTTTAATAATAGCCATTTCAGTTGGGGTGAGATGATATCTCATTGTGGTTTTAATTTGCATTTTCTGATGACGAGTGATGTTCAGCATTTTCTGTATACCTGTTGGCCATTTGTATGTCTTTTTTTGAGAAAGGTCTATTCAGGTCTTTTGACCATTTTTTACTTGGGTCATCTGTTTTCTTTCTATTGAGTTATTTTTTATATATTTTGGATATTAAACCCTTATCATATATACAGTTTGAAAATATTTTCTCCTGTTCTGTAGGTTGTCCCTTCACTCTGTTGATAGCTTCCTTTGCTGTGCAGAAACTTTTTAATTTGATGTAATTCCATTTGTCTATTTCCATTTTTTTTGCCCATGCTTCTGGGGTTACATTAAAAAAAAAATCATTGCCCAGAACAATGTCATGGAGTTTGTTTTCTTGTTTTCTTCTATTGGTTTCATAGATTTTGGTCTTAAATTTAAATCTTTAATAACTTTTGACTTGATTTTTGTATATGGAGAGAGATAAGGGTCTAATTTCATTCTTCTCCATGTGGATATCCAGTGTCCCAGCATCATTTATTACAGAGATTATCCTTTCCTATTGCGTTTTCTTGGCACCTTTTTTTGAAAATCCACGTGTAAATGCATGGAATTATTTCTTGGCTCTCTATTCTGTGCCACTGGTATGTGTGTCTGTTTTTATGCCACTGCCATACTGTTTTGTTTACTATAGCTTTATAGTATAATTTGAAATCCTGTAGTATGATGCCTCTAGCTTTGTTCTTTTTCCCCAGGATTCCTTTGGCTATCCAAGGTTTTTTGTGATTCCATACTAATTTTAAGATTTTTTTTTCTATGACTGTTTTTTTTTTTTTTTTGAGACAGCATCTCACTCTGTCACCCAGGCTGGAGTGCAGTGGCATAATTTCAGCTCACAGAAACCTCTGCTTCCCGGGTTCAAGGGACTCTGCTGCCTCAGCCTCCCGAGTATCTGGGATTACAGGCATGTGCCACCACATCTGGCTAAATTTTATATTTTTGGTAGAGATGGGGTTTCACCATGTTGGACCAAGCTGGTCTCAAACTCCTGACCTCAAGTGATCCACCCACCTCGGCCTCACAAAGTGCTGGGATTACAGGCATGAACCACCATACCTGGCTTTTTTTTTTTTCTCTATTTCTGTGAAAAATGTCATTGGTATTTTGGTAGAGATTGCATTGAATCTGTATGTTCCTTTGGATAGTATGGACATTTCACGTCTGTGTTGGCAAGGGTTTAACATCTATGTTATGTGATACAATCATTGTAAAGTCTTCTGAACTTTCTCCATCAAAATGAAAGATCCCGTTTCTCTCTTTAGAATGAACTTTCATAATTCAAAAGGATGTTTCTAGTATCAAGAGAAAATGGATTTATTTTCTTATATTTTATCAATTGTTTCAACTAATGGAATATTATAGTTTGTTTTATAATTGAGGTATTAATTTTATAGAAAATTTCCCCCAGAGTTCCCATTGGTTTATATTTGTATCATCTGCCTTTCAAGTTTTTATTAAATATTAAGCATATATCAAATAATATTTATAAAAATTAAATATTTAATGTAAATTAAACTTCATATTTCATTAAATGTGTATTTTCTTGTGCCTTTAATATAAAATATGAGATACTTTGGAAATGTTAATATATATATTATAATTAAAACTATATATTGATAGTTACTAATTTATAATATTAAAACTAATGTTAAATATAAATAGTTTATAAACAATATCTGTAAATTTGTTAACATATACTATTGTTATATATTAAGTAGTTCAATATATATTAAACACAATTTATAAGTTTTCAAGATTAGTGATAATGTGAACATCCATTTATTCATTCATATTTGAAAAAAATAAAACATTACACTTAAATTTGTAATCTAATTTACAAATTAAATTAGATTTGTAGGGAAGTCCCTCCTACCATTTCCTTCTGTTTAGCTTCATAGGCAAACACTAACATGAATTTAATATTTGTCATATCTCGCCTTTTCATAGAGGTTTAACATACATATTGAATTCCCAATACATATTGTTTAAGTTTGCATGTTTGGAGTCTCTATATAAATTGAATCACAATTCTCTATGAATCCATAACATTTATTTTTTCTTCCTGTCATTTCCTTCAGCAAAATCATTTATGTTTTCATAATCTTTACATTCACATAATTTGTCTCTGATAACCTTAAGCCAAAGGATTAAAAATAATATTTAAATATAATTGCATTCATAGTATACAAAATTTTATTTACTTGCTGTAAAATTAATTACATTTTTTAAATACAAAAATAAAATTGTCTTCACATGTTTTTAAGTAAGTATTTTATTATAGAAGTCAAAATTGTGTATCAAATTTAAAAAACATAATACAATTACTAATGGGTGTCAAAGTATTAAACTCAAAATTATTTAAAAAGTGATGAATTTTTAAATTTTTTTCAAAACTTAAATTATAACAAATACTTTATACAAATAAAACTATTCACAGTTACAGAGTTTAGTGGTTTAATGTTCATGTGTTTGCCAAAAGAAAGGATTGGGTGATGATTCATGCATGTTACATCTATACTAGTGGTTCTAAATTTGGGGTTGGGGGGCAGGGGTTGCTGCCCAGGAGATGTTTGGCAATGTCTGGAGATATTATTTTTTGTTTTTACAACTTGCGGGTGATGCTACTGGCACCTAATGAGTTCAAGCCAGGGATGCTGCTAAACATCCTACAATCCACAGGATAGCCCCTCTAAGCAAATCTTTGACCTAAAATGTCAGTAGAGTCAAGGTTGAGAAATCCTGACCGAGACCTAGATATATTCCTGGCACATAGCTGTCATCCAGGGATCTTTTCTCACCATCATCTTCAATAGTCCCGCTGCCTGTTTTGTGTTTTGGATCTCCAGTTTACTTTGTCCTCAAGTTTTCCGTTTTTTTATTTGTTTGTTTTTTTCTTGATTACTCATTATTTTTAATGGAGCACATGCTCCACTGGGATGCCAAGAAAGAAGGGATGTTTTGTAAAAACTCTTCCAACTGAGTACCCAAGACACTGTTTCCTATCTGTTTTTTATGGCTCTCACCTGCTCATCCTGTACATCTTAGCTTAAGTGCATACTTTTTCTCTGCGGATTTAGTAAGCTTACACTTGCTATGTCCTTTTATAGTGCTCAGTACCTTTCCTGGATAGCATTACATTATATATTTATCTATTTAATTGTTTTTTCAATATTTTTCTTCCCTGATAGACCATAAACTTCATAATAGCAAGGCTCATCTCAGCTTTATTATCCGCAATGTCTATCACAGGGGCTGGCACATTGTATTCAGTAGTTATTGCTCCACTGAATTAATGAGTAAATAATTTGGTGTAATAGTAATGGTACTAGAAGGCTTCCAAATAAAAAGTTGCAAGTTTTTAATATCCAGTATTCTAATAGTACTTGATATTTATATCAATGTGTTATTATTCTCTCGTAAAACTATAAATATGTCTTCATCTGGCATTCCTTAGATACTTGCCATTATTAACACAGTTTATGAATATTTTATATAATAATACAATTCCTCAAATTGACATTAGGCTTATAAAGGACATCCATATAAATATAAATTGATCAGTTTGTTTGTTACAGGCTTACACACTGCTGGCTGGATTCTCCTGAAACAGACCAAGTCGGAGTTTGAGGGGCAAGATGCTTATTAGAAATTAATACCTGTGAAAGGAAAGGGGAGAGATGGGCGCAGTGGCTCATGCTTGTAATCCTAGCACTTTGAGACTGAGTGGGTGGATTACTTGATGTCAGGAGTTCGAGACCAGCCTGGTCAACATGGTGAAACTTCGTCTCTACTACAAATACAAAAATTAGCCAGGCATGGTGGCGCATGCCTGTAATCCCAGCTACTTGGGTGGCTGAGGCCAGAGAATCGCTTGAACCCAGGAGATGGAGGCTGCAGTGAGCCAAGATCGTGCCACTGCACTCCAGCTTGGGGAACAGAGTGAGACTGTCTCAAAAAAAAAAAAAAGAAAAAAAGAAAGAAAAGGGAAAAGGGAGAAGGCAGGGCTGGACAGAAAGAAGCTATCTGCAAACGCTGGGCTGATAAAAGCGTTGGCCAAACCAGCCAGGGCTTCTGGAACGAGATGCCCATCAGAATGTCCCACTCTGTCTGAAATGGCAGGGCCTTTACACCCATGCCTGATTCAGTCACCAGATACAGGCTGCTCTGAGAAGAGAATGGTCCTCTGACAAGGCAGCTCCCAGCAGCTAAGGCTGACCCTGAAGGAGCCGCCAGATGGAGGCAGCCTGCTGACCACACGCCCCACAGCTGGAGAGCAAGACCTTCCTATGCTTACCATGTAAGTTCAGCATTCTGAGTACTTGTGAGTTTTGACTCATTTTGTCCACAAAGCAACCGTATTCAACTATTCAACAAGAACCACTAGTAAGTGGCAGAGTTGAGATTCACACCGAGTAAGTTTGGCCTCAGAGTTCACACTCTTCATCACTCTGCTATTCTGTCTCCCTCCATTGTTCAGTAGAGAACTTCATGCACAATATGAACAAATTGACTACCTTTCTCTCTCTCTCTCTGTCTCTCTGTCTCTCTCTCTCTCACTAATGCATATATACATGAGAGAATGTGCAGTTTGAGCTTGTATGGTAAACTAAAATTATGTTAATCCTCAAAAGTATCATTTTTGTCTTTGCCTAGATCCATTTTCTTTGATTGACCATGCAATCAACTTGTTCTCTTACTCAAGTGGTCTCCTCTATTCCAAGCCAGTCTATTCTAACCTGGTTACTTCCTGGCTTTTGAGCCAATCTGTTAAAGCAGAAATTTCCTCCACTTATAAATCCTCAATGCCCCAGAGTTTCTTGGAGTCTCAAGGAAGTTTCTCACATCTTCTCATAAAAATGTGTGTTGTTCTACTATATAGTGCCCACGATGTATTTCTGTTCTCTTTTGTCCTTCTGTCCTCTACCGTGTATCAGTGTATCCATGAGGAATGGCCATGTCTGTCACGTATCTTAGCCTCCAAAAATGCACTACTGCTGTGTTTTCAGCTTCAAATGAAGAGATGGGAGAGTGGATAATACTTGGAATTGCCCCTCTCCCCTGACAACTATGAAGTTGTTACGGATCAAGTGACTTGTCTGGTTCTCACCTCCCTCAGGCTGAGTTCTCTTTTAGAGTCCAGTCCCAGATCCTAATCCACATAGCTATCTGTTGTTCCATGCATACCAGTATCCTAACATTGGTGGCTATAATAATGTTCAAACTATATGTTTTAGGCTACATTTCCTGGAAATTAATTCTGAGATGGAGTTTTGCTGGCAGGATATTGACTGGTGACTGCCCTCAGGGTCGAAATCTGTGATAGAGTGAGCATAGCCTCAAGGAGTAGAGGGATATGTTAAACTGCAGTAAAGAGAAGCCTGGTTACCCTTGGAGGGCTGGGGAGCTGGAATGGCTCTTCAGTGTTTAGTGTATTCAGCTAAAAGATGCAAGTGGGCTGGGTCTTTTACTCCTGGATACATCAGTCATTGGATGCTCTGTCTATAACCTTAGGTGAGGCATTTCCCCTTTGTCTGAGGATGATTCTTTGGGGGAGTCTCTGCTATAAGCTGTCATCAGGTAATAGTCCCAACAGCAGGGGGAATGATTGCCTTAGTCCTGACTCAGTCTTGCAGGGAACATCTGAGTGGCACCTCACAACATGGCCTTAAAATACTCCCTATTGTATTTCTTTGGTTCTGGATATTTTTTCTCTGTGCTCCTACACACACACACACACACACACACACACACACACACACACACACACACACACACGATGCTTTTGCTATTAGGACGCTAATGCCCTTACACACACACACACACACACACACACACACACACACACACGATGCTTTTGCTATTAGGACGCTAATGCCCTTAACCCTTTTACTCTGCCTGTCCTGAGTATGGTGTTTTTCATTTACAAAGTTTACAAAACATTCCGGCTTCAGGCAAATAAAAATATTATCTTCTGAGATGAGTGTTATCTGGAAGACATGTGTAACTCACATGTGCTCTTCCTGCATGATGGATTCCTTTCTTTCAATAGAGCTGGGACAGGATGCTTAATAGCCAAAGGCTGCCTCACCGAAGCCACTGAATGTGAGAAACACAACTCCCAACAGAAAGAATTCTAAATAAGCTTTTTTTGGTGAGTATTTCTGAGAATAATCATCTACTCCCCATTGTCCTATTTCTGCCCCTTGTCTCTCATTCTGTTCCTCAGTGCTGTAGATCTCTGACAAGTGTTAGGGCAATGAAGAAATCAAACACATAGACTTTAAGAAGGTAACAGCTTATGCACCTCTTCTAAATATTTGCATATGAAAACATGAAACCCTTCGGTGAATTTTGGGGCTGTGAGGCAACAATGAATGAAGGCTTTCTATACATTAGATTGTAAGAAGGAGGATGCCATTCCCAATGCCCCTTAAAAGACACAATGTAGGTAAATTCTGATTCCCATACACGATTGACCTGCTAACTTTGTAAATTTTTTTTATTTTTAACTTTTGTGGGTACATATCACGTCTATATACTTATGGGGTACATGAGATATTTTGGTATGGGCATGCAATGCATAATAATCACATCCTAGAAAATGCAATATCCGTTCCCTCCAGCATTCGTCCTTTGAGTCACAAAAAATCCAATTATACTCTTTTAATTATTTTTAAATATGCAATTAAATTATTATTGACTATAGTTCCCCTGTTGTGCTGTCAAATACTAGGTCTTACTCATTCTTTCTATTTTTTTTGTACCCAGTAACCATCCCACCTTCCCCGCCCTGTACCCCCACTGCCATTCCCAGCCTATTGTAACCATCCTTCTACTTTCTATTTCCCTGAGTTCAATTGTTTTGATTTTTAGATCCCATAAACAAGTGAGAATGTGTGATGTTTGTCTTTCTGTGCTGGCCTTATTTTACTTAACATCAGGACCTCCAATTCCATCCATGTTGCTGCAAATGAAAAGATATCATTATTTGTTATGGCTGAATAGTACTCCATTGTTTATAAATACCACATTTTATTTATCCATTTATCTGTTGGTGGACACTTAGGTTAATTCCAAATCTTGGCTATTGTGAACAGTGCTGCAACAAACATAGAGTGCAGACCTCATTTTGATATACTGATTTCCTTTTTTTGGGTATATATCCAGCAGTGGGATGGCTTGGTCATATACTAGCTCTATTTTCGTTTTTCTGAGGGTCCTCCTAACTGTTCTCCATAGTGGTCGTATTGATTTACATTCCCACAGTGTACAAGTGTTCTCTTTTCTCCACATCCTCACCAGAATTCTTTATTTCCTGTCTTTTGGATAAAAGCCATTTTAACTGGGGTGAGGTGATTCCTCATTATAGCTTTGATTTGCGTTTCTCTGATGATCAATGATGCTGAGCACCTTTTCATACGCCTGTTTGCCATTTGTGTGTCTTCTTTTGAGGAATGTCTATTCAAATTGTTTGCTTATTTTTGATTGGATTAATAGAATTTTTTCTATAAAGTTGTTTGAGCTCTGTATATATTCTCATTATTAACCCTTTGTCAGATGGATAGTTTGCAAATATTTTCTTACATTCTGTGAGTTATCTCTTCACTTTGTTGATTGTTTCCTTGGCTGTGTGAAGCTTTTTAACTTGATGTGATCCCATTTGTCCATTTTGCTTTGGTTGCCTGTGCTCTTGTGATATTACTCAAGAAATTTTTGCACAGACCAAAGTCCTGGAGAGCTTCCCTGATGTTTTCTTGTAGTAGTTTCATAATTTCAGGTTATATATTTAAGTATTTAATCTATTTTTATTTGAATTTTGTATATGGTGAGAGATAGGGGTCTAGTTTCATTCTTCTGCATCTGGATATCTAGTTTTCCCAGCAACATTTATTGAAGAGACTATCTTTTCCCCAGTGTATGTTCTTGGTACCTTTGTCAAAAATGAGTTCACTGTAGGCGTGTGGATTTGTTTATACATTCTCTATTCTGTTCCACTGGTCTGTGTCTGTTTTTAAGCGTGTACCATGCTGTTTTGCTGTAGTATAAGTTGAACTCAGGTAATGTGATTCCTCCAGTTTTGTTTTTTTTTTCCTCAGGATAGCTTTGGCTATTCTGGGCCTTTTGTAACTCCATAGAAATCTTAGGATTGTTTTTTCTATTTCTGTGAAGAATGTCATTGGTATTTTGATAAGGATTGCATTGAATCTGTAGATTTCTTTGGATAGTATGGACATTTTAACAATATTGATCTTCTAATTTATGAATGTTGAATATATTTCCTTGTTTTGATTCCTCTTCAATTGCTTTCATCAGTATTTTATAGTTTTCATTGCAGGGATGTTTCACTTCTTTGGTTACATTAATTCCTAGGTATTTAAATTTATTTGTGGTTATTGTAAATGGGATAACTTTTTTATTTTTTTCGCATTGTTCACTGTTAGCATATATCAACCCTACTAATTTTTGTATGTTGATTTTGCATCCTGCAACTTTACTGAATTTGTTTATTAATTCTAATAGTTTTCTTGTGGAATATTTAGGTTTCTCCAAATGTAAGAGCATATCATCTGCAAACAGGGATAGTTTTACTTCTTCCTTTCTAATTTGGATGCCCTTTATATCTTTCTCTTGTCAGATTGCTCTAGCTAAGACTTCTCATACCAGGTTAAATAACAGTGGTGAAAGTGGGCATCCTTCTCATGCTCCAGATCTTAGAGTAAAGGATTTAAGTTTTCCCCCACTCAGTATGATATTAGCTTTTAATCTGTCATATATGCCTTTTATTATGTTGAGATATGTTCCTTATATACCTAGGTTTTTGAGGGGTTTTATCATGAAGGGATGTTGAATTTTATTAAATGCTTTTGCAGCATCAATTGAAATGATCATATGGTTTTTGTGCTTCATTCTGTTGATACAATGTATCACATTGATTGATTTGTATATTTTGAACCATTCTTGCATCCCAGAGATAAATCCCACTTGGACATGATCAATTGTCTTTTAATGGATTGTTGAATTCGATTTGCTACTATTTTGTTGACCATTTTTGCATCAATATTTATTAGAAATATTAGCCTGTAGTTTTCTCTTTTTTTGATGTGTCTTTGTCTGGTTTTAATATCCAGGTAATACTAGGCTCATAGAATGAATTTGGAAGTATTCCCTTCTCCTCTGTTATTAAGAACAATTTGAGTAGGATTGGTATTAGTTCTTAAATTCAGCAGTGAAGATATCAGGTCCCGGGCTTTTCTTTACTGGGAGACTTTTATTACAGCTTCAGTCTCTTTACTTGTTAGTGGTCTGTTAATGTCTTGGATTTCTTCATGGTTCAGTCTTGGTAGGTTATATGTATCTAGGAATTTATCCATTTCTTCTAGATATTCCAATTTATTGGCATATAGTTGCTCATAATTTCCACTAATGATCCTTTGAATTTCTGTAATATCAGTTGTAATATCTTACTTTTCATCTCTGACGAAAAAAATTGAAGTCAATGCAAAAAAGGAAAGATATTCTATGTTCATGTATTGAAAGAATCAATATTGTAAAAATGTCTATACTATCCAAAGCAACCAACAGAATCAATGCAATTCCTATCAATATACCAATGATATTCTTCACAGAAATAGAAAAAATATATAAAATTTATTTGGAACCACAAAAGGCCCAGAATAGACAAAGCTGTCCTGAGCAAAAAGAACAAAATTGGAAGCATTGCATTACCTGACTTTAAATTATACTACAAAGCTCTAGTAAACAAAACAGCATGCTATTGACATAAAAACAGACATATGGACCAGTGGGACCGAATAGAGAACCCAGAAGTAACCCACGCATTTAGTCAACTCATCTTTGACAAATGCACCCAGAACATACATTGGAGAAAGGACAGTCTCTTCAATAAATGGTATTGGGAAAACTGGATATCCATATACAGAAGAATAAAACTAGACCTGTATCTCTCACCATATACAAAAATCAAATAAAACCGGATTAAAAACTTAAATCTAAAACCTGAAACTATGAAACTGCTAGAAGAAAACTTTGGGAAAACACTCCAGGACATTAGTGTGGTAATGATTTCTTGAGTAAGATCTCAAAAGCACAGGCAACAAAAGCAAAAATGGACAAATGGGGTCACATCAGCCTACAAAGTTTCTGCACACCAAGGGAAGCAATTAATAGAGTGAAGAGACAATCTACAAAATAGAAGAAAAAGTTGCAAAGTATCAAACTGACAAGAGATTAATAACCAGAATATATAAGGAACTGAAACAACTTAGTAGCAAAAAATCAAATAATCCAATTAAAAATGGGCAGAAACTCTGAATACACATTACTCAAAAGAAGACATACAAATGGGCATTAAGTGTATGAAAAAAGGCTCAACGTCACTAATAATCAGGGAAATGCAAGTCAAAACTACAATGAGATAGCATCTTACTCCAGTTAGAAAGGCTTTTTTCTGAAAGACAGGCAATAACAGATGCTGGCGATGATGTGGAGAGATGGGAACCCTTGTACACTGTTGGTGGGAATGTAAATTAGTATAGCCACTATGGAAAACAGTAAGGAGATTCCTCTAAAAACTAAAAATAGAACTACCATATGATCCAAGAATCCCATTGGGTATATACCCAAAGGAAAATAAAGTCAGTGTATCTAAGAGATATCTGCACTCCCATGTTCGTTGCAGCATTATTCACAATAGCCAAGATATGGAATCAACCTAAATGTCCTTCAATGAATGATTAGATAAAGAAGATGTGGTAAAGAAGACATATACACAATGGAATAATATTCAGTTATATAAAAGAAGGAAATACTGTCATTTGCAACAATACAGATAGAACCGGAGGACAAAATGTTAAGTGAAATAAGCCAAGCACAGAAAGATAATGTTGCATGTTCTCACTCATATGTGGAAGCTAAAACAACTGAACTCCTGGAGATGGAAAGTAGAATGATGGCTACTAGAAGCTAGAAAGAGGGGAGAGTGGTGTGTGGGAATAAAGAGTGAGTGGTATATTGGTACAAAAATATACCTAGATAGAAGGAATAAGATCTAGTGTTTGGTAGCACAATGGAGTGACGATATTTAACAATAATTTGTTGTGTATTTTAAAATAACTGCAGAAGTAGATACGAAATGTTCCCCAAACAAAGTAATGATAAATTTTTGAGGTGATGGATATCCTAACAAACCAGATTTGGTCGTCACACACTATATTCTTATATTAAAATATCACACATATCCCATAAATATGTGTAACTATTATGTATCCATAAAAATTAAAAGAAAAAAATAAAAATTTAAAAAAGAACCTACTCTCATCTAGTTGTTTATTTTAGTTCTAGGAAAATCGTGAGGAAGAGGACCAAATAAATGTCTTTTGGACAATACAACAATAGGAAGAGGTAAATTAACCCTGTTTGGTTTATTAGTTATGGAACTGCTCATCACTGTACAAGTGATTTTTCATGTAAGTTTAAAATTATTTAGTAAGCAGATGATTTTCTTTAGCTTCAATATATATGTTAAAAGTGTTTGCAGACAACCTGAGATTCCTCTTTATTTATAACTATTTGCAAATTGCAGCCAACTGCAAGTTAAAGATTAATATATCGAAGTCACACTTCTTTGTTTATCTAGGAACTATAGGTTATGGCATGCAACTTAACCCTGTGATGTTCAAGTTTTTTAAAAAAATATTTTTTAATTATTATGGATATGAAATAGGTGTATATATTTACTGGATATATGTGATATTTTGATATAGGTGTACAATGTGCAATAACCAAATCAGAGTAATTGGGATATCCATCACCTTAAGCATTTGACATTTATTTGTTTTAGGAACATTCTAATTCCACTGTTTTGGTTATTTTAAAATACACAAGTTGTTGTTGACTATAGTCACCCCGCTGTGCTATGAAATACTAGATCTTATTCATTCTTTCTAACTATATTTTTGTACAAATTAACCATCCCCACTTCCTCCCCACCCTTCCCAGTCTCTGGTAACCATCATTCTACTCTCTGTCTCCATGAATTCAGTTGTTTTAATTTTTAGTTCCCACAAATGAGTGAAACCATGTGAAGTGTGTCTAGCTTATTTCACTCAACATAATGTCCTCCAGTTCCATTCATGTTGTTGCAAATGACAAGATTCCCTTCTTTTATGGCTGAATAACATTCCATTTTGTATATGTACCATATTTTCTTATCCAGTCCAATGTTGGTGGATACTTAGTTTGACTTCCAATCTTGGCTATTATGAGTAGTGCTGCAATAAATATGGGAGTGCAGATATCTCTTTGATATACTGATTTTCTTCCTTTGGATATATACCTAGCAGAGGTATTGCTGGATCATTTGGTAGTTCTATTTTTAGTTTTTTGAGAAACCTCCACACTGCTTTCCACAGTGGCTCTACGAATTTATATTCCTACCAACAGTGTATCAGGGTAACCCTTCCTCCACATCCCCGCCAGCATCCGTTATTGCCTGTGTTTTGAATGAAAGTCATTTTAACTGGGGTAATATGATAGCTCATTGTAGTTTTGATTTTCATTTTTTGATGATTAATAATATTGAACATTTTTTCATATACATACTTGGCCATTTGTATGTCTTCTTTTCAGAAATGTCTGTTCAGATCTTTTTGCCCATTTTTAAATTAGATTATTTGTTTTCTTCCTATTGAGTTGTTTGAGCTCCTTATATATTCTGGTTATTGATCTTGTCAGATGGCGAGTTTGCAAATCTTTTCTTTCATTCTACATGTTGTCTGATCACTTTTTTTATGGCTTCCCTTGCTGTGCAAAAGCTTTTTAACTTAATGTGGTCCTGTTTGTCCATTTTTGCTTCTGTTGCCTGTACTTTTGAGGTCTTACTCAAGAAATTATGTGCCCAGACAGCGCTTCCTCAATGTTTTCTTTCACACTTTCATAGTTTAAAGTTTTGGATATACATCTTTAGCCTATCTTGGTTTAATTTTTGTATATGGTGAGAGAGAGGGGTCTAGTTTCATTCTTCTGTGTGTGGATGTCCAGTTTTCCCAGCACCATTTATTGAAGAGATTGTCCTTTCCCCAATGTATGTTCTTGGCACCTTTGTGAGTTCACTGTAGATGTGTAGATTTATTAGTATTTTGTACAGAATAATTTTTCCCATGATTAAACCAGTGAGGAGCACTAAAGTCATCACAATAATTGACAGTGACTCAATGCAGGGAAGGCTTTCATTGTGAATCTAGGTCAAAGTGAAATAGTGGCACTTACTTTCAAAATTATCTGGCATGATTGCTATAACATTTTTAGAACTTTTTTCCATAAGCGTTTTAGCTCTTCGACTGGAAATTATGCAGGTAAAATGACTATTTTATATACATATGCATACATATATATTTATGTATATAGACCCTTCATAAATACATATATAAATACATATATATACATAAATATATATGTATACGTACATATAGTTATGAGGGGTCTTCTAAAAATTTATGGAAAATGCATGTTATGAAAAAATATGTGTGGATTTCAAATCTTTTGGCACCAAAATAAATGTACTAAATTTTTATAACACGTCTGAACAAGATCTAGTTTAAGGCACTAAGAAGGATACATTCTATCAGAACAACATGAATTCTGCTAGAATTGAAGCAAAAACAAACATCAAATTCATGGTGAATCTTGGGTATAAGAATAGTGAAATCATTCACCATGAAAAGTTTATAGTGAAAGTGTCCCCAAAGAAATCAGCAGTTTACAAATGAATAACTTGTTTTAAGAAGGGACAGGACAATGTTGAATTTGAAGCCTGTAGCAGCACACCATCAGCTTGGCAGACGTCAATTTATGAGGAAAAATTAATCCTGTTTGTACCTTAACTGAAGAGTACCAACGATTAACAGCAGAAACAATCACTGACACCATAGACATCTCAGTTGGTTCAGATTACACCATTCTGACTGAAAAATTAAAGTTGAGTAAACTTTTCATGCGCTGGTTGCCAAAACTGTTGCACCCAGATCAGCTGCAGTCAAGGGCAGAGCTTTCAATGGAAATTTTTAAACAAATTGAATCAAGATCCTGAAGTATTTCTACATAGAATTGTAACAGGAGATGAAACATGGCTTTATCACTATGATCCTAAAGACAAAGCACAATCATAGCAATGGCTACTGGTGCAACAACAGCTAACACCAATGGCTAACAGGTGGAAGTGGTCCAGTGAAAGCAAAAGGAGACAGGTCAAGAGCAAAGGTCATAGCTACAATTTTGGGGGGATGCTTAAGCCATTTTGATTGTTAACTTTCTGAAAGGCCAAAGAATGATAATGTCTGCTTATTATGAGAGTTTTGAGAAAATTAGCCAAAGTACTAGCAGAAAAACTCCCCAGGAAAGCTTCACCAGAGAGTCTTTCTCCACTATTACAATGCTCCTGCTTATTCCTCTCAAAAAACAAGGGCAATTTTGCAAGAATTTCAATGGGAAATCATTAGGCATCCAACTTATAGTTCTGATTTTGCTCCTTCTGATTTCGTTTTGCTTCCTAATTTTAAAAAATCTTTAAAGGGTACCCACTTTTCTTCAGTTCATAATGTAAAAAAGACTGTATTAATATGGTTAAATTTCCAGGACTCTCAGTTCTGTAGGGTTGGACTAAATACTGTTGTTTGTAAAGGTGTCTGGAACTTGATGGAGCTTGTGTTGAAAAATAAAGTTTTTTTGATTTTTATCTTTTCATTCCAATTTTTCATGAAATGTTTGAAGTCCCTTCATATACGATACACAATATTGACTTAATATTATGACATGTCAAAGGTTAAGACAGTGGCTCTGAAGGTCTGAACTTTGGGAAATAAGTTTTATATATATATATATATATTCTTTTTCATTTTGTGTGTGTATACATTTATATTTAACATGTGTATACATATGTCCATATGTTTATGTACATACCTTTGTTTTATTTAGGTTATATCTGTATAACCTAAATAATATAGGTTATATCTGTATAACCTAAATAATATAGGTTATATCTGTATAACCTAAATAATATAGGTTATATCTGTATAACCTAAATAATATAGGTTATATCTGTATAACCTAAATAATATAGGTTATATCTGTATAACCTAAATAATATAGGTTATATCTGTATAACCTAAATAATATAGGTTATATCTGTATAACCTAAATAATATAGGTTATATCTGTATAACCTAAATAATATAGGTTATATATAATAAAACCTAAAAATAGTATATTTATTCAGTTTTTTAGGTTATTTTATTTGATTATATCTTAATGTAAGAAGTATATTAATTGCATTTGGTAATGTTGAGATATATTTCTTATGGCACATCTTTTAGTGCTTTGATAAATGATATTATACACTTTCAACCACTTTTAATTATCCCTAATAACCCCAAAAGGTTTAAAAGTATTTTCAACCCTATTCAAAGTGGCTTGCTGGCTATTAAAGGCTGACTGTCTCTGGCTGAGAGGCATCTTGGCTGCTAATATGGGTAATTATAGACATTCCTAAGGCTATTAAATTCGTAAGGCTATTAAAACATCTAATGTTTCTTAGCTTTGATTATAAGACATCTGAAATTGCCTGGCTGGATTAGGAGAGTCTTGTATTAAGCATTTAGGTCATGAGATCACTAGACCAAGTCTTATCTATGTTATATGATGTAAAGCTATATTTCAGCTATTCCATAAACATTAGCTAATATCTACTTTTTGAAGACTTAACATGTTTTTCCATTTTATTTTTGAGCTCCTTATTTACACAGCATTTCTATAAACAATGAAAAATAAATCTCATACTTGGATTATACTACTTGTGGAATACTGTACTGTGGGTGAAATTGTACACACAGGCACACACACACACACAAGGCATTTCTATATGTATTATTAGTCTGATGTATGAAAATATAAATATATAAAGCAATAGGTAATTTTTAAACTATAAGGGACTTTACAGATAATCTAGACCAATCCTCTAGTTTTTAGTTGATAAAGCTGAGGCAGAGAGAGTTTATATGATTTACACTATCACATAGCAGGTTATTGGCATATTGAAGCTATACGGAACTGCATTTGGCAATTCCTAATAGAGAAAAATAGCCCATTATGGCAATATAATACATTTTTTGTACAATAACAAGCTCTCCCATTTATATTTTCTCCTAAGTAAATTTATTCAGTTTCTCGTGTGAATAAACCTGATGGTTGTTTTTCAGATGGCGTAGAAATAAAAATAATAATAATTAGTTTCTGACAGTTCCATCCTGTCAAATTGCCTGAATCTATTTTAGAATACATGTACTTTTGAAAGCATTTGCATCATCTCTCTCTAAAATAATCTATACATGGAGTTTTTTGGGAAGAAAATAATTTGCTATAAAATATGGATGTATCGTCCATTACTTTCATTCAGTAAAGGCCTGAAAATAACTGGGTCCCTAACCTAAATTTCAATGACAGATGTAATTGACAGGAAATCAATCAAATGTTATGTACTTGAAAATTCTAAAATCAGACAGCTTTTTATAAACCCTGGCTCTGTCCATTTTATCATTTTGGAATAGCTATTATCTCACTAAACCTTAGTTTCTTCACATGTCAAATGGGGATAATGCTGCATTAAGGTTATCTATTTTATGAGGATTAAATGAAATAATGATTGTAAAATATGTGTCATACAGGAAATGGGTGTTTTGGTATTTATTTATACTAGGGCTCCATAAGTAGTTCTCAGATCTTGTAAGAAATGGTTATGACTTTTAGAAATCCAGAGTAAAATGGACTCTAAACACCACAGGAGACCAGGGAATAGGCAGATCAGGCAAATGTTTCTGAAAAAAAAAAGTAATTTAATTAAAATTAGCTTCACATTTTTGGCCGTTTAGGAGATACAATACAGTGAAACGATATATTATAATAAGCACATGATCCAATTACTGAATCAGTAATTTAGAAGACATTGAATAAGGAAAATTTAAAACCAGACTACTGTCCATATGAGAGAGATTGAGTAGCTGGGCTTTACTCTAGAGAGGATATGATTCAAACCAATGTCTCCAATTGCTCAAGTCCTCATCTTGTGTAACTGCATAATATTTGATTATTTCATACAAACTCTAGTTTAGAAGGAAGTGGCTACATTTCCTACTTGATATTTGTTACCTCTTGCTCAAAAAATCTTTCCATCAACTTTGATTTTGACATTAATGACTTTTCGTGCTTCTCTAGGGCTTCCTAGCTTGCTTTTTCCCTTAATCATGGCTTATCCTTTCTTGCATTTTTCACGACATTTGCAACATGTTGACACTCAATTTTTTGTTGTTAACAAAGCTATATTGAAGATTGATGCAGGGGAATAAGGAAGGTCATGAAGACCATAATTTTGAAAAAAAACTTAAAAATTAAATATCAGGACTTCCTCTTCCAGGTATAATGGGGCAAGATAGACAAAACACACACACACACACACACACACACACACACACACACACACATATACACACACAATAATATAAGACATCAGAGAACAATAATGGTGGCCAATAGTTGAAGGACAGTTATCTTGACGAGAAAGAAAATATGTTTAGGGGAGTCCTACATTCCCCATTCCTTTCCCTTTGGGGAAGATAAGTACTCTTACTGTAGACATTGAGACTAAAAAGAAGCAGCAACTTAGAGTTTGTGGTAGTCTTACTACCCTGGGAAGAAAATAATTAGAACTCAGGACTACCAAAAAGTCAAACATTAGTGTACAAGATGCAGGAAAGGAGGAAACTGCTGAAAAGTGAACTCTGTATTCTGTGTTCACTTTCCTCTTTTGAAGCATTTGCTAAACTCCAAGCTGCGCAAATGCCCAGGTAAGACACAGAGAATAGGATGTTACATACGATGTTAATGGATTATTTATGACATGCTATTGCTAATATATTACGGTTCTCTCCCAAATTGACCTATAAATTCAATGCAATCCCAATTGCAGCTAGATTTTGTTTGTGGAAATTGACAAGCTGGTTTTTAAATGTACATTAAAATATATGGAGCCAAAAAGAGTCAAGGCAAGCTTGAAGAAGAACAAGGTTGAGGATTTTACACTACTAGATATTAAAAAAAAAAAATCAGTAGTGAAAAGTATAATGTTAGCTCAGGGATAACAAACAGATCAATTGAACGGAATAAAGGATTCAGGAACAGGCCCACACTTACATGATTACCTTATTTAAGATGAAGGTGACACTGCAGTGCAGTGGAGAAAAGATGTTCTTTTCAATAGTATTGGATTAATTCTGTGTGAGATGGGGTAAAAATGAAATCTCACTCCTAACTCTCTTCATACACAAAATAAATTACAGGTGTGTCGTAATCCTAAAAGTCAAAGTTAAAACAATAGTGCTCCTAGAAGATATTATAAAAGAATATTATCATAGTTTTGAGTAGGCAATGGTTTCATTAAAAAACTTTATAAAAGCTAATCAAAAAGAAAAGAATGATTGATGAATTCTTTCATTAAAATTAAGAATTTCTATTTATAAAAAGACACTTTTAGAAAGTGAAAAGGCAAGACACAAAATGGGAGAAGATATTTGCAGCACGTCAATCCAATATAGGACTCATATCCAGACATATAAAGAATTTCTACAAATCAACAAGGAAAGGATTGACAACCAGAATTGAAAATTAGATTAAATATGTCAGCAGGGACTTCACAAAAGAGGATGTTATAATCTGAATGTTTGTGTCTTCCCCAAATTCATATGTTAAGGCCCTCAACCCCAATGTGATTATATTTGGAGATAGAGTCTCTAAGGAGGTAATTAAGGTTAAATGAGGTCAAAAGGGTGACTGCGATCCACAAGAAGAGACATTAGAGAGCACCCCTCTCCACTCTCCCTGCCATGTGAGGACACAGCAAGAGGGTGGCCATTTGTAAACCAGTAGGAAAACCCTCACCAGAACCTGATCTACTTACACCCCTGATCTCATATTAGTAGCCTTCAGAATTGTGGAAAAACAAATTTATGTTGTTTATGACCACCCAGTTAGTGGCATTTTGTTATGACAGCCCAGGCAGACTAATACAGAGAATATCCAAATGGCCAATAAGCATGTAGCAAGGTGCTAGATATCATTAGTCATGAGTGAAATGCAAATTTAAAATATAATGAGGCAGGGTATAGTAGCTCATATCTGTAATCTCAGTACTTTGGGAGGCTGAGGCGGGTGGATCATATGAGGTCAGTAGTTCAAGACCAGCCTGGCCAACATGGTGAAACCCTGTTTCTACTAAAAATACAAAAATTAGCCAGGCATTGTGGCACACGCCTGTAGTCCCGGCTACTTGGGAGGCTGAGGCATGAGAATCGCTTGAACCTGGGAGGCGGAGGTTACAGTGAGCCGAGATTGCACCACTGTACTCCAGCCCAGGCAACACAGTGAGACTCTGGCTCAAAAAAAAAAAAAAAAAAAAAAAAAAAAAAAAAAATATATATATATATATATATATATATATATATATATATATATATATAAAATGAGATACCATTGCACAGTGATCATAATGTGAGGAAAATGACAATACAAAATGATGGTAAGAAGACTCCACCAAAAATCTATTAGAACGGATCCTCAAATTCAGTATAATTGTGGGATCCAAAAATCAACATACAAAAATCAGTCACATGTTTATATGCCAGCAGCAAACATCTGAGACATAAACCAAGAAATCAAATGGAATTACCCTCATTTACAATAGCTACAAATAAAAATAAAACACCTAGAAATAAACTTAACCAAAAAACGGAAAGCTCTCTAAAATATAAAACAATGCTGAAAGAAAGAAATTGGAGAGGACACAAAAAATGAAGACGTTCCATGTTCATGACTTGGAAGAATCAAGAGTGTTAAAATATTCTTACTACTCAAAGCAATCTACAGATTCAATGCAATCCCTATCAAAATGGCAATGACATTCTTCACAGAAATAGAAAAAGTAATCCTAAAACTTATATGGAACTACAAAAGTCCCAGAATAGCTAAAACCATCCTGAGCAAAAAGAACAAAGGCAGAGGCACTTGTTACCTGACTTCGCATTATACTAAAAATATACAGTAAACAAAACAGCATGGCACTGACATAAAAACAGACATAGACCAATGGAACAGAACCAGAGAACCCAGAAATAAATCCATGCATTTACTGTCAACTAATCTTTGAAAAAGATGCCATGTACATATGTTAGGGAAAGGACAGTCTCTTCAATAAATTGTGCTGGGAAAACTGGATGACTATATACTAAAGAATGAAACTAGACCTTTATCTCTCATCATAGACAAAAATCAAATAAAAATATACTAAAAACTTAAATTTAAGACCTCAAACTATGAAACTACTGGAAGAAAACATTGGGTAAACACTCCAGGACATTGTTGTGGGCAATGAAACTTTGAGTAAAACCTCAAAAGCAGGATGACTATAGTTAACAATAATGTATTATATAGCTTCAAATAGCTAAAAGGAAGATATTGAACGTTCCCAACACAAAGAAATGATAAATATTTGAGATGATAGATATGTTAATTACCCTGATCTGATCACTACACATTATATGTATATATATAGAAACATCACTATGCACCCCATTAATATGTACAGTTATTATTTTCCAATTAAAAACATTAAAAGTAATAAATAACAGACCTCAAAAACAGGCAAACAAAGCAGAATGGATAAACAGGATCATATCAAGCTAAAAATTTCTGCACAGCAAAGGAAACAATCAATAAAATGAGCAGACTATATACAGAACGGGAGAAAATATTTGCAAACTGCTTTTCTGAGAAGGGATTAATAATCACAATATATAAGGAACTCAAACAACTCAAGAGAAAAAAACCAAATAATTCTATTAAAAATGGGCATAAGATCTGAATAGACATTTCTAAAAGAAGACATAAAATTGGGCAATATGTAAAAAAAATGCTCAACATCACTTATTATCAGAGACATGCAAATAAAAACTACAATGAAATATCATCTTACCCCATGAAGTTAAAATGGCGTTCATAAAAAAAGAGAGGCAATAATGGATGCTGGCAAATATGTGGAAAAGGGGGACTCTGGTACACTGTTAGGAATGTAAATTAACACAACCACTATGGAGAATAGTATGAAGATTCCTCCAAAAACTAAAAATAGAACTATCATATGATCCAGCAATCGTCCCTCTGGGGATATATCCAAAAGAAGGGAAATCAGTATATCGAAGAGATATCTGCACTTTCATGTTTATTGTAGCACTATTTATAATAGCCAAGATATAGAATCAACCTAAATGTCTATCAACAAATGAATGAATAAAGAAAATGTGGTACATATACACATTGGAATAGCATACAGTCATAAAAAAGAAATGCTGTCATTTGCAAGAACGTGGATGGAACTGGAGAACGTTATGTTAAGTGAAATAAGCCAGACACAGAAAGAGAAATATCGAATGTTCTCATTTACGTTGGGAGCTAAAAGAATTGAACTCATGGAGATAGAGAGTAGAATGATAGTTAACTAGAGGCTAGTAATCGTAGTGAGGGTGGGGGTATAAAGAGGGGAAGTAGGGATGGTTATTGGGTACAAAAATAAAGTTAGATAGAAGGAATAAGATCTAGTACTTGGTAGCACCATGGGGCAACTATAGTTAACAATAATGTATTATATATTTCAAAATAACTACAAGAGTGGAAATGGAACTTTCCTAACACAAAGACATGATAAATGCTTGAGGTAATGGATATCTCTGTTACTATGATCATCGCACGTTATGATCACAATGTGATCATCACACATTGTATGCTTTTATAAAATTATCACTTTTACCCCCCATGAACATTTGCAGCTATTATGTATTCATAGTAACTAAATTTTTAAAAAACAACTTAAATGATGGCAAGGATGTAAAGCAACTGCAATATTTGACCACTGGTGGTGGGATTGTAAATTGATTCAACCATTTTATGAAAGTGTTTTCTAGTGTCTATTAAAGCTGAAAAGTACGTCCTCAAATTAAATGAGTAAATAATGTTCACCATGATATATGAAGCCTGAATGCAACATATTTGAAGAAAAAGGAAATGGTTTAATGTACTTTTATGAAGGTAGTATATCCTGTAAGAGATAATTATAATTCAATTGTTAGTTCCCTGTTTTTTCCTTAATTTAATGCCCTAGTATTATTATTACTGACATTCAACAATTATCAGATGTCTAGATTTTCAAGCTGTTGATCCTGATTTGTGCAACTTACAGAATCAACTCAAAATTGAATGGATTTTAGAAACATGTACACGAACACATGGGCCTGGAATAGTTAAATAATAAAAACCAGTAAAGTAAAAAGTAGATGAAGCTGCAGGTGAATTGTCACTGATACAAGATTTTCTATGAGAAGACACATAAGGTGACTCAGACAGGTTTATGTCATCTGGTGAAAGAATTCAAGCAATATTATAACAGACTTCATCTTCTTAGTAGCTCAATCATCATTCAGATGCCAGCTGTGGTTAAGAAATTTATGTTTTTTAGCACACTGAGAGAAGCTCCATCATCTTTGGGGACACATTCATACTTACAAAGGTTATAAAACTGATATATAAAAATAGAATTATATTAACTTAAAATGAATTATTATCATAGAAACTAAAATGTTCAAACATGACAAGGGAAGCCAAATTATTATAAAAATAGAACTATAATATATTAGCTTAAAATGAATTATTATCATAGAAACTGAAATTTTCAAACATGACAAGAGAACCTAAATTATTATAAAATGGTAGATTGATTGAAACCAAATGAAGGAATTTCATATATCTAATGTTTACTTGCTCATGCTAAGACACTCAGATTCATACAGCTTAAAGTTGTATAGATCTTGTCAATGGAATAGAATATTTATTTATTTCCCCTCTGTGGTGCTTAAATTTGTACTACCAATAAGTCCTTCAATAATATCTCTCTCTTTCTCTCTTTGTCTTTCATTTTATACTTTCAAATCAAACTAAATCCCCTTCGGATTGACTGTAACTACATTAATGCATTCAAGCATGTTAAAGTGAAGTTTTGCAAGCAGGATGTGAATGTGTCTTTGAGGTGACTGGTCTGACCAATTATATATTAAATTTGAAAATCCTATTTGTCTATTTCTTAAAAATTTAAATAAAGCCCCCTCATATACTAACTGCATAATGTAAAGACACAAAGACTTTCAAGGACCGGTAAAATTCAAAGTGTCTTTTTCCCCCCTGAAAAACAGGAAGGCTTGTAAAATTCTTTCTACAAAATGAGAGGAAAGTAAATGGTGTTTTGAAGTAGGCAGGCATTTATTGCGGAGTTAAAATTAATATATTAATTAATGCATTCAATACTTCATCAATAAATACTCTTATGAGAGTAATAAGCAGTAGGCAGTAGGAATGCAGAGTTGCAGAGTCTAGGGCATATTCTCTCTGAGTGCTCGCAATCTTTAGGGGAAACAGAAAAGTAATCACATGGCTCAGTTCCCGATTTATTGACTGTGAAGAAAGACAATTCAATTTCATTTAAGAAGTATTATGATAGAAAAATTAAGAGATATATAAGGGTGTATAAGGAAGTTAGGTTCCTTAATCTAGCCCAAAGTGGAGGATGAGAATAGTGTTGAAACCAATAAAGATGGAAAACTCAAAGATACAGGAGAGAGAAAAAGGAATATTTGATACAGCAACTTCTCTAAGGAGATGAAGCTGAAAGTTTGTTTAGAAACTGATTGAGGTGGCTGTTGGGATATAGATAATAGTGAGTGTCTACACAGAATTTGTAGGTTGGGTTAAAGAGGGAGGATTTTTCTGCCTAATAGCTTCTATTGTTTTTAAATAGGAGAGATAACTCACTGAAAGTGAAAGGAAGCTGTAATTGGGGGATAGAGCAGAGCCTGGGTGAATCTGAGGACCAGAAATTTATGGGAGAATCAATATAAAGAATTAAATGTACTTCTCTAGCAAACATCATAAGCCTATGTAGAGAGAGGTGAAAGATTAAATTATCCAGGGTTGGAAATGTATGTCACAGATGATGGAATAACAAGGGGGAAAGAAGGTTATGGCAAAGATCGATCACACTATTGAGGATAGATGGGAAAGAAGAAAGAAATTAGAAGAGAACTAATAGATGAGGGGAATTAGAGGCGTGTGTGTGTGTATGTGTTTGTGTGTGTTTGTGTGTGTGTGTGTGTAGGGGTAGTGAGATGAAGAGACTGGAGGGCACCGAGCTGGAAGAACAGCGCCTGCATTTAAATACATCTCACCTGTTAGAAATAAATCAGTAGAAACATACTAACAACATTCTGCAATTAATAGATAACTTTGTAAAATTGCAGACATAAAGACTGAAGACCTTAAGAGTAGATCAGTTCTGATACAATGAAGTCAGGGGTCTAACATGACCTAATAATAATCAGCACGGGAATCAAAGCAGGTCAGTGGATAATGCCTAATTGGGAAGATTTAAAGTAATCTCAAGAATTTCAACAATAGCTTTGAAAGGAGAGTTATGAATTATAGAGGGGTACTACAGATGAGTCCCCTCTGGGATTCAGAGTCAAGTTGTTTGTAAAACTAGTGTGCTAATGATTTTTCTCAGGTTTCTGTCTCTTTTCTTTTTCTTTTCTTTCTCTCTCTTTTTTTTTACACAGGGTCTCACTCTGTTGCCCAGGCCAGAGTGCAGTGGCGTGATCACGGCTCACTTCAGGCTCAACCTCCTTAGACTCAGGTGATCTTCCTACCTCAGCCTCTCAAGTAGCTGGAACTACAGGCGTGCACCACCATGCCCAGCTAATTTTTGTATTTTTTGTGGAGACAAGGTTTTGTCATGCTGCCTAGGCTGGTCTTGAACTCCTGAGCTCAAGCGATCCACCCACCTCGATCTCCCAAAGTGCTGGGATTACAGGCGTGAGCCACAGTACCCAGCTCAGGTTTCTATTTGCAATAGTTCTCTCCATGAGGATTTTGTTTTCTGGAAAAAAGGGAAAAAAAGATGGGCAGTCTTCACACTTCTGGAAGACTATAAAATATCTAATTTTACTCCAGTGACCTTATTTATACGTTGACGATTTTGTAGTTATTAGAAAGGAGACAACCCAGGGAGAGAGATGGACTGAGTAGAACCCTAGCTAGAAACACAGGTAATGTTACCAGGTCTAGAGTGGAAATATCTGTATCAATTGCCCCTGATTTAATTTTAGGAGATGTGTGGCATCCTCTGGAGGGGAATAAAATTCTTGTAGGAGTGTGGACTTTTAAAAGGACTAATGTTTTGCTTATACAAATTTGGGGGCTCACCTTCTAGTGTACTTTAGTAGTAGTATATATTGACTTGGACCCACATAAAATAAAGCAGAGCTGTACTACATTTATATCTATGTAATCTGCATTTTACTATACATCTGAATTTATGGTTCAGCTAATCGTGTAGGGCATATAGATGTTTAATTTCTTAAATCTATTTATTTAATATCACTTTAAATCTCTTATTATAAAGTTCTGAATAAGGACTTATATTTTATATATTATCTTTATATGAGAAGCCTCAGCTGACCTCATCACCGTTACAACCAAGACCCTCAGGCCTACTGTGAGAAGGCTAGTAGGCAGATATGTCTTAACAGGCATACAGAATGCTGTCAAAAAGTGTCTTCTTCTATTTTCAGACATGTTAGTTTCTTCTTACTGCTGTAACAAATTATCACAAATTTACTGGCTTAACATTATTATATTACTTCTACAGGTGAGAAGTCCTAAAATTAAGATATTGGCATGGCTGAATTCCTTCTAGAGCCTCTGGGGAAGAATCCATTTCCTCTTTTCCAGTTTCTATAAATGATGTGCATTCCTTCATTCATGGCCCCTTCTTTCATCTTCAAAGCCAGCAGCATCCATCTGCACTTCTCCTCCTCTGATTATTTTTTCTCTTTTATAGGATCCTTGTGGTTACCTTAGGGTCCTTCCTCTCTCTTACAGGACTCTTGTGGTTACATTAGGCCTACCTGGATAATATAAGGTATTCTTCCCATCTCAAGATCCTTAACTTAATGACACCTGCAGAGTCCCTTTTGTCATGTAAAGTAACATATTTACAGGTTCAGGGGATTCGGATGTGAACATCTTTGGGAGGAGAGGCATTATTCTGCCTACCACAGGGAGCATATGCCAGTACACTTATCACTTGTGGAAAACTATTTTTCTTTTATTTATTTTTTCTTTTGCACATATTTCCTGAGTACTTACTGTGTGCATGGCCCATAGTGGAAGGCACTAAGTAAATAGTAAAGTCGCTGTCCCTGCAGTCAAGAAGCTAAACATCTATTGTTAAAAATAAACTTTAGACTTCCGAAAAATTTTTATTGTTTGTTGTGCAGTGAGGTTGTTTATATTTCAGTTTCTATTTCTTGGTAATAATAATATTTGATATCACATTTGTTTGTATTCATTACATAAATAGCAATGTCCTCCAGCGGAAGACCACCAGGAACATAACTGTAGTGGAATGAATTGGGTTTATTAGTTGTTGCAGTG
The DNA here is from genome assembly GCF_000001405.40 of Homo sapiens. Taxonomy (NCBI): domain Eukaryota; kingdom Metazoa; phylum Chordata; class Mammalia; order Primates; family Hominidae; genus Homo; species Homo sapiens. Next base: position 28,088,419 of record NC_000023.11, read on the forward strand.
AGGGATATTATACAATATGAGGAATGTGCAGCATCTCAGTAATTGTGTTGAAAAGGACTTATTGGATTTGGGTTTTGTGAGGAAATCTTGAAGAACATCTAAGGAAATGGAGACTCACTCTGGATCATTTGTTGTCGGTAAGCAAGGGGAATCCTATCATTGGGTATCTCAAAACATCTAAAGGAAGGGCAAACTGGAGTGGGGATAAAGCTGTAATAGGCAAAAAAGCAACAGTCACTCGTATTAGCCAACAGAAAGGGATGTTTGGTGTTTTGTGGGTGGCACAAAATCTTTTTATATCTTGCTGTAGCATGGTCTCAGAGTGGCCTTGTCTGATATTGGTGCTCTGTGAGACTGCTTATGACCAACAAGAGAAAAATGTGGCCTAACAGTGAGCATCAGGCCAGCTCACATGGAGACCTAGGTTACTCTAGTTCCTAGATGCTATGCTTGTGGCATTTCCCATCCCTGTCCCATCTGTGGCACTTGCTAAAAATGCAGAATTCCAAATCTACCCTACGATTACTGCATCAGAATCTCTGAGAATTGATTTAACCAGGTGATTCTTGTATATATTAAAGGTTAAAATTGCTCTATTTAAACAATTTAAAAATCGTTTATCAGGGTTAAATATTTGCTTGTTCATGATTACTGTCCTCAGTAATAATTTTCTGACGTTTTTATTTTTTCATTTATAATTCACAAACTATAGCCTTTTATTTATCCATGCCTTTTTGTTAGATATTTCTTGGAAATGGCTAAGCTGTGGGACTCTCTTATGAAAAACCAAAGGAGAGATATATTTCCAAAGAATTTAAAACTAGGCCCTAATGATATTTGTATGGATTTAACATCTGCAGTTTAGTCTTTCATTTTCACAGTTTACTTATATGTTGACTGAATGTCACCTGAAATGAATACTGCAAGCCACAGCAAGACTAAGCAACAATTCCTGTTCAGGTTCTGAATGCATGCTGCACCATCTTCTCTCTGCATCATCTTGCTGTTGACAAGCTTTCCCTTGTGCTTTAAACCTGAAACCACATAAGCCTTACAGCCTCACTCTGATGTGCATGCCCTTTAAAACCTCAGCTAAATGTGTTTTCCTTGTCCCCACATGAAAATGTGAGGGAAAGCAAGCCTATAGGAGGAAGCCTGTGCCTTCAAAATAACATTGATGATACTCACACCTTAATTTCTTTTCTTTCTTCCTTTTTTTGGCACAAGATAAAAATGCACAATAGGAAGACAAAGTTAAAGGCAAGATGTATTCTCTTTAGTATGATCTGACATAATTATTAATATTAACACTCTAAAATATGGCTTCAAGTCCTCAAAATAAATTTTTCTGAAATAATAATTTCAATATTCTACTTTAAGTAAGTAAATAGGTAACTTTAGAAAAATAAACGTTCATGAAGAACATGCTGAAGCTGAATGTCAATTAAGAAAGAGAAGACAGTATTTAGCCATAGTTTGTGCAACTTGTATTTCCATAAGAAAATCAGAATTTAATAAGAGTTCTGGAAGAGTGAGAGTGAAAGATTTTCACATTCTAGATGGCAACAAAGTGTCCTATGCAAGTGCTTTTCATACTATCCCCAGCAATAGATCAGTATCTTTTATCTCTTTGTTCATTCCCTTTCTAAATATCATTACTCAGATTCATCACAGATGGATAATTTTTAATAGAATAACATTCAATCTATTTAAAAACATAGAAAAGAAATGTGCAAACTACAGGGCCATCCTTAAATCACTGTTAGATTTGACAAGCATAAAATTACTCTTTCAAATTGCTATAAAAATTTATAAAGGTTTAGTCTCAATTTCTGTACTTCATTGTGGACCAGTAAAAAAACTTCCACAGATCTCCACATGTTGAGTGGTAGTGTCTGATACTATGTTTAAGAACTGGGGTTTTAATATTTATAACATCATAATTTGTTAGGGCTATAAAGGACATCAGAAATTTAACCACAGATTTAAAAGAAATAAGACCACTGAAATAGGTGAAAATGAAGGCAAAACATTCTTGCTCAGAAACTTGTCAGATCCCAAAGCAAACATAGCCATTTAATGAATGGAGTAGGAGAGGCTAATGGACAGGAACGAATGAATACTATTTGATTTACAATGTATTTTTAGAAAAAATAAAGATAGAAGAGTGGTGCTATTTATATTTTTGTCTTTTTATTTCTTTTTATTTTTTATTATACTTAAGTTCTGGGATACATGTGCAGAATGCGCAGGTTTGTTATGTAGGTATACATGTGCCATGGTGGTTTGCTGCACCCATCAACCTGTCATCTACATTAGGTATTTCTCCTAATGCTCTCCCTCCCCTTGCCCCCAACCCCCCGACATGCCCCAGTGTGTGATGTTCCCCTCCTTGTGCCCATATGTTCTCATTGTTCAACTCCCACTTATGTGTGAGAACACGCGGTGTTTGGTTTTCTATTCCTGTGTTAGTTTGCTGAAAACGATGGTTTCCAGCTTCATCCATGTCCCTGCAAAGGACATTAAAAAGGATAGTAAGAATGATTGAATTGTAGAAATTGAGCTTTTTTATATATACCACATATAGAGGTTAGCAGCAAAGCTAAATAGAACTGCGATCCATTTTTACTTCATGCCAGAAAACTATTCTTGCTACTGTGAGTGAGCTCATCTTTCATTTGCCTTTTTGCCTCCTCTCCCACTTTCAATGTGTCATCAAGTCCCACTGAGATGGCTGCCTAATGATGCCTCAAATCTGTAATAGTCTCTGCTTTATCACTGGGACCTCCAATAGTGCCTGGCACATAGTAAGTGTTGAGTAAATATTTGTCGAATGATCGAAAGAATATATGTTCTCCAACGCATGGCGTAATGCCATGTTTTTCCTTGTCTTTATGATTTTGAACATGAGTTTCTCTTTTTATATAATGTTGCTACTTCTTAACATTTTTGAAGACAGGCTCAATCTACATGGCACAACTTTTCTGAACTCTCCCCCAAAACCCCCAGAAAAAGCCTCCTTAACTCTGCTCTGAGTCTATATGTATTATCTCATTACAATTATTTGCTTATATATGTCTTCCACAATAGACTAAATGGTCTTGAGGACAGAAATTATGTCATTATTTTAATCATCTTCCCAGTGCCTAGCACGGTGCCTGAAAATCCTAGGAAATCAATATAATTTATTCTATGGATGAAGAAGTGAATTAGTCAATGAGATCAAGAGAAAATTATAAATGATTTTAGCTCCATCTATCACACATAGAATTTTTGTGTTTTGCTTCTCCACATCTTGTAAAGCTCCTTGCCCATAAAGTCTAATAGTCATAATTTTTAATTTGATTGATAACAAATATATTAGCATCCTGTACTTCAATTTTTGTTGCATTGTCATTTATTTGATTTCTTAGTTATTGTTCAGAAACAGGGAAGAACTTAACAAAATACAAGACAGCTCTGATTAAGATTCTAAAATATATAATTCTCTCTCCTGGAAATAATTATGGAAGCTACACTATCTCCTTTGACGTTTCCGTGTTCTGGTATGCTCTTCTAAATACCAAAGATTTCTTGCCTTAGTGGTGACCCCAATTTTATCAGAAGAAGTTTATAATTGGGGGCACACTCAACTGATTCCTAATCTATGTCAAGGTTATTCCCCTTAGCTTAATTGCCCAGTACTTAACTCTTGCGTGTGACCCTAATACAAGAGCATATTCAAAAGGGTTTCGACTTTACTGAAAGTAACAGATTGCATCATTTCATAATTCTCTACTAGATAGTAAAGTAGTTTGCAACAAAATCTAATCTCTTCCCAATTTTATCTTATTGTTTGCAACATCAGTAGATAAAGCTTCTTTGAATCTCACTTGTAAAACATCACACATTTTCTGGCACTTTCACTAATTTGTAGTCCTAACTCCTATGCTCCCATTTATCTTCTGCTGAATAAATAGTAGATTAACTGATTCACAGGCTTCTGATTTACTCCACATATTTGACTATAAAACTTAAGGAGAAAATTCTCTTTATTTTATAATACAATTCAAGTCACACCTTTGGAGCTGTCAGTTTAATTTTTTCTTAGAGCACCTTCCCAAATTAATGTTGAAATAACTCAATCTATTTTGATATATGGTCAACCTACTAGAAAATGCAAAAATATCAGTTAACAATAGTTCTTACACTCATTTATTACACTAATACTATTTGGAAAATACTTTTTGAGAGCTTGCTATTAAACAGGCTCTGGTTTTTGTTTGGGGATTCAGTGTGGAAAAAGATAAACAAGTTACCTTCGACCTTATATTCTGGTAGAAAAAGATAAATCATAAAAAGTAAAAAGCTGCATAAACAAGATAATTTCTTATCATTATGTATGTGCAGTATATACAGGCAGATGTGATAGTGACTGGACATTTTTATATATAGGGTTCTAGGGAATGCATCTCTGATGAGGTAGCCTTTAATCTGAGGACTGAGGGATGAAAGAAGCCAGCTACAAAAAAGGAAAATATTTCCAAGTAATGGCAACCAACCAATCCAAAAGCTCTAAAGAGGGGATACCCTTAACCTATTGAAGAAACATCGAAAAGGCCAGTGTGGCTGTGATGTAGTAAGCAGGGGGTGCAGTGAAAGGAGTGTGTGAATTGGTGTCTAGAGTTTGACAAGAACCAGATGACATAGGGACGTAGAGTGTGAAGGGAAGCCATGGAATGGTTTTAAGCAAGGGGATGACACAATTATATTTATGTTTTGAAAAATTTCTCATAGTGCTATAAGAACAATGGACTTTAAGGAGTGGAAGCAGAAATCCCAGAGATAGGAGATTATGGCAAGAGTCCAGGAGTAAGATGATGGTCACCTAGACTAGGAGAGAATTGGACTGATTTAAGATAAATGCTGAAAGTAGAATAGACAGCATTTGCAAATTGATTAATTTACTGGGTGAATAAAACAAGCATGAAAAAGGCTGCTACATTTTTTACTTGAGTAATTAGTTAAAGATTCATGCCTCTTACTAACACATGTAGTTTGGGGGAGTGTAGAAGATATCTGTTATTTTTTTGTGTTCAGCTTCCATTGCCATCTAAATATAGCACACTGATTTTTCATTGGGGATTCACCCTCCTCCTACTCCATCAGATTGGTTTTTCTTTTTTTGAGACTACTTCCAATTTCCAGTTCCAGATATGTGTATGAGAGGCATGCCTGGGTAATCAGCATTTTCAAATTTTTTACCAAAGTAATTGACTTAGTGACAATACTTGGCCCAGTCGGATGCAACCCTGAGACTTTGGGTTAAACTGTAGGGGGTTAAAGATGTTAAGTTTGTGATTGATAAGTTAGTAGGATTTCAGTTTGGCGTATCTAGAGATTACCATGTTGAGAGAGCATGACAGAGAATGAGGCCAATGCAGAGGCAAACCAGGCAGAGTGGTAGAGTGAGAAACTAAGTCTTAATGATGTTTTTAAGTCCCTGAATTCCCATGCCTGAAGCCACATTTACTCCAGTGCCTTTCAGTTATCTCTCCCCCAAATTAGCTTCCACGTGCTTGAGCACATTTGAGTTGAATTTCTCTCCCATGTAACCAAGAGTTCTTTTTTCAAATTTATTTATTTTAAAAAATGGAAATATAAAACTATATGCATTTGACCTGTACACCATAATGTTTCGAAGTATGTGTACCTTGTGGAATGGTTAAATATGTGTACATTGTGGAAAGGTTAAATCTAGCTAATTAACGTGTACATTACCAAACATGGTTATCATATTTGTGTGGTGAGAACACTTAACATCCACTTTCTTAGCATTTTTCTTTTTTTTTTTTTTTTGTTTGGGGATAGATAGATAAAAGTTTATTCCATTTGGCCAAAGTGAGAACAGGGCAAGATCCCTCAGATATGTCTTTTTTTTAAATTTTATTTTTTTTATTATTTTTTTATTTTATTCTGATTATACTTTAAGTTTTAGGGTACATGTGCACAATGTGCAGGTTAGTTACATATGTATACATGTGCCATGCTGGTGTGCTACACCCATTAACTCGTCATTTAGCATTAGATATTATCTCCTAATGCTATCCCTCCCTCCTCCCCCCACCCCACAACAGTCCCCAGAGTGTGATGTTCCCCTTCCTGTGTCCATGTGTTCTCATTGTTCAATTCCCACCTATATGAGTGAGAACATGCAGTGTTTGGTTTTTTGTCCTTGCGATAGTTTACTGAGAATGATGATTTCCAATTTCATCCATGTCCCTACAAAGGACATGAACTCATCATTTTTTATGGCTGCATAGTATTCCATGGTGTATATGTGCCACATTTTCTTAATCCAGTCTATCATTGTTGGACATTGGGGTTGGTTCCAAGTCTTTGCTATTGTGAATAGTGCCGCAGTAAACATACGTGTGCATGTGTCTTTATAGCAGCATGATTTATAGTCCTTTGGGTATATACCCAGTAATGGGATGGCTGGGTCAAATGGTATTTCTAGTTCTAGATCCCTGAGGAATCGCCACACCGACTTCCACAATGGTTGAACTAGTTTACAGTCCCACCAACAGTGTAGAAGTGTTCCTATTTCTCCACATCCTCTCCAGCACCTGTTGTTTCCTGACTTTGTAATGATTGCCATTCTAACTGGTGTAAGATGATATCTCATTGTGGTTTTGATTTGCATTTCTCTGATGGCCAGTGATGGTGAGCATTTTTTCATGTGTTTTTTGGCTGCGTAAATGTCTTCTTTTGAGAAGTGTCTGTTCATGTCCTTCGCCCACTTTTGGATGGGGTTGTTTGTTTTTTTCTTGTAAATTTGTTTGAGTTCATTGTAGATTCTGGATATTAGCCCTTTGTCAGATGAGTAGGTTGTGAAAATTTTCTCCCATTTTGTAGGTTGCCCGTTCACTCTGATGGTAGTTTCTTTTGCTGTGCAGAAGCTCTTTAGTTTAATTAGATCCCATTTGTCAATTTTGTCTTTTGTTGCCATTGCTTTTGGTGTTTTAGACATGAAGTCCTTGCCCATGCCTATGTCCTGAATGGTAATGCCTAGGTTTTCTTCTAGGGTTTTTATGGTTTTAGGTCTAACGTTTAAGTCTTTAATCCATCTTGAATTAATTTTTGTATAAGGTGTAAGGAAGGGATCCAGTTTCAGCTTTCTACATATGGCTAGCCAGTGTTCCCAGCACCATTTATTAAATAGGGAATCCTTTCCCCATTGCTTGTTTTTCTCAGGTTTGTCAAAGATCAGATAGTTGTAGATATGCGGTGTAATTTCTGAGGGCTCTGTTCTGTTCCATTGATCTATATCTCTGTTTTGGTACCAGTACCATGCTGTTTTGGTTACTGTAACCTTGTAGTATAGTTTGAAGTCAGGTAGCGTGATGCCTCCAGCTTTGTTCTTTTGGCTTAGGATTGACTTGGTGATGCGGGCTCTTTTTTGGTTCCATATGAACTTTAAAGTAGTTTTTTCCAATTCTGTGAAGAAAGTCATTGGTAGCTTGATGGGGATGGCATTGAATCTATAAATTACCTTGGGCAGTATGGTCATTTTCACGATATTGATTCTTCCTAGCCATGAGCATGGAATGTTCTTCCATTTGTTTGTATCCTCTTTTATTTCATTGAGCAGTGGTTTGTAGTTCTCCTTGAAGAGGTCCTTCACATCCCTTGTAAGTTGGATTCCTAGGTATTTTATTCTCCTTGAAGCAATTGTGAATGGGAGTTCACTCATGATTTGACTCTCTGTTTGTCTGTTATTGGTGTATAAGAATGCTTGTGATTTTTGTACATTGATTTTGTATCCTGAGACTTTGCTGAAGTTGCTTATCAGCTTAAGGAGATTTTGGGCTGAGACAGTGGGGTTTTCTAGATATACAATCATGTCATCTGCAAACAGGGACAATTTGACTTCCTCTTTTCCTAATTGAATACCCTTTATTTCTTTCTGCTGCCTAATTGCCCTGGCCAGAACTTCCAACACTATGTTGAATAGGAGTGGTGAGAGACGGCATCCCTGTCTTGTGCCAGTTTTCAAAGGGAATGCTTCCAGTTTTTGCCCATTCAGTATAATATTGGCTGTGGGTTTGTCATCAATAGCTCTTATTATTTTGAGATACGGCCCATCAATACCTAATTTATTGAGAGTTTTTAGCATGAAGAGTTGTTGAATTTTGTCAAAGGCCTTTTCTGCATCTATTGAGATAATCATGTGGTTTTTGTCTTTGGTTCTGTTTATATGCTGGATTACATTCATTGATTTGCATATATTGAACCAGCCTTGCATCCCAGGGATGAAGCCCACTTGATCATGGTGGATAAGCTTTTTGATGTGCTGCTGGATTCGTTTCACCTGTATTTTTTTGAGGATTTTTGCATCAATGTTCATCAAGGATATTGGTCTAAAATTCTCTTTTTTGGTTGTGTCTCTGCCAGGCTTTGGTATCAGGATGATGCTGGCCTCATAAAATGAGTTAGGGAGGATTCCCTCTTTTTCTATTGATTGGAATAGTTTCAGAAGGAATGGTACCAGTTCCTCCTTGTACCTCTGGTAGAATTTGGCTGTGAACCCATCTGGTCCTGGACTCTTTTTGGTTGGTAAGCTATTGATTATTGCCACAATTTCAGATCCTGTTATTGGTCTATTCAGAGATTCAACTTCTTCCTGGTTTAGTCTTGGGAGAGTGTATGTGTCGAGGGATTTATCCATTTCTTCTAGATTCTCTAGTTTATTTGCATAGAGGTGTTTGTAGTATTCTCTGATGGTAGTGTGTATTTCTGTGGGATCGGTGGTGATATCCCCTTTATCATTTTTTATTGCGTCTATTTGATTCTTCTCTCTTTTCTTCTTTATTAGTCTTGCTAGCGGTCTATCAATTTTGTTGATCCTTTCAAAAAACCAGCTCCTAGATTCATTAATTTTTTGAAGGGTTTTTTGTGTCTCTATTTCCTTCAGTTCTGCTCTGATTTTAGTTATTTCTTGCCTAGCATTTTTCAAGAATACAATATATTGTCATCAACTGCAGTCGTCATGCTGCACAGTAGATCTCTTCCTACAGTTGAGAAATGTATTTTACATGTATTAAGTTGGAAATGCCTATTTAGGTTTTCCAGATTAAAATACAAGATGCCCAGTTAAATTTGAATTTCTGATAATTGATGAAATTTTTTTATTATATATCCCCAATACTGCTAAATCTGGTGAGCCTATGCCTATTAGATATCCAAGTGGAGATGTTAAGTGGGAAGTTGTATATACAGACATGGCTCTCTAGAGAGAGGTCAGAGATTTTTATATATATCTGCAAGTTGTCGCAATAGCAATAGCATTCAAAGCTGTGGGACTAAAAGATTACAGTTTGGGAAAAAAGGAGATAGAGTTGAGTGAGTGTCCAGAGCTAAACCTGACGGCAACCTGCTTTGTGATGTCGAAGTCTAGCAGACCAGAGAGAATATGTGAAGTATTGAGAAGGAAGAGCCAGTGAAGGTGGCAATATAGTTTCAGGGAAAGCACGAAAAAAAGATAAGTTTTAAGACAGGATTCATCAGCATCTCCAACAAAGATCAGCAAACCTCCTTCTCGAAATCATGGGTACACGCTTTCCTCATAATCACTTACCTACTGAATCTTTTCAACATCCCATCACTTCCTGAATATATTCAGATGCCTAGCCCCTTTGGCTATTGTTGGAGACATCTAGAAACTCATCCCTTGTCTGTGGGCATTGAGATGTTCCCTCTCTGCTGCGTTTGATATTGGGGACTTAAAAATCCCTTTTCTGTTTCTATCAAACAGCTTGAGACTTTAAAGGTTTAAAGAGTTAGAACAGATATATGCAGTGACTAATTAATAATTCAGAGTTATCTGTTCAGGGGTGAGAACATGGAAACAAACAGCTCTAGTGAACAGCTGCTCATGACTAGAGTGTTACCAACATTGCAGAACCTACTGACCTCTTCATTTTTCCTCTCACCTTACTGTCTGACTTCTCTTCCATTTTCACTTTCTTTCTCCAAGGAGCCCACCAGTCACCCTCTTTATCTCTCCCTAGCACCTTCATTTCTTCCTTTCACTCATCCCTTAATTAATGGTGGAATCAAAGCATATTGTGGAAGGAGTTCTTCTGTTTGTTTTGTAATTTTCTTTTTATTGTTAACCAAAATATTTATTAGTATAATGTAATAAAAACTTACAGACAAAAAGAAAAGAATTAAGGCAATTGAGAAAGGACAAAAAAGTGGGAATTAAAAGCCCACTTTCTTCTTTCCTGCCCCCAGTCCCATGTCCTTTGGGATAATGTTAATATTATACATATATATCTATATATATTTTATGTCAAATGGGAAGTTTTATGTACCGACACGTACCCACACACATATATAATATTAACATGTATTGAGTGGCTACTATGTTCCAGAAACTATTATAAATGCTCCAAACACACGAATTTATTTAATCCTCACAAAAGGCCTTTGGCAGATAAGGAAACTGAATCACAGAGCATAAAAGTAACTTGCCCCAAATCACAAAGCTAGTAAATGTATAATATACATGAGCATTAAAGGCATGGTATAAAATATGCTTTGACTAAAGTAAAATGAGCAGATATTTTCGGTGAAATCGAAATCTATCTAGAAAACATGGTGTTGTTTGAGGCATACTGTTAATTGATACAAATACTAATGCAACTTCCAGGTCTGCAGAATTTCTTCTGTGTCATTGGACTTCCAAATATGTTGTTGTTGTTGTCTGTGAGCTCAATTTCTGCTGAAGTTATCCTTCTACAGAAATTTTCACCCTTGTGTAATTTGAGTGAGAATCTTATCTTTGGGAGTAGTTTGAGACATGTAGAAATATTTTTATTAGCATTCAGGCCTAGGGTTAGCACATGAAATGGATAGCACTTGTTGGGTTTTACCCACAGGCTTGGCACAAGCTCAGAATTCCCGTATTCCAAAGATAATTTTGTCCACGTATGATATGGGGCAGGCAGTTTGTGATTGGCAAATCAGCCACTCAGTTAGCTAACAGAGATTTATGGGTTTCTTCTCAGGAACAAAAAAAGCAGCGTGGGCTTCCAGCTTTCTACAGGGAGTTATGTTCTGGCTTCCAGCAGCAATGGAGCTTGTGGCCTCTATTTCTATCATGAAGCAGGCATTAACACCACAGCTTCCAATTTCTGTTATGTGTTATCTTGTTATTTCTAGCACTCTGAAAATTTTCATCCTTTCTTGTTCATCTATCTATATATTTTTATTTAATATTGTCTGAATACTTTATACAGCATTTTTAATGTATTTGGAATGGGAGAGAGAAATTAATTGATGTGCTCAATTGTCTACTCAAAAGTTTTAGTTTCATTTTTATCTTGGAAATACATAAATCTTTAAAGTGTGTAATCCACTCAATTTTTTTGAATTACTCTAATTTTTAGCATTTGATAGGTTTCAAAACTCGTTTCACAAATCCATTCCCCTTTTGCTCTTCTCCTACATTTATAACCTCCAAACTCAATGTTTTAACTGAGGCCAAATAGGGATAGACTTAACTAAAAGGGTTGATTTTTTTATATTGTCTTGTTATAAGTTTAGTTATGGTTTTGCTTATGCAAAAATATCTATCTATAGTAAAACTGCATATATTTCCTCATTTTATTCACTAGGAAAATTACTAAAACTGAAGAAACTTCATTTGCTTTGATATAATGTAGGAAGTAGCACATATTTCGAAACAAAATGGCACAGAGAAAGATTTTCTGTGGCTCAGAAAATTTTGCAGTGCTTTTGACATTAAATAAAATTCGAATACAATGTAAATATTATTGTCCATGAATAATGGGAACTTTAAAAGTTGACTTGTGTTGAGCAGCAAAAGAGAGAAGCATAGAACTCGAAAGACAGGCTTGGGAAGCTTTCAGTAGGCAGAAATTTGATTTTAAGTTTGGCAAGCTGATTGCATAACATTCTAGTTAGGTGGCATCAATGTATCTGTTTTAAAAGTAGCTTCCCCATCAATTTACTCTTCAATTAATTCTCTCAAAACTTAACTTGTTTGAAACACTGTGAGGGCAAGGTCAGACTTTGCATCACTATCTGATACCTAGTGTTTTCCTATCATGATGAAGAGAAAATATATATGGGGGCCTAATGCCTTCAAAGGTCAAAAATATTAGTTAAAGCCTACGTGACATGTGGGACACCATAAAACAATCAAATATTCAAATTTTCGGTGTCCCAGAAAGTGAAAACCAAAAGGATGGAAAATATATTTAACAAAGTAATAGCTAAAAACTGTACAAGTCTAGCAAGAGATTTAGACATCCATATACAGAAACCTCAGAGATAACCAAATGGGTACAATTCAAAAGCATTTGGTGAGTACCTACTACAGAAAAAGCACAATACTAATTAATTAAAATTAATTTCTTACTAGGTTTTTGCATTCTAAATTTTTCTTTTATCCAGGACTTTTTGCTTCTTAAAGATTGTGACTTCCAGCAAGTGACTGCTGAGCCATTTACTAGGTTTTGGCAAATGATTCTATCAACAACAGTATTTCATAAATACAGATTAGGTCTCTATTTCCTGTGATATTAGAAAACAGTGAAAGGGAGAAAAGTCAGTAGCCTGAAAATGAACTAGAGAGAAGCAATAAGAAGGATTACACTAATTCGCAATTATTAAGGATGTTAAATAACATTGCTGACAAATTCCCTACAAGTAGACTCTTTAGAAGAATTTAGTTTTTCAGGAAAAAAAGATGCTGCAGGTGTTTTGGGACCAAAAAGTTTTGGCATTTATCATGAGAGACATCAAAAAACTTCCACATGAAGGCATAGGGGTTGTCCAAAAGTCTCTTCTTGTTCTTATTGTCATGATACATATTTTGATTTATTTCAAAAAATTAAGCACATTTCTATGCTAGAGAAAATATTGAAGAACTCTTGTCTGTTTCTGTTTTTCCATTTTAGTGTAGTAAGTCAATAGCATTTTTAACTTTTGTGCCTAGAATTCCAATGTTTACACAGTTTTTATTGCATCCTAGGATTTTTGAATGATTATTAGATGGTATTTTTATAATAATGTTTTCCAGAGATTTTGACTGATTCCTCAGTTAGCAATCAAATATCTATTTTTGTTTGCATTGGTGAATACTATAGTATGATTTGGTCTGAAATAATGGGTAAGTTTCTCCTATATTTTGTAGCTTTTCTATGCTTTTCTTATTATTGTAAAGCCTAGAAAATGATTCCTTACTTACGTTTTCCTGCATTCTAACATAACACCACTTAAATATGTATACATATATACACACTACATTCCAAAGTCAAAGTGTCAGTTTCCAGGATGACACGATGATCCCTGTTTCTAAACATTTGAATTCATTTCAAAGCTCAGGAAAATTGTCACGAATAATGGCTGTAATTATTACAGTACGTTTGTTCTCTAAATCGACTTTAGGGAGAAAATGTTATACTGTTATTTTTAGCAATGATATAAACTAGGCTGTTGAATTGAGGGATTGCTTCCAAACTGACCTGGAAAGGAGACACAGCTACCGCTGCTTCAATTACATTAATATGGAATACCTGGCTATTTTAAGGCCTATGTAGCCTTCAGATTTTGGCTAGGAATCACAATGTTGCTACCTCCTCTACAATTTAAATCCCCAAATTGAGAAGGAACTGTGATTTCTCTATCTTATATTTTATTATTATTAATATTATTTTAACATAATCCATTTTTAGTTGTATATTTTTGTTGAAATTTTATTTGAACTTTTGCAGATGTAAAGCTAAGTGAATTCAGAATTAAAGTCATGAAATTAAGGCATGATTCTTATATACATTATTTTAAATGGACAAAATCATAACTCTTCTAAATCCACTAAAATTGAAGAAATTTTTCAGTTAAGTTCCTAACTGATAGGTTTGTTTTCTGTGTCAAACCTGGAAGAGTCAGCCCAATAAAAACAGTGAAAATAATTGGATTTTTAAATTGAATTTGAGTGTTTTTCTTGATTACAATTTTTTTAAGTTTGTGGATATTTATTTATTTATTATAATTTCGGCTTTTATTTTAGATTCAGGAGTACACGTGCAGGTTTGTTACATGGGTATATTGTGTGATGCTGAAGTTTGGAGTACAAATGGTCTTGTCACCCAGGGCGTAAGCATAGTACCCAACAGGTAGTTTTTCAGCCCTTGTCCTTCTCCCCCTCTCCCCGCCTCCCACACTAGTGTCTGTTATTTCCATCTTTATGTTCATGTGTACCCAGTGTTTAGCTCCCACTTATAAATGAGAACATGTGGTATTTGGTTTTCTGTTCCTGGATTAATTCACTTAGGATGATGGCCTCCAGCTCCATCCATGTTGTTACAGAGGATATGATTTCATTTGTTATGGCTGTATTGTATTCCATGGTTATATGTACCACATGGCGTATATATACCACATTTTCTTTATCCAATTCACTGTTTATGGGCACCCTGTCTTTGCTATTGTGAATAGTGCTGCAGTGAATATACCTACACACATGTGTCTTTTTGGTAGAATGATTTATTTTTCCTGTGGACATGTACCTAGTAATTGGGATTGCTGTCTTGAATGATAGTTGTTTTAATTTCTTTGAGAAATCTCCAAACTGCTTTCCATAGTGGCTGCACTAATTTACATTTCCACCAACAGTGTATAAGCATTCCCTTTTCTCTGAAGCCTCACCAGCCTCTGTGATTTTTGACTTTTTAATAATAGCCATTCTGACGGGTGTGTGATGGTATCTTGTTGTGGTTTTGATTTGCATTTCCCTAATGATTAATGATGTTGAGCATTTTTTCATGTGTTTTTTGGCCACTTGCATGTCTTCTTTAAGAAGTGTCCATTCTGTTCATGTCCTTTGCCTACTTTTTAATGGGGTTATTTGTTTTTTGTTTAAGTTCCTTATAAATTCTGAATATTAGACTTTTGTTGGATGCATAGTTTGGAAATACTTTCTCCCGTTCTGTGGGTTGTCTGTTTACTCTGTTGATAGTTTCTTTTTCTGTGCAGAAGCCCTGTAGTTTAATTAGGCCCCACTTACCAATTTTTGTTTTGGTTGCAAATGCTTTTAAGGACTTAGTAGTAATTATTTCCCAAGGCCAATGTCCAGAATAGCATTTCCTAGGTTTTCTCCTGGTATTTTTATAGTTTTAGGTCTTTCATTTATGTCATTTATCCATCTTGAGTTAATTTTTATATTTGGTCTAAGGTAGGGGTCCCGTTGTATTCTTCTGCATATGGCTAGCTAGTTATCCGAGAACTATTTACTGAATAAGTCCTCTGCCCATTGCTTATTTTTGTCAACTTTGTCGAAGATTAGATGGTTGTAGTTCCTATTTCCTGGTGCATTAGTGTTTCTGAGGTAAAACAAAACATAATATGAATGTCGTTTGCATATAAACCACCCTTAAAGACTTCTTTCAATTTTGTTTTGACATACTTTTATCACACAATATTATTTTTGTTTGGAGTATTTTTTTTGTTTTTGTTTGACTGTTTCTCCAAATTATTTGTATGAAACTGAATTATGTAGCTTAGTGTCTGCAAATAATTTCAATTTTTGAAGTAGAGAATATTTTCAGAAACATAATAGTCTAAGTAAAAGAATACATGGCAAAAGGAGAGTAACATCAAAAGGGAAAATAAATAGTGTTCTATACACGATTGAATTGCAACAACAGTAATAACAATGACAATAGTAGCTGCCATTAATATAGCATTTATCATGAGCACTACACTGTTTTAAGTGCTTTATGTACATTAATTCATGTAATCTTCACAACAGTGGAGAAAACAAAGGCAAAAAGAGATTGAATAATTTGCTAAAGGTCACAGTGGAAAAGTCACAAAGGAAAAATGAAAAGTCCAGATAAAGCCAGAAGAGTTTAAAAATAAATGTTCAGAATATTGTTAAGTGCAGCTACTGAGAAATGCAAAAATTAAGAATAGAAAAATATTAAGAGATATCAGAAAAAAACTTGTTTAATTTTCAAGGACCTGAATTAAAAAAAAGACTGATGATATCATTAGTTGCTAAAAGTAAATCAAATCAGTGTGTAAATAGATCTATTTGAAGAAAACAATTTTGAGGTTTAGTTGTGATTCCAGGTTATCTAGATTCATTGGGCAAGTCATGTTAAGTCTAGGCGCAGATCTCTTTCACCGTAACAAAAGGGATTTGGTGAATTTCTAAAGCCCCTTTCCCCCAGATCAAATTGATTACATTTACTTAATACTATTTAATGGCCATTGATTTTTTGGCTGAATGCAATTAAAACCAGTGGGGTCACCTGAGCATAATGCATTGGAAATATTAAATATTTGTATTTTATATTAAAATATTGAAGATTTATTACGGATTTCCCTTGAAGGGAAAGGCAAGGAACCATGTGTGGTCCAGAGTTGAATCTGGTAGTTTTTGAAGACCTTGGTAATAGCTGTGTGGCCTTCTCACCACCCTTCACCACTAGAGCCAATAAATCCTAATTATTTATTAAAACCTTGGTTCACACAGAGACAGCCCAGTTGGCCAAGGTTTTGTCATGTGTCTAGATAATTGGCAACATTAAAACAATGAGAGGAAAAACATGGCAGAAGGAGTTTTATATAGAAGGAAAGCAGGTTCAGCCAATGGAAGATAAGCAGTTCTCTTGTGTCTACTATTGTATTAGTCCATTCTGCATTGCTATGAATCAGTGCCTGAGACTGGGTAATTCATAAAGAAAAGAAGATTATTCAGCTCACGGTTCCGCAGGCTGTGTAAGAAGCATAGTGCCAGCATCTGCTTCTGGTGAGGGCCTCAGGAAGCTTCCAATCATGGCAGAAGGTGAAGGGTAGCCAGTGTGTCACATGGCGAGAGTGGGAGCAAGAAAGGAGGAAGTTCCAGGCTCCTTTAAACAATCAGATCTCTTGTGAAGTCAAAGAGCAAGAATTCAGTCATTATGGTGAGGATTGTATCAAGCCATTCATGAGGGATCCACCCTTATGACCCAAACACCTCCCATCAAGCCCCACCTCCAACACTGGGGATTACATTTCAACATGAGATTTGGAGAGAACACCCAAACCATATCAACTATGGCTTAATAACCATAGGAATTTTGGAAACCTTTTTTTTTAAATGTGAGGCTTTAATATATGATTATGTTTTCCCTTGAGATGATTAATATCTCAACGGAGACAAATATATGAAGAATGAAAAATAAGATGTTAAAAATATTCTACATTACGTACTGCTAAAGATTTATATTGAAAGATTGTAAAACAGGTAAGAATTGACTCTTAGAGTACTTCCCCCTTCAATTTTTAAGTCTAAGTGTATAATTATTGTTGCAAATGTATAAGATTTTTTTAATCTTGTAACTGACAAGCTGAACATAATTACTAATTTCTCCTCAGAATTTCCATCTTTGATAGAGTTATGAGTTTTTCCCCAATAGATGCCCACTTGAAAAAAATCACACAAAAATACTTTTTAAAATGTGAACATAATATCTGAGTGAAAAACGTCATCTTAATTGAGAATTTTTATATTATTAAAAATTAAGTGAATGATTAAAAATGCCAGGGGAACAGAAGATTGTTTCATATGGCTCTCTGTTCAATGTGGATTGCCAATGTGGGAGAAAATCCTTGTAAATCTTAGCATTGCTCCCACACAGCCACCTACACAGATGATCGCTTGACTTTCACGCTAACAATAGATGTGTTAGTAGAACTCTCACCATCTGCAAAGTGAAGTGCACTTAAAAAGAAGTCACTGCAGCAGACAGTAGTAATTGCTTATATATTGTGATTAGCATTTTATATTTACAATTAAAAGGTAAGATTTTAAGCTATGATAGCTTCCAGTTTAAATAAAAGCAGTCCCTATGGTAGCTCCCAGATTAAATAAGGTCAGTCCTAGATACCAGATAAACTTATTTTAGAAAACTTGATTTTGAATTTCTTTCTACTTAAAATTTATCTGTATCCAAGAATGCAGATATGAATTCTGCTATTCTCACTTCTCCTTCAGTGATAACACTCAGAATCATGTGCATTAGGATAAAGTCTGCTACAGAGTCTAATTGTTACAAGTGTCCTAATTTTGTAAATAGAATTCTTTCAAGGGCACATTTATTTGGGTTCCTCTGCTCTTAAATCTAGTTTTATCATCATTGAAGAATGAGTATTGTAGAAAATAAACTTTATATCATTGGAAAATATGGTCTTTGGTCTCCTTTCCCGTATTGATTTTTTTGTCAAAGATGGAAAGGCCCATTATTCCATTACTTGGACTTAGTGGAAAATTCTAAGGCAAAGTGTTAGAAAATGATTTATCTAGATTATTCATAGGGAAAAGAGTGGCGTAAGGGCTCATGGGTAGAACCTGCTCATAGTTGGAATACTGTGTGTGACAGAGAGGAAAGCAGGCATGTGGCTGATGGAAGGTAGGGTGAGACCCATTTTTCTCAACCCAGTACAAACAGGTACATTACCACTCTATACTGGCAAAGATCCCATGTGTTTCCAACCTGCATATTTCTAACATTTGGCCTGAATAATCTTGTTCTTTCACATAGATGAGTGAGGCTGTCTGTATGAGCTATGAAAGCTACTGTAACCCTAAAATATTATCTAAAATAACATTGCCTAAAATTATATGATGAATTGCTCATTTTTATATTAGAAACATGTCCTTTCCTCGCCTATTTTACTGCAGAATATTATAGAAAAGGTAGTACATTAAGACAATAATAACTCGGTATGATTTAGCTTTATTTTCTTTCCAAATAAATTATAATTCTAGAAATTTAATATTAGAAGGAAATTTAGGATTAGAAGGAAAATAAAATATCATCTAGTCCACCCAATACATTTTACAGATGATAAAATTGAGGCTCAATAAACACTCACACACAAGCACAAATCCAGAATGAATCCCTAAGACTCCTGACTTCAGTCTAGTGCTTTTTCCATTATACCATAATAAAACATTAAGACAACAGTTGTCCCTTGGGGTGAGGGTGAGGGGATGCTGGAAAGGAATCGAAAGCCTGAGGAAAATAGAGGAAAGAAAGTAAGCTGACCTCCAATTATTTTTCTAAAATTGATCCACAAAATAGAATTATTAGCAGGATTGAATTTATTTAAACCAGCAAGTTTAGATGTGTGTATACATCTAAACTCCAGTTGGAGTTTTGGTACTAAAAATATACTCAAGGAGACATAATTGCCAATGTGGAAATCTGATATCATGTCTACTCCAGAAAGGAAGGTTACCATTTTACTAGAGAATTTAACCTTAAAAAGTAGTAGATTATCTTTGTGACAATTGTTTAGACATATAGACAAATATTTTCTTAAGGTTTCAAGGCAGTGTGGCTTGTTGAAGATTACCAAGTTATGTTTTAGCAGCCCGTACTTGAACCAAGAAGATCAAATTCAAACTGCTCCCTAACTATATAACCTTAACTGAGACAAATAAACCATTTAATCCTCATTTTCTTCTCCAGTAAAATGGGAGTACTAAGATTTCAATTGGATAATTCATGTGAGGGTGCCAGATGAAGAGACTGAGTTCAAACTCTTAATTTTTACTCTAAAACCTCTGCTCTTAACCACTGTAATATAATGATTGAAGAAGTGTTTGTCAATAACTATTTTATGTTACCAATAATAATACTTTGCGTAGATGATAAGTTTGTAATTTTAAAAGCACTCAAACAACTTTCTAGTATTCTCCACCACCACAGAACCTTTTAGCCTCTTGATCCCTCACAGTTCTACAAGGCTGCCACCACACTATTGGTTTTATGTGATTTGCTATTCAAACTGGGTCTTGTATCTATCCCCTTAAAACAAGTTTAACCAACATTCTCAATTGTACTTCTTTATTTCTTCTTTGTATATGTCTCTCAAAACCTCACTGTTACAGCTATCATAACTAAATATTTACTTTCTTTGCTCTTACTCCAGGGCTGCCAAGATTTGCTAAGAAAAAGAAAAGAGAAGTGTATTCAGTTTATAATCTGGCTTGCCAACTCTGCCACTTTATTAGCTTCATTGTAGTTGTGAA
The DNA here is from genome assembly GCF_000001405.40 of Homo sapiens. Lineage (NCBI taxonomy): Eukaryota > Metazoa > Chordata > Mammalia > Primates > Hominidae > Homo > Homo sapiens. The sequence goes on from NC_000023.11 coordinate 28,108,517, forward strand.
GATTAAATTATTTTTTAAAAAATAAGCTTGTATACATGATTTATTGCTGTGCCTGATATTGTAGACACTAAATAAATTATTACTGTTATTATTCTGTAGTCATAGAATATCTCTTTGGAATAAGGGATGAAGTAACAGTTTTGCTCAAACAATTTTTCTCTGGCAATCATTCTAGACCCTATGAGGGACTTTGTACTGGATGGTGAACGGAAACTCATACAGGAATCAATGTTGGTGAGTCACCAACAATTAAATTCAGAATCATGGTGGGAAAGGAAGTCCAAGGAATATGTAATACAATTATTCAGCTTTACAAATGAAACTCTGACTGACAAAACACAGTAGTTAGACAAAATTTGGAATATAAAATGTAAAAATCAATAGCCCACTGGAAACCAGTGTGCTGTTTAAAATCATCTTATTGAAAAGTTTAGATAAATATGTTTTAAAAAGCAAAACAACCAGCCATTCAGGATAGCTTCCTGGATCTTTCACCTCCTCCCATTCCTATGTTTGATACCCTAGTTCAGGCTCTTATTACTCGTCTCACATGAACTGTGGCAATAACAAAATAGTTCTTATTGTAATCAGATATTCGCTTCTGCAATCTAGCTGCCACACTGCTACATCCATCTTCCTGCCCATCCATCCAAATATTTATCCATCCACTAGGCACTGTGTTCAACACTGGGAATCTATTATAAAATAGATCTATTAAAAGTAAACAATCAAATACCTCTAGAATTCTCTATTCTTAAGAAATACTCAGCCCTGTGAAGAGGGTATATAATCATAAAATTACAATATGATAAAATAATCGCTTCCAGGTATTGACGAAATAAATTATGGTAACATCTGTATATTGAATTACTATGCAGCCACTTGCTTTAGTAAGTGAAAGGGGAAGCAACAAAACATGCTCATGCTGTATTATATTGATATTAATACATCTAATATATACATGCATATGAATTATACAAATATATTTTAGATAACTATTTTCATATGTATAAAAGTACATGAAAACATCCAGAATGATATTCATTCTAGTGCTAACAGTACTCTACAGAACTGTTGAAATTGAGAGAATTTTCATCTACTTCCTCCCTCTTTGCACATTGATTTTTTTTACAATAAGCATGTATTTTATGAGTAATCAGATTTGTATTTTAAAAGCTGTACAGGCAGACAGTATCAAGTTGTGCTTGACTAGGGGGTTTAAGTGAATCTCAGATCTACCGCTTCCTAGATATGTTATTTTGACCTGTCTTTGCCTCACTTCCTCATCTGAGTAATAGAGGAAATTATGGTGCCTTCTTCATAGAGTTGTCAGTATGAGATAAGATAATCCAGCTAACGTCATGTTAGCTGGATTATGCCAGGTACCTGGCAAAGAGTAAATGTTAAAAAAAAGTTTGGTGATGAAGAAGGAGATGATGATGAATTAATCCATTTAAAGTCCCGTCTTCCATAGACCTATCTCACTAAAATGTCTCACAGTCAAAGGGAAATACAGTTCAATATTTACTGTAGTCTCTTGAGATAGTCTCAACATTTGTACTGCCCCAAACTTTGTCTAATTTTATTTAGCCTCTCTTTATGGCTATAATTTCCATAATATCATCCTCAGAAGGCTGCTATCTGATGCTGAATTAAAATTATCTTTCTCACTTCCTTCTTTTTTCTTCTACCCTTTCCAGTAAATTTGCCTCTTCATATTTCTGTCCCTGCTCTCTTGCTCATCTCTGTTTTAACTTTGTATTCTATTTTATTTCATCAGCCATTTGGGCCCTTTTTCCTTTTAAATCTTACAAGCCTCTCCATTTCTCTAGGGCCAACACTACAACTGCCTGATTAGCACAGTTTTGTTAATTCCAAAGACATGAAAAAAGTTAATGGATATGTCAAACAGGAAATGCCAAAGGACAGTGTCCTAGGAAGAACACTTACTTAAAGAAGGTTGCATGTGAACGGGATTTTGGTGATGAATCCAAGCAAATGAAAGGGATGGGACTGAAAGAGTTAATATGGCATGTTGGGGGAGCTACAAGTAGTTCAGTATACCTGGAGGGTAGGCTGGGATATAAATCAGAGGTTAATATGAGAATAGACTGAGACAAGCAATAAATGGCCTTGCTAAGAAGTTTGGATTTTTATATGAAATTAATAGAGAATTATTTAAAAGTTTAGGCAGAGAGTGGTGTGATCAGACTTGCATTCTATAAAGATCACTTTTGTAGCAGTGTGAAAAAAACACATTTAAAGAGGGAAAGCTGTGAAGTCAAAAACACCTGTTACTAGCTATAGTAAAAGGTGGAGTCAGAGTGTGGTTCCTTGCGTCACAGCTACGTTTTAAACAACTAAGGGGGAACAATAATAGCTAATACAATAAATAATTATTATTTATGAGATATGTTCTATATGCCTTGCATTGTACTAAGTGCTGTATATTCAGTATCTCAGGTACCCCAGCTAGTCTGACTTCTGAGCCCATACTTTCAACTACTAAATTACAAAACAATCATCAGAGACAGCGTCCAAAATTAGCAATGGTGTGGTGGTAAAAATGTTTAACAGCTAGCTCTCTGGGGAAATAAAGCACTGTTTTGGAGTGTTTGCTCATTTCAAGCAGTAAATTTTTCAACCATGGTTGATTTCAAGCTACCAGCATGTTCTAATGGGCTGGTGAGATCTATCTTCAGTACAACACTGGTGTCAGATTTCAAAGCTGCTGTGAAGTCAATAGTTCAATAGTCTGGAGCTAGGATATCAATTTAGGTAGGAAAACAAAGTCATTCCTAGTGGCTTCGGGCTTTCTATTCTCATAGCAAATTGCCTGCTGAAATTCCAGATGTCATATCCTCTCAACTTCTTCCCCCTCCCTTAGCTGCCGTCCCCATCACCTTGCCATATATATTTCTTCTTTAGAAGAAAAGTGATTACTTTTTCTTCTTGTATTTTATTGGCTCTGAATGGGATATGTGTCTTTGCTTAAGCCAGTCTCAGAGGTCAGCATGTTGATTGGCCTAAACTAATCAGGGCTCATAACTGGTGCAAGTTCCAAAACCCAGGATGTGGTTCACAGAAAGAGAAGGAATAGACACTAGGCCACAAGCAACTCTCCACTACAAACTTCCTGAGTTGGGCCTTAGGTGTTGACTTTAATCTTGGGGGTTGACAATCCTGTAGCAATTTTAAAAGTCTGCTACCAGTTGATATTCCTTGTGTATGCCCTTAGTGCTCCTGAGGGTGTTCAAGTGTTTTCTTTCAGCAGATAAAAGCAGATGCCAGTATATCTGAGGTATCAGGACAGTGGAGAAATAGCAATAATGGGAGTAAAGTTGTGGCGAAAAGGATGCTATGAAATTAAGTGTAAAGCAACACATTGTAGTTAGTTTCTGATATGAAGTGTCAGGGGAAACAGTAATGCTATTGAAGGCAAAATAACACTACTATGTATACTACTATGTATACTTCCTAATCAAATTGATATAGTTTTCTCATCTTTGTGGACGACGTTGAACCATCAGCTTTTAATTCAGAATACAGTCTTGCCGAGCATGGCAAGAAGGCAGCAGAACTGTTGGATCCGAGGCAGCACATGGTGTCAGGATATGAGCATCTCCAAGGTAAGCTTATAAAGAGAAGAAGCTGATTACGTATGCCTGTTGCTGTGTAAGACCTCAAGACTATAAAACATCACTTTTGGAGGGAGGAGAATAATAATGACTAGGACTGAATATCCCTCTCAACAGTGATAAGATGGAGACTTAACTAAGAGTTACATTTTTATGCATTAGATATTAAGGAATTTGCTCTCTTTTATGCTCCTGAGATTGTGGGTTGAGATGATTGCACATTACATATGGAGTCCTCATTAAGGTTTACTAAGAATTCTTATACTGCACTTACATGCACCGTGGACCAATTTCAATCTCTAGAATTGGAGCTAATTCACTTCAAGATAACAATCATGATCATTTTTTAAAAAGGTACATAGATATAACTATGAACTTTCAGAAATTCATTAAGATGTATGGAAAAAAGTTAACTCTGATAAGAATAAGCTCGAAAGAGTACTAAAGATTTCTTTAGGACCTCTGATAATATATAATTTAGTCGTCAGAAGGAATAGAGAGAAGGGAAATGAAGCTTTGTTTGCATTTTTTGAAGAGATTCATTTCTCCATGATTCCCAGAGGAAACCTAGAAATGGAGACACATGGATGGTGAAACTTAAGATGCCTAGTTTAAACTAATAAAAATAGAACCAAACAAAAAACACAGGACCTCTTTCTAGAGCTGCCAAGACATCGGCTAAAATGATAAAACAGAATATAGGTAAATCTATTTTGGCAGTGATGGAAATGACAATCCATCAAAATTTAAAAGTATTATCTACTGATGATAAACCTCTTTCTTCAGAAAAACAGACATTTAAATTTTGTTAAAAACACAATGTAATTGATGCCAAGTGACAGGTACCTGTGACCTCCAAATATTTGTAGATAATAGACATTAGTCATCTCAAAACAACGTTATAAGAACTATTAATTTTAGAACATAAACAATACAACAGGCTAGCAGACATTCAAATCAGAAAGCATACTTAGTAAATTTGATTAAATACATTCCAGAAGGCAAGTGAATACAAGAGTGCAATCATACAAAGTTTGAAGACTTTGGCTCAGAAGACACTGGCTTTTGGAAGTGTCTTTTCAGAAATCGTAGATCTGGCCCTTTTAGAACATGTCTCAGCAAGCACAGAAACCTGAAAACTTTTCCCAAATGATGATGCTATGCCAGAACAGGAGAAGGCTAAGGGAGTTGCACTCCCATAGATCCAGGAAAGCTAAGCATGAAGGGTAGATTTCAATGATACTAGCCCAGACCCTGACAGCTGGGGTGAGTCAACAACTAAAAAAGCAGATAAAAGCCCAGACTGGCAGTATTCTAGAAAGCCGAATATTATCACCCTTTCATAGGCTGCCAATAACTAGCTCTCATTTAGGCACATCAACGTGGTAATCTAGATCCCTTGTGCAAATCAGTGATTTGAAGGATGAACCAAACCTTATAAAGACTAAAGAAAGTACTATCCAACCTCAGAATACATGTTGCTAATTCTGCTTCTTGGGATTAAGATAAGTACTCCTTTTTTGATTCATTTATTTTAAAAATGTACATTTCATGGCAAACTGAGCCATAAAGAGAAGTGCAGTTAGTAATATAGAATCTAAGGTCCACTTCAGTGTACTTAGAAAGGTCGGATAAAAAACCTGATTGTATTTGAATCTGCATTCAACTAGTACTCATTGCCCAGAAGGGAGTTGAGAAAGAGGAAAGAATGTGTCTACCTGGTCCTAGGCCTCTGGCAAAGGGAAGGCTTTGCATACTCATAGCAGCCCTTGGCACTCTCAGATGGGAGACTGAATCACTCTATCTCAATCCACAGGACTCAGATATGGTGGAGGGTGATGGATTTGATGACAATGAAGACACAATTAGAATTTCAGAATGGAAGGGCTGCCCACATTACCTATTTTAGTCACTGTTCTATCTAAGGCTGAAACATCCTCTGCGTAGGAACCTGTAGGGGTTGGAAAAGGTAGACTCTTCAGCAATAATCACTCAGTTTTAGAGAAAAGAGATTCTCCAGTACACTGGCTCACCTATTTGGCCATTTAGAAGATAACCAGCTTTACCAGTCTGTGACAAACAGAATAATCACCCCCAGTCCAAGGTGTGGATGTCCTAATCCCCAGAACATATGAATGTGTTCTTTCACATGGGAAGAGAGACTCTGCAGATATGATTAAATTAAGAAGTTTGAGATGGGGAGATTATCCTGGATTATTCCAGTAGGCCTAATCTGATTACAAGAGGAGACAGGGAAGCAGGAAGGTCAGAGTCAGGAACGAAATTTGAAAATGGAAGCAGATATTGGAATGTTGTGGCCACCAGTCAAGGACTGCAGGTGGCCTCTAGAAGCTGGAAGTGGTTCTTCCCTCCAGTCTCCAGAAGGAATACGGCTATGCCACCATCTTTACATTAGCTTTGTAAGACCCATTTTGGACTTGTGACCTCCAGAACTATAAGTTAATAAATATGTGTTGTTTGAAGCCACTAAGTTTGTGGCAATTTGTTACAGCAGCAACAGGAAACTAACATGCTGTCCAAGAGAACAGAGATAAAGGGCTCACTCTTCCAATGGGGACAGGGGAAGTAAGACATTTCCTCTGGAGAACATAAAGATTTAAAAGGGGGAAATGAGACAGAGTAATTTGTTGAGAAAGAAATGTATTTCCTGTTTGCATTTTCCATTCTCCTTTCCAAGCAAGTAAGCAGCCGTTTTTGAGCACACTTGCCTCAAGGAGAAGCAGAGAAAGCATCTCAGGAGCGTACAGCCTGTGCAATTGCACAGGGCACTGAGAAAGGCTCCACACTTGGTTTAATGCTCTGCTGTCACCATCTTGAAATTCTTAATAATTTTCTAACAGAAGCCTTGCATTTTTTTTTAGCCCTGAGCCCTGCAAATTATATAACCTGTGTTAAAGAGAGGTTTATATTTCAGGGCATAAAGAAAAGGTTTCCTATAAGCTATTTCTCCTCCTAGAACATAGCATAGAAACTGCACAGCTTCAAGACTAAAAGGACCATATTGACTGGAACAACAGACATCTCATTGGTAGTGTGGCCGGGCTTTTTTGCCCTGCTGACTTTGTGAACTGAGATCCAAATGCATTATACAACAAGGAAGAGGCTTGTGGTAGGAGTCCTATACTTAACACTACATCTGAACTGTACGAATTTGAACTAGCCAATTAAACATTTCATGAATTGGTTTAAAAGCAATATTTGATCTGCATGTCAGTAATTTAGTTGCTTTCATAGTCAAATAAAATGTTGTAAATATGTTTTATAAATTATAATGATATAAATATCAGGTAGTGATATTTGTTATTATTACTTGATTCTTGTTTTCACACCTGAAAGATAAAATTAAACTCATGAACTTTAAAGTGATAGAAGGGTAGTGGTTAAGAAGTTAAAACTATTTTAAATGAAACACTTTATTCTGGAATACACAGACTAAAAGAAGATACGTTGAAATCTATAACATTATAAAAATAATGGCATAAAATAACATGTCATTGTTTATCACATTCTTGAGTGACAGAGCAAGGAAGCATTCTTTGAAGCATGGCAGAGGTATTTTTGTACAATGGAAAGAAACCCTAATTCAAATAGTAGATGATAATTTATGGAGTTCACCAATCCTAGCAGATGTAAAAGCTTAAAAATGAAAAATATTCAGTCGCATTTGAGGTGAATTAGTGGAAACAAATTACTAACAACACAAATATTTGCATGTATATTTTTCAACTATGAAAATAAGCCCACAAAGGAAAATTATTGGATTCTGCTAATTTTTGCATACCACCTGAGAGAATACTTATTTGAAAGGGCTACAGGCATGTTTGGTAATTACTTTAAAGCAGTTTTAGATTCACAGCAAAATTGAGCAGAAGGTATAGAGATTTCCCATATACTCCTTGACCCCACTCATAAGTAGCCTCCCCCATTATCAACATCCCCCACCAGAGTGGTACACTTGTTACAACTGATGAACCTACAATGACACATCATTATCACCCAAAGTGCATAGTTTATGTTAGAATTCACTCAGTGTTGTGCATTCTATGGGTTTGGAAAAATATGTAATGGTATGTCATCACCATTATAGTATCATGCAGAGTAGTTTCACTGCCCTAAAAATCCTCTGTGCTCTGCCTATTCATCCCCATTTGATAATTTTTAAACTCTTACTTTATGTTCCCTCTCAATAAAGGTATGCTAGCAATGTATATTTTAGCCCCAGCTATCAACATTTATCTGCCCCATATTTCCATTTAAATAGAAGGTATTGTTTAATCCTAAAGGAGCCAGGTATACAATTACCAAAAAAGAAGCTCCGAATTAGAATTTTTATTCCAATAATAAATGATATTTATAAACTGAATGTTAGTATACAGCAATATCATACCATATTCCATATAACCCAATGTTTTCATTCGCTTTAAATAAAAAGAAATTAAAGCTCAGAAAGGTAACTGATTTTCTCAAGGAATTTGCCTTCTGACTCAGAAGCAAGTGCTTAAAAGTGCTCACTAAAACCTATAAAATGGGTGTTATCAACCAGTCAAGTAGTAATTACATTATGATTTCCAGTGGCTTTGGTTTTAGCCTATTTACTCCCTCTTCTACCCCTTACCCTCATTATAGGAAAAGACCCTGCCGTCTTTAGTGAATGTTGTGGTATGCTGCCCAGATCTCTACTCCTTTCCCTTCTAGGGCTGGAGAATCCAATTCCACAATCCTGAGAGTTTTGGCAGCTGACTTTCTGACAGCAGAGTAACTTTCAGCTGAGTCCCCCTCTAGAGATTACCCTAGCTGAAGAGAACCAAGCCTAAGGTCACACCTGTTCCCAGGAGCAACGCTTATCAAATGACTGATGAATTCAGGAGTAAAAAGTCTGAGCCCCTCCTCCAATTCAGAACCACTCTGCAGAGACATCCCATTTTCATCACTCTCTCTGAAATTGTCATAACTGCATCTCAGCTCAGTGTCTCCTGATGTCCAATTCTCACAAATACTGATTTTAAGAGCACTTCCTAATAAGCTTCCTGCATGCAAATCTCCAACTCAGAGCGTCCCTTCCAGGCTCTGGATTTTCAGGGAATCAAACCTGGAACAATGCCCTTACCTCGGGGTGAACACAAGACCCAGGCTTATCCATTCGTGGTATCTGTCATCTGAAAGTTGTGAGTGCTCCAAGAATCAGCACACTGCCCAAGCTAAACCAAATAGATTTTCCCTTAGAGTTGTTTTTCAAATTTGGATAGGGTAAAATAACTTCTTTATTCCTTGGATACAACCTGTGAAGATGTGGGGCTCAAAGTAGTGGATGTCATGTCCACTGCAATGTAGTCTGAGAGAAGAAAAGAAGCAGAAAGCGGGGACAGAAAGAATCCTGCACCCTGCCCTTTTTATCATAGTGGATATTTGAGCCCTGCATTTGCCTTTTTGCTTAATTCAAGTTGAATTTCAGCACATAAAACCAAAGAACTCTAATCCATAAGTACTGTATGTCCAAGGTTTATAAAAATAAAATAATTTAAAACACCACTAATTTATTAAGGTGATTGGGAAATTTTAGGTTTCTTAATATATTCACCATTAGGAGGAAAGGAAATGAGCCGTTGTTCTCTAGAAACCATTATAAAAAGAGTCCAGAATTATCTTAATTGATTTCAGACCTTAGAAAGATGAAAACATACTGTTTTAATATGAAGGAATGAGTATAAGCTGAAGGCAGATGAGATAATTAGGCCTTTTCTCTTCTGCTTGGGGATTTATCTTTGTACTCATTTGAGTAGTAGCTGTTGCACAAATGATTGTTTCTTTGAAAATGTGCGTAGACCTTTATCAATCCCTTTTGAAAAGCAAATTTCCTTTCCATGAATGGTTTTCCATCTATGAACTAATAATAGAAACATATGCCCTTAATATATTAATGATTTTTGTGTGTTTGATACAAAAGAGATTTTGGCGTCTTGGGCATTTGATTACATTTAATTCCTCTCTATAAATCTTACAGACATTTTCCCTGGCTAAAATCTAAATCATTGACATAGCAAAAACTGTGTATCAAAAAGGAAAGCTATATTGGATTAGGGGACAAGAGGACACCAGGGAACCTGTAAATATGTCTTGTTAGGATTTTACTTTTTATTTTGTCCCTATGTTTCAATTTCATAGCTTTCCAGTTCCTAGGCATTGTTTTCCATCAACAAATATTACCTTAGTTTACATTAGTTCAGCAAATATTTACAGCGAACCTATTACATGTCAAAGACTGGGATAAGTCTTATATTTCTTTTTAGCATCTCCCAGATTTTTTTCCTTTAATTCATGTTTTTGTGTGTGTGGAAAACCATCTATACCTTTTTTTAATGTCTGATAATATATTTCTTACACTCTTACATATAAATGTCCATTTGACTGGTTATAAATATCTAGATGAAAACATCTTTGCTTTGCTATTTTTAAAACGCCATTCCGTTGTCTTCTTGCATCCAGAGATGCTATGTTGTCAACCTGATTCTTCTTTCTTTGACTATCATCTATACTCTCTGGAATTTTAGTGCATTTCTACTATTATATGTTGATGCATAGGTTTTTTCTCTTTTTTTGGCATTGTATGTGCCTTTTCGATCTAAGGTATTTATTTCACCTTTATTTTGGTAATTTTTTATTTAATATTTCTTCAAATCTCTCCTCTCTACCTCCCTCAGCCCCCCCTCCTCCTTTTCCTTCTTCCCCTCCCACCTCTCTCTTTGTTTTAGTCCTTTCCTACTTCTACTTCTAGGCCTCAGTATGTGTTGCTACTCTTCTATATCCTGTATTTTTAAACTTTCCATTTATATATGTTCTCTCTATATTCTTTCTTGCTGCTTTCAGGGAAGATAATTTCATTTGTTGTTCTACCTCACAAAAACACGTATTATGTGCTTTATTTCAACGACCATAGATTTTATGCCTTAATAATTCTACTATTGTCATCACTGTTGTTCTTGTTTCATCTTGTTAATATATTTACTGATTTACAATTTAATTTATATGCAAGCTTTTAAGGTTTTCTCTTTCTCCTGGAATTTTGAATGTTCCCAATGATTTGACATGGTATGGGGTCCCTTTTATTTATGTGCTAGTCTCTTGATGAGCCATTTTAATCTGGAGATTTATCATTCTGTTTGGGATCTTTTGTTCTTTGATAATGTATTTCCATCTGTTTTCTCTATTCTCTCTTTCCAATGCTTCAATCAGTCAGGCATGGGACCTAATCAATTGCTTACCTATTTTCTTATTTTCCATCTCCATCTCTTACTTTCTCTTTGTCTTATTGTTCTACTTTTTGTGACATTTTTCTCAACTTTATATTTCAGCCCTTCTGTTAAATTCTCATTGATGAGTATCTTATTTTTTATTATCAAAAACTCTCTTATGTTCTCCACCTTTTTTTCTGTTTTAATACAATTCTGTTTCAATGTCTTGGATGAAATATCTTCTCTTGTTTCCCTGTGGGTATTCATATTTTCATTTTCTTTTACTACATACATTTGTGTATGTTTCCTCCAATTTTATTTTTTTCAAGTTTGAGGCTCATCAAATGCCTATTAATTTGGGGCTATCCATTTAATTTAAGAGTGAGACACTACAAACATCTTTATTTTGATTGCCCTAACTCTAGGGTTATTGGATGCCAAATCCAGCTTTTATTAAGGGATCTACCAGATGTCAGTATTAGGACATTTTTTTCTCTGAGGAAATTAAGAAAATAATCCTCTACTCTCATGCATGGCAAATATATGCCTAGCTGCTCATGTTCTGGGATCATGAAGGAGGAAGGGGACTTAGAGTCTCTGCAGTTCACCGTTCAGACTTATACTTAATTCTCCCATTTTGAGCCCTGCTTCTCAACCATGAACCATGTTGTTCACTGAGATTATTTTCCCCAACCCAAAGCCTCTGTGGTTTGGTTTCTTCAGAAACTAATTTCCCACCTTCCCCCCAGGTTGGCAAAAGGGAGTAGTAATAGCCAACTGCTTTTGCAATATGGGGAAGGGATACAGGAAGGGAGTCAAATGTCTGGATAAAGGATTTCGAAATATCCTCATAAAGCCAGCCTTGTTCCTTAGCCCCACCTGCAAGGTATGTAGTATTTCCAATTGCTGAGTCACTCTTAAGATTCCGCAGAAAAATGTGGTGTCCTTTCCCCACGTTGTCATTTCTTTGCCCTGCTTAAGTCATGCCTCTCTCCCTCATCTGCCTTCTGCCTTCTAACATTTTTGAAATGACTGCTGCACAATAGTCACGTTATCATTGATCTTGTAGGTTAATAATGCCTCTTTAAAAAAAAAACTAATTCCTTGGCAATTTAGTGCCACTTTTGGAGGAAGAGGACATATGTACATGCAGCGAGACCAGCAAGATTAATTAAAATTTTATATTTGTCAGCCTATTTTGTGCTTCATGATTGCAAGCTTCTTTGATATTTATTGCTCTGTATTATTTTTCTGATTTTTTTGAAATATATATTGACCAAATACTCCTTGCTATGAAGTTGTGGAAATCATTTTTATACTACTGTTACAGTCATGCATCATCTAACAACAAGGATATGTGCTGAGTAATGTATCATTAGGCAATTTTGTCATTGTGCAAATGTCATCTAGTGGACCTACACAAACTTAGATAATATAGCCGACTACATATCTAAGCCATATGGTATAGCCTATTGCTCCTAGGCTACAAACCTAGACAGCATGTTGCTGTAGTGAATACTGTAGGCAATTGTAACATAATAGTAAGTATTAGTGTGTGTAAATATATCTAAACATGGAAAGGGTACAGTAGAAATATGGCATAAAAGATAAAATATGGGCCGGGCGCCGTGGCTCACTCCTGTAATACCAGCACTTTGGGAAGCCGAGGCGGGTGGATCACCTGAGTTCAGGAGTTTGAGACCAGCCTGACCAATATGATGAAACCCCTTCTCTACTAAAAATACAAAAATTAGCCGGGCATGGTGGCATGCGCCTGTAATCCCAGCTATTTGGGAGGCTGAGACAGGAGAATCACTTGAACCTGGGAGGTGGAGGTTGCAGCGAGCTGAGATCGCACCACTGTACTCCAGCCTGGGCAACAAGAGCAAAACTCCTCCGTCTCAAAAAAAAAAAAAGATAAAATATGGTACATCTCTATAGGGTGCTTACCATGAATGGAGCTTGCAGGAATGAAAGTTGCTCTGGGTGAGTCAGTGAGTGAGTGCTGAGTGAAAGTGAAGGCCAAGGACTTTACTGTGCACTACTGTAGTCTTTATAAACACTGTACACTTAAGCTACACTAAATTTATTAAAAATATTTTATTTCTTTAAAAATAAACTAACCTTAGACTACTGTAAATTTTTAACTTAATTTTTTTCTCTGGAGACAAGATCTTGCTCTGTCACCCAGCTGGAGTGCAGTTGCACAATCACAGCTCACTGTAACCTCAAATTTTGGGGCTCAAGTTATCTTCCTGCTTCAATCTCCTAAGTAGCAAGGACTACAGGTGCATGCCAACCCCAACCAGCTAAATGTCTTTATATTTTTGTAGCGATGGGGTTCTTGCTATGTTGCCTAGGCTGGTCTTGAACTCCTGGCCTCAGGCGATCCTCCCTCAGTTTCCCAAAGTGCTGGTATTACAGGCACAAGCCACTATGCCCAACCTCATTTTTTAAAAAATTTTGGCTCTTGTAATAACACTTCACTTAAAACACACATTGTACAGCTGTACAAAAATATTTTCTTTTTTTTTTGAATCCTCATCCTCATTCTATAAGCTTTTTTCTTTTCCTTTCTTTTTTTTTTTTTTTTTTTTTTTTTTGCTTTTTAAACTTTTTGGTTCAAAATGAAGACACAAACACACAGATTAGCCTAGGCCTATACAGAGTCAGGATCATCAATATCACTGTCTTCCACCTCCACATCTTGTCGCTATGGAAGGTCTTCAGGGGCAATAACACTCATGGAGCTGTCATCTCCTAGGATAACAATGCCTTCTTCTGTACTCCCTCCTGAAGAACCTGCCTAAGGTTGTTTTATAGTTAACTATTTTTTAATACATAGAAGGAGTACACGCTAAAATAACAATTAAAAAGTACATTATAGTAAATACATAACCCAGTAACATAGTCGTATATTAACATTATCAAATAGTATGTACTGTACATAATGGTATGTGCTATACTTTTAAATGACTGCCAGCACAGTAGGTTTGTTTAGACCAGCATCACCACAAACAAGTGAATAATGCATTGTGCTACATTACAATGGCGCTGCCATCACTAGGGATAGGAAATTTTCAACTCCATTTTAATGTTATGGAACTGACATCATATATGTGATCCATTGTTGACCAAAATATTACCATGCACTGCATGACTGCATTTGAATGTCTGTTTTTCTTCTACTATCTGTAATGCATCGGTATTCTACCTCTCGGCAGGATAAAGTATTTTACTACCTGCGACCCCTTTGTTAAATCAATCTTATTTTTGAAAAGAAGACTTTAATCTTTTTATTTTTAAATTTGCTCTTTTTAAAAGGCGTTGTAATTACTTTTCTGATTCCTGTTAGTATAGCACTTATTTAGATATTCCTTTTTTTTAGTTTTAACAGGTGAATGATTACTGCCATTTATTCTGTTTCTCTCATGCTTGAGATATTTAGCGATAGCCATTCCTCATTTGGCTGGAGTGCTGCTATTAGCATTTTTTCCAAACAATGTACATGGATGGGTTAATTCTTAATTCATGAAACTGTTTCTCTGTTGCCCTCACATAAGAACATAGCATAAATTTACTGCAAAGTAGATTCATAGATGAAAATCTCTTCCTCAAAACTCTATACGCTCTGAGTTCCACTGGGCCATCTAGAATATGTGAATGGGTTTCCCAGACTTCATGAACCATGTAAAACTACGAACTCTTTATGTGAATGAGCACATGTGCATTTTTCTGGAGAAAGGATCCACAATCAGATAGTAAAAGATACCCATTTCCCCCAAATATTATTTATAGACTTTGTACCACTGTATTCTGGTATTTAGTTTCCTAAATCTCCTTTTTTGCCCCCTTTGCTAATAACTTGCCTAGAAGCTTGCAGGAATTTTACTTAGTATTTTACATTCTGAAATTTCACTGCGGTATGTCTACGTGTTTTTCTTTTTCCATTAACTTTGCCAAATATTTAGAGAGTTATTTTTGTCTAAAGACTTTAGCCCTGTGTAAACTCTGGGAAAATTTTGTTCTGTTATTTCTTTTTTTAATGAATTTTCTCCACCATCTTCTTCCGAGAATTTTGTAATATATATAAGAGGTTCTTCCCTTACCTTTCTCCCTCTAATATCTTTTCTTTTGGCATAGCATATAACTACTTCACCTTTTACTTCAAGCATTTCAAAACAGTAGAGCTAAGGCAATTCCGTGCTAAGGCCAGGTGGGTTTTTTCAAACAAACAAACAAACAAACTCCTGTCCTTCTAGCAGGCTGAATTTAACTAGAAAAATGCATACTCTATCTGACAAAACTACACACCTAGAAATTGTGCTATTATCATAAGAGTCCCCATTTTCTAAAAAGGCCAAATATCCTAAGGGAAGCATCATGGCCAGTTTTAAAGTCAGCTCATTGTAGTAAATGTACGCTAGTCTGAAGGGTTGTGAAGCTTGTTCTTTCCCCTTCTCTATTTAGCCCATCCTTTGAAAGTCCACTGTTTTGTAATGGAGTAATTCCCTCAGGTTTATTTACTCTATACTTAGCTGGAATCCAGGGCCACAATGAAGCTCCTGAAATCTTGTTTTTGTCCTGCTGGGACCATAGACTGGCCTGTCCCTAGTTCCCTGTGTCCAGGAACTAGGGATTTTCTGAGAACAATCTTGGCACACACTTACAGGTTACCAGTGTTGTTCCATTATTGAATTGGAGACTGATTCATATAGATTATTCTTCACACAGTCAGATCGTATTTGATTCATTTGAAAAAGAATTGTGAAGACTTTCTGTTTTATTTTTGGATTATTATGCATTTTCCATCTTTGTTGCAGGTTTCTTTTTTCATTTAGTAGGCTTTGGGAAGGATTGAAAGGTAAATGCTTGCACTCAAATCACCATCTAAAAATTTAAACCTAAAGCCATTTTCTAAAATGCTGTTATTTAGAATAATAATTTACTCTTATCTATACCCTTTGCCATTCCTTATTTTTTACTGTGCTGAAAAACCTTTAATGGTTCAACATTCTCCCACCAAAATACAACTCAAGAAACCTTGCATTTATTAGATCCCTAAATCTATCCCCTACCAACTTTTCCAACTTATCTCCCTGTCTCTCCACATAAGACACCTGTCTGTTTCAACCAAACAACTCTGTTCATTGTTTCCCAGACAGCCCTGCCTCTGACACTTTAGTTGGGCTATCCGGATATCCAGCATGTGCTCTTCCATCCATGTCTGTATAAACATTTAAGAACTGACTAGTCATCCAGGATGCTACTTTAAAATCTGACTCAATGAATATGGAATCGAAGAGGGAAAAACATATCTTTGTTTTGATTGGCAGACCAAACTTTGATGGAATTAGGAGGCTCAGATAGGAATTGAAAGAAGCTATCTTACACTTCAAAATTGTCAATAAGTTTCAAGAACACAAAAGATTATATCAATACTAGGAGTTATTTAGATAGATACAAGTCCTGGAGTGGTGTGATTTTAGTAACACAAACCAATACAAATATTAACATTTGCCTGGTCAAGAGGATGGCGTAAGTAGCCCAAAACAAAACAAAACAAAAACCCTAGAACTCATATAGGCAGATTCCCATGAGTTTAGACAAAATTCCACTGGCTGTCGTTCATTCTACGTATAAAAACTTCTAACACTTAGTTTTTATCTAATCCACCTAAAAGCAAGCAAATACAAATAACAAAATAAAACATAGTTTCTTCAGATGCCATAATAAGTGAATTGCTAATAGGGCATTACAAAAATTATCATTTTCCCATTTACCAAAATTGTGAATTAATCTTATGCAAGTTTTCCTGGGCTCATTTTTGATAAAACTTTAATAGAACTTGGTGAGAAGGCAACAAATGAAAAACTCCGTATATACCATACCTCATTGAATCTATCTATAGCATCACCAATTTCAGAGATATTTATATTCTTAAATAAATATGGCAATGGTAAGATGGTATTTATTGTAAGATAATTCTCTAGTTCTGAGATGTTTCAGTATTGGAAAAAATGAGCATTTTATAGAATTAGTGAAATACAGGTGTCCCAGTTGTCATCAAAAAGCACTGCCATGGTAGGAGCCTTCACAATAAATAGCACCTCAGTTCCTTGTTGAGTGCCCTTTAACTTTCCAATCAAATGCATAAAGTTAAATTTAGTTGCTATCCCTGTATGGACACATTTTTAAAAAAACTACCTGAGCTACTTCTAATCACTTTGATGTGAACTGAAATAAAAGTGTAAGTTTTATGTAAGATAATATCAAACATCAGCTAAACCCTTTGGGATTTCTTTCCAAACAGGATGTGGATGTGGTTACAGTTGCTATTTAAGAAATAGAGAGAATAAAAATAAGATTAGTGTTTCTGTACATTTTGACAACTCCCATTAAGAGAAAAGCATCTGCAATCATATTTGAAGTGTACCTAATGTTAGATAGGAACTATCTATGACTATCGTGCTTATTAGTGCATTCAGGCAATTCAGAATTTAAATAAAACCCAAAGCACCAAATTTAGAAAAATACTGCATGGTGAGATATAATGTTTGGTATGCTGTAGTGTCAGAGGTGCTTTTTAAATTCTTATTTTAATTAGTTTCTTTGTGGTTTTTTCTTGAGGGAGGGAGGGAGTGGTACACTAGCTTTACTTTTGATCTACAAAAGAAATACATGATGCTGGTAAATTTTATTGTAAGCTAAAATGAATGAATCCCTGAGATACAAAGATAAAATTCTTTGTGAAACAGTAAAATAAATTTTAAAAATAATAAATTGTAACAAATGTTATTCACATTTTTAATGACGAAATATATTTGCTATGCTGTAATTATTTCAAACCAATGGTATAGAAAATTATTTCAAACCAATGGTATAGATAGACACAGGAATCAGAAAATTTATAGAGAAATCAAATCAAACCTAATGGACTCATGATTTTAATGTGAGTGACTTCAAATATATTTAAGTTAGGAAGTTGAGATGTCACATAGAAAAGGTTTGTGCCATTTTAAGTAGGTTACTCTTCAAAAGATTAAGAGAAAATGGAGCTTATTATTTTCCCCAAATGTCAATAAACTCAACTCTAATTGTATTTTATTGCTTCTGAGATAAATTTATCTATCTCTGTTCTTCATATCATCCTTAGGCCTTAACCTTCTGGCCCCTCATTCATCTTCACTCTTCTACAAGCATTTTGTTATTATAACTTTGTACTGCAATCTTGATTTAACTTGCAACATACGTCCAGGAGTATTTCTTCTCTTTTGTTTTATTTTCTTCTTTTTAAATTTCATTGTCTTCTCATGAGGAATGTATGTTAAAAGAAAATTAAGTCTCTAAATATTATCATATTTACAAATAACATAGTACCCCCATCACACCTAGGGAAAAAAAAAAAATCTTTGCACAGCAGAAATCACCAGTACCTAAAGTGTTGACCAAGTTCACCTTAAAGTTCCCTTCAGCTTGACTAGCATTAGACAGGCTTCTTCTTGACTCTAGGCCAGACCTCATTTTTCTTAGAGGATTTACTTTAGAAAGCTTGTTACTGTAAATTCTTTCTCTTCCTTCCCTCTTTGAGATGCAAATATATTAGAAGCCTCTAACCACTTTCATACCCCAGGAATGTCTTCCCAAGGACCTGGGAGCCTTCCTTTTGAAATGTAATTATCAAGGAAGATAGTGCCCCTATCTGCCAGTCTCTGGATGGATAGGAGCCTAATTCAATGGTGACCAATTAGGGAACACAGATGGCCTAATCACAAAGACAATAATTTGCAAACTCAGGAAACTAACTCAATGTGCTCATATTACATTGATTAACCTTCCCCCTATTGTCCTCCAGTACTGTTCCACTAGCTCATCCTTGTCCCTTTAAAACCTCCCAGCCCTTTGTTCTCATGGAACTGAGTTCAGACTGAGTTCTAGCTTACCTCCCCTATTGCAATAGCCTTGCTTGTTTAACTTTGTCCAGTGAAATTCCGCTTTGACAGTTTTAATTTATCACTCTAGTCCCCCACAGAAACAAATATATTATTGTAGACAGCAATTTTCAGTACTTGGTTAACTTTCCATGTAAAATTTTCCAATTTTCTGCTTCAAAATTAACTTTTCTAAAAACAGTAGGCTGCCTATATAAAATGAGTTCAAAATGTCACTATATTAGTTTCCTACTGATGTTACAACAAATTACCACAAATTTCGTGGCCTAAAACAATACAAATTTATTATCCTACAGTTCTGAAGGTCGGAAGTCCAAAAGGAGTCTCACTGGACTAAAGTCAAGGTGTTGGCAGGGCTGGTTCCTGCCTAAAGCTTTAGGGGAAAATCCTTTTCCTTAAGTTTTCTAGCTTCTAGAGGCTACTCACATTCCTTGGCCCCCTGGCTCCACATCACGCCAACCTCTGATTCATCATCACATATCCTTTGTTGACTCTAACTCTCTTACTTCCCTTTTCCTTTACAAGGACCTTTATACATTGGGCCAACCCAGATAATCAAAGATGACCTTCCATCCCAAGATCCTTAATCACAACAGTAAAGTCCCTTTTTTTCGCCATGTAAAATGGCTTTCACTGATTCTGAGGATTAGGATGTAAACATCCCTGGGTTCCTCTGGTTTCCATTATTCTGCCTACTTAAAATAGTCCGATGCAGATGTGTAGGCTGTATTTCTAGAAGATCAGAAAATATCAATTCTGTGGAAAGTTTGAAGTAACACCACCTAGGTAAGATAAATGCATCAGGATGAATAAAGACATGAAAGAACAAAGTAATCATAATCTGGTTTGGCATATGAATATTGAAAATCTAGATGAAGGGGAAAAAATTGAGAAATATCAAGATGGCCAAGAAATGAGTAGCTATAGCGCTCAAAGTAAGTCTCCGATAATGTTGACTTCTTCCCAAACTGGAACATCTGCTGCAAGTTACCTTCCTTTTTCTCAGGCCTTGTCACCCTATTTTTTTTCCTTCCACTTTTATTTTCAGTTCAGGCGTACATGTGCAGGATGCACAGGTTTGTTACACAGGTAAATGTGTGCCATGGTGGTTTGCTGCATGGATCATCCCATCACCTACATATTAAGCCCAGCATCCATTAGCTATTCTTCCTGATGCTCTCTTTCCCCCACCATCCCCCTCCGACAGTCCTTAGTGTCTGTTGTTCCCCACCATGTGTCCATGTGTTCTCATCATTCAGCTCATACTTATAAGTAAGAACATGTGGTGTTTGGTTTTCTGTTCCTGCATTAGTTTGCTGAGGATAAAGGCTTCCAACTCCATGTCCCTGCAAAGGACATGATCTCATTCCTTTTTATGGCTGCATAGTATTCCGTGGTATATATGTACCATATTTTCTTTATCCAGTCTATCATTGATAGGCATTTAGGTTGAATCCATGTCTTTAATAGTGTGAATAGTGCTACAATGGGCATAACATGCATCTATCTTTATAATAGAATGACTTATATTCCTTTGGGTATATACCCAGCAATGGGATTGCTGGGTTAAATGTATTTCTGCCTCTAGGTCTTGGAAGAATGGCCACACTGTCTTCTACAATGGTTGAATTAATTTACACTCCCACCAACAGTGTAAAAGCATTCCTTTTACTCTGCAACCTCGCCAGCATCTGTTGTTTTTTGACTTTTTAATAATAACCATTCTCACTGGCATGAGATGGTACCTCATTGTGGTTTTGATTTGCATTTCTCTAATGATCACTGATATTGAGCTATTTTTCATACGTTTGTTTGCTGCATGTATGTCTTCTTTTGAGAAGTGTCTGTTCATGTCCTTTGACCACTTTTTAAAGAGGTTGTTTGTTTCTTTCTTGTAAATTTGCTTAAGTTCCTTGTAGACTCTGAATATTAGACCTTTGTCAGATGGATAGATTGCAAAAGATTTCTCCCATTCTGTAGGTTGTCTGTTTTTTTCCTGTAAATTTGTTTGAGTTCCTGGTAGATTCTGGATATTAGACCTTTGTGGGATGGAAAGATTGCAAAGATTTTCTCCCACTCTGTAGGTTGCCTATTCACTCTGATGATAGTATCTTTTGCTGTGCAGAAGCTCTTTAGTTTAATTAGATCCCATTTGCCAAATTTTGCTTGTGTTGTGATTGCTTTTGGCATTTTCATCATGAAATCTTTGCCCATGCCTATTCAGGAATGGTATAGAGAACTCAGAAATAGGACTGCACACCTACAACCATCTGATCTTCGACAAACCTGACAAAAACAAGCAATGGGGTAAGGACTCCCAGTTAATAAATCATGCTGGAAGAGTTGGCTAGCCATATGCAGAAAATTGAAACTGGACCCCTTCCCTACACCATATACAAAAATTAACTCAAGATAGATTAAAGACATAAATGTAAAACCCAAAACTATAAAAACACTGGAAGAAAATCTAGGCAATACCTATTTTTTCATATGATTATCTTTTCTTGCCTGATCTTTATACTTATGAAAATACTGAGAAACCTCAAAATTTATTATATCCATTATTTTGCTGAGAAATATCCAAATTTACAAAATAATGTACACATTAGGAATAAACATATGTTTTTTGAACTGAATTGATAAATGCACGTTGCAATTAAATTTCATAGCCAGACGTGGTGGCACACGCCTGTAATTCCAGTTAATGAGACTAGGGGCTGAGGCAGGAGAATCGCTTGAATCCGGGAAGCAACGGTTGCGGTGAGCCGAGATCACGCCACTGCACTCCAGCCTGGGAATTAGAGTGAGACTCTGTCTCAAAAAAAAAAAAAAAAAATCACCCTCTCTACACACTTCTTTCTCATCTGTTATAAAAATAAAGTGAATACGGATAATTCAAGGGACTTACTCTTTATTATTGATAATATTTTAATATTAATAACTGAACAAGAGAATACTATCATGAACATTTGGAAAGTCTTAAAGTAAAATACAAATTATGTAAATTTGGTATTTATTTTCAAAAATATACTATACAAACATGTTAAAAATTTAAAAATGCATAAGAATATATCTCAAATGAAACTAACACAAAATTTCTTCCATATTTTTCAGGATCAATCTATTCTGTATACAGCCACTTAAAGATATAACTTGGTGATTTTTTTTTCTTCAGAGGGAGCCTAATTTTATTTATAGATACATATTTTATTTTTTTTATAGATACATATTTTAAATATGTGTATGTAATTTATTTACCTGAGTGGTCTGCTGGTAACAGAGACTTAGATTGTTCCCAATATTCACTATTATAAATATTAACTTAATGGCCTTCCACGTAATTGCATCTTGAATAATTTTTGTCGGCTTATCTGTAGGGTAATCTGTTAATATTGCCGTTTCTAAAAAGGGAATACAGTATGTATGTTTAAATTTAAGAGATTTTACAAAATTACCCTTCAAAATGGGAGCACTAATGTATCTTCCTACTCATAGTGTATGACATTAACAGTTCAACATCCTTACCAATACTGAATATTATAATTGTGTATATAATTATTTTCCTTATAGATTTCTGGTTTTCTGACTAACTTGTATATACATTCCTTCTTTATGCAGATACTTTTTTTTTTTTTTGAGATGGAGTCTCACTCTGTCACCCAGGCTTGAGCACAGTGGCACAATGTCAGCTCACTGCAACCTCCGCCTCCCAGGTTCAAGTGATTCTCCTGTCTTAGCCTCCCGAGTAGCTGGGAATACAGGCACGAGCCACCACGCCTGGCTAATTTTTTTTTTTTTTTTGTATTTTTAGTAGAGACGGGGTTTTGCCATGTCGGCCAGGCTGATCTCGAACTCCTGACCTCAAGTGATCCGCCCTCCTTGGCCTCCCAAAGTGCTGGGATTACAGGCATGAGCCACCACGCCCGGCCTTTATGCAGATACTGTATATAAAATTTACTCATCTTTTCTTTGAGTGCATTAGTGTTTTATTTATTTATATTTAAATATTTTAATCCAAATATAAATGTGATGTTTGTATCTAGATAGGGATAATTTTACAAATGAATAGCCAATTGGTCCAATGCCATCCTTTCTGCTAGGAACTGATAAACCACTTTTATTATATGCCAAATACCTACAGATACTTGAATATGTTTATAAATTACATATTCTATTTGATCTTTCCTTCCCTGTCTTTTTTATTTAAATATTCCTCATTTTTTCCAACTTTTTCATTATTTGTTTTACATATACAAATAAACTTTACTGTTATTTTTGACAACCTAATAAAAATACTATTGATATTTTCATTTTGATATAATTGATTTCATAGATTTCTTTTGGGAGATTTGATTTTATTTTCAGAAAAAAAAATTCAGCTAACAAAATATGACATTCTATTTATTGTAGAATTATATGTTCCTTAATAGGATTTTATCTCTGTGTTATATATATCTTCAGCATGTTCCATGTTAGAATTTTTTCTAGATATTTTACCATCTTATTTATTAAAGTAAATGGATTATTGTCATTTTACTATATTTTAATTGGTTATTGTTTATATATAAGAAAGCTACTAATATGTTTTCATATTGATTTTGCAACCACCCACAGTACTAAAATAATATGTTGTTGCTAACTACACTTGACTCTATCCTATACCTTTCACTACTTTTTAAAAAAGAAATGGTGTCAATTAACATCTCAATAGTAATGTTAAGTGATATGGTGGATAGAAAGCACATTCCTGCCTGTAAAAGTAATGCTGCTAGAAATGAGCATGATGCTGGATTTGGGTCTGAAATATATACTTTTTTTTTGTATCAGTGAGATAATCATCCACTCCCTTTTCAGTAAACTTTTAAAAATCAGAAGTGATAGCTTTAAGTAAACACTTTTTGGTTTTTGTTTATCTGGAATGAGTTATGAGATGTATATATACTCTCCATGTTGAATTCCATATAGTTATGATGTTATATACTTTTTGTTTTTTCTTTTTATTTATATTTAATTTACAAATAATAATTATGTACATTTATGAAGTATAATATGATCGTTTTGGTCTATGTATACATTATAGAAAGATTCAAATTAATTGAATATCATTAAATTTTTATAATATTTAACTAATATTTGTTCAAAATTACAAGGGACAATTGTTTACAATTACAGTTGTTTCTTTTTTTCTTATTTTTGGACTATATCAGACTTTTTGTTGTATGTGTATGTTGGCTTTTAAAAATATTTTGAGTGCTTTCCTTCTTCCTATTTGCTCTGGACATTTTTAAATAAGTTAGAATTATACTTTAGTTTAGAATTATACTATCATGTCCTTGAAAATGTGAAATAATAATTCGAATGTGAAGCTGACAAATATAATATTTGGTAATATTCACATTTTTATTCTTATTAGGTTCTTCTTATGTCAACCCTGGAAATTTATGTTTGATCTAGATTAGATAACCATTCTTTTTTTTTTTTTTGAAACGGAATCTCGTTCTGTTGCCCAGGCTGGAGTGCAGTTGCATGATCTCGGCTCACTGCAACCTCCATCTCCTGGGTTTAAGTGATTTTCCTGCCTCAGCCTCCTGAGAAGCTGGGATTACAGGCGCGCACCACCACATCCGGCTAATTTTTGTATTTTTAGTAGAGACAGGGTTTCACCATGTTGGTCAGGCTGGTCTTGAACTCCTGACCTCATGATCCACCCGCACTGGCCTCCCAAAGTGCTGAGATTACAGGCATGAGCCGCTGCGCCTGGCCATCATTCATTTTTATCTGGATATCAATATTGATTTGTCATTGTCTTAACAGAAGTGATTCAAAACATCTTCTGGCATTTGTATTTCTTACAGTATATATTTCTCTTTTTAGTTCTATCTTTGCTTTTTGTTTGCTCTATAACAAAGTTGACCATAAAATTTATCATTCAAATCAGGACTTCATTAAAAGTAAAAGGAGGCACCATTAATAATTATGTGAGGAAATCAGGCATAAACTGGGGCATATAAACATGCTCTCTATAACTTCTCTTTTGTTTCTTGTGTTTGTATGCATATGTGTGTACACATGATTCTACTCCAATATGGAATGTTTAAAGTCTATTCTAGTTTTTATAAAGATGTCCTTTTGAAATTTATATAATATACTTGGAGCTCTAGTTGTTAATACAGAAACTTAGGTATTATCCTTCCCAGAAAGACCAGGAAATCTGTGTACTTTTGCATCCTCCCACCATCCCTTCTTTGATCCTCCGCCAACACCTATTTTTTCATGTTTTGTCTTTCTTTTATTTTATCAAACTTTCTAATTTCTATCTTATGTAACTATATTCCTAAAGACCGTTTAGCCTTAGCTTTATCTTTTTTTTTTTGACAACTTTAACTGTTTTTTTGTGATGAGGTGGAATGTTTCCATACGAAGTCTACAATAGCATAGGTTATGTTATCAGCAACTATGATTTTTTTTTTTTGGTCTGGCATTTCCTGAAAAAATATTTAAGTGACAGAAAGAAGTTTCAGCTTTTGTTGATAACCTGATGAGATTTGGCAAACACAGTTCTTGGTGCTGAGAAACGGGAAAGCCCCTGCCAGTCAGAAACTGACCTGACACTCACAGCTAGGTTTTGGTGTTCTCCAGATGAACACAACAGTTTCATAGAATATCATCAGCGTGATCACCCTGTGACCATGAGGAATTAACACAAAAACAAGACCACTCCACAATCATATTTGATCACAGACAAAAACATGGACACTTTCTAAACCACAAAAAGAACCAAACATCCCCCGAGCCTGACTAATATATGCGACTGCTGCTTCATTACCAGTTGCACATTTAGGCACACTTCTTTCTTCTCTCCTTCTAGATAAGATACCCAATTATAGAGTTATGTCTGCCTCCTGAAAGTGAATATGAAGCTTACCACTAATTGTTTTTCAAAGGGTTCCTGGTACATCATTGGTCAAGGATTCACGTTATCAGAATTTTTGTTTGCTTTTTTTTATTGTCATTTAAGAAAATGAGGCAGGGGCTTATGGGTTCCTACCTGTTTAAGAATGCCTGTTACTTTAATATTGGAGTAACAATTAGGTTTTCGTATTTTATTTCACAGAAATATATGTAGTAATGCCTCTATTGTCCTCATGCACTGAATACTATATTAAAGAAGACTGAGGCAACATGATATTCAAATTTCGTGGCAGATTTGCCGTGATTTTTACCTATATTGTCTACAAATTTTTGTACCTTATTGTTGAAATTCCAAAGCATTACTATGTGTTGCTTTCATCTGTTCTGTTTCAATCTTCCTTAGACTATTGTACATATTAATTGGTTCTTTATTTTTAAATAAAATATTTTAAATTTCACCTTAGAATTATTTTTCTGTTCCATTTACTGGCATTTTAAAGATATACTAATTATTATTTCCCAGAGGTCATGCCTATTTATCCCCGAGAACAATTATCTTCTAAGGACCTTTTAAAAAAATGTTTTCTTTTGTGTCCAGGTGTGGTGGCTTACACCTGTAATCCCAGCACTCTGGGATTCACTTGAGGCCAGGAGTTCAAAACCAGCCTGAGCAACACAGTGAGATTCCCACCTCTAGAAAAAAAAAATTTTTTTAATAGCTAGGCTTGGTGATATGCACCTGTAGTCCCACCTACTTGGGAGGCTGAGGTCTGAGGATTGCTTGAGCCCAGGAATTTAAGACTGCTGTGAGCCGAGATTGTGCCACTGCATTCCATCCTGGGCAACAGAGTTAGATACTGTCAAAAAAGAAGTTTTCTTTTGATATAATCATAGAGTCACAGGAAGTTGTAAAGAAAATATCTCCTTCACCCAGTTCTCCACAATGGTAGCACCTAACATA
Source organism: Homo sapiens (assembly GCF_000001405.40). Classification (NCBI taxonomy): domain Eukaryota; kingdom Metazoa; phylum Chordata; class Mammalia; order Primates; family Hominidae; genus Homo; species Homo sapiens. Next base: position 28,135,230 of record NC_000023.11, read on the forward strand.
ATTATAGTATGATATCAAAACTAGAAAATTGGCATTGGTATAATGTGTGTATAGAATTCTAAGCCATTTCTCACTTATATAGATTCGTGTAATCACTACTGCAATCAAGATTCAGAACTATTTCATCACCACAAAAATCTTCTGTGTGCTACTTCTTTATACTAACACCAACACCATTCCTCCCACCATCCCTAAACCCTGGCAAGCACTAATCTGTTTTCCATTTCTATACTTTGTCACTCTGAGAATATTATATAAATGGAATAAAACAGTATCTGATCTTTTGAGGTCGGCATTTTTTACTCAGCATAATGCCCTTGAGATCCATCCAATTTGTTGTGTACATAATCATTTGTTCCTTTCTTATTGTGCAATGCTATGGATTACCACAGTTTGTATAATTATTTATCTTTTGAGGAACATTTTGGTTGTTTTTAGTTTTCAGCTATTACAAATAAAATTGCTATGAAAAAATGTGTACTGGTTTTTTGCGTGGACATAAAATTTCATTCCTCTGAGATAAACGCCCAGCAGTGAAATTGCTGGGTTCTATGATAGTTGTATACTTATTTTTTGAAGAAAATGCTGAACAATTTTTTCAGAGTGACTATACCATTATTTATATTCCCACCAGCAACGTATGAGTAATCCAGCTTCTCCACATACTTGGCAGCACTTAGTGTTTTCACTTTTTTTCTCGTTTATTCATTCCGATAGGTATGTAATTATATCTCATTGTGATTTCAATTTGCATTTTCCTAATGGTTAGTGATGTCAAACATCTTTTCAAGGGTTTATTTGTCACCCATATATACTCTTTGGTGAGATATCTCTTCATATCTTCTTCCGATTTGCAAATGGAATGTTTTGATTTTTTGTTGTTGAGTGAGTTTTGAGCATTCTTTATATATTCTAGATATGAATCCTTTCTCATGTGTGATTTCCAAGTATTTTCTTCTGGTCAGTACATTGTCTTTTCATCTTCTTTATGGAATCTTTTATAGAGAATAAAACTTAATTTTGATAAAGTCAAATTAAATTTTTTTTAAATGATCATGCTTTTGATGTCAAGTCTAAGAAGCCTTTATCAAGCTTTAGGTCCTAAAGATATTCACCTATGTTATTTTCTAATAGCTTTATAGGTTCATGTTTTACATTTATTTATTATTTATATGCATTTTTAGAGACATGGTCTCACTCTGTCACCCAGGCTGGAGTGAAGCAGCGTGGTCATAGTTCACTGCAGCCTCAAACTCCTGGGTTCAAGCAATCCTCTCACCTCCCTCAGCCTCCTAAGTAGCTGGGAGGGACTACAGGCAAACACCACTGTGCCCAGCTAATTTTCCTACTATTTGTAGAGACAGGTTCTCGCTATGTTTCCCATGCTGGTCTTAGACTTAGCCTCTGGCAACACTCCCACCTAAGCCTCCCAAAGTACTGGGATTACAGGTATGAGCCACTGCACCCAGCCTATGTTTAGTTTTGAATTAATTTTTATATAAAGTGTGAAACTAAGATTAAGATTCATTTCTATTTTCATTTTTATTATTATTATTTTTTGCCTAGGGATGTCTGATTGTTCCAACACTATTCAATGAAAAACTATCTTTCCTCCATTGAATTGTTTCTGTTATTTTTTAAAAGTCAGTTGAGTATATTCATGTATGGCTATTTCTGGGTTCTCTAGCCAGTAGTTCCATTGACTTATGTTTCTGTCCTTCCACCAACATAAAACAGGTTTCATTACTGTAGGTATATAATAAGTCTTTAAACTGGGTAGACTAATTCCTCCTATTTTCATCTTTTTTTTAAAAAAAGTTTTACTTCACTGCATGTTCTCACTCATAGGTGGGAATTGAACAATGAGAACACTTGGACACAGGTAGGGGAACATCACACACCAGCGCCAGTTGTGGGGTGGAGGAAGTGGGGAGGGAAAGCATTAGGAGATATACCTAATGTAAATGACGAGTTAATGGGTGCAGCACACCAACATGGCACATGTATACATATGTAACAAACCTGCACGTTGTACACATGTGCCCTAGAACTTAAAGTATAATAAAAAAAAATAAAAGTTTTACTTATTCTAGTCCTCTTGCCATTTGATATACATTTTAGAATGCACTTACCTACAGCTACAAAAAATCTTGCTGGAATCGTGATAGGAAATGCATTAATCCTGTATATCAATTTGGGGAGAATTGACATCTTTATTATGTTGACTCTTCCAATTTGTGAATGTAATATTTCTCTACAGTAATTTAGATCTTCCTTCAGTTTCCTCACCAGTATTTTATAGTTTTCAGTACACAAATCTTTTACATGTTTTGTTAGATTTAAATTTTAATATGTTACTTTTTAAGCAATTGTCAATTGTATTGTATTTTTGGACAATATCAATACTTTGGTCTCTGTGTGCTTATTGGTAGTATATAAAAATACGATTGGTTTTTATATGTTGACCTTGTATCCTGTGACCTTTCTGGACTCACTTATTAGTTCTAGAAACTATTGTTTTTTCTTTTGTTTTTTTTTTTTTTTTGAGATGGAGTCTCACTCTGTTGCCCAGGCTGGAGTGCAGTGGCACAATTTCAGCTCACTGCAACCTCCTCCTCCCAGGTTGAAGCGATTCTCATGCCTTAGCCTCCCGAGTAGCTGGGATCACAAGCGTGTGCCAACACACTCACTATGTTGGCCAGGCTGGTCTCAAACTCCTGGCCTCAAGTGATCCTCCTGCCTCGGCCTCCCAAAGTGCTGGGATTACAGGTATGAGTCACCCATGTGCCTGGCAGAACTATTGTTTTTTAACTTTAAAACATTTTATCTGTGATATTCCTTTTGTCTGTGTTTTTGTTTTTGTTTACATATAAATTCCCAATAATTATTTCTTGGGAATTTCTTGGGAATATATTTCTTGGGAATTTAAATATAAATCATCGTATTATCTGGAAATAGCAACTGTTTTATTTCTTCCTTTGTTAGTTATTTTCTGTTCTTTGTTTATTGTGCTGGCTAAAGCTTACAACACTATGTTGAATAGCAGGCCTGAGAGGAGACATCTCAGCCTTGTTTTTGTTCCTAGTGGGGCAGCATTCAGAATTTCATCATTAAATATAATAGTAGCTGTGGGTTTTAGTAGATGTTCTTTAGCAAATTAAGGAAGTTCCTCTCTATTCCTAGTTTGCTGATAGCTTTTATCCTGAACAGTGTTGGGTTTTGTCAAATGCTTTTTCTGAACCAATTTATATGGTCATATGATTTTTCTTATTTAGCTTGTGATATGGTGCATTACATTGATTAATTTTCGAATGTTGAGCCAGCCTTCAATACTAACATCTACTTAGTTACGGTGTACAATCCTTTTATACATTGCTGGATTATATTTGCTAATATGTAGTTGAAGATATTTGTGTTTAAATTCATGATAGAAATTGGTCCATAGTCATCTTTTTTGTACTGTCTTTGCTTTTGGTGTCAAGGTAATACTGGCCTCATAAAACGAGTTGGCAAAGTATGCCCTCCTCTTGTATTTTATGGAAGACTGTGTAAAATTGGTATTGATTCTTCTTTAAATATTATACTTCTCCAGCAAAACAATCTGGTCCTGGATATTTCTTTTTAAGAGTTTAGAATCACAAATTCAGTTTCATTAATGTGTGTAGGGACTATTCAGGTTGTTTAATTCTTCTTGATTGAGTTTTGGTAGTTTAGGGTTTTTGAGGAATTGATCTGTTTTTTTCGAAGTTGCCAAACTTATGAACATAAAATGTGTTTGCAGTTTTTTCTTATTGCCTTTTTAAAATGGCTTTAGAATATGTAGTGATGTTTCCTGATTCATTTCTGATATTGATATCTGTGTGTCTTCTCACTTTTTAATCTTTGTCAGAATTACTAGAGGTTTATTAATTTCATTGACTTTTTCCAAAGAACCAGCTTTTTGTTTCATTGATTTTCCCCATTTCCCTGTTTTCAATTTCATTGATTTGTGACTTTTCTTCCCTTTCCTTCCTTGTGCTTTCTTTGTGCTTCTTTTGCTCTTTTCCATATTTTTGTGGTTAGGTTTTAGATTATTAATTTTAGATATTAGTCATTGACATAAAAAGTAATTTTTGATAAAAATGTAGACATTTGGATTTTGTTATGAGACTGAATCTTATTTATTTAAATCTTGTGTTTTAGTAGGCCTCCTCCTGCAGAGGAAGGGAGGCACCACCTTGTTACTGCCACGTGGGGAGAGAGAGTCCGGGTTCTCCACTTAGCCTGATACATACCACCTGATTATGAAGGGCACCCTGTTATTGCTAAGTTGGGTTGGAGTTCAGACTCCCCACTAGGCCTCTCTTTATACAAGCCTGGCTTGGAATGGGAGCATGCCTCATTACTGCTTTCTCACACTTACATTGCAGGGGCATGGCCTCCTCACCACCGAGTGGTAAAGTCCTGGCTTTCCACTAGGCCTCCTCTGACACAATGCCAATGAGGAGGGGGAGGGATATCTTGTCACTGCCTGAATATAGACGTCCTGGCTTCCCACCTAGCCTTTCCTGACATAACCATGTTGGGGACAGGGAGGGGGTCAGGTGCCCTGCTACAGCCAGGCAAGAATGGAATTCTAGTTTGGGGTGGGGCTGTATTTTTTTCTGTGGTGTTTGGCTGGAGTAGAACAATTTTTGTCTAAAAAAAAATTATTTCCTGCTAGGCTGCCACTTATTTCATTCTTTAGCTAAAGACAGAGGCATTTCTTGTTGTATTTATTTATTTATTTTTGAGCCCATTAGCATTTCTGGCTTACCAGCTTCTTTATTACCCAGTCTGGTATATATAAGGCAAAAAGAAAACCCAAGGCACTTACTTAAGGCAAAAAGAAAATCCAGGGCACCACTGTGTCATTCCTTGAGTCCTGAGGTCTGTAGGCAGTCTGTTTCTTTCCATGTTTCAGAGTTTCCTTATATACGTTTTGTATATAATGTTCACGAATTTTAGCTGTAAGTAGCAGAAGGACTAAGGAAAAATATATCTTTTCCATAATTCCAGAAATACAAATCAAGATTTATCTCTAAAATCTTTTTATCTTTTTAATTTTATTATTTGTGATTATAACAGGATGTTCTACTTTGTTACCAACAACTTGCTATATTTAGTCTCTCATCAGCTGCTTATGATTCATTTGTTTATTCCGTCAGAATGTGAGTTTGAACTGCCATTTCGCCCTTATAATCTCTTTCCATCATTTTATCATCTTATTTTTAATGTCTTCGTTTTCACTGAATGTATTTATTTCAATTCTTCTGTAGTGCAAATCATTTATTCTGGGGATTCTGTTAGCTTGTTTGGTTAGGTCATGATTTCTGTTCCTGTCTTTTTTTCTCTCGTGCCTTTTTCGTATTATGCTTCTGTATTTCACTTTTTTTTTTTCATTTTGGCATGTAGTAGTTCTACATGGAGGGGATTACGTGGGGGCATTACAGGATTCCCAGTGGATGTCTGAAGCTGTGTATAGGAATGAATCCTATATACACTATATTTTTTCCTCTATATAGAAAGGAAAAAAACATAGAGTGTGTATGTGAGTACACATACTATGTTATGTATGTATATACTTATACCTAAATAATATATTTAAATATATTTATATCATAGGTGTGTGTGTGTGTATATATATATATATATATATGAGATAAAGTTTATATATTAGGCACAGTGAAAGACTAACAACAATAACTAATAATAAAATAGCACAGGTTTAATGATACACTGTAATAAAAGTTACATGAATATGGTCTCTCTCTCTCTCTCTCTCAAAATATCTTAATATTTTCAGACTGAGGCTGACTGTGTACAACAAACCACAGGAAGCAAAACCTAAGATAAGGGGGCCTACTGTAATTGGCATGATATTTCTTTACATCTTATTTTTAAGTAAGGTGGAAAGCGCCATGAACATTATTGGCTCTGGTTTAATGTGTGTAAAGTATCCTTGATTCTTTCTCACTATGTCTGTGACCTGTTTGTCTCACTTTCTATATGAGAGTTGGATACTAAGTGTTCTACTCACATTTTTCTTTTCTATTCTGATTACCTTTGAAAACTGGTGGTGGTCAAAGAAAGGGGGACAGAAGCTTCTGGGAAATGGTATAGAACCTGAAGGTATTTGTCATTTTCTAGATGTTCTTAACAAGCACCGGTGTCATTGTAGGGGAGTATGGTGTGAGGAGATTAACATTTGGATGCATAAATTTTCTGAAGAAACAATTTATGGGATTATATTATTTTTCTTAACGTTATTGGGTCCAGGGAAGGTACATTCATGGTGTAATCAAACTTTACTTGATGTTTTGGAACTGTTATAATTTCTTTCTTTCTTTAACTTTCTTTAACTTAACGGAGAGTAAGTTAATTTATAAATGATTTATTATTCCTTTAATTTGCTCAGCGAATTGGTAGCTCTAATAACTGTTGTGTGATGGGATTCCACACATGCTTTAAATTGTTCTTTAAAATCCACATGGAGTCTTGGAAACTTTGCTTTAGGTAGAGACAGTTACCTCATCATCATCCTCTTACCTGAAATTGTTAACTCTGCTCTCAAACAGTGGAGGAAACATAAGAGAAACTCATCAGGAAAGCTCTGTGAAATTAGAAAATAGGAAAAAGAGACTACTGGCCTTGACTTCCTATTGTCTGGGCTATTTTACAAGTCACTGGAGCAGAGATAAACTTTTATATTTTTTATCTGGTAGAGATTAAAGTAATTTCTATCCATTGAAACAGACCACCCTCAAGGGTTTATGGGCCAGTTAAACATTAACCAGTTTTGTATGTAACCCAACAGTCTAACTCAAGCATTTCTTTGTTAAATTGCCTGTATACTTAACTGTTAAAATGCTTTTTGGGCTTTTATTTTTATTATCTTACAGGTTCTTCACTATTTAATAAATTAAATATCTTTAGCATTTTTCATTTTAAATGTTTCTTAGTTTCATGATTTTACATTTTTGAAAATTACATTTTAACCATATTTGAGGTTTCTCTGAGATTCCACAGTGGTCCCGCCTTTTGGAGCCAAGTAAACTAAACCTCTTGGGCTGGTTAAACCTAGGCTTGTCTTTCCTTGGCTCCTGGAGTGAATCCCAAGGGGCAATAAAACTTTCATTTTACTGACTCTTTATTTTTCTAAGTTGCTTTTTTCCCCTTTCTATTGATTTTATATTTTTATATTTGTTTCTGCTTTTTACTCAGCTAACAAGTTATGTTCCCTTGCTGGCAGCAATGGTTAGAAATTGGTTTTATAGACCATTTGGTGATACGTGTCAGATGAATAATAGAGATTTATTCTCTTCTGTGTGAGAGATGACAGAGAATATGGTTAATCGTTTTCTTTTTTTTTTTTTTGTCTACCTGTGAGCTTAAATTAATTAAGAGTTTTATGCCTATTAGGAAGGTAGAAAGCTCTTTGAGATTTTAACTGAGAGGTTTTGGTGTTTAATGTTGATCTGTGGCTGAAGTTATATAACAGAAGCTGTAGGCTCTCTTTGTGTCTGTGCATCTGTACTTGATAAAAGGACATACCTTTCATGATGTGAGTGTGAGATATTTTCCTAGTTCCATGGAGTATTAATAAGTTATTATGTCCCTTAAACTTAAAAAACTACTATTCTGATTTGTTTTTAGAGATAAGTGACCACATATACAAATTTAATATCCTCCCTCAAAATCACAGAAAATCAGTTTGTAAAAATCCTGACCTGATATCTCTAAAGGAATTGCTAGCTCAGAAACATTTTATATCCAAGTTTACATAATTAAGTTGAATCTTTGGACAAATTAGACTGGTTTAGTAGTTTTGGTTCAATAATAAGTAGTAACTATTTTTGTTGAGTCTAACAACAGTACTGTATGTAGCACAAGCGTTTTGATTTTGTATTTGTTTTTCTTAGATTTGGGTTTGCTTTGTCTTAAAGTGATGAGGTAATCTGAACTTCTAGACTTCTTATACCATATTATGAATCAAATCATGTTACTCCCAGAAAACATTTAAGATTATGAAGAAAATTAATTTGTGTTTAGCTAAGTTGAATCATTATTTTACTCATTTTTATATCAGTGGTAATTATGTTTTGTAGTGTTTCTGTTTAAATAAAATTTCCAAGATCCTTAGATGATTTACAAATTTAGATTAATATTAAATTGAGTTAATTAATGCATAATGATTAGATGCTGCAGGGGAGAAAAAGTAATATATTTCCTTCACACAGTGCAAGGTTCACGGCTGACATGCCTATAAAAAAAGACAAATTAACAAGAGAAAAGCATATCAGCTTTATTTAACCAAAGTTTTATGTGACACAGAAGCCTTCATAAATGAAGAACCCAAGGCCCAGGGAAAACTGTATATTTATGCTTAGGTTAAATGAAGAAGTGTGATTGGACAAAAATGGGATATTACTTAAGGATATTAAACTAGGGAAAACTTTGAAAGGACTGTTTTTTCAGATTCTTTTTGGCCTCTCTGTGTAACATTCCTTCCCTCCAGGTATAGGGCAGGACACCTGTCACATAGGGTCTTATGAACTACTTTCAGGGGAGGTAGGTCAGAAAATTCTTTTATAGCCAACTCTCACACAGAAAAGCAGAAGAAAGTCAGATGGTGACCTTTTTGCTTCTACTGTTTTCTCAGTTTCCACAGTGTCATATTTTGGGGTAGCATGTCCTGTATCATGTCAATGCCTAGATAATTTCTAAATAAAATTGAATACTTAAACATTGATTACTAAACATAATTTTACGTTTATATGCTTTCATTGATTATTTTTTATTTCTCATTATTTTTATATTCCTTACAGTCACAATATCTTTGGGTAACATTAATGAACATGTTCATTTGTGTCATTTTTAAGAAGGTATAAAAATGATGTGTGGGGCTGCAGGTAATGAGTTTTCTTAGTCTGCTAAAGTATTTGAAAGAGAGTTCTGAAATTATAGACCTCTCAGTTTTTCTGTGAAATAGAAGTACATTTTCTTCCTTAAAGGTTATAATTAATATGGTAAGTTGAGACTGTACTAGGAGCAATAATGGAAGATAAATATACCTGCATATGTAAGGTAATGGGATATAGTTTTGTTTATCAAGAGAAAAGGGGTAATTTTGCCTTAAAGATCAGGTGGTTTCAGAATGTCAAACAGGTTAGTGAAAGACAAAATCTTAATGGTTATAGAAAATTGTAAAAGGTTTTAAGAAAGGTAGTTTTTATTTGCCTTGGTTTGTAATATTTGAGCATAAAAAAGCAAAGAAACGTATTAAAATTTTGCCAAAGCTGGCTCATTTTTGATGAGTTTATATATGAGAAAATATGTTGAAACTTTAATGCCAAATATTATATAAATGCAAAACTAGAATATGGATTTTTCTGCCTTAAAATGATTAACTTGCCTTAGAGCTCCTAACAAGAGGCAATAAAGATTATTATTTATCTTCTGTAGGTAATTTCCTATATCACCAAGATAGTTTTCTCTGCTTTGTTTGAATTATTATGTAAAATAACAACATATCCAACACAGATCCTTCACCTGTAAAAAAAGATGACATTTTTTACAATTGAGTTACTTTCTTAAATAATTATTTTAAAATATTTTATTGACACTTTGATTAAATAGAGAAACAAATATTGTTTCTCGAGCACCGATCATCCTGACTGAATCAATTGTCCTAATCTTTGGCAACTATTTTGGTTTCACTTTCCCAAGATAGGACCTAAGTTGAAGAAAACATAAAATAAAATTTCAAGCTTTTTTTTTGCATTTAAAGAGATATTTTAGGTTCTCCAGTGGGCCCTTGGAAAATCGAAGATGTGTTATTTACCCTATAAAAGAAAAAATGCTAGAAATATATTGTTTCTTCCATATTTCTTAACTATGCTATTGTAAAAGTTACATGAAAATAATCATTAAATCAGAAAAGATACTCAGCCTTCCTAAGGTTAAATTGAGTATAATGTTATTAATATAAATATTCCAGAGATTACACATTTTATGGGAAAACCCTAGGATTCAGTCAATGCCTATACTGCCATAATACATTCGTATCCTTAGAGGAAGCATTGATCAAACCCTTATAAAATAGGGTTTTACTGCACTCAAATAGAAAATTCTGATATTATTAGCACTGTGATAAAGTAACCACAGCCTGTAGTCTCATTATCAAATGGCTTTCTACTTCCTGGTATTTGCCTGAAGAAGCTCAAATCACTGTCTTCAACAAAGAAAAGGAATCACAGAGCCTCTTGGAAAGGATAATGTAACAGGTACTCTGAACTATTGAAATTTCAAAGAATAGCCTTTTTTTTTTTTGGACACAGTGTCTCTGTTGCGTAGGCTGGAGTACAGTGGCAGGATCATTGCTCACTGCAGCCTTGAACTCCTGGGCTCAAGTGATCCTCCCACCTCAGCAGTAATAATCCTGAGGGGGCTAGGACTACAGGCACGTGCCACTAAGCCCCGCTAATATTTTAATTTTTATTTTTGCCGAGATAGGTTCTCACTATGTTCCCCAGGCTGGTCCCAAACTCCTGGCCTCAAGCGATCCTCCCACCTCGGCCTCCCAAAGCTCTGGGATTACAAGTGTGAGCCACGGCACCCAGCTAGAGCTACCATGGCTTAAACAACTCACAGTCTATATCATGAACTGAGTCAGGATTTTCAGGACTCTTGCAAAAGCAAATTGCTGACCTGAGACCTAACGAAACAAAATTCATCGTATAGGACTGAGGAAGAAAATCCTATTGTTATTTCATTGGAAAATTACTGCAATAATTTTTAAATGTGAATTGCAATTGTGTGTAAGGATGCCCTATTTATTACTTAAGCTCTTTCTAATTCTCAATTTAGTAGACTATACATCTGTAAACTAAAATGAAATATTTTAATCGTATCTGATTCTCACTGGCCTCTCAGAATGCAGAAACAGATACTTTTACTTGAGTTTTCTTACTTTTCAAAGCAATGTTATAAAGTTACGTTCCTAGATTCAATAACAATCTGTCCTCCCTTTACCCAGATATAACTGGACAAATTGTTTGTGTAACCATGGCCATATCTAGAATATCATATTTGCAAATGATTCTCATCAAATCAGGTAATTAGGTATATCAAGCCCACTTTTTTTTAAAATTATACTTTAAGTTCTAGGGTACATGTGCACAATGTGCAGGTTTGTTACATATGTATACATGTGCCATGTTGGTTTGTTGCACTCATTAACTCATCATTTACATTAGGTATATCTCCTAATGCTATCCCTCCCCCTCCCCCCACCCCACGACAGTCCCCAGTGTGTGATGTTCTCCACCCTGTGTCCAAGTGTTCTCATTGTTCAATTCCCACCTATGAGTGAGAACATACAGTGTTTGGTTTTCTGTCCTTGCCATAGTTGGCTGAGAATGATGGTTTCCAGCTTCATCCATGTCCCTACAAAGGACATGAACTCTTCCTTTTTTATGGCTGCATAGTATTCCATGTTGTATATATGCCACATTTTCTTAATCCAGTCTATCATTGATGGACATTTGGATTGGTTCCAAGTCTTTGCTATTGTGAATAGTGCCACAGTAAACATACATGTGCATGTGTCTTTATAGCAGCATGATTTATAATCCTTTGGGTATATACCCAGTAATGGGATGGCTGGGTCAAATGGTATTTCTAGTTCTAGATCCTTGAGGAATCGCCACACTGTCTTCCACAATGGTTGAACTAGTTTACAGTCCCACCAACAGTGTAAAAGTGTTCCTATTTCTCCACATCCTCTCCAGCACCTGTTGTTTCCTGACTTTTTAATGATCGCCATTCTAACTGGTGTGAGATGGTATCTCATTGTGGTTTTTATTTGCATTTCTGTGATGGCCAGTGATGATAAGCGTTTTTTCATGTGTCTGTTGGCTGCATAAATGTCTTCTTTTGAGAAGTGTCTGTTCATATCCTTTGCCCACTTTTTGATGGGGTTGTTTGATTTTTTTCTTGTAAATTTGTTTAAGTTATTTGTAGATTCTGGATATTAGCCCTTTGTCAGATGGGTAGATTGTAAAAATTTTCTCCCATTCTGTAGGTTGTCTGTTCACTCTGATGGTAGTTTCTTTTGCTGTGCAGAACCTCTTTAGTTTAATTAGATCCCATTTGTCAATTTTGGCTTTTGTTGCCATTGCTTTTGGTGTTTTAGTCATGAGATCCTTGCCCATGCCTATGTCCTGAATGGTATTGCCTAGGTTTTCTTCCAGGGTTTTTATGGTTTATGTGTAACATTTAAGTTTTTAATCCATCTTGAATTAATTTTTGTATAAGGTGTAAGGAAGGGATCCAGTTTCAGCTTTCTACATATGGCTAGCCAGTTTTCCCAGTACCATTTATTAAATAGGGAATCCTTTCCCCATTTCTTATTTTTGTCAGGTTTGTCAAAGATCAGATGGTTGTAGATGTGTGGTATTATTTCTGAGGGCTCTGTTCTTTTCCATTGGTCTATATCTCTGTTTTGGTACCAGTACCATGCTGTTTTGGTTACTGTAGCCTTGTAGTATAGTTTGAAGTCAGGTAGTGTGATGCCTCCAGCTTTGCTCTTTTGGCTTAGGATTGTCTTGGTGATGCAGGCTCTTTTTTGGTTCCATATTAACTTTAAAGTAGTTTTTTCCAATTCTGTGAAGAAAGTTATTGGTAGCTTGATGGGGATGGCATTGAATCTATAAATTACCTTGGGCAGTATGGCCATTTTCACGATATTGATTCTTCCTATCCATGAGCATGGGATGTTCTTCCATTTGTTTGTGTCCTCTTTCATTTCATTGAGCAGTGGTTTGTAGTTCTCCTTGAAGAGGTCCTTCACATCCCTTGTAAGTTTGATTCCTAGGTATTTTATTCTCTTTGAAGCAATTGTGAATGGGAGTTCACTCATGATTTGGCTCTCTGTTTGTCTTTTATTGGTGTATAGGAATGCTTGTGATTTTTGCACATTGATTTTGTATCCTGAGATTTTGCTGAAGTTGCTTATCAGCTTAAGGAGATTTTGGGCTGAGACAGTGGGGTTTTCTAGATATACAATCATGTCATCTGCAAACAGGGACAGTTTGACTTCCTCTTTTCCTAATTGAATACCCTTTATTTCTTTCTGCTGCCTGATTGCCCTGGCCAGAACTTCCAACACTATGTTGAATAGGAGTGGTGAGAGACGGCATCCCTGTCTTGTGCCAGTTTTCAAAGGGAATGCTTCCAGTTTTTGCCCATTCAGTATGATACTGGCTATGGGTCTGTCATACATAGCTGTTATTATTTTGAGATACGGCCCATCAATACCTAATTTATTGAGAGTTTTTAGCATGAAGGGCTGTTGAATTTTGTCAAAGGCCTTTTCTGCATCTATTGAGATAATCATGTGGTTTTTGTCTTTGGTTCTGTTTATATGCTGGATTACGTTTATTGATTTGTGTATGTTGAACCATCCTTGCATCCCAGGGATGAAGCTCACTTGATCATGGTGGATAAGCTTTTTGATGTGCTGCTGGATTTGGTTTGCCAGTATTTTATTGAGGATTTTTGCATCGATGTTCATCAGGGATATTGGTCTAAAATTCTATTTTTTTGGTTGTGTCTCTGCCAGGCTTTGGTATCAGGATGATGGTGGCCTCATAAAATGAGTTAGGGAGGATTCCCTCTTTTTCTATTGACTGGAATAGTTTCAGAAGGAATAGCACCAGCTCCTCTTTGTACCTCTGGTAGAATTCGGCTGTGAATCCATCTGGTCCTGGACTTTTTTTGGTTGGTAGGCTATTAATTATTGCCTCTATTTCAGAGCCTGTTATTGGTCTATTCAGGGATTCAACTTCTTCCTGGTTTAGTTTGGGAGGGTGTATATGTCCAGGAATTTATCCATTTCTTCTAGATTTTCTAGTTTATTTGTGTAGAGGTGTTTATAGTATTCTCTGATGGTAGTTTGTATTTCTGTGGGATCGGTGGTGATATCCCCTTTATCATTTTTTATTGCGTCTATTTGATTCTTCTCTCTTTTCTTCTTTATTAGTCTTGCTAACAGTCTATCAATTTTGTTGATCTTTTCATAAAACCAGCTCCTGGATTCATTGATTTTTTGAAGGGTTTTTTTGTGTCTCTATCTCCTTCAGTTCTACTCTGATCTTAGTTATTTCTTGCCTTCTGCTAGCTTTTGGATGTGTTTGCTCTTGCTTCTCTAGTTCTTTTAATTGCGATGTTAGGATGTCAGTTTTAGATCTTTCCTGCTTTCTCTTGTGGGCATTTAGTGCTATAAATTTCCCTCTACACACTGCTTTGAATGCGTCCCAGAGATTCTGGTATGTTGTGTCTTTGTTCTCTTTGGTTTCAAAGAACATCTTTATTTCTGCCTTCATTTCGTTATGTACCCAGTAGTCATTCAGGAGCAGGTTGTTCAGTTTCCATGTAGTTGGGCAGTTTTGAGTGAGTTTCTTAATCCTGAGTGCTAGTTTGATTGCACTGTGGTCTGAGAGACAGTTTGTTATAATTTCTGTTCTTTTACGTTTGCTGAGGAGTGCTTTACTTCCAACTATGTGGTCAATTTTGGAATAAGTGCGATGTGGTGCTGAGAAGAATGTATATTCTGTTGATTTGGGGTGGAGAGTTCTGTAGTTGTCTATTAGTTCCGCTTGTTGCAGAGCTGAGTTCAGTTCCTGGATATCCTTGTTAACTTTCTGTCTCGTTGATCTGTCTAATGTTGACAGTGGGGCGTTAAAGTCTCCCATTATTATTGTGTGGAACTCTAAGTTTCTTTCTAGGTCTCTACGGGTTTGCTTTATGAATCTGGGTGCTCCTGTATGGGGTGCATATATATTTAGGATAGTTAGCTCTTCTTGTTGAATTGATCCCTTTACCATTATGTAATGGCCTTCTTTGTCTCTTTTGATCTTTGTTGGTTTAAAGTCTGTTTTATCAGAGACTAGGATTGCAACCCCTGCTTTTTTTTGTTTTCCATTTTCTTGGTAGATCTTCCTCCATCCCTTTATTTTGAGCCTTTATGTGTCTCTGCACATGAGATGGGTCTCCTGAATACAGCACTACAGCACACTGATGGGTCTTGACTCTTTTTTTTTTTTTTTTTTTTTTTTGAGACAGAGTCTCGCTCTTTCACCCAGGCTGGACTGCAGTGGCGCTATCTTGGCTCACTGCAAGCTCCGCCTCCTGGGTTCACCCCATTCTCCTGCCTCAGCCTCCCAAGTAGCTGGGACTACAGGCGCCCGCTACCACGCCCAGCTAATTTTTTTTTGTATTTGTAGTAGAGACGGGGTTTCACCGTGTTAGCCAGGATGGTCTCGACCTCCTGACCTAGTGATCCACTCGCCTCGGCCTCCCAAAGTGCTGGGATTACAGGCGTGAGCCACCGCGCCCGGCCGGTCTTGACTCTTTATCCAATTTGCCAGTCTGTGTCTTTTAATTGGAGCATTTAGCCCATTTACATTTAAGGTTAATATTGATATGTGTGAATCTGATCCTGTCATTATGATGTTAGCTGGTTATTTTGCTCGTTAGTTGCTGCAGTTTCTTCCTAGCATCAATGGTCTTTACAATTTGGCATGTTTTTGCAGTGGCTGGTACTGGTTGTTCCTTTCCATGTTTAGTGCTTCCTTCAGGAGCTCTTGTAAGGCAGGCCTGGTGGTGACAAAATCTCTCAGCATTTGTTTGTCTGTAAAGGATTTTATTTCTCCTTCACTTATGAAGCTTAGTTTGGCTGGATATGAAATTCTGGGTTGAAAATTCTTTTCTTTAAGAATGTTGAATATTGGCCCCCAGTCTCTTCTGGCTTGTAGAGTTTCTGTCGAGAGATCAGCTGTTAGTCTGATGGGCTTCTCTTTGTGGGTAACCCAACCTTTCTCTCTGGCTGCCCTTAACATTTTTTCCTTCATTTCAACTTTGGTGAATCTGACAATTATGTGTCCTGGAGTTGCTCTTCTCGAGGCGTATCTTTGTGGCGTTCTCTCTATTTCCTGAATTTGAATGTTGGCCTGCCTTGCTAGGTTGGGGAAGTTCTCCTGGATAATATCCTGCAGAGTATTTTCCAACTTGGTTCCATTCTCCCTGTCACTTTCAGTTACAACAATCAGACATAGATTTGGTCTTTTCACATAGTCCCATATTTCTTGGAGGCTTTGTTTGTTTCTTTTTACTCTTTTTTCTCTAAATTTCTCTTCTTGCTTCATTTCATTCATTTGATCTTCAATCACTGATACCCTTTCTTCCAGTTGATCAAATCTGCTACTGAAGCTTGTGCATGCATCACGTAGTTCTTGTGCCATGGTTTTCAGATCCATCAGGTCATTTAAGGTCTTCTCTACACTGGTTATTCTAGTTAGCCATTCGTCTAATCTTTTTTCAAGGTTTTTAACTTCTTTGCAATGGGTTTGAACATCCTCCTTTAGCTTGGAGAAGTTTGTTATTACTGATCATCTGAAGCCTTCTTCTCTCAACTCGTCAAATTCATGCTCCATCCAGCTTTGTTCTGTTGCTGGTGAGGAGCTGCGTTCCTTTGGCGGAGAAGAGGCGCTCTGATTTTTAGAATTTTCAGCTTTTCTGCTCTGGTTTCTCCCCATCTTTGTGGTTTTATCTACCTTTGGCTTTGATGATGGTGACGTACAGATGGGGTTTTGGTGTGGATGTCCTTTCTGTTTGTTAGTTTTCCTTCTAACAGTCAGGACCCTCAGCTGTAGGTCTGTTGGAGTTTGCTGGACGTCCACTCCAGACTCTGTTTGCCTGGGTATTACCAGCAGAGGCTGCAGAACAGCAAATATTGCAGAATGGTAAATGTTGCTGCCTGATCCTTCCTCTGGAAGCTTCATCTCAGAGGGGCACCTGGCTGTATGAGGTGTCAGTCGGCCCCTATTGGGAGGTGTCTCCCAGTTAGGCTACTCGGGGTCAGGGACCCACTTGAGGAGGCAGTCTGTCCATTCTCAGATCTCAAACTCCATGCTGGGAGAACCACTACTCTTCAAAGCTGTCAGACAGGGACATTTAAGTCTGCAGAAGTTTCTCCTGCCTTTTATTCAGCTATGCCCTGCCCCCAGAGGTGGAGTCTACAGAGGCAGGCAGGCTTCCTTGAGCTGTGGTGGGCTCCACCCAGTTTGAGCTTCCCAGCCACTTTGTTTACCTACTCAAGCCTCAGCAATGGTGGACACCACTCCCCCAGCCTCGCTGCCGCCTTGCAGTTTGATCTCAGACTGCTGTGCTAGCAGTGAGTGAGGCTCCGTGGGCGTGGGACCCTCCGAGCCAGGCGCAGGATATAATCTCTTGGTGTGCCATTTGCTAAGACCATTGGAAAAGCGCAGTATTAGGGTGAGAGTGTCCTGATTTTCCAGGTACCGTCTGTCACGACTTCCCTTGGCTAGGAAAGGGAATTCCCTGACCCCTTGTGCTTCCCAGATGAGGTGATGTCCCACCCTGCTCCATGGGCTGCACCCACTGTCCGACAAGCCCCAGTGAGATGAACCCGGTATCTCAGTTGGAAATGCAGAAATCAGCCATCTTCTGCATCACTCACGCTGGGAGCTGTAGACTGAGGCTGTTCCTATTCGGCAATCTTGGAACCTTTTTTTTTTTTTTTTTTTTTGAGACAGACTCTCACTCTGTCGCCCAGGCTGGAGTGCAGTGGCATGATCTTGGCTCACTGCAACCTCCACCTCCCTGGTTCAAGCATCAGCCTCTACAGTAGCTGGGATTACAAGCACCCGCCATCGTGCCCAGCTTATTTTTTTGTATTTTTAGTAGAGACGGGGTTTCACCATGTTGACCAGGCTGGTCTTGAGCTCCTGACCTCAGGTGATCCACCCACTCTTAAAGAACATGCATTGCCCTTGTGGACAAAAAGACCACACAAAGCCCTCTCAAAAAAATTGGCTCAGTATCTGGCTTGTAAGATCTCACAGGTGGTATTAGTCTCACAGAGGATATGAAAAAATTAAACTAAAAAGTTTCTGCACAGCAAAATAATCAATAGAGTGAAAAGACAACTTAAAGAAAGGGAAAAAGTAGTTGCATGTTATGTATTCAATGAGGGACTAATATCCAGAATGTACAAGGAACTCGAACAACGAAAAAAAAAAAAAGCAAATAACTCCATTAAAAAGTGGGCAAAGAGCCTGGGTGCAGTGGCTCATGCCTATAATACCAGAACTTTGGGAGGCTGAGGTGAGAGGATCGATTGAAGCCAGGAGTTCTAGACCAGCTTGGGCAACATAGTAAGAACCCCACCTCTACAAAAAATAAAAAATTTACCTGGGTGTTGTTGCACACACCTGTAGTCCTAGCTACTCAGGAGCCTGAGGCAGGAGGATGCCTTGAGCCCAGGAGTTGGAGGCTGCAGTAAGCTCTGATCATGCCACTGCACTTCAGCCAGGGCAACAGATTGAGACACTGTCTCTAAATTTAAAAAAAAAAGAAGAAAGATAAGAAAAAGTGGGCAGTCAGCAAAGGATGTGAACAGACAGTTTTCAAAAGAAGACATGAGTGACCAACAAGCATATGAAAAAATTCTCAATATCACTAATTGTCAGAGAAATTACAAATTGAAACTACAATGAGATATCATCTTACACCAGTCAGAATGGCTGTTGTTAAAAAGTAAAAAAAAAAAATTAGCAGATGTTGGTGAGGATGTATAGAAAAGGGAACACTTATATATTATTTTTGGAAATGTAAATTAGTATAACTTCTATGGAAAAGAGTATGCAGGTTTCTCAAAGAACTAAAAATAGAACTACCATTCAATCCAGCAACCCCATTACTGGTTATTTACCCAAAGGAAAATAAATCATTATATAAAAAAGATACCTGCATGCATATGTTTACAGCAGCACTGTTCACAATAGCAAAGATGTGGAATCAACCTGTGTTCATCAATGGATTATTGGATACATAAAGTGACACGCACACACACTGAAATACTACTAAGCCATAAAAAAATGAAATCATGTCATTTGCAGGAACATGAATGGAACTGGAAGCCATTATCTTAAGTGAAATAACTCAGAAACAAAGTCACTTAGCATATGTTCTCACTTATAAATGGGAGCTAAATAATGTGTACACATGGGCACAGAGTGTGGAATAATAGACCTTGGAGACTCAGAAGCATGAGAGAAGGGTGAAGGAAGAGAAATTACTTAATGAGTACAGTGAACACTATTGAGGTGAGGGGTACAATAAAAGCACAGATGTCGCCAACACAGACATATTCATGTAATAAAACTGTACCTGTACCATCTAAATTTATACAAATTTTAAGTCATTTTCTAACAGGTCAGGGACCTTAGAAAAGTTTTGGGTACCACACCATTTTCTGGAAAATTTTCTCCATGAAGAGTTCTTAAAGATAGTTGCATTATTTGATTATTTTTTAAATACAAACTTGCAGTTTGTATTATTACTATATTTTTTATTTCACTAGGTTTTGGAGAGGCAATTTCTAATATATACATAGATTTACTCAGTGATAGTGTCCCGAAACAACACAAATAAGATTTCCATCACAATTCATGTCTCATGTTATGGTATTCTTTCTTAAATTACAAAATGACATATCATTTTACAGAATGATTCAATCTTCCTATAACTATTTTATCAATTTGGTAAATCTGAGAAATGATGGTTAATGTTTTATTGATTACTTCGAATTTTTTTCCTTTTAATTTTTTTAAAACTTTGAAGGCTGGAATTTCCTATTTTATAATTTTTTAAAATATAGTATATTAAGAAACTTTTAAAAAATCACACTTCATCAGTGTTTGTTTTATGTATAAATAGAATCACCTTTACAATTTTTTTTTAATTAACACAATAAGAAGGTGTGGTCTGGAGGAAAGTCTCCCAGCATTGAATTTGCAGAGGATTTGGAAATTGGGACAGATAAGAAAATAACCAGAGGAAAAAAAATACTTTGTTTACCTAGACAATTACCTGTGTATTTTGCTTACTTGATAGTGAAATTCATCAAGCCATTGCAAAATAAGAATCATTTTAATTGGAAAATTATGATT
Source organism: Homo sapiens (assembly GCF_000001405.40). Lineage (NCBI taxonomy): Eukaryota > Metazoa > Chordata > Mammalia > Primates > Hominidae > Homo > Homo sapiens. Next base: position 28,155,284 of record NC_000023.11, read on the forward strand.
TTCAAAATCTACAGGCATTGATTTATAAATGATTTATGCATTAATAGTTTCCATTTTTATTTTATTCTAGAACAAATTTATTTCCATGAAATTCATCTTTAAATGATTATCATTATCAGTAGAAAAGCATGTTTTGGATTCTTAGAAACTTTACTAACACACAGATTTTGAAAATATTCCCATTCCTAAAATTATAGAAACTGAAAAGTGTAAGCAACTTATTATACTCTTTAATGTATTATATGAACAATGTATTTTTTCAGACTAACTAGTTTTTTTTTCATTTTCTTATGTGAAATGTTGTAATCAATTTTTTAAATTTTGATTCAAATACATTTCCCAAATAAGTTATTGTTCATTAATTTTATTACAATACTCACCTTCTAATTAAAGAGTTGTAAAGGCCAACGAGAACCTTTTTCGTGAGAACAGTCTCATTAATTTGAATACCAGTGACTTAAATAGCTTGCCACCAAGGGATTTGATCATTTATACCAAAATTTCTCTCAATTTATTACCACATTTACAAGCAACTAAAATGAATGTTTTTCCATTGCTTTGCCTTTGTGAATTTAAATCACTTTTGTTTCCTAAAATAGCAATTTTACAACCCTGAGTTCTGTACATTTCTAAATGTTTTTGGAAAGAAAAATTTCCCTTTTCCTAAAAACTAATGTAATTTGTGTATGTAACATTTCTGGATTTGGCCATAAAAGGTAACATAATATCTTCCATTCTAAGTAATATAAGTCCTATATGTCTTAAGATTTTAGCCTAAATGTATTTCAGTGTTTTGTGCCCATGTATAATTTTTCATTGTAGGGCCCCCTATGACTAAGCACCACTGTAAATATAGTTTTCAGTAAAAGCTACATACAGAGCAATGTTCCTTGGAACATTATCATATTTTGCAAACAGAATTTGTGACATGTGCTCTAGCATGTACCAGTACTAGTGTACTTATGAAAGTCATGGCTGGGGTGTTTGGCGGCAGGTCCATATCCTTCATCTGGGGCTTTCGAGGCGAATGCTAGTATAATGCCATGGATGAGTATATGGCCTGTGGAATCAAATTGTCTGTATTCAGGACCCAGCTTGTGGCGGTGGGGGGGTAACACCAATAATATCAACTAGTCTAGAGGCATAGACCAGTTGGGTAGCTCCTAGGTAATTGACTGAAACTCATCTTTCTTTTCTGTAAGCATGGAGATAATATATATTATCTTAATATATAGGTCATAAATGGATTGTGAGTATGAAATGAATACATGTAAAACATTTGAAATAGTGTCAGGCTTAGTCAGTACAAGTGTCTTAGTTCTCGTTATCATATACCTTTCACTGAAGGAATTTTTTGTTCACAAAAGATATTATTCCAGAAATAATTATTATCAATCATATATGTATGTATGTAAATATAAATATATGTACATATATATCAATGAGGTTATGTATGCATATCATATATTTTTACTTTTCCTTGACTCTCATTCATTTGCAAAGATTCATTTTTCTCTGCCTCTTTACTGAAGTCACTTCATCTGACATCAAAAACTCACTCAATGTCCTTTTTAAAATACTCCTTCCTGGAGAGGAAGTGGAGAAATAGGAACACTTTTACACTGCTGGTGGGACTGTAAACTAGTTCAACCATTGTGGAAGACAGTGTGGCGATTCCTCAAGGATCTAGAACTAGAAATACATTTGACCCAGCCATCCCATTACTGGGTATATACCCAAAGGATTATAAATCATGCTGCTATAAAGACACATGCACACGTATGTTTATTGCGGCACTATTCACAATAGCAAAGACTTGGAACCAACCCAAATGTCCATCACTGATAAACTGGATTAAGAAAATGTGGCACATATACACCATGGAATACTATGCAGCCATAAAAAAGGAAGAGTTCATGTCCTTTGTAGGGACATGGATGAAGCTGGAAACCATCATTCTCAGCCAACTATGGCAAGGACAGAAAACCAAACACTGCATGTTCTCACTCATAGGTGGGAATTGAACAATGAGAACACTTGGACAGAGGGTGGGGAACATCACACACTGGGGCTTGTCGTGGGGTGGGGGGAGGGGGGAGGGATGGCATTAGGAGATATACCTAATGTAAATGACGAGTTAATGGATGCAGCACACCAACACGGCACATGTATACATATGTAACAAACCTGCATGTTATGCACATGTACCCTAGAACTTAAAGTATAAAAATAAAATAAAATAAAATAAAATAAAATACTCCTTCCTCCAAATAACTTGCAGTTAGTTGTCAATTATCAAAACTACCCTGTTGAAGTAATATGTAGATATTCTAGTGCAAAATAACTTCTGGTTCTTTTACAAGAACTGCACCAATCTGTAAGAAAAATGAATTTACTATGCATTTATGTTCAAAGGCTATTAATGAAACTATATCAATATTAACTAATACTTCCATTGCTAGTAGTAACAATAGTAAGTTAAGTGTTACAGAAATACTAACATGATCCCATACAGTATCAACAGTGATACTTTGAAACAATGGTAAAATAGCATATAAATGGATTTATTTCTAAAGGATTTCAATCAGGAGGCTTACAATGGGTTAATTTTAGAAAGAAAAAAGCAAAAAGTGAAGGAAAGGAAAATGAGAATCACTTTTCTAGTTCAGTCTGAACAGTATTATTGTGTTTGTACTTTTCTATAACCTAGTGCTCCTTGATTACTTTATTTACACATGTTTCTTTATATTTTACCAATATTTTCCATTCCAGTATGATATCTTCTCATGAGGAGTTATTTTAAATTCTTCGAATTTGGAACTGCCAAATCAATTGATTTTTCTTGGGATCAAAAAACGGACTTTAAAATATGGCCTCACGCCTCGTTTTCGCAACTGCAGCCACTCTGCTCTGGATAAGGGGCAATAAGTGACCAGGTTTGACAGGGTTGGGGGTGGAAGTTTCAATCACGATCAGCAGCTTTACAGGGCAGCAAGCACAATCCCAAGTGACCATGGAGTCTGGATCTGTGGCTCAAGACTCCCTCCTTAAATGCTGTCACCAATCATCCAGGTATGATTATATGCAAATGCTAATAAGAATGCTTCTTAGAGTGGAATGTACGTAAGTGGGGGGTGGAAGCCATACATACTGGCTCCAGCTCCTCTCCAACTTCACCTTCAAAACGAGCATGGACAACACTTAAGGGAATGTTACATACAGCCTGGACTGGCCCTAATTTCTCCTAAGCTGGAAAAGAATGCCCTGAGCCAGGGAATTCTCTTCTACACTGAGAGGGTCTCAGCAGGTAGCTGATCAAGTCACATACCTGAAAGCCTTTATCATCTCATTAGTTTCCAATTGTCTGCTCCTCAGTGCTCTCACACATCATTTAGCTAAAGCCTCAGCTGGTCTTTGTCAGCTCCCATCAGGAGATCTGCATCCCAGTGATATCAAATCGATTTTATATCACAGGATAAGTCAAATTGTAAGTTTGCTTGGCCAGCATCTATAAACTACTTTATAATTACTGAAATTCAGCATTTCGAAAACCCATATTTTGAAAATACTGCCAGATGATGTCCCATAATAGACTTAGAAAGACCAATTAATTAGGATACCGTTTCATCAGTCAGGATTGTTTAGCACTATCCAAGTTAACAGCCATGTGTTTCTTCCAGGTGTATTGCTCAAGTTCCAAACTTTCTTGTTGGCATTTTTAGAAGAGTTTAAAGCATCTGTCCTCAACCTTGGCTTCACATTAGAACCATCTAGGGAACTTTCATAAATTCTGATGCCTTGGCCCCACCTCCAGATATACTGATTTAATTGACCTGGGGTGAGCCTCAGGCATTGGTATTATTTAAAAAGCTCCCCATGTGATTCTAGTATGAAAACAGAGCTGGAAATCACTGATTTAAGATAACAGCAGTTGCTTGAATTTTTACATACTTCATAATAAGCTTCTGCTAGGTCAATAAAAAAGGTGTTCCATCAAGTAAAACGTAATTAATATTTGAGTGCTTTATTCTGTTTATTTTTTAAACTAATACATTTCTGTATTGCCTCTTGAAAACCCACATTTGAAAACTCCCTCTTTAGCCTGGACGTCTTTTCTTGATATGAAAGATTCTATGTTAGCCTCAGAAGTGACAAATGCATTAAACAACTGCTATTTATTTATTGAGCACCTACTATGAGTACGTTAGAGTCTAGGAGAAAAATTATGATACTTAAAATATGTCCTTGATCTCAAGGCATATCATTTTATTTATGAAGGAGGCATATTCATCTGAAATAATGACCCACAATATAAAAATTAAGTGATGCTTGTGAAATTAGAAATATGTGCTAACCTGTTTGAAATTCTTTCTCTCGGGCCTTGGGAGTGAGAGAACCATCAAAGGGATGAGGTGAGAGAGGCTCTAATCTAACTACTATAGATAATATGGGAGAGGATGTGAGGTGATGAAAACTTGGCCTTATTATTCAAAGACAAACAATTGGAGAACAGTTACAGACATAAGTGCCCTTGGTAGGTTGCAAAACTGGCCTTGTTATTTCCTCTTCTTATATCCATACATTGGAATACTTTCCTCCTTTAAAGCTAGATTCGACCATGTGACTTGCCAGCTGTAGGCATGCCAGCTCCTAGTCTTCCATGTTTCTACTTGCCTCTTAGATTTCTGTTATTATCATGAGAAAATGCTGTGTCTAGCCTGTTGGAGGATGAGAGACATGTGGATCACAGCAGTTGCCCTGGTGAACAGTCAGCTGATTCTAAACATGTGTATAAAAACAGCCAAGGAAGACAGAGCCAGCTTTCTAGCCCGCCACCAGTTGAGCCCAGACACATGATCCAATAAGCAGAGTGGTGACACAGTATGAGTAAAAACATGTGTCTATTATTTTATTCATCTCTCTGGGTTTTAAAATGTGAAAATTCTCCAGAATAAAATCACCTTATTGCTACTTAAACACTGATACTTATTTCACAACTAATTTGCTGAGTATTCTGTAGAAACACATCTGTCTTTATACAGTATCTATCTGCCAGAGAACTACTCAAACCGTCTAAAAGGACAAAGCCTTATTTTTAGATACACACTTTAAATTTGCCTCATCGCCGATGAAAATGGGAGGTAATATGAAGAATCCAACTCCTACTTAGTCTAGGAGTAGCACTTGGAGACAAAAGTTAACAATACCTTATAAACTTAATTTGTTCTTTCCTGCATCAGGATTTTCAAACCATGCCCAACTGCTCTTACAAACAGCTCAAAACATCCAGGTTTATTAGAGTTTTTATATTCTCAGGAAAAGATCCACCTACACAGTCAGTAAATTTTTGCAGACATTAGAAGGCAAAGTGATAATCAGGAAACCTTGTGGAACTAATAAGGAGCAAAGTATAAATAAAGAATTTAAGGAGGTACACAGTAAAAACACAAAATTACTTAATTCACTTCCAGTGTTCTTGAAGGTTTGCCATCAGACTTTCTGTGTACTCCTCCTATTGCAATTCATACGGGCTTCATACCACAAATGCTTATCACACCGCCTGATCACCGGGACATAGGATTGAGGATCAACCTTCATCCTTGGCTCACAACCCACATTCATTGTTGGACTAGGAATGACCCTCTTTTATTATTCTCTGCATTAGACACATACATGTTTGTGTTTATTTATCTATGTTAATAAGAACCTGAGAAATCACCTCTCAACAAGAAAAATAGAACCTGAATAATAACTTAAATCATTTGTGAACCTATACAAAACATTCCCCTGTTCACCTCCCACCTAATGGAATTACCATCTGAATCCTGTGTTCTGCATTCCCTAGGTTAAATTTTATACAGTTTTAAATTATCTATATATATATTCCTAAAAAGTATATATAAAGATATAGATATATAAATATGATATTAGTCTATATATTATCTTTTCAGGATTTTTAACTTAAAAATTCTGAGGCACACATATATTATCATGTTTTGCTGTGACTCATTCGTTTTAACTGTGGTACAATATTCCTTTGTGTGAACATACACAGTTCATTTATCCATTATTTTCTTCATGAATACTGGGTTATTTACAGGTTTTTGCTCTTACATGTAGTATTACTATGGTCATTCTTACACATGTCTTTTCATGGAAATATTTGAATTTCCCTTGGAAGTGGAATTATTGACTCAAAAGTAATATATATGTACAATTTTATGAGATATTGTCAAATGTTTTCCAATCTATAAGTGATGCTGTGTTTCCATTTCTCCTTTAATATGTGGTATTGTCAGATATTTTTTATTTTAATTTTCACCAATCCAAATGGGAAAAATTGTATATCATTTTGATCTTTATTTGCTTTTCACTGATGAGAACTCATATTCAAAAATTTATTTGCACAAAGTGTTTTATCATCTGTCCAATGCCTGTTCTTTACTTCTCTTCATTTTTTCTCTTTTTTTGTTTGTTTTCTTAGCTATTTTTAGAAAATTTTTATGGTCCTAACTTTTTTTTGTCACTTGTGTGCCTACAAGTACATTCCAAGTTTGTAACTTGATTTTTCGTTTATACATAATGGAGCACTATTCAGCCATAAAAAAGAATGAGATCTTTAAAGTATCTCGTGATGAACAAAAGTTATTTGCCCATAAATTGTTATATTTAGTATTTTCAAAACTACAGAAAAGTTAAAAGAATAGTACAGTGAATGCCCATTGTTTACAAATATTCACCCTAGGTGAACATCAATATTCACCAGCTGTTAACATTTTGCCACATGTGCTTGGTTAACATGTGTTGATGTGCACATTGAACTTGAAAGGAAATTGTCGACATCATGATATTTTCCCCTTAATTACTTCACCATTTACCTCTTAAGAAGGACATTGTCTTATATAATCACAATACCATTATATATTTTAAATCACTTAAAAATTATAATTTTATATCACCTAGTTCCAATATTCAAATTTCCCCACTCGTTCTCAAATATTAAAAGCTATCTTCTATAGCTTTTAAAAATCCAAAGTTCACAAACTTATTTCAGTTTTTATATCATCTTCAATTTCAAACAGTTCTCTGCCTTTTTGTTTTTCATGGATCATTTTTTATACTTGTTTTTTTCTCATTATATTGGATTTTTGAAGAATCTCGTCTGTTGTCTTTTATAATATCATTAATTGCTGAAGTTTAGTAATTGTTTTCTCATGATTAGATTTATGACAAATATTTTTGGCATAAATGCTTTATAGGGTTTTTTTGTTGATACGAAATAATTGTACATACTTATGGGTACATGTGATATTTTCATATATACATACAATGTGTAATGATCAAATCAGAATAATTGAGATATCTATCACCTCAAACATTTCTTTGTGCTGAGAAAATTGCAAATCTTCTCTTCCAGCTTTTTGAAATATACAATAAATGTTTGATAAGTATAATCACCCTACTGTGCTATCAAACACTAGAACTTATTCTTTTATGAGGAAAGTTATTGCCTTAATCAGCGAACTAAGGAAAGACTTTTATTTTTATATTGTCTTCCTATCTGTGAATATAGTATATTTCACCATTGATTTAGGTCTTATTTAATGTCACTCAGTAGAATTTTGTAATTCTGTCAAGGTTTTGCATATTTTTGTTATTCTTAGATATGTGATATTTTGCAATACCAATTTAAGTAGTCTTTTTAAAAACATTTTTTGGTTTCTTGTTTATGACATATTGCAATATTATTGATTTCTATAAATTAACATTCCATCCAACCAACTGCTAAACCCACCTATTATTTCTACTAAGTTGTCCACACATTCTTTTGAGTGTTCTCAATAAATAATTAAATCACCCCTAAAAAATGAATTTTATTTTTTCCTCTCTAATCCTTTTGTTACTAATAATACTACTTGACTGCCTTATTTTGCTGACTACAAATTATAGCACAGTGTTTTATTGAAGTATAATAGTGAACACCTTTGTCTTGTTTCTGGTTTTAAAAAGCATGTTTCTTGGTGAGACCCCATCTCTACTAAAATTACAAAAATTAGCCAGGTGTAGTGGCAGGCGCCTGTAGTCCCAGCTACTCGGGAGGCTGAGGTAGGAGAATCACTTGAACCCAGGAGGTGGAGGCTGCAGTGAGCCGAGATTGCGCCACTGCAATCCAGGCTGGGCAACAGAGTGAGACTCTGTCTCAATAAATTAAAATAAAATAAATAAAAGGATGTTTCTAAAATTAGCCCAGTTGGAGTAATTGTTTTCTAGTTTTTAATATGTATATTTTTATCAGGTTTTGGAAATTGGCTTTTGTTCCTCATTTACTAGAAGTTTTTGTTAAATATTTACGTTGATTTTATTGAGTGCATTTTCTGCATCTATTTAATGATTATATGATTTTTCATTTCTAACTCATCGAAAATTATCTAGAATTAAACCACCATTATATATCTGAAATAAAGCTAACTTGGACACAGTGTGTGTATATTATTATACACTGTTGGAATTGACTTGTTATGTTTTAAGGGTTTTTCATGAAAAAAAAATAGCCTGATACTTTTTATTTGTAGTATCGTTGTATGGTTTTGGCATCAAGATTATCCTGATTTTGTAAAATAGGTGGGGAGTATTACTCTTCTAATCTTGAAAGATTTTATTTAAGATTGACATGAGTTTGAATGACTGGTTAATTTTTCCTGTAACACTATCTTATTTTTCAATTTATTTAATTTTCATAGAACTAAGAATTTCTAAGAATTTTAAAAATGTGTCTATGTTTTTATAATTGTTGACATATTACCATAGGAAGAATTCTCTTATCTCAATTTCTACTTATAATTATGAATCCTTTTAAAGCATATTGTTTCTTCGTGTCTCCTCTCTTCTTTTGATCAATGTTGATAGACGTCTACTAATTTTGTTTTGTTGTTTGAAGAACTAACTTCAAGTGTTAAAAACACTTTAATGTCTACTGTTTCTTTTACTATTTTATTTAATTATCATAATCAACTGATTTCTTTATTGTTGAGGATATCCTATTGTTCAGTTTTCTACCTTAAGTTGGACTCGTAACTCATTCATTTTGAGTTTGTATTGTTTAATATTATAAATACTGAAGGCTTTAAATTACCCTTAATGTACCACTTTTTATTGCCTTCTATAGTTTGATACGTTTAGATTTTCATTGCCAATTATCTGATTTATTTAAAATATCCATTATTATTTAATTATTTAGCACTGTGTTTCTAAATTTCTGATGTGGGGAAATTTTAGGTTGTTATTAAGTTCTTTGTATTTTTTTTTTTTTGAGGCAGAGTCTCGATCTGTAGCCCAGGCTGGAGTGCAGTAGCGCAATCTCGGCTCACTGCAAGCTCCGCCTCCCGGGTTCACGCCATTCTCCTGCCTCAGCTTCCTGAGTAGCTGGGACTACAGGCGCCAGCCACCACGCCCAGCTAATTTTTTGTATTTTTAGTAGAGCCGGGGTTTCACCGTGTTAGCCAGGATGGTCTCGATCTCCTGACCTCGTGATCTGCCGGCCTCGGCCTCCCAAAGTGCTGGGATTACAGGAGTGAGCCACTGCGCCCGGCCTGTTATTAACGTCTAAATTGCATTGAGAACAAAATGCGTGGAGAATATGATGCCTGTTCTTTAAAATTTGCTGAGATTTGCTCTTCACTTAGTAAATCATCAGTTTAGAATATCGTCCATGGGTTCTGAAAAGGATTTGCTTTTTCTTTTTCTTCACATGGCTAAGTGGGATTTATTCCTGGAATTCATAAGAAAATACATTCAATATATGAATACAAATCAATGTGATACACAGTATTAATGGAATAAAGGACGAAAAGAAAAACACATGGTTACCTCAATAACTGCAGAAAAGGTACTTAAAAATTCAATACCTTTTCATGATAAACAAAAAGTCAACAAACTACGAATAGAGGTTAATTTCCTCCACCTGATAAAGCACAGGATATGCTTTTTCTTCTTTTTGGATGTAGAATTCTGTGTTTGTCCAATAGGTCAAGCGTCTGTTAGCATTTTCTCAGGTGCATCATATTACTGCTTTTTGGGAGCAACTTGACATATCAGAAAGAGCTGTGTTAAAATCTGTTAGAATAATGGTGAATTTATCAACTTCTCATGAGTTGTGTTACATCTTTGAGAATATATTTTAAGTGTATACATACTTAGAATTTTTAACTTTCTAGTTAGTTGCAACTTTTATTGTCATGTAGTTACCTACTCTATCTCTAATAACACGTTTTGCCTTAAATTCTATTTTATTTGATATTAATGCTGTTCTGTCAGCTTTTTTGGCTAGTATATGTCTTATATCATGTTTATATAATTTACTTTAAACATTTATTTTTTCTTATGCTTTAGTGCTCATTCTTGATATTTTTTTATGCACTGTTGTAGAATTGGAGGTCCAACCAGATTTGGCATGTTTATTTGTTTTCTTATATTCTCAGCATTTCAGTATACATTTGTTTCATTGAATTGTAGTCACCATGTGTTGGTCCACTCTCTACTGTCTATCTAAAAAAGAATCTGACTTCTCATTCTAGTTCTTTGGCTACTTCAAAAGTAATTTTTAAAGGTTTTTTTAAAGAAGATATTGAATTCCTTGGCATTTAAATTTATTTAAAGCAGTCTAAAACACCCCTGGAAAATTACATTTCTAAGATAATTTCAGAATTAAGCTCTATCTTAAAGTGCCAATATGTGTGGTAATGATTCTACAAACCTATCTACTGTTTGCCTCCATTCATCACACCCTCAATTCCTGTGCATGAGAAGTCATGAGTGCAAATAGAACTGGTGGAAGAATCTGGGGTCAAAATATCTAGGAGTAAAAGAACAAAATAAAGAAACATATGCCAAAAAATTATATAAATAGAAAACTGAGAGAGTATCCATTAATTTCCTTTTTTTTTTTTTTTTTTTTTTTTTTGAGACAGAGTCTTGCTCTGTCACCCAGGCTGTAGTGCAGTGGCGCGATTGCAGCTCACTGCAAGCTCCGCCTCCCGGGTTCACACCATTCTCCCGCCTCAGCCTCCCGAGTAGCTGGGACTACAGGTGCCCGCCACCACGCCTGGCTAATTTTGTTTTGTATGTATCCATTAATTTCTAAAAGAAACACGTAGAAGTATTCAATAAATGTTTCAATTACTTATTAATTAATTAATCAGTTTAAGTACCTAGATTCTGGGTTGCCAAAGCTGTTACTAATAGGATGACTCAGTTTATTATCATTATTAAATTGCTACAATGTAATGTCAGAAAAACGCTGAGATATCAAAAAGGGAACAGTGAAATGGACCAAGGGTTCTAAAGGTCCCCTTTTTAAAATCAGGATAAATAGGATGAAGCAATGAATGTCCCTCATTTCTATTCATTATATTGAAAATGTTCATATAATCTCCTGGTCCTAAGCTGTGTTATTTATTATTATTCTGATTTTTTTAGATAAAGGAAAAAGCAGTGCATGGAAGCTGAATATAAGGTATGGGCAAACCAAGATCATTCATCTCATACGGTAATTATCTCTAAAGCAAGGGCTCCTCCAGGGTATTCCCTTTGCAGCAGAAGGGTCATTTTATCTTAAGGTCATGCCTACCTAAATTTCCCTATTCCCTAATGTTAGCATCGATAACCCACGCTGGGATTAATACAGCATACCTGCCTAAAATAACCTTCTATTACAAGGCTGGATAGTTCTCAAGACCACCTTTATTATCAATCTTATGTAATGATGAAAACACAAGGTTAGAAAGTTTAGATTTAATGTGAATCTATGAGATTCTTCTTCATAGTAACATGGGATGATAATGATTCAAGGTAATGGGAGAATCTATAGCATGCTATTGATTACTTCAAACTACAGATAAAAGACAAAACTCACAAATTAGGCAAACTATGGACAAATAGCATATAACTGAGTTTATTACTGTGCTGGGGGAGTAAGTAAGCTTACCTCAGATTCTCTACTGCTTCAAAATTTTATTTCAAGTGTTGTAGAGATGGTTTACTTCATCCAATCTAGATAATTATTTTATGTCTATTCTGGGAAAGGTATGCTATCACGTATTCTTCATATATAAAGATGTATGTTACATAAACCATGCTAGCGTAGCAATATAGTGCAGTGCAAAGAGTACTTAACTCGACACATTTGAGTTAAGTACAGTTGGGTACAAATCCTGGCAAGACTTGGGAAAAAGCAATTATCCAAGTAATTATAACCCATCTGTAAAAGGCTATAATAACAGGATTGATGTGAAGATTTAGTGAGATTACCTGCGTAAATCATCCACTAAGTAATTCATTCTCCAATATCTTGTTCTCTTTTAGTCTCTTCAGTAACACTCTATGAAATGTTTGAAAGGGTAAATGTATGTATGGCTGTTTAAGAGCTGCAACAATTTAGAATTTAAGACTATTTTTTTAATGCAGAGGCAGTCTAAAAATTTTGAAGTGAAATGTAATTAGAACTCTTTCATATAATATCAGTTAAAGTGAGAAACAGAATGAGAGAGACCATCATCATTCTCAAGTGTTGCTCATATAGAGAAAAATATACATATATATGATCTGGGTATGAAAAAATTATACAAACACGAAAGTAAAAATACATTATATAAAATGTACTATTTTACATATCACATTCCATGCATCATATATATTATATAAAATACATGTTACATTTGTATTATATACTATGTTATAATTTTATATTATACTATATACTAAATACACATCATAATATATTACATCCACCATATCATGTAATATTCATCAATGTAGTATATTATGTACATTATATATAATGCTATTTATTGCTGTATATTATATATCTTAATCACTTACATGTTAGTATATTATTTATTGTACATGACATCCTACATATTTATAATACATATTATATATTACATATTACATACTATGTGTGTAAATATAGAGATTTGCCTTGCATGTGTGTATAAAATAATCACTTATTGTAGTTATTATCCTATTTTCCCCATTTAATGAAAGATTTCTTACTGAGTGAGAAATTATATTAGTAGATTTTTAAAAAGATTGTTGTTACACTCGTAGTTGCTGCATGTTAGGAAAAGTAGGTTGAATGTTTCATAGGATTAAATTAAAAGAATATCACAATAGAATTAAGAAAAATGTATATTCTAGTGATATATTAATAAAAAGAATTTTTATTATTTGAAACAATGGTTCTACTTTATGTCATTCCACTTTATATCTCCAATTTAGCTATTTTTAAAATTTGCATTTCATTCCAATTTTTACACTGGATTTTAAACAGCAGTGGTAGAGTGGAATCCTTTCTGTCCATAGATAACAAAATTTCTCTCTAGTTGATCTGAAGAATTCCCTTGTTTCTATATCAGAAGTGGTAACTCTGTGAGCATTCTGTCTATTTGAACCCTTTTAATATTATCAGGTACTCTCTGTAATTACAGAACATCTAGATAAATTTAGTACTATGAACACAGACTTTGTGTTCCTAAAACAGTTTGCAGTGATAAACTAACTCATATTTCTGCCTTATTCTTTACTGAGCCATTAAAGTCACACTTTTTTGATACTATAATGTACAAACTTAATTTTATTATAACTTTCCAATACAATAAAAACTTCCTTTTGCTGCTTCAGCATTGTACTAGCAGGCTTTCATAATAGCTGTGACATTAGAAAAGGTCAAATGTTAGCTTTTCACACAAAGAGAAGATGCGAATATATATCTAAAATTAATTAACATCATCAAGAAAAATGAAAATCCAGAACAGTTTTTCCAAACTAATATGATTACCACCTCACAAAGTTTCTTCCCCGGCAGCTCCACAAATTCACGGTACACAGGCGAGAGTAGAGTAAGGTGGGAGAAGCACAGGCCCGGGAATCAAATGGATGGGTGTTAGAATCTCATTCTGGCACTTATGAGCTATAGATGACCTTCAGCAAGTCACATCACCTTCCTAAGACTTGGCGTGTATTTGTTTGTTTCTTTGTTCATTTGTTTTTCTGCAAAATGGAGATAACAATAACTACATGAAACCTTGTGTGCAAAGTATATAGCATAGAGCCAAGCCTACAATGTGCAATCTATAAATTACTATTTTCACTCATCTTATTTTGCAGTAGCATTCCAACTGAAGTCCTTGCCTCTAGTCTTCCTCAATACTCCATCCTTTGCTGAAATGCCTTCCTCTATAAACGATTCTTAATTCATACCAATCAACTACTATCTTTCTGAATTTATCTTTAAATGTTCTTCTTCCACAACAAACTTTATGTCCAAGTACATAGGCCTACTTTTCTTTGATCCAGGTATTCAGATATGGCCTATGCAATTCAGATGTAAATATTTAGAAACTACCGAAAAGAAATTTATGAAAATGAGCTCTGTGTACCTAGCATTATGCTAGACACTGAGCGATGATAAAGATACATCAGAAACGATTCCTGTTTTCAGGGACAGGAAGCTTTCTGTCTATAGAGGGACATTGCTTTTTTTACTTTTTTTTTTTTAACTTGGATTGTTTAGAACCAGAAACTAAATATGGTGGAATATTTTCCAAATGTTAGTAACATTATAGTTATCCAGGTTTCAATGTTATTAATCTTAATAATATTAAAGCAAGAGTATCAGAAGGGTTTGACTTGATTTCCCTTTTTTCTTTAAGCCAAGAAGCACACAGAGTGAACATTTATTTTATAGCAACAATGTCCTTGTAAAGCAGTAGCAATGATGAGCTTTCAGTGCATGCTATATAAACAATATATGCATTAAGCTATGTGGGATCATGAAGACACTGTTAAGTGAGATTAACCTTTCTCTTTATTAAGCCATTTGCTCCATGTAGTCCAAAAAACAAAACAGAAAGACAGAAAAAATTAAAATAAATATCCACAGAGTTAATATTCTCAACCTGGAGATAAGCTTGCAATCTGGAACACTGCAAAGGGATACATTGTTTGTATGCGTGTACTGTTTCTTAAATATTCCCCCAAATTCCCACATGTGTGACAAGTTGTGTGCCATCGGTAGCAGAGAGAAAGAAGGCAGGGCACAGTTAAGAGGATGCTCTTATGAGAGCATTTTGCATGTTGACAATAAAAAAATTAAAAGGCCAAGTTCATTCATTACAATATAGATAAGCATTACTGAGAGGTAGAAAATTGGATTTCTTACTCTTGCCAAAAATATTGTAAAAGGTATCCAGATTGCTCCAAAAGAGCAAGAAGACTTTTTGGAGATACTTTTTTGCTTTTCTCTATGCTGAGGCTGCCCCCTTAGCAGCACAACAGATGAAGGAAGAGGAATAGAAATTGCACTGAAAGTTGCTATTCAACTAAGTTTTGCTTTCTGACCATTTCCTTGTCCTCCAGTGCTCTGAAGTCAACTTTGAAAGACCAATATGCCTTCTCTGCTAATGGAATTCTTCCTTATTTTTTTATTCTCCCCTTCACCATGAAAAGACATTTTATAGTACCTTGGGTCCCTTTAGCTTTTACCATCTGTGGGCTCCAAAACTCTACTAACTAGAAAGGTAGCCTAAAGTGTATAGAACTAGGCCTCTACCCCAAGGAATTTTGTAATCTGCAAGGCTAGCCAAGTCAAACCTTTCTAACAAAGGGATTAAAAGTCAGACTGGTCATAAGAGTTCATCTAGTCTATTCACGCAACAAAACTACCATCTGTATTTTCAGACCACCAAGGATGATAAACCCACAAATGATTTTACCTTTCCAGAGAGCATAAGTTCAGCTCTATTACAAGGAATCTCCTTTCGTTGTTACATGTCTTCAATTATTGGAAAACATTAGCTTACACTAAATAGAAATTAGTCTTCCTTTAATTTCTACCCTAGAGTACTCTCTGGTATATAAGAGGATAATTTCCCTCCTCTAAAGAATAATATAACCACAAGTATGTATAGTCCTGCACACAAATCATGTTCATCAACACTTCAAATGTTTAGTGTCATGGAGTAATATGGCATCAAAATTTGTGTATATTAATTTTTTAAGAAAAATATTTTAAATCAAATGAAAATTCAGCATCCTAAATAGAGTATTATAAGTGTAATTTATATTTTGTTCAATAGCAACTTTCAATGCAATTTCTATGCCTCTTCCTTTAGGTTATCACCAGTATTAAAATAAATCGTTGTATTGTTCTCTAATATATTGATGCCTTCAGGATTTGTGGAATGTGGTAGAAAAATGTGTACCTATACTATATGTTCCTAGGATGTTTACCTTTGGGTCTTTGTATATTTTTTCTATATATATTTTTCCCCATTGTTTCTAAGTATCAGATTGTGAGGTCCTGCCCTTGTCACCTTGTCTGTCTCTGCCTCTGGCTGAAACTCTGTGCTTTTTAAAAATTTTTTTTCTTTTGTGGACAAGAATATTTCTTTTCTTTTTCTTTTTTAAAATATATTTAAATGGTACAAATGCAATTTTGTTATGTGTATATATTGCATAGCATTGAAGTCTATGCTTTCATCGTACCCATTACCCAAATAGTGAACACTGTAATTCAAGTAGTTTTTCAACCCTCACCCCATGCCCAACCTCCCTCCTTTTGGGGTCTCCAATATCTATTATTCTACTCTGTGTGTATGTGTGTAACCATTGTCTAGCTCTCACTTGTATGTAAGAACATGCAGTATTTGACCTTCTGTATCTGAATTATTTCACTTAGGATAATGGCCTCCAGCTCCATCCATGTTGCTTCAAAAGACACGATTGCATTCTTTTTATGGCTGTATGGTATTCTATGATGTGCGTGTGTGTGTGTGTGTGTGTGTGTGTGTGTGTGTGTGTGTTTGTTTGTATACATACATACCACATTTTCTTTATTCAATTTTCTGTTGCTGGACACTTATCTTGGTTCTGTAACTTTGCTGTTGTGAATAGTGCTGTGATAAATATATGAATTCAAGTGTCTTTTTGATATAATGATATCTTTTCCTTTGGGTAGATACCTAGTATTGGGATTGCTGGATCTAATGGTAGTTCTAGTTCTAGTTCCATACTGTTTTCCATAGAGGATGTACCAAATTACATTCCCAGCAAAAGTATATAAGTGTTCTCTTTTCTCTGCATCCTTGAAAACAGTAGTTGTTTTTTGACTTCTTGATAATAGTCATTCAGATTGGTGTAAGCTGGTATCTCATTGTGTTTTTAATTTGCATTTGGCTGATGATTAGTAATGTCAAGAATGTTTTATATCCTTGTTGGCCATTTGTATGTCTTCTTTAGAAAAATTTCTGTTCATGTCGTTTGCCCACTTTTTAATGGGGTTCTTTGCTTCGGTCTTGCTGAGTTGTTTGAATTCCCTGTAGATTCTGGATACTAGTCCTTTGTTGCATGCATAGTTCACAAATATTTTCTCCCATTCTGTAGATTTTCTGTTTACCCTGTTGATTATTTGTGTTCTGCAGAAGCTGTTTAGTTAAGTCCCATTTGTCTGTTTTTGGTTTTGTTACATTTGCCTTTGAGGACTTAGTCATAAATAATTTGCCTAGGCCAGTGATCAGAAGAGGTTTTCCTAGGCTTTCTTCTAGGATTTTTATAGTGTCAGGTCTTACATCTAAGTCTTTAATCCATTTTGAGTTAATTTTTATATATGGTGAAAGATAGGAGCCCAGTTTTATTGTTTTTCATATGGCTATCCAGTTTTCCCAGGAAAATGTATTAAACAGGGTGCCCTTTCCCCAGTGTGTATTTGTATCAACTTTGCCAAAGATTAGTTGATTGTAGGTATGTGGCTTTATTTCTGGGTTCTCTATTCTGTTCCGTTGATCTATGTGTCTATTTGTATACCAATACCACGTTGTTTGAGTCACTGTAGCCTGTAATATAGTTTGAAGTCAGGTAATTTGATTCCTCCAACTTTGTTCTTTCTGCTTAGGATTGCTTTGGCTATTCAGGCTCCTTACTGGATCCATGTGAGGCTTAGGATTTTTTTCCTGGTCTGTGAAACATGCCATTTGTAATTTGACAGGAATTGCATTGAATCTGTAGATTGCTTTGGTCAATATCGTCATTTTAATGATATTAGTTTTTCCAATGCATGAGCATGGGATGTTTTTCCACTTGTTAATGTTACCTACAATTTCTTTCGGCAGTGTTTTGTAATTTCCCTTATAGGGATGTTTCACCTCCTTGAGTAAATATATTTCTAGGTATTTTTTTTATTTCAATAGTTTTTGGGGGACAGGTGGTGTTTGGTTACATGGATAAGTTCTTTAGTGGTGATTTCTAAGATTTTGGTGCACCCATCACCCAAGCAGTGTACACTGTACCCAATGTGTAGTATTTTATCCCTCAACACCCCTCACCCATCCCCCCAAGTCCTTAAAGTCCGTTGTATCATTTTTATGCCTTTGCATCCTCATAGCTTAGCTGCCACTTATAAGTGGGAACATACGATGTTTGGTTGTCCACTCCTGAGTTACTTCAATTGTAATAATGGTCTCCAACTCCATCCAGGTATTCGCATTGCTGTGAATGCTGTTATTTCCTTCCTTTTTATAGCTGAGTAGTATTCATGGTGTATATATATATATATATATATATATATATATATATATATGCCAAATAGATATCTTATTTTTACATTGCTATTGTAAATGGGATTAACTTCCTGATTTGGTTCTCAGCTTCATTGTTATTGGCATATAGAAATGCAACTGATTTTTGTACATAAATTTTGTATCCTGAAACTTCCCTGAAGTCATTTATCAAATCTGGAATCTTTGGGGGAGTCTTTAGGGTTTTCTAAGTGATATTGGCTTCATAGAATGAAGCAGGGAGAATTCCTTCCTCAATTTTTTGGAACAGTTTCAGCAGGATTGGTACCAGTTCTTATTTATATATCTGGTAGAATTCGGCTGTGACTCTGTCTGGTCCTGGGCTTTTTCCTGTTGTTGGGAGATTTTTTTTAATCATTGATTCCATTTGACTATTCTTTATTGGTCTGTTCAGTATTTCTATTTTTTCTGGTTCAATCTTCGGAGATTGTGTATTTCCAGGAATTTGTACATTTCCTCTAAGTTTTCTAGTTCATGTGCATAGAGATCCTCATAGTAGTCTCTGTTGATGTTTTGTATTTCTGTAGTATCAGTTGTAGTGTCATCATTGTCATCATTACTGATTGTGCATATTTGAATCGTCCCTTTTTCCTTGGTTAATCTAGCCAGCAGTCTATAAGATTTGTCTTTTCAAAGAACCAACTTTTCATATCATTGATAATTCATATTGTTTTCTTGGTTTCAATTTCATTTAATTCCGCTCTGATATTTGTTATTTCTTTTATTCTGCTAGGTTTGGGTTTTTTTCTTTATTTTTCTAGTTCCTTGAGGTGTGACATTAGGTTGTTAATTTGAGATCTTTCTATCTTTTTGATGTAGGCATTTAATGATATAAAATTCCCTCTTTGCACTGCTTTTGCTGTATTTCAGAGGTTTGGCATGTTGTGTCTCTACTTTCATTCCTTTCAAAATTTTGTAAAATTTCCACCTTAATTTCATCATTGAGCCAACAATCGTTTTGAAGAAGGTTGTTTAATTTCCTTCTATTTGTATAGTTTTGAGAGTTCCTCTTGATTGATTTCTAGTTTTTTTCCACTGTGATCTGAGAAGGTACTTGATATGATTTCAGGTTTTTTTAAATTTATTGAGACTTGCTTTGAGGCCTAGTGTATGGTCTATTTTGGAGAATGTTCCATGCACAGATTAAAAGAATGTATATTCTGCAGTTGTTGAGTAGAATGTTTGGTAAATGTCTGTTAGGTTCATTTAGTCTAGAGTCCAGTTTAAGTCCAGAATTTCTTTGTTGGTTTTCCGTCTCAGTAATATCTCCAGTGTTGTCAGTGGGGTATTTAAATGCCCCACTATTATTGTACTGCTGTCTTTCATTTATTTTAGGTCTAGTAGTATTAGTTTTATGAATCTGGATGCTCTGGTGTTGGGTGCACATATTTATGATTTTATAGCTTCTTGTTGAATTGATCTTTTTGTCATTATACGATGATATTATTTGTCTTTTTGTACTGTTGTTTTGTTGTTATTGTTTCATTTTGTTTCCTTTGAGATGGAGTTTTGCTCTTGTTGCCCAGGCTGGAATGCAATGGTGCAATCTCGGCTCGCTGCAACCTCCATCTCCCGGGTTCAAGTGATTCTCCTGCCTCAGCCTCCCAAGTAGATGGGATTATAGGTGCTAGCCACCATGGCCAGCTAATTTTTGTATTTTTATTAGAGACGGGTTTTCACCATGTTGGCCAGGCTGGTCTTGAACTCCTGACCTCAGGTGATACACCCGCCTCAGTGCTGGGATTACAGGCGTGAGCCACCACGCCTGGACTGTACTGTTGTTAATTTAATGTATGTTTTATCTGATGTAGGTATAGCTACTCCCGCTTGTTTTTGGTCTCCATTTGCGTGGAATATCTTTTTCTACCCCTTTACTTTGAGTCTGTAAATATATTTACCATTTAGGTGTGTTTCTTGTAAGCAACCTGTGGTTACTTATTGGTTTTTTTATCCATTTCTCCAGTCTGTATCTTTTAAATGGAGCATTTAGTCCATTTACATTCAAGGTTAATATTGATATGTGAGATTTTATTCCTGTCATAATGTTAATTGTTACCTAGTTGCTTTGTAGTCTTAATTGTATCATTGCTTTATAAGACCTGTGAGTTTTATACTTTGAGGTATTTTTTATAGTATCACTCTTTCATTTCCATGTTTAAAACTTCTTTGAGCATTTCTTGCAGAACTAGCCTATTGGTGACAAATTCCCTTCGCATTTTCCTGTCTGGGAAAGAATTTATTTCTCCTTCATTTATAAAGTTTAGTTTATCAGCATGCAAAATTCTTGGCTGAAAGGTTTTTTTTTTTTCTTTAAAATACTGAACATAGGACCCCAGTTTCATCTGGCTTCTTAGGTCTCTTCTGAGGATTTTGCTGTTAGTCTGATGGGATTTTTTTAATAGGTGATTAGATGCTTCTTTCTTGCTGCTTTTAGGATTTTTAGCTGCATATCGACTTTTGATAGTCTGATGACTGTATGTCTCAGTGAAGTTCGTCTTGCAAAGTATCGTATTATCTGAGCCTCTTGTATCTGGATGTCTACATCTCTAGCAAAATCATGGAAGTTTTCTGAATTACTTTCTAAAATCGGTTTTTCAGACTTTTACTCTTTTAGCTTCTGCCTCAGCAATACCTGCAACTCAGAGGTTTGGTTGCTTTACAAAATCCCATATTTCTCAAAATCTTAGTCCATTTTAACTTTTTTTCTTCATTTTTG
Source organism: Homo sapiens (assembly GCF_000001405.40). NCBI lineage: Eukaryota > Metazoa > Chordata > Mammalia > Primates > Hominidae > Homo > Homo sapiens. The sequence goes on from NC_000023.11 coordinate 28,176,629, forward strand.
TCTCACTGGGTCAATTCAAAAGACCCATCTTCAAGTTCTGCAATTCTTTCTTCTGCTTGGTCAGTTGTTAAAGCTTTCAGCCATATTTTTTAATTTCTTCAGTGAACTTATTTCCAGAAGTTCTATTTGGTTTCTTTTTAAAATAACTGTCTCTTCAGTAAATTTTTCATTCATATTCTGAATTGGTTTTCTGATTTCCTTGTGTTGGTTTTCAACTTTCTCTTGCATCTCATTGAGTTTCCTTACAATCCATATCTTGAATTATTTATCTGTCATTTCAGAATTTTCATTTTGGTTAGGGTCCATTGCTAGAGAGCTAGTGTGATCCTTTGAGGGTGTCAAAACATTCTTTTTACTCATACTGCCAGAGTTCTTATGCTGGTTTTATCTCATTTGGAGAAACTGTCACTTCTTATTTTAAAATTTACTTTTGTTTCACTAGTACCCCTTGAGGGTGGGGTTGTAGTCTATGTTCGGTAGGCTCATTTGGCTTTGCTTCTGGGTGCTTTCAGGAAGCCAAGAGTCTGTATGAATTCTTTGGTTATTGATAACCTTAGTGTGGTGGTTTTTTTCAAATGCTGCTTACTTATAGGTTATAGTAGTGGTGAACTGAGTTTGTATGCAAGCTCGATTTCTCCTGCAGAGACAGGGAGGGGGAAGTCTCAGGAAGCTTATCTCATTCCCTGATGCTGTGCATTTCCTTCAGCAGGTGTTTTATTGGGTTGTGCAGGTGTGTTTTATTGGGTTGGCCACCTACTTGGCCAGTAGGTGGCGCTTCCAGGAGGGACACAGCTGTGTTGGTGGCAGTGGGACTTAGGCTTGGCCTTTGTTAATCAGGAGAAGTACTTGGATGTCCCAGGCAATAGGTGGGGCTGTGGAACTCCAAACGTTCCCCATTCGGTGCTCTGGCACCAACACAGGTGGAGGGGGCAAGACTGGGCCTAGCTGGGTTGAACAAGCCAATATCTAGGCTCACTAATGGCAGGCGCAAGTGTTGACCCCAGCATGAGTAGCAGGCAGCTCTCAGGCTGCTAGGGCAAATGTCCAGGGAGAGGCACAGGTGCATCTCCTACACGAAGGAGCCCACACAAGGATAAGGGCGGTCCCGAATCCACAGGCCAACAGGCAGCAGGGGGACCAACCCAGATCCCATGTCTCTGACTCAGGGAGTTCCCCTGTGGTGTCCAGCAGCAGGCCCAGTCCCAAGCAGTGTGTGTTCAGATCACAAAGCCACCCCAGGACAGGAGACTCCCTTCCCAGGGCAGAAACTGAGGCTCTCAGACCACGCTCTTCCTGGTCCAGTCCCACAAAGGGAAGGGCACCCAGCTCCTGCATCACAGGATGAAACCATGCTACACTCTCCTGTCATTTCTTACCTTTTGGAGTTCTGTACCCACTCCAGACGAGGTCACAAATCTCATCCCCATTCCCCTGGACATCATGCTCAAGTCGTGGGAGGATGGGAGTAGGCCAGTGGACTTGCCCTCAGACACTCAGACTCAAGTACTATCTTCAATAGGGATAGGTGGGCTGGTCCAAGGCCACTAGTGGAACACTAGGGTGGGGCAATGGTAGCTGCACTGTGGGCCTGCCACCAGGAAGGTCAGGCCCCTCTTCATGGGAATGGCCATGCAGGCAGGTTTGGGGGAGGCTAGAACATGTGTGGCACATGGTCCAAATGCTCTGTGGTCCCACAAGAGCCCACAGCAGTGGTGGTGGAACTTGTCCTTGGGGCACATGTGAGCACTGGGCCTCCCTGTTCCCTACCTGGCCTGGTAGCAGGCGGCAGCAGCAGCAGTGGCCTCACTGCAAGATGCAGAGCCTTGGGGGATGAGCTCCAAGAATGGCACTATGCTGCAGCTGCCCAGTGATTAGAAGCCTATGGGACTGGAGCAGTACCTGTGCATAATCTCCAGGCAACTACCTATACCAGTGTGGAGGTCTGAGGGGATTGAGGACCTCTCCTGTAGTTTGTATTGTAAATGTCCATGGCAAGAATGAGGAGCTCAGTGCGGGGCGGGGTGGGGGGTGCGGGACGGGGAGGGCGGTCTCCCACTTAACCCTTTCTTGGGTCCACAGGCTGCTCCTGGCTTCCAGCGACCCTGAGCAGACAGCCCTTCTTTTCCTTCCTTCACCCTCGGTGTCTCCTGTTGCTTCTCTTGAATTTCTCGTGTCGTTTCTCAGACAGTCCATTCAATGTGTAAATATCTATTCAATATTTTGGTTTCTCTCTTTGGAAGAGGCATGCCCCAGGTGCATCTAGTCAGCCATCTTGAGCCTCTTCCACCTTTTTAAATTTTTTTAATTTTAAATTTTTGTGTTGGTTTTGTTTTACTTCATTTTTATTTTTAACTGACAAACAATAATTGTATATATTTATGGGATATAATGTGATTTTTTATATATGTATACATTATGGAATGATTATATCAAGCTAATTAACATTTATCACCTCACATACTTATCACTCTTTTGTAATGAGAACATTTAAGATCTATTCTTTTAGGAATTTGAAATATACATTATTAACAAGGGCTAATAATATATTAATAATCATGCTGTGCAATAGATCTCATAAAGTCTTTCCTCCTTTCTAACTAAATCTTTGTATCCTTTAGTCACTTCTCTCCATTCCCCACCCCAATGCCCCGTCTCCCAACCTCTGGTAACCACCCTTGTACTCTCTTCTCTTATGAGTTTAAATTTTTTAGATTCTGCATGTAAGTGGGATCATGCAGTATTTGTCTTTCTGTGCCTGGCTTATGCCACTTAACGTAATGTCCTTCAGATTCATCCATATTGTTACAAATGACAGGACTTTCTTCTTCCTTAAGATTGAGTAATATTTTATTGTGAACATATTCTTTATCCATTCATCTGTTAATAGACCCTTAAGTTGCTTCTATATTTTGATTATTGTGACTAGTACTGCAATAAACATGCAAGCACAGAAATCTCTTTAACATACTGATGAAACCCTGTGGTTCTAATCTTATGTGCCTTTAGAAGTTATATAGCCAAACTCATTACAAAGGTATCTAACAGTGCCACTGAGTGAGTTTCTCATCAAAAAAAATGTATAAACGTAAATATATGCTGTGGTGGACAGACCTTGAGGTGGCTTCCATGATTCCTACCCCACGGTGACCAAGCCTTTTTGTAATCCCCTCCTGAGTATAAGCAGAACTTGTTTCTAAACAACAGACTATGGCAAATACGATGAGATGTCACTCCCTTGATTAGGTTACATTATCTGGCATAGTGAAGGGATTTTGTAGATATAATTAAGGATTATAAATTAAATCAATTGATTTTGACCTATCAAAAGAAAGATTATCCGGGTGGGTCTGTCTTAATGAGAAGAAATCCCACTGGGCCCTCCCTGAGGTTAAAGACTCTCTCTCCAATGCTGGCTTTGAATAAGTAAGCGGCCATGTTGTGAGAGGGTCTATAGTAAGGACCATGTGGCCAGAAACTACTGGAGGTCTCTAGAACCTAAGGGCAGCCAACAGCTGACAGCCAGCAAAAAGCTGGGGCCCTCAGTCTTACAGCTGTAAGAAAATGAACTTATCCAACAACTTGAAAAACTTGGAAGCAGGTTTTCAGTCAATCTGGTGATGAGCCACAGTCATAGCTGACACCGTGATTGCAGCCTTGTGAGACCCTGAGCAGAGAACTCAGCTAATTAGAAACATCTGGCCTGACACAAAATCCACCATCTCCCCTGACTCCACGTTTTATATGGGAGTGCCAAAGGGCTGTTTTATGTGAGATCATGCAAATGCTCTGTCAGTGAATACAAAGTGTCTTCCAAGTTTTCCCCTTCTTGCTTTGGTCCACTTTAATGGCATCTCACCCTAGGCCCAAGATGCTTATTATGTTATATGAACACATATAAGCCACATTTACCAGTGTTATCTCCTAATGCTGGTGTTGATACCAATCAAAGTGATCAAAATTGGCATTGTGTGAATGACACAATGAAGAGTGTGTAGCTGGAGGCCCCACCTGATTCCCAAAGGAGTGCAACCTTATACAAATCAACATTGGTTCTTAGTACTATTCTTGCTTTAGAACTCAGTTTCTGATCCATGAAGATTGCCTAAAGCTTTGTCCCCAGTAACATCAGCATCACACAGGAGTTCGTTAGAAATGCAGACTCTCAGGCCACACTCTGGACCTACAGGATCAGAGCCCAGATTTTAACAAGTGATATGTATACACATTAAGATCTGGAAAAAATGGAGCTAAGAAACCAATACCTGAGATATATTAACATCTTCTAAATCTTTCACAAATATAAAAGCTGCTGCAAACTGTACTCTCCCTATCACTTTAAATCATCCCTACATCTTCCAGAATTTCACAAACACCCCTTTTGAAACAAACTTGCATTTCATTTTTCACTACACAAGGTATTACTAGAAGCTATTGAGTTTTTCACTATGATCAGCCCTTCGTATCTAGCATAAAACTGGACATATTACCTCCCATTATAAGTGCAAAACCATTTTTATATCTCTTTAAATTCCTATTAAGAAGATTTAAAGTGTGAATACATTTTAATCCAGCAATTATACTTCAAGGAATTTATCCTGAAGATATACTCTCACAAGTGCAAAAGGGCAGATGTTCTAGGATGTTCACTGCAGTGCACTGATAATAGTACTGACATCTAAATATATAAATGTCCATCAATCAGGAACTAGTTAACATAACTTACGATATAGCCATATAATCTGCACTTTCACAAACTATGAAGAAAATATGCTTGTGTCTGATAAGGAAAGATATCTAATAAATATTTAAAGGGTAAAAAGTAAGTTATAAACTTATGTGCTATTATTTGAGTGCATAAGTTATATATTTAAATGTATGTATCTGCATGTGTATAATTTTGTATACCTTGAAACTCTGTAGTTGGCATTATATGTTGGCTTATCTGATATTTATTTTCAACTCTCTTTTCCCCTATCTTCCTCTTCTGTGGAGGCTCTAAAAGGTAAGAACCTGATTTCCCAGACAGTCTTCCAGCTAGGATTGACCATGTCAAACCTCTCTGGCTAATGATGTGTTATCGAAAGTCTAGCATTACAGCCTCTTCCCCTTCTTTTACCCTGCCTGTAATGCAGGGTGAAAACTGGAGGTATAGCAGCCAACTGGTGACCATGAAGCAGCAAATATGAGGCCTAGAACCAACATGCTAGCGTGAGGGGAAAAAGCAATGTGTGGTTGGGCGCAGTGGTTCACGCCTGTCATCCTAGCACTTTGGGAGGCCGAGGCAGGTGGATCACCTGAGGTCAGGAGTTCAAGACCAGCCTGGCCAACCTGGTGAAACCCTGTCTCTACTACTAAAAAAAAAAAAAAAAAAAAATTAGGTGGGCATGGTGGTGGGCGCCTGTAATCCCAGCTACTCAGGAGGCTGAGGCAAGAGAATCACTTGAACTCAGGAGGCGGAGGTTGCTGTAAGCCGAGATGGCGCCATTGCACTCCAGCCTGGGCGACAGAGCGAGACTCCGTCTCAAAGGAAAAAACAAAAACAAAAACAAAAACAATGTGCTGGAGTCTCTCATGGCATCCTAGGTCAACAACAGTAGCGCTGGGATGCCTACCTCTGTGTTTTTTTCAATGAAAGGTAATTAAATCCCTAGATATTTAAGCCACTACATGGAGGTTTTTGGTGGTGGTGGTGATGATGATGATTATAATGAAACTAATTTCTAATGGCTACAAGTGTGAATTTTGAAGAATGGGATAAGAGGCAGAGGAAGTACTTCTATTTTTTAAAATGTTTACTCTTTTGTAATGTTTGACATTTTATTCAAAGAAAATGACACATACACAAAATGACTGACTTTAAATTTCTGGTATTTATTCAATATGGATAATATGAGAAAAAGTTGAATGTGTCCTCCCATAACAGAGTGGTTGCTAAAAGCACAAATATAATTACGTTAGTGATTATACAACTTAGTTGACAAATGAGTGCTCCTCTCAGGGAAAGAAGGTAATTTCACCTCTCTTGTTTTAAAGGAAGTTAGTTAACTATTCCAATTTGTAGAATAATGGTAATGATGGGGCTTCATATGGTTGAATGATAATGCCCTTCCCCTTTTTGTTCTTTTTGCGACGTTTGAAGAAAAATGAAAATAGGGCCCTAAAAGAAGAAATGAACTAAGTATCTAGGGGATTTTTCTTCATGAAGCCTTTTTTTCTCAAGCGGTAGCTACAGGTTGTGTTCCTGTATAGGAAAGGGTTAAGTCTGCATGTCTGGATTGCTCAAACTCTACACATTCCCATGAAAGGCCAGATTTTAGGGTCAGCCCTTGGCTGGCTCTTGGGAGCTGAGCTCTGAGTTCTTGGAATGTTCTGCCTGTACCAGTCTGACTAGGTAGTTTATGCTAACGATGTGATTTATTTTTGCTGTTTTTGCTCTGGGGGTCAGGAGTCTGAGTAGGTGACATCAGTCATGTATGCCTATATGATTGACCCCAATAAAAACCCTGGACAAAAAAGCTTGGAGGAGCTTCCCTGATTGGTATGTGTTGTCCCACATTATTGTTGGGCGAATTAAGTGCATCCTGCATAGCTCCCCTGGGAAGGACACTTGGAAGCTTGTGCCTGGTTTCTCCTGGACTTCACCCCATGGAAGTTCTCCTTTTGCTGATTTTAATCTGTTTCATTTTGCTATAATACACCATAACTGTGCATATAAATGCTTCTGAGTCCTATGAGTCCTCTAGCAAATAATCTAGCACAAGGGTGGACGTGGGGACCCCTGAGATAGTTACCTAAAGTTAAATAGCAAGAGCTGTAAATAACTAATAAGTTGTTTGATGCTAATTGTGAAGCTATAAGTATCCCCTCAAAAGATCCTTTTCTTCCAGAAAATGGATTGAGATATGAAGGCATACTCTGAGAAAATGTATAAATAAGTGTGAAGTAGAAATAGAAATCCCTGCAACTAATGATTATTGAGATTGATATGAATTATGTTTTCTAATATTTTGGTTTAACTTTTTAATTAAAGCATTTAACTTGGCATTAGAGAAAATGATTGGATTGGAAAATACATTATTCCTGTAGTCAGTCATGTCAATGGGATGTAATAGAGAATCTATAGTCAAGGTCACTAAAACAATAAGACAAAAGTATTCAGGGAGAAACACTCTCAAGAGGTAAAACTTTGTGCCTAAATGAAAAATAACTTCATAAATAGTCTAAAAATATTTCATATGAATAAAGGCTTAGATATCTTTTAGTTTTGTGAATTATTTACCCTTCTGACAGCCCCTCTTTGATTTCTGTTCATAGATTGTCACATCTGTTTTAAAATTATATACATTTAGCAAAAGAAAAGCAGCACAAAGATAATCTTAAAATATGGAATAATGTGAATATTAAATGTACCTTCTCCTTAAGCTTAATAAAATTATTTACTTGTTTTGTTTATGATTTATTTAACTGGCCTTGTTCCAGAAAGTTTAGCAGTTGGCTAAAACATTTTCTGAAGGAAAAATTCTATGTTTACTTAGAAAGTGAGGAAACTGAGACATAAGATTCCTTAATGAGACATATTAAAATTCCTGGAAAGAAGGTTACCTTGTTTATAGTAAATTATATAAATAAATAATTTTTAACATATTTTGGGAGGCTGATATAAAACTAGCAGAGGCCTAGAAAGAATTATCTTGGAGGCTCAACACGTAGTGTCATGGTGTACAGGAAAATCAAACTTTTTTTCTCTGTACTCACACTCAACACAGAACACTTCAATTTGGACACTAGATGTGTGAGGCTTTTTTTTTAATTTCACATATCAAGTAGTTCTCTAATTATTTGCAGACACCAATTGATGTCATATAATTTCATTCAATTCTGACATTATCTACCTGAAGTTAGCGTAGACCCCACAGGTTAAGGACTCAGTCCCATGGGACTTGCCCCCACTTCAAATACCAGTCACAAATGGTGGGTCCTCAACTTCTGTCCAACTTGGCTACAAATTGGTGTTCCCACAATCCGCTTCTCAGATTCAGTCATTTGCTAGAATGGCTCACAGAACTCAGGGAAACACTTACTTGTGTTTACTGATTTATTAGAAAGGATATTACAAAAGATACAGATACACAGCAAGAGAAAGAGGTTGGAAGGGTCCCGAGTGCAAGAGCTTCTGTTCCTGTAGAGTTGGGATGTGCCACACCTCTGGCACATGAATGCGTTCACCACCCCAGAAGCTCTATGAGCCACTATACTTTTGAGATTTTTATGGTGATTTCATCAGATAGACATGATCAATTATTAACTTAGTCTCCAACTCCTCTCACCTCCCAGAAGAATAGGGAGTAGGGCTGAAAGTTCCAAGCTTCTAATCATGGATTGGTTTTTCTGGTGACCATCCCCATCCAGGATCTCACCAAGAATGTGTCATTAGAACAAAAGATCCTCCTATCACCTAGGAAATTCCAGTGGATCCAGGAGCTCTCTTTTTGTGCCTCAGGAACCAGGGTCAAAAACCAAATAGTAAAACAAAAGATGATCGTAGCATTCCTATTGCTTAGGAAATTACAAGAGTTTTAGAAGATCTGTGTCAGGAACTGAGGGGCAGACACCTATATATATATATATATTTTTTTTTTTTATTTCACACATGATATATGTAGACCTTCATCAGTTCATTTCTTCATTGAATATTTCTTCAGTTCCAGTTGTGTGCCGAATCCTGTTCTAGCATTAAAGATACCAATAAAACTATTTTTCTTCGTGGAATTTATATTCTATTAGAGGAAACAGCTGGTGAATAACTCCACAAGTAAAACATTCTATATATCGGATAGTGCAAAGTGCTATCTAGAAAAATAAAGCAAGAAAGACGTTTCAGGACGTAGGCCCTGTGTTTTACAAATTTAAATAGCATGAGAGTAGACTCAGTTACGCTGATGTATATGTGTATACTTGCTTGGTAAGGTTATCAAAACCACATTTGTAGAATCACTTTAAAACTAACTTGAAATTATGACACATAGTAAAATTGTATCATGTTAGATCAAGTTTGGTATAATATGATTTACCAGTAGAATATGTAATACAAGAATAAAGTGAAAGAAACAGATTTGGTAGAAGGGAGGTTGCTATGGTTTGAATGTTTGTGTCTTCTCCAAAATTCATGTTGAAACTTAATCCCAAAGGCAACAGTATTATGAGGTGGGACCTTTAGGAGATGCTTAGGCCATAAAAGCTCTACCCACATGGATGGGATTAGAGCCCTTATAAAAGGGTTTGAGGGACAGAGTTTGCCCCTTCCATCACTTTTGCCCTTCCATCTCTTCCACAATGTGGACAACATTCATCTTCTCTGGAGGACGCAGCAAAAATGGTGCCATCTTAGAAGCAGAGACTGGCCCCTCACCAGACACCAAACCTTCCAGAGCCTTGATCTTGGACTTCCCGCCTCCAGACCTGTGAGAAATAAATGTCTGTTGTTTATAAATTATCCAATCTCAGGTATTTTGTTTAGAGTAGCACACGTGGACTAAGAGGTAGAGAAGTAGTATTTGTTAGAATGATAAGCTTTTTATGTGGTGATTTGTACTGAAATAACATAAAAATGTCTCTTTTTAAATCAGAGGAATGTCTACACATATATCCTCAAATAACAACTAGCTTGCAACTGAATAATTTGAGGGGCAAAGTACTTCATATCAAATTGTGATAAATGGACCAACCTACATTGTTATTCAACTGAAAAAGAGGAATGCATATCTTTGGTAGGCTGCCTTCTAAAATGGCTCCTCTCTCATCTCCTAGAATTTTCACTTTTGTCTAACTTTTTCCCTTTGGTATGAACTGAACCTAGTTATTATGACAAATAGAGAACAGCAAAAACAATGGCATGTGACTTCTAAACTTAGGTTACAAAACTGACTTCTGTCTTGCTGACACTCTCACTTCTCTTTCACTTGCTCACTTTGAGAAAGCAAGCTGCCATCTTGTGAGCTGTACTGTAGAAAAGAATATGTGGCAAGGAACTGAGGGTGGTCTCTGACCAATATCCTGCAAGGAATTGAGACCATCAGTTCAACAGCCTGCAAGGAAATTAATCATGCAAACGACTACTGATTCAGCTTGGAAGTGGATTCTGCTCTTGAGAGACTATGGCCCCAGCTGAACCTTAATTGCAGCCATGTGAGAGTCTGAGCTGGAGGACCCAACTAAGTGGTTCCTGGATTCCTGACACACAAAAGTAGGAGATAATAAATATTGTCATTTTCAAGTCACTGTGTTTGGGGAAAATTTCAAAGGCGCAATAGGTAACTAAGACATGATTGTTCTCCTAGATTTCTAAGGCAACACATATGTTATCACACCTAAAACTTTAATGTGGTATGTGTGCTGGCTATTACAGTGGTTCAAATGATTATGTAATTTAAGAGTGCTCACGATATTGGTATGTACACAGTTGATCAATTAGAACCTGTTGCTCCCACTAAATGATCCAGTCACGATTGGAATATTAACAGTTTTAAGGTTTAAAATACTAAAATGTAAGATTTTTGTCAACTTTCATTAAATACTACAAATTCAGTGATGAAGGGGAGACTAGCACAGGAATAGAGATGAATTAGTAGAAGACTTTCACTTGGTAAAGTCAAAAATAATAGTAACTAATAATTTATAATTTTAATTTATTTTATAAAAACTGCACGATATGCAGTCATTTCAAAGAACTACACTGAGGAAACATTGCGCCAATGATAAAAAGAGGAAACAGGAATGATAAAGTAGTTTATATATGCTGCAGACTATGAAGATAGAGGAATTAGAAAAGATTTTTCCAGAAATAATTACAAAACTGACAAGAATAAGGTATAGTAGTTTTAATTAATTTAATATGCATAGAGTGCCCATTATATATTTTTGAAAGATAATACTGATTTTTTTTCCTTGGATTCTTATTTCCAATATTCTGAACTACATTGCTACCTATGACTTTACCAGGGAAACAAGTTAGCCCTTTGCACAAAATGTATTAAATCTCTTAGAAGATAAACCTGGTATTTGCCATTCACCCTGTGAACCGTTCATCCTCTGTATCCATTCATGACTTCTCCTTCCAACTTGTGATATTTTTCAGTCAATAGAAGACCCTATCTGCTACTTCCATTTAACTATTAGCACCTTATCATCTTTTCTCTCTCACATCCAAGGTTAGAACATTCATTTATACTGGACTTGATTTTCTGCAATTCACCTTGCTGCTAACAGGGAGAAAAGCATACCTCTATTATATCACCCCTAATTCACGGATGAAGTGTGTAATTGTCATGTAACAAACCTAGAATAATTGAGTCACACCAAAAGCTCCTTGCAGATGGTTATTAACAGGCAATGGTCAGATATCATCTAATGAAGTAAAGCAACTTATTTTTATTTAACTCTGTTCTAAGAGGTAGACAGACCTTTAAACCCAATAACTTTCAGGTGAATCTAAGTCAAATCTAAGAGAGCTTACATAAGACAAACTCCTAGACATCTGCTATATGAATCATAGAATCATTGTTTATATCCTTTTCTTTCAAACTACCAGATCTCATTTTCTCTCAGAAAATGGTGCAGGGGTTTATTTGTAACCCACATAGTCTACAGGGAGGTAAGGCACTCTTCAAATGGGAGTCAAATCCACAGCACTACAGGCTGAGTAAAAACTTGTGTCTTAGAAATATAAGTTGAAAAAAAAGCTTATTGCCATTTCCAACAAAACAATCTGTATTAAACATGCTTTTATTTTATTTTTTACTTTCAGAAGTGTCTCATCAATTTTCTAGAATAAACGTACCTGATTCCCTGTGTGGATGCATAAAAATTTATTATATCAACTGTATTAATTTTCTATGGCTGCCATAATAAATTACCACAAACTTGGTGGCTTAAAACTACAGAAATTTATTCTCTTACAATTCTGGAGGCCAGAAGTCTAAAATCAGTATCACTGGGCAGACATCAAAGTGTTGACTGGGTCACACTCTTTCTAGAGAGTCTACAAGAGAATCTGTTCCTTGCCTCTTACAGCTTCTGGTGGCCAGGGGCATTCCTTGGGCATTTCTGGACTTGTGGCTATATCATTCCAATCTCTGCCTCTGTTATAACACTGTTTCTTCTCTTCAGTCTGTGACAAGTATCTCTCTGCTTAATGTCCCTTAAAAGGATATTTGTGATTGTATTTAGATTCGACCTGGGTAAACCAGGATAATCTCCTCATCTCCACATCCTTAACTTAATTACATCTGCAAAGACTCCTTTTTCCTATATCCAGAGATAAGGAACTGATATCTCTCATTATTCAGCTTACCACATCAACCAACTTTAAATTATAAAGTAGTACTCTTTAACGATTTGATTCATCACACACCCACATCACTGATTAATAGGATTCATTTGGAAGCTACAAGTTTTAAAATAGATTTGGTTTTCACCAATTCAGGGGGAAAATGAATTCCATAAATGGAAACACTTCATGGGAAACACCTGATATTGAGGGTTATGTCATCATCAACTTAAATACCACAGTTATTTCAACAGCTGAGTCAGTGCTTATGAAACATATTAGCTGGAATGCAACCAAGACCATAAGCTTCTGAATCACTAAATTAAGAGCATCTACTTTTATTAGAATGCAGAAGCAAACAGGTAGCTTCTTCAAAACCCAAAGTGACAAAATAGTGATTATATGTAATTATCTATATTTTAAAATGTGGCTGTTTGCATTCACCTTTTAGTGAGTCATATAATGACTCACCACATACTTTCTTTAAATGATAAGTTCCATTAATGATTCCATTCACACATCTTTGATTCATCCATATAATGTTAGGAACAAAGCTATTCTCTATCTCTTACATATATGTGTTTATGTGTGATTAGTACATTGCCTCTCTCTTCCTTCATCTATGTATTTACATATGTATATATGTGTCTATCTACCTATCTACCTAGTTACCTACCTATGCAAACTATATATGTAGTTCTACAAGTAACTTTTTTAAAAAAATTACTTAATATATAATAGACAAACAGCTGGGTCTGTTCTTGTAACTAGTACATAGTACAGTATTGCATTTTATATGCTAAAAATCCATTATTTTACCCCATTTTTGATATTACAAACAATGCTAACTCGTTTTGATAAATGCCCTTTTGTAAGATGTATAAATATTCCTGCTATTTTGTAGTTTATTTTTACTTGTGATCTTTTAGCATAAAAATCTGTTTAAATTTAGGTAGTAATCTTTCTTAAATTCTCTTTTATGTTTTCTGAAACATTTTCTAATTTAACAATTCATTTCTCATGCTAAATTAGAAAGAACCCCAATCTTTTATATTTTCTAGTAATTTCAAAGTTTTGTTTTCATATTTAGACCTTTAATCTACAAAGTATTTAACTTATAAAGTAAATGATGTGAAGTAGAGATATAATATTCTTTATTCAAATGAAGGGCCTGGTCTTCATATGTGGTCTCATACCATGTATACTCTATCCACCAATGTGAAATATCCCCTCTCTTTCATTGATTAATTTGTCATCCATGTGCTGCTAATACCAGGGTCTAAAATGAACTTCAGATTTTAGCTCCATTAATACTTCCTCTTGGACCCATATATCAAGATCCAAAGTCCTCTATAATAAGCTCTCTTAATTCCAACTACCTCAGCAATGTAGCACAGATTATGATTTATTTTTATAAGATTTTTTCATTTTTTTATTTTTTTGAGATGGGGTCTCGCTCTGTTGCCCAGGCTGGAGTGCAGTGGTGTGATCTCGGCTCACTGCAACCTCCGCCTCCCAGGTTCAAGCAATTCTCCTGCCTCAGCCTCCTGAGTAGCTGGAACTACAGGTGCACGCCACCACGTCCAGCTAATTTTTGTTTTTCAGTAGAGGCGGGGTTTCACCATATTGGCCAGGATGGTCTCAATCTCTTGACCTCATGATCTGCCAGCCTTGGCCTCCCAAAGTGCTGGGATTACAGGCATGAGCCACCATGCCTGGCCTCTCTTCTTATAAGTTTTTATAAATTAATATATGCCCAAAATAGATAGTAAATATGCTTTGTAAGGACAAGAATTGTGATTTTACTCAGGATAGAATTCCCAATATATACAGTATCTGATAGAATGTAGGCATGCAGTGAATATTTTGTGAGTGAATAAATCAATGAATAAAAGACTGAATGACTGTTTTGATATCTAATAAAGTTTCCCTCATTTTTAAGCTGTTCTTGTTCAATATTCTTCATTTAATTGTTTGATAAGTTTGGAGAGACATGATGCTTTATCAAGGCCGAGTCTTACCATTGAAGATCATAGTGTATCTCTCCAACAATTAAAGTCTATTTATTTCCTTCAATAAGGGTTTTTAGTAATTGTTTTATTTTTCTTCAAATTTAACCATTTGTTTTTCCAATTAAGTAATGATAATAATATTTCACCATTATTATGATGTCTGTTGTTAAGTTTCTGCTAAGTAGTTTTTATCAAGCTAAGAAATTTTCTGTCTACACTGAGCTACTTGTAAAATTTGTTTTTTTTAAGTTTTTAAATTTTTTAATTTCTATGGGTACATGGTAGGTGTATATGTTTGTAGAGTACATTAGATGTTTTGATACAGGCATGCAATGTGTAATAACTCGCATCATGGAGAATGGGGTATCCATCTCCTCAAGCATTTACACTTAATATTACAAAAAATCCAATTACATTCTTAGTTATTTTAAAATGTACAATTAACTTATTATTGACTATAGTCACCCTCTGTGTTATCAAATAATAGGTCTTATTCATTCTTTCTATTTTTTATACCCATTAACCATGCCCAGCTTCCCCCAAACCCCTATTCCCCCAATACCCCTACTCCCCTTCCCAGCCTCTGGTAACCATCCTTATCCTCTCTATGTCCATGAGATCAGTTGTGTTGAATTTTAGATCCCACAATTAAGTGAGAACATGTGATGTTGGTCTTTCTGTGCCTGGCTTATTTCACTTAATATGGTGATCTCCAGTTTCATCCGTGTTGTTGCAAATGACAGGATCTCATTCTTTTTTATAGCTGAATAGTACTCCATTGTGTATATGCACTACATTTTCTTTATCCATTCATATGTTGATGTACACTTAGGTTGCTTCTGAGAGAGGAGAAAGAAAGAAAGAATCAATTAGGCAGATAGTTAGGGTGAGAGTCTTTGGCAGAATTCCCTTCTAACAAAAAGACCAATAAGTCATTTCTCTTTCAGCAAAGAGCAGCCTGAAAGATCAGGCTGCAAACACAGATAAGGAAGGCAAGTTCTAACAAACAAAGGGACCTCCCATGTAATCAGCAAGTTTTGCTGACATACAGTGGGCCCCATTGAGCATATTCCTCTCCCTTCTTGGATATACTCAGACAAGGAAGCTTGCAAAAGGTAGGGGGTGCCTGCAACAGCACTGAAAAGAAGAACTGCCCTGGACCAGGCACGTCCACCTTCCAGGGTTCTGCCCTGCCCTTTTACACGTGTGCAGTAGGAAGAGATAAGCAACATGGAGTAACTTATGCTAAAGAGCCCACATGTGCACTAGAAAGGTTGGGGTGGGGACAGTCAGAAATTCATGACTTACGCAAATGACACACCTAGTCCTGACCGGTTTTTCGTGCCTTATGTAAATGAATCACCCCTCTCCACCAGCTCATTTATAAAAACCCTTGCATTTCACTGTAAAACAGCAACCCATTTTTCCAGGACCCCTCTGTGCACCAGAGAGCTTTGGTCCTTTTGCTTATTAAACTTCTGCTCTAACCTCACCCTTGGAGTGTCCTCATCCTTGATATCTTGGGCTGTGAGACTAAGAACTTCGGGTGATGACACCCCAGACAACGAGGCCAGTTTCACTTCCAAATCTTGGTTATTCTGAACAGTGCTGCAACAAACATGGGAGTACAGATACCTCTTCGATATACTGATTTCCTTTCTTTTGGGTATATATTCTGCAGTGAAATTACTGGATCTTATGGTAGCTCTATTTTTAGTTTTTTGAGGAACCTCCAAACTGTTCTCTATGGTTGTTGTACTAATTTACATTCCTGCCAACAGTGTAGAAGGGTTCTCTTTTCTCCGTATCCTCACCAGCAGTTGTTATTGCCTGTCTTTTGGCTATAAGCCATTTTAACTGGGGTGAGATGATATCTCATTGTAGTTTTGATTTGCATTTCTCTGATGATCAATTATGTTGATCACCTTTTCATATGGCTGTTTGCCATTTGTATGTCTTCTTTTGAGAAGTGTCTATTCAAATCTTTTGCCCATTTTTTATCAGATTATTAGAATTTTTTCCCTATAGAGTTGTTTGAGCTCCTTATGTCTTCTGGTAATTAATCCTTTGTCAGATGGGTGGTTTGCAGATATTTTTCCCATTCTGTGTATTGTATCTTCACTTTGTTGATTGTTTCCTTTGCTGTGCAGCAGCTTTTTAACTTGATGTGATCCCATTTGTCCATTTTTGCTTTGGTTGCCTGTGCCTGTGGGGTATTGGTCTAGAAATTTTTGCCCAAACCAATGTCCCAGAGATTTTTCCCAAAGTTTTCTTGTAGGAGTTTCATAGTTGAAGTCTTAGATTTAAGTCTTTAATCCATTTTGATTTGATTTTTGTATATGGTGAAAGGCAGAAGTCTAGTTTCATTCTTCCACATATGGATATCCAGTTTTCCTAGCACCATTTATTGAAAAGACTGTCTTCCCCAGTGTATGTTCTTGTCACCTTTGTTGAAAAGGAGCTCACTGTAGGTGTGTGGATACGTTGGTTCTCCATTCTTCTCCGTTCGTCTACACAGGAGGTCCCTTTCTGTGTTAGAACTTGCCTTCCTTATCTGTGTTTGCAGCCTGATCTTTCAGGCCGCTCTTTGCTGAAAGAGAAATGACTTATTGGGTTGCTTTTTGTTAGAAGGGAATTCTGCCAAAGACTCTCACTCCAATGGTGGCATGGTACCCATGCCAGTACCATGCCGTGTTGGTTACTATATCTCTGTAGTATAATTTTAAGTCAGGTAGTGTGATTCCTCCAGTTTTGTTATTTTTGCCTAGGATAGCTTTGGATATTCTGGGTCTTTTGTGGTTCCATATAAATTTTAAGAATTTTTTTCTATTTCTGCAAAGAATGTCATTGGTATTTTGATAGCAATTGCACTGAATCTGTAGATTTCTTTGGGTTGGTCAATTTCTTGATCACCATAAATTTTCTTGGTAGATTTGTTTATTGAATATATTTTACAGATTTTCAGTGTTAAACTATTTTTGCATCCATTAAACAATCTCTGTCACAATGTATTAATGTACTATTTAATTTGCTAATATTTTACTTATGTTTTTGCATAAATAATATTGGTGTTTATGGTGTGTGTGTGTGTGTGTGTGATCAGGTGATGCATTTAGTCAAGTGATAGTATAACATCGCTGCTGCCCCTGTACAAAGTTTGTAAGATATTAATAGCAGGGAAAACTGTTGAGGGAGAATGGATATACGGGAACTCTACTTTCTGCTCAATTTTTCTGTAAATCTAAAACTGCTCTAAAAATAAAGTATATATAATATATATTTATATATACTTTGTATTTATATATGTACTTTATATATATATACTTAAAATATCTATATTTTAGCTGTCTGAACCAAGGAAAAATATGAATTATATTAATTAAAAACAACTGCCAGATATGTGAAAAGATAGGACTAAAGGACTGGAAATTAAGAGATCATATATTTAAAATAAGATAAATTGACAGGTGATATAGTTAGTAGAGTTTTTAGACACTACCTTTAAAATAAATAGGATTAGTATGTACAAAAATGGATTCAAAGATGGATACTTTTACCAAATTAAATCAAATGGAAATTAGAAAATAACAAAACTGAAATTAAGAATAAAGTGTGTGTGATTAAGAGAAGATTAGACACAGCAGAGGAGGTCATTCACTAAATAAAGATAAGTTAGAAAATATTCAGACTGAAGCAAGAGAAAAAGGATATAAAATAAATAAGAATGTAAGGACTATATATGAGATAAAAGTATAAGGAATATATATATATATACACACACATATATGTAGCCCAATCATATCTCTATCTCCCCCCACCCCATACATGTGTATATAGAGTCTCAAAGGAAAAGTGTGATAAAAAATGAGGCAAAAGAAATATTTGAGGAGTTATTGGCAAAAATATCCCCAAAGGGACGAAGGATAAGACATCTCAGTTTCTATATCTATAAATCCAAAGCAGAAAAAAGTACAAAAATACCACACCTATGCATCATGTTTAATCTTAAAGGGAGACACTGAAAATAATTATTTTTAGAAGAACATCAACAAGACTGACAGCTTACTTTACAACAGAAACAGAAAAATGGTAGTAGGAAGAAAATAGTGAGCTATCTGAAGTCCTGAAAGAAGATAGCAGCTAAATATAAATTGTATAACCTGCTAAACTTTCCTTCAAAAAAAGAAATAAAATAATTTTCAAAGACAATTTAAGATTTCTGGGAGTTGAGGGGAGGTTAACAAACCTACATTAAAAGATATACTAAATATTATTATTTAGGCAGAAGGAAAACTCTTCCAAAAGGAAGTATAATAATGCAGAAAGGAATGAAGTGCACCAGAGAGGAAAAATTATGGGAACATTTGGAATGCACATCAGAGTTCCCCAAAGATAAGCATTTACTTTTCTGTTATATTAAAAAATATATATGGAGCTAAAATTCCAAGGCTGGTAGGCATCTGGGTGGATCCAGCCTTCCTCTATATTTGTACCTCATGACAATCAACGTTGACAACCTTTACAATGGATTAATTACGCCATTCATCCCATCCACATTCCATTTAAGAGAAAGAATGAGGGAGACAGAACATACTTCTTCTTGGTTCTAATTGAAATAGGAGTGATCCTGTCCTAATTGGAACAAACCATTTCCATATATATCCCATTGACCAGAACTTTGTTACATAGGCACACTTGGCTGCAAAGCAAACTGGAAAATGTAGTCTTTATTCTGGGCAGCCATATGTCCTATTAAACATAAGAAGTTATATTATTACATTAAAAAATTGAGAATGGGTAAACTTGGGGAACAACTAGCAGTCTGGGAACCCAAGTATCCATGAATAGCTTTTTCCCATATGGAATCATATATATCTGTTCCCAAGGAAACAAACCCCACTGTACCGTATAGTTACTATGTCTCAAAATCTGTGCTCTGTGGGTGATTGGTCATCTTGTCATTCAGATTTATATATGGTACTGGTTTTCCAGACATGTTGTCAGACCCATGGTTATTTAATATTAAATGATGAAGTATTAATAGAACAACCAAGAAGAATTTCCCATTCAAAAAAGGGAAAATAGGAAATACAGATAATAATCACTGATTTTTAGCCATTATCAAACCATTATTGAATTCTATACTATAGCAATGCAGTAAGTTGACTGGAAGTTGCTCTGGTTGTGTTTTCTAGGATGATGTTTTTTTCTGTATTTCTCTGTGGTGCTTCTTTTTGCCCCATGTGGCCATATTTGAAGCATAGCTGCAGAGATTTTGCAACTAGCTTCTTGCTGTGTAGTTTTAGAGGCCTGAGGATTGCTTTATGGGTTAAACAGTCACAGGATTTTTCAGTCTTGGTTTGTATTTTGGGTTTGTTTGTATTCTTTGGGATTTTTATGGTAAAAAATTTACTTTAAAAACTTAATTGGTTTCTGGCCTATTTGTTTCAGGCCAGTTCCATATTTAGACATGTATTTAAGCCTTGAGACTCCAGTCTTTTATTTACTAGCCTCTACATTCTACCAAACTCCTGTCCCTCAGCCTAATAGCAGCTCCTTGTGGCCATCTGAAACTGTAGACTTTGATGAGAAGAAAAAGCTCTTAATCCTCCCCTTAATTAGAGGTTCTCAGCCTTTTATTTTTATTTTTTTTTGGAAGAATGTCAGTCTTATATTCTGCTAAAGCTGTCCTTTGGAGACACCACTTACATGGAAGGCTATTTTTCACTCATATAAACAAATTCTGGAAATGAATAATTTAAGGGTCTATAATCTGCATATATTCCAAAACTTTCTATCCTGTAACTCCATTAAAATCAATATGCATCTTCTGACTCGTGGTCCATAATGACTGTTGAGATCTAGCCATCACATCTGCACCTCAGACAGAAGAATAAAGAACTTTACTGGTCATGTCAGCTTTAAACCAGGCAAGAGGCTGGGTGCGGTGGCTCACACCTGTGATCTCACCACTTTGGGAGGCCAAGATGGGTGGATTGCCCAGGAGTCCGAGACCAGCCTGGGCAACATGGTGAAACTCCATCTCTACAAAAGTACCAAAAAATTTAGCTGGGCATGGTGGTGCATGCCTGTAGTTCCAGCTGCTAGGGAGGCTGCGGTGGGAGGATTGTCTACACCCAGGAGGTCGAGGATGCAGTGAGCCATGTGCATGCCACTGTACTCCAGGCTGAGCGACAGAGTGAGACCTTGTCTCAAACAAATGAGAAAAGAAAAATAAATAAATCAGGCAGGCATTAATGATTCTATTACTTCAAAAAAGAAAGAGGTCAATGGGCATTGGGGAAAAACTAGCAGTCTTTCTCATGCTTATCCTTTATAATACCTTTTAGTTATTTAATTAATAAAAATTTCTGCATTTTTATTCTGCCTTATTACTGGGAAAACATCCATCATTTTCATATTTAATATATTTGGCTTTTCTAATTATGGCTTTAATTTCTTAATATGGCTATTTTTTATTTATTTCTAAGCATTCTTCTTCAACAATAAAGATATATAAGTAGAGTTTTTGCTGTTTATATATTTTGATATGAAGTGCTCTGCCTACATTGTTTTATAAATAATAAGTTCCCTTCTTATTTACTTTTTGGTCAAAAGGTTAATCTAGTAGTATATTTCTTCACTTCAATGTTGTTAAGAATTTTGCTAAACTAACTCATTTACTAGTGCTAGGAGAGTTTTTGTAAATTCCTTCAGATTATCTATGTAAACAATCATGTCATCTGCTAATAAGGGCAGTTTTATTTCTTACTTTTCAATCTGTATGCCTTTTACTTCCTTTTCTTTTTCTTGCTTTATTGCCCTTATTAGAATTCCCAGTACTATGTTGAATAGGAATAATGAGAGCAGTTTTGCCTTGTACCTGATCTTAGGGGGAAAGCATTCAGTCTTTCACCACTAAACATGAGGCTAGTTAAAGGTTTTTGTAGCTTCTCTTTAACAAGTCGAGGAAATATCCTCCATTCCTAACTTGCTTAGTGTTTTTAATATGAATAGGTGGTGGATTTTGTGAAATGATTTTTCTTCCTCATTTGATACGATCATATAATTTTTCTTTTTTAGCCTGTTCTTATGATGGATTCCACTGATTTTTGAATGTTGAATCAGCCTTCCACACTTAGAATAAATTCCACTTTGTCAGGGTATATACTTCTTTTTATACTTTGTTGGATGTGACTTGCTGATATTTTGTTTAGAATTTTTGAATGTACATTTATGAGTTATATTGGTCTGTGGTATTCTATTATATAGTCTTTTTCTCATTTTAGTATCAGGCTAATACTGATGTCATTACATGAATTGGGAAGTGTCTCCTCTTATTTTTTGGAAGTTTGCTTCCCTGGCTGTAGCTGCTTATTGTAGTATGATTGCCCTTAACTGTTCCTCCCATATGTATGTGGTGTCTCTGAGTGAAGACGTACAGCTTTAATCCATCCTCCTCCTCAATGTTTTTCTTCATTTTTTCTTCTCTTTTCTTCTTTTCTCTTCTCTTCTCTGCTGTCTTCTCCTTTCTTTTTCTTTCTTTTCTTTTCTTTCTTTCTTTTTTTTTTTTTTTTTTTTTGACGGAGTTTCGCTCTTCTTGCCCAGGCTGGAGTGCAATGTTGTGATCTCGGCTCACTGCAACCTCCGCCTACCAGGTTCAAGCGATTCTCCTACCTCAGCCTCCTGAGTAGCTGGGACTCCAGGCATGTGCCACCACGCCCAGCTAGTTTTTGTATTTTTAGTAGAGACGGGGGTTTCACTATGTTGGCCAGGCTGGTCTCGAACTCCTGACCTCAAGTGATCCACTCGCCTCAGCCTCGCAAAGTGCTGGGATTACAGGCATGAGCCACCGTGTCTGGCCTGTCTTCTCCTTTCTTCCCCTCTTTTGCTCTCCCCAGTAAGAGCTGCTGTCTTTTTTTTTTTTTTTTTTGACAGAGTCTTGATCTGTTGCCCAGACTGTAGTGCAGTGGCACGCCCATAGCTCACTGCAGCCTTGACCTCTCTGGATCAAGTGATCCTCCCACCTCAGCCTCCTGAGTAGCAAGGACTATAGGTGCGCACCACTAGGCCTGGCTACTTTTTGTATTTTTTGAAGACAGTGTTTCGCCATGTAGGCCAAGCTGGTCTCAAACCCCTGGGCTCAAGCAATCCTCCCACCTTGACCTCCCAAAGTGCTGGGACTACAGGTGTGAGCCATTGCACCTGGCCAAGCTGCTGTCTTAATAGAATAAATCATTCACTAACAAATCTCATATTAGTCAGGAGAAAGGGTAATATATTCTCCAAATTCTCTGTCTTCTCACACTTCAGTCTGTTACCGTTACAATCCACTGGTTGAATCTGAGAGCAAGAGAGGATGGGAACTTGGTTGAAGTAGACCATAGAAGTCATCCTCTCTAGGCTATGGTCAGGACAGAGAAGGGCAGAGAGTAGCTTTAAAAGGGCACAGCTGGCTGGGCATGGTGGCTCATGCCTGTAATTCCAGCACTTTGGGAGGCCAAGGCAGGTGGACCACTTGAAGTCAGGAGTTCGAGACCAGCCTGGCCAACATGGTGAAACCCTGTCTCTACAAAAAATTAGCCAGGTGTGGTGGTGGGTGACTGTAATCCCAGCTACTTGTGAGGCTGAGGCAGGAGAATTGCTTGAACCTGGGAGGCGGAGGTTGCAGTGAGTTGAAATCATGCCACTGCCCTCCAGCCTGGGCGACAGAGTGAAACTCCATCTCAAAAATAAAAATAAAATAAAATATTTTTTTGAAAAAGGGCACAGCTGTATTTGTTTTCTTTTTTAAAATGTTTGCATATACAACCCCATTATAAGAGTATTTAAATTTGTCTGTCAATCCATACATTAAAGTTAAATTTATTCTCTTTCTTATTTTCAAATAAAAGTAAATGTTCTAATATTTTCTTTTCATATTCCAATGGATTACCTAAGGTTCCCTAGAGTGTGCTTAATTTACTTTGAGGATCATTATTCTAAGTGATATTTCTGCCATCAGAATGACATTTTCAAATTAGCCAGCCGTGGTGGCACGCTCCTGTAGTCCCAACTACTTGGGAGGCTGAGGCACGAGAGTCACTTCAACCTGGGAGGCAGAGGTTGCAGTGAGCCAAGATGGCACCACTGCACTCCAGCAACATAGTGGGCAACATAGTGAGACTCCATCTCAAAATAAAAATATCGTTTTTCTATTTTATCTGTCACACTGTTAACTAAATTACCATATACCTCCTTTTGCTTAAAGTCTTTACTTTCTCCTCACTGCCTAAAGGATAAAACTTATACATGGCCCTCTCATAACCTGTAATCTTTATATTGTTCTCCTTTTCTTCCATGCAGCCTCACCAAATGATTCACCTTTCTCAAATCAAAACATACCCCATTATAATCTTACTTTTGTCCTGTCATTATTTCTTCTTGGAGTGGTCTTGTTCTTGTGTATCTTCCTACTCCATTTTCTACTCATCTTTCCAGACCTATTCAAACGTTATTAGTTTCTCAATAAAAGTCTTCCTCAGGTACTCTGGGCAATAACAGAGCTCTTCCCTCTTTCTCTATGTTCCTACAGCATTTTTTCACATTATTTTTATGGTATATTACTTGGAACCGAAATAGTTTATTTGTATGACTCTCCTAATAGACTTATATACTGACAGCAAGGAACTTGTCTTAATTTATCTTTGTATATTCAGGATATAGATCAACAATTGATACACGTTAAGCCTCAAAAATGTGGAATTAATTCATCTCTACGTTGCCTCAGTTATCATTTTGAATACCCAAATCTGTAAAATGTTGAATAAATTGAACCGAATCTTTATTTCCCAAACATTTTTTCGATCAGTGATGAGAAATGATGTTAGATTTATTCTACCTCTGTTGGGCAGCTAGTGTCTCTAGAGCACTACTTGAAATGCCACATCTTGATGAGGAGAAGGCAGAATGTGCTTTGTTTAATTAGTCATACGTGTTACTGGTATAAGAAGGTTGATAGTTGGATTTGTGTTATCAATTTGCCACCCCCAGTCTTATTTGTATTCCTATATTTGTGATATCAATTTCTTTCATACCATGTCTGCTTCTTCATGGAAGTCAAATGCAAGGGACATTAGAGAATGAAAATATACAGCTAAGAATTTCTAATTTAATATTTTTTAATATGAATGTTGCTAATGTACAAATTCTGCTTATGTTGTAAAGCATGCTCAAAATGTAGTCTACAATCAAATCATGCTATAGAGATTTCTGTTCTCACATGATTGATCTCTTTAACATCGTAAAATTCTAAATAATTTGTTACCAAGTGACGATTTGTGAAAACAGATGGTATGTTAAAGTAATAATGTCTTATATTCTTAATTTTCAAAAGGCAAAAGTGAGGAAAGAAAACCAAGTAGAAACCAAGAAACTGATGTGAAGAGAAAAAGCATGACATGCCCACAGATTAGTAACTTTTTATAGTCATTTAAATGCCAGAAGGGATGGATAAATTATTAATAAGTACTCAAAATTCCTTATCTATAGGTTTTTCAGTTTACACTCCCTTGATTCACTGCCTAAAGGGAGTTTGATAGCAAGAGTAAGATCCCTAAATCTATAGCCACACAGTACTTTCCACAGATAACTTATGCGCTCCTTGTGGGTAATATGGACATCAATAGAAGTCTCAAAAGACTACCTCTTGTTAGTGATTTTGATTTCTATCCACTTGTTTCACAGTCTAAGTTGACAACAAAATGTTATCTTGTCAGGAATATTTAGAATGTGTCTTTACATATAATACTTTCTTTTCTTTCTTGCCTTTAATGTACAGTTATAGAAAATGGGGACAGTCTTTAAAAACAATGTCTCTAGTTATGAAAAAGTAAATGGAAGGTTATTTAACAACATTCATAAATTTTGGACTATGTATTAAAATAATATGCCTTCTGAGTGAGGAAATATTTGTAATGGAAAGATTAAATTAGGCTCCTTTTCTTTCATTTCCCCAAGTAGTATATTAATTTTGAAATACGTTCAACTTTTAGTCATATGGTATTTATTAGCCATTTATTAAGCACAAATATTGTTCATAGTACTAGTTTAAATAATAGATTAAGGAAGCTGAAGGTATACAAGCAATGTAAAAACTATTTTTTTATAGTTGGTGCTCCCTTAAACATCCCTTACATACCCCAAAGCCTTACGAAGACTTACAAACTCATCAAATTTACATACAATCTGCTGACCTCAAGATCTCTGTTTACTCTGAGGTCTGCTATGCACTACCCTCATTACAATCTACTTTGAAATTCTTAATAATAAATGCACTCTTTCTGGTGAGACAACAATTATAAGTATATTGTATTTTATTACATTTAAATAATTCAGGATATCATAATATATTATGCTTGACTATAATTCCTCCTCCATAAATGTATTCACATTGTCTCATGGATTATTTTATCGGGCTATCTAGTTGTCACCTTGGAAATTAGAAAAATTGACCCCAAATTGACCATAACCAAAGCAAAAAAGTTTTGATGGTAAGATAAAAGGAGGATGCAGCAATGGTTTATGCCTTTATAAAGCAACCCAATTAGGATTATGTACAGAGGTAGGGCCTTGCATAGTTCTATTTTGAAAAGTGGATTAAATGAATATTGCAAAAGAAAATTTGCATATGCTTGCAAATATTGCATATTTGCATACTTTTGCCTACATATCTGCTGTTATGCATTTTCTAAACTAGAAGCTGACCATGATAGTACTACAGTGTAGAAATTACATGTCTACACTTCATTTAATATCAAAGCTCAGAGGATCTTACATCTGGGAAAAACAATTCACCTTATCCAATCAAACTCTCTCATTTGACACATGGGGAAATAATCTTAACATAATTCTTGTCCCCCAAGAGACCATTATTTTAAAGTTGTTATAGACACCTATTAACAGATACAAAATATGGAAGAAGAAGAAAAGACATAAAAAATCCCTAGTGTAAAATAAATATCCCTTAAAAATGAATATTTCAATGACATGAGATACATCAAAAATATCTCATTTATTATCAACTAAACAAATATTCTTTATGATTGAATGTTTACTATGTGCCAGGCACAGTGCTAAATTCTAGGGATTTTAGGAGATTAAATCAGTTTGTTCCTTTCATTATTAAGCTTACAATTTAGAAGGAAAAGTAAACATGTATCCACCTATGATTTTTTAAATTGCTATGAGAATTTAGATGTAACATTTCATTTTATAAAATATGTTTGGTAACCTTGTATTCCTTTATGATTTGCAAAAACCTTTCATATACATATACTCATGTAATTCTCACAACTTTGTGAGGTTGGTATTATCATCACAAGAATGGTAATTACAGAAACCAAAAGTATGATTTAACACACGTTTGTAATCAAAAAGACCAAATTCTTGTGAGGAAGATAATGTGTATTTAACTAAAAAGAAATGTGTTTAATTCTTAGAAGAGGTTTGTATAGTTAAAAGCTGGATGCATCTTATACTGTATGAATTTTGACATTATTTTGGAAGGCTATATTTTATTAAAAGAAATAAGTTTCAACAATATCAAGGCATTGTTACTGCATTCTAGGAAATGATTGGGAAATGGGATTTTAGTTAAACTAAAGTTATCATTTAACTAAAAATCCCCTCTACGTTAAATGGAACAGCCTAGGGCAAGGACATAGATGCATAAGCTGTGGGAATGTGTGGCCCAAAACCCTCTCATGAGCGAACAATTATATTGCTTGCACTCACAAGTTATTGCTTCTTAGAAATATAGCACTTACCAACCACAAATCTTTAATATAGTAAACATAGTGTCAACTCCAAAGTTGAAAGAGAGGTCAGAAATCATAAAGTTAAAGTTATTGCCTCTGGCATCCTAGCTGACTAAGTAACCTGAACAACCCTTTGAGTGAAAAAAAGACAACAAAAATGCTGGAAAAATATTTTTAAATAAAATAAATGTAAGCTAAGACCCAGAGGAAAAATACGTTGAGAGATAGCTTTCAATCTGATAGTATCTGACAAATGTGTGAACTTGAACTTTGATTTTCCAACTCTTTCAAGACTTGGGGGGAGAATAGGCAAAGCACAAGGGTCATCCAATTTGGTATGTCTAATAGGAAATACTCCCAACATAAAGCTGGGGTTCCCAGCAGCTACACCTTCAAAGTAAGAATATACTAGAAATAAATCTGCTTTCCTTCCTCTGCACCTTCAGAATAATGCAAAGAAATATGTCTAATTGATCTTTGGCATTGAGTTCAGGGGCAAAAAAATAAGTCTTCTTTGAAAACTTGTAGCCAAAACATTGGTCTTACGTGCATCTACAGCCTAAATTCCTACAACATTGGTAGTTTGAAAAATCTTTATCCAAGAATTTAAAGTATCCAGAGCTGGTAGAACTTCCTGATAGCTTGCAGAAGAAAATGAAAATATTTTCTGGAGAAACTCAGCTAAAGCCCAATCCTTTGAAAGGAAATCCTTTGAAAGGATTTTCAAAGATAAAGTCTCCAGAATTATGAAGTCAAATTCAAAAATCACTAAACACAAAATGGACTAACGTGCCATATATGAAAGCCAGCAAGAGCATCAGACTATGGAGTTAAACCTGAAAATACTCCATATATTTGAATTACTAGAATAAGAATATAGAAATAAGTATAGTGATAGGTTTTAAAAAGAAAAGAAGCAATTAAATATGATAAAAATAAGGAAATATAAAAAGGAGCAAAAGACCTGAGAATATCCTTACTGGATTTAAGAATTAAAAATAAAATATTGGATATTAAGAGCTCAGTAGGAATGGAAAACATGTTCAGTACAATTTAACATCATTTTTAACTTAAAAATGATTTAAAAAATGCTAGAAGGAAATATTTAATTAGATTAAAGATACCACCACAAACCCCACAGTAAAAACCATAATTAATGGAAAAATATGAAAAACGTTCCTTTTAAGTTCAGGGACATATTACTTCCATTTAACAATATATTGAATTTTAAAGCCAGTACAATAAGTCAAAAAAAATAAATAACTAGAAAAGGAGAAAAATATCATTTTCTCAGATAATATTGTGTTTGAAAAAACCCAAATCTACAGATTATTACATTCAACAAGAAAGTTTATAAACTGCATGATAAAAAAATGAAAAATTAATTGCATTCAAATTAACAGTAGCAAGCAGATACAAAGTGTAACTTTTTAAATGTTCAAGTTTATACTCAGAGTAGACCATAAATCTATATTCACAGTTAAACAAGTATTAATGGAATGGAGAACCATGTAACCAATGCTTTAGTCATAAACTGCAATATTGTTGGCACTGCAGCAACTCCCCACATGCTACTTCCTTATCATGACCTTCTCCCTAAATGTAACCACAATCCTGGTTTGGGGGTTAATAATCCAGCATTCTGGTCAATTTGATTCTTTCTACCAGGAAATAGGGATCTCTAGGGAATCCCAAATTGTTTTTCTCAGCTACTGGCTGTTGAATTACCAGGACATACTTTTATTGGTTTGCATCCACAACAATCTTTGCCCCTTATCACTGTGACAGCAGTTGGTTGCTGTACCTCCCTCATTTTCCCTCTCATTCCTGGATCCAGACCAAAGAAGTGATCCTCAAGCTCATCATTTTGGACCATTTTTATAAACTGATGATAGTTGGATCAAATAATTCAAAACCCTTCACTAAACACTGTATTATATCAATTCTAATTTACTATTATCCTTATCCTGGGTAAACAGTAAAGGTATAGGAATTCAGTATTTTCCTCTTTTTAACAAAACATTGAGAGATAAAAGCCAGACATGATTCAGAAATAATTTAATATCTAATTTCAGGAGTGTTGGGTTCCTTTTCACAGAAGCAGAGGCAGATGGGAATTCTTGAATAAGTTATTTATTGAAGGAGTGCTCTCAGGAGAAAGAAGTGAAGGAAGCAAATACGGCAGGCATTTATAAGTCAGGTACATATAAATCAAGCAAGAGCATGCCTAACCGGGAGTCTAGATTGAACCTAACTCTGCAGGGAGCTCTGGAGCATGAATTGTAACACAGAATAGTTACTGCCTTGAGGCTAGGAGGGCAGCATTTTGTATGCCAATACCAGTCATTGGTCAGTGGTTGTCCCTGGGAGCAGGAGTGGATGGGAGGGAAGAGGAGGAGCTGAGAGGGAGGTGTTGTTTCCCAGGCAAGGTAAGGGCAATTTTCTGGAGAAAGGCCAGCTATTAATATTAGCAACCAACCCTCACAACAGCTGAGGGATGAGAGCAGTAGGCAGGTAAACAGAATCTTGGTGTGGAACCAAGAAGGTCTACTAGAAGGAGAAAGAAATTTTCTAGAAATACTTTTAGTGTTTATTAGACCATGGAATAGGTATATTAAAAGTTGCCTAGTTTGAATTCTGTATAACACATTGCTTGATATATCACAAGCATATTTCAGTTTACTGGAACAAAAGATATTGGGTTTTTAGAATAACTCCAGTTTTAAATTGAGACAGGATCTGCACTTTAAGGGCATAACTACTAATAAGATTTCACTGAGCAACAATAGTTATAAGTTGAATGACTGGTGATTGTCAACTAGAAGAAGCTGTAGCAATACAAATTGCAACATTTTGATATATTTGACAGAATAATAAGGACATGGGGCATTTCAAGACTTTCATATAATCTTTGAAATACTATATTTACAAAATAAAAGTAAATCACATTTATCTGACCGAAAAAAAGAGAAAACTTCATAAAGGGAGATATTTCTCCAGAGAACTGTGAGTAGAAACATACAGCTTTGAGGAACAGCTCCGGTCTACAGCTCCCAGCGTGAGCAACGCAGAAGACGGGTGATTTCTGCATTTCCATCTGAGGTACCGGGTTCATCTCACTAGGGAGTGCCAGACAGTGGGCGCAGGCCAGTGTGTGCGCGCACCGTGCGCGAGCCGAAGCAGGGCGAGGCATTGCCTCACCTGGGAAGCGCAAGGGGTCAGGGAGTTCCCTTTCCGAGTCAAAGAAAGGGGTGACGGACGCACCTGGAAAATCGGGTCACTCCCACCCGAATATTGCGCTTTTCAGACCGGCTTAAAAAACGGCGCACCATGAGACTATATCCCACACCTGGCTCGGAGGGTCCTACGCCCACGGAATCTCGCTGATTGCTAGCACAGCAGTCTGAGATCAAACTGCAAGGCGGCAGCGAGGCTGGGGGAGGGGCGCCCGCCATTGCCCAGGCTTGCTTAGGTAAACAAAGCAGCCGGGAAGCTCGAACTGGGTGGAGCCCACCGCAGCTCAAGGAGGCCTGCCTGCCTCTGTAGGCTCTGGGGGCAGGGCACAGACAAACAAAAAGACAGCAGTAACCTCTGCAGACTTAAATGTCCCTGTCTGACAGCTTTGAAGAGAGCAGTGGTTCTCCCAGCACGCAGCTGGAGATCTGAGAACCGGCACACTGCCTCCTCAAGTGGGTCCCTGACCCCTGACCCCCGAGCAGCCTAACTGGGAGGCACCCCCCAGCAGGGGCACACTGACACCTCACACGGCAGGGTATTCCAACAGACCTGCAGCTGAGGGTCCTGTCTGTTAGAAGGAAAACTAACAACCAGAAAGGACATCCACACCGAAAACCCATCTGTACATCACCATCATCAAAGACCAAAAGTAGATAAAACCACAAAGATGGGGAAAAAACAGAACAGAAAAACTGGAAACTCTAAAACGCAGAGCGCCTCTCCTCCTCCAAAGGAACGCAGTTCCTCAACAGCAACGGAACAAAGCTGGATGGAGAATGATTTTGACTAGCTGAGAGAAGAAGGCTTCAGACGATCAAATTACACTGAGCTACGTGAGGACATTCAAACCAAAGGCAAAGAAGTTGAAAACTTTGAAAAAAATTTAGAAGAATGTATAACTAGAATAACCAATACAGAGAAGTGCTTAAAGGAGCTGATGGAGCTGAAAACCAAGGCTAGAGAAGTACGTGAAGAATGCAGAAGCCTCAGGAGCCGATGCGATCAACTGGAAGAAAGGGTATCAGTGATGGAAGATGAAATGAATGAAATGAAGTGAGAAGGGAAGTTTAGAGGAAAAAGAATAAAAAGAAATGAGCAAAGCCTCCAAGAAATATGGGACTATGTGAAAAGACCAAATTTACGTCTGATTGGTGTACCTGAAAGTGATGTGGAGAATGGAACCAAGTTGGAAAACACTCTGCAGGATATTATCCAGGAGAACTTCCCCAATCTAGCAAGGCAGGCCAACGTTCAGATTCAGGAAATACAGAGAACGCCACAAAGATACTCCTAGAGAAGAGCAACTCCAAGACACATAATTGTCAGATTCACCAAAGTTGAAATGAAGGAAAAAATGTTAAGGCCAGCCAGAGAGAAAGGTCGGGTTACCCTCAAAGGGAAGCCCATCAGACTAACAGCGGATCTCTCGGCAGAAACCCTACAAGCCAGAAGAGAGTGGGGGCCAATATTCAACATTCTTAAAGAACAGAATTTTCAACCCAGAATTTCATATCCAGCCAAACTAAGCTTCATAAGTGAAGGAAAAAAAAATCCTTTGCAGACAAGCAAATGCTGAGAGAGTCTGTCACCACCAGGCCTGCCTTACAAGAGCTCCTGAAGGAAGCACTAAACATGGAAGGAAACAACTGGTACAAGCCACTGCAAAAACATGCCAAATAGTAAAGACCATCGAGACTAGGAAGAAACTGCATCAACTAATGAGCAAAATCACCAGCTAACATCATAATGACAGGATCAAATTCACACATAACAATATTAACTTTAAATATAAATGGACTAAATTCTCCAATTAAAAGACACAGACTGGCAAGTTGGATAAAGAGTCAAGACCCAACAGTGTGCTGTATTCAGGAAACCCATCTCACGTGCAGAGACACACATAGGCTCAAAATAAAAGGATGGAGGAAGATCTACCAAGCCAATGGAAAACAAAAAAAGGCAGGGGTTGCAATCCTAGTCTCTGATAAAACAGACTTTAAACCAACAAAGATCAAAAGAGACAAAGAAGGCCATTACATAATGGTAAAGGGATCAATTCAACAAGAGGAGCTAACTATCCTAAATATTTATGCACCCAATACAGGAGCACCCAGATTCATAAAGCAAGTCCTGAGTGACCTACAAAGAGACTTAGACTCCCACACATTAATAATGGGAGACTTTAACACCCCACTGTCAACATTAGACAGATCAATGAGACACAAAGTCAACAAGGATACCCAGGAATTGAACTCAGCTCTGCACCAAGCGGACCTAATAGACATCTACAGAACTCTCCACCCCAAATCAACAGAATATACATTTTTTTCAGCACCACACCACACCTATTCCAAAATTGACCACATAGTTGGAAGTAAAGCTCTCCTCAGCAAATGTAAAAGAACAGAAATTATAACAAACTATCTCTCAGACCACAGTGCAATCAAACTAGAACTCAGGATTAAGAATCTCACTCAAAGCCGCTCAACTACATGGAAACTGAACAACCTGCTCCTGAATGACTACTGGGTACATAACGAAATGAAGGCAGAAATAAAGATGTTCTTTGAAACCAACGAGAACAAAGACACAACATACCAGAATCTCTGGGACGCATTCAAAGCAGTGTGTAGAGGGAAATTTATAGCACTAAATGCCTACAAGAGAAAACAGGAAAGATCCAAAATTGACACCCTAACATCACAATTAAAAGAACTAGAAAAGCAAGAGCAAACACATTCAAAAGCTAGCAGAAGGCAAGAAATAACTAAAATCAGAGCAGAACTGAAGGAAATAGAGACACAAAAAACCCTTCAAAAAATCAATGAATCCAGGAGCTGGTTTTTTGAAAGGATCAACAAAATTGATAGACCGCTAGCAAGACTAATAAAGAAAAAAAGAGAGAAGAATCAAATAGATGCAATAAAAAATGATAAAGGGGATATCACCACCAATCCCACAGAAATACAAACTACCATCAGAGAATACTACAAACACCTCTACGCAAATAAACTAGAAAATCTAGAAGAAATGGATACATTCCTCGACACATACACTCTCCCAAGACTAAACCAGGAAGAAGTTGAATCTCTGAATAGACCAATAACAGGATCTGAAATTGTGGCAATAATCAATAGTTTACCAACCAAAAAGAGTCCAGGACCAGATGGATTCACAGCCGAATTCTACCAGAGGTACAAGGAGGAACTGGTACCATTCCTTCTGAAACTATTCCAATCAATAGAAAAAGAGGGAATCCTCCCTAACTCATTTTATGAGGCCAGCATCATTCTGATACCAAAGCCTGGCAGAGACACAACCAAAAAAGAGAATTTTAGACCAATATCCTTGATGAACATTGATGCAAAAATCCTCAATAAAATACTGGCAAACCGAATCCAGCAGCACATCAAAAAGCTTATCCACCATGATCAAGTGGGCTTCATCCCTGGGATGCAAGGCTGGTTCAATATACGCAAATCAATAAATGTAATCCAGCATATAAACAGAGCCAAAGACAAAAACCACATGATTATCTCAATAGATGCAGAAAAAGCCTTTGACAAAATTCAACAACCGTTCATGCTAAAAACTCTCAATAAATTAGGTATTGATGGGACGTATTTCAAAATAATAAGAGCTATCTATGACAAACCCACAGCCAATATCATACTGAATGGGCAAAAACTGGAAGCATTCCCTTTGAAAACTGGCACAAGACAGGGATGCCCTCTCTCACCGCTCCTATTCAACATAGTGTTGGAAGTTCTGGCCAGGGCAATGAGGCAGGAGAAGGAAATAAAGGGTATTCAATTAGGAAAAGAGGAAGTCAAATTGTCCCTGTTTGCAGACGACATGATTGTTTATCTAGAAAACCCCATCGTCTCAGCCCAAAATCTCCTTAAGCTGATAAGCAACTTCAGCAAAGTCTCAGGATACAAAATCAATGTACAAAAATCACAAGCATTCTTATACACCAACAACAGACAAACAGAGAGCCAAATCATGAGTGAACTCCCATTCACAATTGCTTCAAAGAGAATAAAATACCTAGGAATCCAACTTACAAGGGATGTGAAGGACCTCTTCAAGGAGAACTACAAACCACTGCTCAAGGAAATAAAAGAGGACACAAACAAATGGAAGAACATTCCATGCTCATGGGTAGGAAGAATCAATATCGTGAAAATGGCCATGCTGCCCAAGGTAATTTACAGATTCAATGCCATCCCCATCAAGCTACCAATGACTTTCTTCACAGAATTGGAAAAAACTACTTTAAAGTTCATATGGAACCAAAAAAGAGCCCGCATCGCCAAGTCAATCCTAAGCCAAAAGAACAAAGCTGGAGGCATCACACTACCTGACTTCAAACTATACTACAAGGCTACAGTAACCAAAACAGCATGGTACTGGTACCTAAACAGAGATATAGATCAATGGAACAGAACAGAGCCCTCAGAAATAACGCCACATACCTACAACTATCTGATCTTTGACAAACCTGAGAAAAACAAGCAATGGGGAAAGGATTCCCTATTTAATAAATGGTGCTGGGAACACTGGCTAGCCATATGTAGAAAGCTGAAACTGCATCCCTTCCTTACACCTTATACAAAAATCAATTCAAGATGGATTAAAGATTTAAACGTTAGACCTAAAACCATAAAAACCCTAGAAGAAAACCTAGGCATTACCATTCAGGACATAGGTGTGGGCAAAGACTTCATGTCTAAAACACCAAAAGCAATGGCAACAAAAGCCAAAATTGACAAATCGGATCTAATTAAACTAAAGAGCTTCTGCATAGCAAAAGAAACTACCATCAGAGTGAACAGGCAACCTACAACATGGGAGAAAATTTTCGCAACCTACTCATCTGACAAAGGGCTAATATCCAGAATCTACAATGAACTCAAACAAATTTACAAGAAAAAAACAAACAACCCCATCAAAAAGTGGGCGAAGGACATGAACAGACACTTCTCAAAAGAAGACATTTATGCAGCCAAAAAACACATGAAAAAATGCTCATCATCACTGGCCATCAGAGAAATGCAAATCAAAACCACTATGAGATATCATCTCACACCAGTTAGAATGGCGATCATTAAAAAGTCAGGAAACAACAGGTGCTGGAGAGGATGTGGAGAAATAGGAACACTTTTACACTGTTGGTGGGACTGTAAACTAGTTCAACCATTGTGGAAGTCAGTGTGGCGATTCCTCAGGGATCTAGAACTAGAAATACCATTTGACCCAGCCATCCCATTACTGGGTATATACCCAAAGGACTATAAATCATGCTGCTATAAAGACACATGCACACGTATGTTTATTGCGGCATTATTCACAATAGCAAAGACTTGGAACCAACCCAAATGTCCAACAATGATAGACTGGATTAAGAAAATGTGGCACATATACACCATGGAATACTATGCAGCCATAAAAAATGATGAGTTCATGTCCTTTGTAGGGACATGGATGAAATTGGAAACCATCATTCTCAGTAAACTATCGCAAGAACAAAAAACCAAACACCGCATATTCTCACTCATAGGTGGGAATTGAACAATGAGATCACATGGACACAGGAAGGGGAATATCACACTCTGGGGACTGTGGTGGGGTGGGGGGAGGGGGGAGGGATAGCATTGGGAGATATACCTAATGCTAGATGACGCGTTAGTGGGTGCAGCGCACCAGCATGGCACATGTATACATATGTAACTAACCTGCACAATGTGCACATGTACCCTAAAACTTAAAGTATAATAAAAAAAAAAACATACAGCTTTTCCCTCAAAAAAAAAAATCTAAAACCAGCATTTATCACCCACCCCAAATCATATACGATTTTAAAAAGACCTACTGCTAATAAGTTTTAAGATCGTTTATGAGCAGAAGAAAGCACTAATTATTATAATTGGTAACAGTTAGTCTAAAACAACTCATAATCTTAAGCTGTGGCTAAGGCTCAAGCTGTTGCCCAGTCTTTTAATACAGGGACCTTAACTCTTAGCAGCTTTCCTTTCCTGCTGCTTCATGTGGCCATCCTTCCATACTGCCTAATGTAGGATCTGGAAGCTTCACGCTTCTGCTGTTTCTGATGACACATTAATATTGCTCTACCCTGCTATTATTACTTCCATTCATAACTTTGCTCTATTAAAAGTATTAGTAACTTCACTTGGAGTGGACAGTGGAGGATATCAGTATTTGTTGAGTAGCTTCTAGAAAATAGGAAATTTACATATATTTTAATGGAGTAGTAATTTTCATCTTAATGATTTTCTTAAATAATCTTATAAAATATTTATTCTTATTCTACAGCCATGTAAATTCAACTGAAGATAAGCTAAATAACTTACAAAAAGTCTAACAAATAATAAATGACTGGACAGGGGTTTGAACCCAAAGACTGGCCTTTTAAAAAAATCTGTGCCCTTTCTACTACATAAGTTGTTATCAAACTTACAACATCATTATGTTATGTTGGTCCTGAACCAGCAACACCAGCATCACCTCATAACTTGTTAGAAGTACAAATTCTTGTACCTTATTACAGATGTACTGAACTAGATACTGCTAGATTTGGGCCCAGAAATCTATGTTTTAACAAGTTCTTTGGATGTTTCTGGTGCACACTGAAGTTTGAGAATCTCTGTCCTATGCTGTATTGCTTTTTTCAATGGAATGAAGCAGATGAAATCTTAGGTCAGGCTTCAGATACTTTCTCCTCTTAGAAATTACAGGCTTTTTGACCGCAAAGATATCCCTTAGCTTTAAACACTGTTTTTCAAGGTTTTGTTTACTTTGCTTTTTTCTTTTTTTTTTTTTTTTGGAGGCTCATAAACAGATCTATTCCCTGGACATCATCCCATGTCTCTCTATCATTGCCACACCTTTCACTTAATGCTTATTTATTCATTTATTTATTCATGTATTCTTTCATTCAGCTACTTTTATTTGAAAGCCTTTTATGTGTCAGGTACTGTGCTAGGCGAGTTAATGGCCCCTCAAATAAAGTCCATGTCCTAATCCCCAGAAACTTTGAATATGTCATGTTGCATGGCAAAAGGGAATTTAGGTTGCAGATTAAATTAAGATTGCTAATCAACTGACCTAAAAATAGCGAGATTTTCCTGGATTATCTGTGTGAGCCCAATGAAATCACAAAGATCCTTAAAAGAGAGAGAGAGAAAAATGTGACTATGGAAGAGAGAACTAGAGAAATGACAGTATGGGAAGTACTCAGCTTGTTGTTGTTGGCTTTGACGATGGGAGAAGGGGCCATGAGCCAAGGAAGGCAGGCAGCCTCTAGAAGCTGCAAAAGACAAGAAAACAGATTCTTCCCTAGAGTCTCCAGAAGGAATGAAGCCCTGTCAAAACTTGATGTTACTCCAGTGAGACCTCTATCAGGCTTCGGACCTCCAGAACTGTAAGACAATTCATTTATTTTGTTTAAAGATACTAAATTTGTGTTGATTTATCACAGCAGCAACAGGAAACTACTACAGGTACTCTCTTGGTTATTGGAGCTGCGGCAGCAAGCAAGAGAGGTTCAGCCCTAGCCCTCAAGTAAAGGAGAAAGAAACACTCTATTAAGGGAGATAAACCAAATAATTATTTGTTGTGTGGTAAATGTTATGCTAGGTAGCACTTGCCTGGAGGAAAAGGACTTTAAGTCCAGACACGAACTTTAAATAGAAGCTAAATATGCAAAGAGGGGGGATAGGAAGTGTGTTTGTGGAACCGCATGTGCAAAGAACTGGAAGTAAAATAATCTGTGTTTTAAGAAATGTCAATGATGTTTAACCACCTCACAGTCCCTAAGTTATGTATGCAGAGGAGATACAGCTACTGTAACCCATGATAGAAGAGACAGATAATTAAAGAAATGTAAAATTCAAACTTCTGTATCATTAACTCAGTAATCCATGTGTGAAATTATTCAGTAGGTCCAATTTTTCTCCCTTATTTCCTAATTTCATCATTTATTCATTTGACTATTTGATATCATCTTTGTGAAAGCCTGTGTAAGAGAAAGGAAGGGTGACAAAACTAAAAAATGAAAAAGTCCATCTTTAATTACAGCTAGTCAGAGTAATTACAGGCACTCACTGAGGAAAGACAAAATTTAATGAAAACTGAAATTTACCAGTTCGCCATTGTATTTCCAATTAGCAAGAATAACAGAAAATAAATTTCAAATAAAACATCAATTTTATTCTAGCAACAGCAATTGTAGTTCATCAAAATGTTCTGGTGCTCCAGAGAAATATGTAAAAATAATTAAATGCCACAACATATTAACCAATAGGATGAAGAACAAGTACAACTCCTTTATTTGGCATACTTCACTTGGACTTTAAAAAGGAAATGGGCTGGGTGCAGTGGCTCACACCTGTAATCCCAGCACTTTGGGAGGCCAAGGCAGTAGGATCACTTGAGGTTAGGAGTTCGAGACCAGCCTGGCCAACACGGTGAAACCCCGTTTGTACTAAAAATACAAAAATTAGCAGGGTGTGGTGGCACATGCCTGTAATCCCAGCTACTCAGGAGGCTGAGACAGGAGAATCGCTTGAACCTGGGAGGCAAAGTTTGCAGTGAGCAGAGATCAGGCCACTGCACTCCAGCCTGGGCAACAGAGCAAGACTCTGTCTCAAAAATAAATAAATAATAAATACAAAGGGAATGACTTTGTTCAGAATGAACCCTTTTAATATTAGGCATGGAAGATGGTCTCTTAGAGCAGGTGCCAACAAACTATTTCTGAAAAGAGCCAGAGAGTAAGTATTTTTTAACTTTCTAGGTGCAATGTTTCTGTTGCAAGTGTTAACTCTGTCATGGAATTGCAAAGACAGACACAGATAATATTTTCTAATAAAACTTTACTTACAAAACAGGTGGTAGGACAGTAGCTTGCTAATTTCTGTCCTGGAGAATTTTCCTTCCCTCCCTCCCTTCTTCCCTTCCCTTCCCTTCCTTCCTTCCTTCCTCCCTCTTTCCCTCCCTCCTTCCCCCCTCCCTCCTTCCCCCCCCCCCGCCGTCCCTTCCTTCCTTCCTTTTTTTTCCTTGTATGGCAATGTATTTTTCCACTGAGAGAAGCAGAAAGCCAGTCTCTTCTAATGTAAACTACTAACTCCTGTCAGACAGGGTTACACAGAAAGCAAAATAAGGAAATACTGAAGTTTTCTTTTTTTCATTAAAAATGAAAAGTTTTATTTAAAAAGCAACTTCAGGTCCCTTAAAAACCAATTTCTTCCTTAGCATTTTTTTTTTTTTTTTGCCAGTGTGAGTGTGTGGGAAGAGAAGCTGTTTTTCTGAAATGCTTGTAAGTGATCATAATTTGTAGCTACAGATTTTGAAAAGCATTTAAAAACAGTTTCACAGTGTACTCTTCAGGATGACATCTTTCCTTTGAGGCAGAGGAGTGACTTTTCTAAAAAGTGTTTCTTAAGTAGTTGCTCTTCCCAAGGCAAAGGTACCTCACTCTAATCTCTTCACTGCCTCTTGTCCCTCTTCATCTTCCTTTATTTTTCAAGTTATTTGTGTCTCCTGATACAATTTCCCAGTATTTTATTAAGTGGTCTGGACCAAATGCAATATTTTATTATCTGTTGACATTAATTTTGAAATCATAAAATAAAAACATTCTAGGTCACAGGACTCAAATTTTGTCTGGGTCTAATTTCCATTACATGTTCTAGTTTGAACTCAACCACTTCTCCCTGGTTTTTATTTTCTTTTTAATAAAAGAAACATGAAAAACTCCAATCTACATGGTTGGAAGTAAAGATATAAAGTGTGAAGATTGGTTTACTGTCAATTATCAACAATTAAACATAAAGAAAAGAAACGGTACCCTGGAGTTTTACTACAACACCCAGAGTAGCAGGAGAGAGGTTTCGTGCTTACTATAATCTTTCTTGATATTTTGCCAAACTGCCTAATGTAATTTGAACTTTCCAGGCCTTGTTAATAATTCAGAAACCTCATGTTTGTATATAAATTTCCTTTCAGAGAGCTCAAATCTCTTTCATAACATTTTCTCTAACCACGTCAATATTCTACTTGGAAGGCTTAGTTATTTATTTTCTTACGAATGCTACAAATGAGAAAATGAGGCATAAATACTCAGGATATTTGACATGCATTCATAAGTCTGAGAAGTGGTTGAATTAAAACTGTGATGAATCCCTTAAGTCCCAAACTAATTACTAATTCAGCTTTGATTTTTTTTTCTAAGGTTAAAAGTAATCATTTATTCTTTAGGATGAGATGCTTCCTCTTGAATCCAGGGCTGAATTTACCTCTCTGTCTAAAGCAACTTTTAAAATGGAAAAAACATATATTTAAAAATGATTTACAGACACTATATCAAGTAGCACAGGACAGTGATCCCTAAAAGAAGGAAAGCAAATGGTGTGAGCATCTGATTGCCACAGCTTACTGTCTGGAGATAGTTCCTAAGCCTAGCACAGGGATGGGGAGATAAAGCAGAACGTGGAGGTCACCCCGAGTTGAGGAAATGGAGCTAGGACTCTGGGAAGGCCAAAACAGCTGGAATTTGTAGGGCTGTATATCAGAGAAAAAAGAGTTGCACAATAAGAGAACTCCACGGATCTGCAGAGGGTCCCCAAGTCTTCTGCTAAGTATAGATCGATACATATATCTGAGAAAATTACCTGAAGTGAAGGGAGGAACTATTTTGGAGACATTCCTCTATGAGTCTCTGTGTTAGTCCGCCAGGGCTGTAACAAAATACCACAGACTGGATGGCTTGAGCAACAGAAATTTATTTGCTCACAGTTCTGGAGACTGGAAGTCCAAGGTCAAGGTGCCAGCAGAGTTGGGTTTTCCTGAGGCCTCTTTTCTTGGCTTGCAGATGGCTGCCTTCTCACTGTGTCCTCACATGGTCTTTTCTCTGGGCATGTGCAGAAAGAGATCTCTGGTTTCTCTGCCTCTTACAAGGACACCCACCAGTCCTTTTGGGTTAGAACTCCACCCTTATGACCTCATTTAATTTCAATTACCTCATTAAAGGCCTTATCTCCAAATACAGTCGCTTTGGGGATTAGAGTTCAAAATATGAATTTTATAGAGACATAATTCAGTCCATAGCAGTCTCTTACATTTTTGCACATCTTACAGCGTCACGAACTGCCCATGTTCTGGTATATCTTATTAAGGATTTTTTTGTTGTTGCAAACTGCCTTAGAAGGCAGATATAGTTTCTTCTTTGGAAGCAAAGGACAGATATGCTTACTGTCCAATATAAGATCTAGATTCTGGGTTTCTCTCCTATAATACAACCTACAGCATGTGTAGGAGTTGCCTGTACCTCTTTACGTTGCCCTGTGAGAATTGGCAAACTGTCTTCTCTTAACATCCCTGAAATTGTGGCAGGCTAAGTTCTCAACTTGTGAGTAGGGCAAAAGCTCATTCTTTCAGAGATCTTCAAACCTATCTGCTATGGTTTTGATGCCAAAACTCATGTTGAAATTTGATCTGCAATGTGGCAGAGTTGGAGGTGAGGCCTACTGGGAAGTATGTGGGTGATGAAGGCAGATCCTTCATGAATAGGTTAATGCTTTCCCACTAGAGTGAGGGAGTTCTTGCTTGTGGGAATGAATTAGTTCCTGAGGGAGTGGACTAGTTCCCACAGGAGTGAGTTGTTAAATAGAGTCTGGCTTCCTCTGTTTCTCTCTTGTGCTTTCTCTCTTACTATGTGATCTCTTTTCACATGCCCACTCCCCTTCTGCTTTTCACAATGAGTGGAAACAGCATGAGGACCTCAACAGTTGCCACTGGCCAATCTTGAACTTTTCAGCCTACAGAGCAGTGAGCCAAATAAACCACTTTATAAAATGAATTACCCAGCCTCAGGTATTCTGTAATAGCAACACAAAAATGTACTAAGACACTATCTAAAAGAAATAGAGAGAACAATCACCGTATCTCCTACAGGGCCAGGAATAGTTCATGCTTCCACCAGTCAAAGTGGAAAAGCTTGTAAATCACAAGATATAAAAAAGAGTACTCAGAATAACATTGCTACAATAATGGAGAAAGATAGGCTATAGACTAAACCTGCTCTAGTCATCTAGCACAGCTTAAATGCAAGTCGTGAAAAGATCAAAGTGTTTCAAAGTAACTTAATTGCAACTCAGAAGAAAGTTCAAGAGTATCCAAAACCTAACAAGGTAATATTTGCAACTTCTGGCATCAAATAAAAAAGTACCAGGGTTGCAAGGAAGCAGTGATGTATAGCCCATAATAAGAATTAAAACAAATCAATAGATATAGATTCAAAAATTACACAAATGCTAGAATTAGTAGGTAAGGACTTTAAAACAGTTATTATAACTGTATTGCACATGCTTAAGAAGACAGAGGAAAGATTGAACATGTTGCGTGGAAACAAACGCATAAAAACAAAAAATACATTGGATAGCATTAACTAGAGATTAGCCACTGCAGGAAAAAAAAAAAAAAGAGTAGTAAACTTGAAAACCTACCACTGGGAACTGTCCAAAATAAAATAGAGGAAAAGACTGAAAAAAATTAATGAACCATCAGTGAGCTGTGGAACAACATCAAGTTGGCTAACATATATGTAATTGGAGTCATCAAAAGCAAAGAAGGGTGAGAGGAACAGAAAAAGTGTTTAAGAAATAATGGCTGAAGATTTTCCAAATATGATGCAAACTATAAACCCAAGATCCACAAAGCTCAACAACTCTCATTCAGAAAAAATATGAAGAAAAATATACCATGGCACATCATCAAATTGCTTACAGCCAGTGATAAACAGAAAAATCTTTGAAAGAACCAGAGGCAAAAAGTCACCCTGTTGATTCATATCCCTTATCTGAAATGCTTGGGACCAGAAATGTTTCAAATTTTTTATTTTGGGGGGAGATTTTTAAATATACGTAATGGGATATCTTGGGTGGGATCCAAGTTTAAACATGAAATTTATTATATATGTATACACACACACACACCTTACACACTTAGCCTAATGGTAATTTTATACAATATCTTAAATAATTCTGTGCATGAAATAAAGTTTGTGTACATTGAGACATCAAGAAGCAAAGATGTCACTCTCATAGTGTGCTGTGCACCTGCATTTGGACTGCGACCTTCACATGAGATCAAGTGTAGAATTCCACTTGTGGCATCATGTCACACCAAAAAGTTTCAGATTTTGGAACATTTTGAATTTTGGATTTTCAGATTAGGGATGCTTAACCTGTATGTTTATGCAATCAAAGATAAGGATTACAGCAGACTTCTCGTTGGAATAAATGCAAATAAGGAGACAGTGAAGCAGCATCTTTAATGGTTAAAAAGAAAAGTAAAAACTTTGAGTTCTATATTTAATGAAAATATTTTTCAAAAACAAAAATATGAAATAAAAGGCTTTTTTATTTGTACAAACTGAAATAATCACCAGCAGATTTGCACTGTAAAAATGTTTTAAAAATTCTTCAGGTATATTGAAAATGATGCTAGATAAAAATTGGATTTTCACAAAGAAATGAGGAGCACCAGAAATGGTAAATACAGGCTGGGCATGATGTCTCATGCCTGTAATCTCAGCACTTTAGGAGGCAAAAGTGGGTGGATCGCTTTAGCCCAGGAGTTCAAGTCCATCTTGGGCAACATGGCGATACCTCATCTCTACAAAAACTCCAAAAATTAGCTCAAGTATGGTGGTGTGCACCTGTACTACTCGAGAGGCTGGGATGGGGGGATCATTTGAGAATGGAAGGTTGGGGCTGCAGTGAGCTGTGATTGCACTCCAGCCTGGGTGATAGAATAAAACCCTACCTGGAAAATAAAAAAAATAAAAAGAAAAAAAAGGTAAATATAAAGACTTTATTTTTAATTCTTTTTAAAATATAGTTTTCTGTTTAAGCCCAAAATAATAACAATACAGTATGTGGTTCTGAGCATGTATAGAAGTTAAATGCATGACAACCATAGCATGAGGACTGAGAGAATGGAAAAGGTAGTATAGAGTTGTAAGGTTCTTGTACCATAAGAGAAGTAGTATAATGTTACTTTAAGGACTGGGGTAAGTTAAAGATTTGTACTATAAACCCTAAAGAAACATCGTAAAACTAAGTACTATAGCTAAAAAGGCAACAAAATAGATAAAATGAAATAACAATAAATTCTCAATCCAAAAAAAGATAAAAAATATTGATGGATTTATTAGACACAAATAGTCAGATGGTAGACTTTAATCAAACCTTAATAGTTAATAATAATGTCATATATTTTACAATAGCTAAAAGAAGGGATTTCAC
Organism: Homo sapiens; assembly: GCF_000001405.40. NCBI lineage: Eukaryota > Metazoa > Chordata > Mammalia > Primates > Hominidae > Homo > Homo sapiens. Next base: position 28,221,330 of record NC_000023.11, read on the forward strand.
ATCTTCTCATCACAAAGAAATGATAAATATTTGAGTGATGGATTTGCTAATTAGCCTGATTTAATCATTCCACAATGTATACATACATCAAAACTTGACACTGTGTCCCAGAAATATGTGCTATTATTATGAAAACAAAAAACCCAGCCATATGAATAATAAGATTATATTTAAGTGGTCTAAACATACCAACCGAAAGACAGAGTTTGTCAGATTGGATAATAAGAAAAGGAAGACCCAACCATAGGCCAAACCAGGAAATCCACTTTGAATATGAAGACAAAAATAGGTGAAAATTGAAAGAGTAAGAAAAGATATATCACACTAACGTTAATCAAAATAAGTCCAGAGTGTCTGTATTAATATCAGAAAAAGTAGATTTCAGAACTAAGAATATTCTTTAGGGTGAATCAGAAACTACTTTGAATAATCTAACTCCTGAAGAGCAACAAGACCTGGTGAATTAATAACTAAAATCTGAATTCTGCTCACTATCTACTTCTGTTTTCTTTTTTGACCTTTCTTTTTCTTATATATGTGATAAGGGATTTATATTAGAAGATTCTTATTTCTTGAACATTTGTAGAAGTCTAGATTTTATTTAGTTTTCTATCCCTAAAAACTCTCAAACTATCTGACAACTCATGGGTAATGCTTTTTATGATATTTATGAATGGGGTAAAATATGGCCTTTACAATCATCAAGTCTCTTGTAAAACTGGAGTTCTAAGGTTTTATATCAATAACCAGGTATTTTATAAAAGTTCATAAGATATTGAATGAAATAAAGATCTCACAGCAATTTAATGGGAGTTTTGTTGGTCAGTCTCCATTCTGCCCAAAATTATTCTTTGAAATTCCAATTAAACATTTTTAAAAAGAGTGTTCACTTTTAATTTCTACATTGATAGGTAGACCTAGAGGGTGATAAATAAAACCTGTTTCAGTGCCAGGCAACAGATGGCAGATAAAAGATATTATCATATACCTTCAACCAGGCAGGATAAATTGTACAAACATATTTTAGCAGCTGCTAAGTTAAACAGATATACGGGGCAGGTAAAAACAAACAAAAAAATCTCCAGTGATCCCATGGAGACTAATTAAGAAATTGTGCAGTTGTAAAGCTATATATTTCTGTAAATGCCAGCCTTTTCTCTGTACTTAATTGTTCCTTTTAAACATTTAACACATCTGAGAACTGTATCCTGTGTCTTGGTGCTCTATCTTAAGGAACCAGTAAAAAGTCCACAACCTCCCTGGGGGAAAGCAAAACTCAAGTTGACTGAGACCAGGTCAATTTCTAGCTAGAGGACTGACTGTTCTCAACACTGCAAGATATATCCTAATTGACTCATGAAATTGACTTGGCATGCTATAAGGTTTGAAGTCACACTGAACAACAGGGTGATATTCTGAGAAGAATAATGGTCCAGGTGTAAGAAAACATGCCTTACTTCTAGTAGTAACAATTATGGGAGGCCTGTAAGTCCCTGAGCATCTCATGGCTCAATTTCCTCATCTCTGCACAGGGGGAAATCATTCCTGCCCTGCCTATTTCACAGGCCTTTTATGGAAATTAGTAGAACAAAGAGAAGAAGTTGACAATAACTAGGGAACAATAAATTATTTATGTTATTCTAAATAATTTCAGGTTTATAGTCTCTAATATTATAAATTTCAGCTATATTTTCATTTTATTATTTTTAATTACTTTTATCATTTTGTTATTTTATCATGTTCTTATTTTCCCATCTATCATTTTATAATTTAACCTACCCCTTTGAATTACATAAGGAAAATTATCTAGTTCTCTAAAAAGGAAACTGATAAAGGGGTGGCCCAAGTTCAAAACTTCATTCATGACAGTCATCAATTTCTCTTCTGTGTAAGGAAGACTTTTCCCAACCATTTGAGCTTCCCAGAAAATGGAATATTCTGTTTTCTAAGGTAATGAGTTTTACTTCTGTGGATAGTATAGAAAGGATTGGTATTCCTTTGAAAAGAAGGAGGTAAATACATATTAAATGACCCCTGGCTGCCGAAAGGGTCCATGTCACACACAAAAAAAAAATTCCAAAGAACTCTAGACTCTAGTGATTTTCTTTCATAACAGGTCTTAGCCATGATGTGCAGGCAAAGTTAAGACTTGAGAAAATTAGGGAGACAAGAGGATAGGGAGGCCTTGCACGAACTGGATCTTTCTATGAGCTGGAAAATAACAACGTATTGCACCATCCTCTGGGTGCGATTTGTGAACAATGCGTCCCCCAGGTGACAATGGCAGTAAACATTCTGGTGTCCACTCTAAGCAGATAGTAAAGTAAGCAGCCACTGCTCTGGAACATTAACCAAGCCAAGTGAAATTCTGGTTAAATTCACTACTAGCAGACTAAAGGTCAACATAACAAACACACACACACACACACACACACACATTATTTGATATTTTGCAACGGTAATAATTACTCCTATTTCAACACATTTAAAATATTAAATTGTGTATATTTTCAATGTCAATATGTAGCTATAATTAATAGTAAAAATTAAATTCCCACATCTGTGCATAATCCAAACAATGAAACACACCTGATTTTTAATGTATAAGGGACTTGTGTTCATTGAAGAAGAAAATCTTTCAGCAATTATATTTTGGAAGAAAAGCAAATATTCCCTAGAGGTATATGTCCCAATATTTTCTTCAATTTTAAATAGCATTTGTCCAAGGTCACAAAAGTGGATAAGCCTGGGTTTGCACTAAGTCATTCGTAATTAGATCACAGTGGTGTCTGAGGGCTGTATGGCAGGAACCACTGTAAGGAATTTGCTTACATTGTTCTATTTAATCCTCCGTAGCTCCATTAACTCAATACTATTATGATCCTCTTTGTAGATGGGCAAACTGAAGTTGGAGGGATCCAGAGTCTCCCAGTTAGGATATCACAGATCTAGGATTCTCCCCAGACAGTCCGACTCCATAGCCAATGTGTTTAATTCTTGCATTCCACTGCTTTTGCAAAGTAAAAGAGGTACTTAAAATGACATATACATAGAAATACTATGATCAGCTTATCTTTTATCACAATGCAGAAACATAAATCCTTCCAATTCTTCAAACTTAATTTTATTTTTCATTTGTACTGAGTTAGTTTCTTAGGAACATGGTACACATTAATGATTTTAAGAACATCCACTCACTTGAACAGCATGTTGGGTTACGTAAACTTACGTTCTCTCAATGTGTGAGTACGATACTCTTTCGGATAGGAAACTGTGCTGTTATATATAGCCTCACAGTAAAAGTCTCTCATATTTAAAGGAAAAATAAAGCCAACAACTTAAAGAACTGAAAGGCAAGTAAGCTGCACAAATGCATTTTCACAGTATTACAGACCCTTATTTCACTTTTTCAAAAATAAGTAGGGGTAGTCATTTAGCAACATTTCCTGAAAACCCCAAACAACAGTCTATCTGGTAATTGCTTCTTGTAAAATGCGTATCCTACAAAATCACTTCTGTGGGATTACTGCCAAAAATATATAACCTGAAACTAACCATGAGGAAACATCAGAATGAGTCAAATTGAGAGACATTCTACAAAATAACTGCCCAGTACTCTTCCAAAATATCACACTCGTGAAAGACAAAGAAGGGCTGAGAAACTGTTCCTGATTAAAGAAGACTAAGGAAACATGACAACTAAATGCAACATGTGATCCTGGACTGAATCATGGACAAGGAAGAAAAAAATTGTTTTTGCTAACAAAAGATATAATTGGGACAATCAGTGATATTTGAATCAGATTTGTGGATTAGCTGATAATATTATAGGAAAGTTAATTTTAGAGTTAGACAATTGTACTGAGGTGATATAAGAGAATGTCTTTGTTTTAAGGAAATCATTAAAGGTAAAAGTGATTATTTTTGTAACTATCAAATATTGCAGGAAAAATGTATGCGTGTGTGTGTGTGTGCATTGTTCTTATGAGACCAATTTTGCGTGCCTTAACACCGTATTAAATTACATGTGGATTTATCAGATTACAACAGCCAACATGTTCACATTTGAAGCATTGAACATGCATTAGCGTCTTAGAAGATATGAATACAATATTGACAATGGTGTTTCCTTACTCACTTTATAAAATCTGACTCTGGATGATTACTTCTCTGTAAGCCACATCTGTAGGTTGGAATTCTGTTAACACCCTAGAGGTTGGCTTGGCTTCTCCAAGCAACAACATGAGAAAAGTGGGGTCTGATGATATTCCATCAGTGCAATTAACCTCTCAGCTCTCATCCCTGTTAATCCTAACTCCCGGACTCACTGGGTCATTTTACAGCCAGCACTGAGTATGCTGGAAAGCTCATGAGAAACTGGACTTTGATCCCTGGATGATTCAGATTCTGTCAATGTACTAATCTTGATAAGCCTTCTACCCAATTGTGAGTCTCAAATTCTTGAAAACCTCTGACCATAACCTCAAAATAATTCATGGCACATTGTTTCCAGGAATATATGAATCCTCATATTAAAAGAGGCACACTAATGCTTTCAATCCTTTATACCTTTGTCTAGTTTAAAATAAATTAAATATTTTAAATTCCCATGTTACTACTCTGTCAACTTCTTAGATGCTAGACTAAGCCCTATGCTTTGACAATTTCTCAGGGATACCTTTTGAAAGAAATATAGAAATATTTGGTCAATTAATTACCATTCAATCATAACATAAAAGTATTAGTAAATGAGGACCTTATATTTCTTAATGTGTCATAAAAATAAATAGATCTTTATTGATTCTTCATTGGGAGTGAAAATCCTTTGTTAAAGTAATCCCAAGATCTGCTGACTATGAAACTGATTCTCCATATAATGTGAATGAGTATAGATGAAAGAGAATTTTAAATACTTCCAAGCCATGTCTTCTGAGGAAAATATTCCATTTTACAATATGCTACTGACTAGAAAACCCTTAATTGTCCTTATTTTGAAAAATAGGTTAACTCTTAAGCTATTAAGAAGTTAAGAATCATCTTAACTCTTGGTTGATAAAGACTACCAAAGAGAAACTAAAGCAAGCAATAAAAATATAAAAGGGGAAGTTCCATTGAAACACCTCAAATGCATAATAATTTTAGTAATTTCTTATTTTAGTATAAAACTTCACTACGTTGAAAAGGTTTTACAAATATTTTCTAAAACACAGGTTGGAAGTAGGCCTCAATCCCAGCACCACTCCAGCTTCAATGCAAGGACACTTCTTTTTGTCCCATTGTGGTTCCTGAACATCTTACATTGGTATGCTTTTTTGTGTGTCAACATTTATGTTAGGATCACAGGGTATATGTGCAGGTTTGTTACCTGAGTAAATTGTGTGTTGCTGAAGTTTGGTGTATGAATGATCCCATCACCCAGGCAGTGAGCATAATACCCAATAGTTAGTTTTTCAACCCTTGCTCTCCTCCCGCCCTACCCCCTCTATTAGTCCCCAGTGTCAGTTGCTCCCATCTTTATGTCCATGTGTACTCAATGTTTGCCTTCCACTTATAAGTGAGAACATGTGGTATTTGGTTTTCTGCCCCTGCGTTAATTCACTTAGGATAATGTCTTCCACCTGCATCCATGTTGCTGCAAAGGACCTGATTTTATTCTTCTTTATGGCTGTGTAGTATTCCATGGTGTATATGTACCACATTTTCTTCATCCAGTTCACCGTTGATGGGTGTCCAGATTAATTGCATGTCTTTGCTATTGTGAATAGTGCTGTGATAAACATGTGAATACATATATCTTATTGGTAATATGATTTATTTTTCTTTGGGTATATACCCAGTAATGGGATTGCTGGGTTGAATTATAATTCTGTTTTAAGTTATTTGAGAAATCTCCAAACTGCTTTCCACAGTGACTGAACTAATTTACATTTCCAACAACAGTGTGTAAGTATTCCCTTTTCTCTGCAACCTTGCCAATATCTGTTATTTTTTTACTTTTTAACAGTAGCCATTCTGACTGATGTGAGATGGTATCTCATTGTGGTTTTGATTTGCATTTCTCTGATGATTAGTGATGTTCAGCATTTTTTTTCATGTGTTTGTTGGCTGCTTGTATGTTTTCTTTTGAGAAGTGTTTGTTCATGTATTTTGCCTACTTTATAAGGGTGTTGTTTTCTGCATGTTTAATTTTTTAAGTTTCTTATCCTGGATATTAGACCTTTGTTGGATGCATTCTGTAGGTTGTCTCTTTACTCTATTGGTAATTTCTTTTGCAGTGCAGAAGCTCTCTAATTTAATTAGTTCACACTTCTCAATTTTTATTTTTCTTGTAATTGCTTTTGGGGACTTAGTCATAAATTCTTTGCCAAAGCTAGTGTCCAGAATGGTATTTGTCAGGGTTTCTTCTAGGATTTTCTAGCGTGTAGGTGTGTGCTTTATTTCTGGATTCTCCTGTTCCATTGGTCTGTGTGTCTGTTTTTACCGGTACCATGCTGTTTTGGTTACTGTAGCCTTGCAGTATAGTATGAAGTCAGGTAGTGTGATGCCTCTGGGTTTGTTCTTTTTATTTAGAATTGATTTAGCTATTCAGGCTCTTTTTTGGTTCCATATGAATTTTAGAATAGTTTTGTCTGAATCTGTGAAAAATGACATTGATAGTTTGATATGTATAGCATTGAACCTGTAGATTGCTTTTGCAGTATGGCCATTTTAACAATATTGATTCTTCCTATCCATGAGCATGGGATGTTTTTACATTTGTTTGTATTATCTATGATTTCTTTCATCAGTGTTTTGTATGCTTTTATACCTACTAAATTTTGCTTATTTCATTTCCTTGTTCTGTAATTCTCTTGTTAATTCTACCCTTTCAAATTCTTGGTTTCTGCCAAACTCTTATCTATCCTTCAAGTGTCTATTACAATATCACCTCCTTGTTGACTACCTGCTCACCCAAGGTAAAATGAAAGGTTCTCTTATGGGGATCCTGCAGCACTTTTACATATACAGCCTATGGAATATTTCACATAGTCTTTATTAATACTGGATGATTGTGATGGCTATTTTTATATGTCAACTTGACTAGGTCACATTACTCAGAAATTCAGTCAAACATTATTCTAGATATTTCTGTGAAGATATTTTTAGATGACATTAACAATTAAACCAGTAGACTTTAAGTAAAGCAGATTACGCTCCTTAATGCTGGTGGGCCTCATCCAATCAGCTGAAAATCTTCATAGAAAAAGACAGACCTCTGAAGAAAAAGGAATTCTGCTAGCAAACTGCTTTTAGATTTGAACTGCAGTAGCAAGTATCAGCTCTTCCCTAAATGTCTAGCTTCCTGGCTCGCTCTCTTGCTCCCTCTCTCTTTCCATAGACACACACACACACACACACACACACACACGCACAAACACACACACACACACACACACACACACACACACACACACACACACCCTATTGGTTCTGTTTCTCTGGAAAACCCTGACTAAACTAATGTAGTAGGAGATACTGGAATGGTCGATTTTGAATCTCTATATTTTTCTGCACGTTTAGTTTTTTCCATAATTAAAATGTCACTTGAATTTTGATAGAAAAAAATGCAAAGAACTCAATATGATCTAGCTTTTGTTAAATTGGATGTACATACACTAAAATGCAAACAATTGTTATCTTAGGTTGACCCTTATTATTTTTTTCATTGCATTTGTGTTTTTTTTAATATTGTCCTGTAAAGAACTGTATTACTTATGTTAAGTAGGAGGAGAACAGCCACTTTCTAAGACAAAAATTTCGAATATTCCTTGAAATTAATTCGTGTCTCCATTTATCCCCAGGACTACTCCCACCCTTGTTTGAAGGCAGATTAATAAATTATTGAGGTCAGTCATTTTGGAAGGTGAATAGAAAGTGATGGAAACTATGGTGAACAGGAGAAGGCATCCTGCATCTATAAATGGTAGTGACTGTGGGCCCAGTGAGGATGCATTATTAAAAACTTTAAGATATGTGAGACATCATTTATTTGTAATATAATAATTTAAAAATAATAGCAAACTAAAAATAAATAAATAAATAAATAAATAAATAAATAAATAAATAAATACTGTGCTTTCCAAACAAACCACTGAGAATTCCAGTTTATGGCCTCAGGCTGATACCCTTTAAAAATCTATTTAAATTCTCAGGAAGAAATAATAAGCACAAATTATTATATATATATATAGTGTGTGTGTATATATATAAACAAATAAACAGTATATCCCATTGAAGATGTCATCTTTTAGTGTGGTACTGCACACTTCTGTGAGTTATTTACTAGTGTATGAATTTTAGAAACAGGATTAAAGAAACATAAATATTTGTTGACAAATGACAATTTACTTTATTTAAAGCAGGGTGATTCTATCATAATTTTTATCTGTCTCTCTTCAGTCAATTCAAGGGAACTCCCAAGCTAAAAATTATCCATAATATCTGTATAATATATAGATATTATATAGAAAGATATAGATGTATTTATATTTTTATATATAAATACAAGAGAAAAAAATCAATAAATCAATTACATCAATTCATGGGAATTCACAAGCTAAAAATTGCCGATTTATATAAATATATAAATACATCTATATCTACAGAGATAATATCTATACTTATAATATAGATATTATATATCTATACATATAATACAGACATTATATATCTATACATATAATACAGACATTATATATCTATACATATAATACAGACATTATATATCTATACATATAATACAGACATTATATATCTATACATATAATACAGACATTATATATCTATACACATAATACAGACATTATATATCTATACATATAATACAGACATTATATATCTATACATATAATACAGACATTATATATCTATACATATAATACAGACATTATATATCTATACATATAATACAGACATATATCTATACATATAATACAGACATTATATATCTATACATATAATACAGACATTATATATCTATACATATAATACAGACATTATATATCTATACATATAATACAGATATTATATATCTATACATATAATACAGATATTATATATCTATACATATAATATAGATATTATATATCTATACATATATTTATAAATGTAGATATAAATATATCTGATATATGTATATACCAACTTAAGAAGTCTCAAGGAGATCTCTTGCTGACTGCTGACATAATTTATTTAGATAAATGATTTTTAAGGGGGTTGGTATCACTCACCCCGGGGGAACATTTTAGGTTGTCAGAGTAATGGGAGTTACTAGGATGAAGTAGGCAGAGGTCAAGAAATACCCCAGCTTTTCCCAAACATAAAGAAATATCCTACTCCGCTGATAATTTTCAAACATCTTGGGTGGATATTCATGAATGTGAAATGCCTCTTTATAATTATCTGTGAGGAAAGCCTCATTTCATTTTACATAGAAACACAAAGAATGTTTGTAACGTTCTAAAATAATCTGAATTTTCCAGAAGTGCAACTTACATGTGAATTGAGGAAAGTTGTGCTTCGGTGTCTTCAGAATGGTTACCCTTGTTATTAATGACATAAGACAGCTTAAATTCTCCTTTAAATTGACCTTGAGAACTTTTTAGAAGTTTTATTTGGAAGTCAGCCTCAGCTCTATGCTTATCAAAACCATTTAAGTAAGTCATCTTCTTCAATGAAGCATGAAGCTTCAGAAAGAAAACAAGAGAAGAGGCAAATATAAGAAGGGGCCACCTACCTGGCCAGCCAGATGAGCTAAACTAATTCTGGATGAATCAATACGTTGAGCCAGCCTTAACCCAATTTCATCTGCCAGAAATACCTTCCCACGATGTCATCTGAATCCACCTAAGCTATTCATGTAGGCAGCAGGCACTCTCTTCGTGTTGTTATGGACTCCTGGAAACCTAATTAGACAGCAGCATAATAACAACGACAAAAAAAAACAAATAAATAAATGAAAAAAAAATCGTCCCTCCAACCTTTGCTTTCTCATTGCTACTATCACTATGGCCTAATAATTTTAGAGTACAGTATCGCTCTCATTCCGTCCTTACCATATCATGTTATGCCTACCTCATTGCTATTTTCATTTGTCATTTAAACAAAAAAATGCCCCCTTTAAATTTATCCTCTCATATATCCAATAAAATATCACATTGCATCACTTTTTTGGCTCCTACAAAGTTAAAACTTCTGAATCTGACATTACTAAACAAGCCAAACTCAGTGGTTAACAAGACATCCTGTAACAGCTTTATTTAACTCACACTGCCTTTTTATTACAGGTTTATTGAAGTATAAGTTACATACTAATTTATCTAAAGTATACAATTCAACCCAAAAAGAGACTTTGTACCCATAAGCAATCAATCCCAATTTCCCTTCTTCACCATAGCCCTATTCAATACTAATTCACTTTCTAATTACAAATTTGCCTATCCTAGACATTTCATATGAATGGAATCATACAATGGTCTTTTGTGACTGAATTCTTATACTTAGTATAATGTTATTAAGATTCATTCATGTTTTAGCATGTATTGCTGTTTCATTCCTTTTTATAAGCAAAGAGTATTCTACTGTATGGATATACCACACTTCGTTTACCCCTTCAATTGATGAACATTTGGATTGCTTCCACTTTGGACTCTTATAAATAATGCTGTTGTGGACATTTCTGTACAAGTTTATGTGTGACATATTATTTCTTTTGGATATATGCTGTATATTATGGAGTCATATAGTGACTCAATGTTTAACCTTTTGAGAAACTGCCAAAGTGTTTTCCAAAGTAGCCGCATCATTTTACATTCTCACAAGTAATATACAAGGTGCAAATTTCTCTGCATCCATGCCAAATTTTGTTATTGTCCATCTTTTTTACTATAGCCATCCTAATAGATGTAAAGTGGCACCTCATTGTGGTTTTGGTTTGCATTTCCTTAATGACTTAAGATGTTGAGCATCTTTTCATGTGCTTATTAACTATTTGTGTATAATATTTGGAGAAATATCTATTCAAATCTTTTTCTCATTTTTAAGTGGATTATTTGTCTTTTTAATTGAGTCATAAGAGTTATTTATGTATTCTAGGTACCAGTCCCTTTGTAGATATGTAGATATGTGATTTACAAATATTTTCTTATTACATAGGTTTTATTTTTGTTTTCTTGATGGTGTCCTTTGAAGCAGAAATATTTTTAATTTCGATGTAGTCCAGTTTATTTTTTCTTTTGTCATTTGTTCTTTTGATGTCATATCTGAGAAGCTATTCCCTAACCCAAGCTCACAAATATTTACTTCTGTATTTTCCTCTAAGAGTTTCATAGTTTTAGCTCTTACATTTAGGACTATGATCCATATTGAATTAATTTTTGTATATGGTATGCATTTGTATTTCAACTGCATTCCTTTGCATGTGGATATGTCCTGTATCAGTTAGCTTTTGCAGCATAACAAACAAAAACTTGGTGGCTTAAAACAATAGCCATTTTTTTTTCTCACAAGCCTGTGAGGCTACTGGGCAGTTCTGATCCTGGCTATCTTGCCAGATCTCTGCAATTAGCTGGAGGCTCTTTTGAAACTGAATGTCCTAGGATGGCCTCACACATGTGTCTTGTGGTTGTCAGGCTAGTTCATCTAGTGCGCCTCAGCTGTCCACATGGTGTTTCATCTTCCAATACGCTAACCTAGATTTCTTCACATGGTAGTCTCAGGTTTCAAGAACAGCAAGAGAAGATGAACTCAAATGAACAAACATCTTTCAAACTTCTGTTTGTGTCCTGTTGGCTAATACCCCATTGGAACCACAAGTTGCATGGCCAAGCCCAGAGTCAGTGTGTGCTAGTACTGCTTTGCTACAGTACTGACACCTCAATCCTGGGTATTACACAGTCATACCAAAAGTTCTAGTGTCTCCAGTGCTTATCTCCACAACTAGAATAGTTATTCTTTAGCATCCAATGCAAAAGAATGTATTAGAGTGCAATTCCTCATATCAGTGCCACCACCTGGTAATATCTGTCTATTTCTCAACTGTATCTCTGCAGTTAACTTTTGTGTATGGTGCGAGATAAGGGTCAAACTTCATTGCTTTGCATATTGCTATCTAGTTATTCCAGCACCATTTGTTTAAAAGACTATCCTTTCTCCCATTAAATCATCTCGGCACACTTGTGGTTAATCAATTGACTATAAATGTAAGAGTATATTCCTGGACTTTTAATTCTATTTCATTGATCTAGATGTTTATCCTTATGCCGGTACTACACAGTTTCTGTTACTGTAGTTTTGTAGTAAGTTTTTAAATAAAGAAATATGAGCCTTCCAGATTTGTTCTTTTTCAATAGAGCTGTGGCTATCCAAATACCCTGCACTTCCATATTAATTTTAGGCAACAAATCAACACTTGTTGATTCCTTCAAAAATTCATTCGAGATTTTATGGAGATTATGTTAAATCTGCTGATCAATTTGCAGAGTATTGCCATCTTAAAAATATTAAGTCTTCTGATCCATGAGTGTGGGATCTCTATTCACTTTAGTTCCTCTTTAGTTTATTTCAGTGATGTTTCATAGTTTTCAGTTTTCTTTTGTTAAACTTATCCCTCAGTACTTTATTATTATGTTGCTATTGTAATTGAAATTGTGTTTTTTAATTTCATGTTTGGAAAGTTAATTGCTAGTGTATAGAAATGCAATTGCTTTTGTACGTTGCTCTTTTATCTTGCAACTTTGCTGAACCCATTAATTAGTACTAATAGTTTTTTCATGGATTTCTTAGGCGTTCATATATAAGATCATGTCATCTGCAAATAGAGACAGTTTTATTTCTTCCTTTCAGTGCAAATATGTTTTATGTTTGTTTCTTGCCTAATTGTCCACATGAGTACCTTATAATGTGCACACAAGATTTTGCTTCCTCACCCTAGATTTTATTCTGTGTAGTTCTAGATTTTTTAGTCATTTCTAGTAATTGACAAACTGTCATTCTTACACTTCAACAGAATTATTCCCAAATATTATCATTGCCCTTCAGATGCAATACTTTTATGCTCATAGTGTACCTTTCCTTTCAGACACCCTCTGGTTAAAAGAAGTTTTGGAGAAAACAACAAACATAGTATCCCTAAAAAGTGCTAATCATGGTGTGTCATCAGCCTATGTTTGCCTCAGTGTTTCCACTTTGACTAATACAGATTTTGTTAGTAATCATGATAGTGGCCACTAACTTCCACATGCTTTATGCAGCACAAAAGGCAATTATAGATAATGATTAAGAGAAGTCATTGGATATGTACATTACACTAGACAACTCATTCTTTGGATTTCCATTTTCCCATTAGTAAAATGGTGATATAAGGGCTCTGAAAACATTATAATAGAGAATAAGGAATAAAATGCTTGTGAAGTGCTCAGCATAGAATTTAGCACATAATAAACATATTATGCCTCTTTAATAACAATAATAATTCTTATTATTTGTATTATTACTATATTACTTAATCTCCACAACCACTTTTCCTGCTGCCAGGTTGTATTAGTCAGGGTCTAATAAGGAAAACAAGTATTTCAGAGGAGAGTGCAGAGCAAGATGGCAGAATAGGACTCTCTAGTGATTGTCCCTGCACAGAAACATCAGTTTGAACAACTATCCATGCATGAAAATACCTTCACAAGAGTTAAAGAAACCAGATACACAGAACCTGGTTATAACATAATAGTGAGAAAAGGTGCATTGAAGAGGGTTGGAAGGACAACTTTTTAAAAGTATTTCAGTGAGATAATTTAATACAGGGAACTAACTATAGAGGTTGTCAACAGAGCAAAGTGAGGAAATCCAGAAGATAAACACTACAGGAAGTGCCTAACAATCATACAGGATTTAAAGGGAAAAAAATATTTTAGTTGATCTCAGGAGAGGCAATCACCCAGAGATAGCTTGGAAATTTGGAATAGGTGACACCTGAGAGGCTATCCAAGCAAGAACTGGAAACCTGGAGAAGAAGGCTACCATGGAGGGTAGGGCCTAGGAGAAGCTAGAACCAGACAAAAGAAAATGCCCAGCAGGAGTTTAAGCAACAAAAGACAGGAAGACTCTGCTGGAGATGCCACCCTAAGCAGAGAAAGAGGGAAAAAAATAATCTGATTTCTCTCCTACTCCTGTCTTCCAATGTCTTGTCAAAGCTACACACTGGCTAAGCCTAACTAGAAGCTATGTTGCCTAGGACATGTAGTATGCAAGTAACAGATCCCTAAGAAATAGCAAAGAGCCCAGATGGATCTGAGAGCAAACATGCAGACGTCTGGCACAGAGGCTAAGTAAGTTTAAGAATCTTGTCTGAGGTCACTGCAGAGTGAGAATTTGGCTTGTTAGTACTCTCTATCATAATATGCAACCTCTCTAGATTCTTTAAAAAAAAACAACACTGGAGGATGCTTGGAATAAACCAAAAATACACAATAATTTAATAAGTAATTGACTTGGTAATTGGTTGCACTCTGCTTTCTTTTTAATGCAGGCTCAGATTGTTTTACTAGTACTAAAATCATACAAATCATACAACTAATCTGATTATTTCTGTCGTTGCTTAAAAGAGCCAATTATAGCTGCAACAATAGATAAAGAGAGAGGAAGCGGGGAGAGAGAGAGATAACTCAAGTACAGTGAGTTAAGTTAATTATTCTACTCAGTTGATGGTATACTGTCCCATATAAGGACCCAATTTTGTCCTTATTAATAGACTTAATACTTGACAAATTCCCTTTTTTCTTAATACCCTATTCTCACCTTTCTTCTCTTGCCTGAGGTAACCATTTAGGTTGAATCTTTATACAGGCATACCTTGGAGAGATTGCGGGTTTAGTTCCAGATGATCACAATACAGCACATTTCACAATAAAGTGAATCATATGAATTTTTTGCTTTCCCAGTGCATAAAAGTTATGTTTATACTATACTGTAGTATATTAAGTGTGGAATAGCATTATTATGTCTAAAAATGTACATACATTAAATAAGAAATAATTTATTGCTAAAAATGCTAATGATCATCTGAACCTTCAGTGATTCCTAATATTTTTGCTGGTAGAGGGTCTTGCCT
This sequence comes from Homo sapiens, assembly GCF_000001405.40. Taxonomy (NCBI): domain Eukaryota; kingdom Metazoa; phylum Chordata; class Mammalia; order Primates; family Hominidae; genus Homo; species Homo sapiens. The sequence goes on from NC_000023.11 coordinate 28,236,472, forward strand.
TGATGAGTATGGCTGCTGACTGGTCAGGGTCGTGGTTGTTGAAGTTTGGGTGGCTGTGGCCACCCAATGTCTTAAAATAAAATAATAAGATTTGCCATGTCGGTTGACTCTTCTGTTCATGAAGATTTCTCTGTAGCACATGATGCTGTTTGATAACATCTTACTCACAGTAGAACATCTTTTGAATTTAGAGTCAATCCTCTAAAACCCAGCTATTGCTTTATCAACTAAGCTTATGGAATATCCTAAAGCCTTTGTTGTCATTTTAACAGTGTTCACAGCATCTTCACCAGGAGTAGATTCCATCTCAATAAATCACTTTCTTTGCTCATCCATAACAAGCAACTCCTCATCCATTCAAGTTTTATCATGAAATTGCAGCAATTCAGTCACATCTTCAGGCACCACTTCTAATCCTCTTGCTATTTCCACCATATCTTCAGTTAATTCTTCCACTGAAGTCTTGAACCCCTCAAAGTCATCTATGAAGTTTGGAGTCATCTTCTTCCAAACTCCTGTTAATGTTGATGTTTTGAACACCTCCCATGAATCATGAATGTTCTTAATGGCATCTGGAATGGTGAATCATTTCCAGAAGGTTTTCAATTTACTTTGCTCAGATCTATCAGAGGAATCACTATGGCAGCTATAGCCTTACGAAATGTATTTCTTAAATAATAAGACTTGAAAGTCACAATGACTCCATCCATGGGCTGCAGAATGGATGTTGTGTTAGAAGGTATGAAAACAACATTAATCTCTTTCTACATACCTATCAAAGCTCTTAGGTGACCAGGTGCATTGTCAATGAGCAGTAATATTTTGAAAGGAGTCTTTTTTTTTTCCTGAGCAGTAGGTCTCAACAGTGAGGTAAAATATTCAGTAAACCATGCTGTAAACAGATGTGCTGTCACCCATGTTTTATTGTTCCATTTATAGAGCACAGACAGAGTACAATTAGTATAATTCTTAAGGGCCCTAGGATTTTTGGAATGGTGAATGAGGATTGACTTCAACTTAAAGCCACCAGCTGCATTAACTCCTAAGAGAGGCAGCCTGTCCTTTGAAGCTTTGAAACTAGGCATTGAGCCCTCTCTAGCTATGAAAGTCCTAGATGACATCTTCTTCCAACAGACAGCCCCTGTTTTTTAGTGTATCCATCTTTATGAATTACCTTAGCTAGATTTTCTGGATAACTTACTGTAGCTTCTACATCAGCACTTGCTACTTCGCCTTACACTTTTATGTTATGGAGGTGGCTTCTTGCCTTAACCCACATAAACCAACCTCTGTTATCTTCTAACATTTCCTCTGCAGCTGCCTCACCTCTCTCAGCCTTCAGAGAATTGAAGAGAGTTAGGGTATTGCTCTCGATTAGGCTTTGGTTTAAGGAATGTTGTGGCTGGTTTGATCCTCTATCCAGACCACTAAAACATTATCCACATCGGCAATAAGGCTATTTTGCTTTCTTATCACTTGCATGTTCACTGGAGTGGCACTTTTAATTTCCCTCAATAACTTTTCCATTGCATTCACAACTTGGCTAACCATCTGGCACAAGAGGCCTAATTTTCAACCTATCTTGGCTTTTACTAAGATGCCTTCTTCACTAAGCTTAATCATTTCTACTTTTCGATTTAAAGTGAGAGACTTGTGACCCTTCCTTGAACATTTAGAGGACATTGTGGGGTTATTAACTGGCCTGGTTTCAATATTACGTCTTAGGGAATAGGGAGGCCTGAGGGGAGAGAGAGAGAGAGAGATAAGGGAATGGCTGGTCAGTGGAGCAGTCAGAACACACACACACAACATCGATTGATTAAGTTCACTGTTTTATACGGGTGCGGTTTGTTGTGCCCCAAAACAATTCCAATAGTTAACATCAAAGATCACTGATCACAGATCACCATAACAGATACAATAAGAATGAAAAAGTTTGAAATGTTGTGAGAGTTGCCAAAATGTGACACAAAGACCGAAAGTGAGCACATGCTGTTGAAAAAGTTATGCCAATAGACTTGCTCAATGCAGGGTTACCATAAACCGTCAGCTGGTCAAAGAAGTGCAACATCTGAAAAGTAGAATAAAGTGGAGTGCAATAGAATGAGGTATCCCTGTATATGTTCTTGCAAAACATGTGTTCTTTTGTGTGCATATACTTTTATGTTTTAATTTATATTTTTAACAGCTTTGAGTATAATTGATATACAAAGAACTGAACATATTTGATGTATACAGTTTGATGAGTTTGGACATATACATACAGCTGTGATACTGTCATCACAATCAAGGCAAAAGCTATGTTCGACACCTGCCAAAGTTTTCTTGCATCCCTTTGTTTTTGTTTTCGTTTTCATTTTTTGGTCGAGGGAGAGTGGATAAGAATACTTAACATGAGATCTAGCCTTTTAACACACTGTGAAGTGAACAATGCCACATTTTTAACTATAGACATTTTCTGGTAGAACAGATTTTTTAAAATTTTATTTTATTTTATTTTAAGTTCCAGGATACATGTGCAGGACTTGCAGGTTTGTTACATAAGTAAACGTGTGCCATGGTGGTTTGCTTCATCTGTTGCACCTATCAACCCATCACCTAGGTATTAACCCCCGCATGCATTAGCTATTTATCCTGATGTTCTCCCTCCCCGCCGGCATCCCCTACAGGCCCCAGTGTGTGTCGTTCCCGTCCCTGTGTCCATGTGTTCTGATTGTAGAACAAAACTTCAGAACTTACTTATCTAGGCTGGACACCGTGGCTCATGCCTGTAATCCCAGCACTTTGGGAGGCCGAGGTGGGTGGATCGCTTGAGGTCAGGAGTTCGAGAGCAGCCTAGCCAACATGGTGAAACCCTGTTTCTACTGAAAATACAAAAATTAGCCAGGCATGGTGGTGCGTGCCTGTAGTCCCAGCTACTTGAGAGGCTGAGGCACAAGAATCGCTTGAACCTGGGAGACGGAGGTTGCAGTGAGTTGACATAGCATCATTGCACTCCAGCCTGGGCGACAGAGAGGGACTCCATCTCAAAAAATAAAAATAAACATAAAAATAAGAACTGACCTATCTAGTATAACTGAAACTTTAAACCCACTGAACATCAGCTCCCTGTTTACCCCACTCCCAGTTCTCAGCAACCGCTATCGTATTCTCTGCTTCTATGAGTTTGACTATCATAGATACCTCATGTAGGTGGAAACAGGGAGTATTTGTATTCTATGACTGGCTTATTTCACTTAGCATGTCTTCCAGTTTAATTCATGTTGTTGAAAATGGCAGGATTGGCCGGGCGCGGTGGCTCACACCTGTAATCCCAGCACTTTGGGAGGCCGAGGCGGGCGGATCACGAGGTCAGGAGATCAAGACCATGGTGAAACCCTATCTTTACTGAAAATACAAAAAATTAGCCGGGCACAGTGGCGGGCGCCTGTAGTCCCAGCTACTTGGGAGTCTGAGGCGGGAGAATGGCGTGAACCCAGGAGGCAGAGCTTGCAGTGAACTGAGATGGCACCACTGCACTCCAGCCTGGGTGACAGAGCGAGACTCCGTCTCAAAAAAAAAAAAGAAAGAAAGAAAATGGCAGGATTTCCTTTTTAAGGGCAAATAATATTCTGCTGTATGTACATATCACATTTTTTAAAATCCACTCATCTGTCAATGAACATTTAGGTTATTTCCATATTTTAGCTGTTGTAAATAGTACTGCAATGATCATATGAATGCAGATATCTCTTTGAGATCTTGATTTCGATTTTTAAAATATATATCCATGAGTGGAATTGCTGTGTAATATGGTAGCTCAATTTTCAATTTTTTTAGGTACCTCCATAGTGTTTTTCATAGTTGCTGCACCATTTTACATTCCTAATAACAATATACAAGGGTTCCAGTTATCCACACCCTCACCAAAACTTATCTTCCTTTTGTTATGATACCCTTCCTAACAGATGTGATATTTCACTGGAGCTTTGATTTGCATTTCCCTGATAATTAACAATGCTGAGTGACTTTTCACATACCTGTTGGTCATTTGTATGTCTTCTTTGGAGAAATGTGTGTTCAGTACTTCACTTATTTTTAATTGGGTTATTTGGGGATTTATTGTTGTTGACTTTTAGGAGTTCCTTGAAGATTCTGGAGGTTAACCTCTTATCACACATACGGTTTGCACATATTTTCTTCTATCATATGCAATGGTGAAATATTGAAAGATATTTTTCTACGATAAGGAATAGCCTAATTGTGCTGACCTTAGTCACTTCTATTAAACATAGTACTGGGAATCCTAGTAAGAACAATTAGGCAAGAGAAAGCAATAAAGGTAATCCAAATTTGAAAAAAGACATAAAATTGTCTGTTTCCACATGACATGATCCACACGTAAAAAACTCTGAAGACGCCACAAAAAATGTTAGAACTAATAATTTCCTAAAGTTGCAGGATACAAAATTAATATACAATCATTAGTTGCATTTCTATCCACCATTTAAAAATAAAATTGTTTCTTAAAAATGCCATTTTTAAAATCATCGAAAAGAATAAAATACTTAGGAATAAACTTAACGAAGGTGGTAAAAGACCTGTACAGTGAAAATTACAAAACACTGATGAAGTAAATTAAAGGAGACACAAATAAATGGAAAGACATCCCACGTGTATGGATTGGAAGATTTAATATTATAATAACATTTTATGTTCCAATAACTGAGCTTTTCTTGGAAAAGCTTTCTTTTCTTTTCTGAGCTTTTCTTGCTTTAATAACATACTCAAAACATATGGTTATGTAGATAACCATCCAAAGTTATCTATAGATTCAATGTGTGTGTATATATATATTTAATGCATGTAAAAATAGCATGTTTTACTTCTCATTTTGCTTATTAATTTTTGACACTAACCTCCATTTATGCTTTTAAGATCTACACATGTTGCACTTTGTAGATCCAATCTATTGCTTGTAACTGTTAATAGTATTCCAAGTTGTGCAACTACCATATTTTACCTGAACACTCGCCTAGGGATAGACACACAGTCTGCCTCCATTTTCCAGGCATACCATCAACACTGCATTAAACATCCTTGTGCATGTACCCTGATGCATCTCTATGAAATTTCCTTATCATATAAACTCAGGCTCAAAATTGCTAAAGCTTAGTCTATGTGTGCATTTAATTTTACTAAGTAGTGTGGATTGCTCTACTAAATAGATGAACTGATCTGTAGTCCTAAAAGCAAATGATAAAGATGACTGTCGCCAGATCTCTGAACACATTTAGCACAGTGTAACTTTCTAATTTTTGTCAGTCTAGTAGGTGTAGAGCGATCTCATTTTCTTTTGATTTCTATTTCTGTAGATGACAATAATTTTTAGAGTCTTATCACATGCTTGTTGTCTTTTGAGGTTTCATTCAGCAAATTTCTCATTATATCTCTTTTCCATTAGTTTTTGCAATTGGAATTGTCTTTCATTCTTTATTTGCACATAATTTTATACAAAAGATAAAATCCTTCTTTATTTCAGATGTGGCAAATAATATATTTTTCCACTTTGTCAATTGTGGATTAAATTTGTCCAGTGTTTTTTGTTTAATAGAAATCCTTAATTTTCACATAATCAAATTCATAACACTTTTGCCATATTGTTGGTGTTTTTAAAGGAAGTTTTTCCTTTCTATGAATCATGCCCTTCTAAATTCTTTAAAATTAATGTTATTGTTTTGCCATTCAAATTTTGTCCTTTAATCTGATTATAAACCAGCATTTCATGTAGCAGTAAATAATCAATAATCCAGTTTTATTTTATTTCATATGGTGATCCAGTTTTCCCAACATCCTCTATATAGCAGTCCGTTTCCCCCATTGACATGTGTTCCATAATTGTGTCAAGTTCCCTTCTACATCTGTCTCTGAACTCACTGTGGTATTTCATTTGCTGAGCTTTCCTTGCTTTGATAATATACTCTTTTAATTCTGGACTTAGTTTTATGTCTTAATATCAGGTATAGACAGTCCTCCATCTTTAATCTTCTTTTTAAAGATTGACCTATCTATTCTGGATTTTTCTTCATCCATACAGTGTTTGGAGCAAGTTTATAAATTATCTTAAATATCATGCTACAATTTTCACCGGAATACTATTGAATTTTTTAACTAATTTGTGGGGAATTGCTGTCTTTATATCTATCAATCAAAAGCATCGAATATTTTATATTTTTATTGGAGTTTTAAAGTTTCTTTATGAATATCTTATTTATTCTTGTTTAAACTAATTTTTAGATTACAAATAGCAAGTCATTATTTCATCATATGTTCTAATTAGCTACTCCTGACTATTTTTATAGGATAACTTTGCTTCCAACAACACAGCTGATTCCGATAGTTTGTCCGCACTCTGTTGATTTTTCTAGGTAAATGATCTTTTCATTCACAAAAAAATATCACCTTTATTGTCTTACCTTCCAATCTTGAATAGCTCTGTTTTCTTTCTTTAGTTTTGGCTAGGTCCTCCTGTCCTAAATTAAAATGTAGCAGCGATAGTAGACACTCTTGCCTTTGTTCAAATCATAAAGAAAATGCAGCAAAGTTACTCCAATAAGCATAATATTTGCTGTAATGAGTTATAATACAGATTCACCAAGATGAGGAAGTTCCTTTATATTCTTGGCTTGATAGAAGTTTCCATTTAAATTGCAGAAGAGTTGTATCAAATATTTATTCTGTATTGATTGAGATAATTATATGAATTCTCCTTTGATCTGTTTACATTAAAAGCAATATTGATAGATTTTCTGATGTTGGAATGTTGTTGCATTTTCGTGATACCCCTACTTGACTGTGTTGTGAAATACATCATTAGATATAGTTTGTTAATATTTTACTCGGAATATTGGCATCTATATTTATAAGAAAACAGAGCTATTAATTTTGTTATTTGAAATTATCCTTATTTGATTTTGCAATCAAGATTGCACTATCCTGATAAAATGAGATGGGCAAACGTGCTCCTGTTCTGTATTCTGATCAATGATGTACGAGAAGAAATAATTGTTCCTTAAAAGTGCTGGAACTCACGTGTAAAACCATCCAATTCTGGAGTGGTTTTTTGATTTGTCTGTTTATTTTTTTTTTCTTTTTGAGGGAAGAGTGTTTATCAGCCATTTAGCCATTTCAATTGCTTTGATTCTTATAGGTCTATTGAAATTCTCTATTTCTTCTTGCATCGATTTAGACATTTTACATTTTTTAGGAGATAGTATAGTTCAATCACATTTTCAGTAATAGTATATATTTGCACATGTACTTATTCTAAATTATTTACTGTATAGGTTTTTCTTCTTTCTCATTCCGCCTTTTGTTTATTTTATATCTTATTTTTTTCTTGACTACATCGTAAAAAAATTTGTCTACTTTGTTAGACTTTTCAAAGTATAACCTATAACCTTTGATTTTGTTAACCTTCTATATTACCATTCGTCACTATTGCATTAATTTCTACCCTTATCTTTTATTTATTTTAGATTTTTTTAAGTTTTACTTCTTGGTATTTATCAAACTACTTGAATTTAAATGTTTAGTTCATTTATTTTAAACCTTCCTTGTTTTCCAACAATGAATTTGAAGCTACAAAGTTTCCTGTACATACATTCGTATTTGTGTCCTTTATATTGTGACATGTAGTATTTTGATTGTCACTTGGTTCCAAATGCTTCTTTACTCCTTTTTATTTCATTTTTTATCAAAAGATTATTCTGGCATATGTTTTGGCCTTTTCCTGAAATATCATATATTTAAACCAATATTTTGTCACTAATTTCTATTTTGTTGCATTGTAATCGGAGAACACGATATCGATATTGATCACTTGAACTTCATTAAGGCTTGTTTTATGGCCTAAACTTTGGTCTATTTTTTCCATCACATTTCCAGTATTTCCTGGGAAGAGTTCTATACATATGTAAAAATCGAACTGTATTATTCAAATCTTCAATATCTCCACTGATTACTTATATGTTTGATGTATTATTTTTATTTAGATGAAAATGGTAACAATCTCCAGGTAAATTTGATGATTTCATTATTTGTCTATTTTTCTTCATTTCTACTAGGTATTTGACATATTTTGAGGATGTAAAGTTAGGAGTAGATAGCTTTTTGATGATATATATTCTTGATTTTTTTTCCTTTTACAAGTATGTAATTCCTTCTTAGGGGTTCATAATACATTTGACTTAAATTTTATTTTGTCAGTAATTGGGATTATTACTCAAGTTTTTTTGATTGGCATATATATTTCCCATTTTTAAAATGTTCAACCAGTTCATAACCTTTCATATTAAGTATTTCCTCTATAGATTCTTTGAATCAGTTACTTTTAAATATTTACATTTGTATTGTATATGTTAGGACACGTTTCTTTTCCCTGTTTTATGTTTTTTCATTTACTTTTTTTACTCCTTTTTTCCCTCCTTCCTGCTTTCCATTGGCTAGATTTCTTCTCTTGGCTTAAAATTTAAACATTCTAATTTACCCGAACATTGTAAATTAAGGTGCATTCATGTATTTGTTTACCACTATTGATATTTTAAACCGTATCTGCATACACATTGACTCTTTAAAAAAGACAAGTACACTAGCACACATTTATTTCCCTTTGGTTCCTCACTCTAATGTGATAAAAATATCTAAATTTTTTCTTTTTTAAAATTTTTCTTAGAAACAACATAATTTTACCAGATAAAATTATTTTATTCATGATTAACATAGTTCTTTCATTTTCCACTGAATTTGTTTTTCTTTAATTACAACGAAAGGTTTAAATACTGATTTGTTTATTTAACCTATAACAACCATAACAGTCTGGTTAAAAATTTCCAAGAGAGCATACCCTTTTAAGCAGAAAATAGTACAGAAGACAAAATAAAAATAAAATGCCTTTTCTTTGTTTCTAGATCTCTTTTTTTAATTTTTAGTTTTTGTGGGTAGATAGTAGCTATACATGAGATGTTTTGATACAGTCATGCAATGTGTAATAATTACATGATGGAGAAGGGGGTATCTATCCCCTCAAGCACATATCCTTTGTGTTACAAACAACATAATTATACTCTTTTATTTATTTTAAAATATACAATTAAATTATTACTGACTATATAGTCACCCTGTTGTGCAATCAAATAATTGATTTTATTCAATATTCTTTCTATTATTTTGTACCCATTAACCATCCCCACTTCCCCCTTCAACCTCCACTCCCTTTCTTGGCCTCAGGTAACCATCCTTCCACTCCCTATCTCCATGAGTTCAATTGCTTTGAATTTAGATCCCACAAATAGGATAGAACATGCAATGTTTGCCTTTCTGTGCCTGGCTTATTTCACTTAACATAATGATCTCCCGTTCCATCCACGTAGTTGTAAATGACAGGATCTCATTCTTTTTTATGGCTGAATAGTACTTACTTGTGTATATATACCACATTTTCTTTATCCATTCATCTGTTGATGGACACGTTGCTTCCAAACCTTGGCTACTGTGAATAGTGCTCCAACAAACATGCAAATGCAGATATCTCTTCAATATACTGATACATTTTCTTTGAGGTATATACCCAGCAGTGGGATTTCTGGATTGTTTGGTAGCTCTCTTTAGTTTTTTGAGGAACCTCCATACTGTTTGCCATAGTGGTTGTACTAATTTACATTCCCTCCAACAGTGTACGAGAGTTCCCTTTTTCTACATCCTTGCCAGCATTTTTTATTGTCTGTCTTTTATATATAAGCCATTTTAACTGGGGTGAGATGATATCTCATTGTAGTTTTTATTTGCATTTCTCTTTTCATATGCCTGTTTACCATTTGTATGTTTTCTTTTGAGAAATGTCTATTCAGATCTTTTGCCCAATTTTAGATTGGATTATTAGATTTTTTTCCTATAGAGTGGTTTGAGTTCTTTATATCTTCTGGTTATTAATCCCTTGTCAGATGGGTAGTTTGAAGATATTTTTCCCATTCTGTGTGTTTTCTCTTCTCTTTGTTGATTGTTTCCTTTGCTGTGCAGAAGCTTTTTAACTTGATGTGATTCCATTTGTCCATTTTTGCTTTGGTTGCCTGTGCTTGTGGGGTATGATTTAAGAAAGTTTTGCCCAGTCCAATGTCCTGGAGAGTTTCCCCAATGTTTTCTTGCATGTTTGTTTCTAGATTTCTTACTGTACTAGGGCAGCCTACATTTTTATGTAGTAGATAAAAGGTTAAACTCTCTCCTTCAAAAAGTCATAAGTTTCAGGTCTCCCTTTTCAAGAGATGATTTCAAGAGTTTTTTAGAGCTTTCTGAAAATTGGAAATAACCTCTTTCACCACAATATGAACAGGAATTCTGATTAACTTCAACATAAAAGTATTGCACAATCCAATTTAATACATGTTTTTTGTTTGTTTGTTTGTTTGTTTGAGACGGAGTTTCACTCTTGTTGCCCAGGCTGCAGTGCAATGGCTCGATCTCGGCTCACTGCAACCTCCGCCTCCCGAGTTCAAGAGATTATCCTGCCTCTGCCTCCCGAGTAGCTGGGATTACAGGCATGCACCAACCACGTATGGCTCATTTTGTATTTTTAATAGAGATGGGGTTTCTCCATGTTGGTCAAGCTGGTCTCGAACTCCCGACCTCAGGTGATCCGCCCACCTTGGCCTCCTGAAGTGCCAGGATTACAGGCGTGAGCCACCGCGCCCGACCTAATACATGTTTTTAATTAAACTAGGTAAATGACTCATGGGTGAACTAAGAACATAAGCATTAACAATTCAGGATCCCACAATAATAATTTTGTTCAAGAAATAATTACACTTCCTTTAAAATTCAAAAATGTGCAGGCATATAGGAAAATCACAACGAAGTTAACTAATATAATTACACTTTTAAAAAACAATAATTTAGGAAAAAGATACCCATTTTCATCAGTTTCAGAGACAAAGTTGTCTAATAAGAAATGAATTGGTAGGAACAGAGGGTATATGGGAATTCTGTACTTTACACTCAATTTTGCTGTGAACCTAAAACTACTCTAAAGAATAAACTGTGTTAATTGGAAAAAGAAAATAAATCAGTGATTGGCCTTTTCATGCCAAATATCTCTTACTAAACTTGGAACTTAAAATATTTTTTGAATAATTGTCATTATCTACCTTCAAAAAAACAGGAATAGGGCAAAGCTGTTTAATAACTCCTTAATCGATCTTTACATAGAAGAGTACTTCTCCTTGGAAATGGGATTACTAGTGTAGAAGTGAGTCTTTTTTGCTTAGGTATGCACAGATTAATAAATATATGGCCGTTCATAAAATATTTCCTAATAAAAAATTTCTAAATTACTCTAGAGGACTCTGAGCAAACTGCAGTGGTCATAAAAGGTATTTGCAGTCAATTAAAAGTGTAGGTAGAAATCTAATGCAGAAGAATTCAGTACCATTAGGTAGTTCAGCATTTACCACTTCTCAGGTAAAAATCTGTAAGATTACTTCCACAGATTCAAGTTCCCTTAGTATAAAATAGCTTTAAATAATCACAATAATATAACCAGAATCCAGTACTGTCAATTCAGTCCTCCTCAAATTTAACCATATGTGATTATATTTATCATATCAGTAACCCTGTAGACTCAATGCCAATTATACCGTGCATATTCAGTATTTGAAAAGTGGCTTGTTTTCTAGCCTAAGGGAAAAAGTCATGGATTTAAATTCTTTCTCCTAGATCTGGACACTAGGTTTTCCTTCATTATATAGGAAGTTGTTGGTGTCCGTAGTCATGTTGCCCTAGTATTTGCTTACAGTGTCACCCAGGACAAAGTTATTTACCTCTGAGCATCAATTTACTTTTCTATTAATAGTAGCTGACACTAAAATTGTTATTTTTATGTGCAAAGAATTCTTATATATGTATAATTTGATATTTGTGATAAACCCTTTCTTAGATCTTATTTTTATTCTCATTTTTTAATAGTGGATACTAAAGCACTAATACTAAAGTGCCTTGCCCAAGATCACACACTTGGTCAGTGGCTGGCATTGGTACCCAAGCAGTCTGATTCCAGAGTGAATAGAACTTATTCCACAAGGTTGTTGTGATGATAAAATGCTATAAACTCTATAAAGCATTCATACCAGTTATACGGCCCCAATAACGATTACTAAATGTTAACTAATCAGGACATAATAGTATGTGTATGCAGGGGATGGGAGGGTGAGGCCTTGAGTTTAGATTTTTGATGTAAAATAAAGTACAGTTACCCATATAGACATAAAGTCATTGCTTCTTTCTATGCTAAGATATTAATTTGTTATAATAAAACATTTAAATTATACTATGATTTTTGTAATCACATTTTGACATCTCTGCATTTTAAAACCGTCCAATGTCCATTAAAAATGGAAACCCATACAAATGAAATACTATTGGACAATAAAAAAGGATAAAGTACTGATATATGCTGCATGGATAAATCTCAAAAACATTGTGCTAAGTGGAAGAAGCCAGAGATCAAGACCACAGATTATATGACTCCACTTGCATTACATGTCCTTAAATGGAAAATATAGAGAGACAGAAAGTAGATAGTGATTGCCTGGGATTAGGAGTGGGAATAGGAGTGATTTTAAATAGGCATGATGTTTCTTTTTAGGGTGATGAAAATGTTTTAAAATTGGATTATGGTGATGGTTGTACAACTCTGTAAATATGCTAAAATTTATTTAACAGTACTCAAAATAGGTGAATGTTATAGTATTTCAATAAAGCCTTTACAGAATATGGAAGTACCCTAGGTCTTGCATAGCTTCTGAGAACATCTGCAATTAAGTGCTTGGGTGCCCTGAAGCAAATCCCTTCTGTTTCCTCATTCTGTCTAGCAGAGAACTTCATGGATTAGCTAACAGCTGTATCCTGGAGGATTGGAATCATGTCTGGTTTTGCTCACCATTGTATCTCCAGTAGGAACTTTAATTTGGCTTTAATTTTCCCTAAAATACAGAATCCGCTTGTCTACAACAAGCAGTACTATTGCTATGATTTCCAAAGTCTAACTTTATCAATTTATATCTGATTGTGAGTCAGGGCCACCATCCTCCTAACATCCAAACATCCTAACATCCAAACTGAATGAAAAGTGACATGACTTAAAAGAGCTGAAAAATTATGATGCTTATATATCCTGAAAATACTGATGATGAACAATTCTTTAGTGTTTATCTTTTTAAACAGTTTTAAATAGTTTAGGAATTTTTATCAACATTATATCTGCACCAAATAAGTAAGAATCTTTAGGACCTTTGGTTAAGAGATTAAACTTCTATAGGAGAGTAAGAATAAATATGTAATGAAGTACAGATATTTCTACTCTAGTGTATGGATGGTGAATATTTACATCACTTGGAATCAACAGAAAACTATATATATAATCTGTGTAGATATATAAAAGTGGGTTTTCCAAAAAGAAGAAAAGATAGAGTTCAGATGTAGAAAAAAGCGAGGATGAAAATGCAGTTTTGAACCTACCCTCCTATTAGGGATGTCTCCATAAATGAGAATTGCATTCTTTATTTAGAACCCTAACATTATGTGGATTTCTCCCCCTCATTTAGCTCATTTCTGACTCCCTTATAAATACATTGGAACAATTAACACCAAAACGAAGAGATACTGAGATCAGTAACATAAAATGACATTTCTAGAATTCTGTATACTTAATTAAACTAAACAAGGTGGTATGGAACAAAGATGAGAAATAAATTTTCCTTAGATTGTATCTACATGAATAAGAAAAAGTAGCCATGGAAATACGCACATTTAATGAATACCCAAGAATTTAACAAAACACAGAGGTTAAGTTCTCTTACTTATTACATCAAACCAGATACTTTTATTTTTAATCAAACCCTTCTACGTCTACAAAGATATAAAGACATAGTTGCAAATAACTTTATTTAATAAATGTTTTGTCAATGTTCCAGAGTTGGTTGGTATAAGATCATAATGCATAATCAGCCAAGAATGACATTTTTCTTCTTAGAGCTTCTAGCATACATATATCCCGCATCACTTATCATATAGTGTTTGCAAGCATTCTTTATATTGCTGTCTAGTTTTATTATTCATTCTTGTACAGTGATTTATCATCCATTGTCATGACTTACACCCAGTCTAGATTGACACTCCTTATGGAAAAGGACTGGGTATTATATTTCTAAGCATCCTCTGCTGCCTCAAAACCAAATGCTGCATGTATGGCAGGCCATCAATACTATTTGTTGAATGACTGCAGGGAAGTTGCTTTGCTGAGCATTCCTGTTCAGTTGACTGGGAGGATAAACTAATGCAGTGTTCGTTTTATAATATATAAGGGATATTTTCTGTTTGCAGTTGTATATTCAATAAATAAAATACATTCCTCTTTTTGGCTTTATCTGATTTTTTATTTTAAATCACAAAAATTTAGACATTTGCTGAATTTTAGTAAAAAATTATTTCTGACCTACTGACGTGAAAATAATGGAAAGATTCTAATTCATTTCAAGGCAAATTAGAGAACTGACTACTCTTTTTCCTTGAGACCTACTTTCACATTGTGACACACATTTACTAAAACTCTCTTTCATATATATATAGCATAGAAATTACGGAATCAAATATTTTACCTAGAAATAAATGCAAATTGCAACCCATTAAGACCTGAGATTTGCATAAAAATATTTGTTTTAGAGTGTCTAATTTTAAAGTATTAATAAATATAAGCTATGGAAATTGTGTTTTCAAGAGTTGCTTTCTTGAAGTTTGTTTTCTGGGATTTGAATGATGAGCTGTAGTTTTTGTTCATAAAGACATATACATGTAAATATGTTAAATTTGGATTTATGAATATCCAAGTCAAAAATATTTATATTTTAAAACTAATGATATATCTTAAGTACCTCCAGTTTATATAAGTATCAATTTCAGTATATTATCACTGATTTGAATATATAGCCAATAAAAAATAAATGTTTTCTACCCCTTAAAAATAGTTTATTTCATGCTTCTTTCCTAACTTCTAATTATAAATTGCATGTCAAGTAAATAAGCATTTCCCTCAAATCCAATAGTCTACCTTTTAAAACATTTCAAACATAAAAACATGTTAAATACTTTTATATTTTTTAAAATAAAAACAATCTCATATCATCTTCGTGTAAGTCAGAAAGGCCCTTAGAAGAGAGAAAAAATTGTAAAATGGCAGAGTTTCCATATAGCAAAATAGAAATAACTAAGTAAAATTTTAGTAACTCACACTTCAATAGATGTACTGAGAAAATGTGAAACTTAGCTTATTTTCTGTTTATTTGTATTTATATTTATTTGCATTTTAGAATACGTATATAATGTATGTATAGACATTTAATGCTAATACTAACATATTTTACAACTTTGTTGCAATAAACAATTATTATTTAAATACTATATCATATTTAGTATTCAATTTTTCTCCTTGTCTAACTGAAATGCAAAATCTGCTGAAATCAAGCCCTGTGTCTTTTACTTCTATATACTTCCCACAGTACCTTGCAGGAGCAAATGTTTGATATCTGTTGATCTGATTTTAATCACCAATCTCAGAAGAAAAGAAAAAAAACCTCCCTTATTTTATAACAAAGATGAATTGGTTAGTAGAAAGTGTGTCATTAAATAATGAAATAGGGTTTTGTCTTCCCTTTAATTTGCTAAAGTATTCCTCTGAGCATTGTGACAAACTATTGAACAATGTAATTATGATATCTCCATTTAGAATTAGGTGAAATTCTAAACTGAATAAACATATGACTTTGAAGGCATTATGCTTAATTTTAAGTGCTATAATATACAGAAGATGCCAGTCAGATTGACAATGAATCTCAAGGGTTGTTGTGAAAGCCAAGGAAAACAAAGAAATGAAGAATTGCACACTTTCCTGCATGATGAAAGACAGCAATACCTCAAGGTATTCAGAGCCATCAAAACTCAGGACATGAGAATGTCCTTTAAACCAAGAGTAATAATATTGCTACTGGATATATGTATTTCTTTCCCCTAAGGACTTTGGCTTTTGTCACTAATTGATTATTACTTAACAGATGAATACACGTGTAATAAAGATAAGTTTAGAATAATAAGAATCATGCAGAGAAACAGAATTAAATCACAAGCCAACATACAACCAAATCTTTATTTTGGGAATGCAAATATCATATCATTAACATGTAACCATTGCAAGTACTACACTTTTAAACTTGCATTACTGAACACTGGATAAATATTTGTCGAATAAATTGGATGTATTAATAGATTTCTTCTTTTCTGTTGGTTTCTCATGTGAACAAAGATAAAATCATCTTTGAGGCATGTCCTTGTCAATGCCTGTTCATATAAAATCCTTTTTTAATTATAAAGTAAAAATATGTAACAAAATGTATGTCATGTACACACCTTCCCATTATATTTTATAATAAGTCAGTGCTAATAAATGCAGGAAATAGTCACATTTATGAATGTTAGGTGTGAAATTGTGTCCTTTGATGTGAGTAGAGATATTAACTCAACCACTTACTTAAAAGCCCACATTTAATGTGAGCATCATTTGACAGTTTGCACATCCATTAATTCTGAATAGATTTACTAGGTGAAGATATTTCATAATGTACATTAACTTCTAATGGAAAAAAAAGTTTCAGAGAAAAATTACCCCAAAAATGTATCTTTAAAAGTCCATTTCAATATATCAATCTATTTATAATACCCAAGTTTAAATTCACAGTTCAAAAGGGGAATTTAGCAAGAAATAATGGTGTGTAGTAAAAAACAAAAATCAGTACTCATAAGCAGGTAACCTGGTTCTCAGTTCCAGCCAATTATGGGATGTTTGAGCTGATATGCAAAACTCCTAGGCCTCATTTTCTCATCTGTAAAATAGAAATATTCAAACTTCTATGGTTTCTACTTGTTCTCAAGCTCTATTTGCTAGTTCTGGAAATAGATTTTAGTTTTCACTATTTTTAGTTTTCACTAAATTTTAGTTTTTTTAATTTTTAAATTTTAGTTTTTACTAAAAATAAGGGACGAAAGGATGCTGGTCACTCAAGATAATTTTTCTGCATTCTTCTTACATGTGATGACATTCCCTCAAGCTTGCCTCAAAAAATTTTATTATTATAAATTTAACACGTGCAAAATACTGCACAAAAATGTGTAGCTAAATTACATAACACAAAGCAAAACATGCACAAATGAAACCATTCTTTTCTCCAGATTTGGAACATTACCACTACCCAGATGTTTCTCTATGCCGAAATATCACTGTATCAACCTCACAGGTAATCACTCTCTTGATTGCCATAATAATTGCTTTCTTATTTTTCTTCACACTTTTACCAAATAAAAATACAACTTTAGATTTTCTTGTGCTTCAAATTTATATTCATAGAATTATACACCATGTAATTTTTGTAAATCTGCCTTCTTACATTCAACATTATAAATGTTTCATCTATGTTGTTGCATGTGTCTGTAGTTCTCCTTTTCATTGCTGCATAGTATTTCATCAAATAAACATGCAAAATTTATTTTTATCCATTCTATTACTGGTTAATATTTTTGTTATTTTCAGTAATTGACTGTAATAAATAATGTGTGAATATTCATGCATGTGTGCACTTGTAGGTATGTGCATGCATTTCTGTAGGGATATTTCTTAAGAGGGATTGATAGGTAATCATACTAAAATATTTTCCAAAGTAACAAATACAAATATATGAGAATTCTATATTTTTCATAATTTTTTAACATTTTATATTGCCAGTAATTTTGATATTAGATATTCTAGTAGTGTGATAGAATCTCATATTTTAATTTGCATTTTACTGATGACTAAATGAGTTTGGATCCTGGGCCATACGTTTATTGGCTATTTGGATAACATCTTATATAACATGTTTTTTAAATTAATTTTTTTAATTAAAATTATTTTCTAATTGTTGCTGTCCAAAGAGGAATAAAAGACACTAAAGGTTCATGTCTTCAGACCACTATTCTTCACTTCAGTCAGATATTTTTGGCCTTTAAGAAGATATTTTCAATATTTTTGACGTGTATTATTTGTTGTTTTCAGGTGTCAGATTAATTTTAATTGCCTGGGCTACCATTTCTAGAAGATTCTTGCCTCATTCTTTTGTATAGCAACAGCACTAGGAAGGGCCATTGTAGGGACACATATCTATAATTTTCCATCTTATACTACATGAAACCTACTTTCTTGAAGGCCATCTTGTTTTTCCCAGTTGGAAACTCCCTTATTTCTGTACCCAGTATCATGGAGCTCCCAGAATTATGATTATTCTTCAGTATTTGATATCACAGGACCAACCAAAAGAAAAGAGGCTAAAAGTAGAAAGTCCGTTAGAATCAGGTGTCTATCAAAATTTGCGTCCTGTAGGCAAGTTGTTTTTCCTTCTATATGCCTGACTCCTATTGGCTTTTACTTGTTAAATGTGCTTACCCTCCTATGCCTTGAATTGGCTTCTCAGCCCAAGTCTTCAGTTTTCTCCTTCACTCTATTATCCAAAAACTCCTTGGAGCCATCATGCCTCCCAAACATTCCACTTATTTCTGCTTCCCAGCCCGTCTGGGACATTGCCTTCAGATCTACTGATCAATGAGGCCAGTCATTGCCCTGCCCACCCTTCAGTTGACTCCACAAGTGCCCAAGTTTTGACTTGAGCACCAACTAATCTATAACAATGCTAGTCTTTCACTTTTGTAATAGTATATTATCCTAATTTCATCCTACTTTTCAGAGTTCTATTTTTCTTTTGAAATAGTCCTTCTTTTCTCATTCCCTAAATATATATTTCTTTACACACCAACCCCTTTGAAAACCAAAAATATCATGATCTCAGTAATTATTTTCTACTGACTACCTAAATCTGCCTCCCTAGTCCAGATTTCCACCAGGATTGCAGTTCTCTAGTTCTAATTGCCAATGGGTCACAAAATTAAAAACTGTCCTCTTAGCAGCTGTGTTTCTCAATTCAACATCTTAATGGCAGCATTCTTCTCACTGTCCCTCAAATTAGCAATGTAAATGCTATTTTTTTCCTTAAAATGCCCCTTAAATTTTTCTTTCACTTTCCATCTCCTCTGCCTGAAGTAGAGTGTAGACTTGGGGTTTTTATTCAGGGCTCCATGGAGTTATTGGGAGGTGATAGACAATCTGAAAATCCATAGAAAGTATGCCTAATTTTGTACATACCTACATGAATGTATAAAAGAGCACCAACTTTCATCAGTTTCTTAAAGGATTAAGAACCAATGCTCCAGATTCTCATCACCTTATACCTATTAAACCTTTGTACTCTCTAAATTTGGCCAATTCTAGAGATGAACCTTTACAACAATATTTTATCCATTAAACATTCATTTATTAAGTAAACAAATATTTATTGAGTATCTCCTATGTACCAAATACTATTATGGTTCTGCGGTCACATTGGTGAACAAGATAAAGTTCCTTCTCTCATGGAGCTTACATTTTAGTGGATGAAGAAAAATCAAATAATCTATCCATAAACAAGGAATTAAGGGAATACCAATTAGCCATATTTGCTGTTAAAATAATTAAATGGGGGTAATTTCACTGTTACTAGGTGGCTATTTCAGAATAGATGGTCCTGGAAAGCACCTCTAGGAATATGTCAGTTCTAAAGGACAAAAAAGCAACCAGCTAGGATCTCCAGGGAAAAGCATTCCAAACAGAGGAATACATTAATGCAAAACCCAAAAGGTCAGAATGACCTTGATCTTTTATAGGAACAAAATAGAATAAAAAGCCTGTTTTACTAAAGCACAGTAAGCAAGAGGGAAAAGTCTGGGTGAGATCAAAGGTTTATGTAGGGCAAATAACTTAGAACTTTGGAAACTAGAATGGAGGCATTTGAATTAAGACTTAAACACAATGGAAGGCTTAAGCAGAAGAGGCAGAATCTGGTTTATGTTATGTGAAGAATAAATGCATCTTGACAAAAGCAGAAGAGAGAGGCAATTACTGCAGTTCAAGTGGCAAATAATGGAGGTCGAGTTGCTTCTCTGCAAAAGGTACACTATTTTCCTGTTGGATCCTCAATGTAGTTGTGCTGACCTTATCTATTATGCTTTATTCATCTCATCTAGCTTTTGTAATGCATTACCTCCTTTTTGCCTCATAACAACCTGACAGTTTTAAACTCATTACACAAATACTAAAAAAGGCACTGAGAATGGTTGAGACTCATCCTGAAATAACCAATTGGCAAATTGAATTGGTTATTACTTACAAGTTGTGTTCTTTAAGCTATGTAATAGCTATGTAATAGTTTTAACTATTTAAGCTATGTAATAGTTTTAACTACTTTGCTGACAGCCCCTACCCTCTATATTATTTGTAATCAATAGTGTCTACGAATATTATGCACATATTATGCACTATGGTAAAATACAAAGGTCAGGGGTTTAGAGTAATTTAATTATAAAAATAAATATCAAAATACTGTTTTACCTTTAAAATAGAAATGCCCACAGTACGAAATGGTGACAATTTTTGACAATATTAATCAATGTTATTTTAAAAAATCAATTATTGTACATCACAAATTATGAGAACTGCCTTTGGCTAATAAACAAGAAAGATCTTTTAAATGTTTTGAGTATTAACCTGATCTTTGATAACTAATTTGTATTACTTCTTAACCTAATTCCTTTCTTGAATGCCATCTCTCCTTCAAATTTCATTATATTATCTTGTCCCATTTTTAAAAACATCAGTGCCAGACCTTGTCTCTATACATACATTTTTAAAACTACTTTAGCTATAGGTAAAGTTTAAATGCTTTGTGCCTTTCTGGAACATCAGACATTTAAAAATTGTGGTGAAAAAAAGCAGCATAAAACTCATATTGTGTTGATTATGAGCAGGAAATCATTATGACATTTGTGATTAGAGAAATGGAAGTTAAGTTCATCTAATGCATTTATGTTTCCTTAGATACACTTTCTAGTTACTCTTTTTACAGAGGGAAAATGATTAAAAGCTCTTGGCAAATTTAAGGCTTAGTATGCCCTTAATGCTTTCATCAGGCATGCAAGTTAGTTTTGTATAGGTAAGATGGACAAATTATCTTGAATGTACAGAGGAAATGTGCTAGAAGAAGTGAAAATCCATCAAACTGCCATCAAAATTGAACAAGCCTGACTCCCACACTCAAACCAGCGATATTAGATAAAATTGAAATCAGGGCACAGCTACATTGATTATGAAAAATCATCAGGTTCTACCAGTAAAACATCATTTCTCACCTCATTCGTTTTCCAAATTCTTAAAAGTTAATTAGCCCTATATACTACATTAACCATTCCCATAACAATATTCCTACAGCACATTGGTTTGATTTCTATGTTTTACTTATTTCATTTGGTCTTATAAATAGTTACTAGGTCATATGCTTAATTTCCCAATCAGATGAAAAGCTTCTTTCATTACATTTTACTTCAGTCCTCTTACTAGCTCTGTGAGGCAGAAATAATTGGGATCCCATACTATAGATAAGGAAAGTAAGACTACTTCACCCAGCTGTTAAGTATTGAGGTGAAATATGAATCTGTTCTCTCCAAGTCCTAAGCCATGGTGTACTCATTATTCCATAATACAATCCAGTTCTTGTGTTAAGAACTGCTACCCCAGATGGAGAGAGGAACTTACTTTTGCTTAAGTTTTATCCTCAGCCAGTGGGTTCCAAGGTCATCATTAGGAGTTACTCCAAGTTTCAGTGATAGAGCAATATTGTAGCATTTGATACTAGATCCAGGAAAAGAGTTAGAAAATAATACACATGTAACTTCCAGAAATCATGCTTTATCACCTCCCTATTTATCAATTGTAAAAGTTGTTTTAACTACTTTTCAAGATTCACTTGTGATGAGCATAATGAAAAATGAATTACATACATAAACTTCATGAATGAATAGAAAATTCCAAACTGAACAACAAAAGATTCAATATGAAAATTGATGGAACGTTCCTTTAAAAATCACTATATGCCATGCTAAATACGAAGTCCAGGTTGATAAGCAATCTTTATAATGATTAACCATCAAGATATTATTTTTGCCTTATAAATCCTAGTGCATCCACTTATATAAATGTAAAACAGTAATGCTTCTTCGACAATATTAATCAATGTCATTTGTTTTAAAAAGCAATTGGTGCACATCATGAGTCATGATTATAAATTTATGTAAACTCCCTTTGGCCAATAAACAAGGAGAATTAAAATAAAACTCTACTGTCAACTGGATCAATGGTAACTAATTTGTATAGATTTAAATTATATCTATCTACCTCAGGCAATCATTGATTTCTTTAATAGCTGTGTTGGAACATACTTTTGAGCAATTAGAACTCAATTGCTATCAAATAGCTTAGGTTTTAAAACGGCATTTAAAAATTACATGCCTGAACATTTAGGATAAATTAAAATCTTGTTTTACTTCTGATTGCTTATTATTCGGTCACTGAACATCTGAGTTTAATTTCAATGAATTCATCTGGTGTTTTCTAACATTATTCAAATTTCTAGGTTTTAAGATTGAAGGTTAAAACAAAACACACCTTTGATGTTCAACCATATAAACAGGATTTAATTCCTCTCAAATAAAAAATGACCAGCCTATATATTTATTCTTAACTTCGAAACTAGTGTGCTCAAATTAAAGAATCAATTTGACTGGGAAAGGTCCAGGTTAAATTTTTCTCCAAACTTCTGGAAAAAATCACAAGAGCATGTCTTGTGCCATGCATAATGGAAGAGATCTTCAACTCATATTTTCTGTTTTCTCTGCTGAAGTCAAGTTGCTTTCAGAAAAAAATTACTTATATATATATACCATAGACATCCAAGTAGACATTAGAGCCCAAATGGTTTGAAAGGTTTAGGCAATAATGTCCTATGAAAATTATCACTACCTTTTCCTTAGATTCCTTTTTCAGGGCCAATATTTTCATGCCTTAAATTGAGAGGATGATTAATAAGACATGTTATTTTCCCTTACAAACCCATGATGAGATAATGAGGCCAGCCCTCTGAGACCTTACTCTTGATAGTGCCTCACCAAACTGTAGTGAGGGTTTTATCTAAAATTTTGTTTGTATCTCAAAGAATTGTTTATTGAAAATATACTTTTAAAGCCAATGCTTTAAAATTTGGACTTACACTTCTATAAATGGCAAACTTGGTGATAATGACCAATTCTCACATTCTGAACAGCTAATAAAGGTTTTAAATGCCTTCTTCAAAACATCAATGAGATAGCATGATAGTCAAGAAAATCTAAGAGAAAGCAAAAACCCAGAAAGGTAAACTGAGCTCACAAAACTACTTTTGCTCTGAAGGTGTTTCCTGAAATGGAAGAAACAGCTGAGAAACAAAGCTACAGTTTTGTTTAGCCTCACTGGGCTACAGAAAAAAAGTCTAGGGCCTTCCTAATGTAGGGACTCTGTTAATCCTTTCATTGAAAACTGAAATAACAAAGTCCTACTCCCTAATGATAATGGTAAGCTAGATTTGCCATTGGTAATCTGGGGCTCTGACAGCTTGGATAAAATGATATTAGATGCTCCTGGCAGAAAAAAACAAAGTTCCTCTTAGAGAATCACCATTATAGTTCACAGACTTTTTTCCACAAATATTTTTGTAACAAAAATTAGTGTCCAGTACTGGTTCCAGGTCCAGTATATAAGGGGGGCTTAGACATCTTCACTGTGTCCTAACAGGTAAAAGGTTGAGCAAACTGAAAAATAAACAACTCTTCTTAAACCACCTGAGAAGTGAGATTACGGGGTAAACCACTGCCATGTAAATAGGAGAGACAGGTAGGTGGACACAGAAAATCACAATTTACCAGAACAGAAACGCATGAGCAAAAACCTCTGCAGGAACCAGTACTAGGGTAGGAAAACCTGAACTCTAATGAATGAATTGCTGGAGGCTCAGCATAGACAAGTCTGAAAGATAAAAACCCCAGGATGATCCAGTCATAGGAGGGCCTTCAGACTTTCGTGAATTTTACCTCCAGGATCTCTATGTCCTCATAGTGAATATTGGAGAAAAATCCCCTTGTGCTTCCAGCAGGGATTTTTTAAAAAGAAACCATTCTGAATATGCCAGAGCTCTCTCTTCTTATCAAGGCCTGCCCTCAGGAAAACTATATTACCAGAACCTAACCTTCTGGGGCTATATTAGAGCCTAACCTACCTGGGGGAAGAGAAATAACCAATTCTAGTTCCCTATAGCCTTCTACATCAGTGAAGAGAAATACCCGACTCCAGCCCGCTCCAGTCATCCTGTGTCTAAACAGGAAATGAGAAGCACTGGTAAGTTCACAGTTCAGGGGCACAGTATCTGGAAAAGACTGAGATCTAATTATAAGGATTATAGAATATTTCACTTTGCCCCCCCCCCGCCGCAATAATACAAACATACACACACACACGCACACACACACACACACACACACACACATCTTACCACTACATTATTAAAGGATGATTTACTGCAGTCTCTTTTACCAGTATATAATGACTGTCTTTCAACAAAAAATTATAAGGCACGCAAAAAGGCAAAAGAACAGTTTGAAGAGACTGAACAAGCATCAGAGCCAGAGTCACATATGGCAATAATATTGGAATTGTCAGACCAGCATTAAAAAAAAATTTTCTGTGAATAATGCACTAAGGGTTTTCATGGAAAAGTGGAAAACATGTAAGAACAAATGGATTCCGAAAGCAGAGAAATAGAAATTCTAAGAAAGGATCAAAAAGAAATGTTGGAGATCAAAAACACTAAAGGAAATGAAGAATGCCTTTGATGGCCTCATGAGTAGAATGGACATGGCTGAGGAAAGAATCTCTGTGCCCGAAGATATGACAATACAAATGTCCAAGACTAAAAGCAAAGAGAAAAAAAGACTGAAAACATTAAACATAATAGGTAAAAACTGTACGACAACTACAAAATGTATAACATGTATAATGAGAATAACAGAAGGAGAATTAAAAAGAAAGCTACATAAGTAATACAGGAAGCAATAGTGACTGAGAATTTTCCCAAATAAATGTCAGACACTAAACCACAAACCCAGGAACCTCAGAGAATACCAAGCAGGATTAATGCCAAAAACATAAACAAAATTATGCCAAGGCATGTTATGTTGAAATTACAGAAAATCAATAATAATAAAAAAAATCTTGAAAAAAGCTGGGGGAGGTGGAAAGCAAACAAACAAAAAAAAACCCACCTTGCCTATGGAGGAACAAAGATAAGAATTGCATCTGACTTCTTAGAAACCATGCAAGCAAAAGAGTATGGACTAAAATAAATAAAGCGTTGAGAGAAAGAAAAACACCAATCAGTAATGCTGCACCCCGAAAAATTACTCAAAAGTGAAGAAGAAATAAAGACATTCCCAGTAAAACAAAAATTGAGGTAATGTGTTGCCCATAGAACTGCTTTTCAAGAAATGTTAAAAAAAAGAGTTGTTCAAAAAGAAGTAATACTATATAGGTCAGAAACTCAGAAATACATAGAGAAAGGAAGAGCATTGGAGAATAAATAAGTGAAAGCAAATTTAAAATTTTTATTTTTTTCTGTTTTTAATTGACCTAACAGATAAGTTTGTTCAAAATAATGAGAAAAAAATATATTAAATTATGTGTACTTACATAAACATATATATAAGGTTGAGCACATATACAGGTTGAGCATCCAAAATATAACAATACAAAATCCAAAATGCTTCAAATTCCAAAACATTTTGTGTTCAAAAGAATTGCCCTTTGGAGCATTTCAGATTCTGGATTTTCAGATTAAAATGTTCATTCTGTAAGTATAATGCAAATATTCCAGAATATGAAAAAATGCAAAATCCAAAGCACTTTTGGTCCCCAAGCATTTTGGATAAGGGATTCTCAACCTGTATATGTGAAATGAATGACAGCAATGATAAAAGGGGCCAGGAGGGAGGACTTAGGATATTTTGTTATAAGAAACATGTCCTACTTGTGAAACAGTATAGTATTATTTGAAAGTGGACTTGAATACATTGTAAATGTATATTGCAAACACTAGGGCAAACACTAAAAAAAGTTGTTTTTTGTTGTTGTTTTGTTTTGATTTGAGACGGAGTTTCGCTCTGTTGCCCAGGCTGGAGTGCAGTGGTGCGATCTCGGCTTATTGCATCCTCCACCTCCCAGGTTCAAGTGATTCTCCAGCCTCAGCCTCCTGAGTAGCTGGGATTACAGGCGCACGCCACCACACCCGGCTAATTTTTGTATTTTTAGTAGAGACAGAGTTTCACCATCTTGGACCAGCCTGGTCTCGAACTCCTGACCTCAGGTGATCCACCCGCCTCGGCCTCCCAAAGTGGTGGGATTACAGGTATGATCTGCTGCCCCAGCCAAAAAAAGTTGTGTTTTTTGTAGAATTTTTTATTATTATTATTATACTTTAAGTTCTGGAGTACATGTGCAGAACGTGCAGTTTCGTTACATAGGTATACACATGCCATGGTAGTTTGCTGCACCCATCAACCCCTCAGCTACATGAGGTATTTCTCCTAATGTTATCCCTCCCCTAGCCCCCCACCCCCGACAGACCTCGGTGTGTGATGTTTCCCTTCCTACGTCTGTGTGTTCTCATTGTTCAACTCCCACTTATGAGTGAGAACATGCGGTGTTTGGTTTTCTGTTCTGGTGATAGTTTGCTGAGAATTATGGTTTCCAGCTTCATCCATGTCCCTGCAAAGGACATGAACTCATCCTTTTTTATGGCTGCATAGTGTCCATCAATAATAGACTTGATAAAATGTGGCACATATACACCAAAAAGTTTTAAAAGAAATATAATTTATATGCTAAGAAAAAAGAGAAAATGGAATCATAAAATGTTCAATTAAAACCACAAAAGGCAGGAAAAAATGTGGAAGACAAAATAAAAACAACAAACAAGGGCAACAAATTAAAAACTGTAGCAAATATATATATAATCCTATATATATATGTATATATATATATAATCCGGTTATCAATAATCACTTTCTAGATCAATGGTCTAAATACACCAATTAAAAGATTATCAGAGTGGATCAAAAAACAAGACCAAACTATATGTTGTCAGCAAAAAATCTACATTAAATATAAAGACACATATAGATTAAAAATAAAGAGATTCATAAAGCTATGCCATGATAACACTAATCAGAAAAAAGTGGGAGGAGCTATATTAATTTCAGACAGCAGACTTTACACTAAGGAAAGTTATTAATGATAAAGAGGGGCATTACATATTGTAAAAGGGTCAATACTCCAAGAAGACATAGCAATTCTTAATGTATTAGCAGCTAAAAATACAGAGTCAAAATAAATGAGTCAAAAATTGATAGAACTGCAAGGAGCAATAAATTAATCTACTGTAATTATTGAAGACTTTAACACCCTTTCATCCAGCAGGCAGAAAATCAGTAAGGGCATAGTTGAACCCAACAGCACTATCAATCAACCGGATATAATTGACATCTTGAGACTACTTCATCCAACAATATTATACATTCACATTACACATTACATATTCCATTACACATTACACATCCATTACACATTCTTATCAAGGTCACACGGGACATTCACTAAGATAGACCACATTCTAGGGCCTATGATACACCTAAACAATTTGAAGTAGTAGAAATAAAACAATGTCTGGTCTGAGATCACAGTGGATTAAAATAGAAATTAATAACAGAAAGATACATGAAAAATCATAAAATACATGCAATTAAACAACATATAAATAACACATGGGTTGAAAAAGGAATGTCAAAATAAATTTTAAAATATATTGAACCAAATCAAAATGGAAATAAAACTGATAAGTTTTTTGATAAAAATTTTTGATAAAAATTGATAAAAATTTTGATTAAAAAATTTGATAAAAATTTGTGGGATGCAATGAAATCAGTGCCTAGAAGGAAATTTATATCATTAGAAAAATGATATCACTAGGAAAAAAATCTAAAATAAATTAAACTTTCACCTTAGGAAACTAGAAAATAAGAGGAAATTAAACCCATAATACGAAGAATAAAACAAATAATAACCATTAGTGTAGAAATCAATGAAATGGAAAAGAGAAATCAATAGAGAAAATAAACAAACCCAAATTCTGGTTCTTTGAAAAGATCAATGAAATTTTAAACCTCTATCCAGGCTAACTAACAATAAAAGAGAAAAGACACAAATAACTAATATCACAAATGAAAGACAGGACCTCAACATAGAACCCATGAACAAAGTACAATAAAGGAATATTATGATCAACTCTGTGCCTACCCTTTTGATAACCTAGATGAAATGGACCAATTTCTTGAAAGATATCATCTGCCAAAACTCACACAAGAAAATATAGACAATCTGAATAGGTCTTTATCTACTAAATACATTGAGTAATAATTAAGACCCTTCAAAAACAGAAAGCACTAGGCACAAATAGGTTCACTGGTGAATACTACCAAACATTTAAAGAAAAAATATACCAATTCTGTACCATCTTTTCAAAGAGCTAAAGGCAGAAGAAATACTTCTTACTATAGACTGAATGACTGTGATGCCCAAAATTCATATACTGAAGCCTAATCACTTATTTGATTAGTATTTGAAGATGGAGCTTTATGGAGGTAATTAGGTCATAAGGGTGGAGCCTTCATGAATGAAATTAGTGAACTTATGAGAAGAGACATGAGAGAAATGATGTCTCTTAGCCATGTGAGGATACAATGAGAAGCAGGCCCTCACCAGAACCTGACCATTATGGCACCCTGATCTTGGATCAGAGAAGATAACATGCAGAAAGTTACAGTGAGAGGGTTTTTAGTTGGTGTCCCAGAATGAGAAGAGAGAAATAGTGGAGCAGGGACAACTTTTAGGACATAATGGCAAATATA
Organism: Homo sapiens; assembly: GCF_000001405.40. Classification (NCBI taxonomy): domain Eukaryota; kingdom Metazoa; phylum Chordata; class Mammalia; order Primates; family Hominidae; genus Homo; species Homo sapiens. The sequence goes on from NC_000023.11 coordinate 28,265,545, forward strand.
CAAAACATATAAAAGACACTAATCTACAGGAAGAAATCTACACATACACACACACACACACACACACACACACACACACGCATACATACACCAACCCTTCTATCTATATCTAGAGATATACCATAAATATATATATACCATAAATAAACTATGGTATATTCATTCAGTAGATACTACAGAGCAATGAAATGAGTAGATTTCTGCTTTATGCCACAACTGCTAAGGATCTTGCAAACACAATGCTAAAAAAGATAAATGAGAAATAAGATAATGCAAACAATGTGATTAGACTTCCACACAGTTCAAAAACAAAACATAATTTTATATATAAGACAAAATTACTAGGAAAAGCAAATAGGTCCTTAGCTAGCAATGGAGGTCAAATACTTCTCACAGTGCATCATTCTGTCCTCTTCCACAGTCACATCTACTACCTTCTCTAACCATTTTTCCCTTTTCCATTTTTAATGACACTTCTGAATACATTGGGCTCACCTGCACAATCCAGGATAATGTTCTTAGTTTAAGGTCACCTGATTAGCAATCTTAATTCCACCTGCATCCTCAATTCTTTGCCATGTAACACAATGTATTCAAAAGTTCTGGGGTTCAGGGCACAGGCATTTTTGGAGGGCTATTTTTCTGTTTATTAGTTATATTCTTTATCAAAATTTTGAAACACATTTTTAGATCACAAAGTTTCTTTTTAGTTCACCTAAAGCCACATCTTGACATTAAATTCATATTCAAAGTTGATGTAAAATGTGATGCCAAATTTCACTATTGTTCCTCTAGTGGTTTTACAAATGTACTATGTGAATATGCAAATGAAGTTGAATAATTCATCCAGCTCAAAGCCAAATATAAAATGAAACTATATATGTAGATATTTTCTAAAAACATACTGAAACTCTGGCATAAATATACTGTATATTGATATTATCATTATTCCTTAATTATAAAATTCTGATATAGACAGACCTTTTAACTAATTGCAACTACTGCCTAATTTTATACTGAGAAAATGAATAATTTACCATATACATGCATCAGTAAAAAATTTCACTATAAGGAATGAAAGCAATGGGAGGTGTATATATATATATGTGTGTGTGTGTGTGTGTATATATATATACACACACACACATATAGAGAGAGAGGGAGAGAGAAAGAGATGTGTATGTATATACATATGTATCTATATATACCTATATAAACACAATAAAATGCATATTAGTTTAGAAAGTTATTGGCTCCAAGCTTCCATACATCTACTAGTCTCAAACAGCAGAAGTTATCATCCTAGTAAGATTACTTAGAAAGTAACTGCCTTCTTATCAGACGAGACTATCTCAGTTTAATATTAATCAGTTTCCTACATATGCAATAAACAAAATCTTGTTTCTATTTTTCCATACAGTAACTAGAAAAAATAGTGAAACTATTTTTTTCGCTAAACTTGTGATAACCAAAACATTTACTTGATTGAACCTTTGGGACCATCCCATCATGGAGGTTATTTCTGTGCTTTTAATAGTCAGAAGGTGCCATCTGATATAACCATTTCATGTTGTTTATAAGACAACCAAGGCACAGAGAAGTTCATTCCTACAATTGGAGAAAAGTTGCTAACAGAAGTGCGATTGAAATTTGGTCAAGAATGCTTAAAGCCACAGAAAACGTGTGCTTCAGCAAAAGGATGTGCTATTTGTAGAAATGGCTAACATGATTCTCCCTTAGATGCAAACAGCAACCCATCCATCCCCCCATCCATCCATCCATCCATCCATCATTCTTAATTATGTAGCCTAATAGCATGTACCACAATTAACTGAACTTTTAATTGAGAACACATGTACTCTCAACCCCCATTAAGATAGTAAACTAATTTATAATTTTCAAAATCTTTGGAAAAAAATAAAGTAGTTCACTCCTCTAAGACCTCCAATATTGCTTTCCTTTAATTTTAAAACCACCTTAATTTAACAGAGACACCTCCTACTCTCCAGTCAGCATCCCAAACTATCAAAGGAAAGATTGCTTTGAAAATTTCTCAACTGCTTTTAAAATTACATGGTGGAAGTGTCATTAATTCAATAAACATTAGACACCTAATATATCAAAACCACTAAAATGTAAGATTTTAAAATATAATCATTGGAATAGCTCTTCAGAACTCATCTTATTTGATCATTCCAATCAAATATGTGTTATCTAAAGCCTTTTTCACCGGCTTATGATTTTTCAGAATAATGTGAACTACATCCCTGATTACTAGAGAGACCTATTTGTCTCTATTATTTCTCTACGTTTCTAAAGAAAAAACTGTTAATTGGCATAGTCCTAAATTTATATTGCCTGATTTCACCAATTCCTTGATTAGTGTTTTTAAAAATCCTCCTTTCATATTCTTGTCCCTCATTTAAAATGTTATCACCTCTCAAATAAAAATCTCATTTTGCCGGTTACTTAGAATTACAATTTGGAAATGATTTTTCTTCTTCATTAGGAACTTCTTCATTTAAATTTTACATAAAAGAAAATAATTGTTATTCTCACTACAAAGATCAGAACTTAATAATTCAGATATAAATTTTTGGTTAAAAAATAAATTTCTAGGCCTTATATTTAAGTGTTGTTTATTCTTTACTCGTTCATGTACAGAAGATGACAAACTGTCTCTTATATGGAGAGTTTGTAGGTCTGCCAGATTGTTCATCTTATGTTGGCCTGGGCACATTGTCACCAGATTCCACAGACACTTGAGGTGATATTAGCAAGCTTTTAAGATAGCTGTGGTGCATACCAATTCCCTTTCCAAGCAGGGTAGATGCTATTTCCTGGGACCAGCAAATGAAAGAAATAAGCACAGGACAGAAGTCTGAGCATCTGATGTTGCCTAGGTCAAAGAGACTCAGCTAGTGCCATCAAACTTGAAGATAAGGATCTATGTTTGTTAGAAATGAGCTAGAATGTCAGCACATATTAAAAAAAGAGATCTTCAGATGTGTCTTCTACAGACCAGACCAAGATCTTTGCTGTGCAAGAAGAATGTGTTCCATTAGAGCTTCCATATTTACAAAGCCCTGGGACCCCATTTGGCTTTGTGGTCCCAATGAATTCCAACTGTAATATGTTGTCATTCATTGCACTTGAAAGAGGCTCAGGCTTCAAGTTTATAAAAGGAAGCAAATCTGCTTAATGAGGTCGCATGCCTCAGTCTCCCGCTCTATTTTACAGCTGGAAAGAAAACATCAGTAAAGAGGAAAACATTTCCAAAGTAATGTTTTTATTTTTCCAGAATCCTCGCCAGAGATGTGCTGTGATATCTGTTTTGTCTGACAACACAAAAGACTGAAGACAATCCATACTACCTCAACTGGGAACCTAAAGCGTAGTGTGCTCTGATATAAGAGCATCTGCAGGAGAAAGAGGATTGAGATGTTAAGTCATTGGTTGACATTGCCATGAGAAGTTTTCCTGCCATGTTTGGGTTGGAGAGAATTTGATGGTGTTGATTCTGGACTGTAGGAGTCAGTCAGCTGCAGTTAGACTCCTTACCATGGAAAGGCACTTTTGAGCCGTGGCAGCACCCTGGCCTCTGCTTTTCAAGGCTGTTGGAGTGTGAACCTAAGTTCTGCTTTGGGAAGACCACGATTTCCTACAGTAAACTGAGAAGGCTGCATCCCCAGATGAACAAAAATTAGCAACATCTAGGAGGCAGTTTGCAGCGGAAGTCCCTTGGAATCCTTGTTCATTGTCCTACATGCATTTAATCACTTAGCAAACACGTAATGAGCACTTATTACATGCTAAGCCTTCTTCTAGCACTGGAGGTGTGTGTGAACAAAATATATCAAAATCTCTGTCCTTGTGAGGCATCCCTCCATCAGAACAAAATTTTTCACCTGGAAACTAGGCTTTAAGGGAAAAAAAATCAAAACTCATTTTGGAAGTAAGCAGTGTATCCCAGGGCTGAGGTTCCAAAATCAGGATTTGAAAGTGGGTGAAGCTGGACCACAGCTGCATGGTGGAGAAGAAAGAGTATCAAGGATATCAAGTTTGGCTTGGGGAACACCTAAACTCTCAGAAGCATCAAGTACTAGGGGATTGTCCAATAGGTAAAAGTCAGATTGAAAGCTGAGTATCTGCACAATGGTGACACATAAGATGGGGCTAGTGGGATTGGGGGGCAGAGCCAGGATAGTGCCTGAGAGAACATATAGTAAAACAGTGTTTTATTTAATAGCTGTAGTTTCACCATGAGCAGGGAGGATGCTATTAAGAGCACCTAGCTCATCAATTTTCTGATTAAATTTTGTGTTAAGACTGAGCAACTATAGAAACAGAAAACCAACTTAGGACTCCTTACCCTGAAATATTCTCTGGATGAGTTCTAGCCTCACTACCCATCTTTATTTGTTTTTCTGTTTTGATTAGATGGCTACATAGATAGGAAGACCCTGCACTTTCTTGTTGTAGGTCTTTTCACAGGGTCCTTTAATTGTCAATCTTCCTTAGTGAACTAAAAGTTCTAAAAGAAAAACTACTTTGATGTCATTCTCTTTCTATTCATATCTGGTATCTATCACAGTACCTGATTTCATATTAAGCAGGGTCACCTTACATAGTTGCACAGATTATTCACTGTACAACTCCAGGGGCACCACACTCATAAATATGATGTGAATGGCACACTTGAAATTGTGCAGTGCACAACCACAGAAGTACTGATGGTTGCTCTGGAACATCAATGTTTATTAAATTAAGGCAAATATTTTTTAGTTTATGATTTGTTGTCAGATGTCATAAATATGCCAGCTTGTGACACACGTAAGAGTACATGGCAAGGACAATGGAATTATATAATAAATAAAATGGATTTCTATTTTAATCTCAGACTAAAAGAAATGGCTTTGAAAATTTGTGTTGATTATTTAGTGAGGTGAAGGAACAAGAACACCTCATTTTTAAAAAGATAAAACTTTGAGAATAAGTAGATTTTAGTTTCTTTAGAAATGCATCGTTTTAAAAATTGGAACTTTCAATATAGTTAGATTAGCAAATTAGGAGGTTCACTTACTTAAGTGAACAGAAAGCTTGGAGAACAAAAGTAATATGTTAATAGAATTTGATTTTTCCAAAATGTCCCCACAAAGTAATCTTTATACTTATATATGCTTTGGCAATATAGCCACCATTTTTTCCATATTACACATGCTATAAAAGTAATACAAAATATTGTTTCTACAAATGAACTTCAAATCCCCTTTAACAGATACAAAATAACAATTGGGATAAAGTGATAATTGTTCCTGCCTAATCTAGGAACATTTTTGATAGGTGAAGTGACTGAAAGCTTAGTTGTTTCCATTTGTACAAGAAGCTTTACAATTTGGATGTTTTTCTGAACTTTGTAAGCTATGATTTCTTGCTCCTTTGTTAAGTTCCAAGTTCATGTAAACTGCTAGCATAGTGTGTCTTTAGAAATGGTATTCAGAAGTATTGTGTTAGTTTCAATCCAATACTGTTGTCTATTAAGGTTTACATGTTTCCAAGATGAACATTCATGATCTTTTTCAAAACTCTGATTCTAAAATGTAATATAAACCATTTCAATTAGAATAAATTGAGATAAAGTTATTTTATTCACAGTTATTCTTGTAGAACAACTTGACATGGGGATCTCTTGGAATGTGGTAACCTCAACTGATCTATTTTTAGTGTCACTGAAGAGAAGTCAAAATATGGCTCACCAGCTACAGGACCACAACACTGTTAAATGAAGCATTTTCTTTAGTGGATAAAAACTTAATGTGCTGATAGCTATCATGACTCTAGAATTCCATGTAAAGCAGATACTTTTTCTTTCTTTTTAATTTATTTATTTATTTGAGACAAGATCTCACTCTGTCACCCAGGCTGGAGTGCAGTGGCTTGATCATGGCTCACTGCAACATCCACCTCCTGGGCTCAAGCAATTCTCCTGCCTCAGCCTCCCAGGTAGCTGGGACTACCGACCCGTGCCACCACACCCAGCTACTTTTTCTATTTTTTTGTAGAGACGGGGTCTCTCCATGTTGCCCAGACTGGTCTCAAACTCCTGGACTCAAGCAATCCAAGCAATCCACCCACTTTGGCCTCCCAAAGTTCTGGGATTACAGGCGTGAACTACCACACCAGGCTAGTAGATGTTTTTTCAATTCAAATGGAGATAAATTTAATGATTAAAGCATCCAAGGTAACTGGTAGTAAAAAAAAAAAAAAGAAGTAGATCTCAAAGCAATGGCCCATGTGGTTGTTTCTCTAGGTGTTTTAAAGACCACCTACATAAGAATAACTTGGGGGCACTGGTTAAAAATTTAGACTTCTGCAATAAAATCAAGCATAGAATCTCAGGTGAATAGAGCTGTGATGGGAATGTGCTTATTGAACAAGCTCCCCAGGACATTCCTGTACATGCTAAATCTTGAAAAACACTGACTTTAAAATGCTTCATTCAACTGTGTTGTGGCCCTGTAACTGGTCAGTCACTGACTTAGAGAATAGTTTTTGGGTTTATTTCATAGTTTTCTTTAGTCTACATGGACTGGGCAGATGGGACACTTGCTTTCTGAAAATGAAAATATTAAAGAAGACATGAATAACTTAAAATGATGGTACTCATGTTTAGCATTATTAACTTATAGTTAGACATGTTTGCTAAAATGATTGAATTCAACCTCCAGACTAAGAATCATGGTTTCAAAATCTGGGAAGGATCTGAGATTTTACTCTGCTTTTAAGCTGTCTGCCACAGCTTCATGGATGCTGGTAGACAGGAGACTACTGGGTCACAGACTTTAAGATGGTCAACTTAGCCTGGATTATCCATGTGGTCCTGATCTAATCACATGAATCCTTAAAAGTGGAGAATCTTTCCTAGCTGGTGTCAGAAAAAGGATGTCCATCTTTCTTTCTGGATAATCCACGATAAGGTGTCTATTTCAAGGTCTCTGACCCAGTAGTCTCAGGTCCGGAGAAGAACCACCTTGCTGGCCTTGAAGATAGGGGAAGGAGGCTGTGTGCCAAGAAATGAGGGGAGCCTTAAGAAACTGGAATAGGCAAGGAATTTTTTTTCCCTAGAGAGTCTAGAAAGAATACAGGTCTGCTGACATCTTCATTTTTTCTCAATGAGATCTAGGTCTGTCTTCTGACTTCCAGAACTGTAAAATAATATAATTGTGTTGTTTTAAACCACAAAGTTTGTGGTAATTTTTTTTTTACAGCAGCAGTAGAAAACTAATAACAATCACTAGCCAGAGTGTCAGCATTTTGGTGCAATTCCCCAAGCTCCAATTCCCACAGGGTAATGTAAAGAATGCCAGGCAATACCTACTTATGCAGGTTGCCTTACAGGAGAGGAACCTTAGGTTTAGGAAACTTGAATCTTTTGTAATGAGAAGTAATCATGCTTGTGCTTTGTCGCAGAGAGAGACACTATCTCTGTCTCTCAAGGTCGTTTACTATATGAACAACCTTGAAAAGTTTGTCTGAAACAAAGGGCAACTGGTGTCTCACTTGCAAGATATGCAGAAACACAAAAGACCCGTGGAGAGTTGTCTCCCAACACAAGATGCCACCCAAATTCATTACTCAAGTGTTTCTGCAACATCATGGAGTTTTCATAATTCAAACTGAGTGACTTTGTGCGGTTTTTAGCATAACAATAGGTGATGAAATTAATAAAGGTTGATAGAGCTGTATAAGAAATATCTGCTAATGAGATTTTTTAAATCCATTATTATAAGATCAAAATTAATATGAGCATATGCTGGGCTTGTTATATTTCTAACGGTAAACACACATGCACACACAGAGAAATATACCTTTATTAATGAAATTGCTACAGGTAAGAGAATTTCATTATTCCTAACTCTTTGGACTGTAAAAACACTTTTCCACTTGAAACAATTGTTTTCATTATGGAATTTTTAATAATAGAAGGTTTCTCATTATTCTCACTATCAAATTATAGCAAAAGCAGACTGTGCTTTCTAGATAGTAAGATTTATTTTTCCATAAAACTTAGAAAATACATTTTATTGGAATCTTGGTTAAATTGGCCAGAGTTGCAAAGGAATGAGTATGAATTGCATTTTTCAGTAAAAGCAGCTGAAAATACCTAGTGTATGATATACTTTCTTGTCTTTTTTTGAGTTGGTAGGTTAAATTAAGCCCTAGTCGCTCATTTAGAAGAACCATTTTACATGTTCTTGCTGTTATTAAATGAAATAGTATCTATAAATAAAGACATGTTTCCAACAGCAGTAGAAAATATACTGGGTCATGCAATTTACCTCATAAACATTACAGTCACCATGGTTACCATTGTAGTCCCTAAGTCCGAAGGGCCTCCATTCTGCTCAGTTTAGCTAATGTTTATGAAATTCCTTCTAAGTCATCTTCTACCAAAATAGACTTATCTAGGTCTACTCCTGGGAATGTCCAGGAAATTCCATATCCTCTCAGTATTTTGAAGAAAACATTCACGTTTACCATTCAGTCTCTTTGGAGACTAAAATCACACTAGAGAGCAGTTTAAGAACTGACCCTTAACCGTTTTAGCAGAGAAGAAAAAGGTTCTGCTTCTGAAACTCTAGTTCGGATACCCTTCTTCGATTCCCACTGTGCTATTTGTTCAACTGTTGCCTCTCTCTATCTCTCTATACTCTATCTCAAGCCTGTCTCTCTATACTCTGCTTTGTGATGGTTGGGCTGGGATACTGCAAACCCCATTTCTGCTAGAAGTTGCTTCATGTTAGTCTTTATCAATAAGTGGTGTTATCTGGACACCACATAGCTTAAGTTGGAAGGGAGGAAGAAGGCTAGAGGCGGAATAAGGGACTGTTCTGTGGGAACCCACATTTAAGCTTCTATATTTTAATATTACAACCTCTTTCTTTTCTCCCCCAGTCATAAAAATGGTAACTGCTTACTGCAGTTACTACCTCTCAGACGTTTCCAGGTTCCCTTTTGATCTTTTATGTTCTCTAACAATTAAAAATTATTAAATTCTTTATTTTAAATTATTTATTTATTTACTATTTAGAGACAGAGTTTCTCATCCAGGCTGAAGTGCAATGGCGCCATCTTGGCTCACTGCAACCTCCGCCTCCTGGGTTCAAGCCATTCTCCTGCCTCAGCCTCCCAAGTAGCTGGGATTACAGGTGCCCACTACCACGCCTGGCTAATTTTTGTATTTTTAGTAGAGACAGGGTTTCACCATGTTGGTCAGGCTCATCTCGAACTCCTGACCTCAAGTGATCCACCAGCCTTGGCCTCCCAAAGTGTTGGGATTACAGGCATGAGCCACCATGCCCAGCCAAAATTATTTCTTTTGAAATAATTGTTCTGCTTTCATGTTCTGACTGGACCTTGACTTATACAATGTCCACTATTACTATGAAACATTCCAGAGTTAATTCTGGGTGAGAACACATAAAATTTTGGAATAAATGGTTTCCAGATCACATAGCCTTTGCATAGTCCATAGATTTTTGGATGTTAGATATAAGGAGTCACATATTCAATAAACATAAATTGAACACCAACTGTTTCTCAAGCATAGTGTTTAATGAGAGGTGAAATTTGTTCTCAAGTAATTCACATGCAGGATAGTGATAAGGGATAGTGATAAAGCCTTGTTAAAGATGAAGCTGGGAAGGTGGAAGGGACCAGATCATGAGGAGACCTTTCTGTTCTGCTTAGAAGTTTTGCTTCAAACAGACAGAAGAGGAGAACTGTTGAAGGCATTCAAGACAACTAGGACTCCATTATACTGATGTTTACTCAAGACTTGGATTTTCAGAACCTAAACACTGCAGTGAAGCCAGCACTCAAATAGAAAAATTGAACATTATTGGTACATTCCTAAGGCTTCTCCCACATCCATTTAGTCACTGTCCCCACCAAAGGTAACCATTATCTTAACTCCTCTTTTTTCAAATTTATATATTTACTTTATATGACCCTGAGTTAGTTTGGCCTGTTTTTGCATTTTATGTAACTTGAATGAAACAGTATTGAACTATTTTGTTTCTAGTGTCTCTGGCTCAACATTGCTTGTGAGATGCATTCATGATCTTCTATAGATTTTCTTATTCTCATTGCTATGTAGCCTTCTTTTGTATGAATATTCCACAGTTTATTCACATTCTATTGTTGATGAACATCTAGGTTGTTTCCAGTTTTTAGTTTCTATGACTAGCTCTGCTAAGAAAACTCTTGTTTATATCTTTTTGATGAATTCATATATGCATTTTCATTGCATATATACTAAAGAAGTGGGCTTGCCGGGTAAGTGTATGTTCAGCTTCAGTAGGTACTGACAAAGTAGTTGTACCAATTCACCCTACCACCAGCAGTATATGAGAGCTCTAACTTATTCCACATTTTTGCCAACATTCATATTGTCACTCTGTTGCATTGTAGCCATTTGAATGGTCTTTAGTTGCATCTTATTTTGATTTTAATATGTTTCCCAGATAAAGGATAATGTTGAGCATACTTTCATATTTTATTGGATATTTAAGTATTTGAATATTTCCTTTATAAAGTGACTATTCAAAAATTTTCCTTGTTTGTTTTATTATTTTACCATAGATTGTTTTGAAGTGTGCTATGTAACATCTAAATATTTGGTAACTTTCTAGATATTATATTCTTACTGATTTCTGATTTAATTACTGTGATCATAAAATGCAACTTGCATGATTTTGAGCTTATGAAATTAATTAGAATTTTTTGTATGGTCCTGAATATGTCCAAGTGTGTGTTATGTGTACATTTTTTAAAATTCTGTGTTTGCAGTTGTTGGATGTAATATTCAAAAAGAAAAACATTAATTAGGACAAGTTTGTTGACAGTGTTTGTCACAGGCTGAGTTATACAAAAGCGGATACTGAGAATAAATTTTCTGTGTAAGATACTTATTAAAGATCAACATTTGTGAATGGGGGGTAAGAAAGGAAATCCTGCCATTTGTGATGACAGATGAAACTGGAGGGCATTATGCTAAGTGAAAGCAGCCAGACGCAGAAAGACAAACACCGTATGGTCTTCCTAATATATGGAATCTAAAAAAGTCTAGATCATAGGAACAGAAGAGAATGGTGGTTGCCAGGAGTTAGTGGGGAGTGGTGGGAGAAATGGGGAGATATTAAACAAAGGGTATAACCTTTCAGTTATAAGATAAACAAGTTCTGAAGAATATAATGTACAGCATGAATGATGATGGAAGTGTTAATTGACTGTGATAATCATCACACAATGTATATGTATATCAAACAATCACATTGTATACTTTGAATATATACAATCATTTTTCAATTAAATATTTTAAAGTAATAAAAATAAATATTAGGCAAAGGGTAGAAGATGAATTACATTGCAGTCCCAACAAAGTCTCAGACAATCCCATGGGGCTCTCTGGAATGTATATGGCCCATGGGAATTGTATCTTAGTAGGCTGAAAGGCCTTGATTAGCCATTAGGTATGGGTCCTTGCCATGGTTAATAACTGGATCTGGGTCTCCCAGGTTAAGGCGTGCCCTTGAATGAGATGGCTCTCTGCAGCTGAGGGAACTGACTTGGACAACAAATCCTCCCTTGAAGGGGTATTTGAGTGGTTCATCCTCGTGACTGCCAGTGTTATTTAAATCTCTTGTATTTTTACTGATTTTGCTTGTGCTAGTTCTGTTAAGTTTGTTTCATGTGTTTTAAAGTTGTATTGTTAGGTATAAACTTATTGGTGAATTGAGCCTTTTATCATTACAAAATGGACCCTTGTTATCTCTGATAATGCTTCCTGTCTTGGAGTCCATTTTATCTGTTATTTAATATAGCAACAACATTCTTTCTTATACTTAATGATTGTGTGGTATACCTTTTTCAGTTCTTCAATGTCAACCAGTTTCTGTCTTCAAATTCAAAATGTATTGTTTGTAAATAGCCATGGAGTTTTGTCTTACTTTCAATCTGAAAATTGACCTTTTGAGTTTTTAGACAATTAAATGTTAATGTAATTATTGATATGGTTGAATTTAAGTCTACCATGTTACTATTTGTTTTCTATGTGTCCTATATATTCTTTGTTCCTCTTTTCTTTCTTTTGGATTAACCAAATGTTTTTAGTAATCTATTGTATCTCTATTTTATATCAAAATGCTTGTTCTAATAATAAATTATCTCATTATAGTCTACTTTAATATTATAAGGAACTTACAATAGTATAATTCCATTTATACCTTCCTCAATAAGTTGACCTGGTAATTTTTTACTTTATGCCAGACATTGTGTATGAAAAATTGTAGATGCTCTAGAAGATATCATCTTTTCCCAATAGAGTTAGCCATATTTTCAGGGAGGAAGAAAGAGTGAAGTCAGATTACCCTAACTTAACCAGGCACTGATTACCTCAAAACTGCAGTTTTCCCAAGATTACATCTTCCTCAGTTTTACATTCACTGTTAGTGTGGAGACCAGCATGGATCCCAACTTAGAGGTTAGTGAACTTACAAGGCATGCCCCCTTTGCTGAGTTCTGAATTTCAGTTCTGCCCTCTCAGCATTGTAAGACTGATATAAATTCTGTTATGCTTTTATTCAGCAAGGCATGATGTAGTTTTCAAGGATACATACAGAGAAATACATCCCATCCCATCACATATGTTTTTCTTACAATTTAATGCTGACTTCAGGAAGTAGGACCTATGTTCCTTTGAATCTGGGTGGAATTGCTTCTATGGTGAAAACAATGCTATGTGATTTCTGTAACTAAGCTGTAAAAGGCAACATGACTTCCTTCCACCTGACCTTTTTGGGATATTCTCTCTTGGAACCAAGCCACAGTCTCGTAGAAAAGCCATGGGAAAGTCTTTAGATCACAACCTGCACCAAGATCTAGCGTCAACTGCCAGACATGTAAGTGGTGAGAAAATGAGCCTTCATGTAATTCCAGCCCCGAGACTTCACGCAGCCCCAGCTGACAATGAGTGAAGCAGAGACAATGTGTCCCTTCCAAAACTTTCCCAAATAGCAGAATCATGAGCAAATTAATGTTGCTGTTGTTTTAGCCTACTCAGTTTTGAGAAGGTTTGTTACTCAGCAATAGATAATCTAAACATGCAACTTTCTACGTAGTTTTTTAGCTGCTTATTAGATTTGAACAAATACCTTGAGACTAGCGCTGCCAAGTATTGGGAGTCACTGGTATTCCCCACTTTTCACCAGGATCTCAGCCCCTTATATCCTGGCTGCTTTGTCAGTCCCAAACTCCAATCTTTGTTTCTTAAGCCCCAAGAGATTGCCAAACTGTCTCTGTTGGCTTCTTTGCTTCTTGACTATAGCTTTCTGACAGAATCTCAGTGTCTTACCCAGTGCCAAGAAGCTGCAGATGCCAGAATAGGGAAATGAGCTTATAGCATGTTGGCTTAACTCTCTGCACTTCCTTCACTCAGGAATCTTAGACTCTTAAATAGATCTTCTCTTGTTTATTTTTCTTTTTCATCTGGTTGCTGTCAATGGCAACATTGGCCCTCCACAATTACTCTATCAGTACTGAAAGTGGAAGTATATATTATTGCATATTTTTATTTTTTTTTTATTTTACTTTAAGTTCTGGGATATACGTGCTGAACATGCAGGTAGTACCATGGTGTTTTGCTGCACTTATCAACCCGTCATCTAGGTTTTAAGCCCCGCATGCATTAGGTATTTGTCCTAATGCTCTCCCTCCCCTTTCCCCCAACCCCTCGACAGGCCCCGGCATGTGATGTTCCCCTCCCTGTGACCGTGTGTTCTCATTGTTCAACTCCCACTTATGAGTGAGCACATGCAGTGTTTGGTTTTCTGTTCCTGTGTTAGTTTGCGAAGGATGATGGTTTCCAGCTTCACCCATGTCCCTGCAAAGGACGTGAACTCATTCTTTTTTATGGCTGCATAGTATTCCATGGTGTATATGTGCCACATTTTCTTTATCCAGTCTATCATTGATGGGCATTTTAAAAGATCTCCCTAGTGTTAATGTAGAGAAAAGATTGGGAGAGACCAATCAGAAGTAATGGACAATAATCTGGGTGGGAATTGATGATGGAGAGAGTTATCATAAAAGCAGCGAGGCTAGAAAAAATTATTAAAAGTATTTAATGAATGATTAGAACATACAATTTGCAGTTTCGTACGAGTATAAAGGACAAAAAAGTATTTGAGAGCTTTGTAAAATTCTTGCATGAACACTGTGGTATGTGTTAAGATTCACTTAGATAAAGCATATTTCACATAAGGGGGTGACACACAGAGATATTGTGTTAAATGTGAAACTCGTTCTGTTTCAGTTGTGGTTACAATATTTAGGTGGAGATGGCCAATTGCCGGTGAATTTAAAATTCAGAGCAGAAATCTCAACTACAAATAAAAAGAGAATTGGGAGACCAGTTTATCAGTAGCATTTTGACACACAGAAGTGGATAAAAATCACCTCAAGAAGAGCACGTGGTAAGAAAGAAAATAGGTGAGCCTAGGAAAGAACAAACTTGCTTTGGCACCCCTTGGAAGAATGTAAAATGAAGTAAAACCACAAACATCAGTTTCATGGTTCTCTTAATTTTCTCATATTGCTTTGCTTCTCCAATATAGACTTAGACGAATGTCTCCCAATGTGCAGAATACCCCTTTTTAAGTGAAAAGAGAGAAACATCTGAAATGATATGAGTCAGAGGAAAAGAGAATAGTTTCCTGTGGTTCTCAATTTTAAACAATATAAAGTGGCTGAAATAACTTAGATAAACGATTATATGCCCATATTACAACCCATGCTTACAATCTTGATTGACAGGGAAAATCAAACACTCCAGAAAACATACAATCATAATTTCAGTGGATTCATTTCAAAAAGAAAAACTAAGTTAATAGAAATATTATGAAATATAGGTAAAGCAATAGTGGCAAAAACAAGAGAGAATGTGTGATATTATAAAAAGTTTATCACCAACAAATAAAATTTATTTTGGGGAAAATTACAATATGGAATGCATTCTTTAGTCCACAACCTCAACTACATGCTATAAATTGCTTGATTAAAAATACTTGAAATTCCATTTTAACTCTATTCATATTGGGACACAGTAATTCAACATGTTACAGAGACTTTTAAAGACTACCATTTCTAAAAAAGATAAAAAATATTTAATCAAATAAGTTATGGTAAATAAAATTATATGAAAATATATGCCATCTACAGTGGACAGCTTTGTTTATCAACCTATTTATTTCTCCTTTTTCTGGAATTAAAATCTTTATTTTCAGCTGGGCGCGGTGGCTCATGCCTGTAATCCCAGCACTTTGGGAGGCCGAAGCGGGTGGATAACTGGAGGTCAGGAGTATGAGACCAGCCTGGCCAACATGAGACAGCCTGGCCTTGTCTCTACTAAAAATACAAAAATTAGCCGGGCATGGTGGCACGCGCCTGTAATCCCAGCTACTCAGGAGGCTGAGGCAGGAGTATCGCTTGAACCTGGGAGGCAGAGGTGCGGTGGGCCACAATTGCAAGACTGCACTCCAGCCTGGGTGACAGAGTGAGACTCCATCTCAAAAAAAAAAAATCTTTATTTACTTTAGACAACCAAATCTACTTACATATTTTTGGGGGCTTACTAGCTCGAGAGGCAAGCAAATGTCCTCCCAGTGTATTGTATTTCCCTAGCCACAAGGTTTGGTTAAAGCATGATGAGGTAACCCAAAACCAGCATCAACCATATAGTTTTGCTGGAAACATTAGGAACGAAATGTTTCCAGTGAGGATGCCAAGTGGAAATACATAAGCCTGGAGTTGCTTGTGTTCATCTTGTTGTGGTCCCACTCATCCCCAGTTGTCCAGGACAATCCTACTTCATGCCTGTAATCCCAGTGTATTTAGTAATAACATTGCCCTGGTTTGGATAATAAATTACACAGTAACTTTATTCTTTGAAGAAAACTTACCTAAGAAAACATTTAAAATTAAAGAAAGCAAACCTGAAAGATGGAAAGTAACCAACAGACTGTTAACAATATCATTTGAGTAATCTGAGCCTGGTGTACCTGAGACCAGGTCTACCCTTCAATTTTTTTCTTCTATGTGAGCAAAAATAATAATAATAATAAAATAAATATATATATGTATATCTTGTATTTCATAATGGGGTTTAAATTGGATTTCTGCCACTTGCAATTGAAACAGTACTGATTATTAATGTATGCTATGTTAAAAGTTTGCTTAATGACAAGAAAAGGTACACATTTATACAGAGATTTACTTACTTCAGAAGGGCATCTTAAGGATAAGAAGCTGAGACTTCTTTATTGTATTAAAAACCTAGAAACACTAACCATTCTTCTGATACTAAATCACTAAATCTCGGTTTAAGTTAATAATTTAATGTTAGTGATTTGCAGGGATCTTCTGTTTGAAATACCATCACGTCTTTCATTATTAGCAACCCCTACTCATCTTTCAAGACTTATGAAACAAGCCTTGTCTCCTCAAAGATGCCCAGTTGAACAGCCAGGTGGAAAAACATGCCCTTCAATGTGCCTCCATGCTACAGAACTCTGCGAACTCCATCATAATAACACCTACCATCTTATATTTTAAATTTGTTTTGTTGAGGTGTGTTTTACATATATTTAAATTCATCCATTAGAAGCATACAGTTCTGGCCGGGCGCGGTGGCTCACGCCTGTAATCCCAGCACTTTGGGAGGCTGAGGCTGGTGGATCACGAGGTCAGGAGTTCAAGACTAGCCTGGCCAAGACGGTGAAACGCTGTCTCTACTAAAAATACAAAAATTAGCCTGGCATGGTGGCAGGCACCTGTAATCCCAGCTACTCAGGAGGCTGAGGCAGAGAATTGCTTGAACCCTGGAGGCGGAGGTTGCAGTGAGCTGAGATCTCGCCACTGCACTCCAGCCTGGGCGACAGAAGGAGACTCCGTCTCAAAAAAAAAAAAAAGAAGCATACAGTTCTGTGAGTGTTTTAATTTATTTTTAATTGACAAATAGCTGTAATATTTATGGGGTACAATGTGATATTTTTAATCTATGTATACATTGTAGAAAGATTACTTCAAGCTAATTAACACATCTATCACCTAACTAGCTTATACATTTTTGGTGACGAGAACATTTTAAAAATCTATATTTTTTAGCAATTTTGAAATTTAAAACACCTTATTAACTATGGCCACCATACAGTGCAAAAAATCACTAAAACCTATTCCTCCAGTTTAACTGAAACTTTGTATCCTTTCATCAATATCTCCCCTTTCCTCATCCCTACCACCCCCACCTACTTCTAGTAATAATCACCTTTCTACTCCTCGTTTCTATAAAATTGACTTTTTTAGGTTCAACATGTGTTTTGATAAATGCATACAGTCTTGTAATTACCATGAAAATCAATATGCAAAATAGTTTCACCCTCTTCCCCAAAGTTTCCTCTGTCCTCTTTACATTCCATCTTCTTCCTCAACTCCAGCCCCTGGTAATTACTGATCTTTTTTCTGTTACTATACTTTTTTCCTATTCTAGAATTTCATATAAATTGAATGGCAAAAGTTGTAGGCTTTTGTGTCTTCATTCTTTCTCTTAACATAATGCTTTTGAGATTTGTCTATATTGTTAATTGTGTCAATACTTTATGCCTGAATAATATTCTTTTGTATGGATATATTATAATTTGTTTATCTATTCACCTGTTGATGGACAATTGGGATGTTTTCAATTTGGGAGAATTTTAAACAAAATTTGCTTCAACTTTTGAGTATACATCATTGTGTAGACTTGTGTTTCAATTGTTCATGTGTAAATCCCTCTCATATGATACACAAGTGAACCATATTAATGTAAGATATTAATAATAGAAGCTGGGTGCAAGGTATATGGGAACTCCCTGTACTATTTTCATTTTTATAAATCTAAAACTATCCTAAAATATTTATTTTACAAATGTATAAAATATTTGAATAGACACCATATCATCAAATAATACCTATAAATGGCAAATATACACAGAAAAAGACGCTCACCATTACTAGTTATTAAATTAAATTAAATTAAATTAAAACCTATTTATTTACGTCTGCTTTAATAACTCTGTGATGATTTGTAGTTCTGCAGTTCACAGTGCCAGAAGATATACTTTTTGTTAAATTTATCTCTAGGTGGACTGGGTATGGTGGCTCATGGATAATCCTAACACATTGGGAGGCCAAGGCAGGAGGATTACTTAAGGCCAGGAGTTCAGGACCAGCCTGGGCAACATACTGAGACTTTATCTCTACAAAAAAAAAATTAAAAAAAAAAAAAAAACAGAGTGTCGTGGCGCATGCCTGTAGTCTCAGCTACTCAGGAAGCTGAGGCAAGAGGCTCGCTTGAGCCCAGGAGTTTGGGGTTGCAGTGAGCTATGATGATGCCACTGCACTTCAGCCTGGGTGACAGAGCAGGACCCTGTCTCAGAAAAAATAAAAATAAAAATAGAAAACTTTAGATATTTTAGGACTTTCCACATAGACGAATATGTTGTCTACAAATTCAGTTGTATGTCTGTCTTCCTTTCTACTAATCAGTATTCCTTGTATTTTTCCTTGCCTTATTGCACTGGCTACAACCTGCAGTACAAGGTAGAATAAAAGTGTTGAGAGCAAACATCTGTGATTTCTTCCTCATCTTAGGGGGAAAGCTTTCAGACTTTCATCATTAAGTATGATTTCAGCTGTTGGTTTTTGTAAATTTTTTTGGTCAGGTTAAGGAAGGTCCCTTCCATTTCTAGTTTCCAAGAGTTTTATTGTTTTTGGGAGGAATGGTTGGTAAATTTTGTCAGATGCTTTTTATGAATCTAATGAGATGATTTCGTGTTTTTTTAAAAAATTTGTTTAATATGATGAATTACATCAATTTGTTTCTACTTTTAAACCAGTCTTGTGTTCCTGGAATTAAACCTACTTTATCATAAAACATTATTTTCTTTATATGCTGCTAGACTCCATTAGCTAAAATTTTGGTAAGGTTTTCTGCATTTAGATTTACAAGAAATATGGACATATAGTTTTTCCTTTCCTTATTTCTTTCTTTCTTTCTTTTTTCTTTTCTTTTTTTTTTTTTTTTTGAGACACAGTCTCCCTCTGTTGCCCAGGCTGGGGTGCAGTGGCACTATCATGGCTCACTGCAGCCTCAACCTCCTGGGCTCAAGTCATCCTTAGCCTCCCAAGTAGCTGGGACTACAATTGCACACCATCACACCCAGCTTATTTCCTTATTTTTTGTAGAGATGGGGTTTCACATGTTACCCAGGCTGATCTCAAAATGCCTGGGCTGAAACTACCCACCTGCTTCGGCCTCCCAAAATGCTAGGATTACAAAATGCTGGGATTACAGGTGTGAGTCACCATACATGGCCTATAGTTTCCTTTTCTTGTAATGTCTTTTTCTAGTTTAGGGTAACGGTGGTTAACAGTGGGGAGATTTTTGACCACAGGGTATTCATTACACCCTTGGGATGATAAGGGCCTGTCTCTTTTCACTTAATATTCAACATAAGAGACAACACACAGCAAATAAATGTACAAAAAGGAAAGTAACCTTCCAAAAATATGAATTTGTATAACAAAATTTGCTTAATTTTTTCATCTATTTAGTATGAAGTAAAATGTAAAAATTAATGCTAATATGTAATGCAGAATGTAAGTCCTAGGTAGGAGGACTCGGGCCACTTGATTTGTTTTAGTTTTCCTCAGTGCTCTTTGCTTGAGTTTACCTGGTGTCTTCTCTGTTCTCTTTATCATCCACTATCTTATGAATATGGTCACTCTTGCCTGCCAACTTAAACAGTCATTATGTAATTCTAAATTTAAAAGACTATATCTTCTATGCAATAGAAAAATTAAAGAGAAAAGAAGAAAAAAACAAATATTTAAATAATTGGTAGTACCTATAGGTTGCAATAATATTCAATTACACTGTGAACCTTGAGTATAGCTATGTCAAATTTATACCACTAGATGAAAACTGGAACAGAATCTAGAAAAATGAAAGGAGCTGCTGAGGTTCAGCATGTCATAGGTAGTATTATCGGTATATCCTTTATTACCATTATAACTTTGTTTGCCTCATAAATGTACATTAGAAAAAATTTATAAAACATATATAGATTACAAATTACTTTATTCTTAATCTAATTCTTTTTTCTGATGGCATATTTGTTTCTTTGTTTTAATCTTGCTTTTAAAAATATCAGTTTTATGGTTAAATATTCCCAATTCTTCTTCCATATTACATGACAATTGCATTGACATGGGTCAGTACGCTTGGATTCATGGAACAATTGTACACTACCATTGGTTTAGTAGATGAAATAGACTATTACAAAAGGAAATCACTGCAATTGGGGTAAAAGTCCACATTGCCTGAGCCCAACATCCTCACCAGGCAAGTGCATATTGAAGATGAGAATATATATGTGAGTAAGGGTCCCTTCAGAGCTTTTGGAAGCCCATATATCCTGTTCTGTGCTCGATTTCTATACATAAATGAAATATGGGCCAGGCATGGTGGCTCACGACTGTAATCCCAGCACTTTGGGAGGCCAAGGCAGGCCGATTACTTGAGGTCAGGGGTTTGAGATCAGCCTGGCTAACACGACGAAACCCCGTATCTATGAAAAAAAAACACAAAAAAAAAATTAGCTGGGCATGGTGGCACACGCCCGTAGTCCCAGCTGCTTGAGAGGCAGAGGCAGGAGAATCACTTGAACCCAGGAGGCGGAGGTTGCAGTGAGCTGAGATCGCACCACTGCACTCCAGCCTGGGAGACAGAGTGAGACTCCGTCTAAAAAAACCAAAAGCAAAACAAAATTAAATAGGTATGTAGTTGTGTCTGGATATGTAAGGGATACCAATTCTGGATCAGTAGTTCCTCATCAAACATGGTTATACAACATGCAGCAAATTCATAAAAGTCATTGCATCAAGAAACACTCAGAAATAAACATCTCTGTTATCCTCGACTCTGCAGAGTAAATATGGCCATGTCCAAAAACATTCCTGAATTTCACGTGGTATGTAACTAAGTAAAGGATCAGTTATTCAGTTATCTCTGGGGGTAAGAAACCAGTACTCGGGCTGGGCGTGGTGGCTCATGCCTGTAATCCCAGCACTTTGGGAGGTCAAGTCAGTCGGATCACCTGAGATCGGGAGTTTGAGACCAGCCTGACCAGCATTGAGAAACCCCGTCTCTACTAAAAATACAAAATTAGCTGGGCGTGGTGGCACACGCCTGTAATCCCAGCTACTTGGGAGGCTGAGGCAGGAGAATCACTTGAATCCAGGAGGAGGAGGTTGCAGTGAGGTAAGTCGAGATTTCGCTATTGCGTTCCAGCCTGGGTGACAAGAGCAAAACTCCGTCTCAAAAAAAAAAAAAAAAAAAAAAAAAAAGAAACCAGTACTTAAACCGTAGTACATCCTGAACTATCTTCTATCAGATTTGTCCAAGGTTTTAACAACATTAATACCCTCAATTCTGCTCCCTGTTTCCATGCCCAGACTGCATGTTCTGAAAGTTTGCCCTCCCAGCAAACTTCTTGGTCATAATTCACTTTCTCCATTTTGTTAAAGACAAATAGAACTAACAGAGTTTCAAATAAGCTGTGATAATTAGTTAACTTGCAAACTGAAAAGACTTCTAGGAAAAAAATAAAAAAGAACAAGAGAATGTCAGGTTTCACTTGAATAGTGCAGCCTCAGCTTATGAAAATGTTGAGATTTGCATTTGGCTTTTCAAATAACTAAGCATAAGACAAGGGCCACCATTTTTTGTTTTTGCCTCACCCAGGGATGCAAGTGCCCAAGATTAGAAATTCCTGAATCAGTTCATATGGAGGATTATTTAGAAAAAAGTGCTTTAGTCATTACATTTTAAAATGTTCTTAGAGCATTGTCAATGAGGTAGAAAGTCTGGGTGAGTAGAAGCTGAAGTATGTAAATCTGCATAATCAAAGAGCTTTGAATAATTATAACAGAGCTGGATTACAGTAAAATATTTTTCTTTATATATCTCTATCTTCCTGTGTGTCATGCTTTAGGCCAATGGTTTGAATGGAAAATATAAAACAAAGAAAAACTGTTGCATGAAATATGAATGTAATTAATTCATGCAACAAAAACTACATGCCACTTTAAATTACAAGTGCAAAAAAGACTAATCCAAGGATTCATATAAAGTTGTGCTTATCTTAACAGAAACGCAAAAGACATATTTGTATGAGATAGTATTAATGAATAACATATTCCAGTCAGTTGATTAAATTGACGTTATGAGGCTGAGAATGTGGAAAAGCAACAGTTGAACCTATTTAAGTCTAATTTGACTACAGTGAAAAGAAGGTTCTGCACAGTTAAAGATTTTGATTAGAGGACTTGTAAGGATAAAGTGTTTGAGAAATGCTTTTTAGAAGCAATGTTTTTAATTAATTAGTGAGAAGTGGAGAGGTCAAAAAGAAAAGAGCCACACATGATTAAACTCTTGTCTATCTTGTCTTGACGACCAAGAAGTGACAAACATTAGGAATCACTTAGATAAAAGAGGGAGAATTTTTGGAAGTATACACAGAAAATATGAAAAAATTTAAGATCCTGCTAAGGTTGCCTGGAAATGGACAATATTGAGGCCACAGTGTTAGTGAAAATGTATAGGAAAAAGAATGTACCTGTTGAAATGTTAAAAGTACTGCCTCAAATTACCTCAAAATAGTTTTTTTTTTGCATCATTCTAAGTATAATGTAGATCCTGTTATTTTTATATTTTGTCATTAAGGCTTGTGTGTATTTTAATGAATCCTATAACTTGTCTCTTCAGTAAAATGGGCATTATATTAGACAAGTTAATTATGAAAGAACTAAAATGCTTCTTCCTTGAGAATTACATTCATTAGTACTTTTAAATAATTTAAAAGTATGTTTTCAATGTTAATGACATTTCTTTATAAAACCTATATTTGTGGCTGGGCACGGTGGCTCACGCCTGTAATCCCCGCACTTTGGGAAGCCAAGGTGGGTGGATCACGAGGTCAGGAGTTCAAGACCAGCCTGGCCAAGATGGTGAAACCCCATCTCTACTAAAAATACAAAAATTAGCCGGGCATGGTGGCACGTGCCTGTAATCCCAGCTACTCAGGAGGCTGAGGCAGGAGAATCGCTTGAACCTGGGAGGCAGAGGTTGCAGTGAGCCGAGATCGTGCCACTGTATTCCAGCCTGGGCGACAGAGCAAGACTCCGTCTCAAAATAAATAAATAAATAAATAAATAAATAAATATAAATAAATAAATAAATGAAACCTATATTTGCAAATCAAGTTGCAAAGCCTCAAAAGGAAACAATGAGCAAAGAGGATAAAAGACTTGGCCAAATTGAGCTCCTGGTTGTCTCTGGGATGTTATTAAATTAGGCTAAGCAAAAATCAAATCCAATTACATCAGCAAAGATTTCTTGGGTGTTTATTATCTATCAGGCACTGTACTGAGCACTAATGATTCAGACAGGAGTAAGTCATGTTAAGGCTAATATTCTGCAAAAGGTGTTACTTAACAAGTTTTGCGTTTAGGATTCCAGGTTAATATCTGCATTAGCAGGGTTGGATCTAGAGGTCCAACTTCAATAGTACCCAGAGTGTGTCCACCTTCCCACCCAACTGTCACCAGTAGAGGGTCTTCACTTCAAGTTGTCCAGGTTCTTGGCATTTTGAATAAGGAACTGGACAAAACGCACAGCAAAGCAAGCAAAGAATGAAGCAACGAAAGAGCAAAAGCAGAGATTTATTGAAAATGATAAGTACACTCCACAGTGTGGGAGTTGCCCTAGCAGCATCTCAAGGGCCCCAGATATAGAATCTTCTAGGGTCCAAGTACCCCCTAGAGGTTTCCCATTGGCCACTTGTTCACCTCATGTAAATGTAGTGGTGGCCCGCAATCAGTCTGATTGGTTGCGGAAAGCCAACCAATCAGAGGCTGAAATTACAAAGTTGCACTCGTATGCAAACGTCTGATTGGTTGCTTTCTGCAGAGGTACTTTCAATTTTCCATCTGCCAGGCAGAAGAGGTGGGAGTTTGCAAAGGGGGTAGCCTATGGTCCTTTTGTTACTTAGGCATGGAAAGTTAGGATTTTCCTTTCAATTTAGTTCTAGGAAGTCACCATGAAACGGCCTTAGGTTCCTTGCCTCCAAACCCTGCTCTCCTGCCTCACAACTATATTGAATATCTATATGACCTGCAAGACAGTACTGGCACATGTCATAATTTACTTCATTAACTTCTATTGTGGTCAGATAAAGGAAATAATAGTTTCTCAATGTTTAAAAGATCTAAACATAAAGATTAATATTTTTAATAACTTGCCCATGTTATCTATGTATCTGTAAGCAGATAAAGATATATGCTTAACCTTGGATATGAACTTCAGACTATGGTTTGTTATAGTCACTGGTTTTTCCAATATATCATCTTACTTTTCTCACCATGTTGGGTGATTAATAAATATGTCACATCAGTAGTGGATGAGGAATTATTGAATATCATGAAACAGATGTACTTAAGATAACTGTCTCTCTTCAGTTCTGTTTACCTATCTAGGTTCTGTTGGTCCTCTTTTCTAATTTCAAAACTGATTTGCAATGGAATATTTATTTATTTTAATAAGTATTAAAATGTGTTTAGAAATCGTACTTTTTTTTTTTTTTTTTTGAGATGGAGTCTTGCTCTGTCACCCAGGCTGGAGTGCGGTGGCGCGATATCCGCTTACTGCAAGCTCCGCGTCCTGGGTTCACACCATTCTCCTGCCTCAGCCTCGCGAGTAGCTGGGACTACAGGCGCCTGCCACCACGCCTGGCTAATTTTTTGTATTTTTAGTAGAGACGGGATTTCACCGTGTTAGCCAGGATGGTCTCGATCTCCTGACCTCGTGATCCGCCCACCTTGGCCTCCCAAAGTACTGGGATTACAGGCGTGAGCCACCGCGCCTGGCCAGAAATCGTACTTTTTATACAATTGTAATTTTTATTTTTATTTTTAAAATAAAATGATAATCAATTATATTATTAACTGGGATTTGCTTCTCTCTAGTATGCTATACACAATCCTTCAACCAGTTCTGCATAACTATGGAAGAATTCACCCGGCATAACATCATAGTGTAGTTGCTACACTCTATGCTGGATTCTCATCTGCCTATGTAATATGTTTTGTGTATGCTAATCAAGATGCTTTGATGGAGACATTTTAAAAATCATACTCAAATTTGGGGGATGAAGTTTAAACTGCAGACTGAATCCTGCTTAAAAACAGATAAACTGATGAACAAAAACATGAATGTTAGGATACATCTTGTGTACTACAACTAAATATTCCCTCTGACCATTAGAGCTTAGGCGTTTTCTATCTTTCCATTTCACTTCTAATATTATGTGAACCTTGCTGTTTTATAATAAAAACCCACATACTTCTAGGTAAATATGGCTGAGAGTATGTACATGTATCTCAGATCCCTCTTCAATCTCCACCAAAATGACAGTTAGGGAATTGAATATGTTATAAACCCAGAAAGACATTGAGAATGGGAGAAAGGATAACACTGGAAAAAATATGTCATCCGATTTGTGGAAGAGGAAAGGCAAATGGAAGAGTTAGACCTCATTAAGGGCCCCTAAGGAAACTATTATAAAACCTAAGTGCTACAGAGGGAGATACTGATGAGTAACAAGTCTATTTGCAGAATGCTGGAGGGCATAGGACTTGGTAACAGCTAGTGTGGAGGACTGAGGTAAAGCAGTCAGGTGACTACTCCAATCACAAAACTTTCAGATGCCAGAGGCTTTTCTGTGGAGAAAATAAACATAAGAGAATCTAAATTCTGGGAGGATGGGAGAAATATTTAACCTAAAACAGGGAGTTGCCTACATAACAAATATTGAGAAATACAGCTTCCAACACCAGTGTGTCAATACACTACCTAAACGCCTTCAGATAGGAAATTAGAGTTTTCTTCTGTGTAGAAACTAAATATCCACTGAGAAAAAGCTTACTAATATGAAAAATAAAGTTCCTCCTCTAATTATCTTAGAACTATGGCCTGCAGGCCAAATCTAGCCAACAGCATGTTTTTGTAAATAAAGTTTTATTGGAAATCAGCCCTACCCATTCATTGCATATTATCTATGGCTATTCTCACTATACGATGTCAGGGTTGAATGTGTGTAATGAAAAACATGTGACCCATGAAGCCTAAAATATTTACTCTCTGGCCCGTTACAGAAAGTTTGCCAACTGCTCTAGAGAAAAATCTGAATGGATAATCCCCATGTATATTGAACTAACAATTAATTTTAGTGCCTTAATTAAATATAAAGAGAGCAACAAGAATCATGATACATTGCAGATAATTTTCTAACAAAAAGACTTGAATTAAAAGCAAAAACCACCAAATTTTTTAAAAAGAAAAACTTTCTTCAAAAAGATAAAATATGTAAGACATGGAATATAAAAATAAAATGAAAATATAAAAAGTCTATTAATATGACTCTTCGAGAAAGCTGAATGGAATGGTCATTTAATGAAGTAGCGGGGAGTAGGTTTGGAGATGGTAGGTTAATTATATAGTCAGACACGCAAAATTTAAATAGTTCACCTCCTGTGTACACTTACTGAAGATGTGCCTGGAAATGTGTTTTAACAAAAGGGAAAGAAAAACATAAGCAATCAGGGAAAAGGAGATTCACTATAATAGTGAAGTAAAGTCTCAGAATGACAGGGAGCACCAGCATTCAAGAACAATTGCTGAGTAAACAGAAAGGATGGATATCTGAGGAACAAAGGGATCTTGGAAAATAAAATGTAGCGGATAGTGTGTTGAGAATTATGTTTGATCACTTGTGGAAAATAGCAATACATTTGTGAGAGATCTGTTGAAGCATTTGGAAAATACTGATAGGTATTCAGAAAAACAAGCAAATTTAATAACATGACTTATGAATGTCGGGATAAATAAAAGTGTTATAAGAAATAAAGTATATTAAAGTACAATAATTGGTTAAGTGGAAAGCATTTTGATTAATTATATTGAGAAACTGTGAAGAGGAAAACTGTCCCATTCATATCACACAATACCTTGGCTATTTTTCTTACATCACCTATAGCCCTTTATCATGTATCTCCCCTATAGAATGGAAGTGTTATGAAAAGAGGCACTTGTCTGTTTTGTTTTTCTGTGTTTCCAAAGCCTGGAATAACGCTCAACATATAGTAGGTACCCAGAAAATATTCGTTGAAAAAATGAGTAAAGAAGACGTTAGGAAAGCTTAAATGTTAATAAAACTCCATTGGAAATGTCTAAATGTGATAAATCAAGAAACAGTAGTGTAAGCACATTAGTTAGAAATATGGAGATAAATTCCAAATAAAGCATGGAAAGGGAATAGGAAGTGTGTTGTTTCTGGGAAGCAGGGCTGGAATAAGAAGTCCATCATAAAACGAGGGTCGGGCTGGGCGCGGTGGCTCATGCCTGTAATCCCAGTACTTTGGGAGGCCGAGGTGGGTGGATCACTTGAGGTCAGGAGTTCGAGACCAGCCTGACCAACATGGTGAAACCCTGTCCCTACTAAAAATACAAAAATTAGCCAGGCGTAGTGGCAGGTGCCTGTAGTCCCAGCTAGTCGGGAGGCTGAGGCAGGAGAATCACTTGAGGTGGAGGTCACAGCGAGCTGAGATTGTACCACTGCACTCCAGCCTGGGTGACAGAGTGAGGCTGGGAGAAAAATGAGAATATAGTTTTCATTAAAAACATTATATATTTAATTTTTAGTGATATGCATGCATTATCTAGGTAAAATATAAAAATGAATTTGGAATTTTCTTTAAATTTTACAAAATTCAAAGGAAATACTCAGGTCTATGATTATCTAATATCGTTCAATATAGAAATTCAAGTAAAAAAATTAATAGAATACTCATTATTAGAGTATTCTTTACCTTAAGCCAATGACATTCAATTGTTTCGTGCTGTAAAACCCTGTTGACATTCATTTCAGATTATAATACAATTACTTGGCAAAAGTACATATACATTTATTTTCATATTAGACTGGGTTTCAATTAAATGTATGGGAAACTTTAGTTTCTAAAATTACTTCTTGACATAATTATTAATTATAGATTACCTTGAATTTTTTAGTTTTTAAGCTCTTTTAAATGCAGTATCTAATTAGATTCTCTCAGCAAAGATAGGAAGACAGTATAACAATACTTCATCTCATGGAATTTGGATTAAGATACAAGCCTCGTTTCCAGTCCTGCTTCTTCCATTTAATTATTGAACTTTCAGCAAATTACATTGCTGTTCTTAGCATCAGTTTCATTCTTAATAACAAGACCACAATATTTTTGTTTTGTGAAAATTATATGAGATAATGTAGGAAAGGGCACATAGCAGTTATTTACAGTAAACGTGTGATAAATGGTGTCAAAGAATCTTTAAAGATTTGCTAAAGAATGTATTATATATTCTCCAAAGTCATTCTTTGTCCATATACATGATATTTTATGAAAGATCCTAAAGAAAAGCCCAGATATTTTTCCTCTAACTGAACTGTTTTGTTTCAAAATTGTTAGAGAAATGGTAATATACTGCAAAGAAAACAGTTTTAAGACTCACCGGCTTCTAGAGGTCCAAACTCTTGCCATATGGCCAAATTTTGTCTATAGAACTGTTGTATTTGGTTTGTTAGTATGTTTGTGTAATTTTTGAGTCCTATGAATGAGGCATATAGTCTCATATTTATCACAGTCCCATGATTCCTTATTATCCACATGAATGCTGATGATTATTTTAAAGTACTCACTACTCTACTTCCAAGCAACAATTCTTCTTCATTCCCCCTACTAACTTCAATGTCAATGCTCTCTTAGGTCTGACTATTTCTTGGGATATTGATAGAAAGGTATATTGTTCCCCTTCCCTCTTGTACCCAACACTCCTGGTAATATTAAGTTATGGGTCATATTTTAGTCCATTCTGGCTACTGTGAAAAAATATCATAGCCTGGTGGGTTACAAACAACTTAAATTAGTTGCTCGCAGTTCTAAAGGGTAGTAAGTATAAGATCAAGGTGCTGGCAGATCTGGTGTCTGGTGAGGGCACTCTTTAAGTTTGCAGATGACCCACCTTCTCATTGTATCCTCAGGTGTCAGAGAACAGAGAAAGAGAAAGCGCTCATGTCTCTTCTTATAAGGGCACTAATCCCATCATGAGGGGATCCACCTTCATGACCTAATCTCCTCCCAAAGGCTCCTATCTCCTAACATCATCACCCTGGGGATTAGAATTTCAACATGAATATTGGGGGGATGCAGACATTCAGACCATAGCAGGCCAAGAATTCTCATCACATAGATTAATTTAAAAATTGAGCTATATCTATCTTATTAAAAAATCCTATCAAAATGCTGATTTCATGATATTATCTCAGTTACTTTAGAGCAGCAGAATTTGTAAAGTGTTTTCATCCTGCTTTCCTCAACCCTGAAGCACACTTGCTTTCCACCACCAATTTCTGCTAATGTTTGTCTTAGTGGTATGTGGCACTGCTCTAATATTCATGATACTAACAATTAATTTTATCAAGAATTCATTACATATACTAAACATGTTACATGGATAATCTTATTTAATCTTCTCAACTATATTATGAGGCATGTGCTGTTATTAGTCCCATTTTATAGATGAGAAAATCCACGCTAATAGAGGTTATAAAACTTGCAGAGTCATACAGTTAACAAAAGGCCTAGTCATTTGCATTCCAAGTCTGTATTTTCCTAACAGGAAATGCAATAAAGTTGTTTGGAGATGTCTATTTTTTCTGTTTTCTGTAAGTATAGTTTGATGTTTTGCTCACTCTAGTTTGGAAGTAAGTAAAGATTACTCTATGAAAAATGTATCTTGAGAAAATGGTATTCTATGCTACTGAGCTGAAAGATTATCATCCGTCAACTGCTATGCAGGATTAGGGTTACCACCACATTGTTGACTGCTGCCACAAGATAACCAGACCAACACAACAAATAACTGCAGCATAAAAGGCAACATAGTACCAAAAATCATTTTATGTGAAACAAAACATTATGCTACTCTTGCACAGTTTTGCTACTGGAATATTTCTTGCTGTTATGCTCAAATAATGGAACTTAAAATACTTTCAACTTCCCCAGGCCTTTCTGAATAAAAAACCTAGTGACAATTCATTGTATTATTGCTTTTGAAAACAAAATTAACTTTTTGTTTGTAATGCCCACCCAGGAAATATACAGTATTGATTACAGAGTAAAAAGATTACAAGGTATTCCCCCTCTTATTAGAAAAATATGCCTATAAATATTTCTTTTAGTACATTTTCAGTCATATATGTACATTTTTAAAATAAGAGATTCAGAAGCTCACATTTTTATTATGACATTTCTCCTAACCAGCTGTGTGATGACAGGCATCTCTGGGAATTCCTAGCCTTCAGGTTTCTCTTCTTTAGACACAAGTTGGCCTTCGTATCTCTTGGATTCTGTCCATCTCTAAAGGTCAATGATTCCAGCTCTTGTAAGAGAGCCACTGAAATGATCTGGAAGATAAAATAGTTTTTACTTGAGGTTAGAATAAGCTGAACAGGACTCTGGAAGGCTAACGAGGATATCATTAAGGATTTTTTATTGTCTTATATGTTTATTATATTTATCTTAACATTTTTGCAAAATAAATTCCCTGAAGATGAGGACATTTATTTTACTTTATTTTCTCAATGTCTCGGTAGTATCTAAAATGCTATGTTGAGCATAGAAAAACATTCCTGATAATAATATAAACCGAAAAGTAATTTAAAACATGTCTTGAAATATAATTCTAAAACAATGAGGAGAAAGGGCAAAATCTTATCTATAAAATGTGTTCAGATAGCAAAATATATAGATATGTTAATTTATAAATTCCCTGAAATTATCAAACAATAACTTAGGTATTTATTTTGAAACAGTAATATAATATGCAATTAAACATGCATTCAATATTCACTTGCTAATTAAAATGCTCTACAAATGGAATTTATTTACAGTCATGACTGGACTCAAACATTCACTCATTAAATTGGACAATCTATCATTCTGTTAGGAGTTTATTAAACATTTATTAAGCTGTTAATGTGTCAGACACTTTTAAATGTAAAATATTATCTAAATAAGTAACTCTAAAAGTATATGAGAAAGTAATTTTTTTTTTTGAGACAGAGTTTCACTCTTGTTGCCCAGGCTGGAGTGCAATGGCACGATCTTGGCTCACTGCAACCTCTGCCTCCTGGGTTCAAGCGATTCTCCTGCCTCAGCCTCCCGAGTAGCTGGGATTACAGGTGCCCGCCACCATGCCTGGCTAATTTTTTTGTATTTTTAGTAGAGACGGGGTTTCACTATGTTGGCGAGGCTGGTCTCGAACTCCTGACCTCATGATCCGCCCGCCTTGGCCTCCCAGAGTACTGGGATTACAGGCATGAGCCACTGCACCCGGCCAGAAAGTAATTTTTTTAAGGCTAATAAAGACATTTAGAAACTTAGCAAACACAACTTTAAGAATGGTAGGCAAAATAATGGTCCCCAAAGAATCTCCACATCTTAATCCCCAGACTCTATGACTGTTCCTTACATGGCAAGGGGGACATTGTAGATGTAATTAAGGTTAAAATCTTGAGATGGGAAGATTTCCTGGATTATCCAGGTAAGCTCAATCTAATCACACGATTCTTTAAAAGTGGAGAATCTTTTTCCAGCTGTGGTCAGAGGGGATGTGACTACAGAAAAATAGTCAGGGACAAGCAACATTAGTGGCTTTGAAGATAGAAAAAGGAGCCATAAGCCGAGGAATTCAGGTGGTCTCTAGAAGCTGGAAAAGGCAAGGGAGAAGATTCTCCCCTTGGGTCTTCAGAAGAAAAACATCCCTACCAACACCTTGATTTTATCCCAGTGAGACCCAATGAGACCTGTTTCTGACTTCTGACCTACAGAGCTATAAGAAAATATATTTGTGTTGTTTTTTGTTCGTTTTTTATCATTGAGATGGAGGCTTGCTCTGTCTCCCAGGCTGGAATGCAATGGCGCAATCTCGGCTCACTGCAACCTCCGCCTCTCAGGTTCAAGCGATTCTCCTGCCTCAGCCTCCCGAGTACCTGGGATTACAGGCACCCACCTCTACGCCTGGCTAATTTCTTTCTTTCTTTCTTTCTTTTTTTTTTTTTTTTTTTTTGTATTTTTAGTAGAGACGGGGTTTTGCCATGTTGTCCAGGCTGGTCTCGAACTCCTGACCTCAAGTGATCCACCTGCCTTGGCCTCCCAAAGTGCTGAGATTACAGGCATGAGCCACCACGCCCAGCCTATTTGTACAGTTCAATCCACTGCATTGGTGGCAGTTTGTTACAGCAGCAGCAATAGGAAGCTAATATATTATCAAGTGACCAAAGTTAACAAAAGTAGATATGGAGAAAATCAACATCATGAGAACCCTAATGTGACGCACTAAAAATATTACATTGTCTTACTCAGTTCTGGGTGCTATAAAAGAATAACATAGACTGGGTGGCCTAAACAACAGAGAGTATTCCTCAGTTCTGGAGGCTGGGAAATCTAAGATCAAGTCACCAACAGATTCAGTGTCTGGTGAGAACACTCTTTCTCTTTCGCAAATGGCTGCCTTCTTGTTGTATCCCCATATGGAAGAACACAAAGAGAGAGAAAATGCTCGTACTTTTTCTTATAAGGGCGCTAATCCTAGTTTTGGGGCCTCACCCTCATGACCTAATTACTTTACCAGATGCCTCACTTCCTAATGCCATCACATTGGAATTAGGCTTTCAATATGAATTGGGGGAGAGCACAAACACATCTATGACATTCCTGCTATAAAATGAATAATCTGAATCTAATCACAAGAAAAACATCACACAAACCCAAATTGAAGGACTTTCTATAAAATAACTGACCTGATATCATAATTAAAAAAAGGCAAGGCCATAAAAACAAGGAAACACTGAGGAACTGTTTCAGTTAAAGGAAATAAAGAGACTTTATTAACTTCATGCAACACATGATTCAAAGGTCCCTTATTCTGCAAAAGATACTATGACAATCGGTGAAAAATAAATAAGGTCTTCAAATGAACCAGTATTATCGTACCAATGATCATTTTCTTTTCAATAATTACAGTGTGGTTATGACTGTTCTTTAATTCTAAATACTTTGATGTATTGTGGTAAAGAAACATCATGCCTTCAACTTACTGTCAAACAATTTAGAAAAAAAAAAAAGCTGATATGGCTGTGTCCCCACCCAAATCTCAACTTGAATTGTATCTCCCAGAATTCCCACGTGTTGTGGGAGAGACCCAGGGGGAGGTTACTGAATCATGGGGGCCGGTCTTTCTCTTGCTAGTATCATGATATTGAATAAGCCTGTATCATATTCATGATAGTGAATATGTCTGTATCAGCAGTGCGAAAATGGACTAATGAAACCTGAATACAGAGAAAGAGAGCATGCTAATATTTGGGAAATCTGAGTGAAGGATATACAAAAATTATTTGTACTATTGTAACTTGTCTGTAAGTCTGAATCTATGTCAAAATAATTTTTAAATTAAAGTTTATATCTATTATTTGATGATAAAAATACATGCAACAACATAACATGGAAATCTAGTGATAATTGAGGTATATTCTACTTGTAAAAAACAGCAATCATGTTGTTAAGTCCTACAACAAATATTTGATAAGTACCATGTATTACATCCTCTTCTGTGTTAAAAATAATAACAGTGAAAAAACCATCAAAAATCCCAGCCTTTATAAAACTTACATTTTGTGAGAGCTTAGATTTTCTTGTAGTGTCAGTGAACTGGGCAAGCCATTTGTCTAAGTGAATCATTTCTCAGTTTCTTAATCACATTTTCAGTAGCTTGAAACATTTTTCCAATAAAAATAACAGATAATTCCTTTAGCTTGAATGTTAACTCTCCACCCAGTTCCCTCAGTGATGACCAAAATTTGAATCATTCAAAAGATCTCTGGAAATCTAAATTTTGACCATTTTTAGAAGTTAATTAATAAGTACATATTTTATGATTTTCCCTTTCTTTCGCCAAATTGCTAACCTTCAATGCATTTGTTTTCTAAATCTACAATACATTTTCTTTATGCATCCAGAACTTCAAAAATTATTATGAGTTTAATTTTATTGTCTACTTTTTATTGTTATTACTGTATTTTATTTTGAAAAATTACTTTATCCATCAGGTATAGACTAAATATTATCCACTTAACTGAGAAAAGACAAACAATGCAAATGTAATTTTTCAAAAAATGTGCTTGAAAGAAAAAGTCATTACTAAATGTAGGAGAGGAGTCCAAAACAGAGATCTGTGGTAATGATGGCTTAGAAAAGAAAGTGTGAAAGTATCTAAGACTATGATAAAAATGGATTTATAAAGGCCAAACATCCCACAGAAGTCAGCTGAGTGAAGCTCAAAGAGCTCAGGAACAGAAGAAGAAAGGAACAAGGTTCTACGGGAACTAAGAAATGCTTATTATGCCATCCAGGTGACTGCTCAGGGCTTCAGTGCCTAATTTGGACTATAGACAAAGGAGCTGAAGCTATTGCTCTTAAATTTCAGATGCCAAGTACCTACTGAGACACCAAGTACCTACTGAGATACCCACGCACCAGTGTGCCTGGGTATAAATATGAATTTAGGAGTCAGTGTGGTGGGAATACTGATTAAGCCCCAGAAACAAATATGCAACTTTCCACATTTGACACATACGTGTATACCATTTTCTTGTACACATCAATATTGTCTACCACAGGACAGAAGCCTTCTATCTAAATTCCTGAATGGCAAAGGAATGACATCACCATCATCATCACCATCACCATCACTATCACCACCACCACCACCATCATCATCATCTCTAATTATTTGGGAGATGATATGATTAGGCTTTGTGTCCCCACCCAAATCTCACCTTGAACTGTAATTCCCCATGATCCCCATAATCTTCATGTGTCAAGGGAGAGACCAGGTGGAAGTAATTGAATCATGGGAGCGGTTTCCCCCATGCTGTTCTCATGATAGTGAGTGAGTTCTCACAAGATCTTATGGTTTTATAAGGGACTCTTCCCCTTTGCTGGGCGCTTCTCTTTCCTGCCGCCTTGTGAAAAAGGTACCTTGCTTCCTCTTGGCCTTCTTCCATGATTGTTTAAGTTTCCCGAGGCCTCCCCAGCCATGCTGAACTGTGAGTCAATTAAACCTCTTTCTTTGTAAATTACCCTGTCTCGGGGAGTTCTTTATAGCGATATGAAAGTGGACTAATACAGGAGATTTATGTGATAGTCAGTTTTAAGTGCTTTACATGTATATCTATTTATTATAAAGCTGAAATAAATACCATCTGCAGTTATAAAAGAGGAATCTGAGTTGCAAAGGTTAATAACCTACCCAGGTTAAACACTTATTGAGTGTCAGAGGCAGGATCAAAATGTAGGCACCTTAGAGGTATAAATAAATAGAAGACTGTTTTTTCATACAAAGCACTTCAATATCAGCCTTTTCTGAGGGCATTATA
Organism: Homo sapiens; assembly: GCF_000001405.40. Lineage (NCBI taxonomy): Eukaryota > Metazoa > Chordata > Mammalia > Primates > Hominidae > Homo > Homo sapiens. Next base: position 28,301,298 of record NC_000023.11, read on the forward strand.
GGAAACAACCAGAGAATCTTGGAGATATTGATCTGGAATCCTGGCTATAAAACGCCTGAAGTTTGCCCTACCTACAACGATTTTCATGTTACATGAGATGGTAAATTTGCTTATTGTCTTCCTTTATTTACATTTGATGCAAGGTTTTTCTCACTTGCAACTGAGGAAATTTACTCTTTCTCCTAGATTTCCCCATCATACTTCCATGACTTCCCTCATCTTGTCCTTTCCCTTTGCCAAGCTGAAAATACAAGTATGGCTTGGACATCTTGACAGGGTTACTAAAGAGAAAAATGCGGTTCTTTCTGTTCACACCTATATTCCCTGGTGTATAAATGCTATATGTTAATGTGTTATGGCACTGAAGAATGTTGTTGACTTACCACGGACACAGCCTACTCCTATTCCCATCTTCAACCTTCCTATTCTCCACAATATCATGTGCGTGATTCACTTCCAATATTATCATCATTCCTCTTTTATTTTATTTTCTGCAACATTGTGACTTTACAATGTTTTATCATTCTACTAGCAGATCTTGAAAAATGAGAAACTCCTTTGACTAAGAGCAAATAAAGCTTTACTGCTTTTTAAAGTTTTATTTTATTTTGACTTCTGGGCTGACATTATCTTCCTTGGTTTTATTATATATTTTAGTTCTATTCAGTGATGACACATATTTCTGTGTGGAAACTTCATTGCAAATTCCTGGTTAGCAACAAAATCCCACCATAAATTTAATTAAAGGATTACCAATATTTGCATACTTCACGTGTCACTGACTTCTTCAGGTTTCCTCATAAACATAAAAAGCAGACAGATCTTTCAAAGCAGGATTTTGGTTTTGGGGGAGGATTTTTCTTTTACAGCATCTTATAAACATATCATTTTCTACATTTGGCAACCAAGGTGTAAATATGTGGTTTATTATGCAAATAGTGTCATGCCAGATGACTGTATAGCTTTTATTGCAGAGACACATCACCTACCTTCTACTACTTATAAGTAAATTAAAGTAACACGTTTTCATACTAAGCATTCAAAAACTACTGAAAATCAATGTCAAGTTATTTATAAATAAAATTATGCATAATAACTTAAAACCTAATTAGCAGTTCTAATAAAAGCGATCTTCAAACTGTTCTCACTTTTCAAAACTTTTGACAAAGGTAATTGGCCTAATTCTTCTCTTCTAACAAGAATTCTAATAACAAAATGTTTATACAGTGAGGTCACGTCAGCTGTTTGAAATGCTAACCTCGTGATCCAAATACTATTTTAAAGAATTATTTTATAGCATGGATAGACCAAAGAGTGTTTGCAATTTCTCATCTGATTTTTAAGTAACTATAGCCTTTGTGATCTCCCTCTGAGAGTTTAAAACATTCAGAATGAGAGATGGAGAGTTAGGGTTCCTCATTTCCTCCCAGTACAGTGTAATCTAAGCCAGTGGTTTTCAAAATGTAGTCCATAGACAGCAACATCAACATTTTTTGGAAACTTGTTAGAAATGAAAAATTCTTGGATCCCATCTCAGATCTACTGAATCAGAAATTCTAGGGGTGGTGCCCAGCAATGTGTGTTTTAACAAGCCCTTTAGGAGATTATGATGCGTCTTTAAGCTTGAGAACACCTCATATTAGACAACTTAATTAGTCATTGTTGTCTTGACTTCCAAATCTATTTAACTCTGAAAAGCTGTTAGAAATCCACAGTCCACTTTCAGCTTGGAGTTTTTAGATTTTGATTGGCCAAGCGAGATGACACAGGCCAGGCGCGGTGGCTCACGCCTGTAATCCCAGCACTTTGGGAGGCTGAGGCCGGCGGATTGCCTGAGTCCAGGCAAAAACCCATATCTACCAAAAACAATACAAAAATTAACTGGGAGTGGTGGTGCGTGCCTGTGGTCTCAGCTACTCAGGAGGCCAAGGTGGGAGGATGGCTTGAGCCCAGGAAGCTGAGATTGCAATGAGCTGGGACCATGCCACTGCACTCCAGCCTGGGCGACAGAGTGAGACCCTGTCTCTGAAGAAACTTTTAGGAAATACCATCGCCATTTTTAATTACTAGTATTTAATTGCTTTTTGTAACTGCCAACAAGAGCTGGTTTTAAACTTTCTTTCTGTAACCTTTAAATTATCCATATGTCATACATTCAATACTTGTGGGTCTTAATAAATGGAATATACACACCATAGATCAATCTGCTTTTTCTCCCTATTGTCTATTTGTTAAAGACATTTCATTTGCCATTTTCCTATAAGAAATAGTTTAAAACTACGTTGTGCTGCAAGTTACTTTTAAAAAATCTTGCTTCTCACCATATTCCTAACAGCCCACCAGCCCAAGTTTTAGAGTGATGTTACTACATTCTGAACTTCTGGCATGCTGCCCAACTGAGCCCCAGGCAGTAAATTCTTTTCATCAGGCTTTGGTTCTTGATATCAGTCTAACAATGTGCTACATCCTGAGAGCCCCACATATCTTCATTGAATTACAAGCTTTAGCATTACACAGTCATTGATTTTACTTTTCCCGGAATGATTTGATCCTAGTAACAATTTATGAGTGTGAAATTGAGGACAAATAGCCTATCAAAGCAGCAAATTAATAGAGTCATACCTATGAAATTTAGGCATGTTTATTTTTTTAAGAGAGCTGAAAATCAGGTATGTATAGATTCACTAGGTTAATGGACTTTACTTTCTGTTGCAGATATCCGCTTCCATAAATGGTTACTTATTAGTAAGAGGTAGTAGGGGATGCCATGTGTTTCCAAAAGAGACTCTATGTATTCTCATCCATTTTTATATCTTGAATGAAAGAAGCTCAAAAGAGTACTAGATTTGAAATCCAAATATCTGATTGTGTATCTTATTATGTATCTTATATATTGATTTTACACACACACACACACACACACACACACACACACACACACACCGGTTGGTCATTGCTGTCACCATTCTACAAATGAGAAAAACAAAGGCTCAGAGAGAGTAAGTGAAAGCCCAAGGTCACAGCTAATACTTGATTTAAAACTTGATAGTTTTTCTCAACATAACCTCTCAAAAAGTATGGGATAGTCTTATATTCTAGATCAGAAGTCAGCCAACTTTTTCTATAAAGGGCTGGATAATAAATATTTAAGCTTTGTGGCCCATATGATCTCTGCTCAAATATTCACCTCTGACATTGCAGTGGGAAAATAGCTGTGGACAATATGTAAATTAAAAGATTTGGCTGTGAACCAATTAAACTTTATTTACGAAACCCAGGTGGTGGGCCAACTTTGACTTTTGGGCCAGTAGTTTGTCTACCCCTCTTTTAGACCCCTTGCTTCTCAAACTTTAATGTACATAAAAATCTCCTTGACAGTCTTGTTATAATGCAGATTCTGACTCCATCGATCTAGGTTGGGGTCCAAAAATCTCCTGTCAGCTGATGCTAGATTCTGCTAGTCCGTAAAACCACACTTTGAGTGTAAAGTTAGACTTTAGAAAGCCTTTCATATTACCAGACATTTTCTCAATAACATCAATTTAAACAACAGTCATGTTTGAGGAAGACACTATAGTCTGAAATTACCTTGGCCGCAAAGCTGTTGAGATGTTTAAAAAAATTTAAACAGATTAAGGAAGTATTAGGGTATAACCTCACAAAGGTAATTGTTGGAGATCTTTGTAAATAAGCATTTTACAACCTACTTTTGAAAGCCATACAGTAAGTGCTTACGTTGTGAAGACAACAAGTATATACTTAGAGCAGTGGTCCCAGAACTGTTTGTCACCAGGAAGCAGTTTCATGGAAGACAGTTTTTCCACAGATGTGGGAAGGGGGTTCCGGATGAAACTATCCCACCTCAAATCATCAGGCATTAGATTCTCATAAGGAGCACGCAACCTAGATCCCTCACTTGTGCAGTTCACAATAGAGTTCACGCTCCTATGAGAATCTAATGTCACTGCTGATCTGACAGGAGGAGGAGCTCAGGCAGTAATGCTTGCTCACTGGCCGCTCACCTCCTGCTGCGCGGCCTGGTTCCTAACGGGCCACGGACTGATACTGGTCCATGGCCAAACTGTTCTTGGAGTTATTTCTAAATAGAACTAAAATCAGGATTGTCTGAATCATCAGAATCGTCTATTTTAGAAAAATCAGGTTCATCAAATGAATCTTCAACCAACAACTGTCCTAGAACAATGTTAACATCATGCATAGAAATGCTATGTTTTCTAGGATTTGACATTACTATATTCTGTAAATGGAAATACCACTACTAAAATCAGAATGCTATAAATAGAATGATTTCTTTTGTTTCCAAAGTCAATATACTATGGGAGGCCGAGGTGGGTGGATCATCTGAAGTAAGGAGTTCAAGACCCACCTGGCCAACATGGTGAAACTGAAAATACAAAACTTAGCCGGGACTGGTGGCACGTGCCTGTAGTCCCAGCTACTCGGGAGGCTGAGGCAGGAGAATCGCTTGAACCTGGGAGTTGGAGGTTGCAGTGAGCCGAGATTGCGCCACTGCACTCCAGCCTGGGCAACAAAGCAAGACGTTATCTCAAAAAACAAAAAAAACAACAACAAAGCAAAACAAAAAACCACAAAGTCAATATACTAGATTGATGCAAAAATAACAATAAAAGCAAGCTATTTCATGGCAAAGTTATCTCAGGTAAAAGCTACAGCTGCAAGCACCACCACTGAATATTCTCAGGGCAAGTGGGAAAGGGGTTAAAATTAATGAATAAAAATGGAATATATTTATCACATACAACATGATATTTTAAAATATGTTTACATTGTGGAGGAGTGACTAAATCAAGCTAATTAAGATATATGTTGGTTCACATACCCTTTTTTTTTGTTGTTGTTGAGACAGTCTCACTGTGCCCAGGCACTGGACTGAAGTGCAGTGGTGCCATCTCGGCTCACTGCAACCTCTGCTTCTCAGGTTCAAGCAATTCTCCTGCCTCAGCCTCCCAAGTAGCTAGGATTACAGGCGCCTGCCACCACGCCTAGCTAATTTTTGTATTCTTAGTAGAGATAGGGTTTCACCATGTTCGCCAGGCTGATCTCGAACTGTTGACCTCAAGTGATCTGCCTGCCTCGGCCTCCCAAAGTGCTAGGATTACAGGCGTAAGCCACTGCACCCAGCCTTCACATACCTACTTTTTGTGGTGAGAACACTTAAAATCAGCAGTTTTCAAGAACACAATACCTTGTTATTAACTATAGTTACCATGTTATACATCTCTTGAGCTCATTCCTCCTATCTAACTGAAATTTTGTATCCTTTGGCCAACATCTCCCTAATCCCTACTCCTCTCCTCCCCCTGCTCCATCCCTGGTAACTACCATTCTGCTTTCTACAATTTTATATTTGCTCGGGATTCTGAAATCTGGGCAGAATTTGTTGGGGATGATTTATCTATACTCTACGGCATGGCCTGGAGTCCCCAAGCATTTGAGGGTTTGGCTGGATCTCTTATGTTCGAGATAGCCTCTCCTCTTTATCATTCAGTGATCTAGCCCAAGCTTTATTACTACAGGATGGTATCTGGCTTCCAAGAGTGAACTGTCAAGTAGTATAAGGCCAACTATGCAAGCATCAAGCTTTTGCTTGTGTAATACTTGCTACACTTCCATTGGCCAAAGCAAGTCGCAAGCCTAAGCCCAGATGGGAAAGAGACTACAGAATTGCACGTCACGGTTCACTGGGGGCCACAAATGTCACAGTCTACAACACATACTGATGTCAAAGAGAGATGAAGAGTTGAAATACAGTTGCTTCATGTGATTTGAATAAGAAAAAAACAACATATTTAAATCAATAATATTTATATAACATGTATTTAAATATATAATTGAGTTTTTAAAATATATCAGGTAAAGACTTGGCAGTTTCATCTACAAGCTAATGTATTCACTTTTGTGTGTGTGTGTGTGTGTGTGTGTGTGTGTGTGTCAGAGTTTCGCTCTCGTCTGTCACCCAGGCTGGAGTGCAATGGCGCAATCTCCACTCACTGCAACCTCCGCCTCCTGGGTTCAAGCAATTCTCCTGCCTCAGCCTCCGGAGTATTTGGGATTACAGGCGCCCACCACCGCACCCAGCTAATTTTTGTATTTTTAGTAGAGATGGGGTTTCACCATGTTGCCCAGGCTGGTCTTGAACTCCTGACCTCAGGTGATCCACCCACCTCTGCCTCCCAAAGTGCTGGGATTACAGGGGTGAGCCACCGTGCCCGGCCATATCACATTTTTAATAACATTTAAAACACCTCACTGCAAAGAAATGGGGGACTGACTTATATTTAGGGTCCCATTATAGTCTTAGCTGTGTTATCTAAGACAAACTACTGAACTTCTGTTTCTTCTTTTCTAAAACAGGTTTACATTGGTCTTGTGATGGTGGTGGGGATTGGAAGAAAGCAGGTATTGGAACTAATTTAGGAATGAGACCAAGATATAGAAAAGTAGTTCTGGAAAGTAGAAAAATGTACTTTTTTTTTTTTACTTTGTGTTTCCATGCTTCAAATTAGTAGAATAAGGTAAGTCTGTAAGTCTCTATAGAGACAGAATGATCATCATAATAAATATGATAACATTTATAAATATTATTTACATAGCAAAGGTCTATGTAAAAGTAAAGCATTATTATAAAATTTTGAAAAAGGCTTAGAAAACCTTGGTTTTAGCCTTCAGCACAACCACACTACACATTTTTTAGGGCAGGATGGTTGTATTCATCTCCTCCTTAATAAAAACATTTGCCCAGAGCACGTAGTTAATACATATTTATTTGCTAGATTGAAAGTAGACATCATAACATCTAAATATTATCCAATTGTTTTCCTATTGCTAGAAAACAGGAAGCACTGATGTTTTTGTGCTCTCATCAAACCAAAGCATGCACACACACACACACACAGAATTGTGAAAAATATTTGTATCTTAGAATTTCTTGTAAATATCTAGTCACTTATATTAACTCATTGCTTATAAGATAATTTAATTAACAAAATAATAATTAAACATCACTGTTGACAAAAAAATCATAATGACGTGCTATAGTGTGTAAGGACTTTTTAAAATGATTTTACCTTCAAAGTTCTCACATATTTGTAAATCAAATAACGTGTCAGGATGCTGTCAAATCAACTGGTTAGGAGTCATTCAGTTAACTTACTCTTCACTCAACTATCCCTGCATGATTACTGAGTATTGAAATGTCCTCTATTACTATTGGCAATAAAAGAGGTCAAGCTTTCAATTTGAAATATATTGGAGTTGACTTTTCAAGAGCATGTAAATATGAAATAAACCTTATTTATATTTATGTATTAAATTTTGCAAAGTGACATGCACACATGAATAACATGTATTCCACAATGAACACCTGAATTTTAGGAGCAAGGAGTCCTTTTTTTCATTTGTTTTTAAAAGCCTTTTATGTATCTCAAACATATTCATCATACACATCAATTTATCAACTTAATTGATTCTCCCATACAACTTTTACTATCAATTTTTAAAACTCACAAGAATTTTATGGGCAGCTTTCACTAGTCATCACTATTTGAAAGTAGAATAAAAACCGGGGGAAAAAAATCACTTAGGGAAGATTAAACCGGTAAAAATGGTCAAGAACAATAGTTCAGTAATATCCTAATCATATTAACATGATGCTATGACTTTTCTATTTGTATTTTTAAAGTTGATTTTATTTTAAATTAAAGGAAAAGTAAACAAAAAAAGGAAACCCGTTTCACATCAAATAAATGATTCTTTTATAGAGGACATATTATATCCTAAAACAGCCACCTAAACTTAAAAAATAGATTTTGGAAAACATTAAGAACTTGGAGTCATTACGTATATTTAATCCTTGTTTCAGTTAAGATAATATCCATCAACTTGCTACTGTGAAAGATGAGAATATTAGTGCTCACTTTCTCCCACCCACCTCTTGATCTCTATACAAATTGTTACATTATCATGATCTATAAATTTTACATTCTGTTCTGCAACCATAGCTCCCACAATTGTTTATTATTAATTCTATTGTAAAGTGATATAATCATTTAATTTATTTTATTGATTCTCTTCCCAGATCTTCATTTTATTTTATTCAATTTTCCGAGATATAAATTATTGCTCCCCCAAACACAAAAGATAACAAAAAAATGCTAATGAGTATTCTACTCCTTTAGTTCTTTTATAATCGAAAATGGCTGTGGTCTTGATACTACAGTGATCCTGTATGTGATAATCAATTTTACAATTACAGTTACCTTCAGAAATGTGTGGCCATTGGTCTGGATTTTTCCTCTTCAAAGTGATTTAAATTTTATGCTTGAATAACTAAACAATTGTTTATCCTTCCATTTCAATAATTTAACCAGACAATGTCTTAGCGTTTCTTGGAATATGGTGCTTTTTCCAATTTTGGATTGGTCTTTCATTTCAGAGAACTTGTTGTATATGTTTAAATCTTTGTTATTGGATTCCCTGATTCAGGTACATGGATTACTTTTATTTTGAATCATAATTGTCTACTTTCCATATCTATTATTTTTTCTGTAATTGTTTTAATCTTTTTATTTATTGTTATCTGCATTGACTATGATTGTATTAGCCATCTTTCCATGTTAGTCATTCAATTTTTGTCAGAGGTGTTTGAACCGGAGTGACTCCATCTTGAATAGGGTCAGGGTAAAATAAGGCTGAGACCTACTGGGCTGCATTTCCAGGTGGTCAGACATTCTTAATCACAGAATGGGATAACAGGTTGGAAGAACTAGTGTCACGATACAGGTCACAAAGACCCTGCTGATAAAACAGGATACGGCAAAGAAGCTGCCCCAAACCCACTAAAACCAAGATGGCAATGAAAGTGACCTCTGGTCATCCCACTGCTCATTATATGCTAATTATAATGCATTAGCATGCTAAAAGACACTCCCACCAGCCCCATGATAGTTTACAAATGCTATGGCAATATCCAGAAGTTGCCCTATATAGTCTAAAGTGGGGGAGGAACCCATAGTTCTAGAAATTGCTCACCCCTTTCCTGGAATACTCATGAATAATTCACCCCTTGTTTAGCATGTAATCAAGAAATAACTATAAGTATATTTAGTCAAGTAGCCCATGCTGGTGCTCTGGTCTATGAAGTAGCCATTGTTTTATTCTTTCACTTTCTTAATAAACTTGCTTTACTTTACTCTATGGACTTGCCCTGAATTCTTTCTTGTGTGAGTTCCAAGAACCCTCCCTTAGGGTCTAGATCTTATCAAAGGGGTCTAGAGACCCCTTTCTGATAACATTTTCAGTCATTTTGATTTTGTCCCTCTTAGGATATTTATTTCTAATTTATTTGTTCTGACTAGTATTTATTTTGTCCTCGATATATTCTTTCTTACGATTTGTGTTGGCACTTGGAAAATAAAACCCCCAAATATGGTGCTTTGATATGCTAAACTAAAGAAGCAACCTCAAGATCTCTCTGACCTCCTCCCCAACTCCAACTCAACACTCTCTCTCCAAAGCACAGGATGAAACTGATCTCTGAAGTTCCTTTATCTACCTAGAATCTGGACCTATCAAAGAGCAACAAATTGCCTTCAATCCCTTCCCTGAAATTTCATTAACGAGAGAAGATTAAAACTCATATCACAGAGGAAAGTATTGAAAATTAAACAACACATCTAGAGCCCAGATGAACTTTGTCCCAAACCATTGTTTGTTTGCTCATTCTATTCAGTTTCCAAAGAGAATCATTCACAAGATAATGTCTGCCTCCTGGGTCTGTTCATTCCCCCCTAAAAATCATTTACTCCTCCACTCCATTTCCCCTTCTCCTATGAAGAAGAGTATATAAGCATCTGCACCTCATTGGGTTATTGGGTAATTAATCTCCTGCAATTACTCCATGCTTTGCATGTTAACATAATTTTTATGCCTTTTCCCCTATTAATCTGACTATTGTCAGTTCATTTTCAGTGAAACTTTACAAAGCTAAGAGAAAGCTTTCCCTTGGGCCCTACAGATTTTGCACTGTGAGCAAGATAACCCCAAACTGTTAGCAGCGGAACATATCTGAGTCATGCAGCACCAAAGTATGTTACCGGCAATTAATCCATATGGGACTGCACCAACTTCAATTCTTGCCTCCTCAGAAGAAAGAATTTGACTGAGGGGCATAAGGCAGAAGGAAAGACCAAGACAAGTTTTAGAGCAGGAGTAAACATTTATTAAAAAGCTTTAGAGCAGGAAGGAAAAGAAATAAATTACACTTGGAAGAGGGCCAAGCGGACAACTTGAGAGATGAAGTGTGCAGTTTAATCTTTTGACTTGGAGTTTTAAACATTGGCATGCTTCCAGGGTCTTGCGTCCTTTCTCCTTTGATTCTTCCTTTGGGGAGGGCTGTCCATATGTGCAGTGGCCTGCTAGCACTTGAGAGGGGCTGCATGAGCAGTGTGTTTACTGGAGTTGTGTGCATGCTCACTTGAGGTGTTCTTCACTTACCAGTCGAGTGTCCCTAGAAGGTCATGTATCAGGTAAATGCCACCATTTTGCCTCTTAATGTGCATGATTGAGGCCACTTGCCCAACTCCTGAGATCTTATCAGGAGGCGGCTGATCACCAGTTTCAGGTGTTTTCTATCTAGTGCCTTTCCCTAGCGCTGGCTGCAACCAATTATTATAGTAGCTTAACAACCACCTAACCATCACCTCATGGTCGCCTGACATTCATGGTGGGGGCGGCCCTTCTCCTGCCCTGCTCGTGTCTGGTGTCTGACTAGCTACCTACTATAACAAAACCACTCTGCTCTTCTGGAAGTTATAGTCAAGGGAACCCAGGACCTGACAAGCCTGCAAAAAGGGAAAGAATTTCTTACCAATCAGATTCCTGGGTGTCTATCTGTGGAATCTGATCAAGCAGAAGGTAAAAATCACTGTTTATCTCTTTTTTTTTTTCCTTTTCAAGTTCAGATTAATAGGAGAAATGCGTTTGTATGAAAAAGTCCTTACGTTTAGTGACTCTGGTGTAGTTTTATCATGGGGGTTGCAACCCATTTTTAAAATGCCACTTATGTTCCTGGTATTCAAGCCTGGCTAGTTACCTCTGGGACTTTCCATAAAGAAGGTTTATTGGCTTGAGTCACTTTTAAAATAAATAAATTAGCTATATTTAAAAGAATAAAAGAAAACTTTTCAGAGAGCGCTCATCTTAAACAGCTATCTCATTGGTACCTATGAAAAGATGCAACAGAAATATAACCTTAAATACTTCCTTGACAAGATTTTTAAAAAGCAGAAATCAGATTTAAAACAAAATTAACATTTTTTGAACACTCAAACTGCTCACTTTGGATTTCCTGTGGGATTTGCAAAAAGGCACTTCAGCCTGTGGTTAGGATTTGGTGCCAAGGACTGGGTTCAATTCCCAACCAGGAAACCAGTCCCTTAGAAATGTAAATCCTTTAACTCGGAAAAAAAGAGAAACATTTATAAGAATTAGTTTGAATTATTTGTTTTGAGTTTATATTAGTATGACTTTTAACTTTTGGGGGGTACCCATTCATTTGTAATCCTTTCTTTCCCCATGGACATCTTTTGATTTCCTGTTTATCTTACCAGCTGTTTGTTTCTTTTAATTTACCATCTATCGGGGCACACAGGTTGTTAGACTATTGTGTGCAGACAGTTAGCTGAGAGGTTGAGACCCCAGAGAATATAGCTGGACAGAGAAGTGGGTTGCACCCCACTGTGGCTAGCAAAACTTTCCTTTCTTTAAGCCGTGGTTGAGAGTGGAAGGGTTACAGCTTTTTGCTTCCTCTTTGGAGATGTTGGTTAAGGCCATAAAGGACTTCATGGTTTTGGTTTCATGTGTATTTATTTGTTTTGGTTTTGAGTCATTTGAAGGTATGCCTTTGATTTAAAACTTTGGTTTATATTTAGAGCATGATAGCAACTATTTTTCCCACTTATCCCACTTTCTCTTCTGGAGCAGAGAGATAGGCCTCCCGCTGAAATTCAGCCAGCTTCTCCCAGGTGTAGGGAGTGAAGGGTGATCCTGCTCCCACCATTCAGGTGAAATGCTGGCTGCTCACAATATGGCAAAATGTTTGCTGCTTGTCCTAGATGAAAACCTAATAATAAGATATTTATAATATTTTTTAAAAAGCTCTATAATCAAAAGTCAGCTTAATTGAAAACTGACAATCATGCCAAATATATATCTTTAAGGCTTACCCCATTTCTCTATGTTGGGTTTTTGCTTCTCCCCACAGGAACTTCTTAGTTGACTAGATCCCTTTTTCTCAAACTCCTGCTAACTAGAACTTCATTGACCTTTTGGGAAGTGTAGAAACTCCCCAGACGGGTTCCTCTAAAACTTGTTCTCCCATTCACTTCTGTCCCTCCTTCCTCTTGCCACTTTTGATATCATATAAAGGGATCTAAAGGAGACATCCAGAAATCATGAGGCCCCTTGAGGAATACAAAAAAAGGTACCACTAACTCCCCTTTTACTGGGGGTCATCTGCCTTCCTCACAGAATCCTGAAAGTGGTAGCCAGGTTCCTCTCAGGCCTAAAGCTTTGCTCTCTTTTGCATTGAATTCCTTGAACTCTTTGGCTTTTAGATGCATACATGTATACACATATGTGTTGCATGTTGTGTCTACATGTATGTATATGTCTATGTGTTTGTATGTTTTCTACATGGCACCAAATTGACTTAAAAATAAACAGTCATAAATAACTAGCCCAAATACTTTTCTAGTTCATGTGACTTTAATAAATCTTTGGTAAGTAAAGCTAGTTTTAAAATTGTTAGTAAAATAAAAATGCCTTCAAAATTTAATTTAGACATTTTTGCTTGGGTCTACTGTTCAGACAGATTTATGATTTCTCTGCTAGATGTTTTCAGGTCATAAAACTATTGCTTCTGTGATATTTTTGATACTGCTTGATTTGTCTGTGAGCAAAAGCTGTGACAGCTGGCTGTTGGGCTCCCCCAAAGCCTTGCAGACATCTTGTTGCTAGTTTATGTCTTTGATTTTGAGCTTCTGAATTCTGTCTGGATAGGTGGCCATAGTGAGGTCTGGGAGCATATGTGTGTCTGTGGCTCCTGGGACACCAGCTGTAAGGCAGAGCCAGGTCCAGTGTGGCCCTGATGTCCCTGGTCTAGCTCTGCCTCCTGGCCATTCTGGAAGGGGTTGCATCCTTGAGGCATTGTCTTCACAGCTCTGCCATCTGTCCTGGAATTCGTATCTGAGATGTAAATTTAGGACCCAGACGCCCTTCCCTTCATAGCTGCTCTTAGTGACATGTGAGTACTTGAGACCCAGGATGACAGTGGAGAAGGGGGTACATTAGAGAAAGTACCTATTTCTGGTATCTCAAAGGCCTTGGTTAAGATGGGATTGACTAATGCAGAGTTAACATAATTTTGCTTTTCTCAAAAGGGGAAAAAAATAACGTAAGTGGCTAGCTTAATTTTCCATGAGCAATCCAAATATAATTGTTAAGAATGATTACATTTGCTAAATCTAAATGGGATAAACATTTATAAATAAACTTGTCATAGTTTCAAAAGTCTTTCTAGTAATTTAAAGACTTAAAGTCAAATTTTGTTAAGTAATAATCGTGAAATGTCTGAGTCATTTCTAGGAAAAATAAAATACAAATATATTAATTGCTAAACATATGTTCAAGTTTATTTACTTTTAGTTTCTTAAAATTTATGAAAAAGGGAAGGGCTTCAAGATGGCTGACTAGAGGCAGCTGGCACTTGCCTCCTCCACAATGAAGAACCAAAATAGCAAGTAGATAATCAAACTTCAAATAGATCATATAAGAGATAAAACTGGAATTCTACAAAGCAGTGTCAGAAAACACTTAAACCAAGGAAGGAGAGGGAAGCAGGGCCACCTGCTCAGCTGGAATTAGCTGGGAGCCTGAAGAAGCTCCCCGGTAACAGGAAAGGGTAAGTGAGTGACCCACAGCAGTCCACATTTCCACCATGATGCTTGCATCCTAGCCACGGAAAAGTCCCTAGACCCTCATAGCCCCATGGCTAACATAGGGAGCTGCCTGGAGACTGTGCGGAAGCATTGCTCCAAAGAGAGGGTTCACAGAGGATGTCACAAACTCCCTGAGTTCTAACAAGCTACAGCAAAGGGCAATATTGAGAACTCAGTCCCTACCAGATTGCATCCAGACCAGGGGCCCAACAGCTCCTGCATCTCCACATCTCTAAGCCCCATTGACATTCCCTGCCCACAGCAACTACTGCAGCTGTCTACTGCCTCCAGGGCTGAAGCACAAGTCACTGGCAAAGACCACGCTATCTCCAGCAGCAAAGCCTCCACAAATTTTCACACATCCTGAAGACAAACTTTCTCATCCTTAGCAGCCACTGCTACAGGATGCCAGAGCTGTGGCCAAAGCACAGCTAAAGTGCATGCTCCCCAGCTGCCTGCATGTGGCAGCTGCCACTGAAAGCAGCCCCGCCCTCCCCAGTAGCAAGGCTATAGTACAGCCACTGTTGCCCTCATTCAAGCATTCTACCTTGGGCCTGGGAATTATCCCACTCCTGCATACCACAACCAGTGCCTGCATGCATCACTGGAGGCCTGAGGACATGTCTGCCTGGCCCAGCTCCACCCACCCAACCCCAGGTCCCAAGCCCACTCACCAGGGTCCTGGGGACCAGCCCACTACAGCCAACTCCAGCACAGACCACTAGGGACTCAGAGGATAATCCCACTATTGGAACTGACCTCACCCATGCCATGCCCATTGCCCAGGGACCCGAGAGCCCAGCCACCTGTCCACCTCACTGCTGCCACTACTGGCACCCAAGCAAGTCACCTGGAGACCCAGGAATTGGTTCACCTATACCTACTAACAGTGGTGCCAGCATATGCTACCCTGGAGCTGAAGATCAGGCATGCTCAGTCCAATGCTGCCACCACTGGGACTTGAGGACAGGCCCACCAGATGTCCCAGTCCCCAGCAAATCATCATCACAGCTTCCACTAACAACTGCACCATAAGTCATTGAGGAAATCATAGATACCACTGATGCTGTTCACAGCTGAAGAAATCATATGGAGACTACTTTACTGCACACACTCAGAATCAAAACCAAAGTGCCCTACCCAACCAACACAATAGATGTATCTTCAAGAAAATGACCTCCCCTACAGAAGCAAATTCAGAAAATTGAAAGAAGCAACTGTTACACGAGATATACAGATATCAATATAAGGACACAAGAAACGTGAAAAAGCAAGAAAATATGGCAAATCCAAAGAAACACAATAATTCTCCAGCAACAGATGCCAATCAAAAAGAAATTTATGAAACCTTGGATAAAGAATTCCAAATAAAATAATAAAGCATCTGAGTGAAATACAAAGGAATACTTAAAATTAATACAATAAAATCAGAAAAAATTCGGAATACGAGGCTGGGCGCAGTGGCTCACGCCTATAATCCCAGCACTTTGGGAGGCCAAGGCGGGTGGGTCACTTGAGGTCAGGAGTTCGAGACCAGCCTGGCCAACATGGTGAAACCCTGTCTCTACTAAAAATACAAAAATTAGCTGGGCGTGGTGGTGGGCGCCAGTAATCCCAGCTATTTAGGAGGCTGAGGCAGGAGTATTGCTTGAACCTGGGAGGCAGAGGTTGCAGTGAGCCAATATCTGACCACTGCACTCCAGCTTGGGCGACACAGCGTGACTGCACCTCAAAAAATAATAAAAAAAAATTCAGAACACGAATGAGAAATCACCAAAAAGAAAGATATCAAAAACCACACAAAAATTCTGAAACTGAAGAATTTTAAATCTCAGAACATGCACAATGGTCTTTTGAAATAACCTAGTCAGTCAAAAATAAAGAAAAAATTAAAAAAGATTTAGAAAAGCCCTCATGACACATGAGACACCATAAATCAGTTCAACATATGCAAATCAATATATACAAATCAGCATATGCAAATCAATAAATGCAACACAACACATGAATCTCTGGGATGAATAAAAATACAAAAACATCAACAGAATGAAGGACAAAAACCATATGACTATCTCAGTAGGTGCAGAAAAAGCATTTAATAAAATTCAACATCCTTTCATGACAAAAACTCTCAACAAACTAGGCATAGAAGGAACATACCTTAACATAATGAAGGCCATGTATGATAAACCCATGGCTGTCATCATACTGAATGGGGAAAAGCTAAAAGCCTTTCCTCTAAGAATGGAACAAGTATGCCTACTTTCACCACTCTTATTTGATATAGTACTTGAGTTTCTAGCCAGAGCAATTAGGCAATAGAAAAAAATTTTATCAAAATTGAAAAATAAGAACTCAAATGTACCTTTTTGCCAATGACATGATCTTATATCTAGAAATACCTAAAGACACCACCAAAAACCTCTCAGATCTGATAAATAAATTCAGTAAAGTTTCAGAATACAAAATCAATATACAAAAATTAGTAGTGTTTCTATACACCATTAATGAACTGCTTGAGAAGGAAATCAAGAAGGCAGTTCCATTAACAATAGCTATAAAAAGTTAGAAATAAATTTAACCAAGTAGGTAAAAGATCTGTACAAGGAAAACTAAAAAATGCTGATGAAAAGAATTGAAGAGGACACAAACGAATGGAAAGACATTCCATGCCCATGGATCAGAATAATTAATGTCATTAAAATGCCCATACTTCACAAAACGATCTACAGTTTCAATGCAATCCCTGTCAAAATACCAATGCCATTTTTCACAAAATTAGAAAAAACAATCTTAACACTTGTATGGAATAAAAAACGAGCCCAAATAGTCAGTGCAATCCTGAGCAACACTAACAAGGCTGGAGGCATCATGCTACCTGGCTTCAAAGTATATTATAAGGCTATAGTAACCAAAACAGCATGGTATTGTTGTAAAAACAAACATAGGCAAATGAAAGAGAATAAAGAACCCAGAAATAAATTCACATATTTACAGCCAACTGATTTCAACGAAGGTGCCAAAAACATTCAGTGGGAAAAGGACACACTCTTCAGTAAATGGTGCTGGGAAAAATGGATATCCATATACATTAGAAGAAAACTGGACCTCTGTCTCTCATCGTATACAAAAATCAACTCAAGATGGATTAAAGGCTTAAATGTAAGACCTGAAACTGTAAAACTATTAGAAGAAAATATGCAGAAGACATTTCAGGATATTGAGCTAGGCAAAGATTCTATTGCTACGACCTCAAAAGCACAGACAACAAAATCAAAAATAGATAAATGGTACGATATTAAACTAAAAAGCTTCTGCACAGCAAAAGAAACAACAGAGTGAAGAGACAAACCATTGAATGGGAGAAAATATTTGCGAACCATTCATCCAACAAGGGACTAATATCCAGAATATATAAGGAGCTCAAATAACAGGAAAAAAAAATAATGCTATTAAAAGGCAGGTAAAAGACATGAATAGACACTTCTCAAAAGAAAACATACAAATGGCCAACAAGTATATGAGAAAATGCTCAACATCACTAATCATCAGGGAAATGCAAATCAAAACCACAATGAGATATCACCTCAACCCAGTTCGAATGGCTATTACTAAAAAGACAAAAAATAACAGATGCTGGTGAAGATGCAGAGAAAAGGGAACTCTTATAAACTAAGTTGGAATGTAAAGTAGTACAGTCATTATGGATAACAGTATGGAGATTTCTCAAAAAATTAAAAATAGAACTACAATATGATCCAGCAATCCCACTACTGGGCATTTCTCCAAAGAAAAAGAAATCAGTATATCAAAGGGATACCTGCACACCCATGTTTATTGAAGCACTATTCACAATGGCAAAGATATGGAATCAACCCAAGTGTCCATCCATGGATGAATGGATAAATAAAATGTGATATATAGATATATAGATATACACACACACGATGGAATACTCTTTGGCCATAAAAAAGAATGAAATCATGTCATTTGCAGCAACATGGATGGAACTGGAGGTCATCGTGTTAAGTGAAATAAGCCAGGCATAAAAAGACAAATATCTCATGTTCATGCTCATATGTGGTAGCTAGAGAAATTCATTTCATGGTGGTAGAGAATAGAATGATATAAACCAGAGGCTGGGAAGGGTTTGGAGGAGAAGGATAAATAGAGGTTGTTACCAGAGGCTGGGAAGGGTTTGGAGGAGAAGGATAAACAGAGGTTGGTTGGTGGGTACAAACATACAGTTAGATGGAAGAAATAAGTTCTAATGTTTGAGAGCAGAGTAGATTGACTATAGATAACAACAATGCATTTTATATTTCAAAATAGCTAAAAGAGAGGACTTGAAATATTCGCAACACATAGAAATGATAAATACTCGAGGTGATGGACATCCCACTACCTCAATTTTATTATACAGTCTATGCATGTAACAAAGTATCACGTGTGCCCCATAAATATGTACAATTTGTATCAATAAAAATTCATGAAAAGACCAAATATATTCAGGTTTGCTAGTAAATATATCCTTTTCCATAAAAATTGATAAATCATATTTTCCTAAAAATTATAAAATATGTATTTATAAAATGTTTTGGTACATAAAAATGAAAGTTGCTTGCTTCATATGTCTCTGACTGAAAATTAGGGTTCCTAGAAGTTACAATTTTAATTAACATATCTAGTTGGAACTACTAGACATAAAAGAAACAGTTCTGTATACAGCATACACACAAAAATAGAGCTGATTTTTGGTGATGAAAGTTATAAGAAAGACATGAGGATGTGTTTTTTGTCCTTTTGTAACAGGACACAATTGGATATACTGGTTATTTTACCAAGGTTTTGACTGGAATGTTATATTTTCAGATGTGACCAGACTGCTTTGTGATATTGAGGTCGACTCCTTGGGAAGCAAAAAAATAAAAAAATTTAAAAAATTAAATCCCCTGGAAAAACTGGCCTGATACCTTAAATATGCAGTTCACCTGGTTGCCTTTATAGGAGGGCAAAGAATGTCATTTTCTAGAAGGCCCAAGAACTTGAGAGTATTTTGGGGACCTCAAAAAGAGAAGTATTCACCCAATTTGTACAAGTATTACAGAATCATTCTGATGGCAATCCTTAGCTTGACTCTTTACCCTCAAGAGACTTTTTAAAAAAGTTTAATCCAAGATTTCTTATGAATAGTTTCAGCTAAGCCAATCTACAAAAAGCCTGTATGAACAATAACTGTCTTTGCTGTACTTTATTCAAATAATCAGGTGAAGTATAATATGACTAGAGCTTATTTTGCAAATAAATTGGTCTTTCTTTGATTTGTCTTTGGTAGAAATGAGGTACTGGAGAAAAAAAATTATGTTTTAGAAGAAAAGTACACCTATTATTAGATTTAAGCTCATTGCTTTTTTTTTTTTTTGGTTTGGTTTTTTTTTTTTTTTTTTTTTTTGAGACGGAGTATCGCTCTGTCGCCCAGGCTGGAGTGCAGTGGCACAATCTGGGCTCACTGCAAGCTCCACCTCCCGGGTTCACGCCATTCTTCTGCCTCGGCCTCCCGAGTAGCTGGGACTACAGGTATGTGCCACCATGCCCGGCTAATTTTTTTTGTTTTTTTTGTATTTTTAGTAGAGATGGGATTTCACCATGTTGGTCAGGCTGATCTCGAACTCCTGACCTCGTGATCTGCCCACCTTGGCCTTCCAAAGTGCTGGGATTACAGGCGTGAGCCGCTGCTCCCGGCAGCTCATTGTTTTTGAGATTTTGTTACCTGCAACTTGAACTGGATCTGAATTTCTTATACTTTCCTCCAATACCTGGCTGAGTCTTTAATGTTTTCCATGTTTTTCTCCCACACTTCTGACTGGGAATTGCTAAAATTTAAAACTGCCTTTTTCCTGAGGCTGAAACTAGTCAACTTGGCTTTGAAGAAAAATCCCCACAACAGCTTATATGTGAACAAACTTTGTACACACAAACTGCAAACCAGAAAAATCTGTCAGATTGCCACTAATCTTCTCAACTGAATGCCCTCCAGACTCTGGAGAAACTAGCTTACAGACTACTCCAGACATTAACCTTTGTTTTTCTTCTGTTTCCATAGAAATGTCTCTTATTAACGATCTGTTTGCTGGCATCATATATAAAGGCCTAGCTTTGAGAGCCCATCTACAGCACCATCTCCTGAAATGAGATGTAGCATTTTAATTGGACTGGCCTATTCCCAAAAATGAAAGACTGGTTTAATGGGATCTTTTGCCACTCAGCTCCTGACACAATTTTTTTCTCCACAGCCGTGAACTCAACTTTTAATGTATGAGTCTTCTAGGGAAGTTTCAGCCTGTGTAATGTTAGAGTGTGTGAGCCCTGAATATCTGAGATGGGTCTCAGTTAATTTAGAAAGTTTATATTGCCAAGATTGAGGACATGCACCCATGACACAGCCTCAGGAAGTCCTGATGACATGTGCCCAAGGTGGTCAGAGCACAGCTTGGTTTTATACATTTTAGGGAGACATGAGGCATCAATCAACATACGTAAGATGAACATTGGTTCGATCCAGAAAGATGGAACAACTTGAAGCAAAGGCGGGACAACTCAAAGCAGGGGAGGGAGCTTTCCAGGTCAAGGTAGATAAAAGACAAATGGTTGCATTCTTTTGAGTTTCTGATTAGCCTCTCCAAAGGAGGTAATCAGATATGCATTTATCTCAGGGAGCAGAGGGGTGACTTTCAATAGAATGGGAGGCAGGTTGGCCCTAAGCAGTTCCCAGTGAGAGACAGGACTAGCAGTATTTCCTAGGCTGACTAAGAATTCCTAAACCTAGCTGTGGAAGGTGACCGCACCCACCTTTAAACACGGGCTTGTAACTCAGCTCACACCTGACCAATCAGGTAGTAAAGAGGCCTCACCAAAATACAAATTAGGCTAAAGCAGGAGGTAAAGAAATAGTCAAATCATTTATCGCCTGAGAGCATAGGGGGAGGGACAGTGATCGGGATATAAACCCAGGCATTCGAGCAGGGAGTGGACAACCCCCTTTGGGTCCCCTCCCATTGTATGGGAGCTCTCTTTTCACTCTATTAGATCTTGCAACTGCACACTCTTCTGGTGCGTGTTTGTTACGGCTTGAGCTGAGCTTTCGCTTGCCGTCCACCACTGCTGTTCGCCGCCGTCCCAGACCCGCCGTTGACTTCCACCCCTCCTCCGGATCCGGCAGGATGTCCACTGCACTCCTGATCCAGCGAGGTGTCCATTGATGCTCCCGATCGGGCTAAAGACTCACCATTGTTCCTGCACGGCTAAGTGCTCAGGTTCGTCCTAATTGAGCTGAACACTAGTCACTGGGTTCCATGGTTCTCTTCCGTGACCCATGGCTTCTAATAGAGCTATAACACTCACCGTATGGCCCAAGGTTAAATTCCTTGGAATCTGTGAGGCCAAGAACCCCAAGTCAGAGAACAAAAGGCTTGCCGCCATCTTGGGAGCGGCCCACCGCATCTTGGGAGCTCTAAGAACAAAGACCATCCCGTAACACCAGCTTGACTTTTCCCTTTAGCTTAGTGATTTGGGGGTCCCAATATTTATTTTTCCCTTCACAGGTGCAAAAACATATCCCCAAATATGGCCCTTTGATAAGCTGAACTAAAGAATCAGTCTCAGAGTCTCTCTGACCTCATCCCGGGGTCCCAACTCTCAACATTCTGTCGCTCCCAATGCACAGGAGGAAGTTATTTTCTGAAGTTCCCTTATCTACCTTGAATCTAGACCCACCAAGGAGGAACACAATTACCTTCAACCCCTTCCCTGAAATTTTATTAACTACAGAAGAATAAAATACATATCACAGAGGAAAGGACTGAAAATTAACCACCACACTTAGAGCCCAGAAGAACTTTGTTTCAAACCATTGTTTTTCTCTGGTCCCATTCAGTTTCCAAAGAGAATCATCTACAAGACAATGTCTGCCTCCTGGGTCCATTCATTCCCGTCTAAAATACATTTACTCCCCACCCCCATCTCCCCTTCCTCTATGAAGAAAAGTATATAAACCTCTGGATTTAATTGGGTTATTGGAGACTCATTCTATGATTACCACACACTATGCACGTTTAGTCAATCTGTATGCCATTTCTTCTATTAATCTATTTTCAGTGAACCTTCAGAGGGTAAGGAAAGCTTTCCCTTGGCCTCTATGTCTGCAATCTCCATTATCATCTTATATTATCTCATCTTTGAGCTCTAGTTGTATTGAATGCATACATTGTTTCATAATGCAAAGCACAGGTTGGGAATTACCTTCTCCTTGGGCTATATTTTATTCTAAACTGGATAATTTGTGTTTTACATCACCCTCGCTTCTCCTGCTTTTCACCCTTCCTTTTTTATAGTTATCCTGTTCCTTTTCATCTTGCTGAAGCTTAGGCTCCACTCTCTAGCTATGTTTTTTTCTGATGTTTTGTAGATAACATTTTAACTCCTTTCCCACCATTTTGTTTCATTCTGAGCTGCAGTTTGAAGACAGCTTATAGACCTACTTCACCTCATCCCTCACCCCGCTTACATCCACCTGCCTGCTTCCATAACTTGAGATCATATAATGGGAGAGAAAGTTCAGTTCAGGCAATGATTTATGTTTGTTAAAAATTTCTTAGGCTCAGCACATTCTTCTAAGAGTTTGTTAAATGTCTCATTAGCGTTTACCCCTCCTACTTGAAAAGTAGTGTATACCATTGCCACAGAGGAATAAATCTGCCAAAGATAAACAAAGCTGGACATTATAGTGGTAAAAACATATTTTATTCAGTGACTGCTGACAGTCAGTGAAAGAGCTGAGTTCCTTTTCTATATACACAGAGGTAACTAGGTGTTTTAAAAGGAAAATGAACGAATATAGGGAAGGAAAAGAGGGGAGGTGCTCAAGTGGATTCAAGGAAGTCAAAAATTACAAAGAGTTGGTCAGTGTCAATGCGACTGGGCTAGCTATGTCTGCTAGCTGGCAAGTACGGAAGTTAGGATTCTATCCACCTATAGAGACCGGGAGACAGAGGCCCTATCTATCTAAATGATTGCATTTCAAAGGAATGACTCTCATCCTTCAGAAAAACACTTCCGAGTTGTAGGAGATGCATATACATCTCAAAGTGACAGAGGAATGATTCACCATTGTAAGCCCTGTCTAGTAAATGCTCTAAGAAAGGGAGGTCCGGGGCCTATTTTCAGGTGTTGGCTAGAACAGTCAGTTCTTTTGAAAAACCTGAGCTTTTCCAGAGAGGAACTTAAAAGGGGGCTGTGTCCCAGGGACATGACCTTAGGCTGCTAGAAGCCCTGCAAATGTTGGTCAGGTCTCTTAGCGCAGGTGTTTGGATGATGTGTTCTTACTGACAGGTTTTGCAGTTCTTAAACCTCGGAATTCTAATTGCTTTCAATTGGGTGAGGCCTATAATCATCATTTCCATTAGAAAGGGTCAGCTCTCCCGTTCTTCTCCCCAGTGGCTCTTTTTCCTAAATCCACAGACAGAAGAGGGAAAAGATAAATGTTCAGTTTTCTTATTTCCAAATTTGGGAGTTTGGTGACAACTCCCAGAATATTTTTTAACTTACCAGGAGTTTCTTGGGTCTGGGATTGGGGAATGGAGTAGCAGTTGTGCTCCTCAGAGATGATGCAGAATATTCTTTTTTCCTTCTTTGGCCTCCACTTTTGGATTATTTGCCTGACAGTGTTGAACTTTACCTGATCTATGTGCTCCTGGAAAATAATGACTAAGGAGGCTCCCAACCCCTTTGTGTTCCCAGAAGTGGCTACCCGCAAAGGACCAAACTGCTCTTGCATTTGCCAGCATAAGACCCACCTCCACCTTTCTTCAATAACTCCCTTGTTTTATAAAACACCAGGCTTTCTTCTACTTTTCTGAAAAAAAAATCCTACCTAATAAATGTTCTCCCTATTGAAATTGCCTGAATAAATAATTTCCTTAGTGCATTTTGTGTCTCATATCCCTTTCATATTCTTTACCTTAGTATGTGATCCTACTCATTACTTGTTTTTAATTTTTTGTTTCTTTGTTTTATTTCCTTGGATATTGGCAGTGAGATTATGTGATAAGGTACTCGTCTACCAACCTAAACTGGAAATCCAGCTGTAGCTTTTAAATCTTTATATTCTACTTTGGGAAAACAACATTTAAAGATGACACGCAAACAAGATAGGGAACACAAACTGTTTTCCTAGACCATCTGTGTGCTACTGACTTTCACTTGAGCCTTGTAAATGATGAGCCACTCAGACATTGAATTGTTCAAGATAAAAATACAATGATTTAATGCAGTAAATCTCAAAAATGGAAGGTGTCTTAGTCCGTTTTCTATTGCTTATAACAGAATACCTGAAACTGAGTAATTTATTTTTAAAATGTATTTATTTCTTACAATTATGAAGGCTCAAAAGTTCCAGATCACAGGGCTACATCTGGTGAGAGCCTTCTTGCTGGTGGAGACTCTGTAGTTTCATGGCAGTACAGGTTGTCACATGGTGAAGGGGTTGAGCATGCTCACGTCTCTCTTATAAAGCCCCCAGTTTCAATCTCATAGTAATTCATTAATCCATTAATTCATTAAGTCATGAATGGACTTTGCCTTCATGACCCAATCACCTCGTAAAACCCGACCTTTCAATACTGCCACATTGAAGATTAAATGTGTTTTGGAAGGGACAAATATTAAACCATAGTGTTGAAGAAAAGAGTCAAACTCTGTAAAATATTTGAAGAGATCTATTCTGAGCCAAATATGAGTGACCATGGCCTGTGACCCAGACCTCAGGAGGTCCTGAGAACATGTACCCAAGGTGTTCGGGGTACAGCTTGGTTTTATATATTTTAGGGAGGCATGACACATCAAATATGTTTAAGAAATACGTTGGTTTGGCTCAGAAAGATGAGACCTGGGGGGTTGGGGGGGCGGGGCTTCCAGGCTATAGGTATCTGGTTGACAATTGGTTGAGTTTGTCTAAAGACCTGGGATCCATAGAAAAGAAATGTTCAGGTTAAAATAAAAGATTGTGGAGACCAAGGTTCTTTGGAAGTCTTATGGTGGCTGCCCTTAGAGACAGTATTTGACCAATGTTTCCTATTCAGATCTTTAAAAGGTGCTAGACTTTTAGTTAATCTCTTCAGGATTGCAAGAGGCTGGAAGAAAAAGATCTAGCTATGTTAATAGAGATTCTTTACATATGCAGATTTTCTCCCACAAAGGACAGCTTTGCAGGGCCATTTCAAGATATGGCAGAGAAACATGTTTTGGGCTAAAATATTATTTTCTTCCTTGTCTTGTAATGTTATGCCAGAATCATATTGGAAAGTAAGTCATGATGTATAGGGTTAAATAAAACTCATCTGATGAGAATTCATGGTTTGTAGGGCATGACTCCCCAGACCCCTTAGACAGGAATTTGGGCAAGATAAAAAAATCAGAGTTTAGTCCTCAATAGCAAAGGGGCAGGAAGACTTGGTGAGAAAGCAATGAATATCACAAAAAAATTTTTTTTTCATCTATTAGGGAAAACATGTGATTCATATTCATCTGCTGCTTTTTCTCCCAGGCTATCTTGCCCCTCCTACAATGGCCCGCTTGTAGTTTCTAAAATATCACAAACACATTCCCACCTCAGAGAGTTTGCACTTGTTGTTCCCTCTCTCAGAATTTTCTTCTTCTATATATTGTCAAATAAAAGACAAATCTAGACTTAGAATCACTTCTCGGCCTTCTGGCTAAGATCAAATGTAGACTTAGTTAAGGGAAGACTTTACTCAGAAGGGTTACTACATGAAGAAGAGGGATGCTAATACAATAGGGAAGGTGCTTCTATCATGAGATCCGCAAGTATGTTCAGGTTTAGAAAAGGGCTTCTTTTTTTTAACAGGGAGGAGTAAACCAAACTAGAAAGAAACAGGTGGGGGTAAAGGAGTAAGGAAATATGTTTTCTTCCTCCATCACTAGGTTGATAGCTTAGGCCTCTACGACAAAAGATAGATTAACAAGAGAAAATTATACAAATGCATGTAATGTAAATTTTACATGACACAGGAGCCTTACCCCCAAAATAGGTAAACTTGTGTATTTTTATGCTTAGGCTTGGTGAAAAGTGGACAGTCATGGTGAAATATGATTGGAGGACAAAAGGGTATGATCTAATGGTAATAAACTGAGGGGAACTTAGCAAGACATGTTTGTTTACTCTTTGTGCATCTGTGTCTACAGAGATAAGGATGTTCCTTTCCTCCAGATACAGGGAAGGCACCTCTCAAATCAGGCTCTTATGACCTTCATCTGGGGGAGAAGGGCAGGGGAAAAGTGAGAGGACCTTTCTGCTTCTGCTTTTTTCTCAAATGGAAGGTGCCATATTTTGTGGTATCGTATCTGGAGTCCTACTGGGGAAAGGGAGGCAAGCGAGGGTGGTGTGATCATATCAGATAATGTTTTACCCTGAAGTAAGCTTACTCTCAAAAGGGGTTGTTAAGGAGAGGTTGTATTCTGGCTCAGACTGAGGGTGGGTCAAATTTTAGGGGTCTGGGAGGAGAGAAACAACCAAATTTTGGTTAACAAGTATTTTGTTCCAATTGATCAGTACAGCCAAAACATTTCACCTGGTCATTTATGAGATGAAGCCGTAAATTGGGTAGGGAAGGTCTGTATCTGACCCTGTCATAGGTAAACAGTAGGGGGTGGGTATCTGTGAATTTTATCTAAGTTTTATGTTTCTTTGCCATGATCCACTTCCCAGGATACAATGCATGGGGGCGGGGATTCTCTTAATCACTGCTATTTTCCAGTAGTAAGGGCTCAGGTAAAAGAAATGAATATAACAAAAGAATTTGTTGTTGCTGTTGTTTTACATATGAGGGAAAACACGTGATTCACATTCCTCCTCTCCTTCCAGCTCATCTTTCCCTTACTACGTGAACTGCTCGTGATAAACATCACAAGTTCATGCCCATTTCAGAGACTTTGTGTTTGCTATTCCCATTCCTTGAATGCTTTTTCCTAAGAGATCTACACAGCTTGCTCTATCTTTTAATTTCTATGCCCAAATGTTATCACTTTAAAAAGATATTTCCTTCCACCATATATAAAATAGTGACATCTCCCCACCATTAAAATCTCTTTCTCACATACCTTGCCTTATGAATTAATACATAATAGGTACACAACATAAATGTTTGTTGAGTGGATAAATACATCTTTTGCACTTACTACCTGTCTTTTCAACTTTAATAAATCTTCTGTGAGGCAAAGAGAGGTTATTTGGATGATTATGCATTTGAATGGGAGTAGTAATCCAATTAAATGACAATATTTCCTTGTGATTCATTAACACGAGCAACCTATCTTTTATGGAGATGTAACCACCCAATGGGTTCACCTTGCCGCTGCCTAGACAGAGCCGATTTATCAAGACAGGGGAATTGCAATGGTGAAAGAGAATTCATGCAGAGCTGGCTGTGTGGGAGACCAGAGTTTTATTATTACTCAAATCAGTCTTCTGGAGCATTTGGGGTTCAGAGTTTTTAAGGATAATTTGGAGGGTATGGGCTTGGAAAGTGGGGAGTGCTGATTGGTCGGTTTGGAGATGAAATCATAGTGGGTTGAAGTGAGCTTTTCTTGCTGACTTCTGTTCCTGGGTGGGATTGCAGAAGTGGCTGAGCCAGATTAACGGTCTGGATGTTGTCATCTGCTGCATCGGAATACAGGGTCTGCAAAATATCTCAAGCACTGATCTTAGATTTTGCAACAGTGATGTTAGTCCCAGGAGCAATTTGGGGAGGTTCAGACTCTTGCACCCAGAGGCTGCATGGCCCCTCCACCATAATTTCTAATCTTGTAGCTAATTTGTTAGTCCTACAAAGGCAGACTGGTCCCTAGGCAAGAAGGGGTTTTTCAGGAAAGGACTATTATCAATTTTGTTTTAGAGTTTAAACTGTAAACTAAATTCCTTCCCCCGTAGTTTGGCTTATGTCCAGGAATGAGCAAAGACAGCTTAGAAGTTAGAAGCAAGATGGGGTCGGTTAAGTCTGATCTCTTTCACTGTCATAGTTTCCTCAGTTATGATTTTTGCAAAGGCTTTTTCAGAGATGGACTACATGGATGTATATCGTACTTCTAAAAGTAAAACTGTAGAATCTAAAAATAATTCATAGTGAAGATCTATCTTAATGATTATTTAAAGCTTATAACGCAACACTATTTTTAACCTTAAACAACTTTTATAAACAACAAAAAAATCTGTGTGTTTAGGAGAGTATCCAGATAGCCAAAAAAGTGATAGAGAATTCCATGCAGTCTGGCTTTCTCTATTCAACATACTCATTTTTTTCTTCTGAAATTATTGATATTTTAAGACATTTTTCTAAAGCTGAAAAAATCATGATTAAAAAACTTCTTTTTTACAGAGAAGAGAAAGTAGGTGACATATTTTTCTTTCTTCACTTTCTTTCAAAGGTGAAAGACATGGCCACTTTTATTAAGCTTAATGCATTTCTAATTACAGCTTTCCTTGAAGTAGAATACTCTTCATCTGCATATTTGAAGTCAATTTTTCACTTCATATTTAATTTTTCATATTTCATTGGTAGTATAAATGCATCATTTAAAAATTTTTACAAATACAACTTATTCTTGTAATGTCTATGTTGAAATCAGCATAACCTCAATTCCTGAAATCTAAGAAGCAACCAAGATTTTGAAATAACTGTGTGTCTGTTTTTAGGGACATACTTTTATTTTCTCTGAACAAGCCTGTTGTAGGAATTAATGAGGGCATTTGTAATGCAATTTGTTCTTTCTCAGAGAAGGCATTATCTCTGAAAAGAGCAAGAATAAGATGTAACTCTATTCATTAGTTCCAATTCACACAAAAGTTGTGAGAACTCTCCAGACAAGGGTTTACAGAAAAAACATTAAATGGATAAAAGATTTTATATCCCAGAGTAATTGAGGATATAATACAGGGCTATGATTATCATCCCTTAATAGGACTTGCCACTCAGGAATATAAATTCTGTACAAATATGAACTAACTAAAACCTTCAAACTAACTTGATGAAATCCTCAACTGCTCTGGCCTTTGTTTAAAGCTGTGCAAACTAATGGGCTTAAGGTAACAGAAAAATATCCATGGCCACTTAATCTACAACTGCCGATAATTGTCTTCATTGTTTCAAATATCTTTATTGAGGTATAATTATATACTATAAAATTCACTCATGTAATGTGTGCAATGCAATGGTATTAGTAAATTAACAATGTTATGCAACCATCTACACATTCCAATAGAACATTGCTGCAGTTCCAAAAATTTCCACCATTCCCATCTACAGTCAATCCCCATTCCCTGCTGCAGCCTTACATAGTCACAGATCTACTTTCTGCCTCTATACATTTGCCTCTTCCAAACATTTCATATAAATGGAATCATACAGTATATAGTCTTTTGCATCTGCCTTTTTTAACTCAGTAGGTTATGTTTGAAGTTCATTCATATTGCACATGTATCAGTAGTTTATTCCTTTTGATTGCTGAATAGTATTCCATTATATGAACATACTGCATTTTGTTTATCCATTTGCCAATCAAGGGACATTTGGATTATTTCCAGTTTTTTGCTATTATGAATAATGCTGTTAGGGGCATCCACTTACATGTCTTTCTGTGGACATATGTTTTCACTTCATTTTGGTAGGGTCTTAGGAGTGCAATTGCTGGTATGTACGGTAAATTTATGTTTAACTTTTTTATTTTTATTTTTATTTCAGTCGTTTTTGGGGTACATGTGGTTTTTGGTTACATGGATAAGTTCTTTGTGGCGATTTCTGAGATTTGGCTGCACCTATTAGCCAAGCAGTAAATTATCTTTTGTATTTCTGTGGTATCAGTTGTAATATCTCCAGTTTCATTTCTAATCGAGCTTACTTGTATCTTCTTGGTTAATCTCACTAATGGTCTATCACTTTTGTTTATCTTTTCAAAGAACTGGATTTTTGTTTCATTTATCTTTTGCATTTTTTTTTTAGTTTCATTTAGTTCTGCTCTGTTCTTTGTTATTTCTTTTCTTCTCCTGGGTTTGGGTTTAGTTCTTGTTTCTCTAGTTCCTTGAGGTGTGACATTAGGTTGTCTGTTTGTGCTGTTTCAGACTTTTGATGTTAACTTTTTAAGAAACTGCTGAACTGCTTTCCAAAGAATGAAAACCAGAAATATGTGAAGGTTCCACTTCCCCTATGCTTTTGCAAACACTTAGTCCTTTTTTTGTTTTCAATGCAGTCATTCTAGTAGGCATGCAGTGGTATCTTTTTGTGGTTTTAATCTTTATTTCCCTAATAAGTGGTGATGATAAGCATATTTATCTTCACCACTATTAACTATTCATGTATCTTCTTTGGTGAAATGTCTATATGAATTTTTTGCCCATTTTTAATTGAGTTGTTTTTCTTATTATTAAATTGTAAGAATAGATATCTGAATACAATGCCTTTATTAGGTGTATGATTTGCAAATATGTTGTCCCCAGCCTATAACTTGTCTTTTCATTTTCTCATTGATGTCTTTTGCAGCACAAAAGTTTTTAGTTTTATAAAGCCCAATTTATCAAATTTTTCTCTTATGGCTCATGTTTTTGTGTTGTATCAAAGAACTCTGCCGAATTCAGGGTGATGATTGTTTTCTTCTATGTTTTCTTGTAGAAGTTTAATAGTTTTAGCTCTTAAAGTCTATGTTTCATGTTTCATGAATTAAATTTTAGGCAGGGTATGAGGTAAGGGTCTAAGTTCATTTTTTTTGCACATGAATGTTCAATTGTATCAACATCATTTGTTGAAAAGATTTCCTTTCTTCCATGAATTGTTTGTCAAAAATCAGTTGGTCATATATTTAAGGGTTTTTGCTTCTGGACTCTCAACTCTATTCCCATGGTCTATATGTTTATCCTTATACCAGTACAGCATAGTCTTGATTATTGTGTTTTGAAATCAGGAAGTGTGAGTCCTCCAACTTTCTTCCTTTTCAATATTGCTTTGGCTATTCAGAGTTCTCTGCATTTGCTTATAAATCTTAGGATCAGCTTGCCAATTTATACAAGAATTCCTGCTGGATTATTGATAAGGATTGCATTGAATTTATAGATCAATTTATGGGGAATTTCCATCTTTACAATAATGAATATTCCCATCCCTAAACATGACTGTCTCTCAGTTAATTTATTTAGTTATTCTTTAATAATTTAGCAATGTTTTGTAGTTTTCAGTATACAAATCTTATTTGTTCAAATTTAGAACCTCCAGTACAAAGTTGAATGGAAACAGTGAGACCAGATTTTCTTACATCCTTGTCTTGTATCTGATCTTCAGGTGAGGTAATTCAGTCTCTCACAATTAGTATGATGTTAACTGTGGGTTTTTCATAGATGTCCTTTATCTCTATTATTATTTGAAGCTGCCATAACACATAAACTATATGTTCTTATTTGGGCTTACTTTTCTCTCCTATTCTTAAAATCATTTGCCAGTATCAACTTAGGTAGTCATCATGGAATTTTTTTAAAAATGGGTAGGAATTTGATGATGGGGAAAAAGAATACTGCAAGGCTAATGGAACAATATTACTAAAACACAACAGCATCCAATATATTTGGGTATATATAACTGTCTTAATTTGGTCCATGGGAAAATCTGAGTGATTTTTGTAAAGATCCTGAGAGTTTTTAGAGCACTGTTGATAACTCTGGATATAGTTATGTACCCCAACTCTTTACTGAACGTTCATAAGTTAGATTTATTTAGTCTTTTCAATATTTATAGTTATGCATATTATTAAAATATACAATACACATATTTGTTATTTTCTAACGTTGGAAAACGAGGCATATGTACAAAGTCAAAGATGACTTTATTTACTTTTATTAAACTAGGACCTTGATACACACACACACACACACACACACACACACACATACACACACACACACAGAATAACTGCAGTAATATTTCATGTTGCTATTTGTATCTATGCTTAAAATATAATTGGCTTCAAATGACAGCACACTTAAAAAATCAAACAGTATATAAATGTATGCTATGAAAAATAACTAGACAAACAATGCTAGTTTCTTATATAACACCTGCCCTCACAATTTTATGAAGATAAACTTCTTTGTTCAGGATACCTATGTGCCCCTTTAAGAATGCATACTTCTACAGGTTTCTTTGCAGTTAAAAGGTGGCTTTGTGCCTTACCTTGGGCCATCAAGACAGAAGCAGAAGTTCCTAGGCGGGGGTTCCATATAATTATTTTCCTGATAAAAATGAAGAGTCTCAGGTAGCATGCAAATTTACCTTTCACCTTTCTTCATGTTCTTGCTGCCTGGAATGTAGACTAAATTCTTAGAGGTTGAGCCACCATCATTGCAATACTAACCACTAAAAACTGCACATCTGATTACCAGGAGCTGGGGCTGGAGAATGGGAAGATGTTGGCCTAGGATACAAAATTTCAGTCAGATAGCAGAAATAAGTTCTGGAGATCTGTTGATAGCATGGAGACTATAGTTAATAATAATGTATTGTATATTTCAAAATAGCCAAGAGTAGATCCTAAATGTTCTCATCACAGAAAAATGATAAGTATGTAAAGTGATAGATATGTTAATTTGCCTGAGTTTTCGTTTCACAACATGTGTGTATAAACATCACATTTTATACTATAAATGTATATGATTTTATTTATCAATTAAACCTTAATAAAGCCAAAAACAGGAATGTAAGGCAGGGAGGAAAACACTATCTCAATTTCTTGAACAGTTGCATTGACTCTTGCTTGCCCATTCATTGATCCCCTGTTTTGTGAAAATCAATAAACTCAAAATTTGGTTACGACACCATGGTCAACTTCTGCTACATGCTGTTGAATACTATCCTAAAATAAAACACCTTCCCACAACCAAACTTCATTGCTCCAGTCTCCCTTCCCAGAGGTACCTGTAACCACCCATTACTGTTGTACTCTTCCAAATAAATTTTATGCATTTTATTTCACTTTAAATACATGATTTCTAGGTAAGAATTTCATCAATTTCTTAAAATTTATGATGCATTTTGAAGACACTAGAATACCTCCTGGAAATGTTTAATCTAATATAAATCTTATTTACATTCTATATATAAATTTAAAAGCAAAGCATTTCTAGCAATTAAATCTTGATTTTGAATATGATGAATTCATTTTTTGGTATTTTTTCATCTAAAAGGAAAGCTTAGAGAACAATTGAGAAAACAGTTGACAATCTTGGAAACTTTTTTCAAGACCACAATCTTTGACGGGGCAGGAGCGGAATCTGGTACTAAGGATTTGAGAAATTATAATAGTTGTGTAATAATATGACTTTAAAACACCCCAGTGGCAGGGATTTCTGTTACTGACTATGAAAAAAGTCGCCTGTATCAGACTAAGCCTCCTACAGAGACAAACTATACAGTCTAAATAAAATATACAAAATAATTTTATGAAGGCGTCAAAGAGCAACCATAACAGACAGAACAAGAGGGACCAAGATCTAGAAAGAGGGGGCATGAAATGAGCCTGGAGATGCATGTGGTGACATGTTTCCTCTAAACGCATTTGCTTATCTTCATTAGATCTAGAGGCCCAACCAAAAGTAGTAGTCTAGAATACGCAACAGTCTCATGAGGATGGAGAGGCAAACATTGGAGCTCAGAGCTACAAAGATAGCCTATACTTCAGGTGCCAAAACCTTAGAATTTGAGAAAATTAAAGAACCCAACACCTGCACTCAATTTTCCCTTGAAAAATGAATGAAGTGAAAGGCCAAGAAACCCAGAAAAAAATCAGCTGCTAAGAGGCTATAATGCCAAGTAGATATTTAGGCAGTCTCATCGTGCTAGAGAGAGAAACACTGGAGTCCAGTTCCTGCCAAGGTGGAAGCCCCTGAATTAGTATGCTCTAGCAATAAGGAAAACAAATATAAATCAAATTTTCCAAAGCCTAAACTACAGCCTTGAATCTTGTTAATATAGGATGAAATTGAGGTGAAATAGACAAGCTTGTAATAACAGTAGAATATTTTAACACATCTCTCTCTGTAATCAATAGAATAGGCAAAAAAAGAATCAGTAGGGAATATTACAAATTTCTTAATTGACATATATAGAACACAACACTCTAAAACTATAAAACATACTTTTATATCTTAACTTTTTTACCCTTATAAACTAATAATCAGACTGAAAGACATTAAGCAATTCCAAAATTACACAAGATTATCCTCTGAAAGACTTCAGTTTCAAACCTGAATTTCACTCCAAAATCCATGCCCTTTTCTCTAAGCCGTAATACTGTGGTAGATTTGAAGTGATATTGCAGTGTTTTTCATGACACCAGACTTTCCTGATATGTTATACTTTTGAGCAATTTGTACATGAAGAGATGCTTTAGGGGGGAAAAGCACACACATAAAAAGCATATTTAAAAAAAGAGTTTCATGGCCCATTAAAATGGGTCCCAATGAAATGTGACTGTGTCCTTACAAAAAGGGATAAGTTTGGAGAAAGACATGCATACAAGGACTATGCCATGTGAGGTTAAAGGCAGAGTTGGGGTGATGCGTCTACAAGCCAAAGAACAGTAAATATTTCCAGCAAACCACCAGAAGCTAGAAGAGAGACATGGAAAAGATTCTTGATAGTCTCCAGAAGAAGCCAATCCTGGTGACATCTTGATCTTATACTTCTAGCCTCCAGACTGTGAAACAATAAATTTCTGTTGCTTAAAAAAAAAAGAAAAAGAAAAAGAGTGGTTTACCCCTCTACTGGCACTTCTCAATGTAATTTAGCACTTAAAAATTCAATTGTCATGAAGTCTCCTCAATTTTTTTAATCTAGTGTTTCCTAAACTTGTTTTATCTCATATTCAGCCTCACTCAAACATACTTTTTTGCATAAAGTCTATTAAGTAAACACCATATCATGAAAATTATAGGGTTTTTAAAAAGTATATCTGGAGACCTTTCTCAATAATAACCGCTCTCCAGTGTAAATTTGTTGCTTTGCTTCAGAGAATCTCCGAACTTTTCCAGTGAAGAAACATTTTATTTTCCCAGCTATTATAATCTCTTGGGGTAGAGTAGAATGAATGGGGAGGAAGAAATAAGATAATATTAACTGTAAAAGCTGCTGGAGCAGGGTCCAGTGCCTTTAGGACTCTCTCCACTGAGTCTTGATGGCTAGTAAGGAAAAACAGTGGAGATTAAAAGGGTCCAGTGTCAGACGAGACAAGTGGATTGTAGTTAACTTGATGGTCATGCCTTTGTCAGTCTTCAGAGTGCCTGTTATAACTCTCTTGTCTATATTTCTATCTCACTCCAATCTTCTCTTGTGATTTTGCACAGTTTTTACCTCTTCTGGAAGAACACACTTGAATAATAGACATGATCAGGAGATGGTGTTTGTATTTGTACTACCTTGCTACACAAACATACACCCAGCCTTGGGACCCCCTTTTAACTGATTTGTTTCACAGAAGACTTTATTATAAAATTCTGATCATATGTAAGAATTTTTAAAGTTTTTGGTAGTTAATGTTACTGCTTAAAGGAAAGCTTACAGTTTCCAAATTCAGGTAACACAAGACAATCAAAAACTTCAAATGAGTCATAAAAGAGAAAATACAGTATTGCCAAAATAAATCTACAATAGATATAAATGCAGCTTTGAAAGATCTAAATAAAAACTTTTCTACAAAAGTGAAAAAAGTTCATATCCAAAGTTGGGAAAGGCAGTCTTCCTTCAAATGCATTTTCTAAATGTATCAGCCTGAAAATAATTAATTCCAGAAAATGGCTTCAAATGCATTGTCATTCACAGGAAAATCATCATTAGAATCATTCAGATTCACTCCTACCTTTCAACTCATAAGACAAAATTAGACACAATGGCCTACTTAAGGAATACACACACACACTAGCGGTATTATAGCTTTGAATTTTTGATTCATCATTGATAGCACAGTGAGGAGCATAATATAGGGCGAATGTTTTAAGAATTCAACAAACCATGTCAAGTATTTTGTAATGAAATTCTTCTGAAATTCATTTTTAATTACAAAATGTGTACTTTCTCAATAAATGATAGTTTATATAAGTCTAGGAAACAAGTGTTTCTCAACAAAATTATGGGGATTCTTTACTGGACTTTCTTTATGCCTGTATTAAATCAAACCCATTCCATAAATATTTATCAACAGCTATGTGCCAAGACTCATGCTACCTGTTGGGGGATGTAGAGTCACAATCTATTGAAATCTGGTGAGTTCATCTTAATTAGAATTGAGGTCACACTGCAGAGAAAATGTTTCAAGAGTGTTTTAAAGTATAAAAGGAAACCTTCATGTTTGGTAATCTTCCGGGTTTCATGAACATTGTGTCATGATTTTTTTTCAAAGTTATTCATGGGCTTTCAAACTATGAGTTGGTGCAGGTATTTAGTATCTTTTTATATTTGGTTCTTACTCTCCCCCACTCCAATCTATCATGTTAAAAGGCATTTGAAGGTGAATGACTTGCATCATGAATAAACTCAATTGTTCAGCAGACAGCTCTTTAATTATAAATCTTTAAATGTTTGGGAGGACAGCATTTTACTTAAATTCCCTTCATACAATGACAAATTATGAAAATACAACTTTTGTATTCTATAATTAAGAGAAGATAATGCTAAAAAAGGCCGAAAGACATATTCTTTTTTTAAGTGTATATAATGGTACATGTTTACCTGCTGTCTTTTCCATAACATTTAAAGTCATTTATGCAGTGAATATGGCAAAGTGTCTTGCTATTAAAAAATATATTCTTTCTGCAGTACAGAACACTTTAACAAAGTAATGCTGGATATGTTTCAAGTCAGTAACTCTAATGGCATTCTTCAATTTCTCATATTACTAACCCCTCAGAACAAAAGTGCCACTATTAATAGGGTTCAGATATTCTCACTAACTCATTTTGATTTCCATTGAAACCTTTTCTTCATATTACATGGACTTTCTAAAAAGTCTTCAAGCTTTTTAAATATTGAATGTGAAGACTAAAGCCAGAAGCTATTTATTTGGGAAATGAATTATCCTAATCTCTTGCAGCCATTTCTATACTATAAAAACGAAGGAAAGAAATGAAGAATAACAACAGGAGGGACAAATGAGCAATGACAAAACTGAAGCCTGGTTTGAACGAGATAGTTTTTGATTTCCAAATGAGAATTTAATGGTAAAATTCAGGAGTATTCAAAACTAGGTGTCTAGTTTATAGTTGCTAAAATGTAATGAACTTGCCTTGTTAAATTGGCTTAGGAATTTATAGTATCAGTTTTCACAATTCAAACCTATATAGAGAAGACACATTTTAAATCAACTAATCAAATGCATTCTTTAAATCCCTCAATATATCCTAATGTACCCAGCAACGTGTTAGGCCAGTGGTTCGCAAACTTTTCCTTACTTGAGTCTGCGGGTAGGCTTGTTACCACACAGATGAGCTTTAATGCCACAGCTTCTGATTCAGTAGGTCTGGGGTGGGACCCAACACTTTGCATTCTAACATATTTTCAGGTGTTATTAGGCTGGCATTACAAAACACCACAGTCTTGGGTGGCTTAAACAACAGAAATTTATTTCTGACAATTCTGGAGACTGGTAAGTCTAAGATCAAGATGCTGGCAGGGTGGATTTTATTCTAAGACCCCCTCTCTTGGCTTGTAGCAGGCTGCCACCTCCATGTGTGCTCAAGTGACCTATTCTTTGTGCAGAGAGAGAGAGAGAGAGAGAGAGAGAGAGAGAGAGAGAGAGATCTATGGTGTCTATTCTTCATCTTATAAGGACACCAGCCCTGTCCCTATCAGATTAGGGCCTCACTCTTTTGACCTCATTTAACCTTAAATACCTCCTTAAAGGTCCAATCTCCAAATACAGTCACATTGGGGGTTAGGGCTTCAATATATGGATTTCTGGAGAACACAATTCAATCCATAACACCTGGTGATGCTGCTGCCATGGTTCCAGAAACCACACTTTTGAGAACTAGTATATTAGATACTGTGATTAATACAAAAGTATATTTGCAAAGACTACTGTCTTCAATAAGCTTCTGTTATTTTCAAGAGAAAGATCTAAGAAATATAAAATATGTAGAGGGCAAACTAAAGATACAAATGCTTAATTTTATGCATGTGTCAAAACATAAAGTATATACATGAATTAGAAATTTGGACATGAGGTTCTTATGAACACCTTGTTGTTGGTAAGATATCAGATAGCACTACTAAAATTGGTAAGATTTTGAAAGTTAACGTGAAAAAAATATGGATACGAGGAAACAACAAGGCAATGATGTGGAGTTTGGAATGAGTGGAGTATATTTGAATGGAAAAAGTAAGACGATTTTGTCTGAAGAAAAACTTATGTGGATTATAATGGGAGATAAGGCTGATAAATTGGATTAAACTATGAAGAGTAAGAATTATAGGGTCTGTAAGTTCCCAAGAAAAAGAAAACATGATGAAATTGGAACAATGAACACTGAACAAGAATGAGATCTAGGTGGTTCAGGGAAGTATCTACATTTTACATGCTCTCTACTTTCTCTTTGTTTGCTGTGTTTCTGGAATTTGTAAATTGCAAAATATTGATGACTGTTGAGAGAGCTTATTTCTTTGAACCATAATGCATGAAAATCATCTATAACTCTTGGCTTGCAAAAAGGAATCCACAATCTTTCTCCATATTACAAATTATATAATGTCAAGTAAGAAAGTGCAAAATAATTATGAACAGAATTTTGTCTCTTTACATTCATTCAACATCACCACCAAGAAATTACTTGTCTAGAATTTGGCTGACACTTTGGAAATGTACATAACTTATTTATATTAAAGAGTTTAACTGTATTTCTAGTGTATATAAATATGCTCTTATGATGCATTATTTTGTTTGGTTTCCATTCTCAGTAGAAAGAATAGATATTATTTTCCCTATGGTTTTATTCTCAATGGAATGAATTATACTTATGATTTTATAGTTATGCCATATATATTTGAAATCAATGTTTTTAAGGTAAACCTGGAGAATAAAAATTAACAAATATACTAATGTACCTCAAGGACTGTATTATTAAAATTTATTTTGCAACGTTTGTTTATTTGGATTAGTTAAAAGTAGAGATGTCTTAGTTATACCACTTTATAATTAAAAAAAATCTAGCCCCAAAATGAAACTCAAGCCTTTCATGGTGCAAAAGAGAGGACAATCTCATTGTCAATCTGTGTGCTCAGAAAAACTCATTTTAATGGAGACAAAATTATAATGCGTGAAGAAAGCCTGTACTTCTTGGAATTCCTCTTGTAATGTATTTCCAAGAGCAGTTACTTTCTACAAACCGAAGTTTCTAGTGAATATAATGTCATAAATATAGTGTTGGTGAAGCGCACCACAATTGTGTTGAAAATGGATAGATGTTTATTCAACACAAGAATACAATTTATAAAATTATTGCCGGGAAAAAGCATAGGGACTAACATGTTTGCCACCAGTGCTGACTCAATTTGTTCACTGGGAAGGCATATCATGATATAGTATTAAGTGTATGAAACAAATTAGGAAGCATCTCTCTTTTCTGCTGTAAGACTGTTAGAATGCCACTGGAATTATTTATTTCTTAAAGGTTGGGAAGAAATCACCCATAGATTCCACTCACGCACTTTTCTATGGGGGTCATTCATTGACATCTCATTGAATTTCTTCTATAATTATTGTTCTATTCTGGATTTAGGACTCTTCTTTAGTTGGTTTTGTTCATTTATATTTTCCTAGAAAAATTTCCTTTTTGGGAAGAGAAATTAATATTTATGGCTATATAATTGCTTTTTATGTTTTCTTATAATTTTTAAACT
This sequence comes from Homo sapiens, assembly GCF_000001405.40. Taxonomy (NCBI): domain Eukaryota; kingdom Metazoa; phylum Chordata; class Mammalia; order Primates; family Hominidae; genus Homo; species Homo sapiens. The sequence goes on from NC_000023.11 coordinate 28,341,331, forward strand.
CCTCTGTATATATGGTGCTATGGTTTGAATGTATGTATCCCTCTAAAATTCATGTTGGAACTTAACCCCCAAGGTAATGGTATTAAGGGTTCTGCCCTCTTGAATGTGATTGGTGTCCTTATAAAAGGGATTGAGAAAGCAAATTTGTCCCTTTTGCCCTTCCACCTTCCCTCATGTGAGAACAAGGCAACAAGGTACCACCTTGGAAGAAGAGAGCAAGCCTTCACCAGACACCGAATCTGCTGATGCCTTGATCTTGGACTTTTCAGCCTCCAGAACTGCGAGCAATAAATCTTTGTTATTTATAAATTACCCAGTCTAAGGTATTTTGCCATAGCAGCCTGAATGATCTAAGACATGTGGTTATATACATATTTTTTACTCATAATTTCACATACTTCATCTTTAATTCTTTATTCTAGATCAGTATTAGCAGTTTTACATAATTTATTGTTCTTTAAATACTCTGTTATACTAATTTCCTCTTTCCAAAGTATTTTAACTATATCATATCTTCTGCTTTAAAAAAATCTGTATTAGGCTTCTCAGTAATTTATATTTTAACCTATTTTTCATATTTTTGTAATGAGTAACTTTTTGCATGGACCAAAGCCTAAAATTTATACATAAGCCTAAAATTTATATAAAAATATATGTCATACAGTGAAAAAAGCTTCTTATTTCACATCTTGTTCACAACCTTCCTTCTTCCTAACCACTTTTCATAATTCTCATGTATCCTTTCAAAGATTTATAAGCAAATACTTGCAAATATGAAGATATATGATTCTCCCTCTTCTAACAAAACAACTTCAATATAATGTTTTTCAGTTTGCTTTTACTTATTATTTCTTGTAGATGTTTCTTTTTTTTTTTTTTTTTTTTGTGACGGAGTCTTGCTCTGTCACCCAGGCTGGAGTGCAGTGGTGCGATCTCAGCTCGTTGCAACCTCCGCCTCCTAGGTTCAAGTGATTCTCCTGCCTCAGCCTCCCAAGTAGCTGGGATTACAGGTGCATGCCATCACGACTGACTAATTGTTTTGTATTTTTAGTAGAGACGGGGTTTCACCATGTTGGCCTGGCTGGTTTCAAACTCCTGACTTCAAGTGATCTGCCCACCTTGGCCTCCCAAAGTGCTGGGATTATAGGCGTGAGCCACCACGCCTGGCCTTGATGTTTCTTTTTTAATTTAATTTTTGTGGGTACATAGTAGGTGTATATATTTATGTAGTACATGAGATGTTTTGATACAGACATGCAATGTGAAATAATCACAGCATGGAGAATAGGGTATCCATCACCTCAAGCACTTATCCTTTGTGTTACAAACAATCCAATTATACTTTTAGTTATTTAAAAATGTACAATTAAGTTATTACTAACCTTAGTTACCCTGTTGTGCTATCCAATGGTAGGTTTTATGCATTCTTTTAAATTTTTTTTTGTATCCATTAACCATACCCACCTACCTCCAACCCCACACTACCATTCCTAGGCTCTGGTAACCATCCTTCTACTGTCTATGTCCATGAGTTCAATTGTTTCGATTTTTAGATCCAACAAAATACGGGAGAACATGAGACATTAGTCTTTCTGTGCCTGGCTTATTCACTTAACATAATGATCTCCAGTTCCATCCATGTTGTTGTAATGACAGGATCTCATTCTTTATGACTAGTACTCCGTTGTGTATATGTACATTTTCTTTATCCGTTTATCCTTGTCTATTGTGAACAGTGCTGCAACAAACACGGGAGTGCAGTTATCTCTTCAATATGCTGATTTCCTTTCTTTCGAGCGTATACCCAGCAGTGGGATTACTGGATCATATGGTAGCTCTATTTTTAGTTTTTTGAGGAACCTTCAAACTGTTCTCCATAGTGGTTGTACTAATTTACATTCCCCTCTAACAGTATATGAGGGTTCTCTTTTTTTCGACTTCCTTACTAGCATTTGTTATTGCCTGTCTTTTGGATATAAGCCATTTTAACTGGGGTGAGATGATATCTCATGGTACAGCTGCACCCCGTCTCTTTTTAGCATTTATTATAAACAATGAATAAAGACTTTATGTATCATTTTTTTACATAGTGAGCACACCTGTAGGATAAATTCCAGGAAGTGTAATCGCTGGATGAAAAGGTATACATTAAGTTTAATAGATATTGCCAAATTGTCTTCTAACAAAGGAAACATTGTTAGATGCTTTTCCTGTAGAGTTGGGATATAGCTACTTATATCTTCTGGTTATTAATCCCTTGTCAGGTGGGTAGTTTGCAAATATTTTCTCCCATTCTCTGTGTTGTCTCTTTACTCTGTTGATTGTTTCCTTTGCTGTACAGCAGCTTTTTAACTTGATGTGATCCCCTTTGTCCATTTTTGCTTTGGTTGCCTGTGCTTTTGGGGTATCTTGTAGATGTTTCTTTTTCTTTTTTCTTTTCTGAGATGGAAGCTTGCTCTGTCCCCCAGGCTGGAGGGCAGTAACATGATCTCAGCTCACTGCAACCTCTGCCTCCCGGGTTCAAGCAATCCTTCCACCTCAGCCTCCCAAGTAGCTGGGATTACAAGTGTGTACCACCACACCCAGCTCGTTTTTTTTTTTTAATTTTTAGTAGAGACAGGGTTTCAACATGTTGGCCAGGCTGGTCTCAAACTCCTGACCTCAGGTGATCTGCCCAGCTCGGCCTCCCAAAGTGCTGAGATTACAAGTGTGAGCCACCGCACCTGGCCAGATGTTTCTATATCAATACTTAAGGTTTCTCCAGGTTTATTTTACTTATATACTTTTCTCCAGGTTTATTTTACTTATATACTTACTGTAATTAGTTTCACCAGTGTTCTTTTGGCAGCTATTCAGGGTTTTTTTCTTTCCTTTTAGCATTAAGAAATATTTCTTGAGACAAGGTCTCACTCTGTTACCCAGGCTGGAGTACAGTAATGTGATGATAGCTTACTGCAGCCTTGAATTCCTGGGCTCAAGCGATCCTCCCACCTTAGTCTCCCTGGTAGCTGGGATTACAGGTATGCAACACCACACTCTAATTTTTAAATTATTTGTAGAGGTGGGGTCTTGAAATGTTCCCCAGGCTGGTCGTAAACCCCTGGCCTCAAGTGATCCTCCCACCTCAGCCTCCCAAAGTGTTGGGATTACAGGCATGATCCACTGCACCCAAGCTCTTTTTAGCATGTATTATAAACAATGAATAAAGACTTTATGTGTCACTTTTTACATAGTGAATATATCTGTAGGATAAATTCCAGGAAGTGTAATCGTTGGATCAAAAGGTATACAGTAAGTTTGATAGATATTGCCAAATTGTCTTCCAAGAGGTTGTATAAATTATAATTCTTACTAAAAAGAATGGGACTGTGTATTTCCCTATAGCCTTGCCAACACTGTGTATCGTCAAACTTTTTTAAAAGCTTCCCAACCAGTGGGTAAAAAATATCATCTCAGTACATTTTAATTTGCATCTCCTTTTAGCAGTAAAATAGAGTATGCTTCTTTATATTTAAGAGTCAATTGTATTTTATTTTCCATGAGCCATCTCTTTATGTCCATTAATCATTTGGGTGGGGGAGTGGTTAGTATTCAGATATTATGGAACATATTTTTATTTGTAATGTGAGTTACAAATCTTTTTTTCACAACCTATTATTTATCTTTTGACTTTGCTTATGTTTTTTATGCAGATTTTTTAATGTTACATAATTGAATTATCAGTGCTTTATATGTGGTTTCTGAAGTTTGACCAAAGTAGAAAGATCTCTTCCTATTTACTCCTAGTTGTGAAAGAATTTTCCCGTGTTTGTCAAGTTAGTTTTGGTTTTGGGTTGCACTTTGTATGTTTAAATCTGTTGTCCTTTGGAAATTGGTGTGCACCATGAGGTAGAGAGTAATTTTTTTGTTCACAAAAGTACCCAGTTATTCAAACATTATTTTTGCCACTTTTATTGTATACCAACATCCCTGCTAGAATTTTCATTATCCTACCCGATTTCCAGACTGTGTCTGGCTCCTCTGGTAATAAGAGGGATGGGAGCAGAAGTAGTAAAGGGTCCAGAAAGGCCTCATTTGATTGGCACCCATGTGCCATTGATTTCCTCTGGTTGTGGCAAACACTTAAGTCTGACTCTTTATCAGGAAGGTACTTCTTGTCGTTTGCCACTAAGAGAGTTACTACCAACAACTTCTTCAAAGTTGGTGAATGGCTCTCCACATTTGTCAATTTAGTCTCCTTCCCATCCTCACATACCATATTTTGCTGAGGTTTTCTTGCCTGCTCAGAAAGTTTCTTAAAGTACATTCAGAAAATCTTTCCCTCTTGTGTTGTCCACATTTGTTCCTCTGATAAAGTACATGGGGGCAAAGGTAGAACATCAACAACTTGCTTTTAAAAAAATTCCTCTCTTGAGTGTTCAAAATTTCCTTTTACTAACTACATGTGGGTGAGAGGCTACAAGGAATAAAATTCATTATTTATTTGTTTTCTTTATCTTTGTTCCTTCTAAATCCTGTATGGTCATTTTGTAACTCACCTTGGGCATAACTGGAACTGAGATTTAATAGTGTTCATTTAACATCCTGTTGTATAAGCTATTTACCATGTTATCTATTTCCTTATTACTTGATCTTTGAAAACTTATTGATATGTTTTACATAGTCTACCATAATTATGGTTTTCTCAATTTTGTCTTCTATTTCTGTGCTAGTTTTCTATTGTGAATGTGACAAATCACCACAAACTTATTGGCTCAAAACAAAAAAATATTATCTTAAGTAAGGGCTCAATAAACTGTAGCTATTAATATTTATTTTTTCCTGTTCTCGGAAAGCCTATTCCATTTGATGTTCAGATCTTATGCTCATGGAACTTTTTTACTTTTTGTTTTTCTTTAGTTTGCTCTCTCTTTATAGAGTTCTTATTATACATATTGAATTTCCTGGATTTGTCCTCTAGGTCCCTTATCCTTTCACTTATCAACTTCATTTCATTAACCATTTCCTCTGACTTCTGAGAAAATGTCTCAGATCAATCTTTTAAATTAATTACATGGATTTCTGCAGCATTAAGTTTGTTGTTTACTGTCTCTTGAATTTTTTAATTTGATCAGTATGTCTACTGATTTGTAAAGGCTGAAAGAGGTATGCAAAATCTCTCACTATGATTGTGGTTTTGTTCATTGCTTGAAAATAACTATTTTGAATTTCTGATTGATTTCATTTCATAGAATAATAATGTAGTTCATTTTAAGGTTTAAAACTAGATATTTAATAACTGTTTTCTTCTGCTCTTTCATAGGAGAATATTAACTTGGACTCACCAATATGGTGGAAAGTTTACCCTTTTCATTTATCTTTTTCTCCCTGCTCATTCTTCAAATCAAGAGACAAACTTTACAAGAAAACATGTCTATACTCATCTGTTGTAGTAATAGACAAAGGAAAAAGATGCATGTTCTTTTGTTTTTGATAAAGTGTGACTTTGTCTCATGTAATGAATTGTATTACTTTGCTGTGCAGTTAATTTTCAGCACTTCATATGTAGGCACCATTGGATGAGGAGGAAAGGAAGGAAGAGGAGGAGAAACAGAAGAAGGAAAAAGAAGGGAGAGGAGGAGAAAAGGAAAGAAAAAGAGGGAGGGAGGAAGGAAGGAATCACTTATGCCCCTTCTTTTACTTAAAAATCATATTTTGCTATTTCAATGATTGAGTATATTTACAGTGTGTTTTGATATTGCTGATAAATTCTGTTTTTCAGCCCTATTGAGGTATAATTGACAAATAAAAATTATATATTTAAGATGTACAACATGATGATTTGATATACATATATATTGCAAAATGATCACCAAAATCAAACTAATTAAGACACCCATCACATCACATAATTACCAATTTTTTGTGGTGAGAACACTTAGGACCTACTCTCTTAACAAATTTCAAGTACATTCATGCACCCCATAATGTTTCAGTCAATGGTGGATTGTATATATGATGGTGGTCTCGTAAGATTATAGTATAGTACTATATTTTTACAGTATCTTTTCTTTTCTATGATTAGAGACACGAATACTTACCATTGTGTTACTATTTCCTTATGCTATCTAGTCCACTCAGCCCAGGAGCAATAGGCCATACCATATGGCCTAGGTGTGTAATAGGCTGTGCCATCTAGGTTTGTGTAAGTACGCTCTAAGATGTTTACACAATGACAAAATTGCCTGATGATGCATCTCTCAGAACGTATCCCCATCATTAAGCAACACATGACTATATACAATACAGTTGTGTTAACTATAGTCACCATGAGGTACATTACATCCCCAGAACTTATGCATCTTGCAGCTGAAAATATGTGCCCTTTGACCAGTATCTGCCTATTTCCCCTCCCTCCTTCCGCATCTGGTGACCACAATTCTTCTTTTAAATTTAATGTAATAGTAGATTCAGGAAGTACATGTGCAGGTTTGTTATGTGGGTATATTGCATAATGCTGAGGTTTGGGCTTCTAGCGAACCCATATAAATAGAGAACATTGTACCCAATAAATAATTTTTTCCTTCACCACCCTCCAACCCTCCCCCTTTTGAATTCACCAGTGTCTATTATTTCCATCATTATATCCATGTGTACGCATTATTTAGCTCCCACTTATAAGTGAGAAAATGTGGTATTTGATTTTCTGTTTCTGAGATATTTCACTTAGGATAATGGCCTCCATCTCCATCCATGTTGCTGTGAAGAACATGATTTCATTCTTTTTTATGACTGCATAATCTGATCTCTGACAAAGCTAACAAAAATAAACAATACAGAAAGGACAGTGTATTCAATAAACAGTGCTGGAAAAACTGGCTAGCCATATGCAGAAGAATGACACTGGACCCCTATCTCTCACCATATAGAAAAATTAACACAGTTCTAATCTCTGCTTCTATGAGTTCAACTTTTAAAGATTATATATATAGATGAGATTATGTCGTATTTATCTTTCTATGTCTGGTTTATTTCACTTAGTATAATGTCCTCCAGCTTCATCCCTGTTGTCATAAATGGCAGGATTTCTCTATTTTTTATGGCAGAGTAATATATATATACCACATGGTTTTTATCCATTCATCCATTGATAAACACTTAGGTTGATTCCATATCTTGGCTATTAATGCTACAGTGAGTAAGAGAGTGCAGACATATTTTCAAGATACTAATTTTATTTCCTAGGGAAATATACCTAGAAGTAGAATTTCTGGATCATATGCTAGTTATATTTTTAATTTTTGAGGAATCTCCATACTGTTCTCCATAATGACCATATCAATTTATATGCCTAGCAACAGTGAGCAATGGTTTACTTTTCTCCATACCATCACCAACACTTGTTATCTCTTATATTTTTGTTAGTAGCCGTTCTATCAGGTATGAGATGATATCTCATTGTAGTTTTGATTTGCATTTCCTTTATTATTGGCAGTGGGAACACTTTTTCATATGCCTGTTAGTCATTTGTATGTCTTCTTTGGAAAAATGTCTGTTCCATTTCTTTGCCCATTTTTAGTTGGGTTACTTGTTTGTTTTTGTTTTTGAGTTGTAAGAGTTTCTTGTATATTTTGGATATTATCCCCTTATCAGATACAGTCATGTGTGGGTTGCCTGGTTCAGCTTTGAATGACTTCCCTCTTGTCTGAAAACTGCCTAGTTGTATAAAAACTTACCCCTATTTTGTGACTCCAGCCTTTTAATTATACCTACATGATCTTGGGGTGGAATCAGGACTAAAACTGGGCCAATCAGATACTTTTGCCCTGGAAATGTCAAGAGGGAAACAAGCTAGGGATTGGTTAGTTGAGTTAGGCTAATAGAAATGCTCATATCGATTAGGTATCTTAATTCTTTCTGCAGAGATCCACTTGGCTTCTTGTTTTAATTATAAACTCTTCCTCTATCCTTCTAATGAATTATCTTTTATTATGCTTCTAGCCAAAGTTACCTTCTGTTACTTTCAACCAAAACTTCAGAATTTGACCCATTTTATATCTTTTTTATTTTTAATTTTTATGGATACATAGTAGGTATATATATTTATGGAGTCATTTTATATCATTGATGCTAAGAACATTTTGCAGCAAAATTGTTGAATGTGTATAATTTCAAGCCACAAAATAATAAAGATACCAAATGGTAAGATTTGATTGAAAGGAATGTATAAACTCCAGCACGTATTACTAAATCTTTAGCATTTCTGAAAATCAAATATGTTTTGCTTTGGTTCTCAGGGGAAGTTCAGCATCTACATGTAAAAGAACTCAGTGATTGCTGGGAAGCCAATGAACATTTATTTCAAATATACTATAATCAGGTTTTTTAAAGAGAAAATTCATCCGTTTTTTACTATTAGGACATCACAATACACTTTTATGTTACTTTATATTTTCAAAACCCTTAATCATAACTTATGAGTTAATCCTGACCATGTTAGTTAATGTAGTCTCAAATAAGTAATTTCATACAAGGAAACTCAAGCACAGAGAAGCGTCTTTAACCCAGGTTTTTAATCAAGATTGTTGCTGAGCCAAGAGAACTCCCCAGCATGTAACTTCTATGCCTGTGAAATTGAGTCTAAATTATAACAGCTTCTTTAGAACTTGTCAAATACCCTCAGTAAAAATTCAAGGGCATGTAATACCATGGGAGTTACTTGTCCAAATGTATTTTAACATGACCCAGCATGCAAGTTACTCTCTAAAGATCCATGGGGGTTGTGAGTCAAGAGCAGATGTGGTGTGTAAGAATTGTAGGCACTGCTGTGTCTCCAGCACTGATGTGTTCTCACATTGAGAAAGACACTCACAGACTGTCTACCAACAGCCACCATCATACTGGGAAAATTATCATAGAGATCTTTAAAAGAGTTTGTTCCTTCATTATTTGATTTTATGAGCTTTAAAAACATAAAGATGATAGATAAATAAATAGATATACAGAGGTATGTCGATATATAGATATTTTATTAATCACTTGGATATAGCCACACAAATAGCAATGTCAGTGTCCCATCTTTTACCATATATAACTACTTTCTTTCACTTTTCTCGGCCTCTGAAGAAAATATCACTTATGGGAAAAGTCCAAGGTCTGACTATAACCATCTTATGTAATTGTTTGACTGTGGGAATTCCAGGGTCATCCATAAACTGGCACCTCTCAATTTCCTTGTATGCCACAGAAGCTTTTGCTATAATAATTCTACTGTAATACTTTTACCATAGTAATGAACAATCCCGAAATGTCAATGGTTCATGAAAAATATTTATTTCCTCATCATGGAACTCTGGGTTAGCTGCAATATCTCTCTTCCAGGTAGTATTCAGGTTCAAGTGACTTCTCCGCCTTAAAGAACACCTCTTATCCATAATGGAGTATTCTCATGTAGATGTGAGAGCAGAAGTGGGATGACAGAAACTTACAGCGTCTCTTAAAGCTTCCCTTCAGAACTGTCTCTACTTAGAACTGGCACATTGTCACTTTTCCCCACATTCCATTAATCTATTGGCCAAAGTAAGTAACATGGTGAACCCAACATTGATGGGATGAAGAAATATTGTACTCTTATGATCAGGACAGGTAGAGAAGTAAAGATGTTCTAAACAATAAAGCAATCTATTACATATTTTCTGTCCAAGACACTCCTGAAAACTTAATATCCTGCTAAATTTTCAGGTGAGGGCTGGGAACCACAGACAATTGGCAGATTTGAAGAGATAACTTTTCAACAAAGAAAAATAATAAAAGGACGTTGAAAGCCGTGTGTTAGTGAGATTATGAAATGTTGAAAGTTTAAGTAATCAGCATACCATAAATGACTAAAATCTAGTTTCAGTCCAGTATCTTGATCTATTATCTCTACTCAATTTAATGTTTTCTTCAGCTTATATCAGTCGTGTATATCTAACATACCCTAACAAATACCCCAAATATAATAGTTTTGAAGTTGAAGTTTAAATAAAAATAAGTGATACGTGTTCAGTACTTTATCATGCTTCTTCTCTGAATGACAAAATTAACACTGGAATTTATTTTCTCATACAGAAATGTTCGTGTCCCAGGCATCTTTCTCAGAAGAGTGTGAGTTGATAAAACATGCATACAAAGCTGAAGCTTAGGATGCAGTTTATTGCCATTTTTATTTTTCCCTGCTTTAATTAAATCTTTCACTGATGTTGAAATTATTGGTCCTGGAATGATCCTTGACAATGTCTGGAAAAGAACACTTAAACTCATTGTTATGTAGTGCTTTTGAACTAACTATCAAGAAAAGAATAGCTATTACATGCATTGCATGTGACAACTAAATTTTTATTTGGTAACTGCCTCACGGAGGTTAACTCAGAAGATACTAAAATGTCTAGAGTTCTTGTCTGCTGACAATTTAGCTTTTTTTTTTTTAAAAAAGAAATGAGTACTACTACATCCATCACTTCATAATATTTTTACATATATGGAAAAGAAACAATACCACACATTATCTCTATTTGTGTGTTAAATAACTAAAGTATTAACATTTACTTTTTGTCATCATGCAGTGTGTTCGTTTTCAATAACAGATGTTTTTTGTTTATTAGTTTTGCTGGTTGGTGTTTTTGGATGTTGCTATGGCCACTCCAAGTAAGCGTGCTAATTTCTCCTTTGGTAAGCTTAAAAGATATTTCCTGGCTCAGATTTAAATTCAAGACTGCGTCCATCCACCAATTCCAAGTATATCATTATTAAATAGTTCAGTAATTTTTTTCTAAATTTTACATATTGTCTCTTGAGAATGGAACATTCAAAGCTAACTTAGAGTTTGCTATTAGATTTATAGTAAAGCAAGGCAGAACGACTGTGGTTTTAAAAGATACATGGAATACCACCAAATTAAAAGTGTGAAGCTGCCAACCTCCTGCTCTCCTCTTCAAAAGCATGTGCAGCAGGATTAGATAATCTACTGTCACCTGAGCTGAGCGGTTTTCGCTAATTAAGGAGGAAGCCCCACAGTCCACAAATGCCCATATTTGTTAGGAAAACAGGATCAGACAAGCTCCATTATATCCTCAGAATACTGTCTTCTTTGTGTTCCACTAAATTTATTTGGAACCCCAGTTTTGGAGCTCGGCATGGCCAGTTAACTTGCCTGACAAACCCACCACCAGCTCAGAATGCCTTGGCTGGTTTCCCTAACATATCTTTAGTCAAAAAGAAACTCAAGAATGTAAAGTATAAAGTAAGGGGTTTGGGCTCAGATCCTGACATTTCTGCTTTACATATCCCTTTTTAGCAAACAAGTTGGGGCATGGCTCACAGCTGTAGATTCCAAATGTCTGCCTCGAACGGCTGTTTAATATATGGGGTATAGAAAACAGATTCTAACTTTGACTCTTCACTCTGCCAATGTGTGATCTCAATCATATTACTTATCTGTGCCTCAGAGTCCATGTTAATAGAAGCAGTGTATTAATAGTATTCACTTTTTAGAAGTGTGATGAGGATTCAATGAAATAATATATAGAGAAAACACTTTGCACAGTGTTTGAGCCATAGTAGGCGGTCAATAAATGATAACTTCAATTTTTAAGTGAAATTATAACCTACCCAGGAAGAAAAAACAAAACACTATAAAAAACAAAAATGTTTGTCTCGAAGCCATATATTTCTCTTAATGAGAATCAAGTTGGTCTGGGTAAATGGAGACAAACTTAATAAACAATATTCTTTGTTGTCCATCTTTTCTCCTTTTAGTGTTCTGTGCATGACAACATGAGTGAGATATTTGGAAGTAGTTGCAGCTTTTAGGTACTTCTGAGAAACAGTGGAAGGACTATTGCAATACTAATAGTGAATGGGTAACTTTAAATATTTAAAAAATATTTTTAAATAGCCACATTAAAAAAATAAAAAGAAATGGGTGAAGTTAATTTCAATAATATATTTTATTCAAGATAATATATCCAAAATATTATGCTTTCAACATGTCACGTGTAAAAATGGTTAGTAAAATATTTTTACATTTTTGCCTTCTTTGAAATAGAATATGTATTTTCCACTTGTAGCACATGTAAATTCTGACCAGCCACATTGTAAGTGCTCAATAGCCACATATGGCTAATTGTTCCCATATTGGACAGTGCAGGAATGGAAGATGAGATGAGATAAGATGAGATAAGATGAGAAAGAAGAGTTGGGGTAGGAAATGGGATTAGAGGCTATGCAGTGGTATTCATGTAAATTTTGTGACTAAATATTTTCAGGCTGAATGGTATCAGAATCATTTTCAAGGCTGCTATAAGCCACGTTAACCTGTAGTATATCTTCTAAGAAAATTTGACCCTCTTACTAAGACATTGATATTAGGCAGTGTAGGGGATGTCTTTTGTTGCCTACTTATTAAAATTGTAAGGGGTATAACAGCTCTACACTGCTCATTTTTACCATGAAGGGTCTAATAAAAAGAGAAGACAGTACCTTTTACATGGTTTATTAAAACTTCATTGTAACCTCTTCTAGCCTTATCTTAGCATTTTATTCGAAACGTACCACTAAGGATGGCTCTGTAACTGAGTCTCTGTGCACTGTGCTGCATATAGGAATATTGATCAGCTTTATCTTTGTCTCTTAAGAATTTCACATTTTATTGTACTAATGCTTCTTACAGTAACTATTGTATTAAGTCAGAACTTTAACATTATGATTCATAAATAGCATAAAACTTGGTTCCCATAAATCATGGCACTAAATTGGAAATTTAAAGTTAAGATTTATAAACTAATACACTAAATCACAACTTTAAAATTTAGGATTCATTAATAAGAACTTTTATATGCATGATGTATAAATCAAAGTACTGTACCTGATTCTTGGAAGTTAATGGATGTAAATCAGAATTCTGAAAGTTAATATTAATAAATCAAGGAAATGCATTTTACATGGTAAATTTCTTTTTTAATGGAATAGTTCCTATATTAAATAATGGACACTATCTTATGAAAAATATGAACCTCAAAACTTCCTGTGATAGCCATTTCCAGAACATCTTTTTAGTTTTATTTAAGCCAATTTCTCTTATGTGAGCATGGAAATATCAGATATACATCTTCTTCGTATAATCTCTCTTATTCTTGAAACAGCAATTAAGTTACACTACAGGTTTTCCATTTCTAGGCTAAAAATACCCACAAAACTTAGCTTCCTTCCATAGGATTTATTTTCTGCACTTTTGAACATTTTTAACAAGTGTCTATGGTCCTTTTGAAGGTGATGCAAGCAAACCTGGACAAAGTGCTCTTACTCGGGTCCTATTAACTCAGAGTGTGGTGGATGAATTACTTCTGAACCCTCATATGTCATACCTGTTTGTAATAGTCCATTTATATCTCCGACAAAACAACAGGAGCAGTTTGAGTTTCCCATTGTAATGCGTTACTACTTAGGCAGGAGAATTGCTTCATTCTCTTCATGCTTAGATTTTCTGGGCTCCTAAGTGACCTACAGCAAACTGGATTCTGCCTTTTCTGCTCCATTTAAACTGCTCTTGGCCGGGCATGTGGCTCACTCCTGTAATCCCAGCACTTTGGGAGGCCAAGGCGGGTGGATCACTTGAGGTCAGGAGTTCAAGATCAGCCTGGCCAACACGATAAAACCTCGTCCCTACTAAAAATACAAAAATTAGCCAAGCATTGTGGCAGGCACCTGTAATCCCAGCTACTCGGGAGGCTGAGGTAGGAGAATCACTTGAACCCAGGAAGTGGAGGTTGCAGTGAGACCGTGCCACTGCACTCCAGCCTGGGTGACAGAGTGAGACTCTGAAACAAAACAAAACAAAACAAAAACCACAAAAAACTGCTCTTAATTCAGTTACCAAAGACCTTCATGACACCAATGGCCAAAAACCCCATTGAATCCTTATCTTATGTGAATATTCATCAACAGTTGGTACAGTTGTTCCCTCTTTCATCAGTATCTGTGACACCTCTTGATTTTTCTCCTACCTCTCCAGCAGCTCCTTCTAGTTTCTTTTGTGGAACTTCCTATTCTAACATCTCTTAACTTAAATGTTAGTGTTTCACATGGTTCTCTACTTAAGCATCTTATTTTCTCACCATGTCTTCTCATTTTTGCCTACAGAGTCTACATGTAAGTGTTGATCATTTACAGAGCTCTTTTCTGAGATCTAGAAATATTTAGTAGGTATTTCTTCCTTGAGGTACTACTGGCACCTCTGAATCAACATACTCAAATGGTAAACCTTCTTTCTTTTGCTAAAGCGACTTTTCTTTTTCAAACTCACTCCAAACCCCATATCTAATCAGCCAAGACTTTTCCTCACATTTCTTCCATCCATTGCATTCCTGCAGCCATAGTTTTAGTTCAAATCCCTATTAATTCATCCTTGAGCTGTTCTCATCATTTCCTAACTGCTCCTCAGCCTTGCAGAATGGAAATTTGATTATATAACTTCCTTATTTGGACTTTTCATTTCCATTCCCCACTCCTTAAATAGATGGTCCTTAAAGACTCATCGGCTTCTATCTTCTCAAACTTTATCTCTGTCTCCCAGCATACTCTATACTTTAAATGAATGGTTCTGAACCTGGGAATTTGGCCCCACAGGGAATATTGGCAATGTCTGAGGACATTTTGTGTTGTCCCAACTGGTGGTGGTAGTGCTAATGGTATCTAGTGGGTGGAGGCCAGGGATGTTGCTAAACAATCAACAATGAATACAACAGCCTCCCACAACAAAGAACTATCCAGTCTCAAATATCAGTAGTGCAGAGGTCCAGAAACCCTGCTACAGACAAATGAAGTATGCATATTTTACCAAGAGAACGGAACTGCTGTGTGGATCTGAAACTTTGAATACATTTATAAGTACCATGTCCTTTGCCTGAAATATCCTTTCCTCATGTACACTCACCTTCATCCTGCAAGCCTCAGTTCAATGTATCCTCCTCTGTAAAGGGGTTTACTCATCCTCCCAAACATTGGTGACCTATCTTCATGGTTTTATGGAAACAATAGGCATGTGATTCAGAGTCAGAATGACATTGGTTTGAAATATGACTCCACCTTACAACTGGTGTGTACTTGAGCAAAGTAAACTTTTTGAGCCCCAATTTCTTCTTCTGAGATTTGTGAGTACAAAATACCAAGCCAACAAGTTTATCATTAGGATCTAATCAGATATTGATGCAAGGGAAATCTGGCTTCACATTTATTACTCCACTGACCGCTAATATTAACTTGGCTGTTTTTGCAGGTTATCACTTACATAGTATGTGAAAAGGATGGATCTTCTCACATAAAGAATGCATATTATTCAGTAAAAGGAATACAAATGATTAGGCTCCCCAACTAGAGCTTCCTAAGATGCTTTCAAGGTTGATTTGCAGGTGAATTTAAAACAAGAAAACTAACTGTAAAATGTGTCTAATATCTGTCATGAGCTACACTTGGATAATTGGGTTGTTCCAGCTAGGAAACTGTATTACACCTGATGCATCTATTAATACTTTTGGAAATATGTTAGCTTATGCAGATTATATAATGAAACTAGAATTTGCAGTTTAGTTGGGAACATAGGACTAGAATTCTAAAATAAGCAGAAACAGAACACTATAGCTTATAATCAACTAGTACAATTTTGGTACAGAAAAGTGCTATATACTTTTCTATACACAATTTTTAAGTAGTGAAAAGGTAGTACTTATGACTAATATATGAAATGGAAGCTAGCTTATCCATCATTGTGTTTGTGCATGCATGTGTATTTCCACTTTCTCTCTTCTTTCCACTCCAACAAAACTTTTTTTCGATCAGGTGATTTTGTAGCACGGAAATGCAATATGAGCACTCTAGACCACTTATTTAACAGGGTCACAAATATCAAATAATCAGAGTGATGTAAAACTATAAGGAAAACATGTACAAATGTATTTGAAATAACTTTCAATTTAATCATGATTATTCCACTGAAGCTTCTACAACAAATGTTTACTTGAGAATTTTTTGAAGCTGCTTTTTTTTTTAAACTTGTGATAAATTCAGCATTACAGTAAGCAGAGCCATTCTGTCTGCAGTAATGTTCTTGCATCATCTAAGCTATTCCCAGAGGAAATAATGGATAAAGGAAAACCAAGTAAAAAATAACTTTTATCAGATCTACTGTAAAAGCCTTTTCTGACATCAAGGGCATATGCAGATTTTCTTGATAGCCTGACTCCATGTGATTTAGTTTACTAATTATCTTACTTCCCATCACCTATTTACTCTAAGTAACTTGACATCTGAATATATACTTGCATGCATAAAACTATATATATTATGAGAAAATATAGCATTGATACCACTTTGAGCATATCCTAAAGCATGCCTTAAGTTTAATAACATATATTTGTGATTCTAAGAGAATCATGTGTTATACAATTTGAAACAGGATTAGTTCTCCTATTTAGCTACTTTTTATTATCGATTAATTTAAGTGATAAAACTTTGAAACATTTATAACATTACTGGGTGAAACTGTCTACAATTATCTGATTTCTGACATTAAATGTCATTTCTTATTACCAAATGACAAAAAATTAAAATACTCTTTCTCCTTGAGATTTATGTCACTTATAGTCCAGAAAGAATCTCAAAATATAAAGTGACAAAATATATAACTTATGGCATGTAGTCCAGAAAGAATCTCAAAATATAAAGCAATGTCCTTCAATATAAGTTTATAAAAAACCTGTATGCCAGCCAGGCACTGTGTTTCACACCTGTAATCCCAACACTTTGGGAGGCTGAGGTGGGCGGATCACAAGGTCAGGAGTTTGAGACCAGCCTGGCCAATATGGTGAAACCCCATCTCTACTACTACTCTAATACAAAAATTAGCCAGGTGTGGTGATGCACACCTGTAGTCCCAGCTACTCGGGAGGCTGAGGCAGAAGAATTGCTTGAATGCGGGAGGCGGAGGTTGCAGTGAGCCAAGATTGCACCACTGCACTCTAGCCTGGGAGACAGAGCGATACTCCGTCTCAAAAAAACAAAAAACAAAACAAAAAACCTGTATGCCATAAACAGTATTTTTAAATGGGAGGTGAATTAAAACCTATGAGAAAAAAAATACAACAGACAAATAACTATTACTACTAGTTTAATACATAAAACTTCTCACAAATGAAAATGGAAAAATTACACTAATAGAAATATTATAAGGAAATGTGTATAGGTTATTTTAAAATAAGTGAAATACAGATGGCCTAGAATATAGAAATGGACAAGGTTACCTGTTATCAAATACATTGAAATTGAAGAGCAAGATTATTAATTTACCTGCCATATGGTTCATTTTCTAATGCAATGTTGCTACTCAGTATTTTCTGGCATATGAATAAAAGGAAATTATTTTATATGTTTCTAGTAAGCATATAAATTAGTATAACTTTCTAGGGAGAAATTTGTCTTCCAAATAGCAGTATCTTTTGACATAGAACGTTCCTGGAAATTTATCCAGAGGAAATAACATAGCCATAATATATATTCATTGCAGCATGGTTTACGATCTACAAACAATCAGAAATAACCAAAATATACAAGAAAAGGGCATGATTTGAATAAGTTATATTATACTCATGAGAAGGACTATGTAGCCGTGAAAAAGATATTCTAGAAACATATTTACTGCCATAAGATTTCATAACTTATGATTATCTGAAAAAACATAGCTTCCAAAAATGCATATCATGATTCTATGATAGAATCTTTTAGTCATAATAATTGCTTAAATTTACATAGGTAATAAAATTCTATTATAATGTGTGCCCAGCAAAGTGAGGAGCCACTGTGAACCCTTGTGAACAGCTTTCCATTCAGGACTCATGGAAAACCATGACTATAGCCCTTCACGACTCAGAACAGGAAAGCAGCTTTAAGGAATCAGTTATCACATCATCCCCCAAGAAATAGGCTCCTATTGTCCTCTTATGATTCTGCCTTTCTCACCTTCTGTCTCTTTTCCTCATTATATAATTTATTTATTATTTGTTTCTTCTTCTATGCCCTCTACCTCTACTATTATTACTGCTTCTCTTTCTGTGTGTTTGACTGTGTTTACTTGTGATTCTCAAAAAATAATCCCTGAGAGAGAATCCCATTGAGTCTGGTAGTTAGATCCAATATGGCATGCCCAAACTGGACAGAGTTCTTAATGGTAGGTTACCTCTTTAACTCCTGATCTAGCCTCTATCTGGTTATCTTTGGTTTCAGCATTAATTCATGATCAAATCTGTGTTATCTGGGACAGTAGAGTCACACGACACAAAGCAAGAAGCAGCCACCCTTTCTTGCTTTTCTCAAAAGGGAGTTCTAGAAATGTAGAGGACACTAAGAGTTGCCTTTCTGTGGTGAAATTATAGAAGTTATAATATAGAATCTATAGCACAGATCTTTTTTTCTTATTAATGGTTCATTTCAATGACCATTATCAGTATCTGCCTATAAAGAAAAAATTAGTGAGTATAAGTTTTGCTTTTCATTTCAAATCACTTGGTCTAGTCTCCTGCCTACAAGGTATTCTATCCCTGCCAGTGACTACTTGTAAACATACGTGTCTTCAAAAGCATTCATTCTATCTCATCCATCATTCTGTTGACTATTCTTGCTTCACTTTCCATTTTGATTCCTGTAAGAACCTTGTAATTGATGTTTAGTAATGTCAGAGGCTTCTAAACCCTAAAACACCCCCTTCATCCATTTACATCATGTTTTATTTCACCTTTCTCTAAAAAAGTATTGGGATATGGCGGCTAAGTAATTACTTAGATTGTATGCAGATTCTTGTAGTACTCAGTTTTGAGGTCATCGGACCCAGGAATACTTTGCCTTTTCAAAATTTAGTGGTTCTTTTCTATCTTAAATTGTTTCTTCATTTTCAGAACCTTGGTTTTTTCCCACTTGCTTATTTCCTGACTTCAGAAATAATCCTCTAAAAATTTGCTTATCTATAGGGATATTATTCAATGTCCTACTTGGTGTCACCCCAGTCTATGTATTTCCACTTCGTAAGCCTGCTGTTATGATCCATTTTCTTCCTGCTCTAGCACACAATGAGTAGTGGTGGGTTTTCCTCCCCCTTATTTGACCTTTTTATTCTATCATGAATTTGATCCTGCTCCTTATAGACTTTCCATAATTCAAGTCATGTTTATTAGTATCTACTCTGTGGAAGATGCTGTACTGCTCACTCTGAGGCCAGCCCTTGCCCTTTAGTGAAGAAAAGGAATGAATGTATGTAATTTTAACAGGGGGAGGAAGAAAAAGAAGAGGACAGATAGCTAAAGACTGTACAAGAAATGTCAGGAGAAAGTGGGAGAATTAGTGAAGGGAAGAGGAATCTGAAGAGTACCGAAAACACTGATAAGGGCTATTATAATTTTTGTTCGTATCTCATATGCATAACATGGAAGGTATTAAAGAAATTATTTTGAATTGAAATTTGTTGAACCTATTATATTGAAAAATATAATAGGATATCAGTGTGGGGAAGGGGTGCAGAAAATCATTCAAGATGGAATGAGTCACAGTCAAATGCAGCAGAATGAAGACTAAGTAAGGAAAACTTTTAAGAGAAACCATTAAGAACCTTCAGGAATGCATAGAAGGCAGAAATACAAATGCCATATGTTGCAAGTAGAATGTGGCAAAGATTATTACCCAAGCATCTGAGCATTTTGGTAGTGAAAGAAGACAGGAAATTATAGAAGAGAAGGTAGATAAATGGCATAAGAATCAGTCAGAGTAAAACTAGAAATAGAAGGATGATCAGCACTTCTCAGAACAGTGTTGGGCAGCTCAAAGTATAAGGTGATATTTTTGACAAAACGTTAAAAAAAATTTGTGTAGGCAATATTCAAAATATGAAGACACACAATAAATAGAAAATAGCAAAAAGAGGAGACTATTGCAAGAACATTCAATTTATATCAAAAATAAAAATTAAAAATCTCTTCATGGGAAATAGCAATCTTTTAAACATATGGTGTTGATAACACTGGATATCCACATGCAAAAAAATGAAATTGGATCTTATACAAGATAAAAAAATTAACTCAAAATGTATCAAATACCTAAATGTAAGAGTTAAAATGATAAAATTTTGAGAAGAAAGCATGGGGGAAATCTTCATAACATTGTCATTGGCAGTGATTTCTTTGGTGTGACACCAAAAGCATAGGCAACAAAAGAAAAAATAAATTGGACTACATCAAAAGTAAAAACTTCTGTTCATCAAAGGACATAATCAACAGAGTGAAAAGGCAACCCAGGGAATGCGAGAACATATTTGCAGAAAATATATCTGACAAAGAATATCCAGAATATATGAAGAAATTCTATAACTCAACAACACCAAAACAAATAACCCAATTAAAAATAGGCAAAAGACTTAGACATTTATCCAAAGAAGGTATACAAACAGCCAAAAAGCATATGAAAATATGCTCAACATCACTAACCTTTAGGGAAATACAACTAAAAACAACATTGAAATATCCCCGGACACTCATGAAAATGGCTACTTCTTAAAAAAAAGCAATGTCAATGAGGAGGTAGAAAAATTAGAACCCTTCTGCAGTACTGGTGGGAAAGTTATGGAAAATAGTATGACAATTCCTCCAAATACTAAAAATAAAATTAGACCATACTATCCAGAAATTCCATTTCTTTTTTTTCTTTTTTTTTTCTTTCTTTTATTATACTTTAAGTTTTAGGGTACATGTGCACAACGTGCAGGTTTGTTACATATGTATACATGTGCCATGTTGGTGTGCTGCACCCATTGACTCGTCATTTAACATTAGGTATATCTCCTAATGCTATCCCTTCCCCCTCCCCCCACCCCACAACAGGCCCCAGTGTGTGATGTTCCCCTTCCTATGTCCATGTGTTCTCATTGTTCAGTTCCCACCTATGAGTGAGAACATGCGGTGTTTGGTTTTTTGTCCTTGCAATAGTTTGCTGAGAATGATGGTTTCCAGCTTCATCCATGTCCCTACAAAGGACATGAACTCATCCTTTTTTAGGGCTGCATAGTATTCCATGGTGTATATGTGCCACATTTTCATAATTCAGTCTATCATTGTTGGACATTTGGCTTGGTTCCAAGTCTTTGCTATTGTGAATAGTGCCGCAATAAACATAGGTGTGCATGTGTCTTTATAGCAGCATGATTTATAATCCTTTGGGTATATACCCAGTAATGGGATGGCTGGGTCAAATGGTATTTCTAGTTCTAGATCCTTGAGGAATCGCCACAGTGTCTTCCACAACGGTTGAACTACTTTGCAGTCCCACCAACAGTGTAAAAGTGTTCCCATTTGTCCACATCCTCTCCAGCACCTGTTGTTTCCTGACTTTTGAATGATCGCCATTCTAACTGGTGTGAGATGGTATCTCATTGTGGTTTTGATTTGCATTTCTCTGATGGCCAGTGATGATGAGCATTTTTTCATGTGTCTGTTGGCTGCATACATGTCTTCTTTTGAGAAGTGTCTGTTCATATCCTTCGCCCACTTTTTGATGGGATTGTTTGTTTTTTTTCTCGTAAATTTGTTTGAGTTCTTTGTAGATTCTGGATGTTAGCCATTTGTCAGATGAGTAGATTGCAAAAATTTTTCTCCCATTCTGTAGGTTACCTGTTCACTCTGATGGTAATTTCTTTTGCTGTGCAGAAGCTCTTGAGTTTAATTAGATCCCATTTGTCAATTTTGGCTTTTGTTGCCATTGCTTTTGGTGTTTTAGACATGAAGTCCTTGCCCATGCCTATGTCCTGAATGGTATTGCCTAGGTTTTCTTCTAGGGATTTTATGGTTTTCGGTCTAACATTTAAGTCTTTAATCCATCTCGAATAAGGTGTAAGGAAGGGATCCAGTTTGAGCTTTCTACATATGGCTAGCCAGTTTTCCCAGCACCATTTATTAAATAGGGAATCCTTTCCCCATTGCTTGTTTTTCTCAGATTTGTCAAAGATCAGATAGTTGTAGATATGCGGCGTTATTTCTGAGGGCTCTGTTCTGTTCCATTGGTCTATATCTCTGTTTTGGTACCAGTACCATGCTGTTTTGGTTACTGTAACCTTGTAGTATAGTTTGAAGTCAGGTAGCATGATGCCTCCAGCCTTGTTCTTTTGGCTCAGGATTGACTTGGCAATGTGGGCTCTTTTTTGGTTCCATATGAACTTTAAAGTAGTTTTTTCCAATTCTGTGAAGAAAGTCATTGGTAGCTTGATGGGGATGGCATTGAATCTATAAATTACCTTGGGCAGTATGGCCATTTTCACGATATTGATTCTTCCTACCCATGAGCATGGAATGTTTTTCCATTTGTTTGTATCGTCTTTTATTTCCTTGAGCAGTGGTTTGTAGTTCTCCTTGAAGAGGTCCTTCACATCCCTTGTAAGTTGGATTCCTAGGTATTTTATTCTCTTTGAAGCAATTGTGAATGGGAGTTCACTCATGATTTGGCTCTCTGTTTGTCTGTTATTGGTGTATAGGAATGCTTGTGACTTTTGCACATTGATTTTGTATTCTGAGACTTTGCTGAAGTTGCTTATCAGCTTAAGGAGATTTTGCTCTGAGACGATGGGGTTTTCTAGATATAGAATCATGTCATCTGCAAACAGGGACAATTTGACTTCCTCTTTTCCTAATTGAATATCCTTTATTTCCTTCTCCTGCCTGATTGCCCTGGCCAGAACTTCCAACACTATGTTGAATAGGAGTGGTGAGAGAGGGCATCCCTGTCTTGTGCCAGTTTTCAAAGGGAATGCTTCCAGTTTTTGGTCATTCAGTATGATATTGGCTGTGGGTTTGTCATAGATAGCTGTTATTATTTTGAGATACGTCCCATCAATACCTAATTTATTGAGAGTTTTTAGCATGAAGGGCTGTTGAATTTCGTCAAAGGCCTTTTCTGCATCTATTGATATATCATGTGGTTTTTGTCTTTGGTTCTGTTTATATGCTGGATTACATTTATTGATTTGCGTATATTGAACCAGCCTTGCATCCCAGGGATGAAGCCCACTTGATTATGGTCGATAAGCTTTTTGATGTGTTGCTGGATTTGGTTTGCCAGTATTTTATTGAGGATTTTTGCATCAATGTTCATCAGGGATATTGGTCTAAAATTCTCTTTTTTTGTTGTGTCTCTGCCAGGCTTTGGTATCAGGATGATGCTGGCCTCATAAAATGAGTTAGGGAGGATTCCTTCTTTTTCTATTGATTGGAATAGTTTCAGAAGGTATGGTACCAGCTCCTCCTTGTACCTCTGGTAGAATTTGGCTGTGAATCCATCTGGTCCTGGACTTTTTTTGGTTGGTAAGCTATTAATTATTGCCTCAATTTCAGAGCCTGTTATTGGTCTATTCAGAGATTCAACTTCTTCCTGGTTTAGTCTTGGGAGGGTGTATGTGTCTAGGAATTTATCCATTTCTTCTAGATTTTCTAGTTTATTTGTGTAGAGGTGTTTATAGTATTCTCTGATGGTAGTTTGTATTTCTGTGGGATCAGTGGTGATATCCCCTTTATCATTTTTTATTGCATCTATTTGATTCTTCCCTCTTTTCTTCTTTATTAGTCTTGCTAACAGTCTATCAATTTTCTTGATCTTTTCAAAAAACCAGCTCCTGGATTCATTGATTTTTTGAAGGGTTTTTTTGTGTCTCTATTTCCTTCAGTTCTGCTCTGATCTTAGTTATTTCTTGCCTTCTGCTAGCTTCTGAATGTGTTTGCTCTTGCTTTTCTAGTTCTTTTAATTGTGATGTTAGGGTGTCAATTTTAGATCTTTCCTGCTTTTTCTTGTGGGTATTTAGTACTATAAATTTCCCTCTACACACTGCTTTGAATGTGTCCCAGAGATTCTGGTATGTTGTGTCGTTGTTCTCTTTGGTTTCAAAGAACATCTTTATTTCTGCCTTCATTTCGTTATGTACCCAGTAGTCATTCAGGAGCAGGTTGTTCAGTTTCCATGTAGCTGAGCAGTTTTGAGTGAGTTTCTTAATCCTGAGTTCTAGTTTGATTGCACTGTGGTCTGAGAGACAGTTTGTTATAATTTCTGTTCTTTTACATTTGCTGAGGAGTGCTTTACTTCCAACTATGTGGTCAGTTTTGGAATAGGTGTGGTGTGCTGAAAAGAATGTATATTCTGTTGATTTGGGGTGGAGAGTTCTGTAGATGTCTATTAGTTCCACTTGGTGCAGAGCTGAGTTCAATTCCTGGATATCCTTGTTAACTTTCTGTCTCGTTGATCTGTCTAATGTTGACAGTGGGGTGTTAAAGTCTCCCATTATTATTGTATGGGAGTCTAAGTCTCTTTGTACGTCTCTAAGGACTTGCTTTATGAATCTGGGTGCTCCTGTATTGGGTGCATATATATTTAGGATAGTTAGCTCTTCTTGTTGAATTGATCCCTTTACCATTATGTAATGGCTTTCTTTGTCTCTTTTGATCTTTATTGGTTTAAAGTCTGTTTTATCAGAGACTAGGATTGCAACCCCTGCCTTTTTTTGTTTTCCATTTGCTTGGTAGATCTTCCTCCATCCCTTTATTTTGAGCCTATGTGTGTCTCTGAACGTGAGATGGGTTTCCTGAATACAGCACACTGATGAGTCTTGACTCTTTATCCAATTTGCCAGTCTGTGTCTTTTAATTGGAGCATTTAGCCCATTTACATTTAAGGTTAATATTGTCATGTGTGAATTTGATCCTGTCATTATGATGTTAGCCGGTTATTTTGCTCGTTAGTTGCTGCCGTTTCTTCCTAGCCTCAATGGTGTTTACAATTTGGCATGTTTTTGCAGTGGCTGGTACTGGTTCTTCCTTTCCATGTTTGGTGCTTCCTTCAGGACCTCTTTTAGGGCAGGCCTGGTGGTGACAAAATCTCTCAGCATTTGCTTGTCTGTAAAGTATTTTATTTCTCCTTCACTGATGAAGCTTAGTTTGGCTGGATATGAAATTCTGGGTTGAAAATTCTTTTCTTTAAGAATGTTGAATATTGGCCCCCACTCTCTTCTGGCTTGTAGAGTTTCTGCCGAGAAATCAGCTGTTAGTCGATGGGCTTCCCTTTGTGGGTAACCCGACCTTTCTCTCTGGCTGCCCTTAGCATTTTTTCCTTCATTTCAACTTTGGTGAATCTGACAATTATGTGTCTTGGAGTTGCTCTTCTCGAGGAATATCTTTGTGGCGTTCCCTCTATTTCCTTAATTTGAATATTGGCCTGCCTTGCTGGATTGGGGAAGTTCTCCTGGATAATATCCTGCAGAGTGTTTTCCAACTTGGTTCCTTTCTCCCCGTCACTTTCAGGTACACCAATCAGACGTAGATTTGGTCTTTTCACATAGTGCCATATTTTTTGGAGGCTTTGTTCATTTCTTTTTACTCTTTTTTCTCTAAACTTCTCTTCTTGCTTCATTTCATTCATTTGATCTTCAATCACTGATACCCTTTCTTCCAGTTAATCAAATCTGCTACTGAAGCTTGTGCATGTATCATGTGGTTCTTGTGCCATGGTTATCAGCTCCATCAGGTCATTTAAGGTCTTCTCTACACTGTTTATTCTAATTAGCCATTAGTCTAATCTTTTTTCAAGGTTTTTAACTTCTTTGCTATGGGTTCGAACTTCCTCCTTTAGCTCAGAGTAGTTTGATCGTCTGAAGGCTTCTTCTCTCAACTTGTCAAAGTCATTCTCTGTCCAGCTTTGTTCCATTGCTGGTGAGGAGCTGCGTTCCTTTGGAGGAGGAGAGGCGCTCTGATTTTTAAAGTTTCCAGTTTTTCTCTTCTGTTTTTTCCCCATCTTTATGGTTTTATCTACCTTTGGTCTTTGATGATGGTGACATACAGATGGTGTTTTGGTGTGGATGTGCTTTCTGTTTGTTAGTTTTCCTTCTAACAGTCAGGACTCTCAGCTGCAGGTCTGTTGGAGTTTGCTGGAGGTCCACTCCAGACCCTGTTTGCCTGGGTATCAGCAGCGGAGGCCTGCAGAACAACGGATATTGGTGAACAGCAGATGTTGCTGCCTGATCGTTCCTCTGGAAGTTTTGTCT
This sequence comes from Homo sapiens, assembly GCF_000001405.40. Taxonomy (NCBI): domain Eukaryota; kingdom Metazoa; phylum Chordata; class Mammalia; order Primates; family Hominidae; genus Homo; species Homo sapiens. The sequence continues at coordinate 28,367,453 of NC_000023.11, forward strand.
CAGAGGAGTACCCGGCCACGTGAGGTGTCAGTCTGCCCCTACTGGGGGGTGCCTCCCAGTTAGGCTACTCGAGGGTCAGGGACCCACTTGAAGAGGCAGTCTGTCCGTTCTCAGATCTCCAGCTGCATGCTAGGAGAACCACTACTCTCTTCAAAGCTGTCAGACAGGGACATTTATGTCTGCAGAAGTTTCTGCTGCCTTTTGTTTGGCTATGCCCTGCCCCCAGAGGTGGAGTCTACAGAGGCTGGCAGGCCTCCTTGAGCTGCGGTGGGCTCCACCCAGTTCGAGCTTCCTGGCCACTTTGTTTACCTAAGCAAGGCTTGGCAATGGCAGGCGCCCCTCCCCCAGCCTCGCTGCAGCTTTGCAGTTTGATCTCAGACTGCTGTGCTAGCAATGAGCGAGGCTCCATGGGCATAGGACCCTCCTAGCCAGGCGCAGGATATAATCTCCTGGAGTGCCGTTTGCTTAGACCATTGGAAAAGCGCAGTATTAGGGTGGGAGTGACCCGATTTTCCAGGTGCCATCTGTCACCCCTTTCGTTGACTAGGAAAGGGAATTCCCTGACCCCTTGCACTTCCCAGGTGAGACGATGCCTTGGCTCACGCTCAGTGTGCTGCACCCACTGTCGTGCACCCACTGTCCGACACTGCCCAGTGAGATGAACCCGGTACCTCAGTTGGAAATGCAGAAATCACCTGTCTTCTGCGTCGCTCACGCTGGGAGCTGTAGACTGGAGCTGTTCCTATTCGGCCATCTTGGCTCCACCCCCAGAAATTCCATTTCTGGGTGCATACCCAAAATAATTGAAAGTCAAGTCTCAAAGAGATTATTTGTATAATCATATTTATAGTAGTAGTATTCACAATAGCTAAAAAGTAGAAGCAACCCACATGTTTATCAAAAGATAAATGGATAAATAAAATAGAGTATATACATACAATAGAATATTATTCAGCCTTAAAATGAAATTCTGACACATGCTACAACATGGATGAAACTTGATGATATTATGCTAAGTGAAATAAGCCAGTCACAAATGGGCAAATTCTATGATTCTGCTCATATGAGGTGTCTAGAGTATCAAATTCACAGAGGCAGAAAGTAGAAAGGTGGCTGTCAGAGGCTGGGGAGCGGGAAGAATGGGGAGTTACTGGGTATACGGTTTCAGTTTTGCAAGATGAAAAGAGTTCTGGAGAATAGTTGCACAAGAACGTGAATGTGTTTAAACGGTGTGCCGTGATTGCCCCTGTAAATAGCTTCTGCACTCCAGCCTGGGCAATATAGTGAGACCCCACCTTTAACTTTTTTTGTAATTAAAAAAGTGTTTTTGTTTTTATAGATTTAGAGGGTACAAGTGTAGTTTTGTTACATGGATATATTGTTTAGTGTTACTGCCACCCAAATAGTGTACATTGTATCCATTAGGTAATTCCTTATCCCTTACCCACCCAACCCCACCTGTACTCCCACCCTTTTGAATCTCCAGTGACTATTATTCCGCTCTCTATGTTCATGTGCATGCATTATGTAGCTCCCACTTATAAGTGAGAATATGTGGTATTTGTCTGTCTTTTTGTGAGTGGTTTCACTTAAGATAATGGCTTGCAGTTTCATCTATGTGGCTGTAAAAGACATGATTTCATTCTTTTTTATGACTGAGTAGCATTCCATGGTGTATATAGACCATATTTTCTTTATCCATTCCTCCCCTGATGAACACTTAGGTTTGTTAAACATATGAGTTCAGGTATCTTTGTGATATAATGATTTCTCTTCCTTTAAGTAGATACCCAGTAGGGGGATTGCTGAATTGAATGGTAGTCCTAGTTTTAGTTCTTCAAGAAATCTCCATATTGTTTTCCATAGAGACTGTATTAACTTGCATTCCAACAGTTTATTTTTTTAACTTTTATTTTAGGTTGAGATGTACATATATAGGTTTGTTTTATAGCTAAACTCTGTGTCACAGGGGTTTGCTGTACAGATTATTTTGTCACCCAGGTACTAAGTCTAGTACCCAAATAGTTATTTTTTCTGATCCTCTCCCTCCTCCCACAGTCCACCATCAGGTAGGCCCCAGTGTCTGTTGTTGTCCTCTCTGTGTTCATGTGTTCTCATCATTTAGCTCCCACTTATAAGTGAGAATATGCAGTATTTGGTTTTCTTTCTTCTTTTGAAAACAGAGTCTCACTCTGTCTCCCAAGCTGGAGTACAGTGGCACAAACACAGCTAACTGAAGCCTTGACCTCCCTGGCTCAGGTGATCCTCCCACCTCAGTCTCTTGAGTAGCTGGGACTACAGGTTCTCGCCACTATGCCTCGCTAATTTTTGTATTTTTTCTAGAGGCAGGGTTTCGCCATGTTGTCCAGGCTGGACTCAAACTCCTGGGCTCCAGTGATCCACCCACCTTAGCCTCCCAAAGTGCTGAGATTACATGCAGGAGCCACTGCACCCAGCTGGTATTTGGTTTCCTGTTCCTGTGTTACTTTGCTAAGGATGATGGCCTCCAGCTCCATCCATGTTCCTGCAAAAGACATAATCTCATTCTTTTTCATGGCTGCATAGTGTTCCGTGGTGTGTATGTACATTTTCTTTATACACTCTGCTATTGATGGACATTTACATTGGTTGCATGTCTTTGCTATTGTGAATAGTGCTGCAATGAACATTTCTGTGTATGTGCCTTTATGGTAGAATGATTTATATTCCTTTGGATATATACCCAGTAATGGGATTGCTGGGTCAAATGGTAGTTCTGTTTTTAGCTCTTTGAGGAATTGCCACACTGCTTTCCACATGGTTGAACTAATTTCCCCTCCCAATTTTGTTATCTTTGCAGGTTTAAAGTCTGTTTTGTCTGAAATTAGGATTGCAATCCCTGCTTTTATCTGATTTCCATTTGCTTGGTAGATTTTCCTCCATCCTTTTATTTTGAGCCTACAGGAGTCATTACATGTGAAATGGGTCTCTTGAAGACAGTATACTATTGGGCCTTGCTTCTTTATTCAGCCTGCCACTATGTGCCTTTTAAATGGGGCATTTAGCCCATTTATCAATGTTAGTATTGATATATATGTGGGTTCAATTCTGTCATTGTGTTGTTAGCTGGTTATTATGCTGGCTTGTTTGTGTGGCTGCTTTGTAATGTAACTAGTCTTTGTGTACTTAAGTGTGTTTTTGTATTGGCTGGTAATGGTCTTTCTTTTCCATATTTAGTGCTTCTTTCAAGATCTCTCGTAAGGCAATTCTAGTGGTAACAAACTCCCTCAGCATGTGCTTATCTGAAAAATATCTTATTTCTCTTGTACTGAGGAATCTTAGTTTGGCTGGACATGAGAATCTTGGTTGAAGAACTTTCTTTATGAATGTTTAATATAGGCTCCCAATCTCTTCTGGCTTTCTGCCAAGAGGGCCACCATTATATTGATGGGGTTTCCCTTGTAGGTGACCTGCCCTTTCTCTCTAGCTGCCTTTAATATTCTTTCATTTTGACCTTGGAAAATCTAATGATTAATGTGTCTTGGGGATGATCTTGTGTAGAATCTTTCAGGGGTTCTCTGTATTTCCTGAATTTGACTGTTGGCCTCTCTAGCGAGGTTGGGGGAGTTTTCATGATGATATCCAGAAATGTTTTCCATGTTGTTTGCTTTTTCCCCATCACTGTCAGAGATGCCAGTGATTGGTAGATTTGGCCTCTTTATGTAATCCCATATTTCTCAGAGGTTTTGTTCATTCCTTTTCATTCTTTTTTCTTTATTTTTGTCTGACTGTCTTACTTCAGAGAGAAATAAGAGCCAATCTTCAAGTTCCAAGATTGTTTCCTCAGCTTGGTACATTCTACTGCTAACACTTGTGATTACTCTGAAATTATTATAGTGTGTTTTTTAGCTCTATCAAATCAGTTAGGTTCTTTTTTATACTGGCTATATAATTTGTCAGCTCCTGTATCATGTTACTGTGATTCTTAGTTTCCTTGCATTGGGTTTTGCTGTTCTGAATCTTGATGATCTTCATTCATGTCCATATTCTGAATTCTATTTCTGTCATTTCAGCCAGCTCAGCCTGGTTAAGAACCCTTGTTGGATAACTACTGTGATTGTTTGGAGGACATAAGACACTGTGGTCGTTGGAGTTGCTGGAGTACTTGCATTGGTTGTTTCTCATCTTTGCATGTGGGTGTTTCTTTAACTGCAGCGTAGATTGAGAACAGTCAGTAGACTTGTTTACTAGATGTTTTCACAGGGCTAAGGCTATGTGCAGGGTCATTATTTGTAGCTGACTTGTTTTTTGACTTCACAGAAGGGTTTGATAGCAAGGTATTTTTGGTGTTGAAGGTTTGGGACATGATCCAGTAGGGGGTGCTTAGGCGTAGTGGTCAGTTGGTAGGCTCTTCCTCAGTCATGTGGCTCCCCTATGTATCCTCGCAGTTGCAGCCATGCTCTCTCTCAATGTTTTGAAAGTGTGGGCTCCTCTCCCTCTTAAATGCTGGCTGTAGATTGCAGGTTGCCACTCCCAGCTGCCCGCCACAATTCTGGGGTGATCTCAGGGTTTATGTTTCCTCCTCAACAAAGACAGCAGAGGAAGGGACCTTAGCAGTGATTGTGGCCCAAGGGCCTTTTACTTGTCACCTGGGGCTCCACCCCAGACAGACGCAGGTCAGCAATCATTCAGTGTGATCAGCCTGGGATTGGCGGGGGGGGGGGGGGGGCGGGTGCTGTGACCCACAGTTTATAATCATTCTCTTTTCTCCACATTCTTACCAACATCTGCTTTTTTTTGTTGTTACTTTTTAATAACCATTCTGACTGGTATGAGATAGTATCTCATTGTGGCTTTGATTTGCATTTCTCTAATGATTAGTGATATAGAATATTTTTCATATGTTTGTTGGTCACATATATGTTTTCTTTTCAGAAGTGTCCGTTCATGTCCTTGCCTACTTTTTAATAGGGTTGTTTTTTCTTGTTGAGTTCCTTGTAGATTCTGGATATTAGCCCTTTGTCAGATGCATAATTTGGAAATATTTTCTCCCATTCTATAGGTTGTCTGTTCACACTATTGATTTTTTTTTCTGTACAGCTTTTTAGTTTAATTAAGTACCATTTGTATATTTTTATTTCTGTTGCATTTGCTTTTGAGGTCTTAGTCATGAATTGTTTGTCTATGCCAATGTCCAGAAGAGTTTTTCCTACATTTTCCTCTAGAATTGTTATAGTTTCAGGTCCCACATTTAAGTCTTTAATCCATTTTGATATTTTTGTATATGGTGAGAGATATTGATCCAGTTTCATTCTTCTGCATATGGCTATCCAATTTTCCCAGCACCATTTATTGAATAGGGTGTTCTTTCCCCAGTAATTTCTTTGTTGACTTTGTTGAAGATCAGGTGTAGGTATGTGGCTTTATTTCCTGGTTCTCTATTCTGTTCGCAAAGGCAGAGGAGCTCTCCAACAGTTCAGATACCAGTGGTCTGCCACAGGGGTAAGAGGAGCCAAAACACTCCCACCTACCCTTTCAATGAAACACCTAGTTACTCAGCATTCCTAGCTGATCTCTGCCAGCGCTTGGTTCCTTTTCTGTGCCCCAGCTTCTTCCCATGAGTTCTCTGCTATGCTCCAGCACTCTCTGCTTGCTATGCTATTCAAATTATAATTATTCATTTGTAACTTTGGTTCTTCTTTCTGAGGAGACCTGAACATCCAGCATCTCTGTTTAGCAACCTTGAACTCCTTTTTCATCTCTAAAAAAGGGAATATTTTTAAAATGGTTAATATGATAAATTTTGGGCTATGTGTGCTTTGTTACAAGTAAACAAGCAAACAAAAAAATAAACTCCTCATGTTCTGGGAAGACTTTCCACCTTCCCTTAGTCACTGGCCTTTTAATAATTCCATGGAGGTTCCAGGATCCTTCTTATCTCCAGCCTTTGCTGTTTTTCTCTTCACCTGTAAGACTCTTCCGCAGTTCATCCCCTGGCTATGTTCAAAGCTTTCAAAACTTTCTGCGAAAACAAACAAACTTTTCTTGACCATCCAAATCAAAATTACACTCTTGTGTTTTGATGTCTTATCTCCTACTTTTTCCTACAATAATTTCAAGTATACATTTTGGAGGTGATCATTTCTTTTAGCCTATCTTCTCCTCTAAACTATAAGTTGCTTGAGGGCAGAGAACATAGTCCACTCGGTACACAGCTGTATCCTCAACAGCTGGGTGCTTGCGTGGTGCTGAGTTAGTGTTCAGTAAACACATATTTAATGAGTAAATGAATCTAGTTGATAATAAAATAAATTGTTTTTAGATTAAATGTAGTTAGATAATTCGTTGTCAAAGCTGATGGAATTCTGGATAAGTGTTAGCAACCTTTGAGGAATACAAGTGAGATTAATACAGTTAATTGGTAGTTGTCATTTATTCCCATTCTTTTCTACATACTTTCATATAACACAATGTAGAAAGCTAAAAACTACATTATCTGACTCTCTTCAAGCTAGGCCTCTAAATGGCAGTTAGGTTCTACCAGGGAGCCCCACTCTGAAGATCAAATTACTTGGAGGCCATTTTCCTGCTACAGCTGCTGTAACTGCTAGCAAAGCATTCATAAAGATATATCTGTTTGTAGCCTGACTCAGGGTTCCCACGATAAGTCATTAACTCCCGGCCATGAGATACAGATGTGACACAGAAGGTATGACACCAACAGCATCTTCCTCATCTTTGGATCTCAGCTATGATGAGTCTAGTGTCAGATGCTGACTTTCAGTCCCTCATATTTAAAACCTTAAGTCCTTATATTAAACCTTTTTCTGCTTAAAATACTTCACATTGTCAGTTCACTGCATTGAAGCTGGAAAGATACACGTAAAGTATCAAAAAGACTAGAACTAGAAAATGGTCAGTTTTCATATTATTGATCAATAGCCTTAAACTCAAGCCATGGCAAAATTCTGGGAACAATTACTAAATGAACTATTTATGATAATTTAAAAAGTAACAAAAGTAATCACACAAAGCTAGCATAGAATCATTAAAAGAATGTCATGGAAAAATAACATTAATTGTTTTCTGATAAACTTATAGTAAAAAAAATCAGCAGAGTCCCATATTCATTGTGTGCTTGGATTTCTTGAAGCATTTATCAAAAATCCCTCATGTAACCATCTCTGAGAATCCTGTCCTGGATCACTTGAGTATACTTGATAATGGTCCTCTATGCTCATATATCACTTTTCTTCATTTTTCTACTATAATCAGTATCCTGTTAGTTTGTAGTTGTATTTTCACATCTGTCCCTCCCTCATCTCTATATATTTGGAGCTTATGACTGGCAAGAAACATATATTATTTAACCATATAAACCTCTGACATAGTACAGTGCTTGTCACACTTTAGGTATGCTCAATAAAATTGAATACTTGATGTTGAACTATGATATAACTAGGTAAACTCATAAATGATTTAAAATATTAACCTCAAATGCACTCATTAATGGATCTGTATGAAGTGGAAAGAAGTCTTAATTAGAATCACCACAGGCTTTTTCATTCTAATGGCATAATTGTTTAATCCTAGAAAGAAGTGTTGCCTTATCTTGAGCCTCTTATCTTGTGGCATACTGTATTAAATTGATCCAGCATAATTTTTTATTCTGCTTTGCAGTTGAGCTCATCATTTTGTTTGGATGGTGTTCAGCCTCATCAACTTGATTTATAAATTTCTTAAAGGTTCAGGCTTTATCTACCTCTTTTCCTCTGCTCACATCAGTGCTGTGCCAACAGTGGCTGTGCAGAGGGCCCTTTTTTACATGACCATTTTCTTGCAACTGGTTCCCTTCCTCTAATTCCTCTGTTGGCCTCCAAGACTCTGTGGAAGGTCTTTTTTCAATTTGAGAATTAGTAGGGGATCAACAGAAGATATTGTGTGTTGCCTTTCATTTCATCATTCAGAATAAACTGACTTTTTTTTTGGACAACACCCATATACTTAAGACGCCCACATATTTGGAGTAAATCACTGTAAATAGGCGATCAGCAGAAAACAACAGCCTGTAGAACACATTACCAAGGAGCAGCAGGCAGCCAAGTTTTTTATAACTGGGCTACTAGCCGCCAATTTAAAGCTTTAATCGGAACACGCTTACACCACACAGAAGTCTGTTTTTCTGCACAACATAAATGGAAGGGGACAAAACACTGCTGCCTTAATTTACATTGATATTTTTAAACATGATTTTGGCTTTGAGTTGGTAAACATGCTTTGGAAAATGCATATCCAAAAAATGAAGGATGCTAAAAATAAGAGAATGTATGTAAATATACATGAAAATAGGTCTTTTTAAAAGTTACGTCCACTACCACCCTTACCCCCTACCTTTTAGGTTAACTTGCAACTAATTGGCTCTGGCAGTATTAGACTCGGTCCTTACATAATGCCACCAAATGTTTCTCTGTCTTTTAGTTACTAATAACACTGTCTGCCATAGGGAAGGCAAATAACTTCATTCTATTTCATTTGAATTCTGGAGAGCCTTTTTAAATTTTGATATTTTCAGTTCCATGCTGAAAACAAGCACTTTCCAAGAAAAAAACTATTTTGGAGGTGACTTATTGAGGGCGTTCTATTCTACTAATGATATTCTACCACAGAGCATTGAATGTGAGCTTATGATCATAAAAATACTTGATGATGCCTTTTTATCCAAATATCCAAGAGCATTAAAGGAAATAAAAACTCCATCTATTTGCATACTACTTCTGATAGAGAATAAAATAAACAGGCAGAAAACTTGAGTTGCTATGTAACACATAGTATCAAACCGTTGAAAGGAATATTTCTGATTCCCTGACACCAAGTCTAAACAAACATGCCACTTTCCATTGACAGCTCACGTTTTACCTTAAACTTATGTTCTGACTTGAGTCTCCAGTCTATGTCCTTCTTGCTACTTAAAAAAATCCTTTTCACATATTCCTTCCTTCTTACCCATTTTTCCATCCCTCTGATTCTAGGACTTCAAAATCTTCTGAAATGTACCTTCACAAACCCCTTGGGAGATTTCAAAGAAACAGGTAAGCCCATCTCATGTTTTCCCTATGCACACACACACACAATCCTGTTTTAAGTTAATGTAAAGACCTACTTTGTTGGAGAGAAGAAAGAGAGATGTCACAAATGGCAACCTACTAGTGCAAAGAAAGGTCAACACTGTGGTCTGGGACCCAGGCAGCCCTGGCCCTGGTCCCACAAGACTTGCTTTATGTTTTGTTTTGTTTTCAGCCCTTCAGTCCACATGTCTTTGTTCTGACAAGGCTGTATTTCTGTAGTCCTGTTTACATGTGATGCTTGCTGTTGGGAGACTTGCAAAACACCAAGGCCTGAAAAAGCACTAAGAGTTGCTTCACCTTAAGAACAGCTGGGAAAATTCAAGAGCTAATCGTGAAGCTCCTTCTCTTTATTGCAGCCAGTTGTTCTACTTCTCTAGGTGCTACCTTGCTACTCAAAGTGTGGTCCAGCAGCATTACCATCACCTGAGAGCTTGTTAAAAATGGCCCAACCTCTGACCTCTAAATCAGAATCTTCATTTTAACAAGATCCCCAGGTGGTCCAATTGCACGTTAAATTTGTAGCAGCTCTGACCCCAAAATGTGTTCAGCTCCTGTCTACATGATTTGACAAAATGGTTCTTAAACCAGAAGATGATATTTGCAAAACTTTTTAGCTCTGAGAGATTTGGCTCTGTATATTCAAGCCTTAAATTGTGGCAAATCTCCACAGTGCTGAAAACGTTTTTGGCTTCTCAATTCTGCACATAGAGATTTTTATCTTTTACCTTTATCTTTTATTTTGACAAAATATCACCTTTATTTCTGAAAAAGTCTTTGGTCAATGAAGCTAAGATCTGATGGCCAAATGAACCTAAGATCTCTGGTCCTGCTTCTAATTCCCACATCTCCAATTCAGACTTCGGGACAATACTTTTCAAGCAAAATATCAGAGCAGACACAGTGAGGAACACAGCCTCACATGAGGAAAGGAAAGGAGATAGAATGCCAGTGCTTACTGGAGGCTAATCAATTACATCAGTCAATTTAAAACCACAGAGTAATAGCACCATCCTCCACCAGTTGGGAGAAATAGGTCTGGGGCATGAGGCTGCACATCTCACTCTGGGGAAACTGTTCAAAGTGAGCTTCCTGATGTCTTTTAGGATAGCTTCCTCCTTCTGTTTTTTAAAAAGTTATTTGTTCATTTATGCATTGGAATGTACACAAACCTTATTTCTGCCAGAAAGTATTAAGGACTGTATAATCATTTTTCCTTAGAAATGTGTTAGGAACATACACACACACATACAGACACACATAAATTACCCAGTCTTGATTATTTCTTCATAGCAGCATGAGAATGTACTAATACACTAGCTTTGTTGCTTACTGGCTGTCGGACCTTACCATGTTTGCTGTTTTCCCTTCTGTGTCTGAAAAAGGTGGACTAGTTTAGCACACCTTTCAGATCCCAATCTGCTTTACAATCCTATGCTGCCAATGGCTCAGAAGCTTTAAATGTTATTAGATATATTATACCTAAAAGAGTGATCATTTTGATTAGTTATTTCCTTTTTGGTTGCTTTGTTTGTTCATTTATTTTTAATTTTGGAGAACTTCCAGCAACTGCCAGTAAGCATTATGGAAGAGGCATTTAGATGATGTCTTCATCTTATTAAAAATTCCATTAACGTTTTAACACCACATTCCCCAAGAAGTGTTCCTTAACATGGTAATGTGTTACATGGTAAAAAATTGATTCCACTGTCAAATAAGTTTGGAAACACTGGATTAAAGTGAAAAAGAGCCAGCTTTATGCCATGCTAATTAGGGCTTTAGCGTGTTCATGAGAATTGAGAATCTACAAGAACCAAGGTATGACATGGTTGCAAAATGTCCTAAATTTATTTGACCACAGAATATTTTGGGGGTGAAATATTCCAAGGGACTGTTGTTCTAAGAGAAGTGCTGAACCCGAAGTAGAAATTAGACCTTTATATTTACACACTGGTTTTCAAGTGGGGCACCTAACAAAACGGGCAGGTAAAAACTGTCATAATTTAAATCCCCTTATGTCTGGAGAAGATTTCTTGCCTGTGACAGAAAATCTGACTTTTCCCAACATAAAGAACAGGAAAACCATGGGGGAATTTCTTACCTGCATAGAGGGACACACTGCAGAGGATTTATCCTTGATGGAAGATTTGGGACTTTAACAGTGGAGATATTTTTAGATATAATTCAATACTTGAATTAAACGCAAAACATAGCTGACTATATAGAAGTGTTGAAAGCTCAGCATTTATACTCAAGTAAGCAAATTGCAGCATTCTGCACCAGCATCAAATTCTGAGTGTTTTTCACCTAGATATCCTTCTGCAATTCAGCTTAAATGGTAGAAAATTAAATGTTACATCCTCCCAAATAAAGGTGGACACATAGAAGGCAAGAATGCCGAAGGGATTATTAGAATTTCATGACGACCAACAGGCCAAATTATACCAGAATTTTTATTTCTCAATAAAACATTTTAGGTAAACAAATATTTATGTCACGCTAACTATTTATACACTCTTTGAAAGTGAAGAGTTTGCTTACAAGAACATCTTCTGAAATGGAATCATGTGTTTTGATCTTTGCAGGATAAAAAAATAAATAAATAAATAAATGAAAATGTTGCCTTAAGGCCCTAAAGACAGCCATATGCTTTTGCATACATTTTCACAACTCAGCAGCTGCTCACTGAACCTCTTCCATTTCAAGTTTTCCTGTTGACCACTCTCTTCTGCACGGCTTCTGTGACTGCCGGATGGAAATATTTCTGAAAACACTGGGGCAGCCAGGATTGTCCAAGTGTTTTCAAAATGTTTGCTTGGCAAAGCGTTGCTGGCAGGCAAAATGTGCTCCTACAAGGGTTTTAGTAAGTGTTTATGCCTCCTCAGTGTATTCCATTTGTAAATGTGGGCAGAGACCTAAACTATGCTCTCTGGAAGCTTTAAATGAAGAAACTGAAATTCACTTTGCCTTAGAAAGGCTTTGCACCTGCCAATGCTACCTCTTCCAGATCATTTTAATAGATTCATAGGCAGATGCCTTTTTAAACCACCTCTATAATCACAGACACAGACTGGGAAACTTTAAGCTTCCCATTATCTCCCTGAAAAAAATCAGTGAAAGTTTTTCCAAATAATTGTATTTTAAAAAGGGCTAAGAGACACAATGAGGTAAGTGGCGAGATGTGTTGGGGGAGGTTTCAGACAAGGGGGAGAACCACAGAAGAACTGGAGAACATGATGCATTCAAGAAACTGTAACATGGTGATCAAATTATTAGAACATTGGTTATCCCATGGGCGAGGCAGGGGGTTAGGCTGGAGACATAGGCAAGACCCACATCACGAAGAACTTTCTAAATCACATGCAGGAGTTCACAGAATCATTAAAATGATTTAAGCAGATCTCTGGTGTGATCTTATTTTTAATTTTAAAAAGGCCATTTGTTGAGGGTCTGAAACTATAGTGGAAACTGGGGCAATACTGGACATGAAGCAAACAGTATGGAATTGAAAAGTTCAGGCAAAAAGTGATAATGTTATATAAATGGAATTATACAACATGCAACCTTTTGAGACTAGCTTGGTTTATTCAGCATAATGTTTGTGATATTTATCCATGTTGTTGCTTGTGTCAGTAGTTTCATCCTTTTTAATGCAGAGTAGTATTTCATTGTATTGATGTACCACAATTTATTTATATATTTACCAGTTAAAGGGAGTTTGGTTTGCTTCCCGTTTTGTGAGATTATGAATAAAGCTGCTTAAACATTCACATACAGATGGAACTGTTGTATCCTGACTATGACAGTGGATACACAAATCTATAAAATGTTAACATTACTGTATTTAATTTTAATTTTAAAATAAAATTTGTAAAAAGCCAAATTAAGAAAGGGACAGTGAGACTGGAGAAGAAAAAGTTCAGATAATTCAAAGATGAATTTAACACATTATTTCATTTTTACTAGGAGACTAGAAAGTTTAAAGAATAGATTTCAGCAATTGCAAGGACAATAGTGAGCTTCATTCATTCGTCATTCATTTTCTGGCTTTGATGTGTTTGTAAATAGAAGAACAATAACAATAAATAAATAAATAAAAACTATGCCATATGGCTCTTGGGGAGTTACTTGCTTCTAATGGTGTTGCTGTTTTCAAGGCATTCTGGGAGAAACACCTTCACAGTTGATTGAAACACAGCTGCCACACCAGCCCATCTGGACTCTGCAACTTGCATGACATGGACCCGATAACTTCTTTCATTTGAATAGGCATTCATAAGTGCCTATACTGTCATTTCTTTTTTTTTCTTTTTTTAAAAAGTAACACCTGGGTAAAGAAATAAAAAGGAAAGATCTTGCGTAGAAAAAGCAGCATGCAACATATGGTCTTTTTTTGTCCTTAGCGAAGCTGCATTAGAAACAGTTCAGAAAAGCCTTGAGATAACACTCCATTAGTAACTCCATATGGGTGAGGCTTGTTGAACCTGGAATCATATATTGAAAAAGGAATTTGGCAAAAATTCTTTTCCACTTTGCTTTTAAAGGTTAAATATAAATGGGATTGGGAGGCATATTGACTAGGTAAATAGCTATTAATGCTGTCAAGTGAATTAGTTAATCAGATCTTTTATAAACTAACAGTAAGCCCACAGTAGTTTATCAGAAGCTTGTCAGCATATGGGTATTCTACAGAAAGGGAAAATTATGAAATGGTTGAGGGGATGGCCAAATGCAGGGGCCAGAAAATCAGGTAAAAGCCAAGATACGTGTTTTTCCAAGAGTGACTGTGTGGTACATTCATTGCAAAAGTATTTCAAATTTGTTATCTCTCTCCTTATCCACACTCTTTACATGACTTTGCAGCTCCTTTCACTGAGAACTGAAATTTATTTTACCAACCACTGAAACCTGGGCAGGCTTTGTGACATGCCTTGTTCAAAAGCAGGGTAAATGATGCTCTGTCAATTTTGAGCCCAAGCTTCAAGAAGTCAAATGTTCTTCCTTGTTCTCTCTTGTGGAAATCTGCCCATTCACCACGTGAGCAAGCATGGGCTAGCTTTTCTGGGGAGCATGTGAAACAGATAACTGCCACTACGCACCCCCTCTCCCGCTCATCAAGCTAAGGCCTCCCTAGACCAGCCAGCACACAGATCTGGCAAAGTGACCTGAGACACATGAGCAAGTTCAGCTGAGATTTGCCAAACCCAGACCAGATTTGCAGAACCCAAAGCAGCCCCAAAGACTTGTGAGCTAAATAAATGCTTGGTATTTTAAGTCACTGTGTTTTAGGGTGGTTTGTTACATAACACTAACAGATACCGACCTCAAATGACTTCTTCATCTCTCCTTGTATTAGTTTCTTATTACCACTGTAACAAAGTACCACAAAGTCAGTGGTTCAAAACAACACAAATTTATTCTCTTACAGTTCTGTAGGTCAGACGTCTGCAGTCAGTTTCACTGGGCTAAAGTTATGGTGTCAGTAGGGCTGGTTCTTTCTGGAGGATTTAAGGGAGAATCCATTTCCTTGCATTTTCAGCTTCTAGTGGCTGTCTGTATTGTTTGGGTTGAGGCCCCTTCCTCCATCTTCCAAGCACACGACTCCAATCTCTGCTTCTTTCATCACATCTCCTTTTCCTCTGAATCTGACTCCTCCTGAGTCCCTCTTACAAGAACTTATGTGAGTATATCAGGCCTACATAAATAATCCAGGATGACCTTCCCATCTCAAAGCCCTTAATCACACCTGCAAAGTCCATTTTGCCATATTTGGTAACACATTCAGATTCTGGGGATTTGGACATGAATATATATTTGGGGTACCATTATTCAGCCTCCACACAGCCTTTTCCTTGAAGTGACTGTAGTCATATTCCTTTCCACTTTTACATTAGCAGTAGAAAGTGTACATATTGGAAGAAAAATGAAATCCAAATAAAGTTGTGACAGGATCGGGGGAAGGAAAGGATTGTGACATCAGGTTTAGTTGGAAGAAAAGTAAGCTGAATAATAACTACTACTTATTGACCTCTTATTTTGGTCTGGAAACTGTTCTAGGCATGTTACATTTAATTTTTATAACTATTAAAGTCTTTTAAGGTAGTTCCTTGCCTTACTGAGGCTGAGGCTGAGAAATGTATATAACTTGTCTGCAGCTTGTAAGTGGCTGATTTGGAAAGTGACCCCAGATCTTTCTGCCCACCAAACACTTTACCCATTTTGCTTTATTCAAATCTCTTACTTTCTGAAACAAATTGCAAATCTAATAGTCTACAAGACAAGATTTATACTACAGAAATCTCTCAAGGCAAGGGTGACAAACATCCTCTACCTTTAGGGTATTGAGAATTCTACTATAGTGTAATATAACTAGAAGTCAAATGCTTAAGTCAATTTAAATTCTTCTGGATTTTAGCCTAATAATCTATCAGAAACAAACAAAAAAACTTTTGATACTTTTGAACAAACTTTCAGTATTTTGACCCATGGCAAAACTTGTTTTAATTGCCCTATGAATCATATTTATTATTATTATAAAATTTCACTCAGCTTAATTTATTTTCAGTTTGGCCTAATTTTCTTTTAGGCAACAAATGTCTAAGTTCGGGTGGGTTTACAATTTCCTTGAAATTTTTACTTTGAGAAGTAAATTTGAAAAGGGTTTTTGTTAATGAAGAAAAACTGCTGATTCACTGAAAACATTTCATTTCTAACTGAAAAGTTAAAAGCTTTTCTGTCTGAGTATGTGTCAGTGGCAAGGAACACAGTTCAAATGCATGGTTAAAGGAAAACAATTTATGTGCATACTAAGTACCCTTATTTGTGATATTTGCTAATAAAATATTCATGCACAATTGTTACCAAATACCCGACTTCAGTGTATTCTTAAAACATTAAACTATCTTGGAATTGTATAAGATTAGTAGAAAAGAAGAGGGTACCTTCTACCCTGCAGACTAAAGCCCACTGATCTGTTTTGTGGTAGGGTGAAGGGTTTTTTTATATATATATATCTCATGGTGTAGTAATTTCCTAGGGCTGCCATAACAAAGTACCATAAACTGGGTGGCTTAAACACCAGAAATTTATCATTTTATAGTTCTTGAGGCTAAAAGTCTGAGATCAAGGTGTTAGCAGGGTTGGTTCCTTCTGAGGGCTCTGAAGGAGAATCTGTTCCATGCTTCTTCCCTAGCTTCTAGTGTTTTGCCTGCAGTCTTTGAGGTTTCTTAGCTTGTAGACACAACACTCCAATCTCTGTATTCATGTTCACATGACATTTTCCCTATGTGCTTGTCTGTGTACAAATTTTCCCTTTTTATATGTATAGTAATCATATTGGATTAGTGGCCCAGCTACTTCAGTACATGTGACCTCATCTCAACTAATTACATCTACAACTTCCCTATTTCCAAATAAGATCACATTCTGGGATATTGGGACTTCAACATATGGCTATTTAGGAGACAAAATTCAGCCTATAATTCTTGGAGATAAATACATTTCAAAGCTGAAGCTTGAATATAGCTTTAAAACAACAACCAGAAATAACTATGCATCTATCATAATGGTGAGGAAAAAAACATGCTACCATTGAAAAGAGAAGGGACAGTTCAGAAACACAAGGCTTTAATTTAGGTATAGAAGAAACCAACAGATGTTTGAAGCTGGAAGTTAAAAATATTTTTGTTATATAACAAGAATGTAAATTAATAAACTTTGTTGTTCTCAGTTTTGTGCAGGCTAGGTATTATATCTATCTAAACAAAGATGAGAATAAGTAATAAGGAACAACACAGTGGCAGAGATAAAGTAATATTAGGATAACTGGCTCTTCTATTTATACTCTCTAGCTTCACTTGTATTTCTTCAAAAATCTGTAGCTACCTGTCTATTTTAATCATAAACAAATCTCCCACCAATTCACAGTACTAAGCACAATAATAGAAGTTCAAAATGTGGAAGCTTCATAGAAGAAAAAAATTTTTGATTTAAAAGAAACATGAAAAGCTATCCAGTTCAATCTTCCTTCTCTTGCCAAAATCCCTATAAAATATCCAGGACATAGTCAGCCACCCTCTGCTAACATTCTTCCAAAGCTGATGCCTGCCAAAGACAAGCCATTTTATTTGTGATAGTTATTTTTCTTAGCAAAATTTTAATCTTTATAAATTGACCCATTGAAACATATAATGCACTCTAGAACAAGATAGACCATATTAATTCATGTTCCATTTAGCAACTCATAAAGCATTTGAAAACCATGGGCATGTGCCTGTACGGTTTCTCTTCTGGAGTTAAGCACCTCACTCCCATCTGAAGGTGTAAGTTTAGTAATGTTCTGCTTGATAATGTTCCAGGAGTGTCTTCCCAATGCAGCATACAGTGAGACTGTCACTACCATTGTTTGTGTTCTCTTCAGTGCACACCAAGATTGAAATCACTGTTGTATACTTCAGATCACGTTCTTGATTTAGACAAATATATATTAGAGAAAATGTTAACTTAAAGAATAGTTACAATCTAAATTGAGAGCTCTGAAAGTGGGAGACTAGCACTTAGGTTTTCTGCTCTATTCTTTCTAAAATTACCTTGATAAGGCTTTTGGAGAAGATTCATTTAGAGGATAAAAAATATAAAAATGGGACAACTAAATTGCTGTGCATAACCAAGTAGCAGGAATTTTGCAATAGTCCTTTGGCAGTTCAAGAGAGGGATTTTTAAAATTTTTGATACATTATATTTGTACATATTTATGGTATACACGTGATACTTTATTGTATGTATACAATGTTTATTGATCAATCCAGGGTATTTAGGATATCCATCACCTGAGTATTTATCATTTCTATATGTTAGGTACATTTCAAGTCAAGAGGGAGATTTTTAATCCCATTGTAAGAAGATAACAAATGAAGCATATGCAAAAGGAAAAACAAAATTCTGAAATCAGCCTGGAGTGCCGGCTATGACAGCAACAACAACAAAAAAAGGTTAACGCATAGCTGATCTCATGAAAAAGAAAGAGCAATTTCCCATCCCAGTTGCCATAAATTATGAAAAATGAAATACAGTTCTAATTGCTTCAGCTATTACTGCTTCACATCTTTTACCATCTGAGAAAGCGTTACTGGATACAAAAACCAAGGTCTTTGGTTATTGTGTCACATAGGAATAGGAGATGAAGCCCAGGACCTGTATGAGAAAAGAAGTTGAAAATGAGGCCACAGGAAATATCCTGGACACACAAAAATATGCATCCACCATGAAAGTGAGTACTACAAAAAAAAATCACTAACAAGAAAACTTCATTTCTCTACTAGGTTTTACAAAAACAAACAACAACAACAACAACAACAACAAAAACTCCTCTAAAAAGTCAAAACCTGTACTCCGGCCAATACAGATTTGGAAAAATAAATTTTAAATTTAAAGCTTCCTAATATCAAAAATATAGCCAACTAAAAGCACAGGTTTGTGTTCAAAAGCAGATTAGATGCAGTTGAAGAGATAACTAGTGATCTAGAACCTACCTGTGAGAATTAATTGCTCAAAATGGCATATACAGAAGTAAAGAGATGGAAAACATATATGTTCCTGAAAGATAAACAAATAGAATGAGTATGCGTGTATGACCTCAATGTGACCTAGGCAATATTAGAGGAAACTGCCTGAGAGATTTCCAGTATAGACTAAAGATTTTGATTCTTTAAAAAGAAAATCACAAGTCCTGGGAGGAATAAATAAAAATCACTCCACATTTATATGAGTGATGTGATATTTAGGACCAAAAATTAAAAGTCTATATATTAATAGTTTGAAGATAAAGCTTAAAATACTTGAAGGATATTTTAAAAAGTAAATAGAGTAGAAAAGAAGAAATAGCAAATAAATGGAGCAACCTGGTAAAGAATTAAAAACAAAAACAACAAAAACAGAAAGAAGGAAATAAAAGAAGCATTAATAAAAGAAAAAACAATGGAAAAAATCAACAAACTCATAATTTGGTTGTATAAATAGACTAATAAAAAAGCTCTAAAAATGTTCATGCTAATCAGGTAATTAGTTTGGGGGAGGAGAGGGAGAAAGAGAGAGAGGAGATGGTACCTACCCAATATTAAACATGAAAAAGAATACATGACTGCAGTTGTGGCAGAAATTTTAAGCAAATGACACAATCAACAGAGTGAAAAGGCAGCCTATGGAATGGGAAAATACATTTGCAAATCATATATTTGATAAGCACTTACTATCCAGATTATACAAAGAGCCCCTATAACTCAACAACAGCAAACCCAAAGAACAAAAACAAAATGTAAAAATGAACAAAATACTTGAATAGCTATTTCTCCAGAGATTACATACAAATGGCTAACAAGCATATGAAAATATGCTCAAAACCTAATCATTAGAGAAATGCAAATGAAATCCACAGTAAGATACCACCTCACACCCATTAGGATGGCTACCATCTAAGAAAATAACGAGTGTTGGCAAACATATGGAAAAATTGTAACCTTTCTACACTATTGGTGGAAATGTAAAATGATGCAGCTGCTATGGAAAACATTAAGGTGGTTCCTTAAAAAATGCAATTCCACCTCTGGGTATATACCCAAAAGAATTTAAAGCAGGATATTGAGGAGGTATTTGCACACTCATGTTCTAAGCAGCACTATTCACAATAGCCATGAGGTCGAAGGAATTTAAATGTCCATTAATGGATGAACAGATAAACAAAATATGGTATATGCATACAATGAACTATCATTCAACCTTAAAAAGGAAGGAAATTCTGGCACATGCTACACAATGGATGAACCTTGAGGACATTATGCTAAGTGAAATAAGCCAGTCATAAAAAAAGAGGATTACTGTATGATTTCACTTATATGATGTACCTAGAGTTGTCAAATTTATAGAAACAGAAAGTAGAAT